>NC_000010.11:67870368-69120368 GCF_000001405.40 Homo sapiens
GGTGAGGTGGGTGGATCATGAGGTCAGGAGTTCGAGACCAGCCTGGCCAACATGGCAAAACCCTGTCTCTACTAAAAATACAAAAATTAGCCAGGTATGGTGGTGGGTGCCTGTAATTCCAGCTACTTGGGAGGCTGAGGCAGGAGAATTGCTTGAACCTGGGAGGCAGAGGTTGCAGTGAGCCAAGATTGTGCCATTGCACTCCAGCCTGGGTGACAAGAGGAAGACTCTGTCCCCCTACACCAAAAAAAAAAAAAAAAAAGAAGGTAATTCACCATTTCAACAGCCCAAGAAGAAAAACCATATGATCATCTCAATAGATGCAAAAAAAAATTTAGCAACATTTAACACCTATTTATAATAAAAACTCTTAGCAAACTAGTAATAAAAGAAACTTTCTTCACCTGAAAAAGAACATCTGTTAAAAAAAAAAAACTAAAACTAAAAGACTTACAGCTAACGTCATACTAAATAGTGAAAGCCTGGGACCAGGCACAGTGGCTCATGCCTATAATTCTAACACTTTGGGAGGCCGAGGTGGGAGCATCCTTTGAGCCCAGGAGTTCAAAACTAGCCTGGGCAACACAGTGAGACCCTGTCTCTACAAAGATTAAAAAATTAGCCGGGCATGGTGGCATGCACCTATGGTTCCAGCTACTTGGGAGGCTGAGGCAGGAGGACTGCTTGAGCCAAGGAGTTCAAGGTTACAGTAAGCACAACTGCACTCCAGCCTGGAAAAGAGAGTGAGACACTTTGTCTTAAAAAAGATAGTGAAAGAACTAATGTTTCCTCCTAATATCTGGAACAAGATAAGGATATCTGTTGTCTTTACTCCCCTTCAACATTGTATGAAATCATAACCAGTACAATAAGGCAAGAACAACTAAATAAAAGGCATGCAGATTTGAAAAAAAAGAAATGAAAATGTCTGTGTTCTCAGACAACATGATAGTCCATGTAGACAATTTCAAAGAATCTACAGAAAAGCTTCTAGAACTAATAAGTGAGTTTAGTAAAATTGGAGTTAATATTGAAAATTAATTGTATTTCTAAATGATCAGTTAGACAAGATAAATGAATTTTTTTTTTTTTTGAGACGGAGTCACACTCTGTTGCCCAGGCTGGAGTGCAGTGGCGCGATCTCGGCTCACTGCAAGCTCCGCCTCCTGGGTTCACACCATTCTCCTGCCTCAGCCTCCTGAGTAGCTGGGACTACAGGCGCCCGCCACCACGCCCGGCTAATTTTTTGTATTTTTAGTAGAGATACGGTTTCACTATGTTAGCCAGGATGGTCTTGATCTTCTGACCTCGTGATCCGCCCACCTCGGCCTCCCAAAGTGCTGGGATTACAGGTGTGAGCCACCGTGCCCAGCCAGAAATGAGTTTTTAAGGTTGATTGCATAGCATGGTCACCATAGTTAATAATAATGCACTATATATTTAAAAACTGGCTAAAATATATTTCAAATGTTCTCACTACAAAAAAAAATGATACGTATATGAGGTGATGGATATGTTTTCTTTTTTTGTTTTTTTTTTTTTGAGACAGAGTCTGGCTCTATTGCTGTGGCTGGAGTGCAGTGGCGCGATCTCAGCTCACTGCAACCTCCGCCTCCCAGGTTCAAGCGATTCTCCTGCCTCAGCCTCCTGAGTAACTGGGATTACAGGCCTGCACCACCATGCTTGGCTAATTTTTGTATTTTTAGTGGAGACAGGGTTTCACCATGTTGATTAGGCTGGTCTTGAACTCCAGACCTCATGATCCACCCACCTCAGCCTCCTAAAGTGCTGGGATTACAGGTGTGAGCCACCGCGCCTGGCCTGTCAATTAGCTTTTTCTTTTTTATTTTTTGAGACAGAGTCTTGCTGTGTCACCCAGGCTGGAGTGCAGTGGTGCGATCTTGGCTCTCTGCAGCCTCTGCCTCTTGAGTAGCTGGGACTACAGGTGTGTACCATCACAACTGGCTAATTTTTGTATTTTTAGTAGAGACGGAGTTTCGCCATGTTGGCCAGCCTCGTCTTGAACTCCTGACCTCAAGTGATCCACCCTCCTCGGCCTCCCAAAGTGCTGGGATTATAGATGTGAACCACCGTGCCCCGCCAGCCTCAACAATTTTGAAGAAGAAGAAAAACACTGGAGGACTGGCACTAAATCTGATTTCAAGATTTAGTATAAAGCTACACAATCAAGACAGCATAGAGCCAGGCACGGTGGCTCACGCCTATAATCCCAGCACTTTCGGAGGCCGAGGCACGCGGATCACAAGGTCAGGAGAATAAGACCATCCTGGCCAACATGGTGAAAACCCGTCTCTACTAAAAATACAAAAATTACCCGGGCATGGTGGTGCACGCCTGTAGTTCCAGCTACTCAGGAGGCTGAGGTGGGAGAATCGCTTGAACTGGGGAGGTGGAGGTTGCAGCAAGCTGAGATCGAGCTACTGCACTCCAGCATGGTGACAGAGTGAGACTCTGTCTCAGAAAAAAAAAAAAAAAAAAAAAAAAAAAGACAGGGTAGTACTGTGTTGGTGAAAGGATAGACATTTGCATCAATGGAACAGAATAGAGTCCAGAAGGGGACCTACGGAAGCATGAGCAATTGATTTTTTTTTTTTTTTTGAGATGGAGTCTCACGGTGTCACCCAGGCTGGAGTGCAGTGGTGCGATCTCGGCTCACTGCAACCTCCTCCTCCCAGGTTCAAGCGATTCTCCTGCCTCAGACTTCCTAGTAGCTGGGACTACAAGTGCCACCACACCCAGCTAATTTTTGTATTTTTAGTAGAGACGGGGTTTCACCATATTGGCCAAGCTGATCCCGAGCTCCTGACCTCGTGTTCCACCAGCCTAGGCCTCCCAAAGGGCTGGGATTACAGGCGTGAGCCACAGCGCCCGACCTAAAATTACAAAAATTATCCAGATGTGGTGATGGGTGCCTGTACTCCCAGCTACTCGGGGGGCTGAGGCAGGAGAATCACTTGAACCAGGGAGGCAGAGGTTGCAGTGAGCCAAGTTCGCGCCACTGCACTGCAGCCTGGGCTATGAAGCCAGACTCTGTCTCAAAAAAAAGAAAAATAAAATTTTCAGAAGGAAAACCAAAGAAAATATTTGGAACCTTGGGTTAGGTAGAGTTCTACACATAATATCAACAGTAAAATTCATAAAAAAAAAATAAATGGTAAGCTGATCTTCACCAATATAAAAAACTTCTGCCTGGGCGCAGTGGCTCACACCTGTAATCCCAGCACTTTGGGAGGCCAAGGCAGGCAGATCACCTGAGGTCAGGAGTTCGAGACCAGCCTAGCCAACATGGCGAAATTCCATATCTACTAAAACCACAAAAATTAGCCAGGTGTGGTGGCGGGCAGCTGTAATCCCAGCTACCCAGGAGGCTGAGACTGGAGAATCCCCTGAACCCAGGAGGCGGAGGTTGCATTTAGCCGAGATCACGCCACTGCACTGCAGCCTGGGCAACAGAGCGAGATTCTGTCTCAAAACAACAACAATATAGAAAACTTCTGCTCTGCAAAGAACATGTTTAAGAGAATGAAAGATAAGCTGCAGTCTGGGAGAAATATTTGCAAGTCACCAATCTGACAAAGGACTTTTTCTAGAATATATAGAAAACATAAGACCGGGCGCGGTGGCTCACGCCTGTAATCCCAACACTTTGGGAGGCTGAGGCGGGCAGATCACGAGGTCAGGAGATCCAGACCATCCTGGCTAACACGGTAAAACCCCGTCTCTACTAAAAATACAAAAAAATTAGCCGGGTGTGGTGGCACGTGCCTGTAGTCCCAGCTACTTGAGAGGCTGAGGCAGGAGAATGGCGTTAACCCGGGAGGCGAAGGTTGCAGTGAGCCGAGATCGCGCCACTGCCCTTCAGCCTGGGTGACAGAACGAGACTCTGTCTCAAAAAAAAAAAAAAAAGAAAAGAAAACATGAAACACAACAATATGAAAACAGCTCTCGGCTTTCGGCTCGGAGGAGGCCAAGGTGCAACTTTCTTCCGTCGTTCCGAATCCGGGTTCATCCCACACCAGCCGCCTCCACCATGCCACCGAAGTTCGACCCCAACAAGATCAAAGTCGTATACCTGAGGTGCACCGGAGGTGAAGTCGGTGCCACTTCTGCCCTGGCCCCCAAGATCGGCCCCCTGGGTCTGTCTCCAAAAAAGGTTGGTGATGACATTGCCAAGGCAACGGGTGACTGGAAGGGCCTGAGGATTACAGTGAAACTGACAATTCAGAACAGACAAGCCCAGATTGAGGTGGTGCCTTCTGCCTCCGCCCTGACCATCAAAGCCCTCAAGGAGCCACCAAGAGACGGAAAGAAACAGAGAAACATTAAACACAGTGGGAATATCACTTTTGATGAGATCATCAAGGTTGCTCGACAGATGCGGCACCGATCCTTAGCCAGAGAACTCTCTGGAACCATTAAAGAGATCCTGGGGACTGCCCAGTCTGTGGGCTGTAATGTTGATGGCCGCCACTCTCATGACATCATAGATGACATCAACAGTGACAAAGCAAGACTCCATCTCAACAAAAAAAAAAAGAGGGAGAAAAAAAAAAGTCTTGCTCTGTCACCCAGGCTGGAGTGCAGTGGCACGATCTTGGCTCACTGCAACCTCCTCCTCCCTGGTTCAAGTGATTCTCCTGCCTCAGCCTCCTGAGTAGCTGTGATTACAGATGCCCACCACCATGCCCAGCTAATTTTTGTATTTTTAGTAGAGACGGAGTTTTGCCATGTTGGCCAGGCTGGTCTCGAACTCCTGACCTCAAGTGATTTTGCTCGCCTCGGCCTCCCAAAATGCTAGGATTACAGGCCGTGCCTGGCCAGTTCCTTACTATTTTGATGGGTGAAAACTGACATTTTGTTATAGGTTAATGCATAGTTGTGTATTTATGAGTGAGGTTTTACAACTTTCATATGTTTAAAAGCCACTTGTGTCCTATTTTCTGTGAACTGAACTCTTCATTTCCAACTACGCTATCAATCTTTTTCTTACTGATTAATGAGAGTCCTTTATAAAGGAAATATATCTTTATGATACTGTACAGTAGAGTTAAGTTCATTCAGTGGGTGGATTCTGCTGATAAAAACCAATGTGAAAATCACTCCTCTGCTGCTCTGCAACCTAGCCTTGATAATAAAAGCTTGCCCTTTCATTCCCTTGGGAACCTTCCTCATTTAGAGCCCCAATCATTACCACTTGCCCTATATGGTTGAAATTTTAGGCCAGTGTTTCTCAGGCATGGCACTGTTGAAATTTTGGCTGGATAATTATTTGTTGTAGATGGCTGTTTTCTAGATTTCTAGAACGTTTAGCAACACCCTTGGCTTCTATCTGCTGGATGCCAGCAGTACATCCTTCTCCCAGGTGTGACAACTAGAAAAGTCTTTGAAATGTCAAATGTCCTCTAGGGGATGGAGGGCAAAATCTCCCAGTTGAGAACCACTGATCTAGGTTTATATACTGCTGGTGGAAGGCAGGCTGCATGACTAAACTGCCTATTTGTTATAGTTTGGAAATTTCACACAGCTCCCCAAATGGTGTTTGATAAAGTGCAGAATCTTAAGTTCTGTTGGAAAGTACAACATTTGTCTTTTAACCTCGTCAAAAAGACAAAACAGGCAGAAGGATGCCTTGAGGTCAGGAGTTTGAGGCCAACCTGGGCAACATAGCAAGACCCCATCTCTATTAAAAATTTAAAAATTAGCCAGGTATGGTGGTACATGGCTGTAGACCAGCTACTTAGGAGGCTGAAGTGAGGATTGCTTGAACCCAGGAGTTTGAGGCTGCAGCAGCAAACTATGATTGTGCCACTGCACTCCAGCCTAGGCAACATAGTAAGATCCTGTTTCTGAAAAAACAACATATTTTAAACCATGAAAGAGTAGCATCTGTTAAATGTGTAGGTATGCCTAGGAAATCTAAAATGAAGAGACGTAGGACAATAAAGTCAGCCAACTGCTCAAGCCTCAAAGAGTGGGAGGGTCACCAGAGCTCAAGGGCTAGCGCTCAGCTTGCAGTTACAAAAAAAGTTACTCTTTTTCCTTTAAATTTCTGAAAAAAGTTCTCATTTTAATAATGTGAAATTTTAGCAAGAAATAGTTATTAATGTGTCCTCAACCCTCCCATCTATGTCCAGGCCCCTCAATCAGGGATGTTAAAATGTTAACATTTTGATATGTAACTTGCCATACTTTTTCTAAGCCTCTACAGCCTTTTTTTTTTTTTTCTTTTGAGACAGAGTCTTGCTCTGTCACCCAGGCTGGAGTGCAGTGGCGCGATCTTGGCTCACTGCAACCTCCATCTCCCAGGTTCAAGCGATTCTCTTCCTTCAGCCTCCCTAGTAGCTGGGACTACAGGCATGCGCCACCATGCCCGGCTAATTTTTGTATTTTTAGCAGAGACAGGGTTTCACTATGTTGGCCAGGCTGGTCTCAGACTCCTGACCTCGTGATCCACCCACCTCAGGCTCCCAAAGTGCTAGGATTACAGGCATGAGCCACCGCGCCCAGCCTTATAGCCGTATTTATATGTAGATATTTTTTCTTTTTCTTTCTTTCTTTTTTTTTTTTCAAGACAGGGTTTCACTCCTGTCGCCAAGGCTGGAGTGCAATGGTGCGACCTCAGCTCACTGCAACCTCTGCCTTCTGGGCTCAGGCAGTTCTCTTCCCTTAGATTCTCAAGTAGCTGGGACTACCAGTGCGCACCACCACGCCTGGCTAATTTTTTTTTTTTTTTTTGAGATGGAGTCTCCCTCTGTCGCCCAGGCTAGACTGCAATGGCATGATCTTGGCTCACTGCAACCTCCACCTCCCGGGTTCAAGCGATTCTCCTGCCTCAGCTTCCTGAGTAGCTGGGATTACAGGCATGCACCACCATGCCCAGCTAATTTTTGTATTTTTAGTAGAGATGGGGTTTCACCGTGTTGGTCAGGCTGGTGTCGAACTCTCGACCTTGCAATCCGCCTGCTTCTGCCTCCCAAAGTTGTGGGATTAAAGGCGTGAGCCACCGTGCCCAGCCCACACCTGGCTAATTTTTGTACTTTTTATGGAGATGGGGTTTCCTCATGTTGCCCAGGCTGGTCTCAAACTCCTGGGCTCAAGTAGTCTCCCTGCCTTGGCCTCCCAAAGTGCTAGGATCACAGGTGTGAGACACCGCACCTGCCCTTGTATGTAGATTTGTATATAGATTTTGACCTAGGCCTGGCGCCATGTCTCACGCCTTTAATCCCAGCACTTTCCGAGGCCAATGCGGGTGAATCATCTGAGGTCGGGAGTTCAAGATCAGCCTGGCCAAAATGGTGAAACTCTGTCTCTACTAAAAATACAAAAAGTAGCCGGGCATGGTAACGCATGCCGGTAATCCCAGCTACTACCCAGGAGGCTGAGGTGGGAGAATCGCTTGAACTTGGGAGGCAGAGGTTGCAGTGAGCCGAGATCGCGCCACTGCACTCCAGCCTGGGTGACAGCAGGAGACTTGGTCTCAAAAACAAGAAAAAAGAAAAAAAAAAAAAAAGACATTGACCTAAAAGGAAGAAGCTGAGGCACAAAATATAATTTAAAGAGTTTAACTGAGCCAAAGTGAAGATAGCTGCCTGGAAGATTCAGACCCAAGTAATCTTGGATATGAGCTTCACTCAGCTCCTTATCCATTACAAGAAGGTTTTTTAAGTGAAAAAGTGGGCGGGGAGTGAGCCAATAACAAAGGTATCTGTCAGAAATTCTCATTGGTTTACAGAAAAAGCAATGATTAGTGATTGGCTATACATTGTTAAGTTATAGGGTGCAGTTTATAGTGTCTGGTGTGGCATTATTGGATGAATTTTTTTTTCTTTTCACTCTTATGATATGCTGAAGCATTGGGTGAATTTATAGCTACTTGTGGCAAGCAGTTTCAAGAGACGAATACACAAAGTGGGGAGTAAGTTCTGTCACCCAGGCTGGAGTACAGTGGCGCAATCTCGGCTCACTGCATCCTGGATCTCCCCAGGGTCAGGTGATCCTCCCACCGCAGACTTCCAAGTAGCTGGGACTACAGGCATGGGCCATAACACCTGGCTAATTTTTGTATTTTTTGTAGAGACGGGGTTTTGCCATGTTGGCCAGGATGGTCTTGAACTTTTGACCTCGAGCAATCTCCCGCTTCAGCCTCCCAAAGTGTTGGGATTACAGCTGTGAGCCACTGTGCCCAGTCTGCTGTCTCGTTTTTATGTCTCTTTGGGCCTAATAATTTAAAATGACTCACATTCATCAGATAAAAATACTTTTCTTTTCTCATAGGCATATAGAGGTTTAAAAAATAATAATAATTGGCCAGGCACAGTGACTCACACCTATAATGCCAGCACTTTGGGAGGCCAAGGCGGGTGGATCACGAGGTCAGGAGTTTGAGACCCGCCTGGCCAACACGGCGAAACCCTGTCTCTACTAAAAATATGAAAATTAGCCGGGCATGGTGGCACACACCTGTAGTCCCAGCTATTGGGGAGGCTGAGGTGGGAGAATCGCTTGAACCCAGGAGGTGGAGGTTGCAGTGAGCCAAGATTGTGCCACTGCACTCCAGCCTGGGCAACAGAGAGAGACTCCATCTCAAAAAAAATTTAATTAATAAAATAAAATAATAATAAAGGGATATTTATTAAATAAGAAAGGACAATAATGCACACATTACTGTGCAACTTGCTTTTTTCACTCACAGTGTTTCACACACACTCCTCAACAACGACAGTTACAAACCCTTTTATTTTTTCATTTTTTATTTTTTTATTTTTTTTGAGACAGAGTCTCGCTCTGTTGCCCAGGATGGAGTGCAGTGGCGCGATCTTGGGTCACTGCAACCTCCGCCTCCCGGGTTCAAGCAATTCTCCTGCCTCAGCCTCCCGAGTAGCTGGGACTACAGGAGCCTACCACCACGCCCGGCTAATTTTTTTGTATTTTTAATAGAGACGGGGTTTCACTGTGTTAGTCAGGATGGTCTTGATCTCCTGACCTCGTGATCCACCCGCCTCAGCCTCCCGAAGTGCTGGGATTACAGGTGTGAGCCACTGCCCCCGGCCTAATTTTTGTATTTTTAGTAGAGACAGGGTTTCTCCATGTTGGGCAGGCTGGTCTCAAACTCTGACCTCAAGTGATCGACCTGCTTCTGCCTCCCAAAATGCTCGGATTATATACGTATAATTTAAATAAATGTTTCCAGATTACTTTCCAACATTATGTCAACAATGTATCAGTTTCTCCATATTCTGCTTAGCAACAGACAGTGACAATAAAAACTTTTTTTTTCCTTTTGCCTATTTGAGGGGTGAAAAGTAATACCTTGGTTTTTTGTTGTTGTTGTTGTTTGTTTTTTTTTTTGGTGAGATGGAATCTCACTCTGTCTCATGATCTTGCGATCTTGGCTCACTGCAGCCTCTGCTTCCTGTGTTCAGCGATTGCCTTGCCTCAGCCTCCTGAGTAGCTGGGATCACAGACCTGTGCCACCACACCTGGCTAATTTTTAGTAGAGACAGGGTTTCACAATATTGGCCAGGCTGGTCTCAAACTGTTGACCTCCTGCCTCAGCCTCCCAAAGTGCTGGGATTACAGGTGTGAGCCACCACTCCCGGTCATGTTTTAATGTTATTTTATTTTATTTTTGAGACGGAGTCTCACTCTGTCACCTAGGCTGGAGTGCAGTGGCGCAATCTCGGCTCACTGCAACCTCCACCTCCCAGGTCCAAGTGATTCTCGTTCCTCAGCCTCCCGAGTAGCTGAGATTACAGACGTGCACCACCATGCCTGGCTAATTATCGTATATTTTTAGTAGAGATGGGGTTTCACCATTTTGGCCAGGCTGGTTTCGAACTCCTGACGTCAAGTGATCTGCCCACATTGGCCTCCCAAAGTACTAGCATTACAGGCATGACTGACCGCACCCGGATGTTACTTTATTTATTTTTTTTGAGATGGAGTCTCACTCTGTCGCCCAGGCTGGAGTGCAGTGCGTGATCTTGGCTCACTGCAAGCTCTGCCTCCTGGGTTTCCGCCATTCTTCTGCCTCAGCCTCCCGAGTAACTGGGACTACAGGCGCCCACCACCACGCCTGGCTAATTTTTTTGTATTTTTAGTGGAGACGGGGTTTCACCATGTTAGCCAGGATGGTCTCAATCTCCTGACCTCATGATCTGCCCGCCTCAGCCTCCCAAAGTGCTGGGATTACAGGCGTGAGCCACTGCGCCCAGCCGTATTTTATTTTTTTGAGTTAGGGTCTTGCTGTGTTGCCCAGGTTGGAGTGCAGTGGCTAGACCGTGGCTCACTGCAGCCTCGACCTTCAGGCTCAAACAGTCCTCCTGCCTCAGCCTCCCAAGTAGCTCGGACTACAGGCGCAAAGCAGGATGCTGGACTAATTTTTAAAGGTTTTGGAGAGATGAGGTCTCACTGTGTGGCCCAGGCTGATCTCAAATTCTTGGTCTCAAGCCATCCTTCCACCTCAGCTTCCTAAAGTGCTGGGATTATAGGTATGAGCCATTGTACTTGGCTAGGACATTTTTTCACTACGTATCCCTGACTACTAATAGGTTTGAGCATATTTTAAATTTTTATATTGTCAAATATTTTTATCATTTAAAAAATGGCTCCTGCCTTGCTAAAAAGTTCTTTCTTGATCCAAAGTTATAAATATTCTAAAATGTCATATTTTTATTTTTGTATTTTTTCATTTAGATCTTCAATCCATCTGGAATTTTTAATTTTTTATATTTTTGAGATGAAGTTTTGCTCTTGTTGCCCTGGCTGGAGTGCAATGGTGCAATCTCGGCTCACTGCAATCTCCGCCTCCCAGGTTCAAGCAATTCTCCTCCCTCAGCCTCCCAAGTAGTTGGGATTACAGGAATGTGCCACCACACCTGGCTAATTTATTTTTTAGTAGAGTCAGTAGTAGTTTGTCCATGTTGGCCAGGCTGGTCTTGAACTCCCGACTTCAGGTGATCTGCCCCCCCTCAGCCTCCCAAAGTGCTGGGATTACAGGAGTGAGCCACCGCGCCTGGCTGGAATTTATTTTCGTATATTGTGTGAAGTAGGGATTTCCATTTGTGTTTTTCAGTTTTGACAATAACATTTTATTAGTACAAAAGAGTTGATACTAACTCCCTTACTAATTGTAGTCACATGAGACTGATATCAGAGCTATTAGGCCAATTTATTTTTTTATTTATTCATTTTTTATTTATTCTTATTTTTATTTTTTTTGCGATGGAGTCTCACTCTGTCGCCCAGGCCAGAGTGCAGTGGCGCGATCCCGGCTCACTGCAAGCTCCGCCTCCTGGGTTCACGCCATTCTCCTGCCTCAACCTCCCGAGTAGCTGGGACTACAGGCGCCCGCCACCACACCCGGCTAATTTTTTGTATTTTTAGTAGACACGGGGTTTCACCGTGTTAGCCAGGATGGTCTTGATCTCCTGACCTCGTGATCCACCCGCCTCGACCTCCCAAAGTGCTGGGATTACAGGCGTCAGCCACCGTGCTTGGCAGGCCAATTTATTAACTTAGGAGAATAGAACTACTAAGTCAGCCAGAATATTAATGTTCTTTTTTTTTTTTTTTTTTTTTTGAGACAGAGTTTCACTCTTGTTGCCCAGGCTGGAGTGCAATGGCACTGTCTCAGGTCACTGCAACCTCCACCTCCTGAGTTCAAGCGATTCTCCCGTCTCAGCCTCCCGAGTAGCTGGGATTACAGGCGCATGCCACCACTCTGGGCTAATTTTTGTATTTTTAGTGGAGACGGGGTTACATCATACTGGTCAGGCTGGTCTCGAACTCCTGACATCAGGTGATCCGCCCGCCTTGGCCTCCCAAAGTGCTGGGATTTATAGGCGTGAGCCACAGCGCCTAGCCTTAATGTTAGTTCTTAACCAGTGGTAGACCAGAAGTCTAATTGGGATTTTTTGTTTTTGTGTTTGTTGTAATACAATTTCTGTTTCTCATTTATCCTACCTGAAAAGCATACTGCATCTCTGACCTCTCAGCATACTAACAATAATATTGATCACATAGCATTTCTTGTAGTTCATAAACTTCACGTGTCAATAATATACTATAAATATAAATGAATTAATGAACAACAGGATGCTCATAAGCTTACAGACATCTTTTTCTCAAAAAAGCTGGGAATTTTGTTTCTGTTTTATTGGGATACTGACTCTCAACATTTCATATATTGCATTCCACCAACGTAGCTGAGAGTCAATTTATGAAATATTTTGTAGTGTAAGACAGAAAGTGGGGAGGACCAAGTATGTCAACCACTAGGAGTGTGGTGCCTAGTCAGGAATTGGGAGGAGTGTAGCAAGAAAGGAAGGACAACAGGATTTGGTCATTGATTGGTCAGATGGATTTCAGAGGGATTGGTATGAAGGAACGCTTCAAAGATTTTTTTTTTAATTTAAGTTCCAGGATACAGGTGCAGAATGTGTAGGTTTGTTACATACTTATAGGTGAGCCATGGTGGTTTGCTGCACCAATCAACCCCTCATCTAGGTTTTATTTATATTTTTTTTTGAGACGGAGTTTCGCTCTTGCTGCCCAGGCTGGTGTGCAATGGTGCGATCTCGGCTCACCGCAACCTCTGCCTGCTGGGTTCAAGCGATTCTCCTGCCTCAGCCTTCTGAGTAGCTGGGATTACAGGCATGTGCCACCACGCCCGGCTAATTTTGTATTTTTAGTAGAGACGGGGTTTCTCCATGTTGGTCAGGCTGGTCTCGAACTTCCGACTTCAGGTGATCTGTCCGCCTCGGCCTCCCAAAGTGCTGGGATTACAGGCAGCAGCCACCGCGCCCAGCCAGGTTTTAAGTCCCGCATGCATTAGCTATTTGTCCTAATGCTCTCCCTCCCCTTGACCCCCACGCAACCAAAGATGGTTTTAAGGCTTCTAGGACTGGAGATGATTACTTTCAGAAATGAATAGTGGTGACCAGATGAAATAAGACTTTTGGATGTAGATAGGACCTTAGCGATATATTTCCAGCTTTTTATTTTTTATTTTAAGGATGAAGAAACAGCTTTAAGTTGGTTGCCTAAAGTCACGCAGGTAATTGATGCAGTATGGCCAGAACCCATACTAGGCTTAAGGGACAGTGTACCATAAACTCGTAGAGGTCCTTTAAACAGATAGAAACGCTGTGCTCCAGGCAGATGCCATAACAAACACTGGCTCTAGATCTACCATGGGTTATATGGGTCCTTAGTTAAGATTAGATATGGAGTCACAGTGTGCCAGAATTTCAGGGAGAGAGGAAAGTGGAAGGGCTTTCCACTAAGCCTTTTGAACTACTAGGTACCCCTCGTTTTACATCTGGTTATCTCATTTAAATCTATGACGTTTTAAAATACTTATTACCATTTAAGACATGAGAAAAATTAAGTTTAGAAACGGCTAGATAGCTCACGCTAGAAAGGAAGGACTCCAAATTTTAACCAAGGGCAGATGTGCATGGAGGCCAAGTCATTTCCTTCCCATGCTCTCATACTGACCCAACAAACCCATTCTGCACGTGAGAAAACTGAGGCCCGGAGGAGGGAATTCACACACGTTTGAAGCCAAGCTGGGGCCAGAAAGTAGATCGGCTGATCTCCAAACCTCCACGTCAAAGGTCTTCCCAGGAGGACATATGCCTTCAAGGATTTTACAATGTATACCACCCTACAAGTGATGGGAGAGAGGGGAAAAAAGCAACCGACTAAGGAGAAAAGCAAGGAGCAGAAAAAGGAGCAAAAGAGGAGCTGTCAGAACGGTGTGAGGAGAGTGGGAAAGGAGCCGCCTCCTTTTGCCTCTCTTCCTACTTATTAACAAAACAGAACGACTATCCAACGTATTTCAGGGAGCTAAGTCTTAGCCAGCTTCAGCTGTGTTTTAACCCTTAGCTAAATATAGACAAGGCTAAGGCAGGCCAGGTGTACACTTCAGGAAGACGTGGAAATTCCCAGGGCGGACCAAAACTTGAGCTGTTCCGGCGGTAGTGATTTGAGGTCAGTTTGAAAGAGAAGTTGAGAAAGCGGCCGAGGGGCGAATTTGGCTGCACTACACGCTCGCCACAAAGAGGAAGGGCCGCCGGCCGCCGGGGCCGAGTGCGCTTCCAGCCCAGGCGGAGCGGTAGACGCAACAGCCTCCGCCCGCCACGTGACCCGTAGTGTTGTGGTCTGGCCCGCGTGGGTGGCGGGAGCGCCGAGAGGGCGGGGGCGGCGATGGGGCGGGTCACGTGATGGGGTTTAAATCTCCCGCAGCCGGAGCCGCGGGGGCGCCAGTGCCGCGCGTCGAGCGGGAGCAGAGGAGGCGAGGGAGGAGGGCCAGAGAGGCAGTTGGAAGATGGCGGACGAGGCGGCCCTCGCCCTTCAGCCCGGCGGCTCCCCCTCGGCGGCGGGGGCCGACAGGGAGGCCGCGTCGTCCCCCGCCGGGGAGCCGCTCCGCAAGAGGCCGCGGAGAGATGGTCCCGGCCTCGAGCGGAGCCCGGGCGAGCCCGGTGGGGCGGCCCCAGAGCGTGAGGTGCCGGCGGCGGCCAGGGGCTGCCCGGGTGCGGCGGCGGCGGCGCTGTGGCGGGAGGCGGAGGCAGAGGCGGCGGCGGCAGGCGGGGAGCAAGAGGCCCAGGCGACTGCGGCGGCTGGGGAAGGAGACAATGGGCCGGGCCTGCAGGGCCCATCTCGGGAGCCACCGCTGGCCGACAACTTGTACGACGAAGACGACGACGACGAGGGCGAGGAGGAGGAAGAGGCGGCGGCGGCGGCGATTGGGTACCGAGGTGCGCAGGGTGCGGGCGGCCGGAACTGCGCATCTCCTCCTCCCTCTCCCCGGGCTCCTACTGGCCTGAGGTTGAGGGCGGCTGGGGGCTCGGGGCAGGCTCCGCGGCGTTCCCCTCCCCACCCCGGCCCTCCGTTCAGCCGCGCTCCTCCGGGGCTGCGGTTCCTACTGCGCGAGCTGCCAGTGGATTCGCTCTTTTCCTCCGTCCGTGGCCCGCCTGGGCGGCCTTGTTCTTTCCGCAGCAGCCAGGTCGGGAGACTCTCGCAGTCGCTTTAAAATAAGTTTCTCTCCCCCTCTTACTCTTTTAGCATATTGCTTTTGTTAGAGCTTTTTTTTTCTTTTTCTTTATTTTTTATTTTCATTGCTTTTCTCCTCTACCCCCCAGCACACTTAAGTCTGCAACTTTTTGGCTGTCCCGTTGGTCTGCGTTTTCAATTGCTTTTTGCAAACTTGACACCTGTGCAGTTTGCTTTTTTTGGTCTATATTTTTATGACTGAAATTACAATTTTTGAAAGAGGAAAGCTGTTTCTATAGTCACAGCTTGCAAAATTTAAAGAACGTGGCTGTTCCTGAAGACATTACCATTCTGTAATGCAGTTAGGAGTGGGTATGGGAGAGAGAGTACTTTTAGAGCTGTTCATATTACTTTTATTCTAATCTTGCTCTTGTGCGGTAATGGTGTTTGGGCTAAACATGCTTTTTTTGTATGTATGTAGTATTGAGACACAAACTTAACACTTCTAGCATAATGAAGCAGATATGTTGCAGTTGTCATGTTCTTGAAGGTTTCTTTTTTTTTTTTTTTTTTTTTTTGAGACGGAGTCTCGCTCTGTCGCTAGGCTGGAGTGCAGTGGCGCGATCTCGGCTCAGTGCAACCTCCGCCTCCCGCGTTCAACCGATTCTCCTTCAGCCTGCCGAGTAGCTGGGACTACAGACACCCGCCACCACGCCCAGCTAATTTTTGTGTTTTTAGCAGAGACGGGGTTTCACCATGTTGGCCAGGATGGTCTTGATTTCTTGACTTCGTGATCCGTCCGCCTCGGCCGCCCAAAGTGCTGGGATTACAGGCGTGAGCCACCGCGCCCGGTCAGGTTTCTTATTTTTGATCTGAGGAGTTTCTATCCTTGATAGGTGTTCATCTTTATCAATATTTGGGTCAGGCCGGGCGCGGTGGCTCTTTCGTGTAATCCTAGCACTTTGGGAGGCCAAAGCGGGAGGATCTCTTGAGCCTAGGAGTTTCAGGCCAGCCTGGGCAACATAGCGAGACCTCCTCTCTACTAAAAGTAAAAAAAGCGGGACGTGGTGTCGCACACCTTTAGTCCCAGGTACTAGAGTTCGAGGTTGCAGTGAGCTGTGATCCTGCCACTGCACTCCAGGGTGGGCAACAGAGTGAGACCCCGTCTCAAAAAAAAAAAAAAAAAAAAGTAATATGTGTTTTTAGGGACTGATTTAGTAAAGAGACCCTGATTTCAAGCAACACAGTTGAGTACTAATTTATTATTTACCTAATAATAATTGTGTTATTAATACTGTTTATTTAATAGAGGAAACAATGCAGAGGTACTTGTAGTATTGTGTAAGTTTAACGTGCGCATTGCCAAGGTTATATTTGAATGACGTTTTTATGTAAATGTCCATTTATTACACGTTTCACGAACGCTATTGTTTGTGATTGTATGATACATTCTAGCTAGATTATTATCTTTTCTTTTTTTTTTTCCTTTTCTTTTTTTTTAAAAGGTGGAGTTTCGCTCTTGTTACCCAAGCTGGAGTGCAATGGCGTGATCTCGGCTCACCGCAACCTCCGCTTCCCGGGTTCAAGCCATTCTCGTGCCTCAGCCTCCTGAGTAGTTGGGATTACAGGCATGCGCCACCATGCCCGGCTAATTTTTGTATTATTAGTAGAGACGAGATTTCTCCATGTTGGTCAGGCTGGTCTCGAATTCTCAACCTCAGGTGATCCGCCTGCCTCGGCCTCCCAAAGCTCTGGAATTAGAGGCGTGAGCCACCGCTCCCGGCTATCTTTTCTGTTTTTTAAGTAGACTTAATTTATTTTTAGATTTTGGCTGAAACTGAGTGAGCAGAATTCCTAAAGATGAAGAAACTGTTCCAATGAACAGTGCAAGCTGACCCCATAGGCATGCTTTACACACGCCGTGTAAATGTTAAATGCTGTACTCGATGAAAATGATTGCTCTATAACCGTTCATACATTTTAGGTGCATGTTGTTTTGATAGCCTTGACTGACTTGGTTTCTTTTGCAGATAACCTTCTGTTCGGTGATGAAATTATCACTAATGGTTTTCATTCCTGTGAAAGTGATGAGGAGGATAGAGCCTCACATGCAAGCTCTAGTGACTGGACTCCAAGGCCACGGATAGGTATGGCTCAGAGCTGTTAATTTTAGAGAGTAAATGTACGGTTTTTGGTTTGTTTGTTTTGAGACAGAGTTTCGCTCTTGTTGCGGAGGCTGGAGTGCAATGGCGCGATCTCGGCTCACCGTACCCTCCGCCTTCCAGGTTCAAGCGATTCTCCTGCCTCAGCCTCCCCAGCAGCTGGGATTACATGCATATGCCACTACGCCCGGCTAATTTTGAATTTTTAGTAGAGACGGGGTTTCTCCATGTTGGTCAGGCTGGTCTTGAACTCCCGACCTCAGGTGATCCGTCCGCCTGGGCCTCCCAAAGTGCTGGGATTACAGGCATGTGCCACCTTGCCCCACCTCACTTGTCCCCTTTTTGTGTAGTGTTCTTCATCCGGTTAGAATATCTTCCTCCCTCACTTCATATTCCTTGTTTTTTCACTTTATTGTACACTTACCACTTCTTGAAAAGCTCTGTATCTTACTTTTTAAATTGTGTTGTTTCCTGGTCTAGAATATAAGTTCTACGGGAGCAGGAATTTTTGACTGACTTGTATACTCCTGTCTTTTCAGTGCCTAAAAAAGTGCCTGGCACATAGTTTGTGCTCAATAAATATTTAATAAATATGTGAATGAAATGGGAAAGTATTTCGATGTAGAAAGCATTATCAGTTTTTTATACCAAAGGTATAACCATCTTGAAAGTGGATCTTTTTGTGTTCTCACTCTTACAAATGGCTTGATTATTTAAACATAGTGAAGATCAGTTTCTCTTTGGTGTCTGTAATTTATTTATTTATTTATTTTTGTTTTCTCAAGCCTAGGGAGCTGGTTTGAGCAATCTCAGGGTAAAAGAAAATGATTAGTTCTCAGAACATCAACATTGTATGTATTATCTTGGAAGATGGGTTAAGATCAAATTGAAAAATTACCGGAAAAAAATTAAGATGGCAGTTATGTATAGATTTTCATTTCTTTTTCCTGTGTGGTTTTAATGATAAGTAGTACAGGCTTTTAGGACTGGTACGATTTTTCTATGTCGTAGAACCCTTTTGTAAATACTTTTGGTATTATGGTGTGTGTTTCTAGATATTAACCATAAGAACTTAATTCTGGTTGTTAATTAATTAGACTCTTGAAATATATACTTACAGCTGAAGGGGGTCTTCCCAACTCTTCATTAGATCTTCCTAATCTCATTGGGATATAGCATTAATTCTGAGTGTACCGAGAATGAAATACCATTAAATTGCATTTTCTTACTTTGCAAAAAACCCTCACAGAATGCTAACTCATTACTTCAGAAAATAAATGAGATTTTGAATTACTTGATAAGTTGACTTTAAGCCTTTTCCCCCTTATTGTAGGTCCATATACTTTTGTTCAGCAACATCTTATGATTGGCACAGATCCTCGAACAATTCTTAAAGATTTATTGCCGGAAACAATACCTCCACCTGAGTTGGATGATATGACACTGTGGCAGATTGTTATTAATATCCTTTCAGAACCACCAAAAAGGAAAAAAAGAAAAGATATTAATACAATTGAAGATGCTGTGAAATTACTGCAAGAGTGCAAAAAAATTATAGTTCTAACTGGAGCTGGGGTATGTAAGACTAGTACATGGGGAGGTCGTATATGTATTTTCTTATGCCTTTTCCAAGTAGGAAACATTTTTCTGGTTTAGAAGGATTTATCCTTACATGATAATGGATGTTTGGGAACTGCCAAAAACTGAGTGCAGCAGCAGTTGCTAAATTAGTTCAGATTTTTAAAACCTCTCCAGCCTTAAAAAAATATTTGCTTCTGCTTATTTATAGCACAGTGGGTAAATGGAGTTAAGGCAAGATTTCTACCTACATTATATCATAGCTCCTAAAGGAGATGCAGGGAATTGAAACTCTGCTTTTGTTAAGGGATGTCAGTCTGATGGAGAAATTGGGTATTTGTTAGATCTTTATGAGAAACTGGAAACCTAATTGGTATTCACAAGTGAAAAGCTTAGTGTTGGGAAGAGTAACAGATTCCTACCTTCCCTCCATATTAATTAAGATGATGTGATTGTGGCGACTTGACATTTTCTATTTGATCTACCTTAGGGTTGCAGCTAATTAGTTACCTAAGACTATTGCATAGTGTGTGTTTTATACAGAGTATATTACATGTTAGCAACCAGAGCAACTGCTGTAGTAAAATTTTGTCCTGTTTTCTGCCATTTCGAGTTGCGAAAGGGTGTTACATAATCTTAGATGATCATCAGGAGTATGTTTTGCTCACAGATAACGATGTAGACAAGTTTGTTTAACTTAAATTGACCTTGACTCCAGGTCAAATTGGAGTCAACTCTGGTAAGATGATGAAACAATAACTTCTGAAATCTCTATTTGAAATGTCAGGATTTTTTTGTACGATTAGTGGGCACGTCTCAAAGAAATGAAGAATTGAAATATTATACACCTTTTTTTTTTTTCTTTTTTTTGGATACAGGGTCTTGCTGTGTTGCCCTGGCTGGAGTGCAGTGGTGTCATCATGGCTCACTGCAGTCTCAGCCTCTCCTGGCCTGAGTCTTGCTCTGTTGCCTAGGCTGGAGTGCAGTGGCAGGATCTTGGCTCACTGCAACCTCTGCCTCCTGGGTTCAAGCAATTCTCTTGCCTCAGCCTCCTGAGTAGCTGGGATTACAGGCGCACACCACCACACCTGGCTAATTTTTGTATTTTTAGTAGAGATGGGGTTTCACCATATTGGCCAGGCTGGTCTGAAACTCCTGACCTTGTGATCCGCCTGCCTTGGCCTCCCAAAGTGCCAGGATTACAGGCGTGATCCACCGTGCCTGGCTATACATTGTTTTTTTTAATGAAAATAGAGAATTGTTGTAGTATTGAGGTAATAGAATCCTAACTAAAGGAGCAATTTCTTTGGAATTACTTCTCTGTAATAGAAATTCTTGGCTGGTGGAGTGGCTCATGCATGTAATTCCAGCACTTTGGGAGGCTAAAGTGGGAGGATCACTTGAGCCCTGGAGTTTGAGATCACCCTGAGCAACATAGACCCTGACTCTACAAAAAATTAGCCTGGTGTGCTGGTGCGTACTTGTAGTCCCAGCTGCTAAGGAGGTTGAGGTGGGAGGATTGCTTGAGCCGGAAAGGTTAAGGCCATAATGAGCCATGATGGCACCACTGCACTCCAGCCTGGGCGTCAGAGCGAAACTGTCTAAAAAGAAAAAAAACAAAAAGCCGGGCGCGGTGGCTCACACCTGTAATCCCAGCACTTTGGGAGGCTGAGGCCTGCGGATCACGAGGTTAGGAGATCGAGACCATCTTGGCTAACATGGTGACACCCCGTCTCTACTAAAAATACAAAAAATCAGCCGGTCGCGGTGGCAGGCACCTGCATTCCCAGCTAATCAGTAGGCTAAGGCAGGAGAATGGTGTGAACCCAGGAGGCGGAGCTTACAGTGAGCCGAGATCGCACCACTGCACTCCAGACTGGGCGACAGTGTGAGACTCTGTCTCAAAAAAAAAAAAAACAAAAAAAAAAAGAAAAAATTCTTCCCTACTTAAAATAATTTGTTGAAATGGTTTATTTTCTTCTCAAGTTGCATTTGCTTTAATTTGTTGGCTAAATGCTTAAAAGGCTTAAAATTGGCCTGACTTAAAAATTCCTTATCTGTGTTAAAGATGGAATATGAGGTATGTTTAATTTTACTCAGTTATTTGGGAGTTTTATTTCTGAAATAAGGGTAGGGTTGTATTTTTATTTCTTAAAAGAAGTTTCAGACTAAAATTTTCTTTCTCAACTCTTACCTAATTATATGGTAAGAGAGCTAGCTAGTTCCTATAAAGGTAGAAGATTTAATTTTACAAATTATGCCATGCACATTTTAGGTGTCTGTTTCATGTGGAATACCTGACTTCAGGTCAAGGGATGGTATTTATGCTCGCCTTGCTGTAGACTTCCCAGATCTTCCAGATCCTCAAGCGATGTTTGATATTGAATATTTCAGAAAAGATCCAAGACCATTCTTCAAGTTTGCAAAGGTACTATGAACTCTTCTGGTTGTTTCTTTGGCCTTCTCTCATGAAAAAGTATTTTGTTCACATACAGCCACCTTAAGGTTATCGTTCATTGTTTAGTAAAGTGAATGCTGCTACTGTGGCGGAGTAAGATCACTCATTATGGCTAGAATTCCTTTATTCCTAGAGGAGGACTATTATCTACTTCATTTTAGGAGTGAGCTTATTTTCAAAGAGATAGTTCATATTTTTAAAATTTGCACTGCAGCGATGGTCGTTATTCTGCCTGGGCTTTTTTAAGAGGTTTGCACACCATATAAAAGTAACATAACTTGTGATTTTTAATATTTTATTAGAGATTGTAAAGGTTATAACATCACTTTGGTGTTTCGTAGTCAAGTTTTAACATAAGGATGTGCCTGAAAAATCATTTGTAATTAGAGAATGGGAAGATTCTTGGGTTGCATTTTTGTCAGCAAATTGCAGAGGATCATTATTCTGCTCTAGAGTTGCACCGTCCAGTTCAGAAGCCACTAGCCACATGTGGCTGTTGAGTACTTGAAATGTATTGATATGTGCAATAAGTGTAGAAGACATATTGGATTTTAGAGATCCAGTATGGAAAATACAAAGTATTTCATTAGTTTTATTCATCAAATATTAAACAAATATTGGTTTTTATATGGAAAAAATACTTAAAATTAATTTTGAATTCTTTTGAAATACTTTTGATATTGGGTTAAATAAAATGTATTTTGGGCTGTGCGTGTTGCCTCATGCCTGTAATTTCAGCACTTTGGGAGGCCAAGGTGGGAGGATCAGTTGAGCCCAGGAGTTTGAGACCAGCCTGAGCAACATAATGAGACTCCATCTCTACAAAATAAATAATAAAATTTGCTGAGCATGGTGGTGTGCACCTGTAGACCCATCCACTCAGTAGTCTGAGGTGGGAAGATCCCTTGAGCTCAGGAGCTCAAGACTGAGTGAACCATGATCTGCCATTGCACTCCACCCTGGGCAACAGAGCAAGAGTGTTTCCAAAATATATGTATGTTTTTTGAAGTTTACTTTTTTTTTTTTTCTTTTTTTGAGAAGTAGTCTTCCTTTGTCCCCCAGGCTGGAGTGCAATGGCATGATCTTGGCTCATAGCAACCTCTGCCTCCCAGGTTCAAGTGATTCTCCTGCCTCAGCATCCTGAGTAGCTGGGATTACAGGCGCCCGCTACCATGCCCAGCTAATTTCTGTATTTTTAGTAGAGACAGGGTTTCACCAGGTTGGCCAGGCTGGTGTTGAACTCCTGACTTCAGGTGATCCACCCTCCTCGGCCTCCCAAGGCTCTGGGATTATAGGCGTGAGCCACCGCGCCTGGCCAGTTTTCACCTTAATGTGGTTACTAAACAATTTAAAGTTATATGTATGTCTCACATTATGTACCTATTGTACAGCTCTGCTTTAGCATAGAAAGTTTAATAATGCATTACACCATTCTCAAGAGATTGAGTCATTAGAAAACTGTTTTCTTTCCTGTATTTCAGTCTTTTGGAAAGAAATTACAAAATTTGTTATTGTTAAACTTGGAGGTATATATATTTGAAAGAGTCATTTTATTTTATTTTACTTTAAGTGCCGGGATACATGTGCAGAATGCGCAGATTTGTTAACATAGGTATACATGTGCCATGGTGGTTTGCTGCATCTATCAACCTGTCATCTAGGTTGTAAGCCCCACATTCATTAGGTATTTGTCCTAATGCTTTTCCACCCCTTGCCCCCCACCTCCTGACAGGCCTCTGTGTGTGGTGTTCCCCACCCTGTGTCCATGTGTTCTTATTGTTCAACTCTCACTTATGAGTGAGGACATGTGGTGTTTGGTTTTCTGTTCTTGTGTTAGTTTGCTGAGGATGATGGCTTCCAGCGAAGGAGTCTTGTATTAGTGGCTTTTTCCCCACCTAATCGTTAGAAGTTGTGAATAGGGACTTCTTTAATGAATCCAGAAGTTAATGAACCTAGCTTTTTTTTTTTTTTTTTTGGAGACGGAGTCTGGCTCTGTTTCCCAGGCTGGAGTGTAGTGGTGTGATCTCTGCTCACCATACAACCTCCACTTCCCGAGTTCAAGAGATTCTCCTGCCTCAGCCTTCCGAGTTGTTGGGACTACAGGCGCGTGCTGCCATGCCTGGCTAATTTTTGTATTTTTGGTAGAGACGGGGATTCACTATGTTGGCCAGGTTGGTCTTGAACTCCTGACCTTGTGGTCCGCCCATCTCAGCCTCCCAAAGTGCTGGGATTACAGGTGCGAGGCACCGCGCCCCGCGCCCTGCCGATGAACCTAAATTTTAACTAAACAGTGGCCTTATCTACTTTCAGACCATGTGGTATATTTACATGACTACAGGAGAAGCTTTGCTAATTCAGAATAAATTATGTTACTTAAATTGGCGACTGTCTTTAAAAAAAAAGTGATTTTTTGGATGCAGTAGCTCGTGCCTATAATCCCAGTGCTTTGGGAAGCTGAGATAGGAAGATCTCTTGAACTCCGGAGTTTGAGACCAGCCTGCGCAACACAGTGAGACCCTAATCACTACACCCCTCCACCCCATGTAACTTTTGTTTTATCCAGGTTGTGGTATATTAAATGGGCATTAGTGTAAAGTGGGAAAATTATATTAATTCTTGAATATGATTACTAAACTGAATTTGAAAAGTTTTCAGGCTATCAAGAGAATTTTTAACTTAAAACTTATATAATTTGAACTTTTTACTTCATATATCCGTAATGATGATGGTCATCTATATCTAGCTTTTAGAGCAGACAACTGGTTCATACCTGGATTAAATAAATAATGTAAAGTTATTTTTTGTTAATTATGGATTAGTGAAGATTTACTGTTTTAACCTACTCCTGCTAGTGGCACTACTGCATGGTTTTGAAGACCAGTGAAGTATGACTTAAAGGTTTCTTGAATTGGAGCTAGGACACTGGCATTTATAAAATCTCCACGTAGCGCAGACATTGACACTATCAGAAGACCAGCAAGTAACTAGAAGTTACTTTGATCTTAAATCAACTACAAAAAACTTGACTCACTAGTTATGGAGAATACATTTTTTATTGTTAAACTGAAAAAAAATTCAGTCACTTATAAGGTGTAGCCTCTTCTAATCCTGTTTATATAAATTTATTTATTATTATTATTTTTTGAGATGGAGTCTTGCTCTGTTGCCAGGCTGTAGTGCATTGGCGCGATCTCGGCTCACTGCATCCTCCACCTCCCGGGTTCAAGCAATTCTCTTGCCTCAGCCTCCCAAGTAGCTGGGACTACAGGCACGTGCCATCACGATCAGCACTTTTAGTAGAGACGGGGTTTCACCATGTTGGCAAGGACGTGTCTCGTCGTGACCTCGTGATCCGCCCGTTTCAGCCTCCCAAAGTGTTGGGATTACAGGTGTGAGCCACAATGTCCAGCTGATAAATTTAATTTTGCTTTTCTGAGTTTTCATTTATGGTAATGGTTAAATCAGCTAGGCTTTACAGTTGTTACTCACATATAATTCTTTGTCCATCCTTTAATTCTCACATTGGGAACTGACTAAAAAAAGAAAGCTTCCAGTCTGGGCACAGTGGCTCACACCTGTAATCCCAGCACTTTGGGAGGCCGAGGTGGGTGGATCACCTGAGGTCAGGAGTTCAAGACCAGCCTGGCCAACACAGCAATACCCCGTCTCTAATAAAAAATACAAAAATCAGCCAGGCTTGGGTGGCGGGCGCCTGTCGTCCCAGCTACGCAGGAGGCTGAGACGGGGAGAATTGCTTGAAGCCAGGAGGTGGAGGTTGCAGTGAGCCGAAAGCGCTTAAGGAGAAATAAGTAAGGACAAAGAGTGCAGGATAGTATCCTGACACGGAGGATGGGGAGGGTATGTAAATATTGTCGATATTTTACTGAATTTCTAAATATTACAAGAATAGAATATTCATAGGATAACCTAAGCTTTTCTGTGAGTCAGTGTACTAGGCAGAAAGTTCACTAAAGTGGTTTATGATTTTTGCTACTTATGAGAAAACATTAAAAATGAAGCCATGAAAAGGAAATATTGGTGAAATTTAGATACTTCAGAAGGAAAGAGAGACTTTCTTTTTTTTTTGGAAAGAATTTCTATACCATCTATTATATCATTGATTGTATGTGATTATTGAGAATTAACTTGTTTTTTTTTTTTTTGTTTTTTTTTTTTGAGACAGTTTTGCTCTTGTCACCCAGGCTGGAGTGCCGTGGTGAGATCTCGGCTCACTACAACCTTCACCTCCCGAGTTCAAGCAATTCTGCTGCCTCAGTCTACTGAGTAGCTGGGATTACAGGTGCCCATCACCACGCCCAGCTAATTTTTCTAATTTTAGTAGAGACGGGATTTCACCATGTTGGTCAGGCTGGTCTCGAACTCCTGACCTCAGGTGATCCGCCCGCCTAGGCCAAAGTGCTGGGATTACAGGCGTGAGTCTCCCACGCCCAGCCCTTAAATTTCATTTAGACTGGAAATTTCAAGTAATGGAGAGGTGTGTTAAGGAAGTTATTGCTCTGTTAGAGCAGTTTCTTAAATTTGGCACTATTGACATTTTGGGCTGGATTTTTCTTTTTGTTTCTGAGATAGTTTCACTCTGTCGAGCCATCACAGCTCGTTGCAGCCTTGAACTCCTGGGCTCCTTGAACAGGAGGCTCCTGCCTGAGCCTCCTGAGTAGCTGAGACCATAGGCACGTACCATATACCTAGCTAAATGTGTTTTTGACTTTCTTTTTTCTTTGTAGAGTCAAGTTCTCACTATGTTGTCCAGGCTGGTCTTGAAATCCTGGGTTCCAGCAATTCTCCTGCTTAGCCTTACAGAGTGTCGGGATTGTAGGCATAGGCCACTGCACCCGGCCTTGGGCTGATATTTATTTGCTATGGGGAACTTTCCTGTGCGTTGTAGGATGTTTGGCAATGTCCCTGGCCGGCCAGGTGCAGCGGCTCACACCTGTAATCCCAGCACTTTGGGAGGCTGAGGTGGGCGGATCACTTGAGGCTGGGAGTTCAGAAGAGACCAGCCAACATGGTGAAACCCTGTCTCTACTAAAAATACAAAAATTAGCCGGGTGTGGTGACACACATGAGAATCACTTGAACTCAGGAGGCTGAGTTTGCCGTGAGCTGAGATCGCGCTGCTGTACTCCAGCCTGGGTGACAAAGCAAGAATCTGTCTCAAAAAAAAAAAAAAAAAAAAAAAAAATTCGCTGGTCTCCACCTACGTTTGTATCCCCACCCCAAGTCCTGACAATAAAAAATGTCTTCAAAATGTTCCTTGCAAAATTGCTCATTGAGGCTAACTGAGGTGGCTCACAACTTTAATCCCAGCCCTTTGGAAGGCTGAGGCTGGCAGATCACTTAAGCCCAGGTGACTGGCCCTGGCCAACTTGGCAAAACCCTGTCTCTACTAAGAATACAAAAAATAGCCAGACGTGGTGGTGCACACCTGTAATTCCAGCTACTCGGGAGGCTGAGGCAGCAGAATCACTTGAACCTGGGAGGCGGAGGTTGCAGTGAGCCGAGATCGCACCACTCTACTCCAGCCTGATTGACAGAGTGAGACTCCATCTCAAAAAAAAAAGAAATTACTCTCTGAGCACCAGTGTGTTACAGTGTGCTTAGCTGTGGTACCACTTTGGATTCTTTCACACAAGAACAGTTAAGGCCAGTTTTAAAGCTGTGGGGCCATTTCTGAACTGTATTTTGTTTTTTTTTTTTTGGAGATGAAGTTTCACTCTTGTTGCTCAGGCTGGAGTGCGATGGTGTGATCTCGGCTCACTTGCAACCTCCGCCTCCCAGGTTCAAGCAATCTCCTGCCTTAGCCTCTTGAGTAGACTTGATTATGGGATCTTGGCTCACTGCAACCTCTGCTTCCCAGGTTCAAACAGTTCTGCCTTAGCCTGCTGAGTAGCTGGGATTACAGGTGCCCGCCACCATGCTTGGCTAATTTTGTATTTTTAGTAGAGACGGGGTTTCACCATATTGGCCAGGCTGGTCTCGAACTCTTGACCTTGTGATTCACCCACCTCTGCCTCCCAAAGTGCTGGTATTACAGGCATGAGCCACTGTGCCTAGCCAATTTTTTGAATTTTTAGTAGAGATGGGGTTTCATCATGTTGGCCACGCTGGTCTCGAACTCCTGACCTCAGGTGATCCACCCACCTTGGCCTCCTAAAGTTCTGGGATTACAGGCGTGAGCCACTTCGCCCAGCCTGCACTGTGTTCTTATCCTGCATAATGACTTAAATTGATAATAAGTTGTGGTCATGGTTCTCAGAAACCTAAAATAATTCACTGATGTTAATAAAAATGAGTGGTTGTATTTAGAGTCAAGGCGAAACTGAATTAGGATGTATAAAATAACTTTTTTTTTTTTTTTTTTTTTTTAAGTAGGACTGTTGTTCGGCTGGGCGTGGTGGCTCACGCCTGTAATCCCAGCACTTTGGGAGGCCACAGCGGGCGGTCAAAAGTTTGAGACCAGCCTGACCAACATGGTGAAACCCTGTCTCTACTAAAAATACAAAAATTAGATGGATGTGGTGGCGCATGCTGTAATCCCAGCTACTCAGGAGGCTGAAGCAGGAGAATCACTTGAACCCAGGAGGCGGAGGTTGCAGTGAGCTGAGATGGCACCACTGCACTCCAGCCTGGGCGAGAGAGTGAGACTCTGTCTCAAAAAAAAAAAAAAAGAAAAGAAAAAAAAAGAAAAGGGACTATACTATGTTCGAAGAGTGTAGTTTCTGTCCCATACTGAATTCACTGTTCTTTCCCTAGTGATTAAAATACAAGAAAAGGTAGAGGGAGAAACACGAACTGAATTTTATGAACTTAATTCCAAGAATGTATTTTTACATTTGTTCAAAAAATTATTACTTTATTGATAATATGCAAACATACCAGATTATGTATTAATAGTTAAAAATTTGAGTTCTAGAACAAGCTTATTAAAAATCAACGTCAGTAAAAAGAAAATAGATGGTAGTCACAGTGCCATTCATCTGAAAATAATGTTTTAATACTCAACATGTATATGGATTATATATCTATACGTTTATAGTATTGTAGCTGGATTTATGTTACATTTTTAGCATAAAATTTGGCTTTTGCTGGGCCCAGTGGCTTGCGACTGTAGTCCCAGCAACTCAGGAGGGTAAGGTGGGAGGATTGCTTGAACCAAAGAGTTTGAGGCTGCAGTGAGCTGTGACCTCACCTCTGCACACCAGCCTGAGTGACAGAGCAAGACCCATCCCTGAAAAGAAAAAACTTGGCTGTTTTACTTTGCTTTCAATTTGTAGTATATTCTACTTAATATAATAAACTTACTTTCTGTGAGGTGCTTGAATACTTTTTAATGGTTATTTATGAAGTGGTGAACTGTAATTCTGTATTTGTACATTTGGATGTACAAATAGTGTTGCTACAGTTGTCCTTTTTTGGTATGTCTCCAGTGTTCTTAGGATAAATTCCTGAAAGTGAATTTCAGTTTTGAATTTCAGAGAAACATGTCAAAGTTCTTCTTTAAGCCTTTAAGTCTCCTGATATGTTTTGTCGTATTGCAGCTTGGAAAGGTTGAAATAAAATCCTCTATTAGGGCTGGGTGCAGTGGCTCATGCCTGTAATCCGAGCACTTTGGGATTTAGCTGATTTGGCTGATTTATCATGCCACTGCCACCTGTATCCACCCAAAATCCACAAAAACCCCAGGATACATTCTTAGCATTAAAAAAAAAGTTATATAAATATATATAATTATATATATATTTGAGACAGGGCCTGTCTCTGATACCCAGACGTGTGCAGTATCTTTCAAAAATCATATATCTATATATAGTTTGCCCCTTCCTTCAGTCTTTGCTGCCCCTAATATCTGTCCTTAATGGTTACCATGGTGAAACTCTTGGAAATCATTCAGGGGGAAAAAAAATTTGTGTTGGGATAGGGGAGGGATGTCAGCATAAGTTTTTAATACTTGATAAATGATTGCCAACAGAATCAAAAACACCTTGTTTTCTATCTTTTTTCACCATATAATATTCTTGAGAATAATTTCGTAACAGCACTTAACAGATATACCTTATTTTTCAAAGAAGGCTGTGTAGCATTCTATTTTAAAGTTGTTTCACAGTATATGAGTCTCCTATTGATAGGTATCTGCATTTTTGTCTTTTTGATCTAGGGTTGTTTTTAAGGCAGTTTAAAAACTATAGTAAGTAAAAGAGGCCAGGTGCGGTGGCTCACACCTGTAAACCCAGCACTTTGGGAGGCCGAGGCGGGTGGATCACTTGAGGTAGGAGTTTGAGACCAGCCTGGCAAACATGGTGAAACCCTTCTCTACTAAAAATACAAAAAATTAGCCGGCCGTGGTGGCAAGCGCCTGTAGTCCCAGCTGTTCGGAAGGCTGAGGGAGGAGAATCGCTTGAACTCGGGAGGCGGAGATTGCAGTGAGCCAATAATATGCTGCTGTACTCCAGCCTGGGCAACAGAGCGAGACTCTATCTCAAAAATAAATACAATTTTAAATAAAATTATAAAAATAAAGCAGCACCCAGCTTTATTTTTTATTTATTTATTTATTTTTTGAGACAGAGTCGCATTCTGTCGCTCAAGTTGGAGTGCAGTGGTGCCATCTTGGCTCACTGCAACCTCTGCCTCCCGGGTTCAAGTGATTCTCCCGCTTCAGCCTCCCAGGTAGCTGAGATTACAGGTGTGTGCCACCACGCCCAGCTAATTTGTATTTTTAGTAGAGATGGGGGTTTCACCATGTTTGCCAGGCTGGTCTTGAACTCCTAACCTCAGGTGATCCGCCCACCTTGGCCTCCCAAAGTGCTGGGTTTATAGGTGTGAGCCGCCGCGCTTGGCTCAACATCTTATTGTTTGAGACGGGGTCTCCTTCTGTTATCCAAGCTGGAGTGTAGTAGTGTGATCTTACAGCTCACTGCAGCCTCCAACTCTTGGGCTCAAATGATTCTCCTGTCTCAGCCTCCCAAGTAGCTAGTACTACAGGTGTGCACCACCATGCCCTGCTGTTTCTTTGTTTTTTTTATATGGACAGTCTTGCTATGTTGCCCAGGCTGGTCTCAAACTCCTGAGCTCGAGTGATTCTGCTGCCTCAGCTACTCAAAGTGCTGGGATTGTAGGCGTTAACTATCAGGTTAGGCCTGTTCTGTTTTTATTAGCGTGGATGACTGCTGGTTACTACTGGCCGTTTGTATATCCTTGAATTACCTCTTTGTTTTTAGCCATTTTTCTCCATTTGGGTGCTTTTTCACAGTGACTTCTGGGAATATTATGTTCTTTTCTTTTGATTTACCTTTCAAATTTTATTTTTATGGATATATAATAGTTGTACGTGTACATTATATATTCTTGAAGAGTTAGGCTTATTGGGATTCCAGCCTTTAGTAGTCCCATGAAGGTGAGCAAACTGAAATGTACTTACTAGTCTTAGTCATTTGGTTCGTAATATGTAATAGAAATGGTGCTTATCCTAAAAGAAAAATAGAAAACTTGAGGGTGAAGGATCAGAAATTGAAGACAGTAAATACTGCATAGAGGTTTAAATGCTAGGGTTTTTAGGTTTTCTTTTTTTTTTGAGATAGTCTTGCTCTGACACCCAGGCTGGACTGCAACCTCTGTTCCCTGGCCTCAAGCGATCCTCCCACCTTAGCCTCCTGACTAGCTGTGACCACAGATGTGCACCACCATGCCCGGCTATTTTTTTTTGTATTTTTGGTAGAGATGGGGTCTCGCCATGTTGCCCAGTCCAGTGCTGGATTTTCATATCAAAACAGGGCTCTGCTACTTACTTGCTCTTGTGACCAAAATGGCAAGTTAGGTTTGTTTTGTATTTGTTTTCATCTGCATCGGGGTATATGTTCACAGCTGGATCAGCAAACTTTCTGTAGTAAGGTAGGGCCTGGTAGTAAATATGTAGTATGCTTTGCAGACTGCATAGGGTCTCTGTCATATGTTCTTTGTTTTCTTTACAGCCTTGAACAAATTAAAAAACCCAGTCTTCAGCCTTGTCTGTAGCATAATAAAGAGGAAATTAAAAGTGCTTATGTTATACGTGGTACATACTAAAATTTATTAAGTGGCGACTGGCAGTTTAACTAATTGACATTCTCTTGTGTTAGGTTAATACAGGGGTTGGCGTACTATGGCCTCAGTCCAAATGTGGCCCACTCCATGTTTTTGTATAGGCTGTGAGCTAAGCATTAAGCATTAATTTATTACTTAAATCAACAAATAAAGTTTATGTGGTGTACAACATGATGTTTTGATGTGTGTACATTATGGAATGGCTAACTCAAGCTAATATTCATTACTTCACATACTTTTTTTTGGTGGTGAGAACATTTAAAATGTACTCTTAATAATTTTCAGGTATACAATATTTGTTTTTGTTTTTGTTTTTGTTTTGAGACGAAGTCTCGCTCTTGTCCCCAGGCTGGAGTGCAGTGGCGCTATCTTGGCTCACTGCAACCTCCGCCTCCCAGGTACAAGCGATTCTCCTGCCTCAGCCTCCCAAGTAGCTGGGATTACAGGCGCCTGTCTCCACGCCCGGCTAGTTATTGTATTTTTAGTAAAGACAGGGTTTCACCATGTTGGCCAGGCTGGTCTCAAACTCCTGACCTCAGGTGATCCGCCTGCCTCAGCCTCCCAAAGTGCTGGGATTACAGGCGTGAGCCACCGCGCCCGGCTACAATATGTTCTTAATTATAGTCAGCAATAGATCTCCTGAACTTATTCTTCCCAGCGTCTTCCCAATCCCACCTCCACCCCCTGCTAATAATTAATTTTAAATGACTGGGGAAAAAATTGAAAGAACTGTTTCATGACACTTGAACATTATATAAAATTTTCATGTCAGTGTTCATAAATACAAACTTTTATTAGAACATAGCCATACTATTTATATATTGAAATACAGTTGAATTTGTCATATGACCAATTTATTAGTATTGATTAAGATGTTGAGCAGTTTATTCAAGTGTGGTTTTGTGGAATGAAAGAGACAGGAGGGATTATGAGGACTCTCCTTAGCAGGATTGATGCATTTCACTTTTTTTGACAGGAAGGAAAGTTTAGGTTCTATTTTCTCAGCAACTCTACTTAACTGCCTCCATCTGAACTATATATAGGAGGGGGTGGATATCAGCAAAGATTAACATCAGTAAATTTTGATGAATTCTCTAAAAATTCTGATTTTTAAAGAGGGAATTTTGGCTGGGCACAGTGGCTCACACCTGTAATCCTAAGCACTTTGGGAGGCCAAGGCAGGTGGATCACCTGAGGTCTGGAGTTTGAGACCAGCCTGGCCAACATGGTGAAACCCTGTCTCTACTAAAAACAAATTAGCTGAATGTGGTGGCGCGCACCTGTAGTCCCAGCTCCTTGGGAGGCTGAGGTGGGAGAATTGCCTAAACCCAGGAGAGGTGGAGGTTGCAGTGAGCCGAGATTGTGCCATTGCACTCCATCCTGGGTGACAGAGCGAGACTCTCAAAAAAAAAGGTGGGTGTGAATTTTGTTATGTTGTGCGGGCTGGAGTGTAGTGCCCATCCATTGGCACGATCATAGAGTACTACAGCTCCCTAACTCCCAGACTCAAGTGATTCTCCCTCCTCTGTCTCCCCAGTAGCAGGAACTACAGGCCTGTGCCACCATGCCCAGCTTTCTTAGTCTTGAGGGACTGCATTTACACCTATGCCTTTTACTCTAGGGTCTTTTATTCATATTGCTAGAAATTTGGAGAAGAAAGAAAGGCATAATCTCTGCAGAAAAGCCATTATTTCTGCAGATAGTTCTTTTTTTTTTTGAGATGGAGTCTTTCTTTGTCACCCAGGCTGGAGTGCAGTGGTGTGATCTAGGCTCACTACAAGCTCCACCTCCTGGGTTCACGCCATTCTCCTGCCTTAGCCTCCCGAGTAGTGGGACTACAGGCACCCGCCACCATGCCCAGCTAATTTTTTTTTGTATTTTTTAGTAGAGACGGGGTTTCACCATCTTAGCCAGGATGGTCTCGATCTTCTGACCTTGTGATCCGCCGACCTCGGCCACCCAAAGTGCTGGGATTACAGGCATGAGCCACCACATCCGGCCAATTTCTGCGGATAGTTCTAAGCTTTAGTTTTGACCACGTTGGTTGCCTATGGCCAATTCCTGGATTATTTGCATGTTTCCAGACACAGCTATGTGAAAGCAGGGTTTGTTTTAATAGTGTTTTGAGCCTTTGATTCCAGTTCTGCTTCCACTCTTGGTCTATAAGGATCCCTATGGCAGCAACAGAATGGCCCAGCCCTCATGATTGGTTGCTTAAAAAGGCTTTAGGATATTCAAACTGGGTGGCCTGTCTTGTTTGGAATAGGACTAAGCATGTCACACTTTCACCATGGAAGAGTTAATCCATATTCTATCTGTAAGTTGTATCTCCAGTCATTGGTTTTCAACAAGTGGTCCTATCTTAGGAGGAGTGGTATATTAGAACAGTCCTTCCAGAGTAATTTTTTTCATTATTTCAGATTTTTTAGTTTTTTTTGTTTGTTTTTTTTTTTTTTTTTTTTAAAGGCTCTCACTCTGTCACCCAGGCTGGAGAGCAGTGATACGATCATAGCTCACTGGAACCTCTACCTCCCTGGGCTCAGGTGATCCTCCCACCTCAGCCTTCTGAGTTTCTGGGACTACAGGCATGAACCGTGAGGCCCAGCTAATTTTTGTGATTTTTGTGTTTTTTGTAGAGTCAGGGTTTCTCCATGTTGCCCAGGCTGGTCTCGTACTCCTGGTCTCAAGTAACCTGCCCGCCTCGGCCTTCCAAAGTGCTGGGATTAGAGGTGTGAGCCACCACACCTGTACTACTACTTTTAGTTTGAACACTATATTTAAATCTAATAATTCAGACATGGCCCATTTCATACTTGACAGAAAGTATGAGTCAAAGACTCAAATCATTCAGATTCTCACATATGTAAAACGTACGCTTGGCCGGGTGCAGTGGCTCACGCCTGTAATCCCAGCACTTTGTGAGACCAAGGTGGGCGGATCACCTGAGGTCAGGAGTTCAAGACCAGCCTGACCAACATGGAGAAACCCCGTCTCTACTAAAAATACAAAATTAGCTGGGGTGGTGGCACATGCCTGTAATCCCAGCTATTCAGGAAGCTGAGGCAGGAGAATCACTTGAACCCGGGAGGTGGAGGTTGTGGTGAGCTGAGATCGCGCCATTGCACTCCAGCCTGGGCAAAAAGAGCGAAACTCTGTCTCAAAAAAAAAAAAAAAAGCAGGCTTATAAAATAAAACAAAAATGTCCCTTATGATTTGTCTTAAAGGTAGTTGAATTAATAAGAGCTAAATCTAGTGTCCCATACATCTTTGTGTTTCTTACTCTACCCTTTAGAAAGGGTGGGGGTGGACGTGGATAAGGCACACAGTTAATTCAGGGACGGTGGAGTCTTGGTACTTGCTCTTTTTCCCTGACCTTGCTTTGGAGTTATTTTATTTTTTAAATTCTGCATTTGGCATGCTATTATCACTTGCTTACTATTATAGGTCCTATTTTATCTGTTGCCTAGCATATTCTCATAGTGCCTAAAATACTCTAAAAGCTATTTCCAGAGGGAGCTTTAATGAGACATACAATGCTTAATCTCTCAAATGTAAATGTACTAGAACAAAGCATTCTGGGGAAGAAAACAGTGGTTGATTTAACTGAACTCACTTTTCCAAAACAGTGGCTTTTGATTTTCTGTAAACATTGACTTTATTAAGCTTTTCCCTTGCTACTATATGCACTCTCTATTTCTTAAATTGCAAAGAGTTATTCATGAAATTTGTGATAAATATTTGAATCTAAGGCAACGTTTTTGGATTCTTTATACGAGGTTTTTAGCAGCATGTGTACATGTATGTGATAGCTGTTAACGGAATTCACTTAAGTTTTACTTAGAAGCCTGGGTAGTAGAACCTAGAAGTTGCAGTGGGAATTTTTTTTTAATTTGAAAGATTAAATAGGTAAAAAGTCATCTTTAATCTCTATTAAACTTTTTTGTATAATGTCAGAAGTGAAAGTTCCCCACATCTGCTTACAGCCTGTTTGTATCCTTCCTGACTTGATTGATTAAATGGACATCTCTATATACATATGCATATAATTTCAATTTTTGCTTAGTAACAAAAACAAAAGTTACACATACTGGTGACTAATTTGCTTTTTTCACGTATGTCATGAACCATTTTCCAGGGCAGTTCATCTAGATCTCCCTCAATTCTTTTTAATGGCTACATATTCCACTATTATGGATGTACCATATTTATACAACCGGTTCCCTATTGATGGACATATGGTTGTGTCTAGTTTTTTGCTAGCATTGTGATAGATTAGAGCCTGTAATGAATGGTAAGGAAGTAAGTAGATGATAGCACTACTACTTTGAAGGAAAAAGTAGAGAATAAACTTCCTTTGCCATAGTCACTTACTAAATGGAATTTAATAAAAACACTGTCAAAAGTTGGGAGGACCAAAATTGATACTTTTTCTCTGATCTTTTTGCCATGTGTATATCTGAATTCTTTGTTTTTAAAGAAGAAACAGCATTGAAGCATTATTTGGGGGGAAAAACACACACACAAAATCCAGCAACTCAGCATTCATGAGCAACTCTATACTATACCAGTATGTGCCTGTGCAGTGGAAGGAAAACAATTTTGGTAAGGATTAAAACTTTAGCTTTAAACTTCCAGCAGGTTGATATTCTAATGAATGATAAATCAAAAAAAAATTTTAAATATTCTTGTATTGACAGTGCTTTTTTTTTTAAATCACCCTACCTTGATATCTGTAATTTTAGTTTAAACTTTCCCATTTTTCTTTAAAGAAAAAAATCTGAATTTGCAGCCAACAAAAATTAGATATCCTAAGGTTGTATTACTTCTGACTTTTATTAAAATATCAACATTTCTTAGAGATGTTTATGGGCCGACTTTGTCTTTTTCTTCAAGGGGCCAAGTTCACTAATTGCTGAGTTTTATGCATATGACAGCAACCGTCCTTTTGTAGGTGTGTGTCGCATCCATCTAGATACTTTAAAATGCTCATCTATTTCATTTTTAAAATTATGTGTGTGGGATTATCAGTATTTTTTTGTTAAACATATGACATCTGTAGTTTATTTCACTAATGTAAATTTTTTCTACCATTTGCTTGATACAGGAAATATATCCTGGACAATTCCAGCCATCTCTCTGTCACAAATTCATAGCCTTGTCAGATAAGGAAGGAAAACTACTTCGCAACTATACCCAGAACATAGACACGCTGGAACAGGTTGCGGGAATCCAAAGGATAATTCAGTGTCATGGTTAGTAAACTTCAGAGTGGTTTTCTGTAATTTATTTTAGTTTTATAGGAAGATATTTCCTATAAAGCTGACTGCCATCGAGAAGTGGAGATAAAGCATTATTTAATCATGTTATCTCATTTATCGATAACCTCAGAAAAGTAGAAAACAAAAATAATAAAAACAGAAGTATTGGCCTTGACAGTTAATTATAGAAAACCTCAGATATTAATTTGCTTTTGATTTCAAAAGATGCTGCAGTTGCATGCATTCAATTATTTTAAATAATCTTTTCTGGCTGAGTGCAGTGGCTCACGCCTGTAATCCTAGCACTTTGGGAAGCCGAGGCGGGCAGATCCCATGAAGCCAAGAGTTCGAGAACAGCTTGGCCAACATGGTGAAATCCCAACTCTACTAGAAATACTAAAATTAGCCGGGCATGGTGGCAGGCGCCTGTAATCCCAGCTACTCAGGAGGCTGAGGCACGAGAATCACTTGAACCTGGGAGTTGGAGGTTGCAGCGAGCCAAGATTGCACCATTGCGCTCCAGCCTGGGAGACAGTGAGACTCTGTCAAAAAAAAAAAAAAAAAAGAAAAAGAAATTCTGAATACAAGAGTAGTATTAGCTGTTAATGAAGAAATGTGACATCTTTAGTTTATGAAACTAAAAGAACTGGATAGTTGAGATGTACAGGATTCAGAGATTCAGAAATGTTTAAAACAAGTATCAACAGGCCATTAGGTATCTAAAGTGTTTCTAAGAACTGCCGAGCTAAGGTAATAGAGTTGGAACTGTCCAACTCTGCAGGATTTTAGCCCTGGAGGAGTGAGCTGTTACAGTTTTGTTGAAAAGAGTAGCTTTAGAAGGCATCATTATATTAGTGTCTCAGAGATTGAGAATCATATTCATTCTATGTATAAATATATAAATTCTTCATCCCCTAGATTCTCCTGTAGTATATCACAAAATCTGCAGTGTGTTCTGAGGTTTAAAATCAAAGTTAAAAACAAAAACAAAAATCCTTAAACCCTCTTAACATTTGTGATGTTAAACTTTATAACGTTTGTGGTGTGTTCAAGAAACAGAAATACTTCTTTAATAAAGCATATATATGTTGTTTGTTTTTAGGTTCCTTTGCAACAGCATCTTGCCTGATTTGTAAATACAAAGTTGACTGTGAAGCTGTACGAGGAGATATTTTTAATCAGGTAATTTGTTGCCCATATTTTAGGAATTGTTCATGTCTCTGAAGTATTTCTTCTTTTGCCTCAAAATCCTTTTTTACCCCTTTAAAGTATATATGGTACAGAAAGATTCAGGAAGAAAATAGTTAGCATTTGGGAATTTTGGTAAAATACACGAGAACCTTTCAATACCTTATATAGAAAACAGCCCTATAAAGGCTCTTCAAATTATGAAATTGGCTTCTTAGTATCTAAGCCGAACATAAAATGTCAGATCATAAGCAAGTTGTTGTTGTAGTAGTTTTTCTCCTTCCTCTCCCTTTTTGTGCCTGTCAGATTTGGACCTTAAATTAGTTATGGTAATCTAAAATTATTTCATACATGTTCATTGCCAAAAAATATAGGAAAATTTGGCAGAAAATAAAAATTATCCAGAAATATGTCCTGTGTGCTTAGCAATATATGGAGGTAATCATGTCATTACGAAAGAGGAAGAATAGTATATTAAAATGGAGTCATTGGTCGGGTGCAGTGGCTCATGCTTGTAATCCCAGCACTTTGGGAGGACGAGGTGGGTCGATCATTTGAGGTCAGAAGTGAGACCAGCCTGGCCAACATGGCAAAACCCCGTCTCTCTTAAAAATACAAAAATTAGCCTGGCATGGTGGCATATGCCTTTAATCTCAGCTGCTTGGGAGGCTGAGGCAGGAGAATTATTTGAACTCGGGAGGTGGAGGTTGTAGTGAGCTGAGATCATGCCACTTCACTCCAGGCTGGGCAACAGAACAAGACTCCATCTCAAATAAATAAAATGGAATCATTTTATTTGACAAATGTCTATTTTTTTTTGAAAGGATCAATTCCCATTTAGTGTATATACACACATTATGTTTTTCCTCTTAATATATGATGGACTCTTCAATGTCAAGTGTTTTTCTACATAGATATTATAACAAGAGCATAGTATTTCATTGTTTCATAGTATGTTAATAAACTACCCATCATTGACAGTTGCTGTTTATCCATAGCTTTTCTGTTTTGTTTTTTTTTTAATAATTCTGAAATGTATTCTTAGAGGTATGGAAATGTTGACTATTTCTAACTTGGGCTTACTCTTTGCTTCTCTACCTCAACCAAAATCTGAAAATATGTAGGTAGTTCCTCGATGTCCTAGGTGCCCAGCTGATGAACCGCTTGCTATCATGAAACCAGAGATTGTGTTTTTTGGTGAAAATTTACCAGAACAGTTTCATAGAGCCATGAAGTATGACAAAGATGAAGTTGACCTCCTCATTGTTATTGGGTCTTCCCTCAAAGTAAGACCAGTAGCACTAATTCCAAGTAAGTTGGTGATGGTTTTTGGAGAACATTTCTATATATAATGTCATGGGTTGTGGGTCTGTATAATAGACGCTAGTAATCTTAACTCTGCTTCTGTTTGAAAGAGTGGTGAAGAGCTAATTTTAGAAATTGTTTGTTTGTTTGTTTATTGAGATGGAGTTTCCCTCTTGTTGCCCAGGCTGGAGTGCAGTCGCATATCTTGGCTCACTGCAACCTCCGCCTCCCGGGTTCAAGCGATTCTTCTGCCTCAGCCTTCTGAGTAGCTGGGATCACAGGCGTCCACCAACATGCCTGGCTAGTTTTTGTATTTTTAGTATAGACCGGGTTTCACCATGTTGGCCAGGCTGGTCTCGAACTCCTCAGCTCAGGTGATCCGCCTGTCTCTGCCTTCTAAAGTGCTGGGATTACAGGCATGAGCCCCCATGCCTGGCCAGAAATTCTTTATTTTTAGTAGAGATGAGGTCTTGTTGTGTTGCCCAGGCTGGATTCGAACTCCTGGGCTCAAGTGATCCTCCTGCCTCAGCCCCTTGAGTAGCTAGGATTACAGGCACGAGCCTCCACATCTGGCTGAACTGTTTTTTTAGGTGGCATTGTTCATTGAGACTGGTGAATCTGACATTTTGATGGGGGGTGGAGGGTTGTCAAAACGCAAGTAATGTTGGTGGCTCGTGCCTGTAATCTCAGCACTTTGGGAGGCCGAGGTAGGTGGATCGCTTGAGGGCAGCAGTTTGAGACCAGCCTGGCCAACATGGTGAAACCCTGTCTCTACTAAAAATACAAAAATTAGCTGGGCATAGTGGTGTGCACATGTAGTCCCAGCTACTTGGGAGGTTGGGGCATGAGAATCGCTTGAACTCAGGAGGCAGAGGTTGCAATGAGCCGAGAATGTGCCACTGCACTCCAGCCTGGGTGACAGAGTGGGACTCTGTCTCAAAAAATCAAAAACAAACCCAGAAGTAATGCTAAACTCTACTTCTAATTTATGTGAAAAATTAAGACAAAGGTAGAGTTCAACTTAGACTTTTTGGTGGAATGTGTTTTTAATGTTGCAAGGGTTAGCATCAATTAATTTATGAAATGGTCCTTTATCCTTATATTTTTTGATTACAGTTTTGATCTTTCAAATTTAATTGATTTCACATTTAATAAATTCAAATGTATAGTTTGGTAGAAGTGTAACATACCATGTAAGATGGAATTTGGGGGCTCAGAATGATTGGTTCATTCTTGTAGTAACAGCCATGCCATAACGGTGATATGTCGATATAGTTTACCCAAAAGGGTGTGTATATAAAAGTGTTCACATAAAATTTAAATCCTTATTACTCTCAGGAAAATTTCTTTGTCATATATATTCTCATACTGTCTGTTTCCTCCTCTAGTTTAGAATCAGAGGAGGAGAGAGAGAGATTTCAGTTGCATCAGATGTGTCCTTTCATAAGTGAGGGAAAGAGGAGAGGAAAAATATTAAATCCCTAGCCAGAGAATTGAATTAGACCCCACATCAGCAGTCAAGGCAGCCAGAGTAAACAGTTGGAAGAAACATGGAGTCAAGCTCTTCAATTTTGTGTCTATCCCATATCTCGTGGCTTTAGCAGTTAACTCAGTCTTACCTAATTAGCTGTGAAATTCTGTTAAAGTAGAATACAAGACAATTTGCAATTAAATGAAACATGAAAATTTAATATACAAATCTCTTTGTTCTTGAGTTGCTCTTCTTAAAGCAAAATCAAAGGCACTCTGCTTAAAAGCTTTTCTTTTTATTTTTTAGAGACGGGTGTCTTGCTGTAGCTCAGGCTAGAGTGCAGTGGTGCAGTTTCAGCTCACTGCAGCCTTCAACTCCTGGGGACAAGCAGTCCTTCCACTTCAGCTTCCTGAGTAGTTAGGACCAGAGGCGCACACCATGCTTGGCAAATTTTTAAATTTTTTTTTGTAGAAACGGGATTCACTTTGTTGCCCAGGCTGGTCACAAACTCCTGGCCTCAAGTGATCCTTCCTCCTCTGCCTCTCAAAGCATTAGGATTACAGGCATGAGCTACCATGCCTGGTCCTTAAAAACTTTTCTTTCAAAAGCTTTCTGTGGGATAGTATGATGTGTTGCAAAGATAATTAAAAAAAGAAACAGGTTTATAATAGCGTAGAATATGTTTATATGACTTTTTCCCTCCCCCCCTCCCCTCCCTCCCTCCCTTCCGTTTGTCCTTCCTTCCATTCATCCTTCCTTCTGTTAGTCCTTCCTTCTGTCCATCCTTCCCGTCCGTTCTTCCTTCCTTCCTTCGTCCATCCTTCTGTCTGTCCTTCCTTCCGTTCATCTGTCCGTCCTTCCTTCCTCCCACCCTCCCTCCCTCCCTCCTATCCTCCCTCCCTCCCTCATTGCCCAGGCTGGAGTGCAATGGCATGATCTCGGCTCACTGCAGTCTCCCGTGTTCAAGCAGTTCTCCTCCCAAGTAGTTGGGATTAGAGGCATGCGCTACCACACGCCCGGCTAATTTTGTGTTTTTAGTAGAGATGGGGTTTCACCATGTTGGTCGGGTTGGTCTTGAACTCCTGACCTCAGGTGATCCGCCTGCCTCGGCCTCCCAAAGTGCTGGGATTACAGGCGTGAGCCACTGTACCCAGCTCACCTTCTTTATATCAGGAGCTACTTAAGTAGAACATTTATGTACCAAGAACTCTTCTGTGCACTTGACTAACTCATTTAATCCTCACCACAGTCTTGTGGAGAAGTACTATTATCATCCCCATTCTGCAGACAAGGAAATTTGAGGTTCAGAGTGGGAAAGTCTGGGAAGATTGCTCAGGGGTAACCAGGTGATAGGAGCAGAACTTGAGCGTTTTATAAAAGACACTTAACTGCCCATCTGCTTGCTTGATGAAATGTAATGGCTTGGTTAAGTATTTAGTGCATGGGTCTTTTTTGGGAATTTGGAGCTCAAGCCCTTGTTGGATTTTTGCATAATGTATCTGTTGTGGTTTTATTAGCTTACTTCCTCCTCCCTTTTTCTAACTCTTATTTTTCACCCTATTTTAGGTTCCATACCCCATGAAGTGCCTCAGATATTAATTAATAGAGAACCTTTGCCTCATCTGCATTTTGATGTAGAGCTTCTTGGAGACTGTGATGTCATAATTAATGAATTGTGTCATAGGTTAGGTGGTGAATATGCCAAACTTTGCTGTAACCCTGTAAAGCTTTCAGAAATTACTGAAAAACCTCCACGAACACAAAAAGAATTGGCTTATTTGTCAGAGTTGCCACCCACACCTCTTCATGTTTCAGAAGACTCAAGTTCACCAGAAAGAACTTCACCACCAGATTCTTCAGTGATTGTCACACTTTTAGACCAAGCAGCTAAGAGTAATGATGATTTAGATGTGTCTGAATCAAAAGGTTGTATGGAAGAAAAACCACAGGAAGTACAAACTTCTAGGAATGTTGAAAGTATTGCTGAACAGATGGAAAATCCGGATTTGAAGAATGTTGGTTCTAGTACTGGGGAGAAAAATGAAAGAACTTCAGTGGCTGGAACAGTGAGAAAATGCTGGCCTAATAGAGTGGCAAAGGAGCAGATTAGTAGGCGGCTTGATGGTAAGAAAGGCAGTCGGACCATTTTGAAAGTATAAATGTCATAACAGTATTTCCAAAAAATTAGCTATTTCGGCAGGTTAATCGATAGGGTAGCTTTATGTAGTTGATTCTGTTTAGAGAAACTGTACAGTTCGTAATCAGAAAGGTAAATCTTCTGGTATCTTAACATGATATGGAGAAGGAAGTGTTTAATAGTGCTCTGTATGTTGTGTTTCTCTAGGGGATGGAAAAATAAGAATGGGTTATTAGCTGGCAGAAATGATGACAGATTTGAGTGCTTACTGTAGGTCAGCTGCTTTACATATGTTACCTGATTTTAATCTGAGGTAGGAACTATTACTCTTCTTCAGGTGGGAAAACTCAGGACCATAGAGGTTAAATACCTCATGCACAGTAACTACTAAGAAGTGGAAGAACCAGATTAAAATCCAGTCTATTTATGCTTAGAGCCTGCCCCCTTAACTACTATGCGGTGTTGTCTCAGATGTAGAACACATCTTTGTTTTCTCTGAGGACTTAGAAAAAACACGCGTGATTCTTCTCCACTGAATATAGGAATAGTTTCTACCCTGTTTAGAACATGCATAGTCTTTATCAATAAGTGTTAACTGACATGTGAAATCACTTTCTACTCTTTGGAAGCCGATGTTTTAAGTCCAAGTAGTCTGTATGGTGGAAATTCCTAACTTATGTTAAAAAAAAGAAAACCACTGTAACTTAGCTATAACAGTCTTATATAACTTAGAACTTTAAGTCTCATTCCATTTACCATACTTGGCGAAAACTGACAAATTTTAGACAACTGTATTTGAGTATTCCAGTCATTTGCTGTAAATACATTTTAGTTCAGTTGAATAAACCTTTGGCCTTTTTCATATTAGGCACTGTGGTAAGTTATGGAGACACAGTGATTAATGTTGTGTATAATTATAAATGTGAGTGATACTCATTAATACTTTGGTATAGGTGCTGCTGAAGAACAAAGTACTTTATTATTGTTTTGAACAAAACATCACACAAAAGGTAGATTTTTTTTTTTTTTTTTTTTTTTTTTTTTTGTGACGGAGTCTCACTCTGTCGCCCAGGCTGGAGTGCAGTGGCACGATCTCAGCTCACTGCAACCTCTGCGTCCCAGGTTCAAGAGATTCTCCTGCCTCAGCCTTCTGAGTAGCTGAAATTACAGGCATGCGCCACCTTGCTCGGCTGATTCTTGTATTTTTAGTAGAGACGGGGTTTCGCCATGTTGGTCAGGCTGGTCTCAAACTCCTGACCCCATGATCCATCCACCTCGGCCTCCCAAAGTGCTGGAATTACAGGCGTGAGCCACGGCGCCCAGCCCCAAAAGGTAGATTCTACTTGGAGATTAGATTACAGAAGGCTTTCTAAGGAGCAAAATATTTAACAATAAGTAGGGATTTAAAAAGAGCAGACGTGTTCACAGGGGAAACTAGAAAAAGCATAGAGGGATGCTTACGTTTGCAAATCGTGGCAGAAGTCAGAAAGTAGAAAAATTGCTACTGACTTAGATACACAGTTGTCTCTAGCGTATACAAAGTCTACCTATGCACTAAGACTTGCACTGGGAACTTTTCTTGAATGTCATTTTGACAGATGTGTCAAACGGACAATCTCTTTGCCCAGGAAACAGAGTTAACCTGGAACAGTCATTTTTTTTTAAATTTATTTATTTTTTGAGACGGAGTTTTGCTCTTGTTGTCCAGGCTGAAGTACAATGGTGTGATCTCGGTTCACGGCAACCTCCGCCTCCCGGGTTCAAGCGATTCTCCTGCCTCACTCTCCAGAGTAGCTGTAGCTGAGACCACAGGCGCATGCCCTCATGCTCAGCTATTTTTTTTTTTTTTTTTTTTAGTTTTTGTAGAAACAAGGTCTTGCCACATTGCCCAGGCTGATACCAAACTCCTGGGCTCAAGCAGTCTGCCAGCCTTGGCCTCCCAAAGTGCTGGGATTACAGGTGTAAGCCACTGTGCCCTGCCTGTGGTGTCTTGGGAAACTCATGAGTACTATGTGTCTGTTGTAATAGAGGGAAATAAGTGGTTTTCACAGTGATTTGTAGTGGACTGTGAAATTTTAGGGATTCAGGTCAGAGTTGTCACACAGGTTGTAGTCAGGGTGAGAACTGGGTCATGATGCAGTATGAAAAAGTTCGAGAGCCACTTTGGAGAGAACTTGAGATAGGCCACCTACCAGTGTGGTAACCAGGCTTTTGAGAATTCGTCTGGGATACGGTACAATAAATACTACATCTATTATGTGTGAAGAGATGTTAAGTTAGGGACATACTGTGAATTCAAGGATAGAAAACTTTTCCATCAGTTTTTAGGGATCCTACTCTTTCACTTAAACCCCAAATGGCCAAGCTAGGATTGATTTGGTGTGCTGTAGAAAGAACTTCATTGGTATTCATGGATTCACATTACATCTTAGAGGAGTTTTCAAAAGCGTCTTAGACTGTATGTGTATATACACACACATTCTGAAGCAGTAGGTGGGTCTTGGGGCCTGAGATCTCGGGTGAATGTAAATTTAGGTTCACAGGTGATACTGTAGATTCACAGTGTCTACAGAGTACACTATGAATTTGTGGTGACTACATTATTGACAAAATATTTTAGGTTTATAATCAGAAAAAAGTTAAAATAGTTAATGAAGATGCTTTAAAAGCCTGTGTACTTTAGAGAAGCTACTTAACACAAATTGGGTATCTAATGTAGGCTGGGCTGGATACTTCATTTTCATCAAATCTTTTTAAAATAATTGGTGAAATAACCTTTATTGAATATGGTTTTCTACATTTTTCACACTTCCCTCCTTCATAGGGTTGTGAAAATTTATTTCATATTCTAGATGAGGAAATTGAGGCACAGAGGTACACTTACAAAGATACAATAAATGGCAGAACTAAGATTTGAACCCAGGACTAAGTGTATTGCTTGTATTTATTTAATTAATTAATTTTTAAGAGACAGGGCCTCACTCTGTTGCCTAGGCTGGCCCTTGAACTCCTGGGCTCAAGCAGTCCACCTGCCTCAGCCTCCTGAGTAGCTGGGACTGCAGGCACACCATGCCTCCCAGTTGTTTTTAAACACTAATAGTAGTCTTTCATAAGGACACTTATAATAAAGGCAGAGCTGGAACCCACACTTCATTCCAGACTGCTCAGACTGAGTTAGTGTTAGAAAACTGAAAGTAACATTTTTATTACTGTATTTCAGGTAATCAGTATCTGTTTTTGCCACCAAATCGTTACATTTTCCATGGCGCTGAGGTATATTCAGACTCTGAAGATGACGTCTTATCCTCTAGTTCTTGTGGCAGTAACAGTGATAGTGGGACATGCCAGAGTCCAAGTTTAGAAGAACCCATGGAGGATGAAAGTGAAATTGAAGAATTCTACAATGGCTTAGAAGATGAGCCTGATGTTCCAGAGAGAGCTGGAGGAGCTGGATTTGGGACTGATGGAGATGATCAAGAGGCAATTAATGAAGCTATATCTGTGAAACAGGAAGTAACAGACATGAACTATCCATCAAACAAATCATAGTGTAATAATTGTGCAGGTACAGGAATTGTTCCACCAGCATTAGGAACTTTAGCATGTCAAAATGAATGTTTACTTGTGAACTCGATAGAGCAAGGAAACCAGAAAGGTGTAATATTTATAGGTTGGTAAAATAGATTGTTTTTCATGGATAATTTTTAACTTCATTATTTCTGTACTTGTACAAACTCAACACTAACTTTTTTTTTTTTAAAAAAAAAAAGGTACTAAGTATCTTCAATCAGCTGTTGGTCAAGACTAACTTTCTTTTAAAGGTTCATTTGTATGATAAATTCATATGTGTATATATAATTTTTTTTGTTTTGTCTAGTGAGTTTCAACATTTTTAAAGTTTTCAAAAAGCCATCGGAATGTTAAATTAATGTAAAGGGAACAGCTAATCTAGACCAAAGAATGGTATTTTCACTTTTCTTTGTAACATTGAATGGTTTGAAGTACTCAAAATCTGTTACGCTAAACTTTTGATTCTTTAACACAATTATTTTTAAACACTGGCATTTTCCAAAACTGTGGCAGCTAACTTTTTAAAATCTCAAATGACATGCAGTGTGAGTAGAAGGAAGTCAACAATATGTGGGGAGAGCACTCGGTTGTCTTTACTTTTAAAAGTAATACTTGGTGCTAAGAATTTCAGGATTATTGTATTTACGTTCAAATGAAGATGGCTTTTGTACTTCCTGTGGACATGTAGCAATGTCTATATTGGCTCATAAAACTAACCTGAAAAACAAATAAATGCTTTGGAAATGTTTCAGTTGCTTTAGAAACATTAGTGCCTGCCTGGATCCCCTTAGTTTTGAAATATTTGCCATTGTTGTTTAAATACCTATCACTGTGGTAGAGCTTGCATTGATCTTTTCCACAAGTATTAAACTGCCAAAATGTGAATATGCAAAGCCTTTCTGAATCTATAATAATGGTACTTCTACTGGGGAGAGTGTAATATTTTGGACTGCTGTTTTCCATTAATGAGGAGAGCAACAGGCCCCTGATTATACAGTTCCAAAGTAATAAGATGTTAATTGTAATTCAGCCAGAAAGTACATGTCTCCCATTGGGAGGATTTGGTGTTAAATACCAAACTGCTAGCCCTAGTATTATGGAGATGAACATGATGATGTAACTTGTAATAGCAGAATAGTTAATGAATGAAACTAGTTCTTATAATTTATCTTTATTTAAAAGCTTAGCCTGCCTTAAAACTAGAGATCAACTTTCTCAGCTGCAAAAGCTTCTAGTCTTTCAAGAAGTTCATACTTTATGAAATTGCACAGTAAGCATTTATTTTTCAGACCATTTTTGAACATCACTCCTAAATTAATAAAGTATTCCTCTGTTGCTTTAGTATTTATTACAATAAAAAGGGTTTGAAATATAGCTGTTCTTTATGCATAAAACACCCAGCTAGGACCATTACTGCCAGAGAAAAAAATCGTATTGAATGGCCATTTCCCTACTTATAAGATGTCTCAATCTGAATTTATTTGGCTACACTAAAGAATGCAGTATATTTAGTTTTCCATTTGCATGATGTTTGTGTGCTATAGATGATATTTTAAATTGAAAAGTTTGTTTTAAATTATTTTTACAGTGAAGACTGTTTTCAGCTCTTTTTATATTGTACATAGTCTTTTATGTAATTTACTGGCATATGTTTTGTAGACTGTTTAATGACTGGATATCTTCCTTCAACTTTTGAAATACAAAACCAGTGTTTTTTACTTGTACACTGTTTTAAAGTCTATTAAAATTGTCATTTGACTTTTTTCTGTTAACTTACATTGTTTAAGGTATATAATTTTTAAGTCTTACAGAATTTGTACAGCTTCGAATGCTATAGTATTAGATGCTTTCTTTCTCATACTACATTTCTTCATTTGGTTTATTACATTAGTCTCACCAGACCAGTACTTGCAAAACCCTGATGGTGCTGATCGTAGCAGGTGATGCATCACCACCAAGCATTTCAAAAACTATTTCAGCCATTCTAGGCTAGAGGCCTGAGCAAGTAAAACATGGAGAAAAGGCAGGGCAGGGCCTAAGAAGGATGTGACATGTCCTATGATAAAGGACCAGGAGTTTGGGATTTGAGAGAGAACAGGAAGTGGTGGATAGTGAAAATCCATCTGATGCAAAGGCTGGGTTAACTGAAAATCTGTTCTGGGATGCTAGGTCTTTCAAGTCTGAAGACTGCAGACCACATTTGGTATCAACTTTCTGAGGCTGACCTGAGAACCTACTTAAGCCATTAAAGGTTTTGAGGGCGAAAGTATTACTGAAGAGGCCAGCAGTGTACCCCTTAAAATGTATGTGTAACTTGGTCGGGTGCAGTGGCTCACGCCTGTAATCCCAGCACTCTGGGAGGCCTACACGGGCGGACCACCTGAGGTCAGGAGTTCAAGACCAGCCTGGCCAACATGGCGAAACCCCGTTTTTACTAAAAATACAAAAATTAGTCGGGTGTGGTGGCGGCACCTGTAGTCCCAGCTATTTGGGAGGCTGAGGCTGGAGAATCGCTTCAACCCAGGAGGTGGAGGCTGCAGTGAGCCAAGATCGCGCCACTGCACTCCAGCCTGGTGACAGAGCAAGACTCCGTCTCAAAGAACAAAAAAGTATATGTAATGAATAAAGCTTTAGCAATTTCCTGTTCCCAGTTCTGCCTCCCTCCCCAGCAAACTTTCTAGGTAGACCTGTCCTGTATATTGTTAGCACTAGAGAAATTACCTGTAAGATGATATCCTCAAAATATTACAAAATTAAGGAACATTCTATATATGCACAAATTGAAGAAGTCAGGTAGTTGATACTTTTAAAGGTACATAGTCAATTTAAGTGGTCAAAAGGTATTTGGCAAAACCTAATTTAACTCAAGCCCTATGCATAACGTTATTGCTGAACCACTGGCTAATGCAGCATGTACTGTATTTCACTGATTGTAATACCCTAATTAATGTCACATGGTTTAATTAGCGTTTTTTTTTGTAGTGGTACATAAAATGACGGTGGACCTTCAATCAATGGTGTTTTACATAATCCCCAACTAAGCTTTATTTGAAACACAACTTCTGACCTGTAATCTAGAAAGGGGTGGGGGAGTATGTATATGTATGTACACCAAAACCTCTCCCCCAAAGATCTAAAGCCATTCTAGGCCTTCAGCTCAAACTAGGATACTAGTAGAAAGTACAGAAAAATGGTCTAATGACCTCCCCACCTTTTGAAGTGACTGTCAAATGAGACTATTAAAAACCACTTGAAAACTTTTAAAAAGCAAGAATAGCCTGAGACCTCCTAGAAATACAGATTTAATTGGTGTAAGGTGGGGTTTGTGCAGAGTATTAAAAACGCCCCCAGGCGATTCAAAAGTATAGCCAGATTTGAGAAACACCCTTAGCTGGAAAAGAATTGAGGAGCTCTGTTTTGATGACTTTTAACATACACTCCTTAGGGCTGGCTTAAAAAAGGAGGTTAACTTACATTAGCCTCAATTCCCAAATTTTACCTAGAAATGCTTCATAAATTAGGTAATTTGGGGTTCATAAGCAAATACAGCAGAGTAGGGAGTTATCAAAATAGAGTGAATTCTTCAGCAAAGGAGGACAAAACTACCATAAGGCATTCTGGATGGTCAAAGTGCAAAAGAGGTTGGGGAGTGGAGGAAGAGACTGATGACAGGAATATTTTGCTCTTGTTTTAGCAGGCTTACCATGCACTCTTCAGGGGAAGACTGCTCTATGCCATATTACACCTTGATTCACAGCTTTACTAAATGTAGTAAAAAGCTGTAAGGAAGAGCAACCTGATAGTAAAAATTGACCCCAATGAATGGTCCTTAGGAACAGATCCTATGAGAAGGCTAACCGTGGGAATCTAATTTAGGTCTCTCAGTTTTTACACCTACATTCTGGTTTTATTGTTTTATTTATTTTTATTTTTTTGAGACAAGTCTTGCTCTGTCGCCCAGGCTGGAGTGCAGTAGCGCCATCTGAGCTCACTGCAACGTCCGCCTCCCAGGTTCAAGTGATTCTCCTGCCTCAGCCTCCCGAGTAGCTGGGAGTACAGGCATCTGCCACCATGCACGGCTAATTTTTTGTATTTTTAGTAGAGAGAGAGAGGGTTTCAATATGTTGGCCAGGCTGGTCTCGAACTCCTAGACTCAAGCCATCTGCCCACCTCAGCCTTCCAAGTGCTGGGATTATAGGTGTAAGCCACCACGCCCAGCCTGCATTCTGGTTTTATTTCCTTTTAATTGAAAGGAGTGTCTTGGTTCTGCTGTCTTATTAATCATCCTGAACAATGGCTAATAGCTTGAATGACTACTAAGACAGGAGAGCTACACACACACTATGTATTTGTACCTTACAAATAGATGTGTGGAGGCCAAATACTTCAGTATTTAGCCAACTCAATAATCATAGTCCCTACAATTTAGCAAATGATCTGCAGCCTTGCTGCTCTGATCTACAAAGCTCGAGACTTCTTCTTGTTTTTTAAAAGTAAGTGGCAATTTCAGAAATCTTCAATGGTATTTTAACTTTCTACCATGAATCTCCTTGCTGTTAATACATTGTATCACAGTTCTGGAGTAACAGGGAGGAAAAGTCCCCAAATTAAACTTTGTACAGTGTGCTCCCAGATGCTATTCTCTTGTTAAAATATTTGTTCATGGAACTATTAATCCAAAGTGCCTGCTATTTCACAAATCAGCTTCATAATATACAAAGGTTACTACTATTGAGAAAGAGCATCTGACATGCTTTTGATTTGAATAATTACTACCTCAAGAAGTGGATGAACAGGGAAAATGGTATAATATCAGGTATGTGGAAACACTCTCATGGGGAAGAATGCTACTACTTTGAGACAAAGTACCTTAGGTGAGAATATTGTTTTAGTGCTTCTATCTATAGAAGAGTTCTATGGTTCGCCAATAGTTTTTTAAGTTAATCTACTGAAAAGTACAAGTCCACAATCCCTTATCCAACCCCTTGGGCTTATTTGCATTTTGGAATTGTGAATTCTGAAGAATTTTTTAAAGCACCCAATAGCGGTCATAGTCTTATTTAGTGAATACCATAAATAGCTTCAACAATTCAGATCAGGTTTTTCTGCAAAGTGAGAGATGACAATATTCTTTTCAGTTTTTTTAAATTTTAGAATTGCAGGTTAAGAGACTGTGGACCTCTATAAATTCATGTAGGAATAGAAACAAGTCATCCGAAATTTAAGAGACCTTCCCTGAACCATCCCTCTTTTTGAAAAATTTTGACTCTTATATGAGAACCACTGAAAGTTTAAATATTAAAACAATAAATCTTTATTAAACAGTTTTCACGGCATTTTAAAATAAATTTAAAAAATAAATATTTGCATTATAGCAGAAAGTCACATGTATTGCATCAACTCACTTTTACAATTTAATGGCATGAGACAACTAAGCATCAGCACCATAAAACTGTTAAGATTTGTTTCTTAAATTCAAGGAAATAGCTCTAAAGCACTGCAGCATCAATAATTTTGAAAGCTATAACCCAGTGATTGGTGCTCATAGTAGCCAATGTTTCTTTTTATTACTGGCAACTGTGGAGACAGAGTTCTTCCAGTACTAAATATTAATAAGTTCTCTGATCGACAATCCCCCATCTATCAGTGTGTCAGGATTCACAAAGAAAAGAACTGCAGGTTATGTAGTATATTCCCTATCTGTGATTTAGGTTTGCACAAAGACACTTATTCTAGCAAAAAAGAAAAGATAGTGTTTCCACCATGCTACCTTTTTTTTCTTTTTATAGAGTCTCAGAGTAAGATTTAAATCATAATTTTTAACCTTTAAAAGTCTGTTCAAGTTCAATTACAACCATAGAAACTGTACTGGTATCAGAACATAACTATTTTATTACAAAACTTAACATTATTTACAAAATGAAAAAATAATCAAATGACTATTGCAGGCCAAAGTTAAAGGTTTTTCACTCAATGATTGAAGAAAAATTAAGCAATATTTCCATGCACTCACACCAGATCATTTCTGAAATATGCAAACTCTTAAAATTCATGTTAGTAAAACTTTAATGTATTCATAATACTTGCTATGTTTATTAGAAGATGGTCAAAAAAAATCCATGGTTCTGTACAATAATATTAACAGTTTGTTCATTTTCCTTTAATATTTTTTGGCTTCCATGAACACTCGTAGATTGAACATTCTGCAAGTAAGAATTATAATAGTACCTCTGTCACCTTGCTGAATTCATCACCACAAGAAAAACACAAATAGTTTAATGCTTTTGCACTAAACTGAATAGTTATAACTCCAAAGTTATATTAAACTGAAGCCTTCATTGTGATCAATAGCTTGGATCAGTTTAGAGCGTAGAGTTTCTTTTTCTGTATATTTTGGAAGATCCAGAAGATTAAAACAAGTATGGGAAACTGGGAGATACTCCTCACCACCTCCTGTGGACTGGATGACTAGTTTCAGACTCTTCATACCAAGAATAGGAATGCGATCACTACCTGTCAAAAATACTGCCAAGAAAGAAATCATTCAGTCAACCACTTCAAAACAAAAAGATACAGTAGCAAGTAATATTTGGTACAGTCGCTACAGCAGAGCTTCACTTTAACATCTGCTCTAACGTGTTATCTTACTTCCTAATTTGTGGAAGACAAGTTTTTTGAGACACATTCTAATTGCTCATCCACACAATATTTTTTCTTTAAAAGTATAATCTTAATACTGGCACAAAGGAAGTGCTTAATAAATGTTTGATAAGTGAGTATTTTGCCATTGCCAAAACATTTTGAGAGCCCTTTTTTGGAAAAGCCATTCAGAACTAGTTGACAAACCAAATACAAAATGCAGTTTTGATTATGATTTCTTTTTCTATTTGCTTCGTTTCTGTTATTTTTTTTAAATCAGAAATTTATAATGGGCAGCCAAAATTCAAATCATTCTTTTTTTTTTGAGACGAGTCTTGCTCAGTTGCCCAGGCTGGAGTGCAGTGTGCGGTCACAGTCACAGCAGCCTCGACCTCCTGGGCTCAAGCAATCCTCTCTACCTCAGCTTCTGGAGTAGCTGGGAGCACAGTCACCAAGCCCAGGGCTAATTTTTATAGAGATGAGGTTTTGCCATGTTGCCCAGGCTCAAATCACTCTTAAAGAGTAATGATTTCTCATCCTTATGACACACAGAAGAATTTGACCAAGATTCTCGGAGGTTGCCAAATCATTCCTGGCAAAAGCAGGAGTATCAAAGGAAATGTCACCGATTTGGACACATAAATTCTGACAACTTTAAAAATAAGTCAAATTTCAATTAGAATACAGACTTTAACAGAAGAAAGATACACAGGCATCAGTTATAAATGAGGGAACTAAGGCCTGAAAAAGCTTTATTTTATATAGAAATTGCCAAAGTTTTAGTCTTGAAGCAAAAAGAAAAAGAAAAAGAAAATGAAGACCAAACAGAGAAAAGAGCAATACAGTTGGCCCTCCGTATCTGTGAGCTCTGTATCCATGGATTGAACCGACTGCAAATCGAAAATATTTTCAAAAAATGGATGCTTGTGACTGTACTGAATGTGTCAACTGTTTTTCTTGACATTGGTCCCTCAACAATACAGTATAACAACTATTTACATAGCATTTACATTGTATGAGGTATTAATAACATGTACATTCATGTGTCACTTAACGATGATGATATGTTCTGAGAAATGCATCATTAGGTGATTTCATTCTGTAAACATCATATATTTACACAACCTAGACAGTATATAGTCTACTACACACCTAGGCTACATGATATAGCCCTATTGCTCCTAGGCTACAAACCTGTACAGCATGTTACTGTACTGAATTCTGTAGGTAACTGTAACATAACAGTAGGTATTTGTGTATCTAAACATAGAAAAGGTACAGTAGCTGTATTATAATCTTACAGGACCACTATCGTATATATGGTCTGTCATTCACTGAAAAGTCATTATGTGGCACATGACTGTAATCTAGAGAAGATTTAAAGTATAAGGATATGTGTAGGTTATATGCAAATACTATGCCAATTTATACAAGAAACTTGAGCATCTACTGGATTTGGGTATCCTTGGCAGGGAGGTCTTGGAATCAATCCCCCATGTATGCCAAAGGATGACTATACTCCAGAGATCTTTTTAGAAATCTAAAAGGAATTCTACAATCCTAGTTTATTGTAACCACAGTTTATTGTAACTATAACATAGCTATAGTTTGCTTTCATTTCCAAGTTAGCTTCCATTTTACTTCATAGAATGAATCAATGCTATTTTGAAGGCAAACTGAATTTAGCCTTTGAAATAAGAAAATACATGTACTGAAGAGTGCAGATAGTTCTGTTTCAAAAAAATTACTTGAAGATTAAAACAGGGCTTTGGAATAATACTATAATTAGATTCCAGTCTCATAAAGTATACAACTAGTTAGAAATACTTACACAGAAACTGTTTCTTCTTTTCCAATGGTAATTCGTGAAATACTTCCCAAAAAATTTTTATCGTAGGATGTTCTGCCCAATATTCCCCTTTGTATTCTGTATTCTAAAAACAACATAATCTTTTATTAGTATTAAGGGACACACTGGCTAATATATTAGCACATAAAGCTAACATGGTCCAGTAGTTTGCAACTTGTGCAATTCAATGGATTGCCCACTGTTTTCTGGACATTTACAATTTGAAGCTATTAGTTCCAGGAGAAAAAGAAGAAATACGTAAGAATCACCAGAAATCTTTCCTAGCACTTCAAAGAACATGATAGGATCATACTATCATCTTCAAAAGTAAATAAAGAGAAACTAGATAAAATAATGTTATAGGACCATCAAAAGTCTGACATGGAATTATCTGTGATAATCAGAAAATTCCCTTTCTCTGTATTCATGAACAGAAGTCAAACCATTACAATTTATCTCTCCTTTTAAAAATATGGTACTAAGCAACACTAAAAATTTTCTGAGGTAGTTTCCAAGATGGCCACCAGTGAGCACTGCCTCCTGGTATTCATGCCCGTGTGTATAAGGATACTGTGAATATGAGGAATGTATGACTTCTGAGACTAAATCATAAAAAAAAAAACCTCTATGGCTTCAGCCCTTCTTCTGGATCACTCACTCTGGGGGAAACCAGTTGTCATTTCATGAGGATATTCAAACATCCCTATATGGAGAGAAGTACTCATGGTGCTATACTGAGGCCTCCTGCCAACAGTCATGTGAGTAAGCCACCTTGGAAGTGAATCTCTATCCTTAATCATGCTTTTAGATGCCTATAGCACCAGCCAATATTCTGACTGCAACTTCATGAGGGAACCCTGAGCCCAAACTACTCAGCTAAGCCACTCCTGAATTCCTGACCCACAGAAACTATGAAACAAGAGTTTCATTGTTATTTTGAAGCCAATAAGTTTTGGGGTAATTTGCTGCAATAGGACTAAAATATCTCCCCTGTCAAAAATATTAGTACTGGCCGGGCGCGGTGGCTCACGCCTATAATCCCAGCACTTTGGGTGTCCAAGCCGGGCAGATCACTTGAGGTCAGGAGTTCCAGACCAGCCTGGCCAACATGGTGAAACCCCATCTCTACTGAAAATACAAAAATTAGCTGGGCATGGTGGCAGGCGCCTGTAATCCCGGCTACTTGGGGGAGGCTAAGGCAGGAGAATCGCTTGAACTTGGGAGACGGAGGTTGTAGTGAGCCAAGACTGTGCCATTGCACTCCAGCCTGGTCAACAAGAGCGAAACTCCATCTCAATAAAAAAAATAAAAAATAAAAAAAAAAAAAAACAAAAAAATTAGTACTAAAAGAGAAGCAGGTAGGAAGTAGAGAGGAAATAGTTTATACTGTGAACTGTTCTTATCCAGCCGCAGTTGGCTTTAACTTTCAGTTCTTCAGATGCGTCAGGTCCTTTGGACATACTGTTCCCTCAGCCTACACCACTCAGACACATCCTTTCTTCTTTGGTCATCAGGCTAATTTTTACCCTTTTAGGGCTCAGATTAAATGCCATCTAATTCATTCATTGATTCATCCAACAAATATATAATGAGTTTTAGTCAATGTTTTGGGCCCTGGGAAAACCTCAGTGAACAGAATCCTCACTTACCTTGTGGAGCTCACCGTCTAGTAAGAGGCGTTCCCAGATTCATCTAGCCTAGATCAGGCTCCTCCTTACGCACCATTCACTAAACTCTTTTTCACTGTATTAATTAAAACTGTGTATTAAACATTTAATTTCTAGCTCTCTTATTAGGGCAAAGACCATGTCTCTATCTTATTTCCTGCCCTCTCTTCAATCTCTTGCATGGTTTCAGCTGTACATTATCCGGCACACAGTAGAGGCTCAATAAATACTTGCTAATGGGCTTCTTGAATTTTGGACTTTCCTTATTTGTAGCCATGATTTATCTTAATCACTGAACTCTCAATAATTCAAATATGCAAAATATTTGCTGTTAGTTGCACACAAGTTTGAAGAAAACAGCTTGAATTCTAGCATGGAATTTATGGAATTTATTCAACTGTTTGAATTAAAGTCTGTGAGCATGTTAGTGGGGAATGAAAAGAGGATGGCTAAAGTTTTTTTTTCTTTTAAATCTCTAAATGGTTTGGTAGAAATGTGCACACATGTCCTGATTAAGAAAGAACATTTAAAGCTCCAAATCATAATCACTAAAATTGTAATGAATCAGATATACAACAGAAGAAATCAAAGTGTTAAGAATAAATACACCATATATATATATATATATATATATATATATATATATATATATATATATATATTTTTTTTTTTTTTTAGATAGAGTCTTGCTCTGTCACCAGGCTGGAATACAGTGGCACGATCTTGGCTCACTGCAACCTCTGCCTCCCAGGTTCAAGCGATTCTCCTGCCTCAGCCTCCCGAGTAGCTGGGATTACAGGCCTACACCACCACACCCAGCTAATTTTCGTATTTTTAGTAGAGACGGGGGTTTCACTATGTTGGCCAGGATGGTCTTGATCTTCTGACCTCGTGATCCGCCTGCCTCAGCCTCCCAAAGTGCTGGGATTACAGGCATGAGCCACTGCGCCCGGCCGCTACAATATACTTTTTAAGATGTCCTGTCTTAACTGAATGAACACTTAAATCAATTATCACTTCAGGCAAGGTTTCAAGTACTTACTGAGTGCTCTCCTAGGTGCTGGGAATACAGCAGTGAACAAAGAGGCAAAAATTCTGCCCTCATGGTGCTTACATTGTGGTGGGGGGAAGGAGCAACCTAAGTAAAATTATGTCAAATCCAAAGAAGCAAAATAAAACAGCGAGGGGAGACAGGATACGTGTGCAGGAGAGAGGTTTGCAATTTTAGATCAGTTATCCAGGGAAGGTCTCTGAGAAGGTATAAACACACAAAGGAGGTGAGAGCAAGAATCTTTTGTGATTATCAGGGGAAGAGAATTCCAGGCACTTGGAAAAGGAAACAAACGCCCTAAGACTGGAGTGTGCCTGGAGGGTTCTAGGCTCAGCAGAGGTTAATAAGGCTGAGGCAGAGTGAGAGGAACAATGACAGGAGATGAGGCAAGGAGGGAAAAATTGTGTAGGATCTAAAGGGTGATGAGAAGCTGTTATATCATTTTCATTTTAAGGTGATTAGAGGTGGAGTCCATTTCCACTGGGGGACCCCTTAGAGTTAGTATCTACAGGCTTCTTCTTTTGAGAAGATCAATTTACTACTACACAAGAACCTTCAATCTCCTTCCTGAAGGATTTACACCTGGCTACCAGCTGTGTAGCATCCTCAGTGTTACCTTGTTTCCCAAATTGTAAAGCCTCTCTCCCAAGCTGTCTTTTGCTGGGTAGGAGAGGGGACATGCATGGTCCAATTATTCTTTAAAATGGCTTTAAAGTAATTCTGTTGCCCTTAGTCCAACCTTCATCCCTGCCATTAAGGGTAACATGGTATACCAATTCTTGAGCCTTTCAGATTCTAGGATATAAAATGAGTTGCCTCGGGCCAGGAGCGGTGGCTCACACCTGTAATCCCAGCACTTTGGGAGGCCGAGGCGAGTGGATCATGAGGTCAGGAGTTCAAGACCAGCCTGCCCAATATGGCGAAACCCCATCTCTACTAAAAAAATAAAAAAATCAGCCGGGAATAGTGGCATGTCTGTAGTTCCAGCTACTCGGGAGGCTGAGGCAGAAGAATCGCTTGAACTTGGGAGGCGGAGGCTGCAGTGAGCCAAGATTGAGCCACTGCACTCCAGCCTGGGCGACAGAGCAAGACTCCATCTCAAAAAAAAAAAGAGTTGCCTCCTGACAATCCTGTCCCTCTGGAGGCTTAGAATTCAATTTTCCTCTGCTCTAAGTCACTCATCAATTTATCTCCTTACTTTCTGTCTTCCAAAACTATTTCTTCTCTTGTTCATTGCATTTTTATTTTTTGGTATTTTTATTTTATATTTCTATTTTTATTCCATTTCTGTCATTCTAGTGATATTTTTGGGAGGGAGCAGACATGTTTATTCCATAATGTTTAACTAGAAGTCCTAATTATTCTTAAAATCTTATTCCTTAAATTACTACACAGTAAAACTGGCTATATTCTGGGGTGTATACAGTTCTGTAAGTTCTAAGCACATGTGCAGATCTGTGTAACCACTGCCACAATTAGGATACTGAGCAGTCCCATCACTGTTATGCTCTTAGATGCCTCTTGTGCTACCTCCTCTGAAGTCACACCCTCCCACTCAACCCCTTGTCTCTATTCACTATAATTTTTTGTCTTTTCAAGAATGTCACATAAATGGAGCCATACAGTATGCAACCATTTGAAACTGGCTTCTTTCACTCAGCATAAAGCCTCAGATTCATCCAGTTGTTGCATGTATCAATAGTGCTTTTTTTTCTTTTTTGAGACAGGGTCTTGCTTTGCTGCCTATGACAGAGTGCAGTCAGGGCTCACTGCAGCCTCTACCTCCCGGGCTCAAGGGATCCTCCCACCTCAGCCTCCCGAGTAGCTGGGACTACTGGTGCACGCCACCATAAAGGGCCAATTTTTGTATTTTTTGTAGAGACAGGGTTTTATCATGTTGTCCAGGCTGGTCTTGAACTCCTGGGTTCAAACTATCTGCCAACCTCAGCCTCCCAAAGTGCCAGGATTAGAGGTGTGAGACACCACACCCAGCTGTGCATTTTTTTTTTGAGATGGAGTTTCACTCTTGTTGCCCAGGCTGGAGTGCAACGGCACGATCTCCGGCTCACTGCAACCTCTGCCTCCTAGGTTCAAGCGATTCTCCTGCCTCAGCCTCCCGAGCAGCTGGGATTACAGGCACCACACCCAGCTAATTTTGTATTTTTAGTAGAGATGGGGTTTCTCCATGTTGGTCAGGGTGGTCTTGAACTCCCAACCTCAGGTGATCTGCCCGCCTCGGCCTCCCAAAGTGCTGGGATTACAGGCGTGAGCCACCGCGCCCGGCCCAGCTGTGCATTTCCTTTTAACACTTAGTAGTTATTCTGCTGAATAGGTATACTGTAGTAGGTTTACCCATTCACCCACTGAAGCACATCTAAGTTGTTTCCAGTTTTTCACTCATTTGCAAATTAAAAAAAAAAGTCTTTAAAAATTAAGGCAAAACACACATACCATAAAGTTTGTATCTTAACCATTTTAAGTGTACACTTCAGTAGCATTAACTACATTCACATGGTTGTACCACCAACCATCTCCAGAATTCATTTCATCTAGTAAAACTGAAACTCTGTCCCCTTGGTTTACAGATTTTTGTGTGAATATAATTTAATACCTGGGAGTAGGACTGCTAGGTCATATAGCAAATGTATGTTTAACTTTTTAAGAAACAGCCACTGTTTCCAAAGTGACTATACCACTTTGTATCCCCATCGGCAACATATAAATGTTCCTGATGCTTTGCACCTATTAATATGACTGACATAAAAAGTAGAGTGGTAAGTGCTGCTCTGTTTTTTTATGTTAGTCATCTTAATAGGTATACAGTATCTAACTAATTATAAATGCATAAATCAGAGGATGGTATATTAGAAAGATAGAAAATCAGCAGATTAATTTCACATATATCTTCCTCAAAGCTGATCTAACCTTGCACTTTCTGTCACTCTGCCTCCCAGGTTCAAGTGATTCTTGTGTCTCAGCCTCCCAAGTAGCTGGTATTACAGGAGTGTGCCACCACACCTGGCTAATTTTTGTATTTTTAGTAGGGATGGGGTTTCACCATGTTGGCCAGGCTGGTCTCCAACTCCTGGCCTCAAGTGATCTGCCTGCCTCAGCCTCCCCAAGTGCTGGGATTACAGGCATGAGACACCATGCCTGGCTTAACCTAGCACTTTCTTTCTTTTTGAGATGGAGTCTTGCTCTGTTGCCTGGGCTGGAGTGCAGTGGCGCAATCTCACTGACTTGAACCCTCCGCTTCCCGGGTTCAAGCGATTCTCCTGCCTCAGCCTCTCGATAGTTGGGACTATAGGCGTGCGACACTATGCCCAAATTTTTGTATATTTAGTAGAGACGGGGTTTCACTATGTTGGTTGGCCAGGATGGTCTCGATCTCTTAACCTCGTGATCCGCCCGCCTCGGTGTCCCAAAGTGCTGGCATTACAGGCATGAGCCACCACACAGGGCCAGCACTTTCTATTAAATGTTTATCAGAATCAATATTTGATAATTACTCTGCTAAAAAATGTAACACTGAGACTAATCAGAAAAAAAGGAAACAAAGATTTTTAAAAATCATAACTGCATTTCATGATGGTTTTCCTAAGACTGAGGCAGAACGAAAACCCATTCAGCTTTGGCTAGGGCTTTTTTTTGGAGAGTGCAGTGGCGCGATCTTGGCTCACTGCAACCTCCGCTTCCCAGGTTCAAGCAATTCTCCTGTCTCAGCCTCCCAAGTAGCTGGGATTACAGGTGTGTGCCACCACACCCGATTAATTTTTGTATTTTTAGTAGAGACGAGGTTTCACCATGTTGGCAAGGCTGGCCTGGAACTCCTGACCTCAGGTGATCCGCCCACCTTGGCCTCCCAAAGTGCTGGGATTACAGGCATGAGCCATCGCGCCTGGCTTGGTTAGGGCTTCTATCTAGCTGTGTCACAGATGACATTTTTGTTTTCTTTTGAGACAGACAGGCTCCTGCTCTGTCATCCAGGGTCAAGTGCAGTGGTATAATCATGGCTCACTACAGCCTCAACCACCTGGGATCAAGAGATTCTCCCACTGCAGCCTCCCACAGGTAGGACCACAGGTGTTTGCTACCACATCTGGCTAATTTTTAAAATTATTTTTATCTACTTTTATTTACTTATTTTTTGTTTTTGAGACAGAGCCTTGCTCTGCTGCCCAGGGTGGAATGCAGTGGCACAATCTCAGCTCACTGCAACCTCCGCCTCCCAGGTTCAAGAGACTCTCCTGCCTCAGCCTCCTGAGTAGCTGGGATTACAGGCACGTGCCACCACACCCAGCTAATTTTTGTATTTTTAGTAGAGACAGGTTTCACCATGTTGGCCAGGCTGGTCTTGAACACCTGACCTCACGTGATCCATCCACCTTGGCCTCCCAAAGTCCTGGGGTTACAGGTGTAAGCCACCACGCCTGGCCTAAGTTATTTTTAGAGATCAGGTCTTGCTGTGCTCCCCAGGCTGCTGTTGAACTCCTGGCCTCAAGTGATCCTCCCGCCTAAGCACCCCAAAGTGCTGGGGTTATAGGTGAGAGCCACTGTGCCTGGCCAGATGAGTTTTCTATATCAATACCACCAATTATAATAGTGTCTAATTCATATACCGTTCAAATCCATTCATTGTGGAGTTTGAAGGGTAGAGTGCTTTCCTGTAAAATGGTAGTAATAAAGTGTATAAAATAAAAAATAATACATAAAAAGGCAAGATTTCCATATATAAATCTTTCCATTTAACAATATCAGAGATTAGTTTTCCCCTACCTTTTCCAGTTCCTTCCAATCATAATTTGTATTTCCAATGACCATTGCTTGTAGTTCATTAGGCTGAAAGAGCAGAAGGACTTTTCCTCCACAGACCTTATGAAAGCCCGCATGAAAAGCATCAAATAAGGAAGCCACTGATTTATTGAATATGTAATCCACATAAGCATCGACAAACTCTTGCCTAGAAATGAAAAAGCACACATGTACAGATTATAAAAATCATGTATGAAGAATCCATAATGTAGTCATTAAAACTTCAAGTGCTCCTACAATTTCTGCTACATATCTACGAAACTGAGAATGTATGAGTAGCGTTCAAACAGGACAAAACCAAAGTCACTATGGAAAAAGCTATTATTCTTTCTATATAAAAATCAGCTGTATCCATGAGGCATTCAGTTATTCTTAGGCTATTCCTAATGGAAAAAATGTCATTTCCTAATGGGCAGAATGATGCAAATGGCTATGAAAATAATTTTAAAATATTTACAAGTTATTGAGAATTTATATATATCATGTCACATGCATCCCTAAAAGGAATGTCTGTTACAAACAATAGGTGACAAAAAAATGAGAGCTTTGGATTCAGATCATTTGACCAACTATAGCCTTCTTTTCCTTGGGTTCCAAGGAATCTGAACAAAATTTACTTTAACAAATGCCTAAGAGAGGGTACTAAGCATTCTTTTAGGATAATCATTAAAGAGTACAAGTGTAGTTTCTTTTCAAATGTACGTGTGAATACATATACAATCACTTCTGATTCTCTTCTATCTCTTATGATACAAAACGAAACTGTAAAGAAAAAAAGAAGCCCCTTTAACCCCTGAATTTGAACCACAATCTTATTCAATCTGTTTTGTTTTGCTAGCCACAACATTTTATGATGCTATCTGGTCAAATAATGAGAATGGATACTAGAAGATTTCACTATTTTATATCTTTGTCTTCCAAGTAATAAAGGATGATTCTGCAATAGGAATAATGGTAAGTTGCCTTTCAGAACCAAGTTTTTTTTTAAAACAAGGATATCTAGAAGGACCTAAAATTTTTTCACATCATTTTAAAAACAGCTTTATTTTTATCAAAGTAAGACATATCAAGAGTTTAAAACATCAAATAGTAACAATCCTAATAGCCAACATTTACTGAGCACTACATGTGCTAGTTCTTATTCTAAGTATCTTAAAATATTGTCTCATCTAGTTCTCAACCCCATGAAGTAAGTATAATTTGTCATTCCATTTAACAGAGAAGGACACTGAGGCATTGAGACATCAACTAATTTATTTAAAGTTATAAAGCATCTAAGTAGCGGAATTAGGATTATAATCCTTTGGACCAACTCCCTGGCAACAGCCACTATTAAAGAATTGTAACAAAATAGAAGAGAACAAAGCAACTCTGTCCTGCACTTCTCTGCCAGAAATTCCCGCTATTAAAAGGCAACTATTTAACTCTTTTTGCTATTCCTTCTGATATTTATATTCAAGCTTCTAACAACACAGTTCTATTGTTATTCCTTAAATTTCAATTTGCTTTGGATTAATCTTTAATGTAATTGTCCCATTCACTTTCTACTCCCCTGTACATCTATTATATTTATATAACAATTTTTGGTTCAATATTTGTTAACATTTCTATATTATTCACAGTTAAGCTGTATTCTATGGTTACCCTTTTTCTCTTAAAAAGAACTTCTGTTTTCTTTAGTTTGCTAATTCATCGCCAACTTCTCCAAAAGAAATATCCATTTCCTCTAGATTCATTCAAAATACTAGATATTTATTTCTCTCCTTGAGCCCTCCATCCTCTTGATCTAACCCAAGTTGTTATTTCTAAATCGACACAGTTATTGATCCTTCAGAAAGAATCTTTGCTTGTTTGAATCCTGGTGGTGGTGGTGGTTGTTTTTTTAATCCTGTGTCTTCCTCTTTCTTGGTTTAATTCCTTGTTTTGGTAGACAGAACACATCCTCCAGTAACTTCCTGAGAAAAAGGCATCAGAAGTAAACTCTCTGAGACTGTGCATGTATAAAAATGTTTTTAAACACACACATTTGATAATTTGGATACAGAATTCTAAGTTAAAAGTAATTTTCTCCCAAAATTTTGGTCTTCTAGCTTCCAGTGTTCCTTGATTCCAGTGTCTGATGTTACTGATTCTTAGGTCTGTGGGTTTTCTGGACAGTTTTAGGGTCCCTTTGACTGAAAATTTTGAAATTTCATGTATCTTGTCTTGGTATTGATCTTTTTTCCACTTCTCGTGCTTTCAATCTTGAAAAGATGTCATTCGTTTCTGGGAAGTTTTTTTTTTTTTAATATTTTCTTTGACAGATTTCATTCATTCCAATTCTTTCAAATGAGTTTTTTTTTTTTCCATTTTTAATTGTATGCATCTGGATGTCACGCATCATTCTGAGGATACTGATTTCGGTTTCCTCTGAAGTTTTGTCCTTCAACCTGCATGGTTCCTGGTTTCTTGCCATTCTTTTTGACTGTTTTGGCCTTTCCTTAAATGTCTGTTGACCTTTGGCTATCGATTTACATTTTTTTTTTTTTTTTGAGACGGAGTCTCGCTCTGTCGCCCAGGCTGGAGCGCAGTGGCACAATCTCGGCTCACTGCAAACTCTGCATCCTGGGTTCAAGAGACTCTTCTGCCTCAGCCTCCCGAGTAGCTGGAACTACAGGCACATTCCACCACACCTGGCTAATTTTCTGTATTTTTAGTAGAGATGGGGTTTCACTGCATTAGCCAGGATGGTCTCGTTGTCGTGACCTCGTGATCCGCCCGCCTCGGCCTCCCAGAGTGCTGGGATTGCAGGTGTGAGTCACTGTGCGGGGCCTATGGATTTACATTTTAAATGTTAGGCAGTTTCCCCAGAAAAGGATCTTTCACTATACGGTACCAAGAAGGAGGGAGCTATAGACTTTCAGCACTTAATCTCCCTGTTTTCAGTTCAGCTCCTTACCTGTGGCAGTGTCCAGGTGTCCTCAAACCCACAGTCTCTTTAGTTCAATTTCTCCAGAAGGTAAATTTCCAATCTCCTGCCCAGGCCAGAGAGGGGCAGTTGCCAGATTCCTGGTGTGCTAAGGGAAACTAATTTCTTCTGTTGTTGTTTTAAATCCAATGTTAGCATGGGAAACTAGTTTCTAACTGCTTCTTATAAGAGTTCTAGCATTTCCCCAAACACCATGCATTTTCTAAAGGTATGTTTTATTCTCAGCACCCAAACTTTTGTTTTGTGAAGTGATCCAGCTGGCTTCGTGACTCCTCTTTTCCATCTCATGTTGTAGCTTTCTCTGGTTTGCTTAAGTTAGTTACTACTGTTTCCTGGCTTCCAAAAATGTTTGCTGCTGTCACTTCTCCCTTCTCTTTGTTTTAATGTCTTCAAGGGATTTCAGGAGGAAAAGGCAGATTATTTCCTCACTAACCACTCAAAATTAAAGTTTTATTGGAGTAAAAGCTTAGGGTTGTGACACGTTTTCTACGTACAGAAGAAAATGTCTACTGAATCTTATTACTCCCACTGTTGCTGCTAAAATTCACTTACCGATTTTGTTTGTTAACAGCTGTGTCTGCACCATTTAGAACCAGCTCTTTCACTTCTGTTGCACCAAAGTTTTCAACTGTGATCTATTAATTTAAATTTTTAAAAAAAGTCAATGTCAGACTCAAAACTTATAATAATCTATTATTATATTCTACCTTTCTCTCATTTAATTAAAAAAAACTACTAAATTTGAGATAAAATTCTGCTACCATATAGCTTATCTGAGAATTCTACTTAAAGCCAGAACTAGAAATTTGGTACTCTCTAGTTTGAAATCCTACCATGATTAATTACAAATTACCAAGTTTGGTAAGTTAATAAGGAAACTAAGCATTTGTTGTGCATAAAACTTTAGAATTGTTACTATAAAATATTAGACAGGATGTTTTCCTTAGACGAGTGATAAAATCCAAGTATGAGAATGCTATTCAGCTTAGAAAACCATGCATTCTTCCCACATGACAACTGCTACTCCAGGGTTCCTCTATCACCCTTGTTGTAAACTTTATCACAGACAGTTTTTCCAGTTATGTACTAATTTGGTTTATAAAGATAGGCAGTTATTTTGAAACCTTTTATTTCTTTTACTTCTGGAATTTTTCTAAAAATATTACCATTCCCACTTATGCATCTTTTCTTTTGCTACTCCTTCTTTTTGGAATATTATCCTCTTTTATGAAAACCTGCTATTTATAAAATACTATGATGGGAGTGGGATGTTAGATGAGTATATTCCTGCTGTGATGTTTACTATCTAGTAAAGGAAGAGAAATGTAACATATGAAGAACTAATTATAATAAAATAATGCATTTATAAGACAGAGATGAATAAAATGTTATCAGATCATAGAGGAATGCAAACAGAATTCTAAACTAGAGGAAGTGTGAAAGAACTTGAGGAAGAAATGCCATCTGAAAAGCACCTACAAGTAGGGGTAGTATTTTGAAAGATTAAGAAGAGAGTGAGATTTCAGACAGAGAATATCAATTGAACAAAAAATTAGATATTACAATAAATACCAAGTTTCTGAAAATGTATGGCAAGTGGCTCTGAAAAAGAGGAAGGTAAGGTATATTAAAAAAAATACTGTGTGATATGACAAAACTTGGTATGAAGGGAGGGATACAATGAAAGGAGAGGGCCAGTTTAAAAATGTCTTTGACACCCATTCTAAAGCTATTATTCTACAAGCAATAAAGAGCCACTGAAAAATCTCTGAGAAAGAAATGGCAGTGGGAAGAAATGTTTGAATTACCATAGTTCTTTGAATATAGTAAGAATTCACAAATTTGGTGACTGATAAATTAGAAATTAAACAGCTTGAAACTTAATTTTTTAGTCAACTGAGATGATCAATAAAAATTCAAGAAACTAACAAGGGTATGAGTGAATCAAATAAAAAAGAACCAAAATTTCATAGAAAATCGTTTTTGTTTTTGTTTTTTTTAATTTTATGGTCACCTTATTCTAACAGGAACACACTTTGGAAAATGCTTTTCTGTTGTTATCTGGATTTGTGGAGAGCAACTTTTTTTTTTTTTTTTTGAGATGGAGTCTCACTGTGTCACCCAGGCTGCAGTACAATGGCGTGATCTCAGCTCACTGCAACCTCCACCTCTCAGGTTCAAGTGATTCTCCTGCCTCAGCCTCCCCGAGTAGCTGGTACTACAGGTACGTGCCACCATGCCTGGCTCATTTTTGTATCTTTAGTAGAGACGGGGTTTCACCATGTTGGCCAGGCTTGTCTCTAACTCCTGACCTCCAGTGATCTGCCCGCCTTGGGCTCCAAAAGTGCTGGGATTACAGACGTGAGCCACTGTGCCCGGACAGAAAACAGTCTTAAAATTTTCTTGAAAAAATTATGAACATGCAATTTTTTTTGGCAAATTTTATGACAGCAGAATATGGCATCTTTTGTCAGCTTTGACAAAACCATAAAGAGAATGTTGTGTGTGTGGCAGGGTGGCAAACAAATATACAAGCAAAAAATTTAAAAAATAAAAAAGAGGCCAGGTGCTGTGGCTCACGCCTGTAATCCCAGCACTTTGGGAGGCTAACGCGGGCAGATCACGAGGTCAAGAGATTGGGACCATCCTGGCCAACATGGTGAAACCTCATCTCTACTAAAAATACAAAAATTAGCTGGGTATGGTGGTGTGCACCTGTAGTCCCAGCTACTCGGGAGGCTGAGGCAGGAGAATTGCTTGAACCTGGGAGGCGGAGGTTGCAATGAGCCGAGATTGCACAACTGCACTCCAGACTGGGCAGAGCAAGATTCTGTCTCAAAAAAAAAGAAAAAAAAAAAGAAAAGAAAAGGGAAAAGAAAACTGAAGGTTTTACAATTTCTCCAAGAGTCTAATTTATAATATTCAAATTGTTCCCTTCTGGAGTGCCTTACCGTAATACTTATGGATTTTCTCTTATTTAATTACCAACTAGTCTACTTCTGCCATATCCTCATCTATCAATGGCTTTGCATGTGACTGGATCAGTTATTTAACATCCCTTTTGGCCAGGTGCAGTGGCTCATGCCTGTAATGCCAGCACTTCGGGAGGCCGAGGCGGGTGGATCATGAGGTCAGGAGTTCGAGACCAGCCTGGCCAAGGTGGTGAAACCCCGTCTCTACTAAAAATACAAAAATTAGCTGGGTGTGGTGGCAGGCACCTGTAATCCCAGCTACTCAGGAGGCTGAGGCAGGAGAATCGCTTGAACCTGGGAGGCAAAGGTTGCAGTGAGTTGAGATCACGTCACTGCACCCCAGCCTGGGTAACAGAGCAAGACTCTGTCTCAAAAAAACAAAACAAAACAAAAAAAACCACATCCCTTTGCTGCCTTAATGAAATTGTGCATCTTTTACAAGATTTGCAATTTCATTTTCCAAATAATATTGCAATGCATTTGCATTTGTTTTATCTACATCATCCAACAGTGAATAAGACAAGATGGGCAAGGATGAATGTTAGTATGAAATAGAAAGGAATGTACCAGTGGAAATTAATGTTTTTAAGTTTAGTAGTAATATTCTCATATTACAATAACCTTTTGCTTCTCTAAAGCACTTCTGTAATTGCAGACTCAAAAATGAACACTTGGGTAAAGAGGATGTCTTGTATTTGTCAATATCTTTAGCATAATGATAAAGTACACAGGTTTAAGTCACAGAGGCTGGTATGCATACTGACTCCCCAAGGTAATGACTGTTTTCAGTGTTCTTCATCTGTAAACCAGGGATAATCCCAACCTCACTGGATTGCTGAGGATTAAATGAAATGCATGTACTATGACTAGCTAGCATGTAGTAAATGCTCAATAAATGTTAGCTAAAGGGTTCTTTAAGAATTCCATCCATCAAAATAAAGAAAAACCCTAAGACACGGCTGTTAAATAAAAGAGATGATAAATAATCAGGCTAACCTATGTCCTTCCATCTTACCGTAAAATTAAGACAAAATGTTTCCTCTATGTCATCTTCTGGATAATCCAGTAACTGTTGCATGCTTCTGCAAAATAATATATATGTTTCTGAGAGGAAAAAATTATTGGATATTTTGACTATTTTACTTATGGATATATATATATATATATACTTCTCATTCCCTCTTGGTAAAATCCTTTTGTCAATTTGTAATTTTATATTTGTTTCAGAATAGTGAATACACAATGGCAAACTTATAAATGATGCTTAAGGAAAAAAATTAGTAAAAGGTTCTTATCACTTTTCTGAATACAAAGGCCATGTATCCAACTATTTTCAACATTTTTCCTTATTTTATTTTATTTTATTTTTCCCGAGATGGAGTCTTGCTCTGTCGCCCAGGCTGAAGTGCAGTGGCATGATTTTGGCTCACTGCAACCTCTGCCCCCTGGGTTTTTAAAAGCAATTCTCCTGCCTCAGCCAGAGCAGCTGGGATTACAGGCGACCGCCACCATGCCCGGCTAATTTTTGTATTTTTAGTAGAGACCAGGTTTCACCATGTTGGCCAGGCTGGTCTCGAACTCCTGACCTCGTGATCTGCCCACCTTGGCCTCCCAAAGTGCTAGGATTACAGGCGTGAGCCACCGCACCTGGCCCATTTGTCCTAACTTATATAAAATTTTTAATGCATTTTATTTAATAAAAATAAATTTCACATATTCAAACTAGGAATGAAGGTTATCAGAAGTAAAAGTCCAAATAAATCATTTAACCACTCTCAGAAAAAAAATTTACTTTCCTAAGGTGATTATCTGATATTTGCAAGGTATTGTCAAACAACTAAAAATTTAGTCTTTCTTTTTTTTTTGAGATGGAGTCTTGCTCTGTCACCCAGGCTGGAGTGAAATGGCGCAATCTGGGCTCACTGCAACCTCCGCCTCCTGGGTTCAAGCAATTCTCCTGCCTCAGCCTCCTGAATAGCTGGGACTACAGGCGTGGGCCACCACGCCTGGCTAATTTTTGTATTTTAGTATAGATGGGGTTTCGCCATGTTGGTCATACTAGTCTCGAACTCCTGACCTCCACGCTGGTCTCAAACTCCTGACCTCAGGTGATCCACCTGCCTCGGTCTCCCAAAATGCTAGGATTACAGGTGTGGGCCACTGGGCCAGCCAAATTTAGTCTTTCAATAGAAAATTTTGATCTGAGAAACATAATGGATTTTCCTTTATTAGAAGGGCATTTGTTTACTTCAGAAATTTAACAAGAAGAACAAAATATATTTTTTCATAGAAGGAAAGCTTTCTGTACCTTCCCCACTTTTTACCTCCCAAACCCTACTACTTTTTGACTTTTTTTTCCAACTAACCTCCCAACATCAGGCATTAGTTCTTTCAAATCATCCAAGGATGGCTTCTTTTTCAGTAGTTTCTTATATAAAGCCAAAGGAAAATGGAGGTCCACAATGGTACAATTATAAATTGCTAAGCCACAGATAACACCAATCAAATGGAACAAATCACTGTCTTCAAATGTCTAAAAATATAAGAAAAAGTAAACACATGTCCTCCAAGTTAAAATATTAAATTTTCTAAGATTACATAAATATGCTCATATACAATTTTGAAGATAGAGAAAAAAGTAATAAATAACAAAAGTTCATCCTCATTACTGTCTCCCTGGGATAACATCACTGTTAGTATTTTTGTACATTTCCATGTAGCATATTTTCTCAGACTTAAAAAAAATATATCTAGCTGAAATCGTACTATACATACGACTTTACAACTGTTTTCTCCCAGACATAAGCATATTCATGTCATTCGACATTAAGTTAATAGGTGAAATAATTACTATAACTTTTTTTCTGATTTAAAAAGTAATACACATTCGAAATTTGGAAAACAAAGAAAAAACATAGAAAAGAAAATGAATAAACACCTGTAAACCAATCACTCAGGAATAATGATTAAAAATATTTTGTGTATTTCCACCTATAATAAGCTCAGAAAAATATTTTTAATACACCGTATTTAAGATTTTATCTCATTTTCTAATTACATGAGTATTATGTCACTAAATGTTCTTCTAAAACACAACTTTTTTTTTTTTTTTTTTTTTTTTTTTGAGATAAAGTCTCCCTCTGTCACCCAGGATGGAGTGCAGTGGTGTGATCTCTGCTCACTGCAACGTATGCCTCCTGGGTTCAAGAGATTCTCCTGCCTCAGGCACACACCACCACAGCCAGGCTAATTTTTGTATTTTTAGTAGAGACTGGGTTTCACCATATTGGTCAGGCTGATCTCAAACTCCTGACCTCAGGTGATCTGCTCACGTCAGCCTCCCAAAGTGCTGGGATTACAGGCGTGAGCCACCGTGCCTGGCCAAAACATGACTTTTTAATGGCTGCATATTGTATCATAAAAGTACAATGAGTTGCTAAATTTAGCTGTTTTACTCTCCTTGGATGCTTAGATAACTGAAACATACTTACACTACTGACACACTGAAAATGTTTATTTTTTTCCCTCATCTTTATAAAAGTAATATGTATTTACAGAAAATTGTGAGCATGATGGTTAAAGAATAAATGTTTTAAATAAGACGTGGGCTCCAGCCTGGTTTAGCAGTCTAGCCTCTGTGTTTTCAAAGAAGGTAAATATAGTATTTATCTCATATGGTTGTTGTGAGGATTACATGGGATAATATACGTTAAACACTTTTAGCACAGTTCTTGAAACACACACTAAAGGTTCAATAAATGTCAGTTATTCTTCCTAGCTAGTAGTATTAAAAATAAGATGGACATCTTTTTGCATATTTTTGTCCATAGTTTGAAATATTTCCCTAGGAGAAATTCTACTTCCTAAGGAAGAATTCATAAGTCAAAAGACAGTCAAGCATATTGCTAATCTGTTTTCCTCTACCCCCGTTCCAGTTTGTTTGTTTGTTTGTTTTTGAGATGGAGTTTCACTCTTGTTGCCCAGGCTGGAGTGCAATGACGCGATCTTGGCTCACGGCAACCTCCACCTCCTCGGTTCAAGTGATTCTCCTGGCTCAGCCTCCCGGGTAGCTGGGATTACAGGCATGAGCCACCATGCCTGGCTAATTTTGTATTTTCAGTAGAAATGGGGTTTCTCCATGTTGGTCAGGCTGGTCTCGAACCCCTGACCTCAGGTGATCCACCCGCCTCGGCCTCCCAAAGTGCTGAGATTACAGGCGTGAGATACTGCGCCAGCTCCTGTTCCAGTTTAAACTGCCATTTGCAGTCCAGGAAAATGCTCTACTCTTCACGTTTTCATCTGTATATATACTCTATGCACACACAAACACATTTTTCTTTTGAGTTTAAAATGACAACTTGCTTTAGTACACATTTCTGACTATTTGTGATACTGAAAATCAGAGATACATATGTGCTCATGAAATATCTCTCCAGGTACTTTGCCCACTTATCTTTTGGGGGATAATGTTTTTCTTAAGTATTTGTATTTGAATTCTTCATATATTAGGAGTATTACTCTGTGTCATATTTGTTACATACAACCCAGCCTGTTACATGCTTTTCAATTTTATGTTTTCTGCTATGCATAAATGTAACAGTTTTCAGTGGTCAAATTAATCTTTCTGTGCTGTTATGTCTTAATTCTGTTTAAGTTTATAAAGTTCTTAAATAGAGCAGACTGATTAATGTGTTAAATCTTTCCCCCTCCTAAAACCCTCTAAAAGAGAAGGAGGAAAAATGGTATAAGTCCACAGGAAAAAAGAGAATAAGGGAGGTAAGAGCAATAAAGAGATGTTAATAACATTTCAAAATATGAAAAGTAGACAAATGGCTGGTAACTGAATTGGTAAAGCAGAAAAAATTGAAATAGTAACTTACAGCTAATTTGTGCTACAGGCTCAGGAACTGGACGTACCAATACCCGCAATATCAGAGGTAGCCCAGTTAGCTCAGCTGGTAAACATAAAGACTCTAAAAGGCGGAGGTATTAGAGTGGGGTTGAAACTAGGATGCTTGGTGGAAAGTCCTTTGCCTTTTTGGAGAGCCTGAACCAGAGGGTCTGGAATCTGAGACAGCTGATAGTTAGGGTGCTGCACTGAAAACAAAGGGATCAAATGAAGGTCTGTACAGTGAACAAGGAGAATCCTAGCTTCCCTTTCCAGGGTCCAGAACACTACTAAAACACAGACACCCAGGGTTACAACCTTTCTTGAAAACCCAAAGGATAAAAAAACCAACATATGCTGACATTTGAGGATTCTCCTTTGACAGGTCCCCACCTAATTATTCTATGGATGGGGCCTGTAGAGTGGGAACAATTTTGCCTTGTGGCTTGGATGCCAGCACGGCCACAGTAGAACAGAGCACCAGGTAGGTTCCTTAAGGTTTCTGACTCCAAGCCCTGGCTCTCAGACAGCATTTCTGGACCCAACTGGGACTGAGGGGAACTCTCTGCACTGAAGGGAAGAACACAAGCTTCGCTGGCTTCACCACCTGCTGACTGCAGAGCCCTAGGGCCTTAAGCAAACAAAGGCAGTAGCCAGGCAGTGGTTACCATGAGCCTTAGGTGAGACCCAGTGCTGTGCTGGCTTCAGGTCTGACCCAGTGCAGTCCCAGTAGTGGTGTCTACAAAGGTGCTGGCTGGTGTCACCCCTCCCCCAGCTCCAGAGAGCTCAGCATAGAAAGACTCTGGGAAAAAGTGAGGAAAGAGAATAAGAGTCTCTGCCTGATAATCCAGAGGATTCTTCCAAATCTTATCCAAGACCAGGACAGTACCTCTTAGTTTGCAAGAGACACAGTGATATTGGGCTTGGGGTGCCCCCTAATGCAGATATGGCTGCAATGACCAAAAACTTAGATTACAACACCCAAGTCCCTCTAAATACCTGGAAGGCCTTCCTAAGAAGGATGAGTACAAATAAAACCAGACTGTGAAGACTACAATAAATACCTAACTCTTCAGTGCCCAGACACCAATGAACATCCACAAACATCACAACCACCCAGGAAAACATGACCTCACCAAACGAACTAAATAAGGCACCAGTGACCAATCATGGAGAGACTGAGATATATGACCTTTCAGTCAGACAGAGAATTCAAAATAGCTGTTTTGAGGAAAAAGAAATCCAAGATAACACAGAAAAGGTACTCAGAATCCTATCAGATAAATTTAACAGAGTAAAATAAAAAGAAGCAGAAATTCTAGAGTTGAAAAATGCAACTGACATGCTGAAGAATAATGCATCAGTGTCTGTCAACAGTGGAACTGACCAAGAAAAAGAAGTGATTAGTGAGCTTGAAGACAGGCTATTTCAAAGTACACAATCAGAGGAGCCAAAAGAAAAAACAAGAAAGAATGAAGCACTCCTACAAGATCTAGAGAATCGCCTCAAAAGGGCAAATCTAAGAGTTATTGGCCTTAAAGAGGGGGTAGAGAAAGAAATGGGATGGAAAGTTTGTTCAAAGAGATAATAACAGTGAACATCCCAAACCTAGGGAAAGGTATCAATACTCAAGTACAAGAAGGTTACAGAATACAGAGCAAATTTAGCCCAAATAAGACTACTTCAAGATATTTAATAATCAAACTCCCAAAGGTCAAGGATAAAGAAAGGATCCTGAAAGCAGCAAGAGAAAAGAAACAACATACAGTGGAGCTCCAGTACATCTAGCAGTAGACTTTTCAATGGAAACCTTACAGGCCAGGAGAATGGCATGACATATTTACAGTGCTGAAGGAAAAAACTTTTATCCTAGAATAGTATGTATATCCAGTGAAGATATCCTTCAAACATGAAGGACAAATAAAGATCTTCCCAGAAAAATAAAAGCTGAGGGATTTTATCAACATGAGACCTGTTCAAGAAGAAAAACTAAATTGAGTTCTTCAGTCTGAAAGAAAAGAACTTTAATGAGCAATATCATGTGAAGGAGCAAAACTCACTGGTAATAGTAAATACACAGAAAAACAGAATATTATGACACTCTAATTGTGGTGTATAAACTACCCATATCTTGAGTATAAAGACTAAAACATGAACCAATAAAAAATAATAACTACAGCTACAAGACATAGTGTAGTAAAATAAACAGAAACAACACAAAGTTAAAAACCAGGGGAACACAGTTAAAGCATAAAGTTTTTATTAGTTTTCTCTTTGCATGTTAGTTTATGTAATTGGTGTTTACAATATTGGGTTATAAGCTATTTGCAAGCCTCATGGTAAACTCAAATCAAAAAACATACGACAGATACACGAAAAATAAAAAAAAAGAAATCAAAACATACCACCAGAGAAAAGTCACTTTCACAAAAAGGAATGGAATAGGAAGGAAGGAAGGAAGGAAGAAGGAGGAAGGAAGGGCAAAAAACAACCAGAACACATTTAAAAATGGCAGGAATAGCTGGACACTGCTGGCTTACATAGCACTTAGTGAGGCGGAGGTAGGCAGATCACTTGAGCCCAGGAATTTGAGACCAGCCTGGGCAACATGGTGAAACTCCATCTCTATACAAAATATAAAAATTGGCCAGGCATGGTGGCACGTGCCTATAGTCCTAGCTGCTTGGTGGCTGAAGTGGGAGGATCACTGGAATCCAGGAGAGGCTTCAGTGAGTTGTGATCACACCACTGCATTCTAGCCTGGGTGACAGAGCAAGACCCTATGTCCAAAAAAAAAAAAGATGCAAGAGTAACTCCTTATCAATCAATATAAATGGACTAAACTCTCCAATCAAAAGACACAGACTAGGTAAATGGATAAAACACAAACACACACACACACACACACACACACACACACACACACACACACACACAAGACCCAATGATCTGCTGCCTAGAAGAAACACACTTCACTTGTCAAGACACATATACTGAAAATAAAGAGATGGAAAAAGATATTCCATGCAAATGTTAACTATTTTGTCTAATACAAGGTATTAGACAAAACAGATGCAAGACAAAAACTATAGAAGAAGACAAAGAAGGTCATTATATAATGATAAAGGGGTCAATTAAGCAAGAAGATATAACAATTACAAATATAGGCCAGACGCAGTGGCTCACACCTGTAATCCCAACACTTTGGGAGGCCGAGGTGGGCGGATCATGAGGTCAAGAGATCGAGACCATCCTGGCCAACATGGTGAAACCTCATCTCTACTAAAAATACAAAAATTAACTGGGCATGGTGGCACACACCTGTAGTCCCAGCTACTCGGGAGGCTGAGGCAAGAGAATAGTATGAACCTGGGAGGTAGATGTTGCATTGAGTCAAGATTGAGCCACTGCACTCCAGCCTGGGTGACAAGGCGAGACTCTGTCTCAAAACAAAACAAAACAAAATTACAAATATAAATATGCACCCATACTGGACTGCCCAGATATATGAAGCAAATATTATTACCGCTAAAGAGAGAGAGAGAGACCCCAATACAATAATAGCTGGAGACTTCAACACTCCACTTACAGCACTGGACAGATCATTCTAACAGAAAATCAATGAAGAAACATTGGACTTAATCTGCACTACAGACCAAATGGATTTAACAGATATTTATAGGACATTTCATCCAGCAGCTGAAGAATACACATTGTTCTCTACAACATACGGATGGACCATATATGTTAGGCCACAAAACAAGTCTTTAAAAAAATACAAGTCTTGCTTTAGGTCCAAAGACAGAAATAGGTGGAAAACAGTTATTCCATGTAAATAGTAACAAAAGAGAGCTAGAGAAACTATACTAAGACAAAACAGACTAATATGATGCAAAATTGATATGAGACAAATATTGATAACAGGGTCAATTCATCAAGAAGATACAACAATTACAAATAGTTATGAACCTAACAACACAGCTCCAAAATATATAAGGCAAAAGCTGACAGAATCAAAGCGAGGTATAGACAGTTCTAAGATAATAACTGGTAGCTTTAATATCCCACTATCATTAATGTATACAACAATCCAAAGATCAATAAGGAAATAGAGAACCTGAACTACATTATAAACCAATAAGACCTATCAGACATATATAGAATACTCTATCCAATAAAAGTAGAATAAACATTCTTTTTAAGTGTACATGGAACATCTTCTAGGATAGACCATATGTTAGGTCACAAAACTTTCAATAAATTTTAAAAAGACTAAAATCATAAAAAATTATCTTCTCATATCATAATGGAATGAAACTAGAAATAACAAAAGGAAATCTGGAAAATTCACAAACATATGGAAATTAAACAATACACTCTTTTTTTTTTTTTTTTTTTTTTTGTATTTTTAGCAGAGACGGGGTTTCACCATGTTGGCCAGGCTGGTCTCGAATTCCTGACCTGGTGATCTGCCCACCTTGGCCTCCCAAAGTGGTGGGATTACAGGCATGAGCCACCATGCCCAGTCTAAACAATACACTCTTAAACAACCAAAAGATCAAAGAAGAAATCACAAGGGAAATTAGAAAATACTTAAGAGACTAATGAAAACACAGCATACTACAACTTATAGGATGCAAAAATAGTGTTCAGAGGGAAACTAATAGTTGTAAACACTTAAACTAAAAAAAAGGGAATGATCTCAAGTCAATAACCTAAGTTTATATCCTAAGGAACTAAGAACAAACTATACCCAAAGCTAGCAGATGGAGAAAACTAAATATTAAAGCAGTGATAAATGTATTAGAGAATAGAAAAATAATACACAATCCAGAATCTACAAGGAACTCAGATAATTATTCAGCAAGAAAAAAACAATCCCATCAAAAAGTGGGCTAAGGACATGAATAGACAATTCTCAAAAGTAGATATACAAATGGCAAAAAGAAAAAAAAAGAAAAACTGCTCAATATCACTAATGATCAGGGAAATGCAAATCAAAACCACAATGCAATACCACCTTACTCCCACAAGGATAGCCATAATAAAAAAATAAAAAAACAGTAGATGTTGGCGTGGATGTGGTGAAAAGGGAACACTCTACACTGTTGGTGGGAAGGTAAACTAGTACAACCACTATGGAAAACAGTGTGGAGATTCCCTAAAGAACTAAAAGTAGGCCAGGCATGGTGGCTCACACCTGTAATCCCAGCACTTTGGGAGGCTGAGGTAGGGGAATAACCTGAGGTCAGGAGTTCAAGACCAGCCTGGCCAACATGCCAAAACACTGTCTTTACTAAAAATACAAAAACTAGCTGGGCATGGTGAGGTGCACCTATAGTCCCAGCTACTTGGGAGGCTGAGGCACAAGAATGGCTTGAACATGGGAGGCAGAGGTTGCAGTGAGCCGAGACTGTGCCACTGCATTCCAGCCTGGGTGACAGAGCAAGACTCTATCTCACACCCTCAAAATAAATAAATAAATACAATTTTTAAAAAGAATTAAAAGTTGGCCAGGCGCGGTGGCTCACGCCTGTAATCCCAGCACTTTGGGAGGCCGAGGAGGATGGATCACAAGGTCAGGAAATCGAGATCATCCTGGCTAACACAGTGAAACCCCGTTTCTACTAAAAAATAAAATAAAATAAAATAAAAATACAAAAAATACAAAAACTAAGCCAGGCATGGTGGCATGCACCTGTAGTCCCAGCTACTTGGGAGGCTGAGGCAGGAGAATCGCTTGAACCCAGGAGGCGGAGGTTGCAGTGAGCTGAGATCGTGCCACTGCACTCCAGCTGGGGTGACAAAGTGAGACTCTGTCTCAAAAAAAATAAAAAATAAAAATAATAAAAATCTTCCAACAAAGAAAAGCCAAGGATCAGATTCTACCAAACATTTAAAGGAGAATTAACACCAATTCTCAAACTCTTCCAAAAGATCACAGCAGAGGGAATATTTCCTAAATCATTCTATGAGATCATCACTATCAAAATACCAGAAAAGGACCTTGCACACGCACCCCAAAACAAAAAAACAGTAACAAACAAAAATCCAACCCTACAAACCAATATCCCTTATGACTATAGATGTGAAAATTGTCAACAAAATAATAGCAACCTCAATCAAGTAGCCTATTAAAAGGATTATACACTATTACCAAGTGGGATTTACCCCAGGAATGCAAGGGTGATTCAACATAAGAAAATCAACCAGCATAATGTACCATATTAACAGAATGAAACAAACCACATGGTAATCTCTACTAATGTAAAAAAGCATCACATAGCTGGGCGCGGTGGCTCACGCCAGCACTTTGAGTGGCTGAGGCAGGTGGATCACTTGAGGTCAGTAGTTTGAGACCAGCCTGGCCAACATGGTGAAACCTCGTCTCTACCAACAATATAAAAAACTAGCCAGGTATGGTGGCGCACACCTGTAATCTCAGCTACTTGGGAGGCTGAGGCAAGAGAATCGCTTGAACCTGGAAGGTGGAGTTTGCAGTAAGCTGAGATTGTGCCACTGCACTCCAGCCTGGAGGATAGAGCAAGACTCCATCAATCAAAAAAACAAAAAACAAAACAAAAAACAAAAAAAAAGGAAAACCATTACACAAAAGAGTATCTCCAATATTCTTTTATGATAAAAATGCTGAACAAACTAGGGACAGAAGGGAATTTCCTTAACACCATAAAGGGAATTTGGGAAAAATCCACAGGTAACATCCTACTATTATACCTTCTCTGAGAGGGTGGTCCAGTATGTCTGAGGTTGAGCTTTTGACCAGTGCAGCCTGAAGACTCCATGGATACATACAGGGGAGATTTTTTTTTTTTTGAGACACAGTCTTGCTCTGTCCCCAGGCTGGAGTGCAGTGGCATGATCTCGGCTCACTGCAACCTCCGCCATCCAGGTTCAAGTGATTCTCCTGCCTCAGCCTCCTAAGTAGCTAGGATTACAGATGCATTCCACCATGCCCAGCTAATTTTTGTATTTTTAGTAGAGACAGGGTTTCACCATGTTGGCCAGGCTGGTTTTGAACTCCTGACCTCAGGTGATCCAACCACCTCGGCCTCCCAAAGTGCTGGGATTACAGGCATGAGCCACCACACCCAGCCCTACAGGGGAGATTTAAGTAAATATCTTAAAGATTATGGCAGTAAGGTTTCTCATTGATGATGAAAGTTATATACATAATATGGAAAGGAAGAAGGCTAGAGTAAATTCTTTGGTGTTTGGATAGAATTAGAAGTATCAGTTTGATTTCACGGTCTTCAACATATATACAGCTCTAAATATAGATAAGTCTATGGATGCATGTGTGTATACACACATACAGATCCTATTTCTATCAGCTGAAAGAACCCAGTAGAACTACTGACTCTCCGGAAGCAAGAAGTACTACACTTAGCACCCAGAGCTTGATTTCTAAATACCATTTTCCACTTAAAGAAGACACGGCTCTTAAGAAAAATGCTAATGCCATGGCTGGGGTGGAGAAAACACAAGATAAACCTGGAATGTTTACCGTACCAAATGTAAGGAAATGCTTGAAGAATAATGGGGATATGTCAGAAGTACACCAAAGAGTAGAGCCGGCTCCAAGGGGCTCTCACCAGCCAAGGTGAGATAGAACTTGAAAGGTCCCAAAGAGATTCATGATAAAGCTTATTACAACTGCCCCTCCCTTTGTCTCAAAACATTATCTCTTTAAAACTGACTAAAGGGCAGACAGAACTCTGTGTTTCTAGCAGCACAGCCCCCAACCTCATATGCCCTCTCAAATTCTACCTGCTACACCACTACAAACTTCCCTATTTATAAAGAGACCAGTGCCAGGAAGGAGGCTAGGATTTGAGCAGATTGTCCACTTACCTCAGAGGCCATTAGGACTAACTCCATCATGTCTTATATGCCTGTTTACAGAACAAATACAAAGCCTCGAAACTCATAGGTTATCCCTAAACCCACATCCATATGGCATTGTGGGATGCCCTCAAGTCTGACACAATTTTATGACTGTCCTTGCTCCACCAAACCCTTTCACTGTTTGTTCTGGAACTCACAATCTACCATTTGGAAAACTGCTTGTATCCTAAACTCCAAATTTTTTCCCCTTTTTGTCTAAGGAAACAAGACTGTCTCCTGAGGACACCATTTCCTCTGCAGCTCTCACAAATGGTGTCACTTTTCAATCCTTCATATGATTGCGTCTAGAGCTAAGGTAGGTCTCCTTGCTCTTGCTCTTCTGTGTTTCTAGACTTCTTTCCATTTGCCATCCTAAAATTTCCAACTCCTCTGAAACACGGGCCAACTGACCATATTCCCTGCAACTGTTCCTTGGGCAGTTGTATAAAAAACCTTCCACAATTCCTTCATTCACAAACTTTGGCACTATCTTATGCTTTCTTTCTCTACCACTATTTCTGCCATCGTTTTTGGCAACTTCAATATCCAGACAAAAAAAAATGCATACAACACACTAGCCTCTCAGTTTCTGGACCTGTCTGTTTCCAACAATCTTGTTCTCCACCACACCTCAATGCCCATACCCATGGTTATATCTTACATTCAACTACAACCCTCCAAATCTCAATTTCAAGCATTCCATAACTAACCATTACCTCTGACTTCTTATCTCAGCCCCTCAATACAATTCCACCGTCACAATTTATTTATTTGTCCAAACCAAGTCCACACAAAGCTGAAATTCCATAATCCCTCACTATAATAACTCCCTTGCCTTTTACTCCCTTCTGTGTTACATTCACTTGTTAAAACCAAAACGTGATTAAAATCAACTGTTGCTCTTATCCTTACCTCTATCCAAACAGCTAAACATGACTAAAGAGAGTCTCGTTTTGTCACCAGGCTGGAGTGCAGTGGCGCGACCTTGGCTCACTGCAACCTCCGTCTATTGGGTTCAAGCGATTCTCCTGCCTCAGCTTTCCGAGTAGCTGGGATTACAGGCATGTACCACCACGCCCAGCTAATTTTTGTATTTTTAGTAGAGACAGGGTTTCATCATGTTGGCTAGACTGGTCTTGGACTCCTGACCTCCACCTTGGCCTCCCAAAGAGCTGGGATTAGAGGTGTGAGCCACTGGGCCCGGCCAAAAAAATACTTATTTTAAAATATCTTAAAGACTCATAAATTGGAGGCCGGGCGCGGTGGCTCACACCTGTAATCCCAGCACTTTGGAAGGCCAAGGCAGGTGGATCACAAGGTCAGGAGATCGAGACAATCCTGGCTAACACGGTGAAACCCCGTCTCTACTAAAAATATAAAAAAAATTAGCCGGGCATGGTGGCAGGCGCCTGTAGTCCCAGCTACTCGGGAGGCTGAGGCAGGAGAATGGCATGAACCTGGGAGGCAGAGCTTGCAGTGAGCCGAGAGTGCGCCACTGTACTCCAGCCTGGGCGACAGAGGGAGACTCAGTCTCAAAAAAAAAGAAAAAAAAAAAGACACCTAAATTGCACAAATAATATAAAGAACTCCCATGTACCCTTCACTCAGTTTTCTCCAGTGGTAACAGCTTACATAGCCATGGTCAAAACCAGGAAAATTACTTTGGTATGTAATATATTGCTATCTACATATATATATATATTTAAAGGAGGATAGCCCATACATTTTCAAAAGATCACCCATAGGAAGAGGGGGAAAACAAGGTGGAGCTTGACTTCTTTTAACACATCTTATTTTGTAGATTTGACTTTGGAACTATGTAGGCATTTTATATTATTGTAAAACTAAATTGAATTTGAACAAGCAATCCCTAAAAATAAGTTAGCTTAAATGAGTATTCACTTGGTGGTATAACAATAGAGTATAACAATTTTAAATTATATCAAAACTATATTATCTGGCTGTCTATCTATATTAGGGTATACTCTTTGTACAAAAAGAACTGAAAAACAATTTAAAACATTTTAGTAATCATAATATTGGTGGTAATGTTGGTACTGTTAGGCAGTAAATGTGTAAGATAAGTCTGGAACATTCTGTCATAGTAAGTACACAAGGTAGCAAGGAAGGTACCAAAAAGTATATAGGTTGTTTCAAAAGGACTTGGGCACCAACCTTAAGAGCTCTCCTTGAACAAAGATGGGACAATATGAGCATCAATGAAGACAATAACTGCAGTGAATTGAAAAACATCAAGTATGTTTAAACCTATGAATACCTAATGATACTTGAAAGCAAAACACAAAAAATGAATTATTACCAGTGGACTATGCTAATGAACCAATTCATTCTTTTGAAAAATTGGTAACTAAATAGAATCCTTTCCTATGAATTGCACTACTAAGGAATCAGAAAACGTGAGGAAATTTCTCTATACAGAAGTATCCAAGCTAATAAATGAAAAAGAAATATTAGAGTAGCACACCATTTTGCAACCCCTGATGAATTAGAGTCTAGGCACTAAGCTGCTAACATTACACAAGACAGCCAACCTCCAGGCAGAATGATTAAATATTACATTGAGGTTTTTACAACCAATAGCTATTCTATCTAAATTTCTTTCAAGTCAGGAGTTCTACTAAACTGATCCATCCTTTTCACTTATGATCACTAAATTGGGTCAGCAAACTTTCTATAAAGAACCAGATGGCAAATATTTTGGGGTTTCCTGGACATAAGGTCACTGTTGTAATTACTTAAACTCTGCCGCTGCTATTGTAGCATGAAAGTAGCCTTGGACAATAGGTAAAAGAGTGGGTGTGACTTTTTTTTTCTTTGAGATTAATGGGCTATAGTCTGCTGACCTGCTCTAAATGACAAGGTAGATAAATCAATGATCCCTAATGATAAATTAATTTTTCCCAACAGAAAAGTTAATCTGGTGATTATTATTCAATCCTCAAATTGAAATCAGCAGAAGGAATAGTCAACATTATTTTCTGGCTAACCATCTCTTAATTTATTTTGTTAATTTAAAATGTGTGGTAAGCATCAAATGTATTTTGACAACTCCAAGTCCAAAGTTTATAATTTCTCAAATTGTAATAAAGCAGATCTTATATGTTAGGGATCCAGTAGTAATTCCTTATTTACTGAATTAACTTGATACATACAGGTATAAATACATGGGTATATACACAGAAGTAATTTAGATGGTTGGACATTTTACCTTATCAGAAAACCAAATGAGCCTGGAATCTTCATAATACCTAAACATGCCGTATTTAGGATCCAATAATTCCCTCATGATGAGCAAGAAAAATTCTTTGCGCACCCCTCCTGCATCCACAGCATCTTCTCCAACAAATATAACCTAAAATAGCACAATGCAAACACCAAATAGACTGTAAAGAAATGAAAGTACATTCTGGAGACCCTAGAACATGTTATTTATTACTAATACTCTACAATTAATAGTTTAAAATAAATATAATTTTATTTATTAAGTTTAAAAGATTCACTAAAAACAAATAGGAAAATTTTAAACATAGCTTCTGAATAAAAGTCCCAATTATACCACAGAAAATGTCAAATTACCTTGAGTGGCTTCTTGTAATCTATGTTCTTTGTTTTCCTAAGGACTTCCATTGCATCTCCTACAATATTTTCTCTACGCACCACTAGAATTAAGCAGGGATTCACAGATTCAATCACTGGGAGAAAAAGAGAGGAGACATTCTGCCTGTGGGCCTGATCAATAGCCATCTGGAAAACAAAAGATTAACATTTTAACAGCAATGCTACAATAAAGCTACTGTGACTGAAACAAGCTAACCTCTACCTATTAGTTACAGGTATTCTATAATTCCTATGCTACTGAATTAACATAGCACCTAACAGTATCCCGTACAGCATAAAACTTAATAAACTGAGCATAAAGAGTACCCTTTTGAATGTTTTTATACTAATGTATAATGTATAACTCATAACACCATTAGAGTAAGCCAGTACAGAACGGTAGTAATACTGATAAATCTGAGCATTGGTTTTTCTAAAAAACATTCACTGGAGGGGAGGGTAAAGAGGGAGGAGCAAAAACAAACCTTTAAAGAGTATAAGGAACAGGCTGGGCGCAGTGGCTCACGCCTGTAATCCCAGCACTTCGGGAGGCCAATGAGGGCAGATTACTTGAGGTCAGGAGTTCAAGACCAGCCTGGCCAACATGGTGAAATCCTGTCTCTACTAAAAATGCAAAATTAGCAGGGCGTGGTGGTGTGTGCCTGTAATCCCAGCTACTCAGGAGGCTGAGGCAGGAGAATCACTTGAACCTGGAAGGCAGAGGTTCCAGTGAGCTGAGACTGTACCACTGCACTACAGCCTGGGCGACAAGAGCGAAACTCCGTCTCAAAAATAAAAAATAAAAAACAAAGAATAAGGAATGATCTGGCTAAGGAAGCATTACACAAATTCACTTAACTAAGTGATCATGGTATGTGCTCACGAACCAAGGATTTGACTTTTACCATTTAAAACTTTTGTTCTTTTATTATGGTTCTCCCTGAGTTCTTGTTCTAAAATGGAATATCCCATGGTAAAATCACCAAGTTATTAACTTATCGTTTTAACAAAGACCTCCAAAAAATTGGCTTACTAGCTGTTAGTATAGAACACTACAAAAATATTTAGAATACCAAATGCATTTATTTGAACAGAATAAAAATGGTTACCAAGATTTGAAGGTTTTTAATTTTTTAAAATATTTTTAGACTATTAAATATTCAAGCTTTCTTTTCATCCTTTCCTTAATCCTTAGTTGGTATAGTCAGATATTCTATACCAGAGGAAGCAGCTCAAAATCTTTTTTATTTACAGGATCAAATGATAAAGCAAACTTACTGTAACCCTTTAAAGTCATAATATGAATTAGTTTAAAAAATCCTCTCTATAAATGAAAGAACTCTCAACATAAAATGGATGGGAAAGGGTGATAGGAAGGGGAAAAGAAAGAGGAATAGGAGATAATGGTGACCAACCCCAGGAACATGTTTAATACCTTATTATTGAAACTTTCTTCAAGGAAATTTCACATCTTCTTCCTAACGAGATCAAATGCTTCCTACTTTTAACATCTCTCACCTCTAGTGACTTCCATCTCTTACCAAGCATATAAAAAGGGGACATATAATGAAACAAGATTTTGAAACAAACCAACATCTTATCAAGTAAACTAGTAAAACGGTTTATAAAGATTGAATATTTCTGTAATGAAAGAGGCTTATACAATTTTTAATATATAAAATGATTATAGGTTAAGTTATTCCATTTTCACTGCAACCTTTTTTTATAAATGTTCTCATAAGAATATACATATCACATGCAGCAGTCTTCTTTATAGCTACCCAAAGTACTTTGTGTACCTTCATTACTGATCCTAGGAAAATTTCAAATATTTACTGTCCAGAAACATCAAAGAAACAATTAAAAAAAAAAACCCTCTCAAATAATATTTTACCTGCATCTGTAAGACTGCATCGGTCTGTAACAGAGTAGTTTTTGCTTGGGCATCAAATACAAATGGATATGTACAGATTGTAACAGGGATATCTGCCAACTGGAAATAAAAAATTAACTTATTAGTACAAGTTGATTTGTGATATACTTACTGTGGATGCTGACATTTCTTATAAAGTGGACTACATTCTTTGTTTATTCACTCATGTGGTTCTGGAATTACAAATAAAACATGCTGCTTACAGAATTATTAAAAATTAAATGAGGCATTGGAATGAACCCAATTCCCAATTTTAGGGGGCGACTGTATACTTGAGAGTCTATACAATCATATACTGCAAGTATCTTTTGCTTAGCATATGTTAATTGCAAATCTCAGTGAATGAGGTTGCAAATTTGTTCTAAAATTGGGGGCTCCTATGTTAAATGCGATAGCCAATTCTTACATGTTAGGGCAACTGCAGCAACTGAGGCTAATGATAAGTAATCTGTCTATTCCTTCATTTAACAGATATTGAGTATAATGTCATTAGGGTATCAAAATTATTATGAGTCCAATAATCTCTTCATTTACTTAATATACAAAAAAGTACCATTAGTATTACTATTCTGTTAGCCTTTAAAGTTACGAGAACTGATCTATTATTATCATTATTAGACATTAGACACTTTATAGACAATTACTTATCCTGGCAGGTAATATATTGATTGCTAAGTATTTTAATAGTGCAGTAAAATATAAAGAGTTATGAATTGCCAGTCACACATTCTTGTAGTTGGAGGACGACCTACTTCTACCATCTACCCAGTAAAACAATATCTTTGTGCCTGCCCTGACTCAGAGCCCCTGCTATGAGACTTCTAATGAAGAATTAATACACCCTAAAACAATCCACTTCTTAGTGATTAGACAGTTCTTTATAGTCTGAATCTGCATTTTTTTTTCCCCCATACAGAGTCTTGCACTGATGCCGGGGCTGGAGTGCAATGGTGCGATCTAGGCTCACGGCAACCTTCGCCTCTGGGGTTCAAGCGATTCTCCTGCCTCAGCCTCCCGAGTAGCTGGGATTACAGGTGCCTGTCACCACACCCGGCTAATTTTTTGTATTTTTAGTAGAGATGGGGTTTCACTAGGTTGGCCAGGCTAGTCTTGAACTCCTGACCTCATGATCCGCCCACCTCGGCCTCCCAAAGTGCTGGGATTACAGGCGTGAGCCACTGTGCCCAGCCTGAATCTGCATTTCTATATATCACTATGCATCATTTAGTCTTTGCTTTGCCCCTGCTGGGAAGTGTACGTAGTTTAAATATTTTAAGTCCTAATCATGCTCTCCCTAAATTGTATTTTATTACATTCTAAACATTCACTCTTCAGTATTTTTCATGTGACAAGGTTTACCTCCATCCTATATTTGTGGCACTGCCTAGCTAATGATCATAAAAACTAATTTTACTTCTCTGAAATTCAAAAAGATTTAGATATCTCCAAAGCACCCTTTGGCTTCAAAACTCTATGTTTTCATAATTTTATGTGCTAATTCTATTTGACAATGAGGAAGCAAACAATATTAGAGCTATAATTTAAAGCTAACTCAAAATGCTTCATTGGTTCAAGTGCTGGGAAAAACATAGCAACCAACAAAATGCAAATCAAAGCAAAACCTGACATCTATAACGGATAAAGAAAGTATTATAATGTTCCCAAGTGTTAAAAGGGTAGTCTAGGGTTGTTGATTACTTAAACCAAAGTGCTAGAACTTTATATATTAGAAGTGAGAAAGATAATCATACAAAAAGTTTAACTTTGTGACCATTCTGAGTATCAATTAATCAATTTTAAAAATGAAGTTTGTTTTACTTCTCTAATATAAAATGTTTTCAGCCACATTAGGTAGGCATTTGCTAAATTTTAAAATAAAAGTTTGCTTTTTTATATTCTGAGGACACATTACATTTTATACTGGAAGACTTGAGGAGGACAGAAACTATTCTAAAGCAAATATTGTTGAGGCATCATATAGGTGTAATGTTAACAGAATTTCATTTTCTTCAGAAAACTTCTGAAATGTTATACAAGATAATCTCTACAGACTGTATTTTAAAAAATGATACATATATATCTATTTATTTACATTTTTTAACCACACCAAAAAAACGAATCTTTGGCTCTTCTATTACTCAGGAGAAAATGGAGTATATTTTACTCTAAACATGAGCTTTATTACACCAAACTTACCTCAGTTAATCCATGGTTGACATCCTAAGACAGCAGTGCAGAATATAACAATAACGAGGAAAGAGCAATATTAGTGTCCAAATTTAACTATTTCTATTCAAGGTAGCATTTCATATATTTTGCTACAGCAGAATATTGAAGTAATGAGGTAGAAAATACATCTACAATCAAATACACCCCCTACACAAGCATCTTATATATCTACTAATGTAAGATCTTTGTTTCAGGTACCTTGTGATCATAAAATGATTGAGGCTTGAACATAATGAAATTTGTTTTCAGCAATTAAACACCCCCATTTGCAGAATTTAGGCAGAATAAGAAAACTAATCCTATGCCTGGCTTGGTCTTAAAAAAAAAAATTTATGGCTCAGTTTTTCTACTTAAAAAAAATGGAAAAAACATTCCTCAGACTTTAAGACTTTAAAATCTCAGCAAAATGTCTGACAGTGTTTAGTAGATTAAAATGCCATATGGACACAAAGTAAGAAAAAATAAGCCATAAATTGTTTTTATTTGACAGAAAAAAAAACAGTAAAACATAAGGTATCTTACATTAAGCATTCTTTAAAACTGAATTAATTTAAAATAGAAAGTACAGGACAGGGAAAAAGGGTTGGTAAGCAAAAAGAAATGAAGAGAGAAAGATATATTTATTAAGGCAGTAATAGTGGAAATTATAATGAAAGCTTACCACTTTATTGAACAGAAATGTACATTTTCTTGTAGAAAGTTTCCACATATGCTCAGAGCACAGACTCGTGTAAAGCACCAGAATCTTCAGAAATATGTTACTAAATTTGTGGACGGTGCCTTGTGTTGTGAGGAATTAATTTTACCCCAGAAGAGAGGGCATTGCCCTGGGTTACTAGGAGGTGACCTATAGACCTGTGCAATATCATGCCTGATAGGAGTGTCTTTGTTTGCCTGGCGCTTTAGCCACTGGACAATGTGACTTATGATAGGGGCTTGGGCCATGTGCTGTCAGTTCTGCTTCCAGAAGAGCTGGGAACTAGAGGTCACTACGGGAGCAGGATGTGATTGAACCCCAGTAAAAACTCTGGGCACCAGGGTTCTGGTGAGCTTCTTTGGCTAGAAATACTCTGTATTGTTACACATCTATGCCAGGAAAGTAATTCATCCATGACTCTACATGGAAAGGACAACAGAAGCTCTGCCTCTGGTTATCTTTCCCAGACTCTGCCCTGTGTGTTTCTTCCCTTGGCTGATTTTTGTTCTCAGATGGAACTTTCTATTTGTCACTATTAAAAGCCTAAAATTTTTTTTTTTGAGACGGAGCTTCGATCTTGTTGCCCAGGCTGGAGTGCAATGGTGCAATCTCGTCTCACCGCAACCTCTGCCTCCTGGGTTCAAGCGATTCTCCTGCCTCAGCCTCCCGAGTAGCTGGGATTATAGGCATGTGCCACCACGCCTAGCTAATTTTGTATTTTTAGTAGAGATGGGGTTTCTCCATGTTGGTTAGGCTGGTTTCGAACTCCTGACCTCGTGATCTGCCCACCTCAGCCTCCCAAAGTGCTGGGATTACAGGCGTCAGCCACCGCACCCAGCCAAAAGCGTAAATTTTAAACACATTCTTGGATTTGTGGTCCACATCCATCAGCTCATATAACCTTAGCACCTGTCACATCCCCAGTAGCCTTTCTAGAACTACTACCTTCACCATGAAGCTCCCTGGTTTTCCCAGTTCAAACTTGGGCATCTTCAGCATTTTTACTTTTCTAACAAGGACAAGCATGGAGAGGATAAATAGACTGGCAAGCCTTTTCTTTATCTTTTCCAATGTTTATTGACCACTTCTTTCAAGTCACTTGTCTGAACCTCTTGGATCATGATTTTCATCACTTTCTTGCGGATTTGGCGGACCTGTTGGTGCTGAGAGTAAGAGGTCTTCTGTACCTGACCATTGCGTTTCTTAGTAAAACCAACACAGAACAGATGAAGCAAATAACCATTAGTGGTCTTGACATTAACATGAGCTTCTTTCATGATCTACCAGTTTTTGGCCATGGAACTCATTTTGTCACAGGTAAGATCCATGCAATGGAAGTTAGGTCGTTTAGCGCCTCAACATCCTCAGTAGTCAGCTTGAATTTTTAAAATGCAATTTCATCATTCTGCAGATCAGAAAGGTTCACTTCAAATATACACAACACTTGAGGCCATCAGATATAATTTTGGTTCCTTGAGTCCTGGTGACTAGTGTTTCTCTCCAATATTTCTTATACTGAACACAGCACGTGCTTTCATATCATATCTATCTTTTTTAGAAAGTAGATTAACCACTTCTTTGCTCCCTATTTGTCACCTTTCATAAGGTGCTTGTTCTTGCCAAATGTCATGGTGCTGCTCAGAGAGTCAAAAAGACCCTTGGCTGATTTTAACCTATTATCCTTTCCCTGTAATAAACCCTAATCATCAGTGTAACAATTTTCAGTGAGTTCTGGGAGGCCTCGTAGCAAATTATCAAACCTAAGGGTAGTTTGGGGGACCCTCCCCAAACTCACAATTGGTATCAGAAGTGAGGGCAGTCTTGTGTAAACTGTTCTCTTTAACTTTGTAGTTGACTGAGTTCCCACGTGTCACCAGCGATATTATTGGAGGATTTAAGATATTAGCAAAGACTTTGGGTTCTCTCACTATATTAAGTAAAGCCAAAGCAGTGTAAGCATAAGCAAAACATCACTCTATGCAAACCCTATTCAGAGGAAGAATATTATTGACAAGAATTTCTTTAAAAAAATTCACAGTACCAAGTTATTACCACATAAATGCTCCAACTGGCAGTGTAAACAAGATGAAAGTCTTTAGAGACTGTTCTGCAAAAAAACCTTTCAGATTACACTCTGTTTAGCTAGAAGGCAATATAAAAGGAACATCTGAAATCCTTTTATAGTATACCTTGTGGGACTTTTTTTGAAAAAAGAACTTTATTATTTTAAAGCAGCTTTAGATTCACAGCAAAATTGAAAGTAAGGTGCAGAGACTTCCAATATACCCTTATCCTCACATATGCACAGCCTTCATATCACCAATATTCCTCTTGTAGGACATTTAAAAAGTGTTATTACTACTAAGAAAGTTTAAATAAGCAAAAAAAAAAAAGCCTATAAAAATTTATCTATGGCCTGCTTGATAACTATACTATATACCAAGGGAGTTTATAGTATGGGAGATCGATTTTCTCCTTAGCTAAACAATGAAATATTAGTATGTATGCATTATCTTTTTTACTACTACATGTAAGTAGATATAGATGTTATACATATCATTATACACTGGGGAAGTCAGTAAGATAATGTTAGAATTTATAGTGCGACTAACCCATACTAAGCAGAATATAATTTGGTTACACTAAAAATTGGGACAGAAAGATGTGAACTGGCAAGAATATGAAAAATAATAGGACGTGAAAAACTTCAGAAAAAGAGAGATGATTAGACATTAGGTATAATCATTTTTCTAAGAGAGAGAGGCACCAAAGGGAAAACCAGATAAAGATAATTAACTAAAAGTATCAGAAAGGGAAGAAAAAATAGCAAAGAGTTTGGTAGTAACCAATAAGGTATTTTTACAAACAATTTAAAAGCAAAGTTAAAGGAGGATAAGGAAACTGAGAATAGTACCTAGAAAATGCTCTTAGAAAATGTTTCATTATAGTGCACATAGAGAAAGGCAGCAAGAGAACAGAGTTATTAGACACGTCAGAATAAAAGCTACTGCCAAATTTGTAGCCTGTGTCAAGGTAGCCAGCAACAATAATCACCATTTTATAAAGACTTAACTGTGTGCCAGAAATTACTCTAAGTCCTTCACAGGGATCATATAAATTAATCTTCTCAAAACTTTTTAAGGTAGGTACTAATATCCTAATTTACAGAAAACAAAATGAAATCTCAGAGAAATTAAGTAATTTTCCCAAGGACAGAACTGAATATATGCTGAGGTGGGATTTGAATCCAGGCACTCTCATAAAAGTTACTCTGCTTTCTCATCATACATATTTATGTTGTGAGTTAGAATTCTTCATCATTACAACATTCTCCATAATAAATTAACTTAATTTGCCAATTTGTAATGTTATTTACTATTTATTTATTTTTTGAGATGGAGTCTCACTCTGTTGCCCAGGCTGGAGTGCAGTGGCGTGATCTCAACTCATTGCAACCTCCACCTCCCGGGTTCAAGCCATTCTCCTGCCTCAGCCTCCTAAGTAGCTGGGATTACAGGTGCCCGCCACGATGCTTGGCTAATTTTTGTATTTTTAGTAGAGACGGGGTTTCGCCATATTGGCCAGACTGGTCTAGAACTTCTGACCTCAGGTGATCTGCCCACCTCGGCCTCCCAAAGTGCTGGGACGTGAGCCTCCGCACCTGGACTGTAATGTTATTTATAATTATAAATTTGCTGTGGTCTTAGAGTTCTTTTAAGAGCTAAACACCAAGAGTTTAGAACTAGTTTAATGTGTGTATATATTTATATAATATGTAAGTGAACACTGGGCTTCTTAAGAAATTGTTCTTCTTTAAAAGGGTCCACATATCCCTCCAAATGTTCTGAATCCTTTCAAAAACACTGCTAAAAGACCTAGGGTACCCTGGTTGGTGTGTGAGGGTTTATATGCAAAGTCTTGGTATGAACAAGGTTCATTTCCTGAAGAATCAATTTTCCTCAATGACAAATAAATTAAATCTCTTTTATACTGCAATATCTATTATGCCCATAATGCAAAATTTGCATTTAAAGATAGAAAATTAGCCTCAGTTCAAGTCTTGCTGAGGGAAGGTTAAATCCTTAAGAAATATGTTATTTCTCCTGCCATCACAGGTTCTCTAAAGGAAGAGTTTGAGAAGCTTTACCTAGGTCAGAGATGAAGAAAAAAGGAAATATTTATTCAAAACTGCTGAGGTCAATTATTTTCTTTCTTAAAAAATTATCCCTTGATTCCAGCTACCACTCCATTTTTTTTTTTTTTTTTTGCTCCTCTTCAATGCAGAACTTCGTCAAAGTATTGCCAATGGTTGTTACTGCTTCCTTACCTCTAAATTTCTCTTTACAACATCCCAACCCAAGAATGGTATTATCAAGGTTACCAATTACCTTCATGTAACCAAATTCACTGTCAATTCTAAGGTTTCATCCTCCTCCTCTGCAGCATTCAACAGTCTCTCTTTCACTTTTAAATTTTGGTTTCCAAGACTCTCCTAGTTTTCCCTCTACCACACCTGCTTTTTAATCTTTGTGGATTTCTCTCCTTTCCTCACTTCATATCCAATCCATCAGTGATTTTTATTTTCCTTTTGTCTCCAAGATTCCCTTTTATCTCCAAGACATATTCCATTTCCTTCTTCCATCTAAATAACCATCATCCTAGTCAAACCCATCATTTCCTCTCCCCTAATCTACTAAAATATAGCTTTCTCATGGATTTCCGTCTTTCATTTCTGTCCCGTTCCCTACACAGCCAACAAAGTGATCATTCAAAAAGATCAGATTAAGTTTCCCCTGTTTATCATTAACACTTTAGATAAAATCCAAATTCCTAATCCTAGTTTACTAAACTCTCTATGATCTGGCCCCTGCCCATTTCTCTGTTCCCTCCTCACTCCCATAAGCCATGCTGGCTGTTTTCCTTTCTTTCTTTCTTTCTTTTTTTTTTTTGAAAGGAGTCTCACACTGTCGCCCATGCTGGAGTGCAATGGTGCAATCTAAGCTCACTGCAACCTCCACCTCCTGGGTTCAAGCAATTCTCCTGCCTCAGCCTTCCAAGTAGCTGGGATTACAGGCGCCCACCACCATGCCTGGCTAAGTTTTTGTATTTTTAGTAGAGACGGGGTTTCACTATGTTGGTCAGGCTGGTCTTGAACTCCTGACCTCGTGATCTGCCCACCTCGGCCTCCCAAAATGCAGGGATTCCAGGCGTGAGCCACCACACCTGGCCTAATGCTGGCTTTTTTCTGTCCTTCAATCATGTCAAGCTTGTTTTCACCTCAGGTATTTTACCAAATGTTCGTTGTTCTTGAAATTCTCTCTGCCCTGATCTTAAAGGGCTGCTCCTTGTCATTCAGATTAGTACTCATACTTCATTAGATAAGTCTTTTCTGAAACCTATCTTTACTAAGTCCCCTCATTTTAATAATACATATTATTAGCTGGTATTTTTTGCTTTGTTTGACTATTGCCAATCTTGCCCAGTAGATTACGAATTCCATGAGAAACAAGGCTCTGTCTGGTTCACCACTGTATTTCCAATACCTAAATCAGTGCCTGTTATATAACAGATTCTCATTGTTTGTTGAATAAGCAAATGAATAGACCTAAATCTATAGAATGGCTATAAACCTGACCCAGCCTCAAAGTGACTCAGGAGAAAAGTCAATGAGTCTCTCCCAGTCCAGACCCAAGTACACTAGGGAAGGAAAAGATGTCTAGAAGCAACCTGATTCCGGAAGGTGGGAGTATCCTAAAAACAGCGTGCACTAACCAGATTGCCATTCAAAAACTACTGTACTTTTTTAGTGCTTACTAGACATATTCTAGACACTGTCAGAGGTGCTGGTTGACTGACAAGAGCACCCATCCACAAGGAGCTTACAGCTGGTGCCTAGCAAGCAATGAAAAGTTACTCACCCTTCTATTATATAACTGCTGCACACATATTAAATTACCTGGGTACAGAAAAGTGGGCCTCAAGTATACACAAATGGCTAGCAAATAAGAGTAGTAAACCTAAATATTTTGTATCTAACTGCTTACCCATTTCTGCATTAAAATTTTATGTGCCTAATTCAAGTTTTATAAGACCATGGTACTATTTTAATGGGATAGTGTCTAGTTATTAAAGACTTAGCTGCATAAAAAGATGTACGCACCCACATTTATATTAAAAATCTGAAATAAAAGTAAACACATAATCGGCTCACTGCAACCTCCATCTCCCAGGTTCAAGTGATTCTCATGCCTCAGCCTTCTGAGTAGCTGGGATTACAGGCATGTGCCACCACACTTGGCTAATTTTTTGTATTTTTAGTAGAGATGGGATTTCGTCATGTTGCCGAGGCTGGTCTTGAAATCCCGAGCTCAGGGAATCCACCTGCCTCAGGCTCCAAAGTGCTAAGATTACAGGCATGAGCCACCACACCCAGTCCTCTTTTGGTAGTCTTGAAGCACCAATTTCACAACAATAATGCATTCTTAGGAGTTCCAGTATGAAGAATGCCAGTATTTTCAACACTGGAGAAATAAGAGGCAACCTCATGGAAAATAAAAGAGTTAAAAATCCATTTCACACTTGTAGGTTTTTTTTGTCTTGTTTTGTTTTGTTTTACAGTGTAATCCATTTCTTTGGTTTGGCTTTGGTAAAAGAGTAGAATGTTTGCATATAAATATTGTAAAATATATAGCACTCCTTTGCAATGTGTTATTATTTAAAAAGTAAGTTCTGGATAAAAGTTCTGAAAAAACTTTCTCATTTCAAAACCAAGCAATTGTTTCTTTTTTTATTAGATACATATACATAAAAATGAAATCACAAATTGCACAGAAAACCTACCATTCCATAGGCCTGCTGTTGGACCCAGTTGATATAATCATTTCTTATGTCTATCAATTCTTGTACTTCATGTATATAAAATTTATCATACTGTATAATCTGTCCCATTTTCTCATTTACCTACAAAAGAAAATGTAATTGACATTAAATTTAACCAGTACTCAAGACAGACAAATTTTTTTTATTTTTTGAGACGGAGTCTCACTCTGTCAACCAGGCTGGAGTGCAGTGGCACAATCTCAGCTCACTGCAAGCTCTGCCTCCCGGGTTCACGCCATTCTCCTGCCTCAGCCTCCTGAGTAGCTGGGACTACAAGCACCCGCCATCATGACCGGCTAATTTTTTGTATTTTTAGTAGAGACGGAGTTTCATCGTGTTAGCCAGGATGGTCTCGATCTCCTGACCTTGTGATCTGTCCACCTTGGCCTCCCAAAGTGTTGGGATTACAGGCGTGAGCCACCACGCCTGGCCAAGACAGAGAAATTTAAAATATCTAAAGAAAAAAATGCTTTGGGGATTTTCTTAGCTATTTTTTTCTTCCTACAAAAAATAATTACTGAGTGCCTACTATATGCAAAATGCTAGTTAAGTGCTATGGGAGACACAAAGATTTGTAAGATGTGATATCTGCATTCAGTACCCCAAAATCTAGAAAAGACATGTCTTTATAACTACAACACAGTATGAGATATGTAATGATTAAACTGTATACGGTATATATAAACTAGATACTATAAAGACTTATGGTTGGGAAATGGGACCTTAATAATAATAGCAGCTAATGCTTGTTAAGTGTTGCTCTGTGCTGGCATCTGATTAGAATAAACTTTAGAAGGTGATATCTGGACACGATGTGAAAAATGAAGAGGATGCAAATTACCACCCTAGAGATTACCTATTAATTACAAAGATAAAAACAAATCTTTACAGTGGAGAGCACCATCTTCATCAAGTGATCTAACTAATCATCACCAATACTGGAACAATGAAATATTATGTTCTTGGTGATATAGCTCAACAAGAAGCATACAAATGATCTATGAAGTAAAAATAGTTTAACCCAAATCCAATCAAGTCTCCTAATCTAAATTTTAGTTTATAGGAAATACAAGGGATAGAGGAACAAGTTAAATAAACATCACAATGAGGAAACAATCAGACAAATCCTGATTATGAAACTTTTATAAGAAAACTGGCCAAGAATCTTCAAAAAGTCAAGGTAGCAGGGATTGAAAAAAAAAGGAGCTATTCTAAATTAAAAGAGACTAGAGGAATTCTGGTACTAAATATGGCAGAATACTTTGTATCAGACTACTCTTCCTGGCACTAACAATTATAAACTCTAGACAATACATTAAAGAACAACTACTGTACTTAAAAACACTGGAGATCCACCAAAAGTAGGCAGAAACAGGAATGGACACAAGTAGAGGATAGAGCTCAAGCAGAAAGCAGCAGTCTTAATAGACAGACTGAAGCTGCCAGCACAGCCAGACAGTGAGGAATAAAAAAATCAAAGAAAGGAATCCAGAGGACGAAGCCCCAAAATCTATGTGCAAATTCCCCCCACATCCTTGGCTAACTCTAAACCATGAATGCACAAGGCACAAAGTAAGACCTGCTAAAAATAAATAAATAAATAAATAAAACTCAAACCCAATAAACCAACAGAAAGCACAGCTGAGAGGCTACTCCTTTTTTTTTTTTTGAGACAAAGTCTCGCTCTCTTGCCCAGGCTGGAATACAGTGGTGTGATCTCGGCTCACTGCAAGCTCCGCCTCTCAGGTTCATGCCATTCTCCTGCCACAGCCTCCTGAGTAGCTGGGACTACAGGCGCCCACCACCACCTCTGGCTAATTTTTTTTTGTATTTTTAGTAGAGATGGGGTTTCACCATGTTAGCCAGGATGGTCTCAATCTCCTGACCTCGTGATCTGCCCACCTTGGCCTCCCAAAGTGCTGGGATTACAGGTGTGAGCCACCGCGCCTGGCCAGAGAGGCTACTCTTACAGTAAGAGTTCAAAACAAGCATTTCCAGAGGAAAAGGGGCATATTTCATAATAATAAAAGGATTAATTCACCAAGAAGTCACAACAATCCAAAAACAGCAGAGCTTGAAAATATATGAAAGAGAAATCAACAGAACCATGATTATATTTGGAGATTTTTAACACTGCTCTCATTAACTGATAGAAAAAAATAGACAAAACCAGCAAGTATAGATGATCTGAATAACAATTTAAACCAACTTGCACTCACTGTCATAACACTTCACCTAATAATTGTACATGAAATGTTCACTAAGATAGACCAAATCCTGGACCATACAATAAGTCTTCATACATTTAAAAGAATCCAAAGTATACAACATATGTTCTCTGTCCACAATGGAATTAAACTAAAATCAGTAACAGAAAGAGATTTGGAAAATCCTAGAATACTGGCAATTAAACAAAACACTTCTAATTACTGAAAACTTTTCTTGAACCTGTGAGAGAGCTAAAGTTACAAGACAACCAAGTAGCCTGAATCCAAGGATCAACAAATCCTTACAAAAGGTAACAGGGTACCAGAATTGGCTCATTTGTGGCAGAGAGAAAGAGGAAACTACTACTGTCATATAAGCAGAAGTAATACACTAAAATTTTAAGGATCACTTAAAGCTGAGTGTGGGGTAGCTTGATAGTATGAAACCCCGCAGAGTCCCAGGCAGTTGGCACTCACTCACAGCCTCTTGTCCATAGATGCCACTGGGTGCCCATGAAACAACTGGAAACAAGGCAGAGGGGGGGAAAAAAGGAAACAAGGCAGAATATCAAGAGCCTCTCTCAATGGTACAAGGAATTAGCTGCCACATGAGAAAGGAACAAAGGCCCGTCACCCTGCCCAGATCCTTCTTTCACACAGAGCAAAAGCCTTCAGCCACTGAGGAAGGGGACGCAAACCCATGTCTTGTTGCTGAGGGAGGGAAAAACCTTCAATTCCTGGGAGGAAAGGTGACAAGAACAGTCCTAGGCTCAGAATCTTATATCAGTAGGACTAGAGGTCTGCAATTGCTGGGGGAGGGAGCAGAAACTGCCACACAAAAAAATCGGAAGCAGAGTTTGGTTGCCACAGGAAGAGGGGAGGGAACTCTGACAAAGGTCCAGGCACACATAATCTACCTAAAACCAAGGCTATACCACAACAACCAAGAACCATTTCTGTTCCCTCTCCTCTACCAATCTTGAAAGCACTGAGTAACAAGCAATACCAGTTTACAACTGACAAGAGGAAAGAATGAGAACAAAATCCCTCTAAGGAGTAGGCATGCAAAGTGGGGCACAAACATTCACAAAAACCATTTGACACCCCACTTCCACCCTAAACATTGTACTACAGGCCTCAAATTCCTCCAATGTTAGAGGCCTCAAATTCCTCTAGCATTACAGGCCTGTAGTGTAATGAAGGTATTTATAGCAAATTAAAAATTCAATTCCAGCTTAACTCCTGACTAAACTCAAATCCTTACACTAATACCAGATAGTAGAGGTGTACCAATTTATAAGCTTTAAACCTATTGATTTCAGTTTCTTACTATTTTATAGATAACCCAAAATTATGAGACATATCAAAAATCAACTGAACAGGCTGGGCATGGTGGCTCATGCCTGTAATCCCAGCACTCGGGGAGGAGAAGGCAGGTGGATCACCTGAAGTCAGGAGTTCAAGACCACCCTGGCCAATGTGGTGAAACCCTGTCCCTACTGAAAATACAAAAACTAGCTGGCCGTGGTGGCACATGCCTGTAATCCCAGCAACTTGGGAGGCTAAAGCACGAGAATTGCTTGAACCTAGGTGGTGGAGGTTGCAGTGAGCTGAGATTGCACCACTGCACTCCACCCTGGGTGACAGAGCGAGACTCTGTCTCAAAAAAAAAAAAAAATCAACAAACAAAACAAAACAAAAAAGTGTCTAGAGACAAAGCAATCAACAGAGTCAGATTCAGAGAAGACCCAAATGTTGGAGCTAGGAAACAGGGGCTTTAGGAAAATATTTTGAACTTAAAAGTAAAAACACATAAAAATTTGTGGGATGCTAATAAATCCAGGCATAAAAGAAAATCTATAGCATTAAATGATCATATTAGAAATAAAGGGTCTAAAATCAATGATCAATGTTTCTGCTTTAAGAATCTAGAAAAAAAAAGATCATATTAAGCACAAATCAAGCAGAAGGAAACAAAGAAATCAATGAAAGAGAAAACAGAAAAACACTAGAGAAGAAATTAAAAGCAAATGAGTTTTCTGAAAAGATAATAATGAATAAACCTACAGTCAGACTGACCAAGAAAAAGAGATGACACAATTTACCACTATCAGGAATTAAAGAAGAAACATGATTACATAGATATCTTGGTAAAACTGACTCAGGAAGAAACAGAAAACCTGAAATGTCTATATTTATTTTTTAAATTTAATAGGAAATTTAAAATTTTCCCAAAAGAAAACTCCAGGGCCAAAATGGTTTCACTGATGAATTATATCAAACATTTAATAAAGAAATAATACCAATCTTAATCAAACTTTTTCAGAAAATAAAGAAGGATCATTTCTTAATTCATTTTATGAAGCCAGAATAAACTTGATACCAAAAGCTAACAGCAATATGAGAAATAAAAATTACAGATCAATATCCCTCATGAACACAGATATAAACCATCAATAAAATATTAGCAAATTAAATCCAATAATATATATAAAGTATAATACAAATATAATGCCAAGTAAAGTTCATCTCAAGAATGCAAGGTTGGTTTAACATCCAACTATCAATGAATTTCACAATATTTCTAAAAAAAGGAGAAAAAAATCATCTGTTCATCTCAACAGATGGAAACAATATCTGATAAAATTCAAATCCATTTATAATAAACACTCTCAGCAAATGAGAAATGGAAGAAAATTTCTTCAAACAGATAAAACCCATCTAACCACCCCCACCCCCCACCGACATTTAACATTATACTTACTATTAAGATATTGAATGCTTTCTTTCTAAGATTAGGAACTAGGCAAGAATGACCACCATAACCACTTATATTCAACATTGTACTGAAATTCTTAGTTAATAAAATATGCCAAGAAAATAACATGATTGTGTATATAAAAAAGCCAAATGAATCAATCTATAAGAGAATTACCAGAACTAAGAATTTATCAAGATCATAGGGTAAAAGGCCAACACTCAAAACTCAATTGATTTTCTCTAGGCCAGGTACAGTGGCTCATGCCTGTAATCTCAGCACTTTGGGAGGCTGAGGCAGGCAGATCACTACAGTTCAGGAGTTTGAGACCAGCCTGGCCAATATGGTGAAACCCCATCTTTACTACAAATGTAAGAATTAGCTGAGTGTGGTGGTGGACACCTGTAATCCCAGCTACTTGGGAGGCTGAGGCAGGAGAATCATTTGAACCTGGGAGGCAGAGGTTGCAGTGGGCCAAGGTCTCACCATTGCACTCCAGTCTGGGTGACAGGAGTGAAGCTCTGTCTCAAAGGAAAAAAAAAAAAAAAAAAAAGGCCAGGCACGGTGGCTCACACCGGTAATCCCAGCACTTTGGGAGGCCGAGGTGGGCAGATCACCTGAGGTCGGGAGTTCAAGACCAGCCTGACCAACATGGAGAAACCCCATCTCTACTAATAATACAAAATTAGCCGGGCATGGTGGTGCATGCCTGTAATCCCAGCTACTCGGGAGGCTGAGACAGAAGAATCGCTTGAATCCGGGAGGCGGAGGTTGCGGTGAGCTGAGATCGTGCCTGCACTCCAGCCTGGGCAAAAAGAGTCAAACTCTGTCTCAAAAAAGAGGAAAAAAAAAAAAAAAAAAAAAAAAAAGAATTTCTCTGTACTAGCAACAAATAATTGGAAAATAAAAATTTTAAAAATCATTTACAATAGCATCAAAAACATAAAACATTTAGGAATAAATCTTTGAGAAAGAGAAGGAATAAAATTTTTAAAAGAATATGCAAGATCCTTGAAAACTACCAAGCACTGCTGAGAGAAACTGAAGAGTCATTCACCATGTTCATGAATCAGAAAGGAGAGTAGCAAGACTCAACAAACAATTGCAAAAACCAAAATTTGACTGGACTCTAGTTATTTAAAAAGCAGTAATATAAACAACATTTTTGCTATAAATGAGGAAATTTGAAATATGCATGCACAGATAGATGATATTATAGAATTATAGTTAACTTCCTTAAGAGAAATAATGCTACTGCTGTTACACAGAAAAATGCCTGTATTCTTAAGAGATGAAAGATTAAGTATTAAAGGATGATATCTACATTTTACTTTCAAATGATTCATGAAAAAAGAATATACACACACATATATAAAGCAAATGTGACAGCATGTTAACAACTGCTGAATCTAGAATGGAGGGCACACAGGTTTTAATTATATTTGTTTTCAATGTTTCTGTAGGTTTGAAGATACTGCAAATAAAAATCAAAAAGGAAAGTGAATGGAAAACATTTAAAAAAAAAAGGTTTGAAGGAGAACATTCTAGGCAGAGAGAACAGCACCAGCTAAAGAGACACAATCTGTATGTAATTGCCCCCACCTAAACTGCTAAAGAGAATGAGCGGCACATGGAGCAAAACTGGATTCAACATGCAGTTGGGAAATAAGCTGACCTCAACCGTCTCTAGGTTAGCCATCCTCAGCCAAGGCTTAGGCTAAAACAAGGCCCAATCCCGTAGGAATTAGAATAAGTGTTCATCATTGTATGCCAATGAGTTCTGGCATGTTTTGTTACAGAATATTACTATGGCAAAAGTTGATACATGGGGAAATAAGGTTTTAGATTTAAAAAGTAACAGAACCAGTTGTATTTTATGAATATTATTCGGCTGAGAGAGTGAGGTATAGTCAAGAATAAGTAGAGAGGCTGGCAATAGGATTAGGATATTGCTAGAAGATTTAAAGTCTCTAGATAAGAATTCAGAGGTCATGGCAGCTAACGGATATGGAAAACGAGAAGAGTCAAAGACAACTTCAATATTTCAACCCTGGGTAAGAGTAATTTTAAAAATTACTGTACATAGGTTGGGCACGGTGGCTCATGCCTGTAATCCCAGAACTTTGGGAGGCCAAGGTGGGCAGATCACAAGGGCAAGAGATCGAGACCATTCAACATGGTGAAACCCCATCTCTACTAAAAATAGAAAAATTAGCTGGGTGCGGTGGCACGTGCCTGTAGACCCAGCTACTCGGGAGGCTGAGGCAGAAGAATCACTTGAACCCGGGAGGCAGAGGTTGCAGTGAGCCGAGATCACGCCACTGCACTCTAGCCTGGCAACAGAGAGAGACTCTGTCTCAAAAAAAAAAAAAAAAAAAAATTACTGTACACACACACACACACACACACACACACACACACACACACACACACATACACACAGGGTCAGGAAAACAAGACAACCTTTCTTAGTTGAAAGTAATGGCAGGACTGTCAAGTTACTCGAGAAACGTTTGCCTCAGAGACATAACTGACAGTCATTTTCCTTAAAGGAGACAACTATAAGCTGTGGCAGTAGGTAAGGGAGAGGTAGAAAGTAAAACAAAAGGAGCCAAATGCAGACCCTATAGAGATGTTGCACTTAAGAGAAGAAAAACCACCAAAGAAACAAATAAAGTTGATCTAACATACAAACTAAACAAAACTAGCTAACTTTCCTTTGAAGAATAACAAAAGTATTATAATTTGTGAATAATCACATATACACTAAAACTAAGGAATATCTGAAAGGGAACAAAATGAATCACTCAGTAAATATATAAATCTAACCAGACAATGCTGGTGTCCAAACAGGTGCTCAATAAATATGAGACGAATGGATGGACAGATAAAACTTAAGAGATATTGCCTATAGTTCTTACTTCTAATGGCACTTTAAAAGGATCGGTCTATATCTGTTGCATTTTCAGTGAGATGTATTATAATGTATGCTTATTGTTAATTTTTCGTAAAAAGAATTGTTTATATAATTTTCATGTTTTCTGAACTTTTGCCCTGAAGTATTCCTAATAGAGAAAGAGAACAAACACATATATAACACCATTACCCTGCCTCATTCCATGGAGGGGCATAGGGGACTGTCAGGCTTCAGTATGCATATCGAGAAGGGAAGCTAAAATTTTCACTACAATGCAGACTCTACCTTAAAATTCACTCAAATTTGGCTGGGCGCAGTGGCTCATGCCTGTAATCCCAGAACCTTGGGAGGCTGAGGTGGTTGGATCATGAGGTCAGGAGTTCGAGACCAGCCTGGCCAAGATGGTGAAACCCCGTCTCTACTAAAAATACAACAATTAGCCAGGCATGGTGGCGCACGCCTGTAGTCCCAGCTACTTGGGAGGCTGAGGCAGGAGAATCGCTTGAACCCGGGAGGCAGAGGTTGTGGTGAGCCGAGATCGTGCCATTGCACTCCAGCCTGGGTGACAAGAGCCAAACTCTGTCTTTAAAAAAAAAAAAATTCACTCAAATTTTATGCTCCAATAATAAAATAAAACCTATCATTAAAGTGGACTTCATGTACATTGTCTCATTTAAACAGTCTTATGAAATGTATACTATTATTATGATCATAAAGATGAGTATACTAAGGCTTAGCATTTAAGAAAGTAACCAAGGTCACGTAAGTAACAGAGCCAGAAATATAACTCATGCATTCTATTTTTTTTTGGACAGAGTCTTGCTCTGTTGACACCTCCCAGGTTCAAACAATTCTCCTGCCTCAGCCTCCTAAGTAGCTGGGATTACAGGTGCCCACCACCATGCCCAGCTAATTTTTTGTATTTTTGTAGAGATGGGATTTCACCATATTGGCCAGGCTGGTCTCAAATTCCTGATCTCAGGTGATCCACCCACCTCGGCCTCCCAAAGTGCTGGGATTACAGGCGTGAGCCACCATGCTCAGCCGACACATGCATTCTTAACTCACTATATGACTGTCCAATTTGCTTGATCTTGTGGCTTAGCATTGTACAAATAATCCAATTTAAAAAGCACACATTTAATAATACTGCTTTTATTTTCACAGTTGATACTTTTATCTCCTCTAATTATTGACAAAAGCACTTTCAGTTCTTTTTTTCTCCCACTGTTTTGATTGCTTTATATCTGTGGCCAGGATACTCATTTGGGAGAAACTGACCAGAGTTATACTGCTATTACTAGCTTTCAAACAAAACAAAGACACCAAGTTTACATATGGAGACCAAAATTTTCATCCTAAAAGAAGGGGTCGGCAAACTACAACCTGTGGGTCAAATGCTACCCAGGTCAAATGCTACCCACTGTTTTTTTTTTTTTTAAGTAAATTTTGCTGGAAAGCAGCCACTCCCATCCATTTACATGCTGTCCACAGTGGAGTTGAGAGTTGACTAGTTGCAACAAAAACTGTATGGCTCACAAAGCATAAAATACTTACTATCTGGTCCTTTACAGAAAAAGTTTGCAGGTCCTACCCTGGAGTCTTTAGTATTGTGCTTTAATCAACTGAAATAATTAGCCAAACTCTTTCTACTAAAAAAAGAAATATACAGAATAGTTATACAAAAAACACAATGGCTTTCCCCTCTCCAATATTTATGTTTATACATATACAAACTAATTTTTAATCACATTGGATTCTAAAATTTAGTGACTCTTGCAGAATATGATTCACATCCCACTGACCTCTGATATATATTTTTGTTTATCTTACTTAAAATTTAAAAGTGAAACCACAGTTTCCATCCCTAAAAGCAAACAGGTGGAAGAGGTGAAGCAATAGGGCAAAATGGAAAGCTCCACTGATTGTCCCAGCTGCATGGACACCAATTTAACAACTATCTACACAAAAAAAGCATCTTCCTGAGAACCAAAAATCAGGTGAGCACTCATAGCACCTGGTTTCAACTTCATATTGCTGAAAAAAAGAGATACAAAAAAGTCTTGAATCACCAACATCACCCCTCTCCCAGCCCCTGGCAGAGGCATTGTGGTGCAGAGAGCATTTCTGTGCACCGGGGAGAGAAAGAATGCAGCAATTGTTAGGCATTGAGCTCAGCACTGCCCTGTTACAGCAAAAAGTAAAACTGGATCAAACTTAGCTGACTCCTGTCCACAGAGGGAGCATTAAAACCCAGCCCTAGCCAGAGGGGAACTGTGGGTCCCAGTTGTCAAAATGTGAGTTCCTGCAAGCCTCACCATGGTGGGCTAAAGTGCTCTGGGGCCCTCAATAAACTTCAAACATAGTGCAGGCCACAAGGACCGCAACTACTAGGTGAGTCCAAGTGCAGAACTGGGCCCAGAGCCAGTGAGCTGGAGAGGCATGTGACCTACTGAGACACCAGCTGGGGCTGTTTAGGGACTGCTGGCACTACCCCTCCTTTAACCCAAGGCTGCACAGCTTGTGGCTCCAAAAGAGATCTTCTCCTTCCACTTGCGGAGAGAAGACTGGAGGGAAGAGTGGGGAGAACTTTGTCTTGCATCTTGGATACCAGCTCAGCCACAGCTGGATAGGGCACCAGTCAAAGTTGTGAAGACTGCTTTCCAGACTGTAGCTCCTGAACAACATTTCTAGATACACAGTGGCCAGAAGGGAACCCACTGCCTCGAAAAGAAAGACCCAGTCCTGACAGCTTTCATTATCTGTTAACTGAAGAGCCCTTGGGTCCCTGAATAATCAGCAGCAATATCCATGTACTAGGTACAAAGGCCTTGAGTGAGCCTGAAACTTCCTGGCTTCAGGTGAGACTCAGCACATTCCCTACCATGGCAGCTATGGGGCAAGACTCCTGCTTGAGAAAAGTGGAGGAAAAGTAAAGGGGACTTTGTCTTGTACCTTGGGTACCAGCTCCAACGTAGGAGGGTGAACAAATTCCAGGACTTGGTTCTTAGATGGCATTTCTGGACCTGTGCTGGGCCAGAGGGTAAGTCCCATGCCAGGCAGCATTCACCACAAGCTGACTAAAGAGCCCTTAAGGACCAGGCATGGTGGCTCACGCCTCTAATCCCAGCACTTTGGGAGGCCGAGGCTGGCAAATTACTTGAGGTCAGGAGTTCAAGACCAGCCTGGCCAACATGGAGAAACACTATCTCCACAAAAAATACAAAAATTAGCCAGCACAATGTCACATGCCTGTAGTCCCAGCTACTTGGGAGGCTGAGGTGGGAGGACTGCTTGAGCCTGGGAGGTAGAGAGTATAGTGAGCCGAGATTGTGCCACTGCACTCCAGCCTGGGCAATAGAGCCAGACCTTGTCTCAAAAAAGCCCTTGGGCTGGGCATGGTGGCTCACACTTGTAATCCCAGCAAGTTTGGGAGGCCAAGGCAGGCAGATCCTTGAGGTCAGGAGTTTGAGACCAGCCTGGCCAACATGGTGAAACCCCATCTCTACTAAAAATACAAAAATTAGCCAGGCATAGTGGTGCAGGCCTGTAGTCCCAGCTACTCAGGAGGCTGAGACAGGAGAATCGCTTGAACCCAGGAGATGGAGGAGCTGAGATTGCGTCACTGCACTCCAGCCTGGGCGACAGGAGACTCCGTCTCCAAACACAAACAAACAAAAAAACCCCTTGGGCCTCAAGGAAACACTGGCAGTATTCTGGCAGTACTCCCCACAGGCCCCTGGTGACAGTGGCCAAGGGGAGGTCTGGGGTGTTCCTCTGCCTTTGCAAAGGGGAGGGATGAGTGGTAAGGACTATTTTGTGGTTTGAGGGCCAGCTCAGCTGCAGTACAACAGAACACCAGGTAGACGTCTAAGGTTTTTCACTCTAGTCCCTGGCTCCCAGACAGCACCTCTGGAGTCACCAAGGGCCTGGGGAAACTAGCTGCCCCGAAGGGAAGGACACAGGCCAGGCTGGCTTTGCCACCTGGTGATTGTAGAGCGCCAGCACCTTGAGTGAAGATAGTCAGTAGCCAGGAAGTTGTTATAACAGGCCTTGGGTGAGACCCAGTGCTGTGCTGGCTTCAGGTCTGATCCAGTGTAGTCCCAGTGGTGGTAGCATCGCCACAGGGGTGCTTGTGTCACTCCACCCCCAGCTCCAGGTGCCTCAGAACAGACAAAGTTTGTTTTGGAAAAAGTAAGGAAAGAGAAAGAACAAGAGTCTCTGCCTGGTAATTCAGAGAATTCTTCCAGACCTTGTCTAAGACCATCAAGGCAGTACCTTTATGAGTCTGCCAGAACCACAGCACTACTGGGTGTGGGGTGCCAACTAAAGCAGATACAGCTTCTAAGCGATGACAACATCCAAGTCCTTCTGAATATCTGGAAAGCCTTTCCAAGAAGCACGAAGACACACAAGTCCAAACCGCGAAGACTACAATAAATACGTAACTCTAACTCTTTAATGCCCAGACAGAGAGGAACATCTGTTAAGTTATCAAGACCATCCAGGAAAACATGACCTCACCAAATGAACAAAATAAGGCACCAAAGACAAATCTTGGAGAAAAAGAAACACATGACCTTTCAGACAGGGAATTCTAAATAGCTATTTTGAAGAAACTCAAAGAAATTCAAGATAATACAGAGAAAGAATACCAGATAAATTTAACAAAGAGACTGAAATCATTTAAAAGAATGAAGCAATAATTCTGGAGCTGAAAAAATGTAATTGACATACCGAAGAATGTCTCAGAGTCTTTTAATAGGAGAATTGATCAAGCAGAAGAAAGAATTAGTGAGCTGAGGAGACAAAAGAAAAAAGAATAAAAAACAATAAGGCATGCCTACAGAATCTAGAAAAAAGGCCCAAAAGGGCAAATCTAAGTTACTGGCCTTAAAGAGGAGATAGATGGGGCAGAAAATTAATTCAAAGAGATAATGACAGAGAACTTCCCAAACATAGAAAAAGATATCAATATCCAAGTAGAAGACTGTAGAACACCAAGCAGACTTAATCCAAATAAGACTCTTTGAAGACATTTAATAATCAAACTTCCAAAGGTCAATGATAAACCAAGGATCCTGAAAACAGAAAGAGAAAAAAACAAGAGCTGGGCGCAGTAGCTCACACCTATAATCCCAGCTAACACGGTGAAACCTCGTCTCTACTAAAAATACAAAAAAATTAGCCGGGTGTGGCGGCGGGCACCTGTAGTCCCAGCTACTCAGGAGGCTGAGGCAGGAGAATGGCGTGAACCTGAGAGGTGGAGCTTGCGGTGAGCCGAGATAGTGCCACTGCATTCCAGCCTGGGCGACAGAGCAAGACTCCATCTCAAAAAAAAAAGAAAAAAAAACCTGTCTGAGAAAAAAACAAATAACATACAATGGTGTGCCAATATGCTGGCAGCAGACTTCTCAGGGCAAACTTTACAGGCCAGGAGAGAATGGCATGACATTTAAAGTATTGAAGGGAAAATTTATCCAGTGAAAATATCCTTCAAACATGAAAGATAAATACTTTTTTTTGAGATAGAGTTTCGCTCTTGTTGCCTAGGCTGGAGTGCAATGGCGCGATCTCGGCTCACCACAACCTTCGCCTTCCAGATAGTCATCAAAACAGCACGGTACTGGCATGATTCTCCTGTCTCAGCCTCCCAAGTAGCTGGGATTACAGACATGCGCCACCATGCCTGGCTAATTTTGTATTTTTAGTAGAGAAGGGGTTTCTCCATGTTGGTCAGGCTGGTCTCGAACTCCCGACCTCAGGTGATACACCCGCGTCAGTCTCCCAAAGTGCTGGGATTACAGCCATGAGCCACCGCACCCCACCCTGAAAGACAAATATTTTCCTAGACAAACAAAAGCTGAGGAATTTTATCAACACTAGACCTGTGGAACAAGAAATGCTAAATGGAGGTCTTCAATCTGAAAGAAAAAAACATTAATGGGCAATAACAAATCATCTAAAGGTATAAAACTCAATAGTATACAGAAAAATACAGAATATTACAACACTGTAATTATGGTGTGTAAACTACTCTTAAGTAGAGAGACTATAAACAATTAACCAATCAAAAATAACAACTACAACAACTTTTCAAAACAGAGTATAAGATATAAATAGAAACAACAAAAAGTTAAAAAGCAGGAGTACAAAGTTAAGGTGTAGAGTTTTCATTACTCTTCTTTTTGCTTATTTGTTTATACAAACAGTGTTAAGTTGTTATCAATTTAAAATAATGGGTTATAAGATAGTATCTGCAAGCCCCATGGTAACCTGAAACCAAAAGCATATAATGAATACACAAAAAATAAAAAGCAAAAACTAAATCATATCACCAGAGAAAATCACCTTCACTAAAAACAAAACAGCAAGAAAAAAAAGGAAGAGAAAACTGCAAAACCACCAGAAATGAGTAACAAAATAGGAGGAGTGTGTCCTTACTTATCAATAACATTGGATGTAAATGAACTAAACTCATGAATCAAAAGACATAAAGCTGCATGAATAGAAAAATAAGACCAAATGACCTGTTGCCTACAAGAAACACACTTCACTTATAAAGACAAACAGACTCAAAATAAAGGGATGGAAAAAGATATCCCATGCCAGTGTTAGCCAAAAGGGCAGGAGTAGCTACCATATCAGAGAAAATAGATTACAAAAGTGTAAGAAGAGACAAAGAAGGTCACTATATAATGATAAAGTGGTCAAATTAGCAAGTGGATATAATCATTGTAAACATATATGCACCCAACATTGGAGCACCTAGACATACAAAGCAAATATTATTAGAGTTAAAGAGAGAAATAGACCTCAGTACAGTAATAGATGAAGCCTTCAACACTCCACTTTTGGCACTGGACAGAGATGTACAGACAGAAAACCAACAAAGAAACATGAGACTTAATCTGCACTATAGACCAAATGGACCAAACACATATTTACAGAACATTTCATCCAATGGCTGCAGAATAAACATTGTTCTCCTTAGCACATGGATCACTCTCAAAGACACACCATATGTTATGTCATAAAACAAGTCTTAAACCATTCAAAAAAACTGAAATAGGCCAGGCATGGTGGTTCACACCGGGTAATCCCAGCACTTTGGGAGGCCAAGGCGGGTGGATTACTTGAGGCCAGGAGTTCAAAACCAGCCCAGTCAACATGACGAAACCCCATCTCTACTAAAAAATAGCCTGGAGTGGCCTGTAATCCCAGCTTCTTGGGAGGCTGAGACATGAGAATCACTTGAATCGGGGGGGTGGAGGTTGCAGTGAGCCGAGATCAGGCCACTGTACTTACTCCAGCCTAGACAACACAGTGAAACTCCATCTCAAAAGAAAAAAAGAAAAACTATCAAAGAAATTGAAGAGGACACAAAAAATGGAAGATATTCCATGTTCAATATTGTTAAAATGTCCATACCACCTATAGCAATCTACAGATTCATTGCAATCCTTATCAAAATACCAATGACATTGATCACAGAAATAGGAAACACAATCCTAAAATTTACACAGAACCACAAAAGACCCAGAATAGTCAAAGCTATCTTAAGCAAAAAGAACAAAACTGCGAGGAATCATATTACCTGACTTCAAATTATAGTGCAGCGGTATAGTAATCAAAAGAGCATGGTACTGGCATGAAAACAGACACATAAACCAATGGAACAGAACAAATTTGTTTCTAGAGAACCTAGAAACAAATCTACACACCTAAAATGAACTCATTTTTGACAAAAGAACCAAGAACATACACTGGACAAAAGACAGTCTCTTCAATAAATGGTACTGGGAAAACTGAATATCTGTATGAAGAAGAATCAAACTAGACCCCTATCTCTTACTATATATAAAAATCAAATCAAAATGATTAATGATTAAATCTAAGACCTCAAACTATGAAACTACTTAAGAAAACATTAGGGGAAACTCTCCAGGACATTGGTCTGGGCAAAAATTTCCTAATGCCCCACAAGCACATGCAACCAAAGCAAAAGTGGACAAACGGGATTACATTAAATTAAAAAACTTCTACACAGCAAAGGAAACAGTCAACAAACAGAATGGGAGGAAATATTTGCAAACTAATCATCTGACAAGGGATTAATAACCAGAATATATAAGGAGCTGAAACAATTCTATAGAAAAAAATGCAATAATCCAATTTAAAAAGTGGGCAAAAGAGCTGAATAGACATTCCTCAAAAGAAGACATAAAAATACCAAACAGGCGGCAGGGTGCGGTGGCTCATGCCTGTAATCCCAGCATTTTGGGAGGCTGAGACGGGTGGATCGCCTGAGCTCAGGAGTTCAAGACCAGCCTGGGCAACACGGTGAAACCCCGTCTCTAATAAAATACAAAAAATTAGCTGGGCATGGTGGCGTGGGCCTGTAGTCCCAGTTAATTGGGAGGCTGAGGCAGGAGAATTGCTTGAACCCAGGAAGCGGAGGTTGCACTGAGCAAAAAAAAAAAAAAACAAAACAAAAACAAACGGGCATATGAAAAGGCGCTCAATACCACCGAACACCAGTGAAATGCAAATCAAAACTACAGTAAGATATCTCACCCCAGTTAAAATGGCTTTTATTCAAAAGACAGGCAATAACAAATGCTGGCAAGGATGTGGACTAAAGGGAACCTTCGTACATTGTTGGTGAGAATGTAAATTAGTACAACCATTATGGAGAACAATTTGGAGGTTCCTCAAAAAACTAACAATAGAGCTACCACATGATCTAGCAATCCCACTGCTGAGGAGCTACCCAAAAGAAACGAAAGCAGTATATCATACAGGTATTTGCACTACCAGGTCTACTGCTACACTGTTCACAATTGCCAAGATTTGGAAGCAATCTAAGTGTCCATCAGTAGGTGAATGAATAAGGCCGGGTGCAGTGGCTTGTGCCTGTAATCCCAGCACTTTGGGATGCTGAGGTGGGCGGATCACAAGGTCAGGAGATAGAGACCATCCTGGCTAACACGGTGAAACCCCGTCTCTACTAAAAATACAAAATAAAAAAAAATTAGCCAGGTGTGATGGCAGGCGCCTGTGGTCCCAGCTGCTCGGGAGGCTGAGGCAGGAGAACAGCATGAACCCAGGAGGCGGAGCTTGCAGTGAGCCAAGATCGCACCACTGCACTCCAGCCTGGGCAACAGAGGAAGACTCTGTCTCAAAAAAAAAAAAAAAAAAATACAAAAATTAACTGGGTGTGGTGGTGTACGCCTGCAATCCCAGCTACTCAGGAGGCTGAAGCAGCAGAATCGCTTGAACCCGGGAGACGGAGGTTGCAGTGAGCTGAGACTGTGCCACTGCACTCCAGCCCTGGCAATAGAGCAAGATTCCATCTCAAAAAAAAAGAACGAATACAGAAAATGTGGTATTTATACACAATGAAGTACTATTCTGGCCAGGCTTGGTGGCTCACGCCCGTAATCCCAACAGTTTGGGAGGCTGAGGCAGGTGGATCATTTGAGGCCAGGAGTTCGAGACCAGCCTGGCCAACGTGGTGAAACCCCATCTCTACTAAAAATACAAAAAATTAGCCAGTTGTGGTGGCAGATGCCTGTAGTCCCAGCTACTCGGGAGGCTGAGGCAGAGAATTGCTTGAACCTAAGAGGTAGAGGCTGCAGTGAGCCAAGATCACGCCACTGTACTCCACCCTGGACGACAGAGTGAGACTCCATCTCAAAAAAAAAAAAAAAAAGAGTGACATTCCTGTGTCATGTGCAACAACATGGACAAAACTGGAGGACATTATTTAAGTGAAATAAGCCAGGCACAGAGACAAATATCGCATGTTCTCACTTATTTGTAGGATCTAAAAATCAAAACAATTTATCTAATGGAGACACAGAGTAGAAGAATGGTTACCAGAAGCTGGGAAGGGTAGTGGGGAGGCAGGGGCATGGGTGAGGTTGGGATGGCTAATAGATAAAAATAAAAATATTAAAAAAAAAATGAGTAAGACCTAGGTTTTTCTTTTTTTGAGACAGAGTCTCACTCTGTTGCCCAGGCTGGAGTGCAATGGCACGATTTCGACTCACTGCAACCTCCACCTCCTGGGTTCAAGCAATTCTCCTGCCTCAGCCTTCTGAATAGTTGGTATTACAGACACGTGCCACCACGCTCAATTAATTTTTGTAATTTTTAGTAGAGATGGGGTTTCACCATGTTGGCCAGGCTGGTCTTGAACTCCTGACCTCAAGTGATCCACCGGCCTCAGCCTCGCAAAGTGCTGGGGTTACATTACTGGAGTGAACCACCGCACCCGGCCAAACCTAGTATTTCATAGCACATCTCATGTACCCCATAAAGATATACCTACTATGTACTCACAAAAATTAAGAATTAAAAAAAATTAAAGAAACGCAACCAGTGTTTGCAGTTTGTATATCTTGCTGATATGATATATACGTTTTTGAAAAGAAATGTTAATGTTAGAATAAAAATAATATATTCGCATAGTAGATAAGGTTCAATCAGCCATCATTTTCTCCAGGAAGTCTTCCTTAGTCCTTCATAGTTACATGCCCTCCCAAGTGTTCTCATAGCACTCTGCATTTTCCCTAATCTAGTACTTACCATGCTGTAACATAAAGACCAAAAAGTTTAGACAATCTCTCAATATTGTAAGCTCAACAAGGGCAGAAATCATGTCTTTTATCACTACATCACTAATATCTAATATAATAATAAGCACATAGTAGGCACTCTATTTGCAAAATGAATTTTAAAAAGAAGTCACACGGTAGAAGTTCAAAACAACTTATGTGTTTAGGATTATTGCCTAAATGTACAAAATAAAACCTATATAAGTTTGATTATAACACTTTTATTTCACATTTTAATTAAAGTTTAGTATTCTTGCTTAAAAACCTCAGTTCAAGGGTGGTTATGGTGAGTATGTTTTATCTGTTTGGTTTTATTTAAGGGTTCTACATAAAATAGTTTGAAAATCACTGATTTAGATCAGCACAAATATGTAGCGACTAGGCTAGACAGACCAAGTAAGGCTTCTCTTTTGGCATACCAGCATGTCTATAATGTACTACGTGGAACTCGGAAACTACTAAATAACCCAATTATTTGCCAGTAAACTCATTTAGCTGATAATACATCCATTCCTGACAGCAGGTACCAAAGGTATTTTCTTATGATGCCATTTGGAGCACTGAAAACAATTTTTAATTCAAAAACTTTCCAAAGGACATGACATATGGGAGGAACAAGTGCATCCATAAATCCTGAAATGAATAGGGAACACAAAGTCCAGTTCTCTGGTTCATAATCATCCTCCAGAGTTAGAGAAAGAAGAAAACTGAGGAAATTCCCCTTAATTCTTAACCATAGAGCAGAGGGAAGGAATTTAGGCAGCTGTCAGATACAAGGTGTCTTTGAATAAACAAGTTTTGATAGTAATAGGTTTCTTGAATGATACAAATAAATCGTCCCTCGTAGTTCATATCTACAGATACCTATTTATGGCAGAGCAGGATGAAGAAAGTTTCCTCTAAGGCATAGAAGAAAGATAATTCACTGCTCTAAAGCCTCCCAAAAAGAGATGTTTAAGAAAGTCATACCAGTATCATCCTGCTTTTGACTTTTGTAACTACTGCAAACAAGAACCCAGTTTCCTCATAACCCAATAATTTCTTCAAGTCAAAAGTAGTGGTTTTCCATTCAAGTGGTGGTGGTAACAAAATCACTGTCTTATGAATATATAATAACTTACATATATTGTATTATTTATTTTTTTGAGACGGAGTCTCACTCTTTTGCCCAGGCTGGAGTGCAGTGGTATGATCTCAGCTCACTGCAACCTCTGCCTCCTGGGTTCAAGCGATTCTCTTGCCTTAGCCTCCTGGGTAGTTGGAATTACAGGCATGCACCACCATACCCAGCTAATTTTTTTTTGTATTTTTAGTGGAGACGGGGTTTCACCATGTTGGCCAGGTTGGTCTCAAACTCCTGACCTCAAGTGATCCGCTCGCCTCACCACCCAAACTGCTGGGATTACAAGCATGAGCCATCACGCCCAGCCCATACTGTATAATGTAAACAATACATAAATCTTGGAAAACTATCAGGGCTGGTATTTCAATCCTTATAGATAATTCTTCATTTGCATATGGGATAAAGAAAAAGACTTCTTCAAAATCACAGTGGTAGGAAGCAACACAGAGGGGTTAGAAATATGATCTTTTTGATTCCTAGTCCAGCGCCTATAATATAATACTATATGTGATCTAGAATATGAACTTCTAGATCTAGGGGCATAAAATAAAATCAAGCCCCCTTCTAAAGAGATTATACTACTATATCTGCTGATATAAATGTGGACATTCATTTTTCCAGTCTATGAAAAGGGGCAAAATACCGACTATATAGGGTTTTAAAGTTAAATATATCTAGAGTATTCACATGAACTACAGACAAAGGAGGTTCTAGTGGTTAGCAAGCAATAAATTTTCCCTTCCCCTTCAACTATCAAGATGTGAAGATTCTAGTATTTAGAATGAGTCCATCAAAAAGGTCTTTGAAGATGAAACTCTATCAAGTTCTTCCTTAGTTGAGACTGAAGTTACTGAGCTAGGCAGGTAATTTAACTTACTTGCTTAAGTTCTGCCTATAGTTTGAAAGAAAAAATGTTCAATTTCCCCCGCTTCTCTGCCCCTTCCATTTTCTCGAGGTAAAAGACACAGCTAAGAAAAAAAAGTATTTCTTAAAGGGGGGAATAAAGATAAGCAGATAATGAAAGCACAGAATGAGTAATTATTTGGTAATAGGGTCCAGCTGAAAAGGGATTGTTCACCAAAGCAGTAGGATGAAGTCCAGAGAAAAGAAACAATCTAATTAATCTCTTGAATCCTCGGCAAACAGTACACAGAAAGGTAGAGACCCATCTCATGTAGTTAGAGAATCTTCTTAGTAACTGTTTACTGCAGACCTGGACCCTGATATGCTAAAAGAAAGCCCTGTTCTGGGTAAAGGCAAACATAAGAATGACCTGTTTCCCTAGGAAATACATGGCTATGATTTCATCAATCAAAATGAAGAGAAATGAGTTGTTTTTCTAGGAATCTTGGACATACTAAATACCAAAGAAAAAAGTAAGTCCAGAAAGTTAAGTAGTTGAGAAAAATACCCAGGAGCTTCACTAAAATAGGAAAATAAATGGCCGGTAAAGGTTTGTTCTTAGACAAAGAACAGATGGATTATCTCCTTTATCCCTTTATTATTTACCTTAGCACTAGGCAAGAGGGTCTGAAAATGCAAAGAAGCTGTTAAGGAGAAGAAACTAAAGATTAAAGGTTCATGTGGGTTTTTTAGTCATTCCATAGGTTAGAAACATACGCTTCTCCCTTAGGTCATGTCTCATCTAAATAGCAACTTGAGAAAACCAAATGGCATAACAGAGGTATACCTACCAACTGTCAGGGATGAAAATCCATCTTTAATGAAACAGCTCAGAGTCTACTTCTTCATATAACTTTGAACTGCTACAAGTGTAAAGGGTACTATTTGTTACACTGGGAAGAAGGGCAGGGAAGAACAATAGGCAAATTAATGAATTACATACGGTTCCAATTTTAAATTAGTCATTTGTTTCAAATGAAATGTTCTACTTTGAGGCCATTAGTACCCTACAGCAAAAGAACACAAGTTTTAATGTTCATAATTACAACTAGGACCCAATCTCTTTCACAAGATAACCACTTACAGCTAACAAAAACCATATAATGCAAACTAACAAATTATATTCTTCATAAGGAAATATAAGGAGAATTCTAACTCATTAGTATGTTATTGTTCTGCCCAACTATGGATAAGTTATCTATACATGCCTAACAAAGTCAGGTAAGACCAGAGCTCCAAAGGACAGGTTTATTACTTCTTTTAAGAGAAAGTATAGATAACTTTTCCAAATTTCTATAATATGCATTGTTTTTGCCAATCTAAATCTTTAATAGATTAATGTTAAAATGAACAGTATCAATCTGTTAATAGGAATGGGGAAAGAGGAAAATAAAGGAATGATTGGACATACCCTATGTAGTATTTCTAAAACCTTTAATGCAGTATGAAGAAAACTGTTGAAAATTCTTCTTTCAGAAGGGGGAATACCGATCTTGTAGAGTTTCAAAAGATGTACCACAACTTCCTTAAAAAGTTCTACTATCTTGAGGAATAGTGGAGGTTCAAGTACTGACCACCAGTTTTCTGTTATTAAAAAGTGAACATGCAAATAAAATGAATTTTTTAAAAAATCACAATTTTCAAAATCATACTGACTTTTTTTCTGAAACAGTAGTTGTTAAACCTGAGAAAACCCCAGAAAGATGCATATAACACAATATCTTATGTAACATTTGTAAGGTTTATAAACCTCCCCCCGACCAAGTTAAACAATATTGTCCGAAAAGCTCTCAAAAGCAAAAATAAAGTGTGAAAGTCTTGTTGAATTTATATTCTTGGTTTCCTAAGTTATATAAAAAACTCACCACTATACCTAATATTAAAACCAGTTTTTAAAAAATGTTTTGAAAATTACAGTTTCAATTTTTAAACAAAACATCCTTTAAATTGTATTGCTCTAATACTAAAGGATCTTTCTAACTTTTATCTTTCAATTTAATATATGGTTGAAATATTGTGAACCACTACCTTTAAAATGCAAGGTACTCCTGAAGATCAAATACAGAAGCTGAACAATGTAAAGTGTAACATATGGGTCCTTCCCCACATTCACTATTTGTAGTTACTAAGTACAAACACTTCAATCCTATGAAGCAGGCAGAAAGAATACAAAAACTTCTGACAACAGGAAAGCAATACTCTTTTCAGTCCCTGCTTGACTCTTTTTCCCTCAGATTCCCATATTCTACCCCTTGCTTGTTGCTTCCTCCATTTACCCTCAGCCTTAAAGTTCTTGTACTGACATTATTACTTCTATATATCTCAGCTCCACATATCTAACAAATACCATTAGAAAGAAAAGCACTGGGTTAAATGTAGCAAAAAAAGTATAAAGGCCAGGAAATAGAGATAAAATCTAGACAATTAGAAAAATTAAAGTGAGAAAACTTTATGCCAAAAAACCAGAACAGTAAGAGATAGAAGTGCAAGATCAGATGAGCAATAAAATCTAGTCTATAGGCAGAAAAATAAAATCAAATATCATGAAATTAGCAAGTGAAGGAAACACAAGATAAAGGGCTTATATCAGGGTTCCAAGAAGATTTAAAGCCCATGTTTGTTCAGTTTTAATTGTTCCTCCTCCTTTACTTCTTTAATAGCAAGATTATACTAAAGGCGATGAGGGAAAGGAATACGGGTGACAGTTTTTAACTTTCCTAATACTGTCTCTGCTGTTATGTTTAATTGAACTTCTATATCTAACATGTTTTTCTTTCAACAACTCCAACAACTAGAATCAAAAGACTAGACAAAAGCAAGAAAAGGAAAAACAGGTTCATTTTTGCCTAAGACAGTGTCAAATAAGCAGGGCAGCAGAACTGCAAATGGCAAAAGAACTTATGAAGCATTTTCATTTAAAGAGAAAAGGTTTCAAAAGAAAAAATATTAGAATTCTTACCAAGTACTTTCAGTGGTGCCTTTTCTAGGTTCACAAGAGCTGTACCAAAGGGAATTGCTATTGTTGTGAAATTGTTGGAATCACTCATCAGGGGACATTCTGGTAGAGTAAGATAAAACCTCAATGCTTCAACATCAGGTAAGGAGCTAGTCAGTTTAGGAATAAGATTCTTTTCCAAACTAGCTGCCACCTATATTTTGACAAAAAGTAAAACCTACTTCATTTAAAATGAATACACTTTCAAAGAAAAAAAAAAAAAAGGAAGGCAGGAAGAAAAGAAAGAAAAGGAAAATTTTGCACTACAGCAAATATGAAATGGTGAAGAAGAAAAAAGAAAGACAATGTCTTACAATGAATATACTTTGGAGCACAATGAAAATTAATGCCTAAGCATTACTTGGAGAATTTAAAAAATCACGTGTACAAGTCTCAATTTAAACTCTCTACCTCTATAACCATACACAAACTTAAGCAACGTGGTAATGTTAAGTAATTCAGGGTCTGCTTCAAACATCTGAAAAGATTTATAGATCTTTGACAGCTAAATTACAAATGCTTTAAAATAAAATCTTATTTTAAAAGCACATCGTAAGAGTCTGTGAAACTGCAAAGTAAATTAGGCTATAAACGTATAAAACAAAAGAAAACAAAATCAACAGATAATACTGTAAACATAATACTTTAAAAACAGACCTGCTGAGATATCTGCGGATGATCAGGTTGTATAAGTTTGTGGAATAAAAGCCTAGCAGCATTCATATCAACCCCTGAAAATCTGGTACCTGTTCTATAGTGATCATCATTGCTAAAAAACAGAAAAGAAAAAAAAAAATAGAATAAAAATTTAAAATTATTTCATTTTTTAATTTGATATACTATTTAAGACAATAAATTTGAAAATTTCAGCATATTAAAGAATTGCCACTTACCTAACAGCTAAAAAACTTCCATTTAGGCAACCAGAGGAAGAAAACGTTCCATCTATCTCACTAAAAAATTTAAAAAAGTTTTTTTAATCATAGAATCAGAAATTTAATTGTTTACCCTTTCTTAAAAAAGAATTAAAATGAATAATTAATCTAATGTTTAATGCTACAGAGCACTCCTCTAACACCCAATTAGATGAATCAGAATTACATAAATTGCTAAAGACTGATAAAATAATACTTGATGAAGGTATTACTGTTTATTCTAGACTTTCTTAAATATTACTTTCATCCATTTATCCAATGTTATCTGCTTTAAAACATGGTATTTTAAAAATTAAGTGTGTATGTTCATGTAAAAAGTTTTTTAATTTAAAAAAATTTTAAACATTTTATATTGGCAGTGAGCCTAATCTGGGATGCCTTTGGGATTTTCAGAAAAATTATAGTTTTGGAAAACAAGCTAGAGAAACAAAACAGCTTTTCAAATACAACCCATCATCCCAAATACCAACAAAAAACAAATAACATCTTAAGTGCTACTAGGCAAGTTAACAAAATATTCAAGAAAGAAATAATACTCAAGTCTTCCACAAAGTATAAAAGTTAAGATAGTGACCATTATAAAACCAGAAGGAACACATTTCAAGGCCAATCCTAAAATGGCTACATTAAATATTTTATGTTATCATTTAACATATCTCTATGCACATGAAAGAACTACAACTTATACATATTTAATTAAGATCTTTAAAAATATCCATGGATATTTTTTTTTGGAGACAAGTTCTCACTTTGTTGCCCAGGCTACAGTGCAATGGTGTTAATCTCAGCTCACTGCAGCCTCGACCTCCTGGGCTCAGCTGATCCTCCCACCTCAGCCTCCCAAGTAGCTGAGACCACAGGTGTGCACCACCACGCCCAGCTAATTGTATTTTTTTGTAGAGACAGGGTTTTGCCATGTTGCCCAGGCTGGTCTCCAATTCCTGGGCTCAGGCAATCTGCCTGGTGCTGGGATTACAGGCATGAGCCACTGTGCCTGGCCCAAAATGCTTTTCTTACTTGGCTATCTCCACAGGAAACCTTCCAGAAGGATAGCTCAGCCATTTCTGAATTAGAGCTTCATTCACTGTCCAGATCTGCTTTGTCGGATTGGGACATCTGAAGTCATCTGGTGGCCCACAGTTCTAAATTTTCAAATAAGATTAGTCAGAGGGAAGAGATATTATATATAACTCAAAAACCAAGAAATTCCCACCATATATTTGTTCTTTAAACAGAATTAAATCTCTCCTGAACACCTGAAACAAAAACCTATCAAATAGATCAGAAAAAACTTATTCTGTAGACTTAAGGGGAAAAAAACTAAGGCAATTACTTTGTAACATATAAAGAACATTAATAATGGGTTTTTAAAATTTGTCAAAATTATTGGAGCTATTTAATTATTTACATGACTATATTATTACCTGGGGACTAGAGTAATGTGAAAAGCTTTGATCTCCCCCTGAGAAAATTCTTTTTACACAGAAATATTCTTCAGAATCTGTAATAAAAATGTAAAAAATTAAAAGCCAAGATTTACATAACATATTTCAGAGCATCAATATGCCATTAGATTTTCACATAATCATCTTATTTAATAAGGCCTCCCATTCATGGACTTCATGGTATAAAGTGACTTGAAATATTCTGACTGCTATGGGGATGAGACTGACCAAATGATGAACATTAAACGATCCCACAAGCATAAGCAGCATTTGGTGAAGTTTACAAGCCTTTCTTCTGCCCTGCACCAAGAAAAAAAGCTTTTTCTAATCTGCATCTCAGTATATTTCAGTTTAAACCAAAGATGATTTAAAAAAAATAGAACAAAAGCTACAAAAGATAGCTAGAAGGAAATAAAAATCAAGAGTATTTATTCTTGGCGAGGCACAGTGGCTCATGCCTGTAATCCCAGCACTTTGGGAGGCTGAGGTGGGAGGATCATTTGATGTTAGGAGTTCGACGCCAGCCTGGCCAATATAGTGAAACCCCATCTCTACTAAAAATACAAAAATTAGCCAGGCGTGGTGGTGTGTGCCTGTAATCCCAGCTACTTGGGAGGCTGAGACAGGAGAATCGCTTGAACCCAGGAGGCGGAGGTTGCAGTGAGCCGAGATCACCCCACTGCACTCCAGCCTGGGCCAGAGCATAAGACTCCACCTCAAAAAAAAAAAAAAAAGAAAGAATTGAACTGGGCTACAGTGGCACATGTCTGTAGTCCCAGCTACTTGGGAGAGTGAGGCAGGAGGATGGCGTGAGCCCAGTTCAAAGCTGCAGTATGCTATGACTGCATCTGTGACTAGCCACTGCACTCCAGCAAGCAACATAGCAAGACCCATCTCTAAAAAAAAAAAAAATTATTCTTAAAAAGAAACAGCAAACAAAAATTAAAACTTCTGGAGTAAATATTTCATAATGCAGAATTTTTTTTTTCAATATAGGTGTACAAGATAATACATACAGCTCTTTGTTGGCAGCTATTTGTCAGTAAAAGCCAAATTAGGCCCCAAAGTGAATACATTAATAAGCAAATTTATTAGGAATAAAGAAAGGGCAACAAAGTTTCTTTTGAAAAAGATATTCCGGGCCTCTTTTTTTTCTTTTCTTCTGCTCCCCAAACTGGAAAGAGTATCTATTACCAAAAATATTGCTTGGCTAGTCCATAGTCTATCCCTGTTATCCTATTCCCATTCCTTAGTTGACTAATTCTTCACCTTGTATTATTTGTGACCATGGCTGCTATAGAATTATCCATTCTTTTCAAGGAAATGACCACATGTTAATTTCCTTGATTATTCCTTACAAGCAAGCACAATGTTTTATTTGTAAAAGAAATCAGTAAATACCTGTCCATACAAATATGCAATTGTTATCTAGGTTATACCAAAAATGAGCTTCAGAGTTTAGAACAATAATTTGATAATTACTATCAAATTTTCCGTAAGTCACAAGAATACCCTAAGGCCAAAAACAAGTTTTAAGAATAGAATAAAAGGGTAAATCTTTATTAAATAAGCCAATTATTCAACCTAAAATCTTTTTTCTAAATAATTCTCACAAATCTATATGGAATTGCTCATTTCCTCAAAAGATTTAGCAGGATGTTATTTATTTACTCTTAAAATGTGATTGTGCCCTCTATAAACAATTCCCTACAAGATGGTTGACTAATCTACAGTACATGAATGGGTTTCTGGAGGCTATGAGTTAGGTACCAAAAGTTAAGTTTCCTTAATTTCCTTTTTTTATTTTTATTTATTTCTTTTTTGAGACGGAGTTTCACTCTTGTTGCCCAGGCTGGAGTGCAGTGGCGCGATCTTGGTTCACCGCAACCTCCATCTCCCAAGTTCAAGCGATTGTCCCACCTCAGCCTCCCAATTAGCTGGGATTACAGGCATGGGCCACCACTCCTGATTAATTTTTTATTTTTAGTAGAGACGGGGTTTCTCCATGTTGGTCAGGCTGGTCTCGAACTCCCAACCTCAGGTGATCCGCCCACCTCAGCCTCCCAAAGTGTCAGAATTACAGGTGTGAGCCACTGCACCTGGCCTTATTTTTATTTTTTGAGACAGGTCTCACTCTGTCGCCCGGGTTGGAGTGCAGTGGCATGATCTCGGCTTACTGCAACCTCAGCCTCCCGAGTAACTGAGATTACAGGCGCCCACCACCACATCTAATTTTTGTATTTAGTACAGATGGGGTTTCACCATTTTGGTCAGGCTGGTCTCGAACTCCTGACCTCAAGTGATCTGCCCACCTCAGCCTCCCAAAGTGCTGGGATTACAGGTGTGAGCCACTGCATCCTATCCTTAATTTCCTTTTAATCACTACTCGAAAAAGTTTGAGAAACCTAGTCATTTGTCCTGTACAACTTTATGCAGACTGGATTTTGCTGACTTTATCTTTGTGGTTTCTCCTAACATTTGGCTTGGTCTTCTGTTCTGTAAATTGGTGGTTGAATCTAGACAGGTTTCAATCACCATTTGGTTATTTCAGTAAAACTACTACATGGAGGCAGGAGAGTAGTTCCATCAGGAAACACATAATTCCTTTGAGAAGAATTTTCACTGAGTTCTTTTTTGTGGTGGTAGTAGGCATTGATGCTCATTCACTGTAGGTTGAAAAATTAAGTGTTAGCATTACTTCATATTGTAGCTGAAGCATTAGTTTCTCCCTATTATATAGTTATCTTATAACAGGAAAGAGAGGATTAATGCTTGATCTATTACAATTATTTACTGTCCTCTTGCTTTTCAAATTTGCATTTCTTTGATACTAAAGAGGGTAATAATTTTTGCATGTTTCCTAGTAATATAAATTTCTTCTTTTAGGAACTTCCATTAATTTCCTTTATTTATTGTTTGTCTTATTTATCTATTAGCTGTCTTTTTTTTTTTTCATTAATATGTATGGACACTTTAGATATTCAGGATATTAACCTTAGGTTGTAATTGCTACAAATATTTTTTCCAAATAATTATTTGCTTAATTTTGACTCACAGAACATTTACTTTTCCATTTAAACAAATTTATCTAATTCTTTATAACTTTCATAGCATATATGCTGAGAAAGGCTTTTCCCATCCTCAACTCATATCTTCTTGTCTTAAGAAGTATTTACTCTTTAATTCATTTATAGTTTATCTTAGTGCATATTGTGACATTAGGATCTAAACTGACCTTTTTGTCCCCAATTTTCATGTGTCAAGTAATTTTCCCCCCCTTATCTAAAGAACAGTGATGCCTTGTTTCAATGTGTATGAACAGACATCATATCTTCCACCTGTAATACATACTTTTGCCACTCTTTCTCTATCTGAAAGTGTCCTTAAAATTCCTCTCCGCTGGGCACAGTAGCTCATACCTGTAATCCCAGCACTTTGGGAAGCCAAGGTAGGAGGATCACTTGAGCCCAGGAGTTCAAGACCAGCCTGGACAACATGGCAAGACCTCGCCTCTACAAAAAAAATTAAAAATTGGTTAAGCGTGGTGGCGCATGCCTGTAGTCTGAGCCCAAGAGGTCGAGGGTGGAGTGAGCTGTGATCACGCCACTGCAATCCAGCCTGGGCAGCCTTCTTCTTCTTCTTTACAAAATATATTGTCAGGGAAAATTTTGAAGACCTTGAAATAGACACCCCCCCTGCCCCACAAGAAACAGTCTTGATTAGTGCACTGTTTAGGATTATCTCCACCTTTCACTGTCTTTGAGCTATTCACAATTCTGTAAATTGTAATTCTACTTAGAAGCAAAACAGTGATAGAGCTACAACTGTGTATGTGCTTTTGTTTAACATGGAAAATGAGTAGTTTTGATGGTCTCTAAGTCCCTTTCCACTCTTAGCACTTATTCAGGACTCCAAAGGGCTTTGTTTACATGGGTTAAAATCATTAATACTTAACGTATTAGAACTTAAAATTGAGAAACTTAAAAAATAGTTTTTTATTTGAAGATGAGCAATATTGAGTGCATTACATTTAGCATAGAAAACATCTTAGTATTAATATGAAAATCATTTTGACTGGCCAGGCGCGGTGGCTCACACTTGTAATCTCAGCACTTTGGGAGGCCAAGGTGGGTGGATCATGAGGTCAGAAGATTGAGACATACAGTGAAACCCCGTCTCTACTAAAAATAAAAAAATAAAATAAAATAAAAATTAGCTGGGCGTGGCGGCAGGTGCCTGTAGTCCCGGCTACTTGGGAGGCTGAGGCAGGAGAATGGCAAGAACCCGGGAGGCAGAGCTTGTAGTGAGCTGAGACCGCTCCACTACACTCTAGCCTGGGTGACAGAGCAAGACTCCGTCTCGAAAAAAAAAAGAAAAAAAAAGAAAATCATTATGACTTCAAGAACCCTCTGAGATAGAAATACTGAACTCAAGCAAAATGTCACTTTGTTGCAGAATATTAAAGAGCATAACTAAAGATACAACTGGGGAAATGAATTTTATTTTCCTCAGTTTATACCTGAGTCTGAAAGAAGCTATAAAATGGTTAACATCTTAGCAAAGTTAACTCAATTTAGAAGGACCTGCTCCCTTGGTTTACTGATAAATACCTATAATATAAAATGCTATTCTTTACTTTTTGTGTAATCTGCTAGATAGCAAATAATCTGTTTTATTAAAATAATATTCTATGCTTTATGTTGTCTTTATTGTCCTTTAAATTTAAGAGGAAAAAAGAACAAAGGCTCCTGACTTACAAAAGAGCTAAAGTTCTTTTCAATCATATCATCATCTGTATTTATTTTTATTTATTGTCACCGTAGTAAAATAGGTAACTAAGTATTATTTCTCAAGCACTTATGATTATATCTTAATGAAGTATCCACATTTCCTCTCATACTTATTTGATTTTTGCCTTCCTGTGATGAGCTGAACTGTATCCCCCACCCAAATAGATCTGTTTGAAGCTTTAACCCTGAGTACCTCAGAATGTGACTGTATTTGGAGATAAGGGCATTAAAGAGGTGATTATTAAAATTAGGCTTTATTTTTTTAGTATCCTCTTGCTTTTCAAATTTGCATTTCTTTGATACTAAAGAGGGTAATAATTTTTGCATGTTTCTTAGTAACATAAATTTCCTCTTTTTGGAAATTAGGCCCTAATCCACCATGACCTGTGCTCTTGTACGAGGTGGAAGAAACATAGTCGGCCCTCTGTATCCATAGGTTCCATATTTGCAGATTCAATCAACCATGCATGGATAGAACATATTTTTCTTTGTTCATTTGTTTTTGAGACAAAGTCTCGCTCTGTCGCCAGGCTGGAGTGCAGTGGTGTGATCTTGGCTCACTGCAACCGCCTCCCGGGTTCAAGCGATTCTCCTGCCTCAGCCTCTGGAGTAGCTGGGACTATAGGTGCGTGCCACCACGCCTAGCTAATTTTTGTATTTTTAGTAGAGAGGGGGTTCCACCATGTTGGCCAGGATGGTCTTGATCTCTTGACCTTGTGATCCACCTGCCTCGGCCTCCCAAAGTGCTGGGATTACAGGTGTGAGCCAGTGTACCCGGCTGGAAAATATTTTTTTAAGAAACCCCAAAAGTTCTCAATAAATAATAATAATACAATTAAAAATCATACAGGCCAGGCATGGTGGCTCATGCCTGTAATCCCAGCATTTTGGGAGGCCGAGGCAGGCAGATCACCTGAGGTCAGGAGTTTGAGAACAGCCTGGCCAAAATGGTGAAACCCCATCTCTACTAAAAATACAAAAATTAGCTGGGTGTGGTAGCACTGCTTGTAATTCCAGCTACTCAGGAGGCTGAGGCAGGAGAATTGCTTGAATCCAGGAGGCGGAGGCTGCAGTGAGCCGAGATCCTGCCACTGCATTACAGCCTGTGCAAAAGAGTGACACTCCACCTCAATTGAAAAAAAAAAAAGGGGGGGGGGTACAGTACTATCCAGTTCTAATTTCAGTTATTATTTAAAATGTTTTCTGGCACAACCTTACTGCTCTAATTCTCACTTATGCCAGTGGTTCTCTAACCTTATTGTTTCTAATCCACATATTCTATGCCAGTAGTTCTCAAAAGGGGATGTTCTTCAGGCTTACCCATGTAGTTGTTTTTTTCATGATGGAGTTTTGCTCTTGTTGCCCAGGCTTAAGTGCAATGGTGCAATCTCAGCTCACTGCAACCTCCTCCTCCTGGGTTCAAGCGATTCTCCTGCCTCAGCCCCAACGAGCAGCTGGGACTACAGGTGTGCACCACCATGCCTGGCTAATTTTTATATTTTTAGTAGAAACGGGGTTTCACCATGTTGGTCTCAAACTCCTGACCTCAGGTGATACACCCATCTCGGCCTCCCAAAATGCTGGGATTACAGGCATGAGCCACTGTGCCTGGCTCCCATGGAGTTTTATAAAAATAAAATAAAAAATAAAAATATGTCTAGGCTTGATCCTACACTTGCTGGTTCTTTTGATATTCTTGTGTATACCTGGTATGTTAGATCTCAAGATTATTAAGTTGTATCTCAAGATTTCGTTTTTGTCTATAAATGGTTATGCTCAGCTATATTTACATATCAGACATAAGAGTCACTGAGTTCCTTGAAAATAGGCCTAATCATCATCTTTGGAAACATTATTATTCTTACTCTGAATCTTCATCAGATCATATCATTTGATAATTATCAGTAATAAACTAGCCACAGTTATTTTAGGCCTGTGTAACCTATTAACCAGAGCAGTTTTTGTCTGCTCTGATGCTTGCCTGAAGACTCTCCTACAAGCTACAGGCCAGTTTGTGTTTTCAACAAAGGAGTCTCAGAGCCCTATTAAAAGGATTCCAACAGGTATGTGAAACAATGTATACATCAAAGAAAAGACACTTGGGTATAGGGTTCTGAAGAGATCTCTCTTACATAACTTTCAAAACGTAGCAGTGAAGTACATTAGGATTCCTCATATTCTTTTTTGTTAGGTGAGAAACAGACATTTCATGAAACTGCTAACCCAAGGTCCAGCAGAATAAGAATTCATTATGACATAAGAAAGAATGAACTGATGAAGAAAAATTTATTATGGTTACATGTTTGAGTAATGTTTAATTTTGATTTTGTGCTCATTTTTCCTTTCTAAAGTTATCCACAATTTCATAAAACTCTGCTTGAGTAAACTAAAAGGAATTATTTAAAAATGCTACCTGATTCTCACTGATGCCCAGAATTCCATCTCTTACTAAGTCTCCCTTCATTAGTAATATATTTATAAAGGTTCAATAAGAATATGTCCCCTTTCCTACTACAATATAATTGAAAAAAATCTATTATGCAACCAAAGACTTATCTGAAGTGTTATATTTGAGAACAACGGTTACTTAATCCGGTATGACAAGTCACTTTTTTTTCTTTTGTAGAGACAGGGTCTTGCTATGTTGCTCAGGCTGGTCTTGGACTCCTATCCTCAAGCAATCCTCCCGCCTCAACCTCTCAAAGTGCTGGGATTACAGGTGGAAGCCATCACACCAGCCAATAAGTCATCTGAAGGAACAAAGTTTGCCTGTACTAACAGGGGCGATGCTGAGGATACCCTCTGTGCAGTAAAGATTAGCTCAGCAGGTTTGGGGTATTCCTATGGATTGAACTGGGTCTCCTAAAACTTTGTATATTGGGCAAGGCACGGTGGCTCATGCCTGTAATCCCAGCACTTTGAAGGCCCAGGTAGGCACATTGCTTGAGCTCAGAAATTGGAGAACACCCTGGGCAACATGGTAAAACCCCAACTCTACAAAAAATACAAAAAGTTAACTGGGTGTGGTGGCATGCACCTGTAGTCCCAGCTACTCAGGAGGCTGAGGTGGGAGGATCGCTTGAGTCTGGGAGGTGGAGGCTGCAGTGAGCCAAGGTCATGCCACTGCACTCCAGCCTAGGCGACAGAGCCAGACTGTCTCAAAAAAAAAAAAAAATTGTGTGTTGAAATCCTAATCCCCAATATCTCAGAATATGATCTTATTTGGAAATAAGGTCACTGCAGATATAATTAGTTAAGGTCATAATGGAGTAGGGTAGGTCCATAACCCAATGTTTTGTGTCCTTATAAAAGGGGGAATTTGGATGCAGACACGTACAGAGAGAAGGCCAAGGTCTACAAGCGAAGGAATGCCAAAGATTGACAGCAAACCACCAGAAACTAGGAAAGAAATATGTAACAGATTCTTCTTACAGCCTTCAGAAGGAAGCAACTCTAAATTCGGACTTCTAGTCTGCAGAATAGTGAGCCAATAAATTTGTATTGTTCAAGCCACCGAGTTTGTGGTAGGTTGTTACAAGCAACTCTAGCAAACTAATATAGTTGTTTCAACTTTACACATTTTAAAGAAAGGTGTGCCCCTTGCCTGGCTCCAGGGAGATAATAATCACTAAACCAAAGGAATATTCTGGCTGTTAAGAATGTCCTTTTGTCAGCCGGGTGCAGTGGCTCATATGCGTAATCCCAGCACTTTGGGACGTCAAGGCAGGAGGATCACTTGAATCCAGGAGTTCAACACTAGCCTGGGCAACATAGTGAGACCCCGTCTCTACAAAAAAATTTAAAAATTAGCTGAGTGTGGTAGCAAACACCTGTAGTTCCAGCTACTTAGGAGGCTGAGGTGAAAGGACTGCTTGAGCCTGGGAGGCTGAGGTTGCAGTGAGCTGTGATCATGTCACAGCACTCTAGCCTGGGCAACAGAGTGAGACCTTGTATTTAAAAAAAAAAAAAATTCCTCTTGTTTACCCATGGCACTGGCCACACAGATAGTTTATGATTAAAATGTTAATTCATGCTGGGGGCCATGGGTTTAACCTCTGGATGGGCTAGAATTGGTAAATTAAATTCACATGTAACTAGTTTTTATCCTATACAGCTTGAGTACAGTGCAAAAAGATTATCAATTTTTACACAATTTTTTATCATAAAATATACATAAAATTTACAATTTTAACTGCACAATTTAGTGGTAGCAAGTATATTCACAATGTTGTGCAACTATCACCACTAATCATTTCTAGAACTTCATCTTCTAAAACAGAAACCCATTAAATGGAAACTCTCCGTACCCTCCTCCCTCTAGGAACTAGTAACCACTATTTCTGTCTCTATGAATTTGGTTGTTCTAGGTACCTCTTATCAGTAGACTCATATGATATTTGTCCTTTTGTGTCTTTCACCCCACATAATGTTCTCCAGATTCATACAAGTTGCATAATGTATGAGAATTTCATTACTTTCTATGGCTGAATACTATTCCACTATAGAGGTATACAATATTTTTTTTCACTCATTCATCTGCTGATGGACGTGGGTTGTTTCCACCTTTTGGCTATAATGTATCACAATTTTTTGATGAAACTAAATTGCAGCAAAAACGACTGATTTTAAAACACCAACTCCTTCCCCATTCTAATGCAAATAATCTCAAGGTCTACAGTTTCGAAGGTGCCAAAATGCATTCCTAAGTAATGGTGACCTTTGTTAAATATGAGCTTAACTGAAAAAGCCTTTTAATTATAAAAAAAACATCAAGTTTATTTACAATAAAAAGCACTGGACCTTTACAAATGTCAACCTTCATAGTATCCTCGTCACTGTGAATAGATAAAATCTATTAACACACACGTGACTCAACTTTTGCATCACTTTAAAGAAAATCAGAATTCTGGTTTCCATCAATAGATAAACAAGAAGACAATTCTGAGGAAGTTTGGGATAGTAAAAAATATATATGAAAAGAAGGACATTTTGGTTTCAGGTTGTCAAAAAAATGAATGAGAAAACAGCATTCAAATATTTCCAACTAAGTAGTAAATTAACATCAATGAAAAAATAATCAGCTCTGCAAGAATAATAGATAAAAAATAGGTATATACAAGTTTGGCTAAAGCTGCATGGATATAAAAGGCAAATTTAAAATGTTTAATTTTTTAAATTTTTACTTTTTTTTTTTTTTTTTGAGATGGATTCTCACTCTGTCGCCAAGGCTGGAGTGCAGTGGTGCAATCTCAGCTCACTGCAACCTCTGCCTCCTGGGTTCAAGCAATTCTCCTGTCTCAGCCTCCTGAGTAGCTTGGACTACAGGTGTCTGCCACCACACCCAGCTAATTTTTTGTATTTTTAGTTCAGACGGAGTTTCACCAAGTTGGCCAGGCTGGTCTCAAACTCCTGATCTCAAGTGATGTGCATACCTTGGCCTCCCAAAGTGCTGGGATTACAAGCCTGAGCCACCGTGCCTAGCCTTATTTTAATTTTTATGAGTACACAGTAGGTATATATATTTATGGGATACATGAGACATTGTGATACAGGCATACAGTGTATAAAAATCACATGAGAATAAATGGAGTATCCATCCCCTCAAGCACTTATCATTTCTTCGTGTTACAAATGTTCCAATAATATATTTATTTTTAAATGTACAATAAATTATTCTCGACTGTAGTCACTCTGTTGTGCTATGAAATACTAGACCTTATTCATTCTATTAACTATATTTTTATACTTTTTTTTTTTTGAGACGGAGTCTTGCTCTGTCACCTAGGCTCGAGTGCAGTGGCTCACTTGGCTCACTGCAAGCTCCGCCTCCCGGGTTCATGCCATTCTCTTGCACAGCCTCCCGAGTAGCTGGGACTACAGGCCTGCAGGCGCCTGCCACCATGCCTGACTAATTTTTTTTTTTTTTTTTTGTATTTTTAGTAGAGATGGGGTTTCACTGTGTTAGCCAGGATGGTCTTGATCTCCTGACCTCATGATCTGCCCGCCTCAGCCTCCCAAAGTGCTGGGATTACAGGGGTGAGCCACCCCACCCCTGCCATTTTTGTACTTATTAACTATCCTCACTTCCTCCCCTTACCCCACTACCCTTCCCAGCCTCTGGTAACTATCATTCTATTCTCTATCTCTGTGAGTACAACTGTTTCAATTTCTAGCTTCCACCAACAAGTGAGAACATGTGACTGTCTTTCTGTGCTGGCTATTTCACTTAACATAATGTCCTCCAGTTCTCATATTGTTGCAAATGACAGGATCCCATTCTTTTTTATGGCTGAATAGTATTCCATTGTGTATATATACACCACATTTTCTTTATCCATGTCTGTTGATGAACACTTAAATTGATTCCAAATACTGGCTATTATGAATAGTGCTGCAATAAACATGAGAGTGCAGATACCTCTGTGATGTACAGATTTCCTTTCTTTTGGGTGTATACCCAGCAATGGATCATCTGATAGTTCTATTTTCAGTTTTTTTAAGGAATCTCCATACTGTTCTCCACAGTGGCTATACTAATTTACAATCCCACCAACTGTATACAAGCGTTCCCTTTTCTCCATATCCTTGCCAGCATGTTATTGCCCTCTTTCAGATAAAAGCCATTTTAACCAGAGTGAGATAATACCTCATTTTAGTTTTGATTTGCATTTCTCTGATGATGTTGAGTACCTTTCATATACCTGTTAGCCATTTGTATACCTTCTTTTGAGAAATGCATATTTAGATCTTTTGCCCATTTTTTAATGAGATTATTAGATTTTTCCTATAGAGTTGTTTCAGGAACAACCGAGTTGTTGAGTTCAACAGAGTTCAACAACTGAGTTGAAACAACAGAGTTGTCTTTATATATTCTGGTTATTAATTCCTTATCAGACGGGTAGTTTGCAAATATTTTCTCCCATTCTGTGAGTTGTTTCTTCACTTTCTTGTTTCCTTTGCTGTGTAGAAGCTTTTTAATTTGATGTGATCCCATTTGTCCACTTTTGCTTTGGTTGCCTGTGCTTGTGGGGTATCACTCAAGAAATTTTTGCCCAGACCAATGTCCTGGAGAGTTTCCTCAGCTTTCTTGTCATAGTTTCAGGTCTTAGATTTAAGTTTTTATTCCATTTGTACATGCTTTTTGTATACAGTGAGAGATAGGGGTGTATTCGTCTGTTTTCATGCTGCTATAAAAAATTGCCTGAGACTGGGTAATTTATAAAGGAAAGAGGTTTAACTGACTCACAGTTCAGCATAGCTGGGGTGGCCTCAGGAGACTTATAATCATGGCAGAAGGCGAAGAGGAAGCAAAGCACCTTCTTCACAAGGTGGCAGGAAGAAGTGTCGAGCAAAGTGGGGTAGAGCCCCTTATAAAACAATCAGATCTTGTGAGAACTCACTCATTATTACAAGAACAGCATGCAGGAAACCGATTCCATGATTCCATTACCTCCACCGGGTCTCTCCGTTGACACATGGGGATTATGAGGATTACGATTCAAGATGAGATTTGGGTGGGGGCACAAAGCCTAACCATATGAGGGGTCTAGTTTCATTCTTCTGCATATGGATATCCAGTTTTCCCAGTACCATTTATTGAAAAGAATATCCTTTTTCCAATGTATGTCCTTGGCGCCCTTGTCCAAAATGAATTTACTGTACATATATGAATTTATTTCTGAGTTCTCTGTTCTGTTCCATTGGTCCATGTGTCTGTTTTTATGCCAATATTATGCTGTAATTTTATTGGGGTCTGTCTCTTGTTAGCTCTAACAATATCCGCTTTGTATATCTGGGTTTTCTAGTGTTGGGTGCATATATATTTACAACTGTTATATCCTCTTGTTGTACTAATCCTTTTATCATTATACAATGACCTTCTATATCTTCTTATACTTTTTGTCTTGAAATCTATTTTGTCTGATATAAGTATAGCTACTCCTGCTCTTTTTGGTTTCCATTTGCATGGAATATCTTTTTCCATCCCTTTATTTTCAGTGTATGTGTGTCTTTATAGGTGAAGTGTGTTTCTTTGCAGGGAGCAGATCACTGGGTCTTGTTTTTTCATCCAGCCAGCCACTCAGTGTCTTTTGACTGGGCAGTTTAGTCCGTTTACTAAATGTTATTATTAATAAGGACTTACTCCTGACATTTTAAAATTTGCTTTCTTGTTTTATGGTCTTCTCTTCCTTCTTTCCTTCCTTCCTATCTTCCTTTTTGTGAATGTGACTTTCTCTGGTGGTATGTTTTAATTTCCTTTTTTTTTTTAATTTTCTGTGCATCTATTAATTTTGTTTGTTTTTTTGAGACATGGTCTTGCTCTACTGCCCACACTGAAGTGCAGTGGCACAATCATGGCTCACTGCAGCCTCAACCTCCTGGTCAAACAATCCTCCTACCTCAGCCTCCCAAATAACTGGGACTATGGGCATGTGCCATGATGCCAGGCTAATTTTTATTTTTTATATAAATGGGGTATCACTATGTTGCCTAGGCTGATCTCAAACTCCTGGGCTCAAGCAATCCTCTTGCCTCCTGTTTTCTGATCTGATCTGAGGTTACCAGGCTTGCAAACAACATCTTAACTGATGACAAGTTTACTCTCATTACAAAAACAAATAAGCAAAGAGAAAAATGATAAAAACTTTACACTTTATCATCTTTTCCCCTGCTCTTTAATTTTATTACATCTATTTATATCTTATTATATTGTATATGTCTTTACAAGTTGCTGTAGTTATTATTATCTTTGATCCGTTTTAGTCTTCTTACTCAAGATGAGTAGTGCGCACACCACAATGTCTGTGTACTTACTATTATCGTGAGTTTTGTACCTTTAGTTGATTTGTTATTGTTCATTAATGTCCCTTTCCTTCAGAATGAAAAACTCCCTTTAGCATTTCTTATAGTACAGGTCTGCTGTTGATGAAACGCCTCAGCGTTTTTGTTTTTGTTTTTGTTTTTTTTTTTTTTTTGAGACAGTTTCCTCTTGCTGTCCGGGCTGGAGTGCAATGGTGCGATCTCAGCTCACTGCAACCTCCACCTCCCGGGTTCAAGCAATTCTCCTGTCTCAGCCTCCTGAGTAGCTGGGATTACAGGCGCCAGCCACCATGCCCAGCTAATTTTTTAATTTTTATTTTTAGTAGAGATGGGGTTTTGCCACGTTGGCCAGGCTAGTCTCAAACTCCTGACCTCAGGTGATCTGCCCGCCTCAGCCTCCCAAAGTGGTGGGATTATAAGCATGAGCCACCACGCCCGGCCACCCCTCAGTTTTTGTTTGTCTGGGAAGTCTTTATTTCTCCTTCACATCTGAAGGATATTTTCAGTGGATATAATATTCTGGGATAAATGTTATTTTCCTTTAGCACTTTAAATATGTCATGCCATTCTCTCCTAATCTGTAAGGTTTCCACTGAGAAGTCTGCTGCCAGATGTACTGGAGCCCCATTGTATACTGTTTCTTTTCTCTTGCTGCTTTTGAGATCCTTTCTTTATCCCTGACCTTTGGGAGTTTGATTATCAAATGTCTTGAGGTAGTCTTATTTGGGTTAAATCTGCTTGGTGTTCTATAACCTTGCACTTGAATACTGATATTTTTCTTTAGGATTGAAAAGGTCTCTATTATTAGCTCTTTAAATAAACTTTCTATCCCTCTCTCTCCTTCTACCTCCTCTTTAAGGCCAGTAACCCTTAGATTTGCCCTTTTGAAGCTATTTTCTAGATCCTGTGGGAGTATTTCACTCTTTTTTCTTTTGTCAACTCTGTATATTTTCATATATCATGTCTTCATGCTAATTCTTTCTTCTGCTTGATCAATTCTGCTGTTGAGAGCCTCTGATGCATTCTCCAGGTTGTCAATTACATTTCTAACTCCAGAATTTCTCTTTGATATTTCACCATTGTTTTAATCTCTTTGTTAAATTTATCTGATAGGATTCTGAACTTCCTCTGTTTATCTTCAGTTTAGTTGAGATTTCTCAAAACAGCTGTTTTGAATTTCTGAAAAGTCACATGGCTTTGTCTCTTCATGTTTGGTCACTAGTGCCTTATTTCATTGGTTTGGTGAGGTCATGTTTTCCTGGATCGTCTTGATGCTTCTAAATTTTCAGCAATGTCTAAGCGCTGAAGAGTTAGGTATTTATTCTATCCTTTGCAGTCCGTACTTGTTTGTACCTGAACTTCTTGGGAAGGCATTCCAAGTATTCAAAAGGAATTGAGTGTAATGATCTCAATTCTTCAGTCACTGCAGCCATCTGCATTAGTGGACACTCCAAGCCCAGTAACACTTTTTTTTTTTTTTAAGAGACAGAGTCTCACTATGGTTGCCCAAGCTGGAGTGCAGTGGCTATTCAAAGGCACGATCCCACTACTGATCAGCACAGGAGTTCTGACCTGCTCCATTTCCAACCTGAGCCAGTTCACCCCTCCTTAGGCAACCTGGTGGCCCCCCACTCCCAGGAAGTCACCATATTGATGTCGAACTTAGTGCAGACACCCAATCAGCAGAGCACATTACAGCCCAGAGCTCCTGAGCCCAAGCGATCCTCCTGCCTCAGCTTCCTAAGTAGGTGGGACTACATGCACACACCACCACGCCCAGCAAAACTGTGACTCTTGCCAACTCATAGAGGTACTGCCTTGGTGAACTTGGGTAAGATCTGGGAGAATTCCCTGGATTACTAGGCAGAGTCTCTTGTTCTTCTCCCTTACTCTCCCCCAAACAAATGAAGTTTCCCTCTCACTCTCTCTCTCTGTGCTGAGATTCTTAATAGTTGGGGTAGAGGTGATGCAAGCACTCCCATGGCCACCACTGCTAAGACTGTGCTAGATCACACCTGACAGTACTGGGTCTCACCCAAAGCATGTAGAGACTAATTCCTGTCTATTGTTGATGTTTATTCAAAGCCCAAGGGCTCTTTAGTCAGCAAGTGATAAATCCTGTCAGGCCTGGGGTCTTTTATCTTCAGGGCAGCAGCTTCCCTTCTAGTCAAAAAATTTTTTGTTGTTTTTATATGGGAGACTTGAATTTTATTACTCAAATCAGTCTCCCCAGAAATTTGAAGGCTAGGGTTTTTCAAGGATAGTTTGGCAGGCAGGAGAATGGGTGCTGCTGACCGGTTGGGGATGTAATCATATGGATGTGGAAAACGTCCTTATGTGCTGAATCCACTTCTGGGTCAAAATTTTTAAATATTTTTAATAAGCAATAGATTCAAAGAATTCAAATTCTTAAAAAATAGAAAATAATTAACACTCCTGTATATACCCAAAAGAACTGAAAGCAGGATCTCAAAGAGATACCTGTACACCTACATCCATAGCAGCATTATTCACAATAGCCAAAAGGTAGAAACAACCCAATCGTCCACTGATATATGAATAGATAAACAAAATGTGGTATAAGCATACCTCAAAGATATTTAGGGTTTGGTTCCAGACAACTGCAATAAAGCAAATATCGCAATAATGCAAGTCACACAAATTTTTGGTTTCATAGTGCACATAAAAGTATGTTTATACTAGCCTGGGCGCAGTGGTTCACTCCTGTAATCCCAGCACTTTAAGAGGCCAAGGTGGGCAGATCAAATAAGGCCAGAAGTCTGAGACCAGACTGGCCAACATGTTGAAACCCTGTCTCCAATAAAAATACTAAAAAAATTAGCCAGGTGTGGTGGTGCGCACCTGAAATCCTAGCTACTAGGGTGACTAAGCCACAAGAATCACTTGAACCCATGAGGTGAAGGTTGCAGTAAACCGAGATTGCACCGCTGCACTTCCAGCGTGGGTGACAGAGCAAGACTCTGTCTCATTAAAAAAAAAAAAGGATGTTTATACGATACTGTAGTCCATTGACAAGAGTTGGTTTTTCTTTTTTTTCTTTTATAGAGATGAGAGTTAATGTGGCCCCAGCTGGTCCCAAACTCCTGGCCTCAAGTGATTCTCTTGCCTTGGCTTTCCAAAGCACTGGGATTACAGGCATGAGCCACTGTGCCAGGCCAATATACTGTAGTCTATTAAGTGTGCAATAGCATTGTATCTTAAAAAAAAAATCCATATACCTTAATTTAAAATCACTTTATTGCTAAAAAATGCTAACGATCAATTGAGGCTTTGCAAGTCTTAAACTTTTTGTTGATGGAGAGTCTCGCCTCATTGTCAACATTGATGGCTACTGACTGATCAGGGTGGTAATTGCTGAAGGCTGGGGTAGCTGTGGCAATTTCTTAAAATAAGACAGCAACAAAGTTTGCTACACTGATTGACTCTTCTTTTCATAAAAGATTTCTCTATACCAGGAGATGCTGCATGATAGCATTTTACCCACGGAACTGCTTTCAAAAGTAGAGTCAAGCCTCTTAACCCCTGCTGCTGCTCTGTCAACTAAGTTTATGGAATATTCTAAATACTTTGTTGTCATTTCTATAATGTTCATAGCATCTTCACCAGCAGTAGGTTCCATCTCAAGAAAACACTTTCTTTGCTCATCCATAAAATATAAATGGATGAGGAGTATTTTTCTTTTTTTTCTCTCTACCTACTGTGTCCCAGTCTTCTTCATTTGAGAAAAAAGTGATACATGATATGGGGATTAAAATCAAGAGCATCACCGAACTTCACCTTCCCTCCAACCAGTTGCCCCAAACTCCCCTGCCCCCACCCTTTGTGTTCCCAATTCCTTCCTTACTGAATGAAGAACTTAATCCCAAAAGCCCTGGCACAAACTCCGGGTTCTCTTTCCCTAGCTTCCGCCCTCTCCCTGTATCCCATTCCTAGAAGGGCAGGCACCTCAGTTTGAATGCATGGGAGAGCCCAGAGTGGCGACAGAAACAGGGGGAAAGGCACTAAGGAACACAGTGCAGTGCAGTGCAATGAGGGCTCCCATAGCCTGGGGTACCAAAATGGGAGCCTGGGGCACCAAAATGGGGCCCTGAGGCCATAGGAAAGGACACTGGTGCCCCTGAGAAAGGAGACCCAGCAGCCTCAAAATCCTCTCATGGTGCATAATCACTGCTTGATTGCTTGCCCTTCTGGCGCCAATTACAGAACCACACTCGGATCACATCCTTCTAGAGCCCAAGCTGCTGGGCAATGTGACTGATCTGCTGCAGTGTGGGCTTCAGGCGCTGCAGGAACACATTCTCCAGGTTCTCAATACTGGTTCGCTTTCTCTTTCAGGCCTGCACGAGGGTTTCGGCTTTGCATATCTCCTGAATATTTTCATTGTTGTCGGCTTCCTCCACCCACTTCTGCAGCAAGGGCCGCGCCGCTTACACATGTTCTTGAAGCTAAGCTGTTGAGCCTCAAAGAGGCAGATGGTCGTTTGGCTGAACATATTCCCAAATAGAACCCCCAGGGTAAGCCCCACATCAGCCTGTGCATATCCCAGGGTGATCCTCTTCTGCTTCAGGAGCTTGGCAAATTGCTCAAGTTCTTTCTGCAGAGCTTTGAGATGTCCTGGGACTGGATGAAGGGTATTTTTTATCCTAAGATTGCAGCAATTCAGTCACATTTTCAGGCTTTAGTTCTAGTTCTCTTGTTATTTCCACCATATCTATAGTTAAGTTCTTCGAATGAAGTCTTGAGCCCCTCAGTCATCCATGAAGGTTGGAATAAAATTCTTCCAAACTCTTATTGTTGGTATTTTGACTTCCTCCCATGAATCAAAGACAGGGTCTTGCTCTGTCGCCCAGGCTGGAGTGCACTAGTATGATCATAGCTCACTGTAAACCTTCAACTCCTAAGCTCAAGCAATCCTCTTGCCTAAACCTCCCAAGTAGCATGTGCCACCACACCTGGCTTTTTAAAATTATTTTTTGTAGAGACAGTGTCTCACTACATTGCCCAGGTTGGTCTCAAACTCCTGGCTTCAAGCAATCCTCTCACTTCACAAATGTTCTTAACAGTAACTGGAATGGTGAATTCTTTGAAGGTTTTCAATTTACTTTGCCCAGAACTATCAGAGGAATCACTATATGTGGTAACTACAGCCTTACGAAATGTATTTCTTAAATAATAAAACTTGAAAGTAAAAATTACTCCTTGTTCCTACAGCAGCAGAATGGATGTTGTATTAGCAGGCATGAAAACATTAATCTCCATGTATATCTCCATCTGAGCTCTGATGTGACCAGGTGCACTGTCAATAAGCAGCAGTATTTTGAAAGAAATCTTTTTACTGAGCGGTGGGTCTCAACAGTGGGCTTAAGCCCATATTAATATATTCAGTACACCATGCTGTAAACAGATGAGCTGTCATCCAGGCTTTGTTGTTCCATTTATAGAATACAGGCAGAGTAGATTTAGCATAATTCCTGAGGGCCCTGGCATTTTCAGAATGGTAAACAAGCACTGGCTTCAACCTAAAGTCACCAGATGCATTAGACCCTAAAAGAGAGTCAGCCTGTCCTTTGAAGTTAGGCATTGACTACTTCTCTCAGCTATAAAAGAAAGTTGTAGAGGACATTTTCTTCCAATAGAAGGCTGTTTTGTCAACATTGAAAATCTGTTGTTTAGTATACCCACCTTCGTCAATTACCTCAGCTAGACATGCTAGACAACTTGCTGTAGCATATACATCAGTACTTTTACATTATGGAGATGGCTTCTTTCCTTAAACTTCACGAACTAATATTTGCTAGCTTCAAGCTTTTCTTCTGCAGCTTCCTTATCTCTCTCAGCCTTCAGAGACTTGAAGAGAGTTAGAATCTTGGTCTGGATTAGACTTTGGCTAATCCTAATGTTGTGGCTGGTGTGATTTTCTATTCGGACTACTAAAATTCTCTCCGTATCAGCAATAAGGCTGTTTTTCACTTTCTTACCATTCATGTATTCACCAGAGTAGCACTTTTAATTCCTTTAAGTTGCATTAACAACTTGGATAACTGGCACAAGAAGCCTTGCTTTCAGCCTGTCTGGGCTTTTGATATGCCTTCTTCACTAAGCATAATCCTTTCTAGCTTTTGATTTAAAGTGAGAAATGTGATTTAAAGTGAGAGATTTTCTTTTCACTTATGTACTTAGAGGCCACTGTAGGGTTATTAACTGGCCTAATTTCAACACTGTTGTGCCTCAAGGAATAGGAAGGCCCGAGGAGAGGAGAGAGATAGGACTGGCCAGCTGGTGGAGCAGTCAGAACATAAACATTTATCAATTAGGTTTGTTGTCTTATATAGGTAAGGTTCATGGCACCCCAAAACAATTACATCAATGACCACTGATCACAGATCACCATTACAGATATAGTAACAACACAGAAGTTTTGAAATACTGTTAAGAATTACCAAAATGTGACATAAAGACACAAAGTGAGCATATATGCTGTTGGAAAAATGGTGCCAACTGACTTGCTCAATGCAGTGTTGTCAAAAAACCTTCAATTTGTAAAAATTCAGTATCAAAAATTGAGTAAAGCTTATAAGCTTTAGTAATTCTCGCAATATTTCAATATTTTTCATTATTATTTTATCTTTTATGGTGATCTCATATCACTAATTTAGCGATATAAGACAATGCATGACATGATCAGTGATCTTTGATGTTACTATTGCAATTGTTTGGATGCCACAAACCACATCCATATAATAAGAACACAGGCATGCCGCATTTTATTGTGCTTTGCTTTACTGTGCTTCTCAGATACTGTGATTTTTACAAATTGAAGGTTTGGGGCAACCCTGCATAGAACAAGTCTATCAGCACCATTTTTCCAACAGCATGTGCTCATCTCTGTGTCAGCATTATTAAGCAATAAAGCATATTTATAAACTAACATATACACAGTCTTTTAAGACATAATGTCATCATTGCACACTTAGTAGACTACAATATAGTATAAATATAACTTTTATATGCACTAGGATACCAAAAATTTTGTGATTTGCTTTATTACGATATTTGCTTTATTGCACTATTTGCTTCATTGCAGTGGTCTGGAACTGAGCCCACAATATCTCCAAGGTATGCCTGAATTATATAGCTTAAAAAGGAAGGAAATTCTAACATGTGCTACAACACAGATGAACCTTGAGGACGTTATGCTTAGTGAAATAAGTGAGTCACAAAAAGAAACACTACTATATGATTCCACTTCTTTGAGGTACCTAGCCTAGTGTTAAGTCAAATTCATAAAGACATAAAGTAGAATAGCAGTTGCCAGGCACTAGGAAGAGGAGGGAATGAAGAGTTGCTGTTTAATGCATAGAGTTTTAGTATCCTCAAGATGAAAAGAGTTCTGGAGATTGGTTACATAATAACGTGAATATGCTTAATGCTACTTAAAAAATGGTTACGTCTGTAAATTTTATGTTGTGTATATTTTACCACAATTTAAAATAGAAAACAAAAAACCTCCCTCCCACTGGTATGTAGCCATCTTCTAGTTCCCATATGACCCACTCTCTGTAAGTAACTTTTACTTATCCAGAATTTCCTTATGCATTTACAAGTAAATATAAGCAAATCAAACAACCATATACATTGTTCTATATTTTGCTGTTTTCACTTAACAATGTATCTTGGAATTCTTTCGCAGAAATCTTCATGATTTAAGAGCAACATTTTAACAAGAACTTCAATATATGAAGGAAAGCTTTAATATGACAGAACTTACCAATATCTGGTAGACACTGCCCATTATAGGGGTACCAATTTCCTTTTACAGTAAAGGGGCTTTTCCTGTTGCTTGTTGAACCGGTTCCCAGCTGCCCATTACCACCAAGCCCAAAAGAGTAAATTCGTCCTGATGAAGGAACAAAAGCAGAAGTGTGCTGCCTAGAGTAAAATGATAGAAAACTTCAGACTTAATGTTACCTTCCAACAATTTACAATGACAAAAGCAGAGAAAATATCAAAAGAGGTAATTTTTCTTTTCAAAAAATTAATAAAACCAATTGTAGTTCCAAAGCTTCTGTACAAATATTCATTAACAGACTTAATCTATAGAATGAATTCTGCATCACATAGACAGGCTGCACGAGCATGGTCCAGAAAATTTCCACTAATGTTTAAATTTTAAACAGCCTGGGTCTATACTGAAATCCCTTACAATAAACGATTCAGCACCAGAGTAGCATCTACCTATGCTGTTCAAGGAAGTCCCCACTACTCCCCTTGTCAAGTTCTAGTCCAGAGCTGTGGTCTATGAAAGTCCTCCACTTGGGTATCACCGAGAAGTTTTAGGCTAAGAAATGGGAAGTAATCTAGTACCAATCAGAAGATTGTTATATACACTTATGCATGACAGAAACAATGTTTCCTTTCTTCTGAGGAAAGTAATCTCTATATGTACGCACCAAAACTCCTCTGGAGGTACTACAGTGAAAGCAAACCTAAGAAACCACAGATCTGAAGCTAAGGATGACCCACCAATCCACTCTCAGTAAACCTATCCAACTCCTCAGAAAAAGTCTCCTTAGGCAAGCAGGGAAGTATTTCATTGTGTACCCTATCCATGAGATGGTTTTACTGAGGGGACATGGCATCTCCAGGTCTCACCCTTGTTTCTATCAGGTCTTAGATCTTGTCTCTTGCCCTAAACCTCTTTGCCATTTGTGGCATATTGTTTATAAAAGTGGCTGAAATTATCCCTCTAACCATACCCATATCTTATGCAATATGACTATTACAGTTGTTCCCAGCAAGACTGGAAATCTCTTTCTCCATGTCTTAAATCCAAGTCCTAATCTATAGCTTGCTTTGGCCAGCAGAAACAACAGTGTCTCAGTTCCGAGCCTTTGCCTCACAAGTGGCTTTATACACTCTTTCCCTAACTATCTTTAGGAATTCTGCTCTACCATCGTAAGAATAAACCAAGGTTAGCAGCTAAAGGATGATCTACAATCTGGAACAGACAAACTGTCCCAGCTGAGGCCATCCTAGACTTCCAGCTCCTAGCCAGATCATCAACTGATCATCTAAGTCAGCTAAGATGAGAGCAGCCCAGTTAAGCCCGGCCAAAATTACTAAAACAAAGAACTATTAGCTAAATAATTATTTTAGGTCACTAGGTTTTGGAGTCGTTCTGTTTAGCGACATAAGCTAACTAATACATTACCCAGATTGGCAAATTCTTTCAGGGTAGCTCCAAAGTCAATTCAAACTAACACCTTTGGTTTTCAAATTTCTTTTGTTTTTGCCAGGTGGAGTTCTCTTTACAACCTGGCAAACTCACACATGCTATTTTAAAGGGGTTTTGATTCAAGAGTTTTCAAGTTAGCTAGTCTGCTAGATTACTACCCTCCCTCAGGAAGCAGCCATCTCAAAGGAATGTATTAATAGTTTGAAAATTACTGCAATACTATTTTATTAAAACTCCTCCTCACACTGGACTAATAAAGCACTGGTTCTTAACCCTGGCTGCATATTTGAATCATCTTGGGGTGAATCTAGGTAAAAATATATATTTTGGCCAGGCATGGTGGCTCAGGCCTATAATTCCAGCACTTTGGGAGACCGAGGCAGGTGGATCACTTGAGGTCAGGAGTTCGAGACCAGCATGGCAAACATGGCAAAACCCTGTCTCTATTAAAAATACAAAAATTAGCTGGGCACGGTGGCATGCGCCTGTAGTCCCAGCTACTCAGGAGGCTGAGGCAGGAGGATCACTTGAACCTGGAAGGCAGAGGTTGCAGTGAGCCAAGATTCTGCCACCACACTCCAGCCTGGGCAACAGAGCAAGACTCAGTCTCAAAAATATATGTATATATGTGTGTGTGATTATAGTATAAAGTGGGGTTCAGAGCCACTGCATGAACAGAACTACCTTAAGCTCTAGATTTGATGTAAGAGCTCGAAAGCACTTCATTATACTACTGGAATGTAAACCTTTTTCTTTTGGATCGTCTATTGATGAACTGACATTTTGGTAATCCTGACTGCTTCATTCAGGAGGTTTTTGACAATTATTGAATAAGGAAATAATAATACATATTTCTTTTTTAAAAATTTTATTATTTTTGAGATGGAGTCTCACTCTGTTGCCAGGCTGGAGTGCAGTGGCGTGATCTTGGCTCACTGCAACCTCCGCCTCCCGGATTCAAGCGAGTCTCCTGCCTCAGCCTCCCAAGTGGCTGGGACTACAGGCATGTGCCACCATGCCCAGCTAATTTTTGTATTTTTAGTAGAGATGGGGTTTCACCATGTTGGTCAGGATGGTCTTGATCTCTTGACCTTGTGATCTGCCCGCCCTGGCCTCCCAAAGTGCTGGGATTACAGGCTTGAGCCACTGCACCCGGCCCAATAAGATGTCTTATAGTACTGACTACCTGGAAGTCAAACTGATCAAAATACCAGATACCTACTTACACTTCCTGTTTAGGTTAAGTCCTTAGATCTCACTCAATAGTCGAAATTTTACCCCCGATCCAACAGTTACATGAATAAAACTGCTGAAAAGAACTGGTTTACAGAGCTAAGAATAACTATTCAAATCATGTATTACAGAGCTAAGAATAACCATTCAAATCATGTACATTTTGGCTACTAAGAATTACAAAACTGGATAACATTAAATCATTTGTGATACTTCACAAAGGACTAATAGAGTATGTCACCCAAAATGATTTAAATTCACCACCCTGTAGTATTAAGCATGCATATTCCCATCATAGCCTGATGGTGGTTGGGCTGTATATTATATTCCCCATACCTTAACTTTAGGTTTGGCCATATAGTTTGCTTTTGGTCAACGAGATTTCAGTGAATGTGATGCAAGCAGAAGGCTTGAAATGGAATGTACAGTTGAGTTTGCCTTCTTGTGTATTTGTCTCCATCAGAAGAATACCCAGAGGCAGCCCACTGCTCCTCTGGTATAGTCCCAAGAACGAGATATGTAACAAAGCCACCCTAGCTGAAACACAGCCTGAGCAAAGTCACCCCAGTGAATAGGCAGCCTGAAACAGAACTGCCCCAGTCAATCTCTAGCCTAAATAAAAGCTGCTCCAGATAGCCAAAGGCCTGGCTTTACTGAACCACAGAGAAACAAATAAACATTTACTATTATATGTCACTGACATGTTGTTTGTGCACAAGAGACCAATACAGACATTATAAATTTTATGTAAATAAGTTTATTTATTTATTTTTTTGAGACAGAGTTTTCGCTCTGTTGCCCAGGCTGGAGTGCAGTGGTGCAATCTCAGCTCACTGCAACCTCTGCCTCCTGGGATCAAGTGATTCTCCTGTCTCATCAGCCTCCCCAGAAGCTGGGATTACAGGTGCATGCCACCACACCTAGCTAATTTTTGTATTTTTAGTAGAGATGGGTTTTTTTGCCATGTTGGCCAGGCTGGTCATGAACCCCTGACCTCAGGTGATCAGTCTGCCTCGGCCTCCCAAAGTGCTGGGATTACAGGCATGAGCCACCACGCCCGGCCTATGTCAATAAGTCTAAAATTAGGCAAAATGAAAAAATTATTAGAAAAAAATTAACATTCACATAACTGACTCAAGAAATAATAAAAGCTATCTCATAGCCACTAAAGAAATTGAAGAATGTTTTTTAAATTCCAAAAAATAAAATGCCAGGCACAAATGGTTTTAATGACAAGTTGTGCCAACATTTCAAGCTGTTCTATTTCCAAAAATTAGAAAACAAAGGTACATTCCTCAATGTTATTTTATCAGACTAGAAAACCTTCATAATAAAACCTGGTGAAAAGAATAATAAGAAAAAAATTATAGATCAAGTTCACTGATAAACAGAAATATAAGTAAGAGTCAACAGAATATTCACAAATCAAACCCAGCACCAAACAAAAAGGATAATACTTGACCAAACTGAAGTTATTCCAGAAACACAAAGCTGTTAACTAGAAAAAAAAAATCCATCAATATGCCATGTTAACAGATTAAAGGAAAAAAAAATCATAAATCATTTCAATAAATACAGAAAAAACAACATTAAAAACTTAACATCCATTCACAATAAAAAAAACTAGGAATTAAAGGGAAATTACTTAGTCTGATAGAGGTTATCTATAAAAATCTTAACAGCAAACATGATACTTAACTATGAAATACTGAAAGTTTTCCCACAGAAAGGAAACATTATGTTACAGTAAACATTATAATGGTGTCCTAAACAGCACATTAAAACAATTATATAAACACGTTAAGTATAAATAATAGAAATAACAAAACTGAATTGACTCACAGATGGTATGACTACGTACATGAGTAAGTTATTAATAAGAGTTTAGCAAGGTGGTTGTATTTAAAATCAATATGTAAATATCAACTATTTCTACATGCCAGTGATTCCTCAGAAAGTGGAAATAAAAATATAATACCATTAAAGACGCACCTAGGAATGGAACTACGAAGAGATATGCATGACCTCTATGATGAAAATTTTAAAACATTTTATTATAAGACATTAAAGAAGTCTGGATGTTGATTATTAGAAAAGTTAATATTACAAAGATAACAACTTTTCCCCAAATTAACCTAGAGATTCAATGCACTACCAATCAAAACCCCACAAGGCTTTTTTTTTTTTTTTTTTTTGAGAGAACTTCACAACCTATGCTAAAATTTATATGAAAGTAATAAAGGTCATCATCAGCCAAAGCATTCTTTCTTTTTTTTTTTTTTTTTTTTGAGATGGAGTTTCACTCTTGTTGCCCAGGCTGGAGTGCAATGGTGCGATCTCGGCTCACTGCAACCTCCGCCTCCTGGGTTCAAGCAATTCTCCTGCCTCAGCCTCCCAAGTAGCTGGGATTACAGGCATGTGCCACCACGCCCGACTAATTTTGTATTTTTAGTAGAGACAGGGTTTCACCATGTTGGTCAGGCTGGTCTCAAACTCCCGACCTCAGGTGATCCACCCGCCTCGGCCTCCCAAAGTGCTGAGATTACAGGCGTGAGCCACTGCGCCCGGTCCAGCCAAAGCATTCTTAAAGAACAGAAGAATAACAAGGAGTCACTTTACCCCAAATAGAAGAAGTTATTATGGTGTCTATATAGTGTTTAGTGGCACAGGGGCAGGCATATAGATTGAAAAATTAGAGATCACAGAAAGAGATCCATGTACATACAACAGCTTATGGCAACAGTGACACCATACAGTAGGAGGGTGAAGAATTTTCAAAAATGGAGCTAGACAGGGGGATTCTTGGAAAATCGTGGAATAAGAAGCACCGAGAATCTGTTTCCCACCTAGACAACAATTACACTGACAGAATCTGTCTGAGAGAACCATTCTGCAACTCTGGAGTCTATGCACGGTTTGTTATTTCCAAGAGAAGAGTTGGATGGCAAATTCTGGTTAATTTCAACTTCGGATCTTAGCATGGTAGCAGTTACCCACTCCTTACTCCTGTGTAATGCAGCCATGAACAGCTTCCAGGAGCAGCCTGTATGCAACTTGTAGAAGCCAGGGTGGGCAATAACGACTTTGTCTGTTTTAGGAACTGGTGCCCTGATCAATGATTGGTGCTTCTGATCACCAAGGTGCAGAAAGGCAGGCAATCACTGTTGTATACTCTCCCATTCTGGCTAAAGAGACTTCCAAGGAATTCAAAGGGCTGATGCCTTTCTCTTTTTTTCTTCTACTCTCCTTCCACCCCCACCTTTCATTTTTTCCTTGTTTCTTTGGGGAGCCAGGCATTTAAGGTCTACAACATTAAAAAGCAACCACATTTATGGGTGAATTTAGAATGTCACTGTGCATTAGCAGGGAAAGGTATAGGCTAAGAAAAGACCTCATTTTTATACCTCAGGGTGACTCCTGACACAGATAAAACCTACAATGATCAAAAACCAAAAATCAGCAAACTCTGGCAAAGGGGGAGAATCTGATTTCCAGTTACCATATTATTAAATGTCCAGTTTTCAAAAAACATCACAAGACATACAAAGTAGTAGGAAAGGGTGGCCCATTCAAAGAAAATATAAGCCAACAATAGAAACTATCCCTGAGAAAGGTCAAATGGCAGACCTAAAAGACAAAGACTAAATCAAACATCCTAAAGATGCTCAAAGAACTAGAGTAAGACGTGTAAAAAGAAAAAAAAAATGTATGAACAAAACGGAAATATCAATCAAAAAGAAAAACTAAAAAAAAAGTTTGGGCCGGGCGCGGTGGCTCACGCCTGTAATCCCAGCACTTTGGGAGGCCGAGGCGGGCAGATCACGAGGTCAGGAGATCGAGACCACCCCGGCTAAAAAAACGGTGAAACCCCGTCTCTACTAAAAATACAAAAAATTAGCCGGGCGTAGTGGCGGGCGCCTGTAGTCCCAGCTACTTGGGAGGCTGAGGCAGGAGAATGGCGTGAACCCGGGAGGCGGAGCTTGCAATGAGCTGAGATCGCGCCACTGCACTCCAGCCTGGGCGACAGAGCGAGACTCCGTCTCAAAAAAAAAAAAAAAAAGTTTGGAGTTGGAAAGTACAATACCTGAAATAAAAAATACACTAGAGAGATTTGAAGGCAGATTTCAGCAAGCAGAAGAAAAATCAGCAAACGTAAAGATAGGACAGTTGCAATTATTGAGTCTGTGGAACAGAAAATCTTAAAAAAAGTGCAGAGAGCCTAGGGGAACCATAGGATACCATTAAGCAGACCAACATAAGCACTGTAGAATTCTCAGAAGAATAGAGCAAGAGAGAGACTATTTGAAGAAGTAATAGCCAAAAACTCCCAAATATGGGGAAAGACATGAATCTAAACATCCATAAGCCCCAATGAATTCTACGCAGGATAAACTCAGAGACCAGAGACACACAGTTCAATCAAAATGCTGAAAGACAAAGAATCTTGAAAGCAGCATGAAAGAAGCAGGTTGTCATACACAAAGGATTCTCAATAAAATACTTAAGAACTGAATTCAGCAGCACACTAAAAGGGTTACATACTATGACCACGACCAAGTGAGAGTTATTCCTAGAATGCAAACCTGGTTCAACATATGAAAATTAATATATGTAATCAATGTAATATATCAAATTAACAGATTGAAGGAGGAAAAGACACACACAATCATCTGAATTGATGCAGAAAAAGCACTTGCTTTTCCTGTAAGATCAGGAATAAGGATGCCTGCTTTCACCACTTCTATTCAACATAATCTTGGAAGTTCTAGCCAGAGCAATTTTGCAAGAATAAGAAATAAAATGCTGCGTGCAGTGGCTCATGCCTGTAATCCCAGCACTTTGGGAGGCCAAGGTGGGCAGATCACCAGTGGTCAGGAGTTCAAGACCAGCCTGACCAACATGTAGAAACCCCATCTCTACTAAAAATACAAAATTAGTCGGGTGTGGTGGCACATGCCTGTAATCCCAGCTACTTGGGAGGCTGAGGCAGGAGAATCGCCTGAACCCAGGAGGCAGAGGTTGCGGTGAGCCGAGATCACGCCATTGCACTCCAGCCTGGGCAACAAGAGCAAAACTCCACCTCAAATAAATAAATAAATAAAAGGCATTCATTCAAATTGGAAAGAAAAAAAAAATCTCTGTATGCAGATGATATGATCATATATGTAGAACACACTAAAGATTCCACACAAAAATTGTTAAAACTAATAAACTTTGCAAAGCAGGAGGATACAAAATCTACACACAAAAATTAGCTGAATTTCTATACATTAACAATGAACAATTTGGAAGGAAATAAAATTTTATTTAAAACCTATCATAAAGAATAAAATTCTTAGGAATTAACAAGAAGGCAAAAGATTTGTAAAATAAAACTAAAAAATACTGGTGGAAAGACATTAGAGACAAATAAATGGAAAGAAACAGCATGGTCATGGACTGGAAGACAAATTGTTAAGATGTCAATGCTACCCAAAAGAATGTACAGACTCGGCCAGGTGTGGGGGCTCACGCCTGTAATCCCAACACTTTGGGAGGCCGAGGTGGGCGGATCAACTGAGGTCGGGAGTTCGAGACCAGCCTGACCAACATGGAGAAACCCCATCTCTACTAAAAACACAAAATTAGTCGGGCAAGGTGGCGCATGCCTGTAATCCCAGTCACTTGGGAAACTGAGGCAGGAGAATCGCTTGGTCCCGGGAGGCAGAGGTTGCAGTGAGCCAAGATCATGCCATTGCATTCCAGCCTGAGCAACAAGAGCAAAACTCCATCTCAAAATAAATAAATAAATAAATAAATAAATAAATAAATAAATAAAATTCAAATAGATCAAAGACCTAAATGTAAAAGGTAAAACTATAAAACTCTAAGAAGCAAACAGGGAAATGCTTCATGACATTGGATTTGGCAATGATTTCTTAGATATGACACCAAATGCATAGCCAACAAAAGAAAAAATAAACAAACTGGACTTTATACAATTTTAAAGCTTCATGCATCAAAAGACACTATCTATAGAATACAACCCACAGAATGAAAGAAAATATCTGCAAATATCTGATAAGGGATTAGTATCTAGAATATATAGAGAACTCTGAAAACTCAACAACAACAAAACAGCCAGATTCAAAAATGGGAAAAACACTTTAATTGACATTTCTCCTAAAGATGTACAAATGGTCAACAAGTATATAAAAATATGCTCAGCTCACTAATCATTGGGAAAATGCAAATCAAAACCACAGGAGATAACATGTTACACGTATTAAAATAGGTATTATAAAAAAAAAAAGAAAAAGGCAAAATGAGAAAATAACAGTGTTGGTGAGGATGTAGAGAAACTGAAACCCTGTACACTTTTGGTGGAAATATAAAACAGGGCAGTTACTATGAGAAACAGTATGGCAGTTCCTACAAAAATTAAAAACAGAATTGCCATATGAACCACCAATTCCACTTCTGGGTATATGCCCAAAAGAACTGAAAGTGGGGTCCTGAAGGGATGTTTTTATATTCATGTTCATAGCAACAATATTCACAATAAGATAAAACACAAAAGTAACCCAAGTGTCCATCAAAAGATGAATGCACAAGCAAAATTAGCATATACACACAATGGAATGCTGTTCAGCCTTTTAAAGGGAGGAAATTCTGACATATATAGAAGGAAATTCTACAACATGGGTGAACCTTGATGACACTACGCTGAGTGAGATAAGTCAGTCACCAAAAGACAAACACTGTAAGAGTCTACCTATATGAGATACCTACAGGAGTTAAATTCACAGAGACAGGAAGTAGAATGGTGGTTGCCACAAGAGAGTATGGAGAATAGGGAGTCATTGTTTAATGGGTATAGAGCTTCAGTTTTGCAAGATAAAAAGAATTCTAGAGATGAATGGTGATGATGGTTTCACAACAATATTAATGTACTTAATACCATGGACTGTATACTTAAAAATAGTTAAGGTGGTAAATTTTGTTGTATGTATTTCCCACAAAAACTTTTAATGGTGCTAGGGTAATTGACTATTTATATTTTTAAAAAGTTGATTCCTTACTTGAACATTATACTGTCCTCCACAAAATAAATCAACTTCAGATAACTTACAGACCTCCATGTAAAAGGCAACACTATGTTTTTGAAGATAACAGAGATGATTACTTTTATGCCTTCAGGTAGGAAAATATTTCTTAGAAAATAAATGGCACTATTAAGTAAAATATTAATAAATTCATCTACATTAATATCTAAAACTTCTGTTCATTGAAAGACAACAGAATGAAAATGACAAGGTAAGGCAAAACATGGAAAGACATCTGTAAAACATATGCCCAATAAAGAACTTTTATCCCTGTATTGAGAAACATTATGAACTTGTATCTACACTATATAAATAACTACTATGAATCAATTTTTATATCCTGAGGAAATGTAAGTGGCCAATAAACATATGAAAAGGTACTCAAGTAAGTCATGGAAATGTATATTCAAATTATGAAATAACAATAAATATCCAAGAAATTAGCAAAAAGTCTGACAATACTAACTGGTGATAAGTACAAGAGCATCAGGAATTCTCATACACTGCTAATGGGAATACAAACTGGTAAAACCACATGGGAAATATGGTTTAACCTACAAAATTCAAATTAAGTGTCCTCTATAACCCAGTAATTCCATTCTGGGTATATATGAAGGTTAACATATACCATATAATAAAAGTGCAAAGCAACATTATTCATAATTGCCAAAACTGGCAACATGCAAATGTCCATCAGCAATAGAATGAGTATATTATATATGTATAAAATTGAATAAAAAACATTAATGAGGCCTAATGATGGAGAACCATAACTACATAAAAATCATAAAAGTCTGATGTTAAGAGGAAAAAAAGAATCACCAAAGAATACTTACAGTGTGATTACATGCATTTGAAGCTAATAGTTGATAAAACTAAACTATTGTATAGCTATACATACAAGGTAGAAAAACATTAAGCAAGGTGATCAAAATTAAGTTATGTGGTCAAAAAAGGTACATTTTGCTACTTGGGAGTCTGCTCAATTTAATTCCCCCAAAGATGAAGCTCAACTCAAAGACTCTTCTATTTATTCCCAAGACCTAAGAATCAACAGATGAAGCTCAATGTCAAAGACTCTTCTGTTTACTCCCAAGAACTCAGAATAAGGAGAATTAGGAGATTATTGGTTTAATTATGCCAATCAAACTTTCATCACATTAATTCTGTCTTAATTAACTGGTCGATCTCTTCACCCTTTAAGGAAAAAAGGTAAGCCTGGGCAACATAATGAGACCTTGTTGCTACTAAAAATTAAAAAAATAAAATTAGCTGGGCATGGTAGTGCATGCCTGCAGTCCCAGCTACTCAAAAGCCTGAGGCAAGAGGATCACTTGAGCCCAGGAGATTGAGGCTGCAATAAGCCATAATTGTGGTACTCCAGACTGGGTGACAGAGCAAGACTCTATCACCCCAAAAAGGAAAGAAAAGAAAAGAAAAAAAGGTGGAAAAGAGAAAGAAAGAAGCCTTTCGAGTGTGATATCAACTACAATAAATATAATATTACATATACACTATTAACATCTTGCCTCAGCTAAATCTGTTCAAGTAAAAATAAATAAAATAACAGTAAAAAAGATGTTTCTCCTGTTACTATGACTCCTCAGTGGCAAAATAGGTATTTGGGGGCAGAATGTGTTTCCTCAGATTATTAGGATCTCTGAAACAATTCAATAAGCAATCCCTAAACAACTGCAGTTTAGAGACCAAAATGCTCTTTTACATAACACCTTACCGTCCACAAGCAATCTCAGTGACAATGCTTCCCATAAGTTCAAAAACTTTCCTTGGGTTTATTTCATGACTGGTAGAATTATGGCCCAACTGACCATACCCTCCAGCTCCAAAAGTAAACACTCCACCTTCCTAAAAAAAGACAAAACCCCTTATCATTAGAAGGCATGATAAAAGAAAATAACTGATCTCCAGAAAAATAAGTCCAAATCTTTAATATAAACTCAGTTTTTTCTCTTCTAAGAACTGTCTTCACAATTTAACAGACAGATGGCTCTTTCAAAGTAAAATGTCATAAAACTATGAGAATTCCAGGTAATGATGTTTTCACCGTTATAAAATATTTAGACACTGAAGAGATACAAATAATTATTTATTTGCATTGCCTTTCATTATCATTATACTGTCTTGCTGAATTCCACATACATATATATAATTTCACGAAACCTAAAAACGGTATCATCTTCACTTTTCAAGGTAGTTACTGCCTTACATAAATGCGCTGCAAAAAGAGTACATGTAACCAGAGTGCATAAATAGAGCAATTTTTATTTACTTATTAATTTTTTCAGACAGGGTCTTGCTCTATCACCCAGGCTTGAGTGCCGTGGCATGATCATGGCTCACTGCAGCCTCAACCTCGTGGGCTCAGGTGATCCTCCCACCTCAGCCTCCTAAGTAGCTGGGAGTGCAGGCATGCACCACCACATCTGGCTAATTTTTTACTTTTTTGTAGAGATGGGGTTTTCCTGTATTGCCCAGGCTGGTCTCGAACTCCTGGGCTCAAGCAATCCTCTTGCCTTGGCTTCCCGAAGTGCTGGGATTACAGGCATGAGCCACCATGCATGGCCTTATAGAAATTTTTAGCATACAGCTGCTATAATATACAGATGTTTTTAAAAAAAACTCCCTATAAAAACATATAACTGAAGCAGGTGGATCACTTGAGCTCAAGAGTTTGAGACTAGCCTGGCCAACATGGTGAAACTCTGTCTCTACTTAAAACACAAAAATTAGGGCCAGATGTGGTGGCTCACGCCTGTAATCCCAGCACTTTGGGAGGCCGAGGCAGGTGGATCACGAGGTCAGGAGATCGAGACCATCCTGGCTAAAAAGGTGAAACCCTGTCACTACTAAAAATGCAAAAAAATAGCCAGGCATGGTGGCACAGACCTGGAGTCCCAGCTACTTGGGAGGCTGAGGCAGGAGAATTGCCTGAACCCGGGAGGCAGAGGTTGCAGTGAGCCGAGATCACGCCACTGCACTCCAGCCTGGGCGACAGAAAGACTCCGTCTCAAAAAAAAAAAATTAGTTAGGCATGGTAGTGGGTGCCTGTAGTTCCATCTACTTTGGACGCTGAGGCAGAATCGCTTGAACCCAGGAGGCACAGCTTGCCATGGGCCGAGATCATACCACTGCACTCCAACCTGGGCAACAAAGCGAGACTCTGTCACAAAACAAACAAACAAAAAAACATATAATATATAACTAATTAAATAACTAAATTATAACTAAATTAGAAGTTCTGTATTGGAAAAAATCTGTGATAACACAATCACAATTAGTATTCTTCAGTTCAACTGCTTTTCTTCATAACTGTAGCTATATATGCAACTTTATATCCTGCTTTCATCATTTAATAGCGTTACTACATACTGTTATATGAGAACATTCATTTTTCTTTTTTTATCACAGAAAATTTCAAGCAAATACACAAGGTAAAGAGAAAATATAGTAAATCACCATATAACCATCACTCAGTTTCAATAACTGGCAAAAGGTTGGTTATTTTGTTTCACTGGTGTCTCCCTTTCCCTTTTGGGGGTATTTTCAAACAAAACAAAAAGAACTTGAGTACTTTAAAGCAAATTGTGGTCATCAAATCATTTCACCCACAAATGTGTATCTTCAACAGCATATATCTGTAACCGACAAAAGTATATAACCACCATACTATACCACGTTCACAAAATCAATACTAATTTCTTAATATCAGCTAATAACTAGGCCATGTTTAAATCTTCCTGATTATTTTATTGCATCATGTCACAAAGCATATGTCTGCTTTGTTAGTGAAGTTAAAAATAACTAAGTCGGGTGGGGCACGGTGGCTCACGCCTATAATCCCAGCACTTTGGGAGGCTGAGGCGGGTGGATCATTTGAGGACAGGAGATCAAGGCCATCCTGGCCAACATGCTGACACTTCGTCTCTACTAAAAATACAAAAATTAGCTGGGCGTAGTGGTGTGTGCCTGTAATCCCAGCTACTCGGGAGGCTGAGGCAGGAGAATCACTTGAATCCAGGAGATGGAAGCCTGAAGTGAGCCAAGATCACACCACTGCACTCCAGCCTGGGCAACACAGTGAGACTCCATCTCAAAAAGAAAAAAATTATATATATATATCACATATTTTTATTATATATATATTTATTATATTTTTAATTATATATATATATATATAATAAAAATAAGTCAAAGTGTGTCAGCCTGATACATCCCCATTAGGTTTAATGGTCTTTGCCTAGATCCATTATTTCATCAGGGAGTGTAAAATGGTGATTTTTCTAGTTGCATTATTTTTCCTAGCGTTATGAGCTGGAATTCTTCTATAAATAACTTAACTCATTAACTATTAAATTACCTAAAATACAATTTGCAAATGAAAGGCAGAATACTTGATTCTTTCCCATTATTGACCAGTTAAAAAAAAAAAAATGAGTGTTGTCCTAGCAACTTCCAAAGGTAAGCAATAAGTTTTGCTTATATTGATTTGCAAGAAGAGAAGATCACTACAAAAATTCATGGATTTTTTTATAGATCTGATGTTTTCCATTTTTTGCAGTCATTATTTCTTCTCGATATCCAGTGAAAGCTCCTTCAAGTTGTTCTTCTGAGAGCACCGTAGTAATCTTTGCTTTTTTGTAACACAAAATGCCCAAAGGTATTCTTATACATATTTTTTGCCCTAGACATGGGATCAGACTCTTCTCTAAGAAGCCCTGGTTCCTTTTAGTGGAGAATCTACAACAATCAAGGGATTATCATTGTGTCCAGATTATACATGGTTCATCACTTCTAGGACCTTTCACTCGTTATGGCAAAACAAAAACAAAAACAAAACAAAAAGCATATTCTTGGAGAAAAATAAATGAGTTCATACTAACACTTGCGATTCAAAGTAAAGATCACAAGGTTTTAATTCCTATAGTTTTAGATCTATCTCTTTTCTCTTAAGCTGAAAATCATAGTTTATAATACAGTAAAATAACTACTTCTTTGCTTTCTCCTATTTATATGTAATATATTGGAATTTATTTGCTATTAGCAAATTTACTTCTAGCAGTAAGACTACAGAATGCACACTTGTAATTCCAGCATTTTGGGGGGCTGAGGTGGGAGGCTCGCTTAAAACCAGGAGTACCAGACCAGCCTAGGCAATAAAGCGAGACACCATCTCTACAAAAAATAAAAAATAAAAAAATTAGCCAGGCACAGTGGCGCCCGTAGCTCCAGCTACTCAGGAGACTGAGGTGGGAGGACTGCTTAAGCCCAAGAATTCGGTCATAGCTTCAGTGCACTATGACTGTGCCACTGCACTCCAACTTGAGCAAGAGTGAGACCCCCATCTCAGAAAAAAAAAAGTTACAGAATGCAGTTTAAGGGCCAGGCGCAGTGGCTCACGCCTATAATCCTAGCATTTTGGGAGGCCAAGGCAGATGGATTTCTTGAGGTCAGGAGTTCAAGACCAGCCTGGCTAACATGGTGAAACCCCATCTCTACTAAAAATACAGAAAATTAGCCAGGTGTGGTGATGCATGCCTGTAGTCCCAGGTACTCAGGAGGCTGAGGCAGGAGAATCACTTGAACCCAAGAGGTGGACGTTACAGTGGGCCGAGATCGCACCACTGTACTCCAGACTGGGTGACAGAACAAGACTCCATCTCAAAAAAAAAAGAAAAAGAATGCAATTTAAGATTTCTTTGTGGATTTAGTTTATCCTTAGTGTATTTCCCCCTAGTGATATACAGCAAAATGCTGTATTTTAAAATCACCTAAAATAATTATTTCTGGTGTAGTTGTGCCACTAACTTGTTAGTTTTCAATTTTTAAGGACGAATATTTATATAATTTTTATATATTATATATATTTTTATTTATATAATTTACATATAATTTTTACATATATATATAACACTTTGTTTTTTTTTTTTGAGACAGAGTCTCGCTGTCGACCAGGCTGGAGTACAGTGGCACAGCCTCAGCTCACTGCAACCTCCACCTCCCAGGTTCAAGCGATTCTCCTGCCTCAGCCTCCCGACTACCTGGGATTACAGGCGCCTGCCACCACGCCCGGCTAATTTTTTGTATTTTTAGTAGAGACAGAGTTTCACCACGTTGGCCAGGATGGTCTCGAACTCCTGACCTCGTGATCTGCCTGCCTTGGCCTCCCAAAGCACTGGGATTACAGGTGTGAGCCACTGTGCCCAGCCATAATTTTGCTTTTTAATCACATGTAACAGTTTCTAGATTCCAAAGTCAAAAATTGTAAGGCAAGGCACATTTGTTCTGGCTATTAATTTTAAATTTACTGTATTTTTAAAAACATATAAGGCCGGGTGCAGGATTACACACCTGTAATCCCAGCATTCTGGGAGGCAGAGGCGGGCAGATCACTTGAGGTCAGGAGTTCAAGACCACCCTGGCCAACAGGGTGAAACCCCATCTCTACAAAAAAATACAAAAAATAGCCGGGTGTGATCGTGCATGCCTATAATCCCAGCTACTTGGGAGGCTGAGGCATGAGAATCACTTGAACCTGGGAGGCAGAGGTTGCAGTGAGCCAAGATCACACCACTGTACTCCAGCCTGGGTGACAGAGTGAGACCGTGTCCAAAAACAAAAACAAAAACAAACAAATATACATGGCATATGATATATGTTCATATTTTGGTCCCTTTCTTACAGAAAGCTGTTCCATACACCTTGCTCTTTTCACTTAGCAATATATCCTAGAAATCATTCCACAGCATAAATACCTCATTCTGTTTTACACTTCACTGTACTTCATTACAGGGATGTACCACAATTTATTTAACTCATGGACATTTGGATTTCTTCTAGTCTTTTGCCATTAAAAGGTCACAGTAAATGGTCTTGTGCACACACAATTTCAAATCTTTGGGGTAGATTCCTAAAAGTGGGACTGCTACATCAAAATGTGTATTTGTATGTGATTTACAGAATACATCTGCAAATAAACTTGAAAAAAATGTGACATCTTTATGGAAGTATCCTCATATCTATAAACATGGTATGTCTTTCCATTTATTCTGTTTTTAAAAGTTGGTTTTAAAATCTTTCCTAATGCAGTTTTCCTAAGGTAGGTTTTGTACAGAAAACTGCTTCATAAAGCAATCTTAATCTATTTACTATTTCCAAGAAATTCTTCCAGAAAAGCAAGACATATGGATATGGAACAGGTATTTTAACTTAAATAAAGGGAAAATAAAATATTTTACTTTGGGGATATTAACAACTATCTAATTTTGTTAAAAATAATGTACACCCAAAATTCCAATAAACAAATATCACTAGCTACTATCTTCTGAGAGAAGAATACAAAAGATTAAGAGAATTAGCATTTCTTAAAACTAAATAGACATAAAAAGTTACTTATCCTAGAACATTAGGATGAATGGTTATCTGAAAGGCTGAATTTGAAAAGCATTAACATTGTTAGTCTTTCTGCCATAAAATTAGTTTTTGGAATGACACCACACATGATATTTTTTATATTTTGATAAATTTCTTCCAAATACCAATAACGAAAAAGGACGAGTAAAATTTAAGACTCGCCAACAGGAATAAATAAGACTTCAGTGATTACATTTGTTATCTGAATGCCAAAATCAATAAAATATGATATTAGGTTGGTGCAAAATTAATTGCAGTTTTTACCATTAATGGCAAAAAAATGAAATTACTTTTGCGCCAACCTAATAATAAGATTGGCAGGTATAATAATCCTTCCTTACTAAAAGGCAAGTACTACAAAATACTTTAAAATTAACTTTCATAATTGGTCATTATATTTTTAAAAGTGCCTTGAGTTCACTATATTTGACAATAACGAAGAATAATTATTGTCCTGCTAAAATTCCCAAGTAGAAATATAATGTAGAATTTTAAAGCCTGATTAGAAGTTAATGCCTCTTTTTTTTTGAAACGAGGTCTCACTCTTTGTCTCCCAGGCTGCAGTGCAGTGGTGTGATCTCAACTCACTGCAAACTCCGCCTCCTGGGTTCAACTGATTCTCCTGCCTCAGCCTCCGGAGTAGCTGGGGATAGGTGCCTGCCGCCATGCCCAGCTAACTTTCGTATTTTTAGAAGAGACAGAGTTTCACCAAGTTGGCCAGGCTGGTCTTGAAGTCCTGACCACAGGTGATCCACCTGCCTCAGCCTCCCAAAGTGCTGGGATTACAGGCATGAGCCTCTGTGCCCGGACGTTAATGTCTTTTTACCAATTTTATATACTATGTAAGACCAAAAAAGATAAAGAAATTTAACCAGTTTCTAATTTGACCAATGAAAAACTTTACATTAACATGACTGCAATAAATAATTATCTGGTAAAGGTTAACTGAATGCTTTCATTTTCATCTAACTTCTAGTCACTCAAGAACTAAACAGTACTGATACTCAATTGGCACATACCCAAGACAGTGAGAGGTCAGAGTTAAAGCCATTGATAAGACTGTGATCACTGTAACTGCTTGCACAATACTTGGCCTATGAATAACAGAGAAATTCATCTCCTCTATTGCTTGTATGAAGTATTTATAAGCCAAATGGAAACTACATTCAAATTAGGCTGAGCTACACGATATAAATGGGTTTGATGCATATATCATGGCAAGCTTAATGAACTAAAACGGAATAATTTTATTCAAAGTATGACCTTAAGCAGTATTTCATATAAAGCTGAGAAATTCAGCAATATACTATCATCACATATAATAGTATATCAGAATTCACATTTAATAACATAAAACAACATTGAAAAATAAGGTAAATTTTTTTCAAGAATAATCTAAGTCTTTTTTCCCAGATAAATTATTTTTGAAATACCAATAACACTCAAGTTAAAACTTGAGAAAATACCATGAGAACATTCATTAATTATGAAAGAACTATGATGAGTAATAATAAAGAAGTTTTAGAAGTACAATACCTTGGTTAGAGCAGCAGTATGATCTTCTCCACAACAAATATAAACTATTTTCTGAGATCTTAGTGACTTTAGTAAATTAGGAACATACCTATCTGAAAATTCCAACAAGAGATGTTAATAGTATTTTAAAAATCAAAACTCATCTAGATGTGTTTCCTCTACAGCTTGCCAAGCTCAGTAGATAGTTGTGACTAAATAATTTTAACTATGATTCGATGATTTTGTAGTACAAGCTTACTAAGTCAGGTTCCCAGGCCTATCCATACTATTGTGATAAAGGAGGGACTTAAGAGTTAAGTGCTAAACAGCCAATATGCCAGTATGCAAAGGACTCAGAAATCAAGAAATTTCAAAATTATCTAACTGCTTCTAATTTTCCACACATACATCATTCTTTATATTCACTTCATGATAGTTACACCCACAGGAGCCTACTTAAAAGCCTGGAAAAAAAAATGTACTTTAGGCTGTTTTGTAGCAGAAAAGATACATGATATCCTAATATGACATATTTTTCTTATGCAAAACAAGGTATTCTTTAATTCTTTCTGAAAGTATTGTTTGCTTATCATTACTAGTTGTTACTAGATTAATAACTCACTTTTGTCCATTTCAGTCATTACAATTATACTGAACTATAAGAAATTAGCTTTTGTAAGTCAAATACTGGCATTCAACTCAATGTAATCATGAAAAATAAGTTCCAAGATCCCAACTTGTTTCAGTTACAATTTTTTCAAATTCAAAATGTTTAAGACTTTAGCATCAATGTTAAAAGTGAAGCCCAACCAAAGATTAATTTAACAGCCCAAATCATTTAAATATTTCCTTGAAAAACTCAAAGATTAACACTTCATGTTACTTCCCCAGAATAATTTTACAGCTTTTTTCCACTAACAGTGGCCAATAATGGATTAACAATTTGAAGTAATGTTTTTCAATTGTCTTTTAATAAACATCCAATACTAAACATTTTGTCCAGATATACTTTTTATAGTTCTTTAATGAATAAAGGATATTTTGTATCTTCCCACTGCATTCCCCAAATGGAATTTTTAAATAACATCTCATCCCCACCTCTATACCAGGGAAGATACATTTCTCTCTTACACTAAGAATCACTGATCTAACTCAAAAGACCATCTCTTTCAAAAAGTACACTTAAACTATACATAATGAGAACCTACCATTTTCATCATTAAGACCTAGCTGACCAAACTTGTTGCGTCCCCATCCAAAGATAGCTCCAGAAAGGGTGAGTACAAAACTATGGGCTCCTCCTGCTGCAACTTGCATGAAAGGGATTCCAAGCAAAGACTTAAGCAGCTGCGGTGAAGTTTGCTTTTTACAGTCAGTACCTAAACCCAATTGGCCATATTTATTCTGTCCCCAACAGAAGACTTCACTTGCTGTAAAACAGTAATGGAAAAATTAACCATTTTTCTCACATGCAAAAAATTTAATTTGAAAATAATCATTTCATTTCAAATTTCATATAAAGAATATTATTTTGGGACATTCTGCCTATCATCAAAAGAATATAAATATTATTTTTAGCAATTATACTTATTTCTTATATGAACATATACTACTACCTAGAAGAACATTCAGTATTAGTACACTTTAAGTTTGATTGACTACACAGATGAACCGGTGAATCACATAACAAGGAATAATCTCATTTCCTTATGCCCCTCAACAGTCTCCTTTTAATATTCAAGTCTCATTTTTATTTTATAGTTTCTCCCAAGAGGCACTCATTCAAGCTCAAACTTTAATAACTATCTGCTGATCACATTCAAAATTTTAACACTAGCCCAAACCTCTCCTGAGCAAAAAACCCACATAACCCATTGTTTACCTGACACTATACTTGGAAATTTCAAAGGAACTTCTAACTTAGGATGCCCCAGACTGAATTCATGACCCCCATCCTACTTCCCTGGACCTCTTTCCAGTGCTCCCCATTTTGGTAAGTAACATCCTAAGTGACTCAGTAGCAAAAATTATAAACCTAGGGAGTCTTCCTTAATACTCCTCTCTCTTTTTTTTTTTAACCTCACACATATCCAGTCTATCATATATCACCAAATTTACATCCAGTTTTCTTCCTAAAGAAAAATACGGCAAATAGATCCATTCCTCACCATCTTAACTGATTCCTATAATAGTTTTCCCTGCCTGTCACTTTTGCTCCCATATTGCCATCGTATTTTGCAACTTTAGACATCCTTTTATTAAACTAACAACTGCACTAAATAACTGATACACTAATAACTGATTTTTTTAAGTTGAAACAACAAAATAGTACACACTTAAAAGTAAGCTTCCTTCCAAAAAAATCAGAATCCTGGTTCCTCTTTCAAGAGACAACCACTCTTTTTTTTTTTTTTTTGAGACAGTCTTGCTCTGTCGCCCAGGTTGGAGTGCAGTGGCGCAATCTTCACTCATTGCAACCTCCATCTCCCGGGTTCAAGTGATTCTCCTGCCTCAGCCTTCTGAGTAGCTGGGATTACAGGCGCGTGCCACCATGCCTGGCTAATTTTTAAAAAATATTTTTAGTAGAGGCAGGGTTTCACCATGGTGGCGAGGCTGGTCTCGAACTCCTGACCTAGTGATCTGCCCACCTCGGCCTCCCAAAGTGCTAAGATTACAGGTGTGAGTTACCACACCCAGCCTGGGACAATCGCTCTTACCAATTACTGGTAAGTCCTTCAAGAAATGTTCTATGCACATATAAATAGACATTTGTATACATGCATAGAGATATTGTAAAAATGCAGATTTGATAATATTGCTCACCCCAAAAAATATATTTCAGTGCTTTCTCACTGCTCTTGGGATAAACACTTTAAACAAGGCCTATAAGGTGCTGTATGATCTACCTATGTTTCCAATCTCTTCTCATATCAGTCACTCACTATACTCTAGCCGTATTGCCTTCCTTTATATTCTCCAATGGCCAGTTCTCACACACTTGCTGTTCTCTCTACCTAAACCTTTCCCTCATCTTTGTCCAGTTCATTTCAACTCTCTCCCAGCAGGAGCCTTCCTTCCCTGATCTCCCAGATTAGGTCTAGTACCGCTGTCCTATGTTCTAAATACCCTGAAGTTTTTCTTTATAGCCCTTATCATAGTATGTAATTATATCATTATTGAATGACTATATCACGAAGGCTAGTAAGTAGTATACTGCTTATTACTGTATACTGTAGTATGCCTAGTTCATACTAAGGGCTCTAAAAAATGTTTAGCGGCTGGGCACAGTGGCTCACGCCTGTAATCCCAGCACTTTGGGAGGCTGAGGCGGGAGGATCACCAGGTCAGGAGATCGAGACCATCCTGGCTAACACAGTGAAACTCCACCTCTACTAAAAAAAAACGCAAAAAATTAGCCAGGCCTGGTGGCAGGCGCCTGTAGTCCCAGCTACTAGGGAGGCTGAGGCAAGAGAATGGCGTGAACCCAGGAGGCGGAGCTTGCAGTGAGCCGAGATCATGCCACTGCACTCCAGCCTGGGTGACAAAGGGAGACTCCATCTCAAAAAAAAAAAAAAAAAGTTTAGCAAATGAATAAGATATTGCCTACACCACAAAGCTGAGTAAACAAACAAACAAAAAGGTCAATATGAAAAACTGTCCTCAGTAAAACCTTTGAGTTTAAATTTATGTTAGATCCACCTACCAAAATATCAAAAGAGGAGTTGGCAAAACAACAAAGAATACACAGAGATTCCATGTTCCTAACTGCCTATAGAAGTCCAAATTCCTTAATATGACATTTAAGGCCCTTTATAACAGACTTCTCTTTTTATTTCAGCCTAAACTGAAGTATGAGTATGTCTCCCACTCCCTCACAACACCCACATAAAACTACATGCCAATATTCAAATACACCACTTTCTTAACTCTATGCCTTTACACCAGCACAACCCCCTTAGCCACTCAACATTTCTCCTTGTTCTTCTCAACATTTCTCCAATTATTAATAAAAAAATTAATCTTTAATAAATCTTTAAAGACTTGCATCAAATACTAATCCCCTCCTTATTATTACCAATTATATCAATTAGAAACAATTATATCATTGTCACAGCATTTTACTTTTACCTTGTCTGAAATAGTACATATTTTTTTCTGCCTCAGACTACAGTTATTTACTTGGATGTCTGTCTCTTTCACTAGATTGTATGATCCCTAAACCTGTCTCTTAATTTATCTGTGCTTCCCCATGGTTCCTAGTGCTTTATTTGTAGTAGGCTTCACTAAATAGTAACACTAAATAGTAACAATGGAGCAAATGGAACCTATTTCTTCTTTTTTTTTTTTTTTTTTTTTGAGACAGAGTCTCGCTCTGTCGCCCAGGCTGGACTATAGTGCCGTGATCTTGGCTCACTGCAACTTCCGCCTCCCGGGTTCAAGCGATTCTCCTGCCTCAGCCTCCCGAGTAGCTGGGACTACAGGTGTGTGCCACCACACCCAGCTAATTTTTTGTATTTTTAGTAGGCACAGGGTTTTACCATGTTGGCCAGGCTGGTCTTGAACTCCTGAACTCAGGTGATCTGCCCATCTCGGCCTCCCAAAGTGCTGGGATTACAGGCGTGAGCCACTGCGCCCAGCAAACCTATTTATTTTAATGGTAAAAAACATACATATGGCAGATTCTTTACTAGCCCATGTTCCAATCCTTAGCTAGGATACTAGTAAGTTAAACTGGTAAGAGAGGAATGCAAACAAAGCTAATAAATATGATGTTTAGCCTTCTTTATTTCTATGCATAGAAAGTTCATCTATGAGATTAAATGAGATTGGGGAAGCAATCTTCCCCAGTTGCAGCTATGAAGAGTTTTTAACTGTTTAATAAACAGACACAAAAATCAATTTCATGTCTATATAATAAACAAAAAATGACACCATTCACAACAACAAAAAATCAAATACCTAGGGGAAAGTCTAATCGAAGGTGTATAAGACCTGTCCAGGGAAAACAAAATGCTAATGGAAAAAATTAAAGGGAGACTTAAATGGACAAATATACCGTGTTCTAGAATTGAAAGGTTCAATACTGTAAAGATTTTCCTTGAATTGATTTATAGAGACAACAAAATCCCAAATTCCTAGCAGTGTGTGTGTGTGTTTGTGTGTGTATGTGTGTGTACAGACTGACAAGCTAATTCTAAAAGTTATATGGAAATGAAAAGGATCAAGAACCAGGGCAATCTTGCAGAAAGATGAGCAAAGCTGGAGAACTATATGCACAATCAAAAAAGTATCAAGTAATAAAACTGAAGAGAAATAAAATAAAAACTAATGCTTACCTTTAGAAAGTGCAAGTGAATGATAGTAACCACAAGCAACCTGTACAATCTGGATATCTGACAAACTTTTAATATTTCTAGAAAAGAAGAAGACAGATCAAGACCAGTTAATTCCATTTAACAAATTGATCTTGAATGCTATTTATGTTATTTATTGATGGCCTACTATATGCACATAGGTCATATTATTTTTTTTCATACAAGCTCAATTTTAGCGTACCAAAAATTTATGCTAAAATCAGTAAACAAGAGCTAGATACAAAAAAAAAAAAATTAAAGGGGTGAAAAGAACACATCTTGGAAAGACAGTATTTAAGCAAAGTGAGCTATACTCATACCTCAAGTACTCCTCAGAGTGCTCTTATAATTCAGATATTTTCTTTCATTATAAAAACGTGTTTTTAAATCATCAGCTTACAGTTAGAAACTTGGCAATACATCTGGAAAGCAAATGTACATTATCTAATTTGTCTAAAATTGGTGTTTTGCCTAGTTTAATGCACGTTCTCCTTTATCGGGTTTCTTAAGAACCAACAGGGATTCTTGTATGTTCTACCAACTCTCAAATTATGAAACCTATTCCTTACAAGCTATCCTTTTGCTTTACGTCTAAATCAGGGACATTCAATTTTTTTACTCAGGAAATTTACTCAATTCACAGTTATAACAATCATTACTAATATGTTAAGTCTTATTTTCTTCTGTCTTGTATTTTGTCCTTATACTTTCGTAATTTCCTTCCCCCCTTTCCTGAGTTTTGTTTTACCACAACGCAACTTTAAAGGCTCATTTTTAAAACATTACAAAACTCAATTAACTTTGTATGTACATCAACCATCCCAGCATCTCCATTGGTTCTTTCCCTTTGCCTGGTCATGTTACTGTTTTTCCTGAATGAATGTTTTCAAGAAAAAAAGGGGGGATGCCAGATGCGGATTACAGGTGGGTTACTGTAATCCCAGCACTTTTGGAGACCAAGGTAGGCGGATCACTTGAGGTCAGTCAGGAGTTTGAGACCAGACTGGCCAACCTGGTGAAACACTGTCTCTACTGAAAATACAAAAAAAAAAAAAAAAAATTAGCAGGTGTGGTGGCACGCTGTAGTCCCAGCTACTCGGGAAGCTGAGGCAGGAAAATGACTTGGACCTGGGAGGCAGAGGCTGCAGTGAGCCAAGATCACACCATCGCACTCCAGAATGGGCGATAGAGTAAGACCCTGTCTCAAAAAAAAAAAAAAAAAAAGAAAGAAAGAAAAGAAAAAACGGGGGATGGGGAGGTACACAATATGTTTCTTATTTCCCTTTACCTGATACTGTCACCTGACCTGATTCTGCCATAAGAGAGTCCGGAGCAAATTCTGACCAGAGAGTCGACACACATGATTTTCGGGAAGCAGCTTCAGCAAATCAAAGTTTGAGCAGGAAAAAGGAGAGTTACTCTGATTCCATATTATTGTATTAAAAATATTTTTATTTAGTGAAGTTATGCTCTTAACTACAAAACCTGAGAGCTGTACTGCTACAATTTAGCAGAATCCAACAAATTAGCAGGATCCAATGCACCTTCAAATTTTCAAACTCAACAAAATGCCATTTCTTTGAAATAGCAAAATCAAACACTGGCAATGCAAACAGAGTAAGGAATAAAAAATACATGAACATACCCAACTGTGCTCAAATTACTAAACATTTACTGTTATTGTTTATGCATACTAGGCAGATGATACATTGACCTGTTCAGCATATTAAGTATTTTAGGAAAAAAAAACACTATTCTGAGTATCAAGTACAATTTTGCAAATGAAACATTTCAAAATACTACATTCTCACAGTACTGTATGTTTTTTCCTTCAGAGCATTTATCGCTACTAACCACAGGTACCTATTCATTTAATATTTGTCTCCTCTGCTAAACAGTAAGTTCTGTGAAGGCAGACTATGTGTTTTATACCCATGATAATGCCTGGCACCTACTATAGTGCCTAATTAATAGTACGTAATGAATATACTGTTAAAGGATAACTACATTTGTAAGGTCTTGGAGGCTTTAGTATTAGTCATAAAATTTGCCAAAAATTTTCTAAATTTGCATAGCAATTTATACTCAGTTACTCTCCTTTCCAAAATACTAACCTAAGGCTTGTAACACACATTAAATGCTAATATCTTTTACCATTATATGCTACAGAGACCAGAAGTATATTCTTCTGCGTCATTACTGTGTTAAAGAAAAAACTATCCCCTTTCATCTTCATATAAATGTATTAATACCCTAAAGAATGGGGGATATTGGCTTTGTTTTCTTTGTTTTAGCTTTTAGAAATTAAAAAATACTGTGAATGGTAAAACAAGGCTTCCCATGTTCCATTTTTTCTAAAGAGATAAATTAGAAAATAATTAAATAAATTTGTTAGAACTCATCAAAAGTAATCCCCTTTGTCACATAAAAAAGATAATGTGTTTAATCATTTCTAATTTTTGAATATTCAAATACACTGAACAGAAAAGCAAAAGAAAGGCTGGGCGTGGTGGCTCAAGCCTGCAATCCCAGCATTTTGGGAGGCCAAGGCGAGCAGATCATAAGGTAAGGAGTTCAAGACCAGCCTGGCCAAAATGGTGAAACCCCGTCTCTACTAAAAATACAAAAATTAGCTAGGCATGGTGACAGGCGCCTGTAGTCCCAGCTACTTGGGAGGCTGAGGCAGGAGAATGGCTTGAACCCAGGAGGCGGAAGTTGCAGTGAGCCAAGATTGCGCCACTGCACTCCAGCCTGGGTGACAGAGTGAAATTCCGTCTCAAAAAAAAAAAAAAGAAAGAAAAAGAAAAAAAGAAAAAGAAGCCAGAATAAATTTTGTAAATTAAAAAAATATATACACACACACACATTGGAGATAAGATTTATATACCCTTCCTTTGGGACTCTGCTAAAGCATATCAATTATGGAATATGTATACTGTTGTATTCTTCTGTTTTCCCAACTTAATGTGTAGCGGCAATATAGGCAGAAATCAGGCATTGTTAGTTATGTTTCTGAAGACAAAATTCCAACCACTAATGTTTAGTAAAAAGTTTATATTATGTAATTAAACATTTGAGGAGCTAAAGTATTAAATATTTTGCAATTAAACACAATTACCAATTTTCTATTTTCCAGTTAAGCCACAACTTTCCTAGTAATTTAAGAAAAATCTTAACACCAACTCATTTCAATTTTGAAAAATTTATCTCAGAATAGGGGAGTAGATTTTTAAAAAAATGAAAAATTTAGACTAAAAACTGACCTACTCTATACCATTAAAAACTACTCTTTAATTTTTCTTTTTAATCTATAATGTTCCAAATTTTCAGATGCTAAAATTAGGCAGGAATTGTAATATATCTTAAAATGAATAACAAGAAAATAAATTGTATTTTTGACCAAGCTAATAATTCAAATATGTTTAGTTTGTATAGTCCAGAAATTGCTGTACTCACAAAAATAATAATCTTATACTATCTTGCCATAATTTTTTAATGTATATGTCCAAGAAGCAGAACTTTTAAAAGATAAACTACATCTTTATTGCCAACAATTATTTTTCTGAAGTCTGTGTGCAAAGTTATGTGTTTCCACTTATATTAAACTACGATAATAAAATTTGGGTCAATTTTTTAAATAAAATGGTGTAATATATATTCTATATTAACATCTAGCCAGAAATGCAGGTCTACAGACACTATTTAAAATACTTGGTCTTTCCCAAAGTAGTGACTTCAAAACAAAACAAAATTAGAAGTAGGAAACAATTCATTATCAAACTGTTTCAGTTATATCCTATTGTTAATTTCACATTCTTCTTTAATATTATCCATCCACTGGCATTAAAAATGGGTTTTGTTGTCACAAAAGTATAACCTAATGCGAATCTTCACTTTTCTGATTACTCTTTTTTTTTATTTTTTGAGATGGAGTCTCGCTCTGTCGCTTAGGCTGGAGTGCAGTGGTGCAATCTCGGCTCACTGCAACCTCCGCCTCCCAGGTTCAAGCAATTCTCTGCCTCAGCCTCCTGAGTAGCTGGGATTACAGGCGCCTGCCTGGCTAATTTTTTGTATTTTTAGAAAAGACAGGGTTTCACCTTCTTGGCCAGGCTGGTATTGAACTCCTGACCTTGTGATTCACCCACCTCGGCCTCCCAAAGTGCTGGGATTACAGGCGTGAGCCACTATGCCCAGCCTATTCTGATTACTCTTACGAAAATCTATAAACACTAGGCAGGACACAGTGGCTTACGCCTGTAATCTCAACACTTTGGGAGGCCAAAGCCGGTGAATCCCTTGAGTCCAGGAATTTAAGACCAGCTGGGCAACATGGTGAAACTCTGTCTCTACAAAAAATACAAAATTGGCCAAGCATAGTGGTGCACGCCTATAGTCGCACCTACTAGGGAGGCTGTGGTGGGAGGATGGCTTGAGCCCAGGAGGTCGAGGCTGCAGTGAGCTGTGAGCATGCCACTGCACACCAGCCTGGGTGACAGAGTGAGACTTTGTCTCAAGAAACAAACAAACAAAAATCTATAAACACCAATTTTTAGAAATCTGTTTATAGATACTATATGTAAAATTTACAAAGCTGGCTGACATCTCTAAGCCACCTAGAAAAAGCCTTACATCTGAAAAATGATTTGGTACTGAAATTAAAACCAAAACTCTCTTGGCACTCTTCCTTTTATAAAAAAACATTTCCACTGAAATACTAAATGGCCCTTTAAAAGCTGGTAATATCAGTAAAAACTATGTATACGTTACAACAAATCAGATCAAGCCATAAAATTTTGAAAAACTGAGAAGGATGAAAAGCAGAAATACCTTAACATACAGCTTAAAGTTAATACAGATGTTGAGCACATACAAAAATAAAGATGTTGAAACCAAAGAACTCAAGTAAATTCTCTTTCAGGTCCCCATCCAGGTTCATAGTTGTTATTATTGGACAACCCTCATATAAATTTTATACATAATAAAATTCTCTCCTTATAATTAACTTTCTTTCCATTTATTATTTACCTATGTATTACTGACTAAAGTCCCTTAAAAGTGAACAGCAACAAAAGTTTAAGTATGAGAATCATCAGACTGGTAGAGTAAAAATAAAGGAAACTAGAAAGTTTTGCCATGAATCATGGTTTTGAGAATACTGACTCAGAAGATCTAACATGCAAATCTCTTTTCATCCTAAACACAGTTTTTTAAAAATCTTAAATTTAAAATCCTGTTCTATAAGAATTACTATTACTAGGAAAAAGAACAAAAGAGTTTAAAGAGGTCAGAATTTGTGTAAATTTTAAAACTAAGTATGAGTTAATGTATTATTTATGTATCTGAAATAAACTGAATACTGAAATCTGTATATTTTTACCTATGTAATTCATGCTGTTAGAGTTTTTAATATTAAAACAATGATTAGCCAGGCACAGTGCTTCACGCCTATAATCATGAGTACTTTGGGAGGCCAAAGTGGGCAGATCTTGAGGTCAGGAGTTCGAGACCAGCCTGGCCAACATGGTGAACCCCCATCTCTACTAAAAATACAAAAAATTAGCCAGCTGTGGTGGTGGGCGCCTGTAATCCCAGCTACTCAGGAGGCTGAGGCAGGTGAATCGCTTGAAACCAGGAGGTGGAGGTTGCAGTGAGCCGAGATCACACCATTGCACTCCAACCCAGGCAACAGTGCGAGACTCTGTCTCAAAAACAAACAAACAAAAAACGATTATGCCCTATGTAACTGTGTAAGACTAAAACATTGATGAGGCACTGCTTATTTTTTAATTGTGAAATAATTATATGATGAATTAATTAAATTGGGCTCACTGCTATGTACAAAGTGGAAAGTGACTAAATTCTTTTTACAGTAAGCATGTTGGACTTCTATATTCAACAGAAACAATAAAGACTAAAAAAAGGACAAGTTAGTGAAAAACATTCAACAAACCAATATTTAATAAATATTTCAATAGCAGGAATACTCAAGATAGTAGTAGTTTAAATTAGTATAACCCACTAAAAAAATTTGTAATGAAGCAAGTATTCCCTATGCTTTTTTTACAGACATAAATTCTATTGATTATAGAGAAAATATAGAGTATATAAAAATAGCAAATCAATCAATAGCTCAATCAACATCATAAGCAAGAACCAAACTCTTATCAAAGGACTCAAAGGGGAGAAATAATGAGATGTCAACTCTTACAGGCCCAAAGATAAGCAGAACAATTTAGATTAACAAATTTATTTTAAAAGATTGTTAAGGACCTCTTTCTGGTCACCTTTGTTACCTGGGTACTCTGATGCATTCCTCTGATCCTACCAGGCCAAGCTGTCCATCAGAATCGAGACCCCAAGCATACACCTGGCCTTTGTCATTTAGCGCTAACGTATGAGCTTCTCCACATGAAACAGCTACAATATTTTGGGCATCCAGGGCAACAACCTGCTCTACAGAAATCAAGAAGAGAAATATTGCATTCTAGTACAGAAATCAAGGAAAAAGATATTGCATTCTAGTTTTGAACTTCCAATAAGAACAAAACACATTCTTCATTTTATACAAACAAGCTAAAGAAATGCTTAAACACACACTAGATATAACCAGTTATTTTGAACTATTCAACAAATATGTTCCAAACGTAATTCTCATTGTGGTAAACCACAGATAAATATATCATAGGGCATAATCAACTCAGAATATCAAGTGACCTGAACATTTTGGGAAGAAGTTAAGGGTTTATAAAGATTCTCTCAGAATGTACCTTCTATTCAAATCTATTACTAATAAAAGAGTCCAGGTGAAAAAAAAAAGAAGAAATCATTTAAATAACCTGGGCTGCTTGATTTTAACAATAAGATCATAACTGACACATATATTACAATGTATATGCTGCCATGAAGTGATTCTGAAATTAAGGAAACAGGCACGGTGTGCTGGCTCACGCCCATAATACCAGCATTTTGGGAGGCCAAGGAGGGCGGATCGCTTTAGGTCAGGAGTTCAAGACCAGCCTGGCCAAAACGGTGAAACCCCATCTCTACTAAAAGTACAAAAATTAGCTGGGTGTGTGGTGGTGCACGCCTGTGATCCCAGCTATTCGGGAGGCTGAAACAGGAGACTCGCTTGAATCTGGGAGATGGAGGTTGCAGTAAGCCAAGATCATGCCACTGCACTCCAGCCAGCCTGGGTGACAGAGCCAGACCGTGTCTCAAGATAAAAAAAGGAAATTAAGGAAATAATCTGAATTAGCAATTTCTGAATGGAAAACAAATTTTTTAAAGATCTCATAAATAAAGCATCTATTAGATATGGTGAGTAGAGAACTGAAAGGCAGTAAACCATGACTGACAGGGTTTCCATTTGTGGACTGCCAACTTAATATCAAAAGATACATGTAGTTAAAATATGTTCAATTTTTAAAACAGAAATTAACTTAAAATATTGGCCCTTAAAATACTGGCCCTACTACCAGTAGCCATCAATTGACAAATCAATAAGGAAAGTGAATTTGTTTCTCTTAGTCCTCAAGATGTGTTTGTCAGGTTTTTTTACTAGTATCACAAGTTTTTTAAAAGATACCATTTAAAATTAACTTTCTTTCAGCTTAATAAGAAAGCTATAATCATTGTCTTCAACAAACTAAAAGTCTTATGTTGAAAGTGGTTAAAACTGGATCAATCAGGGTTTCTTCAGAGGCATAGTTTAGCTCAATTTACAAATGCAGCTGTTCAATAATGAAACAGACTGAACCAAAGAGGCTGAAATTCCTATCTATACAGAAATTCAAATTGTATCTAGATTACTATCTTGCATTTTGGAGAGGGAGGTTAGCCCTATATAGCCTCTAGGAACCTGCACAACTCTAATGATGTATTAAGTACTTACCTACTCCTGAAGCTTCCAGTACATGAAGTTTATTACACTAATATCTCATTTTTTGTATAGCTTTTAAAAAAGTATTTTACAGAAACATACAAAAACAAAAAAGGCAAGCAAGATATGACACACACTGTTCCAAAAAAAAAAAAGAAAAAATACTTAGAAGCATCATTTGTTTATATCAAAACATTCCCATAAATCTTAATTATGAAGAAGTAAATGTTTAAAAGATCTGTTATCTCAGAGGCTCCAGAAAAAGTCAAGTTCTCTCCAGAACAATCCTCAAAGGAAGTAGCAGAAAATGATAGGATGACAAGACAGGTAAGTAAGACTGCTTGGTTGGTTCAACAATAACAAATTAATAGCATCAGCTATAAAGATAGCAATGTAAAGTCAAAGGTACCAAAGGTACCAAATGTCAATGTAAAGTCAAAGATAGCAATGTAAAGTCAAAGGTACCAAAATCCACGAAACAAAGAAGCAATCATTTATATTAAACAGTTGTATTGTACACTTCTTGTGCTCCAAGCACTGGAGAGAGAGAGAGAATAAAATAAGCGTCCTAGCCCTCAATGAGTTTACAGCCTATGGAAAAGGAGGTGAGATAAAGATTGTGACTAAATGCTAAGATAAACATATACAAAAGGCATTAAAGGAATATGAGCTATTTATGTAAATCTTAAAAGATAGTCCAGGCGAGGTAGCTCACATCTATAATCCCAGCACTTGCAGAAGCCAAGGTGGGAGGATCACTTGAACCCAGGAGTTTGAGACCAGCCTGGGCAACATAGTGAGACCTCGTCTCTACAAATAATTTTTTACAAAATTAGCCAAGCGTGGTGGCACACATCTGTGGGGAGACAGAGTGGGGAGAATCACTCGAGCCCAAGCAGTTGAAGCTACAGTGAGCTGTGATCACGCCACTGTATTCCTTCATGGGCTATAGAGGGAGACTGTGTCTCCAGAAAAACAAACAAACAAACAAACAAAAAAAAACATGAAGAATTTTGGAAGACAGTGAAAACTAGCTAAGTCCTGAGCTGAGGTAAGAGAAGGAGTCCATGTATCCATTTGAGGAAATTTGAATTACTTGTTATAGCAAAACCAACAGCAAAGTCAAAAAACTGATGAAAAAAATCAGACAAAAAATAGTATTCATCTCAGACAAAAGAATAACATCCCCAGTTTTTATTGACTTCTTAGGGAAAAAAAAAAAAAGGTCAGTAATTCGCATGACAAGTGGGTAAGAGATGTGAACCAAAAGTTCACAGAGAAAGAAACAGAAATGGCCTGTGGAGAAATGCAAATTCAAACTACACTGAGAAGCCAATAATAGATTCACTTAGAAAACTCATCAAGCTATACATATATTTTCAATTTTGCACTTTTCCATATGGGTTAAGCTTGAATAAAAAATCTATCAAGAGAGTAAGAAGACAAGCCATAGCCCAGGGGAAAACATTTGCAAAAGATACAGCTGATAAAGAAGTATTAATCCAAAGTAAACAAAGAATGCTTAAAACTCAACAATAAGAAAACGAACAATCCTATCTTAAAAACAAGTAAAAGACCAAAACTGACACCTCACCAAGGAAGATAAACAAATGGCAAGCAGGCATACAAACAGATATTTAACTTATATGTTCAACTTATGTCCCATGGGAATTACAATTTAAAACAACATACCACTACACACCTATTAGAACGGCCACAAGACAAAACACTGACAACACCAGTTGTGATGTCAAGGATGTGAAGCAACAGGAACTCTCCTTCACTGCTGGTGGGAATGCAAAATGGTACAGCCACTTTGGAAAACAGTTTGGCAGATTCTTACAAAAGTAAATCTACTCTTACCATATGACCCAATTCCTTGATATTTACTCAAACACTTATGTCCACATAAACACCTGCACATGAATGTTTTGTTTTTGTTTTTTTTTTTGTGAGACAGGGTCTCACCCTGTTGCCCAGGCTGAAGTGCAGCGGCATAATCATGGCTCACTGCAGCCTCCCAGGCTCAAGCAATCCTCCCACCTCAGCCTCCAGGGTAGCTGGGACTACAAGCACATGCCACCATACCCAGCTAATCTTTTAATTTCTTGTAGCAACAGGGTCTCACTATGTTGCCCAGGCTGGTCATGAACTCCTGGGCTCAAGTGCTCCTCCCACCTCAGCCTCCCAAAGTGTTAGGATTTACAGGCATGAGCCACCACACCCAGCCCACACAGAAGTTTCTAGCAGTTTTATTCATAATTGCCAAAACCCAGAAGCATCCAAGACGTCCTTCAGTAGGTGAATGGATAAACTGTGGTACATCCAGACAATGGAATACTTAGTGCTAAAAAGAAATGAGCTACCAAGCCATGAAAAGACATGGAAGAAATTTACTTAATAGTAAAAAAGCCAATCTGAAAAGGCTACAAACTACATGATCCCAACTATATGACAAGCTGGAAAAGACAACGATGGAGACAGTAAAATAATTAGTGGTTGCCAGGGGATACAGGGAGGGAGGGATGAACAGGCAGAGCATAGAGGATTTTGAGGGCAGTGAAACTATTCTACATGATATTACAATGATGGATACATGTCATTATACATCTGTTAAAATCCATTTAATGTGTAACACTAAAAATGAACGCTAAACTATGGAATTTGGGTGATAATGATATATCAATGTAGATTTGTTGATTTTAACAAATGTGCCATTGTGCTGCAGAACATCCAGAAAGCTGGGGAGGTGGTGCATGGTAGGGGACAGGAAGTAGAAGGGAACTCTTTATTTTCTGCTCAGTTTTGCCCTGAACCTAAAACACTGCTCTAAAAAGAAAGGGTATTTTTTAAATTTGTTTTTTAAAAAACCCACATACCAAGATACCATTTATTCATCTGATAAAAATCAAAAAGTTTGATAACAGTTCATGGGGAAAAAGGCACTCTTGTATACTGTTAGTCTAAAAACAAAACAGTACAACCTCTATGAAGAGAAATGTGGCAATATCTAACAAAACACATGCATTCACCCTTCAGACCTAGCAATTCCAATTCCAGGAATTTGTTCTACAGATATACCTCTGTGTATGTGTATATATATATATTTGCAGCACTATATACAATAGCAAAACACTGGAAATTCTCCAGTATCCAAAAGATTCCATCTACACGCTGAAATATTATGCTCTGCAATTAAAAAAAAAAATCAAGAAAAGAGGAAACTACACATTGTTATGAAAAGATCCCCAGGATATATTATCCATTGGGGAAGAAAAAAAATAAGATGTGGAATAGTGTACATGATTTGCTATTTTTTGTGTAAGAGGAAGAAGAAAACATATTCATATTTGCTAATATTTTATCTACATTTTTAAAACTTTGGAAAGATAAGTCGGGCACAGTGGCTCACATCTGTAATCCCAGGACTTTGGGAGGCTGAGGTGGACAGATCTTAAGGCCAGGAGTTAGAGACCAGCCTAGGTGGTGGGTGTCTGTAATCTCACTATGAGAACTGCCTGAATCCAGGAGGCAGAGGTTGCAGTGAGCCAAATTCACACCACTGCACTCCAGCCTGGGTGACAGAGTGAGACACTGCCACAAAAAAAAAAAAAAAAAAAAAAACACTTTGGAAACTAACAAACGAACAGGCACAGTGGCTCATGCCACCTAGCACTTTGGGAGGCTGAGGCGGGAGGATGGCTTGAATCCAGGAGTTCGAAACCAGCCTCGGCAACATAATGAGACCCTGTCTCTACAAAAAAATTAAAAATTAGCCAGGCATGGGGGCAAATGCTTGTAGTTTCCACTACTCAGGGAATTGAGGTGGGAGGATCTCTTAAGCCTATGAGGTCAGGGCTACAGTGAGCCGTGATTGTGCCACTGCACTCAAGCCTGGGAGATAGTAAGACGGTCTCAAAACAAAAAACAAACAAGGCCAGACGCAGTGGCTTATGCCTGTAATCCCAGTACTTTGGAAGGCTGAGGCAGGCAGATTGTTGAGTCCAGGAGTTCAGGACCAGCCTGGACAACAAAAACCCCATCTCCACTAAAAAAACAAAACATTAGCCATGCACACCTATAATCCCAGCTACTCAGGAGGCTGAGGTAGGAGAATCACCTGATCCTGGGAGCCTGTGGCTGCAGTGACCAAGACTGCATCACTGCACTCCAGCCTGGGCAACCAAAGTGAGACCCTTTCTCAAAAACAAAAAAACAACTAACAAGCGTAGTTACTTAGAAGGGATATAGGCAGAGGGAACAATAGCGTGGTCAAATGTAAGAGCCAAGCTTCTCAATGTGTATTTAAATTGCTTTGATGTTTGAACCATGTGAATATATATTGTCTTTTCAAAACAAACAATAAATAAAATATAACTTAAAAAATATAAAAGAAACAGACGCTTAGAGTAAGTAGTTAAAGCAATGTATTAAAACCATTGTTTTCATTTTAAAACTAATCTGAGCTCTTTAATCTTTTTCAACATACTAAATACTGAAGATAATTTTTGTTCTTTCAGAATTTTAGCCCCATCAAATTATTGGGATACTAACTTTGAAAATGGATAATGACTTCAGCAATACATTATTATAAAAACACACAACTTGAGAATAATATTTAATAGCTGACTTTTTAGACATCAAATACACAAAACTGATAACTTCACTATAATTTTTAAAAAGTTATCTATTTTTTTCCAAATGGCTCATCAAAGTGAATAATCTCAACCATTTTTCCCCAGTATCCTAGAAAGTCATATCAATGGTTTGTTGAGACATTTTACATCCAAGTCAAATTCTGGTTGAATACTCAAATCAAGATGGCCTAAAAAGGGAGATAATGACAAGCAAGAATGAAGAGAAATAAATGAATCCAGCAAAACAAACAAAAAAATTCACTTACAAAGCCTGGCCCAGTAATGTTCCGTGTAAGAAAGGGATGCAAAAAAAACTCATGCCAAATCTAACAGCTAACATTTATTATTTACTATGTTCCAGGTACTATCACCAAAGTACATTTACCTTTAAAGGCCAATAACACAATTAGAAAACGGAGAGTTAAGGGGGGATTAAACCACATCAATTGATGATCAGTAGAAAAACCCAAAGACCAAAAAAAAAAAAAAACAAAGAAAAAACTTGCCACACAAGTCCATTAAAAAAACTATTGAATCCTTTGATAAATAAGGGCTACAAAATGTTGAAATTACAAATGTTTGATGCTAAACTTGTTGGAAAGGTTTAATAACAGCATATAATCATTATAGTCAACAGTAATTCTGAAATAAAAAGGTATGTTATTTAAAAATATAAATACACACAGACAAAACATATGGCAAAATGTTAACACTATTTTTTTTTTTTTTTTTTTTTGAGACAGAGTCTCGCTCTGTCGCCCAGGCTGGAGTGCAGTGGCACGATCTTGGCTCACTGCAAGCTCTGCCTCCCGGGTTCGCGCCATTCTCCTGCCTCAGCCTCCTGAGTAGCTGGGACTACAAGCGCCCGCCACCATGCCCAGCTAGTTTTTTTTTGGTTTTTTTTTTGTATTTTTAGTAGAGACAGAGTTTCACCATGTTAGCCAGGATGGTCTTAATCTCCTGACCTCGTGATCCGCCCGCCTCGGCCTCCCAAAGTGCTGGGATTACAGGCGTGAGCCACCATGCCCGGCCAATGTTAACACTATTCTTTCAACTTTTCTTTTCTTTTTTTTTTTTTTTTGAGACAGGATCTCACTCTGTTGCCCAGGCTGGAGTGCAGTGGCGTGATCTCGGCTCACTGCAACCCCGCCTCCGAGGCTCAAGTGATCCTCCCACCTCAGGCTCCTGAGTAGCTGAGACTACAGGCTAATTTTTTGTATTTTTTAGAGGTGGGGTTTCACTATGTTGCCCAGGGTGATCTCGAACTCGTGAGCTCAAGCAACACGCCCGCCTCAGCCTCCCAAAGTGTTGAGATTACAGGCATGAGCCACCGCGCCCAGCCTCAACTTTTCTTTATGCTTCAAACTGTTCATATAAAAAGGGTGAAAAAAAAGTATCATTGTGTTCCTATCAGTATTTATGAGTCACAGTATTTCTCTTCAAGAAAAAAAAAGAGACATTTAATTTTTGGAGGCACAAAAAGGAAAACACAAGTGGAAAAAATTGCCTTCTGAATTCATTTTTCAGAGACATAGGCAAAACCTGAAAAGATAAAGTGCTAGACAGATGAAACATATCCACTTTGTAGATAACGACTTCGAATACATCTCTAATAGGTCCTTGTTCATCATTACTTCTGGTTCTTCTTACACTTCTATAATTAATCATACTTTTGAAAACACTAATGGCGCATCATTTTACCGAGGAGAAAGAGGGCATCCTTCTTTGCTTCTTAAAGAAAGACTTTCATTTTTAGGCTTATTTTTAAAACAGTTAAAATGATCAACCTAATGAAAATTTTCATTTCTACATCATCTGTGTCCTTCCAATCACCTTTGTAGGCAAATCCAACTTCAGTGTTTGTTTGCTTACGAACTACATCAAGTACATTTTTCTGCACAAATATCATTAAAAAAAAGAATACTGTCTCACATACAGGATAGACAAGTCCAGGTTCTTGTTGCAAAATATTACATAACAAAGTACTTCCTGTTGAATGAGTAACTGGGTAAAAATATCCTATGTCCTCTGGGACCTCAGAAATATTATCAATTAAGCTTGTGAAAATTCATATAGAGTATCATCAACTCCAATTCATTGTGTAAGAGTTCACTTATATGATCAATTTCACCATCATAAAGTGCTGCTCTCTCTGATAACGTCTGAATTGTGAAACATCTCCCTCTTGTCAATTTTCTTCTCTTTGCCATTATGAACACAGAGTGAAAAATTCTATATTCTTAATTGTGGAAAACGAAAGCTACAAAAAGAGAAAAATAAAAGCTACAAAGATAGAGACTCCAGACTTGTTTTATACCTTCTTAAAAAATGACACAATACTCTGTACAATGCACGAAGAAACAGAAGGATGCTATATACTGATAGTTTATTTCACTACTGCATCATCCTTCTAAGAAACCACATCATTCTTCCACTTATTAGTCTTTTTATTCTAGTCTAGCTGGGAATAATCAATTCTCACTATCTGCAGTAGTTATGTCCTATAAAATCACCATGAACATTGACTTAGCAAATATTGAATCATTGCCCCCGAAGAAAATACAAGGTAAGGTTCCTGCAAGCCTCTGGTCAGAACATTTTTGTCAACTGATAAATACATAATCTCGTTTTAGGGATGCTTCTGTTTTAAAACATCTTATTTAATATGTATTTAAGCACTACACTTTTTTTTTTTTTTAGACCAGGTCTCTCTGTCGCCCAGGATGGAGTGCAGTGGTGAAATTACAGCTCACTGCAGCAGCAACCTCCCAGGCTCAGGTGATCCTCCTGCTTCAGCCTCCCGAGTAGCTGGGACCACGGACATGAGCTACCACACCCCATTAATTTTTTAATTATTTGTAGAGATGTGGTCTCCCTATTTTGCCCAGGCTAGTCTTGAACTCCTGGACTCACGTAATCCTCCCAAAGTGCTGGGATTATAGGTTTGAGCCACAGCACCCGGCCTGGGGACCATTTTAAACAGCAAAATCACCAATAAGATGGGCAAAATATACAAAAAATGTGGCATTAAATATATCACAAAAAGGCCACTTGTTTGTAATGACAGCTAGAACAAAAAGGCAGAGCACTGCCTTGAACCTCCCCTGATAAAGTGCACATCTGCTGACTCAAGTATTTGGCAGTTCTGTGAATGCCCATGTCCAGGAATGACCACAAACTAAAACATTGATCATTTTATATAGAGAACAAAAATCTCTGTTGATGTTTTGTGTTCACGTTAACAGGATCTAGAATCAATAGCTTTATGAAGAGCGACAAGTATATCCACACTGAAAAATTTTAATACTGAGGTCAGAAGGAATATACGTTGTCAAATACCTATTTTAAAGAGATCATTTCAACTCTTTAGTACATGTTTAAAACCACCAGAGATTAAGTTTCAAAATCCTCTGTCCTACCATGCCTCATTAGTTGTTAAAAATACAGATTTCCCCTTCTCTTCTCTCTGAACAACTCAAAACTCTAAACTAGGGCAATGCAGAGTATACCTAAAATCCATGCCTAAAAATTTAACTTTACAGTTCTCAAGATACCATACTATAAAATAAAAAAGATACTGTAGAGCTCCATTCTTACACATGTATGCAGAGAAAAGATTGGGAAAATGATTACCAAATTTAACACTGGTTTTTTATAATTTTTTTTTCTTTTCTTCTTCTTTGTTTTATTAAACAACTGAATGTGCAGTTGAAGTATTTAATGATTTTTTTTTTTTTTTTTCAGACCGAGTCTCACTAACTCTGTTGCCCAGGCTGGAGTGCAGTGGTGCAATCTCAGCTCACGGCAACCTCCACCTCCCAGGTTCAAGAAATTCTCCTGCCTCAGCTAACCACGCCCAGCCGGCACCACCATGTCCAGCTAATTTTTTGTATTTTTAGTAGAGATGAGGTTTCACCATGTTGGCCAGGCTTGTCTCAAACTCCTGACCTCAAGTGATCCACCCACCTCAGCCTCACAAAGTGTTGGGATTACAGGCATGAGACATATATCTGTCCCATTTTATGATTCTGACTTTTTAAAGATAAAGATATTAATCACTTGGGATTAGTGAATAACATCAATGAGTAATTCAGATTTAAATATAACTTTAATATTTAATTATTTAAATAACTTTAAATAATTACATTGCTATTTTGTTGCAGAGAAAAATAACCAAAGGCTACTTCACTCAAGGCATAAACTTCCCTATTACTGAAAAATAACAGTGAAATTATTGTTTAAATAAAACAAAGTGCAACTATTGTTTACTAATACTTTTATATTTATTTTTATTTTTTTATGTTGTTTTTATTTTTGAGAGAGTCTCGCTCTGTTGCCCAGGCTGGAGTGCAGTGGCACGATCTCGGCTCACTGCAACCTCCAGCTCCTGGGCTCAAGCGATTCTCCTGACTCAGGCTCCTGAGTAGCTGGGATTACACAAGTGTGCCGCCATACCTGGCTATTTTTGTATTTTTATTAGGGACGGGGTTTCACCATGTTGCCCAGGCTGATGGTAACTGATACTTTTAAAAGGATCTCTAACATGATGGACTTAACAATCATCACAAACTTTAAGACAAATTCAGAATTAAAGAAACAAACAAAACTAAAACATCAATAAATTAAAATTTTTATTCCCTCTAATTATTACTAATAATTACCAGTAGCAATTTGGAATGGTACAATCCATAGCCAAGAAAGTATTTTAGTGGGTTCCCTGATAAAATCTAAAGTTAATATACACTAACTTATGTGTCTTAGTTGACAGCAAACAATAAAATGTTTATATGAAGAAACATCTAACAAGATTAAGAAATTATTTGTAATGCATATGTTGACAAGTTCATACCCCTTTTATATATTTATACAGAGGAATACAATTAACGTATATAAAGAGCTTATGTGCCTGGCACTAAGCTTAGCACTTTAATTACTTAATCTTATTTAATCCTCATAACACCATGAGGAAGTTATCCTTAAGCTTCACAGATAAAGGCACTAAGTTATAAACATTTCTGTATTTATTGAACCACTGTCCTTTTGTTAATATTCAAATATAACATAGTTATGTTTCAATAATTTACTTCCAAAATATAGTTTTATTTTTACTTAGGGGCATTACAATATCCTTTTTTTTTTTTTTGAGACAGAGTCTCGCTCTGTAACCCAGGCTGTAGTGCAGTGTCCTGATCTCAGCTCATTGCAACCTCTGCCTCCTGGGTTCAAGCGATTCTCCTGCCTCAACCTCCTGAGTAGCTGGGATTACAGGCACCGGCCACCATGCCCGGCTAATTTTTGTATTTTTAGTAGAGGGGGGGTTTCACCATGTTGGACCAGGCTGGTCTTGAACTCCTCAGGTGATCCACTGGCCTCAGTCTCCCAAAGTGCTGGGATTACAAGCGTAAGCCACCACGCCTGGCCCTTTTCTTTTAAAGAAGTACTATCTGGATGTCTATGAACTGCTAAAATTAGTTGCTTTGAAGAGGAAAGAAGGGGTAAAGGTGAAATATAAAGACTCCAACATAATACAATACAGTCATATAGTTGCTTTAGTTCAATTTCTTTCAAAGACAAGCCAAGAATGAACCCTCAGAATATATTAGTAGAGTTTTAAATTTTAAATTTTTCGCTCTAATGTAGCTGATGGTGATCAAGTTCATTAAAACAAGAGTCTATGATCTTCCTTTCCTAAGACACAACCAATAAAATACATTGATCATGTGTTCATTCAACAACCCTGCCCTGAGTTCCTTCTATGTGCACCATAGTATTTCACTGTGGTTTTAGCAAAGACATGTAAGACAAGGTTTTCCACCATCCAGGAGATGACATGGTAGGGAAGATCATTGTAATGGGAAGACAGCGATGCAATTTATTAAGTTATTGAATTCCATGGGCTGTACTTGGTAGTACACAAAATGTGTGACTTGAATTCTTATAAGAGTGACCAAGGAGTAATGATGGAGATGGTACTTTAGCTGGGCAAATTTCAAGACAGAGAAACTGAAATATACCTTGGAAAGATTAACCTGGAATTAATAAGAATGAACTGGAGCAGGGAGATCAGTTAAAGAGCTACTGGCCACAGTTCTCATGTACACCAGTAATAGTCCAGAATGAAAACAAAGAATTTTAGATTGAGAGAGGAGGAAACTAAGGACCCAATAGTTTAAAGTAATTAACTCAAAACGACACAGTTAGCTATTTGCAAAGGAAATTAAAAAACAAGACAGTCACTGAGAAAAATAACCAAAATCTGGCAACTGGGTCAATGTTGGTGCTACGGGAAAGGAAAAGATCCTAAAGTGAATTTAAGGTCTGAACCCAAGTAAGTGCAAGCATTAACAAACAAGGAAAAGGAGTTGTTTTTGCATTTTGTTTTGACAGATAAAGATAGCTAACTGCAATGGCTTCCATTTTAAATGTTCCTTTTTTTGTTCTCCACAACTTAACAGTTTTATACAATTTCAAACATCCATGTAATATATATATATATTTGTCCTTGATTTTCTTGACATATAAATTTCTCTCACAGTCAAGCACTGTATAACAGTGGGTACACAGTTTATCAACAACACACTAAGCCAAAATATTATTCAGATTGGTGTGAAAATAACAGCAAATGCAAAATAAGAGTACAGAAGTATGATCAAACCATGCATTCTACATTTTAAGGTCAGCTCATCATTTTGGGAAGGGCAGGGCTGGTTTTAAAAGTATAACTAACGGTGGCTCATGCCTGTAATCCCAGCACTTTGGGAGGCCAAAGCGGGTGAATCACAAGGTCAGGAGTTCGAGAGCAGCCTGGCCAACATGGTGAAACCCTGTCTCTGCTAAAAATACAAAAATTAGCCGTGCGTGGTGGCAGGCGCCTATAATCCCAGCTACTTGGGAGGCTGAGGCAGGAGAATCGCTTGAACCCAGGAGGCAGAGGTCAAAGTGAGCCGAGATCACGCCACTGCACTCCAGCCTGGGTGACAGGGTGAGACTCTGTCTCAAAAAAAAAAAAAAAGTATAACTAAGTATATTTACTCAAGTGCCTATGATCCTCAAAATATCAGTAAACAAACTACACCTTATTATTTTTTTTTTTCTTTTAAGACAGAGTCTTGTTCTGTTGCCCAGGATAGAGTGCAGTGGTGCAATCACTGCAACCACCACCTTCTGGGTTCAAGCAATTCTCATGCCTCAGCCTCCTGAGTAGCTGGGATTACAAGCGTGCATCACCACACCCAGCTAATTTTTTCTATTTCTAGTAGAAATGGGATTTCACCATGTTGCCCAGGCTGGTCTTGAATTCCTAAGCTCAGGCAATCCGCCTGCCTTGGCCTCCCTAAGTGCTAGGATTACAGGTGTGAGCCACCATGCCTGGCCACCTTATAATTATTAATCATTAAATAACCTTTTTAAAATCAATGATCAATCTAACTTCCATCACGTATGTGCTTCTCACAAGAAAAAAAAAGGCATCTTTAATTCTTTTCTTTTTTGGTCACATTATTGTATCTTTAAAGTCTGAAGGTAAAGGAATCCAATCCATTTTATATCGCTCCAATAAAGCATTACCTCTAAGTACCATAAACAAATAATTTTTTAAAATTTTGGCATAGTCTTTGAATAAGAGCTCTAGTAAGGTTAATTGAAGACTAAAGGCAAAGAAGTACTTCCATGCCTAGCACAATATCAAGGGCACAGCAGGAAGACAACTGTCTGTTGAATAAATGTCTGAACTTCAGGCATAAATGAAAAGATCTGTATTGTATATCTGGAGGTAATTATGAAAGCAATATAGTTTCCCTACAGGACAATATACAGTCATTAGGCAAATATGAAACAGCATAATACCACATTACCGTAAGGCAGACCTAAATTTAAATTCCCACTCTAATATTGGTTTTTCTTCTAGGCAAACACTTATTGAATACTCACCATACGCTAGGCATTGTTCTTTGCACTGTTAGGTTTTATCTTTATTTTTTTGAGACGAGAGTTTCACTCTGTCACCAGGCTGGAGTGCAGTGGTGCAATCTCGGCTCACTGCAACCTCCACCTCCCGGGTTCAAGTAATTCTCCTGCAGCTACTCTAGGAGTTTGGCATGATTATCCTAATTTTAGAGAAGAGAACACCTAGGCACAGAAAGGTTAAGCAATGTGACCAAGAAAACAGATCTAGCAACAGAGCCAGGATTTTTATGTAAGCACTCTAATTCCAAAAAAAAAAAAAATTGAATGGGTAACATATTTACATTGTTTTTTAAAAGGTATGCAGTGAGAGTCTACTATGTATGTTCTCCATCAATCTAACTCTCACCACTTCTTTTCCCACCTCTACACCAACAGTTACCAATGTTATTACTTGTATATATCCTTCCAGGGTTTTTTGTGTATCTATAAAGCAAATGCAAGTGTGTATTTTTCCTTGTTTAAAAAACCCAAAATGTAGCTCTCTATACATTACTCTCTACACCTTGCTCATTTTACTTAATGTATATTAGAAACTGTCTTTAAAAAAAGTTAATACGTATTACTGTGTTTTTAGAATTTTCCTAGCTTTTTCTTTTTCCATATGAACTTGAGTATATATTTGTCTACTTCCCTCAAAAGCCATTTGACATTTTCATTGAGATCATACTAAATTTACAAATTAGAGAAAATTGACGGGTTGATGTGGTTGAGTGTCCCTATCCATAAATGTGGTTTTCATTTGCTCAAGTTTTTTGTGCTCCTCAGTAATGCTTTCAAGTCTTCATCATATAGGTCTTGCACATTTCTTACTACTTTATTCCTGGGTTGTTTTGTTTCTCTCGCTATTATAATAATATTATATATTATAATAATATTATATATTATAATATTATATATTATAACATTATATATTATAATATTATATATCATAATAATATTATATATCATATTATATATCATAATATATATCATAATATTATATATCATATTATATATCATATTATATATCATAATATTATATATCATAATATTATATATCATAATATTATATATTATATTATATATCATATTATATATTATATTATATATCATAATATTATATATTATAATATTATATATCATAATATTATATATTATATATCATAATATTATATATTATAATATTATATATCATAATATTATATATTATAATATTATATATCATAATATTATATATTATAATATTATATATCATAATATTATATATTATAATATATTATATATCATAATATTATATATTATAATAATATTATATATCATAATATTATATATTATATAATATTATATATCATAATATTATATATTATAATAATATTATATTATATTTTGTTTCTCTTGCTATTATAATAATTTGGTTTCTTTTCTTCCATTGTTCTAATTGGCTCTTGTTCCTACTCAGCTTTAATTTCAACTTTGGCAGAATTACTTAATCTTCTGGAGTCTGACTGTTCTCACCAAAACACATACTTTTGCAGGATAGATACAAGACTTTTGGATAATGAATAAAGGATTCAGCACAGTACCTGGCATATAATGGAGGTTTACTGTTATTATTTTTTTAAATCAGCATTATAAGGTGTAAATAATGTTCTTTTTGTTTGCTTGTTTTTGAGACAGAGTCTTGCTGTGTCACCCAGACTGGAGTGCAGTGACACAAATAACAGTGGCACGATCTCAATTCACTGCAACCTCTGCTTCCCGGGTTCAAGCAATTCTCCTGCCTTAGTCTCCCAAGTAGCTGGGATTACAGATGCACACCACCATACCCAGCTAATTTTTGTATTTTTTTTAGTAGAGATGGAGTTTCACCATGTTGGCCAGGCTAGTTTCAAACTCCTGACCTTGTGATCCACCCGCCTCGACCTCCCAAAGTTCTGGGAATACAGGCGTGAGCCACCGCGTCCAGCCATAAATAATACATTCTAAATATTTCAACACTAAATTTCTCTCCAATTATATGGTTTATGTGTTTCTTCACCCTATACAATGCAGTACCAACTTATAATGTGTTCTCTTTTCCCCTTATTCTCAGTTGCAGAGGCTCATTCAACTTCCTAACTGAAAATATGAATAGTTCTATGTTCTGGTACAGGTAACATCAACCACTCAGGCTTCTACCTAGTAACTCTTCAAAATATAAGGTTCATTCCTATTAGAGAGCCTAGTTATGAAATCTATAGCTAAGCAATACTTGGATTAGAAATTACACATATGCTGATTGATCAACTGTACTTTGTATCAATTGTGGGAAGCAATTTAAGATCTACTTTATCCTCGTTATGCCATCCTAAAAAAAAAAAAGTCACAAATGTCTTCTAATAATGTATAGGTAAAGTAGCTAAACTTTCTTCCAGTTGCTTTTCAGATACTCCTAATTCTGCTCTTTAGGACCGCTTTTAGCCTCACCTCTTTCTTCCCCACACCGTTTCCCTTTCACAGAACCAACAGCATTATCGCAAAAGGTGTATTTCCCAATAGCTCTTGCCTACATTGCCCGCATATATACAACTTATAGTTAAAATTACTTCAGCTACTAGTGGAACCAAAAGCAACTTATACCTATGTCATTGCACCTTCTGACTGCAAAAGCTTTGTTTCCAGTAAGACCTGGAGGGAAGTCCTGAAGTCAAACACAGTAATTAAGAATAGGTTTGACACTTTGGGAGGCCAAGGCGGGTGAATCATCAGGTCAGGAGGTCGATACCATCCTGGCTAACATGGTGAAACCCCATCTCTACTGAAAATACAAAAAATTAGCCGGGAGTCATGGCAGGCACCTGTAGTCCCAGCTAATCGGGAGGCTGAGGCAGGAGAATGGCATGAACCCAGGAAGTGGAGCTTGCAGTGAGCCGCAATCGCGCCACTGCACTCCAGCCTGGGCGACAGAGCAAGACTCCGTCTCAAAAAAAAAAAAAAAAAAAAAAAAAAAAGGAATAGGTTTCTGTCAGCGAAAGAATAAGCAAATGGGCTGGGATCAGTGGCTCACGCCTGTAATCCTAGCACTTTGGGAGGCAGAGACGGGCAGATCACTTCAGGTCAGGAGTTCGAGACCAGCCTGACCAATATGGTGAAACCACGTCTCTACTAAAAATACAAAAAAATTAGCCGGGCATGGTGGCGGGTGCCTGTAATCCCAGCTACTTGAAAGGCTGAAGCAGGAGAATCGCTTGAACCTTGGAGGCGGAGGTTGCAGTGAGCCGAGATGGTGCCACTGCACTCCAGCCTGGGTGACAGAGCGAGACTCCATTTAAAAAAAAAAAAAAAAAAAAAAAAAAAAATCTGTATATAAAAATTCAGGTTTACAAAACAGATAGAGGTGGCAACCATTTAGATTACTTTAAATTTACAACGGTATTATATCACCATGTGCCTTAAGCAGTCTTCCAAAAGCACAAAGTTAAGTATTGTTAATGAATTATTAATTACTTAACAGGTTAGAACTGGGAGAAGTCTACAGTTGGAATGTCAGCCTATCTGAACTGAAAATAAAACAAAATCGAAAATAAACACTTCACACATTTAGCCCTGATCTTTCTCCCCACTTACAATACTACATTTCTTACTGCTCACTTAATATTATTAAGTTTACCACAAAATTCACCTTACCAGAATCTTTTAACTTGCCTCTTAAAAGAGAATATTTCTCTTCTTCCTGGATTCCTTATTTCTATACTAATGAATATACTAATCTATAGCTAATGATTCTACCTAGGATCATACCTGGCTCTTTCCGTTACATTTACTATTTATTTCCATCTGGTTACCAAAGCCTGTCCATTCTTTCTGCCTCTCTAAGTCTCCATCATCTACCTGCTCCTTTCTTGCTTTAAAGGACTACCATCGGCCGGGCACGGTGGCTCACGCCTGTAATCCCAGCACTTTGGGAGCCAAGGCGGGCAGATCACGAGGTCAGGAGTTCGAGACCAGTATGGTCAACACAGTGAAACCCTGTCTCTACTAAAAATACAAAAAAAAAAAAATTAGCCGGGTGTGGTGGTGGGTGCCTGTAATCCCAGCTACTCAGGAGGCTGAGGCAGGAGAATCACATGAACCCGGGAGGCGGAGGTTGCAGTGAGCTGGGATCGCACCACTGCACTCCAGCCTGGGCAACAGAATGAGACTCCATCTCAAAAAAAATAATAAATAAAAAATAAAGGACTACCATCACAGCCTAACTATTTCTTTACCTCCAATTTCTCTCCCTTTCAACCTTTCCTTTATAAATCCATGGTAATTCCCATTACAAACTATGAGTGAATAGATATTCACCAAATTAAATTCAAGCTCCTTAATTTATTTCTACAATCTGACCTCAATTTTGCCTAACCTTCCTGCTCACTATTCTCAAGACATCTCAATTACATGGACTACTCTTCCCTTAGTAAGCCTCAAACTTGCCTGTTGCCATCTGCTTAGTATACTATCTCTACACAGCACTCTTGTTTATACATCCTGTAACACTTAGCATATTTTAATTGCCTTTCTATTATTTGTGCATTTGTTTTCTATTCCCTACTAGATCATTAAATGATATTCATCATGTTGTAATAGAAAGCTTGTCATACATTTTATTTATTTACTTTATTATTTATTTTTTTAGTTGGAGTCTCGCTCTGTAACCCAGGCTAGAGTGCAATGGCATGATCTCAGCTCACTGCTACCTCTGCCTCCTAGGTTCAAGCAATTCTCCTGCCTCAGCCTCCCGAGTAGCTGAGACTACAGGCACACCACCATGCCCAGCTAATTTTTCTGGTTTTTTAGTAGAGACGGGGTCTCACTACACAGGCCAGGCTGGTCTTGAACTCCTGACCTTGTGATCCACTTGTGTCAGCCTCCCAAAGTGCTGTGATTACAGGCATGAGCCACCGCACTCAGCCTTGTCATACATTTTAAAAACTTTCATTTACAAATATCTTATGTGTATAAACTTCATAAAATGAGACACAACTGTGCTTAAAAAATAAATTCAGTTCTCACTCCTTAAAATTAAAGATGTTCTTTTTCCTAAATAAATAAACAGAGGTAGGTCAGGCGTGGTGGCTCACACCTGTAAACCCAGCACTTTGGGAGGCCAAGGCGGACAGATTACCTGAGGCCAGGAGTTTGAGACCAGCCTGGTCAACATGGCAAAACCCCGTCTCTACTAAAAATACAAAAAATTAGCAGGGCATGTTGACGGGCATCTGTAATCCCAGCTACTCAGGAGGCCAAGGCAAGAGAATCACTTGAACCTGGGAGGTGGAGGCTGCAGTGAGCCAAGGCTGCACCATTGCACTCCAGCCTGGGCAACAAGAGCGAAACTCCGTCTCAAATAATAATTAAGAAACAGAGGCTGGGCATGGTAGCTCATGCCTGTAATCTCAGCACTTTGGGAGGGCGAAGTGGGCAGATCACTTGAGGCCAGGAGTTCTAGAACAGCCTGGTCAACATGGCAAAACTCCACCTCTACTAAAAATACAAAAATTAGCCAGGGATGGTGGCACACGCCTGTAATCCTAGCTACTCTGGAGGCTGAGGGGAATCGCTTGAGCCCAGGAAGCAGAGGTTGCCGTGAGCCGAGATCATGCCACTGCACTCCAGCCTGGGCGACAGAACAAAACCCTGTCCCCAAAACATAAAAAATAATTAAAAGAAAGAAATAGGCCGGGTGCCGTGGCTCAGGCAGGTAATCCCAGCAATTTGGGATGTCGTGGCAGATGGATCACCTGAGGTCAGGAGTTCAAGACCAGCCTGGCCATCATGGTGAAACCCCATCTCTACTAAAAATACAAAAATTAGCCAAGTGTGGTGGTGCATGCCTGCAATCTCAGCTACTGGGGAAGCTGAAGCAGGAGAATCATCTGAACCTGGGAGGCGGAGGTTGCTGTGAGCCAAGATGGCACCACTGCACTCCAGCCTAGACAATAGGCAACAGAGTGAGATTCTCTCTCAAAAAAAAAAAAAAAAAGAGAGAGAGAGAAAAAAAGAAAAAGAAAAAAAGACATAAAAACTAAATTGATATATATATGTTCATTGCAGTATTACTTATAACAAAAATCTGGAAATAAATTCCAAAAAATAGGCTGGGCATGGTGGCTCACACCTGTAATCCCAGCACTTTGGGAGGCTGAGGCAGGTGGATCACAAGGTCAGGAGTTTGAGACCACCCTGGCCAAAATGGTGAAACCTTGTTTCTACTAAAAATACAAAAAATTAGCTGGGAGTGGTGGCACACGTCTGTAATCCCAGCTACTCAGGAGGCTGAGACAGGAGAATCGCTTGAATCCAGGAGGCAGAGGCTAGGGTGAGTGGAGATCGCGCCATGCACTCCAGCTTGGGTGACAGAGCAAGGCTCCATCTCAAAAAAAAAAAAAAATCCAAAAAATAGAATACTTAAATAAATTTTGGTACATCTAAATGATGAAATGTTAATTATATTCCTAAATATTCCCAATATTCCTAAAACTTTAAAACATGGGAAAATGCTAAATTATTATCGGGGGAAAAAAGTTGAGATACAAGAACACATTCCCAGTTTGTAATCAGAAACATATATGAATATAGAAAAGGTCTCAGGTGACAATACTATTTACCTATGCATGATGGCATTATAGTTTTTACTTTCCTATGTATTAGTAATTCTCTACCAAGAACATGTAATACTTTTATAATAGAAAACAATTATGAAAAACTAAAAATATGTTATTTCAGAATAGTATAACACCTAGCAAAGGAATAAAATGAGGCAAAACTTAGATATGAATAAAAAAGTAATTAATATATTTTCAAATAATTTGTGAAAAGCCCATTCTAAAGGATTCCAGAATGTCTTATGGCCAAGAAAGGCTAAACCAAAATTCTGCCATGCTAGAAATGAACACAAAAGAGTAAATCTAGGCAAATAAAACTTATGGTTTAAAGAATAAGCCACCGAAATGCAAGAAATTTCCCATTAAAACAAAAACAAACAAACTCTAATAAGGCCTGGCGTGGTGGTTCATGCCTATAATCCCAGCACTTTGGGAGTCTGAGGTGCGAGGATCACTTCGAGACCAGCTTGGGCAAAAGAGTGGAACCCTGTCTCTATAAAAAATACAAAAATATGCTGGGCATGGTGGCATGCACATGTGGTCCCAGCTACTCAGCAGGCTGAGATAAGAGGATTCCTGAACCCAGGGAAGTCGAGGCTGCATTGAGCCACGATTTAACCACTGTACTCCAGTGACAACAAGATCCTGTCTAAAAAAACAAAACAAAACTCCAATAAAATGTCTGTATAATTACACACAGCATAGGTTTTTCTCGCATATAAGGTAATTATCATAACTCATTACAATTTAAAATTAATTATTGCCTTTTAAATTTCATCAAAATGAAAAAAAAAAATCCAGGGGAACAGAAAGAAGGTCAACCATGAGCTCATTAATATAGTTTCCTCATTAGTGTTACCCATTTTTCTACTAACATTATCCAAGCCCAAATAAACTCTTATATAAACATTTGAGTACACCTCCTCTATTAGATTCTTTCATACATATCCCAAGCACTTGATATACTTTATAGCCTAGGAATACAGAAGTAACTTTTGTGTCTTCAAAGCAGTTTTAAAAATACATGCCTTTGTGAGAAATGAGCTTTAAAAACAGTGCTACATTTGTATGATATATTGGGAATACAGAACCTAAGAATCTTTACTAAGGAGATAATGGTAACTAGACTACCTAGACTGCCATCTGCAACAAGAATCTGCTAAGTACCCAAATTGTAAAACCAAATCTACCACACTGCTGATCTTTTAAGGAAAGTATGTGGCTCACTTCTAATCATGTAAAAACACTAACATACCCAAGAGAAAATCACTGGTTCCAAGTACTTTAAAGAAGTTTCCCTTTGTTAGACTGCTCAGATTAGGCATCTACTGCTATTTTTGTCTTCTGTGTAGGTTTTAAGAGTTTTATAAAGCATCCACCAAACCAATGCATCTTAGAGAGAGATGCATGTATCTACATGGCGGACTTTATACAACATAACTAATCCAAGTTCCAAGGTTAGCCACCAAATCAATTCTGCAAGTCAGTTACTATGGACCTTGGCTTGTAGTACAGCATAGCAGTTAGACAAGGGGATATATACAATATATAACAGAAAAGAGAAAAGACTGGGCATTACCATAGTTAAGTTTCTGTTCGTTTGTTCAAATATTCTTCATACCACACAGAGTTATACTGAAGTATCAAAGTGGTATCAGAATGTAAGCATCTTGGTAAAATAATGATTTAACAGGCCATCAAATCGAATGGCAGGGAAACAATCTGTGCACTAGTATTTGACCTGCCTCAAACAGAAGATATTACTGTAAATAATTCTAAACATAAGCACAATTTAGTGAATAAGGTAGGAGACTGGTAGACTCTAACTTTCAGATTCAACTTATAGCTGTTCACCAGTCATCTGCTATTTTGACAAGTTACTTACCAACGTGTGCTGCCATTTCTCCGTAAATTTATCCCCTAAGATGAGGATAATTCTTGCAAATTGTGTCACAAGCATTTTGAAAGGAACCATGAGTTATTGTGTAATGCTCTTGAAATTCCTCAGATGTAGGGTCCTACACAAAGTAAAGTATTATTATACATTTCTCTAACGGTAGTCATCTGTTTGCATTATGATTTTTTTTCCTACCCTTGACACTGTGATTCTTGGGCACTAACCTTTCTCAAAGTAAAGCGTTCAAAGCAAGCCTCCACTCCTGACCCAAGTAATTACTTTTTTCAAATCTATCATCCACATCTTTCTCTTCCTTAGAAGGTATTGTGAAAACCGGGAGTTATAAAACGCAATGAGCTTCTTTGGTTTAAATGTTCTGGTTCAGTAAGAAATGTGTGGGATAATCTGGTATTTTTATTTTTAACCCACCCTTAAGTGAGTAACTTTATTTCCCATAGTTATATTTTCCTATATTACTTTTTAAATTTCAACTATATTTTAAGGAGCAGCTCGTTTATAAATTTGTTTTATGAACAGAGAGAACAGGTCAGAAAAATGAAGAAGCAAGAAAGGCAAGCCAAGTAATCACTACTATGTGACCAAAATGCTTTTATTGGAATGACTCAACAGTAGAAATTACCATTCGAGGATATGGAAAACAAAGAATCAATGCTCATCATCTTTAAAAAGAGTTCAACATAAACCACAATAAATTTTATCATACTATTAAAACTATTACCTATAAACTCTGCCAATCGAGTTAGTCTTCCATTCAGTAATACACTATACATATTTGAATTTTTTAGCTTTTGTTGGTACAATATTACATCTTGAAAATAGAACTCTCGATCTTCTTATCAGTTCTTAAAATGATTTTTAAGTTTGTGTACAAGGGGGAAGACAATAAAATATGCTGTCTTCATTGTATAAGCTTAGTTATAAGATAGTAATTTTTTAAAGATTTTTCTTGGCTGCCACAGTAGCTCATCCCTATAAATCCCAGCAATTTGGGGAAGCCAGGACAGGAGGATAGCTTGAGGACTGGAGTTTGAGACCAGACTGGGCAACATAGGGAGACCCCCTTCTCTAACAAACATAAAAAAATTGGCCAGGCCTGGTGGCTCATGCCTGTAATCCCAGCACTTTGGGAGACCGAGGTGGGCAGATCACCTGAGGTCAGGAGTTCGAGACCCCCCTGGCCAACATGGTGAAACCCTGTCTCTACTAAAACTACAAAAAAATTAGCCAGGTGTGGTGGCACACACCTGTAGTCCCAGCTACTCGGGAGGCTGAGACAGGAGAATCACTTGAACCTGGGAGGTGGAGGCTGCAGTGAGCAGAGATCACACCACTGCACGCCAGCCTGGGTAACAGAGCAAGACTCCGTTTCAAAAAAAAAAAAAAAAAAAAAAAATTAGCCAGGCATGGTGGCACATAAGTGTAGTCCCAACTACTGGGGAAGCTGAGGCAGGAGGATCACTTGAGCCCAGGAGTCCAAGGCTACAGTGAGCTATTATCACGCCACTGCACTCTACCCTAAGCAACAGAATAAGACCCCATCTCAAAAAAATATAAAAAATAAAAAACCCTCAGAATTACAATAAAATACTGATGGAAACCAGCTTCCTCAAAGGTGAACAAATATTCTTTTACCTTCTAAATGTAGCAAAGGAAAAGATTTGTGAGATTAAGGATAAAAACCACAAGATTTAGGGTGGTCTCAAGATGTGCTAGCCAAGTGACCCTATTAGTCTCTTAATCTCTTTTAACCTCAGTGTCCTCATCTGTAAAATGCGGACCATGATACCTGCCTTAGCTACATACAACTGTTGTGAGAATTAAATGAGATACTCCATTTGAAAGAATGTTGTAAAACACAAAAAACTGTTTTTTAGATAACAGGGCTTGTTTTTAAACAGAACACCACTTTATTTACAAATTATGGTCACAGAACAGTTTAGTACTGTTTCTAACATGAAACAAATGGAAATCAATGTGCAAAACATAACCATGGTCACCAAATTATACCTATGATTAGATACACAGTAAGAAAAGGATCTTGTAAAGAAAAGTATACTTCCCATACTTAAAATCTTCAGAACTGAATTTGAAAGTATAAAAAAACAACAATTCATTTAAATGGATTGGTCTAGCGCACTGAAGATTAAATATATTTGTTAGCTATAAATTTAAAAATTGAGACATTAGCTTAAAAAGTATTTTAAAGTTCTTATGAAGAAAAAAACATGAAAGTGAAACAGACATTCACTTCTCTGGAAATAATTCAGAAAAGCCAGTAGTGATAGAAAAGGACATACATATACAAGACAACAGAGATGAACATGAACATAATCTGCACCTTTAGTATAATAAAGGAATTCAGTTAAATCTTTCTGTGTGGTCCCTAAAAAGTCCAGAACAGAAACACCTCTTTTCAATAGGCCACAGGTTAAATCTATTCACTACATTGTCAGGCCAAGTCCTCCAGTAGGTTATTATGAATCTCGAGAATAATTTATCCTTAATAAGGCTACCTCTTTCTCCTTCATTCCTTATTAGTTATGGAATATGTATATTTATAAAGCCAACCTATGTAAAGAAACAATTCTTAGTTCCCTCCATTCCATGTGCTTTCTGACACAAGTTTAAAGTTCTTGTGAAGTCAGCTGGGCACGGTGGCTCACGCCTGTAATCCCAGCACTCTGGGAGGCCAAGGCGGGCAGATCACAAGGTCAGGATATCAAGACCATCCTGGCTAACACGGTGAAACCCCGTCCCTACTAAAAATATAAAAAATTACCCGGGCATGGTGGCACGCCCCTATAGTCCCACCTACTCGGGAGGCCGAGGCAGGAGAATCGCTTGAACCTGGGAGGCGGAGGTTGCAGTGAGCAGAGATCGTGCCACTGCATTCCAGCCTGGGCAACAGAGTGAGACTCTGTCTCAAACAAAACGAAACAAAACAAAACAAAACAAAAACCTCCTGGGAAATGAACTATGTTTATTACATTGTCCCAGAAATATAACCAACTTGCTCAATTACCAGAAGACTTTAAAATAAATAAGATCCAACAACTTTTTATCTTTTAATCCAGTCCTCAAATTCACAAATTTAAAAAGGGGTTGGGGAAATGACACAAATCATTAACGAATTATTCCAAATATAAATAACTTTAGTTAAAAACATTCTTAAAATTTAGTTAAAAACATTATTTAAAAAACATCTTAGGCCAGGAGCAGTGGCTCATGCCTGTAATTCCAGCACTTCGGGAGGCCAAGGCAGGCGGATCACCTGAGGTCAGGAGTTCGAGACCAGCCTGGCCAACATGGTAAAACCCCATCTCCATTAAAATATGAAAAGTAGCCAGGCATTGTGGTGGGCGCCTGTAATCCCAGCTATTCGGGAGGCTGAGGCAGGAGAATTGCTTGAACCTGGGAGGCAGAGGTTGCGGTGAGCCGAGATGGCGCCATTGCACTCCGGCCTGGGAAACAAGAGCGAAACTCTGTCTCAAAAAAAAAAATAAAAATAAAAATAAATAAATAAATAAATATTCAATCAAAGCTGAGATTAAAAGATGAAGTTCCTATCACAGCAACTACTACTTTTTGAACTTGTTTCTCTTCCCTCTGAAACCTAGGTTCACTTCAATATATCATCGAACCAGAACTTCTGATAATAAAAAGCTTTTCTCAGGATCAGGACCCCCCCCTTCTACAAAACTATTTCAGCTCCAGACTTATTTCCTAGCTGTTTATGTGATCACCAATAGAATTAAATGTAAGCCTTCATTTTCTCCCAGAAATCTTACTTTAATTCTATCCCATAATATTTCCCATCATTTAAATGTCCTAGGCTCAAAGTGCATGGCACATCATGTCTAATTTCCAGTTCTCTCCAGTTGTTCATGTATACCTTAACTCCCAACCCAGACTCTAAATTTCTCAAGACAAAGCTAATGCCTGTCACTTTTCTCTTCCACAGGCTGTGGTGTAATCGGGACAACAATGAGGCAATCCTAAAGAGGTATCCCAAATTAGGGAAACCCACTGCCCCAACTTTACATTACCAAATAATGGTTCCAGGATGAATCAAGATGATATAGATGTCACAGTGCAATCATCACAATGTCAACATGACCACAAAGAAGCCTATTCTAGCTAGTTAAGTTTCTCAGAATCTCATCTATACAGTTGGAGGCTGTTCCTGGCACTATAATCATTATACTACTAGTACACAGTGTCTACCTCTAACACTTAAACATTTTAAACCTCAGTAGACCTAAGTAACTATACTGGCAATTTCTATGTGCTGGCTTTTTACTTTCTACTTGCCCTATGGCCTTTCAGAAATTATTAAAGTAATACAGAGAGATGTTCAGTTATTTCTATGGGGCATGCTAAAGTACAAAGAACAGCAGTAGCCTCCGTACCATGAAAATCTCAACCTGAGGCAGCATTCCAAGCTAAGCAAAAATAGTAAAGGGCCCATTTGTCTCTGGAGCAGAGACAATCATCAAATGCGTATCAGTAAATTACCATTCATTTCTACCAATATGACCACCTCAATGCCTGAGATCATGAAAATCTGGTAGGAATCCATAAAATGTTCTTAGACAGGTAGAGTACAAGAAAGCTGCCATTTACTTTGAGTTCTGCAAGAATTAAAAATCTATTTTATGAATGTCACTATCATTTATCCAATAAAAAATAAATTACAAATTAAGGCAGAAGAAAATACACTAAGACCTTAACCACAAAGAAAGGATGAAAACGATACAGTATTTGCAAGTTAGAAAAGTGAGATTTGGCATGGTCGTGAGATGATGTGAAGGATGAATCGTGCCTTAATTTAATGCCTGAATATCTTAGATTACATTAATCTCTCAAAAGCTGAGTAACAACAGAAACCACCTAATTAATAAACTGATAAAATAACTGCCACAGAAAATACTGAAGTGCCATTATTGTTACAGTTAAAATAAACAGTAAGTCAGTATAGCTGCAGTCTCATCTGAATTTACCACCTGAAATCATTAACTTTTAGTTATCATAATTGAAAGCAAAACTCACATAACAATGATACTCCTAAATGTAGAAATATTTGATTTTAAAATACAATATCCAGGAACAGAACATGAAATGTGACCAAATTCCTCAAAATTCTCATTACCCTACAAATTATTTAATTTGCTTGTACAACTACTACAAAATCAGGACACTTCATAGTCACAAAATCTTTAATAGCTAGCAATGCTACAGAAAGTAGAAGATGAGAGGAATAAAAGATATTTCTAACTAAATCAAATAAAATTACATATTTAAAATACTATGACAGAGGGATAAAAAGAATAAAAATATATTTTAGGCAAGCAAGTCAAAGTAAAAAGCTTCCGTCTTGTTTTCCTCCCCCCTCCCAAAGTAAGGTAAACACAGAGTAAATTATGCATTTAAAATCTATCCAGGGTGGCTGAACAGAATTTATTAAAGAGGACCTGCACACTACACACTCTGTACCAAAGATTTATATACTGCAGGCTGATTTTCTTTATTGTTTTATATCGTCATACAAAATAAGGTTTTATAATACTAGTAGTAAAAAAAAAGAAACCACAACATAAAGTACTTAGAACCATACAAATATACACATATAATGGAAATACATAACTTCTACTTTGCTTTTAAAGCTTGATAAACATATAGTTACAACTAGAGAAATTATACGATGATTCAAATTTAAAATGATATAATTATTAAAAATAGCAAATTTTAAAAACATTTCAACTTACCTGGTTTCTTTCTGGATTTTTCATGACCTAGCTGTCCTAGATCATTACATCCACATGTGTACACTGTTCCATCATCCAGAACAAACACAGTATGTCTGAGTCCACATCCTACATCTCGGACCCTTTTATTTATAAAGAAGTCACTTTTTCTGGGCTCTAGTACAATTTCTTCATCAATTCCACCCAAACCTAGCTGCCCAAAGGATGCATTTCCCCAGCACAACATGCTTGTAATTATTTTGGTCTTCCAGTTTCAATAAAAAATTCTCTTCTGAAACCCCGGAAAGTTGGAGGTACCCTATGTCTGAGGAAATAGAAAGAAGTTAATATGACTTCAAAGAAAAAAGGATGTATAATTGCTCTTTCAAGTGCTAGGCTACAATAATTGCTACATGGTAAACATTAAATATACTTTATAACATGCTACATAAGTATCATTCAGTTTCAAAAACCAATCAGTTGTATTTTTTAAAATGTATCATACAGAAATTTTTAGGGAAAATATGACACTTTCTATGATCCTTTGCAAAATTTAAAACATATTAACTAGTTTTGACTTCTGGTTATCTTGTGATAGACTAAACTAATAGGAATAAGTACCTTGATGAAATTAATCACAATTTTTTCTACTTTTTGCTTTAAATAATTTCAATGGGAACAAGAAATAAGACATCTTTCCTCTGCCCAAAAAGCAAATATACACAGTGCAAAATTTAGCCAACTGCAGAAACATAACCTTGCAATCCTAGTATAATTAAGCTTTCTAATACCTACCTCCACATCAACAGAAAATGGAGTTCTTATCTGTAACAGAAATAAAACCAATAATGGAAATTTAAAGCAATTTTCCACAATTTAAACGACTCTCCCAATTACTCTTTAGCCCAGAGAGAAAATGAAGATTCTCTTACCAAACCATAATCTTAAATCACCTCCAAAGATCCCAGATTTCAAATCAAAATACTAACATTCCAACCTCACTAATTTTAAAACTAAATCAATGTGCATAATTATAATACAGAAAAAAAAACATGCAATTTAAATATCAATTCTCTCCAAAATTCAACCTCTTTTATTACAAGTGGTAACCGGGATTAAAAAAATCACCCGTGGGCAATCTATATCTATCTATATCTCTGAGACAATTATTTAAAGATTGGCGGGGGGGAATTGCAAATAACTCCAGCACTGCAGATTTTTCAAGAATAGGAATGGATAGTCTGATGGCGAAATCTGTAGAACTTTCCAGCACACTGACTGAATATTTCCTCACTTGTAAAGAAAGACACAAATAACAGAGTCCACTTCATCTATACATACGTAGACTTTTAAACACATCGCGTTACTAAATATCATAATTACAGGAAGTCAGCCTTATTCTGTAGCAGTCATCCACATTCTTACAGAGCCTGCGAAGTTTCAACTCCAATTTTCCTATGTTCCTGTTAGCAAGTGCCCAAGGTGTCCCATTCCACGACCCATCATCCCATTAACAGAAGTTTGATTTCATTCTTTTGGGGTATCAGAACTCGATAATTCCCAAGAGTTCTGCATTGTCTTCCCATATTTAAAAACAAAATAAGAGTAATACAGGAAAATACCCCGACTTCAGCGCGCGAGGTTTAACCACCCTTTTCTTTAAAACACAGAGGCGTCCTCTCGCCAGCAACAGGTAGGGAAATGAGAAGCAGTTTAGTCCCGTCTTTCCCTGAACGTGCACCCAGATCAGCTCATGGGGACTGGGAAAGAGAAATCATCTGCACACACCCAACCTCGCAGCCAAGCAGACGACTACCGCAACCGGCCGCTCGCAACAGCTTCAGAGGCCGGCGGCCGAGGCTTGGCAGTGCGCGGCCTCAACCTGAGAGAAGCCCATCCCCAGGCAGATGAGACATTCCAGCCCCGGGGCCAGGGAGCCACAGCCCTGCCCTCGCCCCACGCCCCTCACCCCCAGGAAGCGCGGAGAAAGCGCCCTATGCCGGGCCGGCCTGCATCCGCCCAGCCCGGCCTGCCCCTCCCTAACGCCGTCACACGCCCCCGAACCCGCTGGGGCCACAACTCGCCCAAGCCCTTCAGGGTAGGGGAAGCCCAAGGTGACGGGGGGCGGCCCCTGCCCAGAGAGCAAGGCAGCGCGGTCGCTGAAGCACGTCTCCGGCTCCTGGGACCCTCCTCTGTCAGCCAGTGGCGACGATCACCAGGGCACCTCCGGCGTCTGTGCCGCTGCTCCGCTGCTCCCCTCCCCGGCCCCTGGGAAACTTTACCGGGTTCCTTAGAGAAAAGCGGACGCCACTGCTGTCCAGTCCAGAGACAGCCGTCAGCGACCCGGATGGAGCGGGCGGGGAAGAACGGGAGGCAAGCGGGGCGGAGAGCACCAGGGGTGGGGAGAGTTGGGGAAGAGACTGGGTAGGAGAAGGCAGAGGGGGAGGTGGCCACGCGAGGGAGGCGGGGGAGGGGCTGGCCGGAAGTGAACCGCAGAGCACGCGCGCGAGCCCGCCCACTTCCCGGCCCCGGCACCGGCGCCTGCGCCGAATCTTCCGGGGGGGGGGGGGGGGGGGTGGCTGGCCACAGGCGCCTGCGCAGTGTGCCGCTTTGCGTTGCTTTAAGAGGGAAAAGCCAAATACAGAAAGTTGGAGTTTGCGAAGACAAACGAAGAAGATGTCAACTGTTTTTGAGAATGCTTCGGCGTGCACAAAGCCTTTTAATGAAGAAAATCACTTTGTTTTTTGGTTTGGTTGTCTTTGTGCTCATGGATGCTAGCTAGTCTTTTTATTATTTTACTCTCTCTTTTCCCAAGGAGATTTTAAAGTAGCAGATGAAACATCACAATTATGAACATAAAGACTGGTGAAGAGTTATTTTATCCCATGGCCTCAACTGGAGCCAGTCTGAGGATGTGAGATGTGTTGATGGCAATGGCTGAAGCTACTCTACTACCACCACCACCAGTTCAGTTTCCTTGTACAGTGTTGGCTACCATCACTTTCTACACTCTCCCTGAAAGATAGGCTTGAATTGCAGGGTCTCATTCTATCAGAGAAAATTACACATTGGCTGCAGTCCCTGATTCATAAAAACGAAGTCTGGATCTCCTAGGCCAGCCTTAACTTCTTAAAAAGCAGGAGAACTTGAAACAATGCACTTTTGAAATTGTAAGTTGGGTATTGCTAGAATGAATATTCAGTACCTAGAAGAAGTTCCACAAATAGGCCATCTTTCTTTTTCTTTTCTTATTTTTATTTATTTATTTATTTATTTATTTATTGAGACAGAGTCTCGCTCTGTTCCCCAAGGCTGGAGTGCAATGGTGCGATCTCAGTTCACTGGAACTTCCGCCTTAGCCTCCTGAGTAGCTGGGACAACGGGCATGCGCCGCCATGCCCGGCTAATTTTTGCATTTTTAGTAGAGACAAGGTTTCGCCATATTGGCCAGGCTGGTCTCAAACTCGTTACCTCAGGCGATCCACCCGCCTCGGCCTCCCAAAGTGCTGGAATTACAGGCGTGAGCCACCGGTCCTGGCCTGTTTCTTTATCTCTTGTTGAAAAACATGTTTTAGATAAGAACTGTCTGTGCTAGAATATGTTCAAGTGTGTGTATTCGTGTCCTAGGCTTGCCATATAAATTAAAACAGATTCGGTGGCTTAAAACAACAGAAATTTATTGTCTCACAGTTCTGAAGACCAGTTCAAAATCAAGGTGAAAGTAAGCTTGGTTCTCTCTTGGGGTCTCTGAGAGATAATCTTTTCCAGGCTTCTCTGCTAGCTTCTGGTGGTTGCCAACAATCCTTGGCAATCCTTGTAGAAGCATCCCTCTTCACCTTGTTTTCCCTGTGTGTCTGTCCAAATTTCCCTCTTTTATAAGGACACCAGATATTGGATTAGAGCCTACCCTGATCCATTATGACCTCATCTTAACCTTATTACATCTGCAAAGAACTCATTTCCAATTAAAGGTCACATTTGGCCGGGCACGGTGGCTCACGCCTGTAATCCCAGCACTTTGGGAGGCTGAGGCGGGTGGATCACCTGAGGTCGGGAGTTCGAGACCAGCCTGACCAACATGCAGAAACCCTGTCTCTACTGAAAAAATACAAAATTAGCCGGGCGTGGTGGTGCATTCCTGTAATCCCATCTCCTCAGGAGGCTGAGGCAGGAGAATTGCTTGAACCTGGGAGACGGAGGTTTTGCGGTGAGCCTAGAGCGCGCCATTGCACTCCAGCCTGGGCAACAAGAGCAAAACTCCATCTCAAAAAAAAAAAAAAGTTCACATTCACAGGTACTGGAGGTTAGGACTTCAGCTTATCTTTTGAGGGATCAAATTTAACCCACAACAGTATGTTACAGAAATGAATGTAGAATGACAAGATGCTTAAGCAAGGAAAGCATAATTTCAACATGAGAAATGGTAGGAATGTTCACAAAAAATACTCATATTTTGAGAGTTTCATTGCTCTTGTTGGCTTTTTTTTTTTTTTTTTTTTTTTTTGAGACATCATCTTGCTCTGCTCATCTCGGCTCACTGCAATCTACACCTCCCAGGCTCAAGGGATCCTCTCATCTCAGCCTCCTGAGTAGCTGGGACTACAGAACACATGCCACCACGCTCTGCCAATTTTTGTATTTTTTGTAGAGACAGGGTCTTGCCATGTTGCCCAGGGTAATCTACAACTCCTGGGCTCTAGTAATCCACCCACCTTGGCCTCCCAGAGTGCTGGGACTACAGGTGTGAGCCACCGCGCCAGGCCTCTTGTAGGATTTTTGTTTGTGGTCTTTTACCCTTAAGGGCTTGTTGCCTCAGAATATATCATTAAAAGGGAAGTTATGGAATTCAGGATCTTTAAGATATACAATTGATGCTATAATACATAAAAATTAAAATGAGTGGCTTAATATAAGTGTATTTTTTAACCTTTTTAGCAGTCCAAATAAGTGTTCCTAATGAGTGAAAACTGATCTCCAGGGACCTGAGAAGATGGAGGGAGGGTGAGCTTCTTAAAATCCTTGTTTGGGAAATGCCACATAGCACTACTATACACAAAACAGAACTCTGCCCGTAGAAACAAGGGTGCTGGGAAGCATAGTCCCTGAGTTCCCAAGTACTACTTCATGCTGTGGAAGGGAGAGCATGAATTGGTGGACAGCTGTCTATTCCACCTGGATATATATCTATCTGGAATATTTTTAAAGATAGATCTTGCTTGTAGAAAGTGGAATGGACATTTTTGCATGTTCCTTTTAACCTTACAAATCTGTGAAACCATGGTGCAAGGTTTTAGAAAGTAGCATGTGATTATCTTTAAGATGAAACAAGTATGGGATCCTAGGGTTATTAGAATAATGTAAATTTGTTGTATAAATGCAGCATGAGATATTGGTGAGTATGATCTCTGGTGCTGGTTTATCTGAATTCAGAGCCTAAACCCTATAAGCTTACCTCAGACCTCTGTCCTTCTATCCCCCCAAACACAAGGGCATTTACTAATGATCTGTTTTACAGAATATTACATCTCAGCCATAATTTTTATAATTATGTTCATAATCCATATCTCACTGGGCTGTTGTGAAGCCAGTAAAATGACACATACAGTGCCTTGTATGTGGCAGGAGTTTTGTAAATGTTAGCTTTTACTATTACTAGTATTATTTCTCCTGAATTACTAGTAAGGGAATGCAGTCCATATGACCAGAAAGAAAATAATATTAATTCATAACAGAGTAAAGTATTTTTTTTACCTATTTTTATTTAAAAAAAATAATGCTCAGACTGTTGAGAGACATCTAAAAATAGTATTCATTCTTCTTCCACTCTTTCTCTTTCTCCCTTCCTTCCAGCCATACTGCTCCTGCTGGATCTCACCTCATTTTCTTCATTCAGGTCTCTACTCATGTCACCTCTACAGACTTCCCTGATCAGCCTATCCAAAAAACCACCCCTCTCTCCCTATCATCTTATCCTGCTTGCTTTTCCTTCATATCCATTATAACAAACTGACATTTTAATATATAATTCATAAATATGTATTATGCTTATATAAAAAATATATAACTAAGAAAATGGATAAGCAATTATATACAATCTATTTACATATTACTTAAATAGATATTTAACTTCACCTCCTCCATTAGAATGAAAACTCATAAAGGCAGTGATTTTGTCTGTTTTGCTCCGTGCTCTATCCCCCGGGATCTTGAACAGTTCCTGGCCCACGGCAAGTGCTAAAAATATACTCCTGAGGCTGGGTGCAGTGGGTCAGACCTGTAATCCCAGCCCTTTGGGAGGCCGAGGCAGGCAGATTGCTTTGGGCTCAGGAGTTCGTGACCAGCCTGGCAACAATGGTGAAACCACGTCTCCACGAAAAAGACAAAAATTAGCTGGATGGGGTGGTGTGAACCTGTGGTCACAGCTACTCGGGAGGCTGAAGTGGGAAGATTGCTTGAGTCGAGGAGACAAAGGTTGCAGTGAGCGGAGATTGTGCCACTGCACTCCAGCCTGGGCAACAGAGTAAGAGACCCTGTCTCTAAAAAACAAAACAAACAAAAAAAAAACCACTTCTTGAATTAATTAATTAATGGTGCTGGCAGCATTGTAAATTATCACAACCTTTTAATAAATAAATTTGGCAATATATTTCAAGAGCCAGTAAATTTCATTTAATAGTTCATAATAATAGCAATATTTATTGTGAGACATTGCCCTAAACCATTTACCTGTACAATATTACTTCTGGATTCTGTCCTAAGGAAATACAAGATGCATTCAACAAATGTTTATTGAGCACCTACTATGTCACACCCTCCCAAGTCTAGCAGGATAGATAGAAACATGGGGGTGGGTGAATGAAAGTATGAACAAGATTTTTATTGCAGTGTTATTTCCCATAGCAAAAATTAAAAGCAGCCAGCCAGGCGTGGTGGCCCATGCATGTAATCCTAGCACTTTGAGAGGCCCAGGCAGGTGGATCACCTGAGGTCAGGAGTTTAAGACCAGCCTGGCCAACATGGTGAAACCCCATCTCTACTAAAAATGCAAAAATTATCTGGGCTTGGTGGTGCGCACCTGTAATCCCAACTACTCGGGAGGTTGAGGCAGGAGAATCACTTGAACCCAGGAGGCAGAGGATGCAGTGAGCCGAGTTCGCACCATTGCACTCCAGCCTGGGTGACAAGAGCAAAACTCCATCTCAAAAAACAAAACATAAAAAATAAAAAAAATTAAAAGCAGCCTAAGTTCCATATTAAAAAAAATAAAAAATAAAAACATAAAAGCAACCTAAGTTCCAACATGGGAAAATGGGTATTGATATGTGGCTGGTAAAATTACGATTTGAAAGACTGTTGCTGCAAAATTTACATGATACAATCATAAGGTTCTTTTAAAAGTAGAATACAAAATTGTATGTTTCTTGCTTGTAGCCATGTTTTTAAAAGATGGAAAAGAAATATACCAAAATACTGCAAATTGTGTTAGAGTGTTGAAATTTGAAGCAATTCTTTTCTCTATTTTCCAAATTTCTATAAATATTTAACTTATGGCTTAAAAAGTTGTGGATAAGAGAAATCTTACTTGCTTCAAAAATAGAAGAGGTTGAAAGTGTAAATATGCATAATTATATCATTAATCTAAAAGTAAATACAGAACTTCAAATGAATCAAATTTTTCTTTTATTTGCAAAGTATATATTCACATTTATATATAGTTTAAGTCAAGGTTGTAATTCTATGAAATTTGTAAAATATTGAGTGTCAGGAGGATCTTATGAGTTAAATGCTGAATTATTTGACTCCTTTAAGTGAATTAGAAGTTTCTGTTTTGGTAAGCATTGCTTTTAGAGGTGTCAGACATTTTAGAACTATGTATGTGGGAATGCCAATTTGAGTTCATTTGTGCCACTAAAAGATTACCCCTCAGTTTTCTTTTGATCCTTGTATTTAATTTCCTAGGGCTGCTGTAACAAATTACCACAAACTCGGTGACTTAAAACAACAGACTTTATTCTCTCATGGTTTTGGAGGTAAGAATTCTAAAATCAAGGTGTTAGGAGTGCTACATTCCCTCCAAAGGCTTTAGGAAGAATCCTTCCTTGCCTTTTCTAGCTTTTGGTGGCTCCCGTCATTCCTTGGCTTATGGCAGTGTAACTCCAATCTCAACCTCCATCTTCACGTGGCCTCCTTCCCTTCCTCTGTGATCGCTCCTTTCTTTCCTCTTTCCTTTCCCTTTTAAGAACACCGGTCATTGAATTTAGGGCCCACCTAATCAGATCTATAACTTATTTACATCTCCAGAGCCATAATTTGATGACATCTGCAAAGGCATTACAGTCATGCGTCCCTTAATGATGGGATATTGTCTAAAAAATGCATTGTTAGGCAATTTTGTCATTGTGTAAACAACATAGAGTGGACTTACACAAACCTAGATGGTGTAGCCTACTAAACACCTAGGTTATATGGTATGGCCTTTTGCTCCTTGGCTACAAACCTGTACAGCATGTTACTATACTGAGTACCACAGGCAACTGTAACATAATTGTATCATACACTAAGTGTTTGTGTATCTAAACATAGAAAAGGTACAGTAAAAATATGCTATTATAATCTCATGGGACCACACCATCCTATATGTGGACTGTTGTTGACTGACATATCATTATGCAGTGCATGACTGTATTTTTGAAATAAAATCACATTCTGAAGTTTCAGATGGACATGAATTTTGGGGGAGCTCTATTCAACCCACTACTGTTCTATTATCTTAATTTTCTGAAAACTTAATGTGACTTGCACCTACCTCTCAATTACCCTAAAGAAAAACTGGTGATTTATAGGGTAACATATATTTTGAAAACATTATTTCAGAAGAGATAAAGACCAACATTATCTATGTACCTTCTGCCTGCAAATAATCTCATTAGCCTGGGATTCTGGACATTTGCTGAGTGCATGTTCATTTTCCTGTCATTGACACCACAGTTCTTCCTGCCCTAAAGTCTGTTTTCCCATTCACCTTTTCGTTGTTCTTGCACATCTTATAGTTCTTTCTTGCTTTCTTCTATTTGCATATTACAGACTGTGTCTTAGACTCCTCTTCTTATAAAGTCACATTGGATTAGGTCCCACCCATATGACCTCATTTTACCTTATTACCTCGTTAAAGAATCTAACTCCAAATACAGTCACATTCTGAGGTACTGGGGGTTAGGACTTAACATATGAATTCAGGGGTGGCGGATTGAGTGGTGTAACACAATTCAGCCCATAGCCATTTCTTTTTTTCTTCTGAATTGCATTATAAAAAGTCCTTTTGAGGCTGGGTGCGGCGGCTCACGCTTGTAATCCCAGCCCTTTGGGAGGCCAAAGCAGGCAAATCACCTGAGGTCAGGAGTTTGAGACCAGCCTGGCCAACATGGTGAAACCTCGTCTCTACTAAAAATAGAAAAATTAGCTGGGCATGGTGGTGGGCGCCTGTAATCACAGCTACTTGGGAGGCTGAGGCAGGAGAATTGATTGAACCTGGGGGGCGGAGGTTGCAGTGAGCCGAGATTGTGCCATTGTACTCCAGCCTGGGCAACAGAGAGAGACTCTGTCTCAAAGAAAAAAAAAAAAAAGTCCTTTTTCTGTTATCTTAGGTAGGTATGAGCCTGTTCCAGAAAAGAGTAAGATAGGAGAAATAACTCACTCCTGCCACATAAATGAGACAGCAGACAGGAAAATGTGGCCCTTCTTTCTAATGGATGCAAGCAAAACAATTTTATTGAGAATATTGTATGTCACAGAATATGCCACTTAATCTACACATGAAGAATAATAATTCCAGGTTATTTATTATAGGACTTCTCTACTTTCACCCTCACGATTATCCCGACATCCATTCTGGCTCCAAATTTACATTCTGGCTTCAATTCCCTCCTTGGTATCCCAGTGTGAAATAGTAGTACTGTTTGCATCATAAATACCAGAAATATTTTTAAATGTTCTCCTTTTATAACTCTGTGTGATTTCTTTATGTTTGTCTTCCATCGCCTAATTATAGGAATTCAAAATTCAAATGGCATTCAAACAGGAATAAATGTGAAAAATCACATGTAATGTAGCCCTTCACCAGTATGTGGGGATGTGTTCATACATTTGAAATTATAATGTGATTACTTCAGTTACTACTTTTTCTTAACAGAGAAAGCTCTCAAACTGCCCTGCTTTTTGTGGCAGTAAAAAATAAAATTTGTGTTTAGAATCAAAGACTTAACTACATGATAAGCTGTGCTTTAAAATTAGCTTTAAACCACAGCAGTCCTAAAATGAGGATTCTGTGAGTTCTAGTTAATAGTCAGCATCACCAAAGTAATACAATATGAAAGTGTAGAATTTATACTTATATGATTCCTTTAAATCCATGGGTCTTCTTTTAAAGAAAACAGAACATAGCAATAGCAGAGACTAGCAAAGAAGGAATCTCAACTGTTAGAGCTTATCAGTCATACTTTCGAGTAGCAAATTGAACTATTTTGTTGCTACTGATTTCAAAGGGTCCTATAAAGATATTTGAGGTTGAAAGTTGTAATATAACTGTCAGAAATATAAATTTGGGAAGAATATGTATATTTTTAGATTGCATGCCTCACTGCCCTTAAATAAAATTAGGACTAAAACTAATTGTAACTACAGATCTGTGTTGAATTAACAGTACTGCTGCTTTGGATAACAATTAGCCAGAGCATGGATATCTTCATCTATTGAATCCCTTATTAATAACTTTCAAAGCAATGTTATAAAAGAAAAAGCCTTGCTAAGCATCTCATTTGATTATCACTTTTATAATGGGAACTGACAGTACATTTCATATCTTAACTAAGCATTACAATTTTTATGAAAGCAGCACGGAGAACTACAAAAGTAAGGAGATGAAAAAGCTTTTTAACCCTCCCTGCCCCTAATTTCCTTAAGTTTAGTGTACTTCTTATGTTTATAGAACTAATTATTGGTTGCCTTTAGCATACAGGTAACTTTTATGCACAGTGATTGCAAATTTTAAAAAAAATCTCTATTGCTACTCATGCTTCTTTCAGAAAAATGAAAAAGATTGTCCTAATAGTTGGCATCCAGAAATAAATAAAACACCACAATTTTTATGGACAGATTTTCATTAGAGTTTGAAAAATGTTCTTAAAATCTCGATGTAAAATCTGATAGCCTGACAGAACAGTTGAGCAGTAGTGACTAGGAAGGACAGAGTGTTCCTAGAAGACAAATTATAGTTGCCACCTCCACATTGCCTAAATAGAGTTTAACCATATTGAAATGACAGAAATGTTTGCCCAAGAAAAATGCCATGTAATTCAAGCTGCTGTTTTACCTACTTTTTTTTTTTAAAAAAAGCCAAACAAAAATTACTCTTTGTAAAATAGGATCTTAAGAAGTGAATTGAAGTGTTGTGTGCTGTTCACTTCCAACAAACAACTTCATCTATTCAATCTCTAAAAGGAAGCATTACCCAGCAAGCTAACTTCCAAAGAGCAGCTTTCAAACTGCTCCCATTCACAAGCTCTGATAGTGTTGACAATAAAATAGAAATCCTGAGGAATGGTTAATGTCAGAATTGTTCTTAACATTGAAATATCTTTGTTTATTTTTAAAGGACAGCATAATCAGAGAATATAATTATGTATTGAATTAATCTATGATAAGGGTGAAACATCTTGTCATCCTTCTCTAACTCTGTTATAAATAGACTGGATAAGATGATTTTTTTTTTTAAGTGTAAAACTCTTCTGTTTTAAATTTGCTTAGTATGGGGAACTCCCATTTTTAAAAAAATCAGGCTGAGCGTGGTGGCTCATGCCTGCAATTCCAGCACTTTGGGAGGCTGAGGTGGGTGGATTGCTTGAGGTCAGGAGTTTGAGACCATCCTGGCCTACATGGTGAACCCCGTCTCTACTTTAAAAATACAAAAAAATTAGCTGGGCTAATTAGCTGTGGTGGCGGGCGCCTGTAATCTCAGCTATTCAGGAGGCTGAGGCAGGAGAATTGCTCGAACCCAGGAGGCAGAGGTTGTAGTGAGCCGAAATTGCATCACTGCCCTCCAGCCTGGGTGACAGAGTGAGACCCTGTCTCAAAAAAAAAAAAATTAAAATAGCTTTTATTTTAAATATTAATGCTTATTGTTAATAATTAAAATAGTTCAGTAAAGAAGTAAAGAACTATCAGAAAAATGACCCCAAGATGCATACTGCTAATACTGTACTGAACATCATTCTGATTTTTTTTTTTTTTTTTTGAGAAGGAGTCTTTCTCTGTCACCCAGGCTGGAGTACAATGGCATGATCCCAGCTTACTGCAACCTCTGCCTCCCAGTTCAAGCAATTCTCCTGCCTCAGCCTCGTGAGTAGCTGGGACTACAGGCGCCCACCACCACGCCTGGCTAATTTTTGTATTTTTAGTAGAGACGGGGTTTCACCATATTGGCCAGGCTGGTCTTGAACTCCTGACCTTGTGATCCACCTGCCTCGACCTCCCAAAGTGCTGGGATTACAGGCGTGAACCACCGTGCCCGGCCCTGATATTTTTCTTTACTTCAAAGCATATTGTACACACATAGAAGTCAATGAAAGTTTGCTCAATGGATCTTGGAGTTTTGTAACCTATTTTTACTCAACAAGGTGCTAAGTACCTCTTTCCAAGTATTGGAGGGCTTAGTTATGTTCATATGGAAAACACGCCAGACCATGAACCTACAGGGGCAGTTAACCACAAATAGAAATAAATGATGGATATGTTCAGTCTTATTCTATCCAAGTTGAATACAAATCTTAAGTTGAATGTATTCTGATGTATCTTGTGTTAATAATCATCACCCGTGCTTTGAATGCCTAGAATGGCTTCTCCAGGTTCTTCAACTCCTCTGGCTCCAAAGAAGAGCAAAATGCTCAGGGGGATAGAAAGGAGAATGTTGAGATGCTGCATAGAGTTTTCATATTGTCGACTACACTTTCATACTTATATCATTTAAGTTGGTAAGCAGTGTGTTTGCTTATGCAAATAACATATAAAGATATCATTCATTTGCTTTTTGGCAGTAATGATTTCAATCTTCATTCCTCCTACCATGGCCTCAGTTCAAGCTATCATCTATTCCAGCCTGGACTTTTTCCCTGGTCTATAGACTACCTATAGTCTTGGCCCTTTGGTCCAAACACACAGCCACTGGGTGGTCTTTCTCAAATGCAGATTTGATCATACCTCCTCAAAACGTTTATAATTTAGGCATTCCAAGTTCTTCATAATCAAGCCTTTGTCTTCCTCTGCAAACTCATCCCTGCCACATTCCTCAAATCACGCCTCATCTTTGTTTTATGAGGCATGAAATATGCTCTCTCACATCTTCCTAAATTTTCATGTTGCTCCTAACCTAGTAAGTTTCTCATTTTTCAATACTCAGCTTAGACAGTACTTTCTTAATAAAGACTTGGCCTGTCTGTGACAGTTAACAACCTCCTTTCTGGTGCCATCCTCTGCTACAGAGCTTGCCACACTTCAACATAATCAATTTCCTGTCTTCTCCCCCACTAGACTGCTAGCTGAAGGTCAGGAACTTCGGTCTTTTTACCCTTGTATCCCCAGGAATGAATGAATACAACTTGTTTCTTATACTCAGAAGCTGTAGTTACCAAATATTTATTTTTGACTAATACATATAAGAAATAAATTGTTAGACTATTTTATTTAATTATTTGTTTATTTATTTATTTTGAGGCAGAGTCTCACTCTGTTGCCCAGGCTGGAGTGCAGTGGTGCGATCATGGCTCACTGCTAACTCTGCCTCCAGGGTTCAAGCGATTCTCTTGCCTCAGCCTCCTGAGCTGGGATTACAGGCCCCCGCCAGCATGCCCAGCTAATTTTTGTATTTTCAGTAGAGATGGGGTTTCACCGTGCTGGGCAGGCTGGTCTCAAAACTCCTGGCCTCAAGTAATCCACCTGCCTCGGCTAAGAACATTTTATTTAGTATATAAAATCTTTCAAAACAATGTCGCTAAGGAAAAAGGATCATTCCAGGCTGGAATCGATGATAGCCTGAACTGAGGCCATGGTAGGAAGGTTGAAGATAGAAATAATTACTGCCAAAAAGCAAAGGAATTATATATTTATATGTTATTTGCATAAGCAAACGCGCTGCTTATCAAGAAGTCCTCAATGGAGAAGACTGTGAACATATATATAGTAAATATCCATTAAATATTTGTCAATTGAGCAATCGTTCGTTGTTTAGATTGTTATCTTTCTAAGGAAGGGACCCGTGATATACTTTTATTTATTGTTTCCAGTGCCTGACAGAATACTATGTCCATAAAATAATCTCAAATCTAATTTTACTGATTAATCAAATGAGGGAATCCATTAATTATCTCTAAATCTCAACAGGAATGTATAAGACCTGTGTCTTTGAATTTCTCTCTACATATTGAAATATCTGTGAGCTCTTTGAGGAAAGGGGTTCTACCTATTGATTTTTATATTTTAAAGTCTTAACAGAGAACACTGAACATAGCAGAAGTTTAATAAATCTCTGTTATTAAGATTTCATCAGTGAAATACAAGTTTGCTTTGCTCATCATTGTATCCCAGTGACCTAGGGCAAGATCTTATTCATTGTAGGAATTTAGCAAATATTCGTTAAGTAAACATGATTTGGAAATCTTGCTATTGGCAGGTACAATTAAATCTAACATGAAAAGTTTCCCTTGGGGGAAAAAGTAAAGTTTCCCTTGGTGTCTTAGATTGAGGAATAAATGCAGATCAGAGTATGATTCTGAAAGATGTTTTATTTTTTACTATGAAACAACTCTACCCTACAGAGGTGGGGAGCAGGGAGGGGAAGGGAGAGAAGCTGGAAACAAACAAGTGAGGCTCACAGGAGAAAATAGCTCCTCCAAGGGGAGCCACATGCTCTGATACCCATGGCAGTGGCATGAGGAAGCAGCCTAAAATTAGCAGGATGGGCAAGCCCAGGAAGGGAAAACCACGGCAGCCTTTCCTGCCCTCAACAAGTGAGGTGAGGGGCTGGGAGTCCCGGCTGGAACTACCCAATGTAGCCTTTGGAGCTCCACTGCTGTTTGTGCCAGGTAAGGTCCTCCCTCAAAATTCATCTTGGGAGGTAAAGCAAGAGATTTCTTAAGGGGATGTCCAGATAATTGAAATATTTAATACTGTCCCAGTAAAAAGGTGCCTCCAGGAATCTAATGATTAAGAGAGCAATAGATGAAGAACATTCTATTCATCCTTAATCAGGGTATTCATCTGAACCACTCCCTCTCACCTTATTGAATTGGGGCTCTCTGGGGTATGTAGGTGCTGCTTCTTTCAAGTGTTAAAGAGGGGAGGGTGTCCTAGAAAAATCTTTAAAGCCATGTGGGAAAAGGAATGATGAAAGGGCATTGCCAAGCAATGTAAAGAAACTGCAGAGCCAAGAAGGAAAGATCAGAGATAATACAAATAGGACTCAGTGGGCAACAGTCTGCTTTTTTCATGAATGAAGTGCAGAGCAATTGAGCTGATTGAGGACAGTCAACAGAATCCTAGAGAGGACCAGAATATTCTGTATTATTGTTTCATAAAGAACTGGATCAGTGATAGATTTTTACGTTGCACATGAATAACTCCCAGTCAGGGTGCTGATCTATCACTCTCCATTGTTTCTATAAGTTTCTGTCTCCCATACTAGAATTCATTTTAATAATATATTACCAATTGCTTTTTGAAGTTACAGCTCCTCATTAATGGTAAAAACCTTCCAGTGCTATTAACACAGTTTCTCACAGGGTTAATCTGAAGGAGTTGTGCAAGTGGATAGCAGAAATTCAGAACTTTAAAAAAATAAATTAATTGAGATATAATTAATACACCATACAATTCACCTGCTTAAAGTGTGTAAGTCAATGGATTTTAGAAAATTTACAGAGTTGTGCAACCATTGCCACAAACAATTTTAGAACATTTGTATCACCCCCTCATATCCAATAGCAGTAACTCCTCTTTTCCTCCAACATCCTCCCACTCACAGCCCCAGGAAACCATTAATCTACTTTCTGTTTCTGTAGACTTGCCTATTCTCGATATTTCACATCAATGAAATCACACAATGCGTAGTCTTTTGTGAGTTCGTTTGTTTGTTTAATTTTTGAGACAGAGTCTCACTCTGTTACCCAGGACGGAGTGCAGTGGTGCTAGCTTAGCTCACTGCAACCTCTGCCTCCTGGGTTTAAGTGATTCTCATGCCTCAGCATCCCAAGTAGCTGGGATTACAGACATGCGCCACAGTGCTCAGCTAATTTTTGTATTTTTAGTAGAGACAGGGTTTTGCCACGTTGGCCAGGCTGGTCTTGAACTCCTGGCCTCAAGTGATCCACCCACTTTGGCCTCCCAAAGTGCTGGCATTAAAGGTGTGAGCCACTTTGCCTGGCCTGTTTTTTGTTTATTTGTTTGTTTGTTTGTTTTTGAGACTCGCTCTGTCGCCCAGACTGGAGTGCAGTGGCGCGATCTCGGCTCACTGCAAGCTCCGTTTCCCGGGTTCATGCCATTCTCCTGCCTCAGCCTCCCGAGTAGCTGGGACTACAGGTGTCTGCCACCATGCCCGGCTAATTTTGTTTTTGTATTTTTAGTAGAGATGGGGTTTCACCGTGTTAGCCAGGCTGGTCTCGATCTCCTGACCCCATGATTCGCCCGCTTCAGGCTCCCAAAGTGCTGGGATTACAGGCGTGAGCCAGCGCGCCTGGCCTTATTTGTTTGTTTTTAAGAGAATGCTTAAGTGTGCGAGAAGAGAGAAGAGAAGCCTCTTTTGTTGTTGAAGTATCAACTGTTGATTCACCCAAAAAAGGATCTGTAATTGTCTCCAGTCTCTGTTTTCAGTGAATATTTATAACCCATTACTCTAAGATTGTCCAGTTATAGTGGTACTTCAGTGTTATATATAATGAAATGATTAATAAATGCTTTACAGTAATGATAATTTTCACTTAATGATAATCTTGGATATGATCTGATGGAATGAAGTATATCCATTTAGGGTATCATTAGAGAACTTATATGGGACACAGCCTAAGGTTTTAGTAAATAATAAATGAAGTATGATGTAGTGTGTCTAGAATAGCGCCTTGCAGGTATTAGATTATTAGTAAATAGGCATATTTTCCTCCATCCGACTTTCAGTGTTAGACGTCTACTCGTGTTATAAAACCTACAGAGCAGATTTGAAAAAAATCTTAACCTGGCAGAATGCTTTGAACATACTACTCAATGAACACTTTTTTTTTTGAGACAAAGTCTCACTCTGTCACCCAGGTTGGAGTGCAGTGGCGCAATCTCAGCTCACTGCAACCTCTGCCTTCTGGGTTCAAGCAATTCTCCTGCCTCAGCCTCCCAACTAGCTGGGATTACAGGCACCCACCACCACATCCGGCTGATTTTTTTGTATTTTTAGTAGAGATGGGGTTTCACCACGTTGGTCAGGCTGGTTTCGAACTCCTGACCTCAAGTGATCTACCCGCCTCGGCCTCCCAAAGTGCTAGGATTACAGGCGTGAGCCACCGCGCCAGGCCTCAATGAGCACTTATTAAAACAGGTAAGGTAGATATAGTCATGAATATGTGCAATATAGAGCTGTGACATTCTTTCATAAAGGCTGGGGAAAATAGTTTCATATCCCGGACTAGGAGGCACTAATTATAATTTCAAGTTTGAACTATCAATTATAATCTTAGATAACCTACTTACTTTCTCTGGTCTTTATCTACATCTCCAGACTAGGAATGATAACACTGGATTATAGCTAAAATGTTATACCCATTGTTCATACTGTAAAACTCCATTATGTCTCCAAGACATACCTGCCCTGTGTTTATTTCATGCTAAAGGTGACACATTGAATTATAGGATCGCTTCTTAAGGAAGTCCAGTTGGTTGACTGTCATAAGACCTTGGAGCTTATAATTACATTGATGAAATTACCAGGTTTCATTGTCTGGTGTTCAGCTTTTCAAACTCAGAAACGTAATATATATTTTTTCCCAAAATTCTTAGAGTGATCCGGCCCCTTAGCAAAGTACTCGCATTAACCAAATTCCCAAGAGAGTACTAGGTCAGCCAGAATTCCAATTTGTTAATTTACAATGATAAAAATGGTTTTAAAGCAAACCAAACAGCATGTTATGTTAAAAATCAGCTTTTCTTTTCTTTACGAGGAAACTTATTTTTTAAAAAACTAAACTGAAATTAGAATGCTGCTGGGTAGGCATGGACTGGAGAAAGGCAGGTAATTGATTATGGCATCTTGTGAGCATTGGCCTGGGCTCCCAGCTTCTCCACCAGGAGCAATAGGGCTCTCTCGGGTGGACAGTGCTGATTCTTTATTCTCTGATTTCTCTTTCCTACCTGTCATTCTATTACCTCTTAAGATATAGATATATGCATATTTATATTTAAGTATAAAGACATATATACATATATACCATCAACTAGACTACAGCCCTTTTTTTTTTTTTTTTTTTTTGACAGGGTCTTGCCCTATTGCCCAGGCTGGAGTGTGTTGGTGCAATCTCGGCTCACTGCAACCTCCAGCTCCCAGGCTCAGGTGATCCTCCCACCTCAGCCTCTCGATTAGCTAGGGCTACAGGTGCCTGCCACTATGCTGGGCTAATTTTTGTATTTTAGGTAGAGATGGGGTTTCACCATGTTACCCAGGCTGGTCTTGAACTCCGGGGCTCAAGTGATCTGCCCCCACTTAGCCTCCCAAAGTGCTGGGATTATAGGCATGAGCAACTGCGCCCAGCCTAGACTACAGCCCAAATTTGCTCGTTTTTTTTTTATTTTCCTTCTTTTGATGTGCTTGAGGCATTCTGGTTTTTTGATGTGGAGGAAGAGTTTTACTATTTTGTCCTCTTTATAAAAATAAACACTTTTATTAGAACTTTTTTTTTTAAAGTGCAGCCAAAAAAAAAAAATTACAAGAGAAAAATCACCCGTAATTCTGCTCCCTGGCTATAACTAACATTTTAAAATATTGTAATCCAGGTTGGGTTCTTTGGCTAGTACTTGTAATCCCAGTGCTTTGGGAGGCCAAGGTGAATGGATTACTTGAGCCCAGGAGTTCGAGGGTGCAGTGAGCTATGATTGTGTCACTGCTCTCCAGTCTGGGCAACAGAGCACAGCTCTGTCTCTAAAAAAAAGAAAAGAGTATTTGACTCCAGAATTTTAAAAAATAAAGTGCAGTCATAAATATTGTTTTGAAAACTGGTGAAAAAAATTTTACATATCATCTTTCCATGTTAAGAAATGTATGTTGTTGGCCGGGTGCAGTGGCTCACACCTGTAATCCCAGCACTTTGGGAGACCCACCGAGGTGGGTGGATCATCTGAGGTCAGGAGTTTGAGACCAGCCTGGCCAACATGGTGAAAACCTGCCTCTACTAAAAATATGAAAATTAGCCGGGCATGGTGGCAGGCGCCTGTTATCCCAGCTACTCGGGAGGCTGAGGCAGGAGAATCACTTGAACCTGGGAGGTGGAGGTTGCAGTGAGCCGAGATTGAGCCATTGCACTCCAGCCTGGGGGACAAGAGTGAGACTTCGTCTCAAAAAAAAAAAAAAAGAAATGTATGTTGTTTCCAGTTTTTTGCTGTTACAAGCAGTTCTTGATGAACATCCTTATAAATACAGGAATGCTAGTTGTTCTTAAGGATCGTCAAATTACATGCATTATTCATGATATGTTGATTTTCTAGTTAAATTTTCAGAGTGTAGGAGTGCTGTATGATGCTTCCATGTGTTTTCTATAAAATAAAATTCTTTCATAATTATGTCACTTTATTTTATGTGTCATGTTTAAGCTTTCAATCCTTTGTATATTATTTCATTCTTATACTCATTGTAAATTTTCTGAAGTAAGCAAAACAGTTTTCCTCATTTTTCGTTAACTGAAAAGGTGAGGTAACTGAAGCATGTAGAATGATTTACCCAAGGCTGTATAGCTAGTGAGAGATAGAGCTGGGGCTCGAACCTGCTTGTTTTCTTGGATCAGTGGTTTCCAACTTGTGAGCAAGACCCCTGGAGGGCCATGAATTAACTGTAATGGGCCCACAAATCCATGTGTACATCAAAAATTATCTGAAAACAGATAATTTTTATTTTTTTTAGTAGAGATGAAGTCTCACTATATTGCCCAGGCTGGTCTCCCATGAACCCTTGAGCTCAAGTGATCCTCCTGCCTTGGCCTCCCAAAGCGGTGGAATTTTAGGCGTGAGCCACCAGGTCCAGCTGTCTACAACATTTTTACATGTTGGAAAAAGGAGGCCTCATCCCAACCTTGAAAAGATTAGAAACCAGTGCTTTTGACCTTGGTAAGTTTCATTATATTTGCTCTTAAGTATTCTAAAATGGCTTAAAATTCTTGACAAAACCATGGCTCTAAAAATGTAGCTGACATCAGAAAGGGGTCTCGATCCAGACCCCAAGACAGCGTTCTTGGATCAAGAAAGAATTCAGGGCAAGTCCATAGAGTAAAGTGAAAGCAAGTTTATTAAGAAAGTAAAGGAATAGGCCGAGCGTGGTGGCTCATGCCTGTAATCCCAGCACTTTGGGAAGGCCAGGCAGGCAAATCACGAGGTCAGCAGATCGAGACCATCCCGGCTAACGTGGTGAAACCCCATCTCTACTAAAAAAAAAAAAAAAAAAAAGAAATACAAAAAATGAACCGGGTGTGGTGGCGGGTGCCTGTAGTCCCAGCTACTCGGGAGGCTGAGGCAGGAGAATGGCGTGAACCCCGGAGGCGGAGCTTGCAGTGAGCCGAGATCGCACCACTGCACTCCAGCCTGGGTGACAGAGCGAGACTCCGTCTCAAAAAAAAAAAAAGGAAGTAAAAGAATAAAAGAATAGCTACTCCGTAGGCAGAGCTGAGTAGACATAGACTGAGTATACATATTGTTGCTTCTTGATTATATGCTAAACAAGGGGTGGATTATTCACGAGTTTTCCAGGAAAGGGGTAAATATTTCCCAGAACTGAGGGCCCCTCCACTTTTTAGGCTACATAGGGAAACTTCCTGTCATTGCCATGGCATTTGTAAACTGTCACGGTGGTGGTGAGTGGGAGTGTCTTTTAGCATGCGAATATACTATAATTAGCGTATAATGAGAAGTGAGGACAACCAAAGGTCACTTTCGTCGCCATCTTGGATTTGGTGGATTTTGGCTGGCTTCTTGACCATATCCTGTTTTATCAGCAGTATCTTTACGATCTATATCTTGTGAAACCAATCCTGCCCGCCTTCTGTCTCATCCTGTGACTAAGAATGCCTAATCTGCTGGGAATGCAGCCCAGCAGGTCTCGGCCTTATTTTATTTTTTAATTAATTTTTTTTTTTTGAGATGGAGTTTCGCTCTTGTTGCCCAGGCTGGAGTGCAATGGCGCTATCTCGGCTCACTGCAACCTCTGCCTCCCAGGTTCAAGCGATTCTCCTGCCTCAGCCTCCTGAGTAGCTGGGACTACAGGCTGCCTGCCACCACGCCCAATATTTGTATTTTTAGTAGAGACGGGGTTTCACCATGTTGGCCAGTCTGGTCTTCAACTCCTGACCTCAGGTGATCCATCCACCTCGGCTTCCCAAAGCGCTGGGATTACAAGCGTGAGCCACTGCCTCTAGCCTTGGTCTCAGCCTTATTTTACCCAGCCCCTATTCGAGATGGAAGTCACCGTGGTTCAAACACCTCTGGCATAGGTAGCAGCATTTAATACAAATAAAATTTATTTCGTGATATGTAAATTAGGCTCCTCTGAAACAATGTCACTGGGTCTTAAAGTTTAGCATTTTCAAAGAAAACAAAAAATAGGTGGGTGTGACTGTGTAAAATATAAAGCATGGGGGCTGGACACAGTGACTCAGGCCTGTCATCCCAGCACTTTGGGAGGCCAAGGTGGGCAGATCACTTGAGGTCAGGAGTTCGAGACCAGTCTGGCCAACATAGTGAATCCCTGTCTCCACTAAAATTACAAAAAGTAGCTGGGCATGGTGGCGGGTGCTGTAATCCCAGCTACTAGGGAGATTGAGGCCTGAGAATCACTTGAACCTGGAAGACGGAGGTTGCAGTGAGCCAAGATTTCACCATTGCACTCCAGCCTGGGCTACAGAGGGAGACTTTTTAAAAGCAATGAAGAAGATATAAGGCACGAGGTCAGGAGCAGTTTGGGAGGCTGTGGTGGATGGATTGCTTGAGCTCAGGAGTTCCAGACCAGCCTTGGCAACATGGTAAAACCCCTTCTCTACAAAAAATTCAAAAATTACCTGGGTGTGGGTGTGGAGTCACATATCTGTGGTCCCAGCTACTCGGGAGGCTGAGGTGGGAAGATTGCTTGAGTCTGGGAGGTCGAGGCTGTAGTAAGAAGAGATCACTCTATTACACTCCAGCTTGGGTGACAGAGTCAGTCCCTGTCTCAAAAAAAAAAAAAAAAATTATAAGGCATGAAAGGCATGCATATGACTAACTCTTTTTTGGCTGTAATTTGCAGAAGCATCCTGTGCACTGTGGCAAGGTGGGAGAGCCTATCACAAATCACACTGCAGACCAGGGTCTCCCTGCCTCCCATCTGAAGTACCAGCCATTTACAACTCCACAAACTGAGTACCTAGAACCAGCCTAATGTGGATCCTCCAGGCAGAGCTCTGTTACAGAGTCTTACTTCAGAGACTAATTGGAAGTGAATAATTTAAAGAATCTTCCCCTAAGTTTTCTTTAAAGACAAAACACTTTTGAATGTTCATAAGCATAGGTTATATGGAACTAAGAGTAGCAAGACAAAGTCCTAGGGACAGAAAGGAGAATGGTGGTTGCCAGCAGTTGGGGGAAGAGGGGAATAGGGGGTTATTGTTTAATGGATACAGAGGTTTAATTTTGCGAGATGAAAAAGATTCTGGAGGTGGGTGGTGACAATGGCTGTACAACAATGTGAGTGTACTCAATGCCACAGAACTGAAACCTTCAAAATGGTTAAAATGGTAAATTGTATGTTATGCATATTTTACCAAAATCCAGAATGGAAAAAAAATTGTTATCTGGAGATCAGATTTCAAAATAAATTTTTTATTAGGCCTTTTTCTCACAAAATTGAAATAGAATAGAATTATGCTAAGATAGTTCATTATTAGGTATGAATTTGATTCAGAGATCGATAAAAGATAATATACACAAATCAACCGATATTTCTAATAATTCCTAAATCATGTCATCCTATTTATGGGGACAAGATTCACCAAAACCTGAAGATTTATAAGATAAACACTGGTCTGGGCAAATGATAACTCTTAATACTTCAGTATTGACTTGCCGTGTAACTCTTAAGTCAATTGTTCTTTCTGTATGTCAGTTTTCTCATATGTGAAACATGAGTATTAAAGCAGATCTGACTTTGGGAGGTTGAGGCAGGAGGATCACAAGGTCAGGAGTTCAAGACCAGCCTGGCCAATATGGTGAAGCCCCGTCTCTACTAAAAATACAAAAATTAGCCGGGCATGGTGGCAGCCGCCTGTAGTCCCAGCTACTCGGGAGACTGAGGCAGGAGAATCACTTGAACCTGGGAGGCGGAGGTTGCAGTGAGCTGAGATTGTGCCACTGCCCTCCAGCCTGAGTGACAGAGTGAGGCAAAAAAATTATTCAAGCACAGTATTATTAATAATATTTGGGCATTTGAATATAATAGGATTTAAAACATCACCGTTCCTTTGTATTTGACATCTGTCCCAGTTCATCATCATTATCCTCAGGAGCATTTATTTAGAAGAACTGAATCTGCTTTGTCTTATTCTACATAAGAGTGTTTATATGCATTCAACGGTAGTCTATTAGACAATTCACGATCATAGAAAGGTTAGGATATTCCTCACTTTCCTAGATTTCTCTATTCAAAATCACTTAACCTTAACAATAATTTGGTTAGTCTATGTTGAATACCAAGCTTATGCTGACATCCTTTTTAGATCAGATAATACAAGAGATATATCAATACGCTCAATTATTATTTTCCTATCACAAAGCACATAGCATAAACTGGATATACTGCTCTGATATTTGTCTCTGCTCTACTTATTTGGCTAAAGAAGGATTGTTTGATACCTGGTTGTCAGATCAAATTATAATTTAAATCCTTTAGCTATGTTTAGCTCCTTGGCAGTAGGTGAGTAGAGAACATAGAATTCAGAAGCATATGGTTCAGGAACATGGTAACTAGATATGAAGCATTTTACCTCTATGTTACCGGTGTGAATCTGAACTTGATTACTATTGGTGCTCTGTACAAGATGTAAGTGATCTGATTTGCATCTCTAATGGAGCACCCCATGTTACAAAACTCATCACCCTTGGCACTAATTAGCATTCTTGTTGTCAGCCTCGGGATAGACGCCAAGGACTGAATCAGTCTGGAAACCTGAACTGCTGCTGTGTCTGACTCATCAGTCTAGGTGGCCCATTCAGCCTTTGGCCTTTCCTTAGAGTTTACAGCTCAGTGCAACTGGGTGTGCTCCACTCTGTGACTTCACAAAGTGAACTAAAAGATGTTTATTTAAAATAAATATATTTTTATAATAGTAATGATAATAGTGGTGGTTTACATTTATTGACCACTTGCTAGGAGCCAGGCATTGTTCTAAAAGTATTAACTCACTTAAGTCTCACAGCATTCCTATGATATTTTCCTCTTTTACAGAGGTGAGAAAACTGAGACACAAAGAGATTAAATAACTTGCCTAATGTTTCTCACATAATAAGTGGCGGAGTTGGAATACAGCTCTAAATACTAAATTACTCTCTTCCTAATTATAGCATTTATTTGATTTTCTCTTTTATCATCTTACTATATAGCTGATTTAAAAAAAAAAAAATCCGTGTCCAAACCAAATGGGGCATATATCAATTTCCAAATTTTAAAATTGTTCATCTTTCAGTACTAGTTTTTAAGTACTATTTGTTTTCAAAAGAGGTGATGTCCCTTTCTTAAATTTAGTTCATGTGCATCATTATTCTGAACTTAAGGTCCTTAAAGATCTCAATTTTAGGCCGGGCATGGTGGCTCATGCCTGTAATCCTAGCACTTTGGGAGGCCAAGGTGGGTGGATTGCCTGAGTTCAGGAATTCCAGACTAGCCAGGGCAACATGGTGAAACCCTGTCTCTACTAAAAATACAAAAATTAGCTGGGCATGGTGGCAGGCACCTGTAATCCCAGCTACTTGGGAGGCTGAAGTGGGAGAATCTCTTGAACCTGGGAGGCGAAGGTTGCAGTGAGCTGAGATTGCGCCTCTGCACTCCAGCCTGGGCAACAGAGCGAGACTCTGTCTCCAAAAAAAAGATCTCAATTTTACTATGGCTTTTATGCTTATCTATTTTTTTATTATTTAAGTTAAACATTACCTGATCGTGGCACTTGGAAACGTTCTCTGCCCTTCACTTTCTAAATTAATAGATTTAGAATCTAAATTAATTTGAGAGGACAAAATAAAATAAATCTCTATCAAACACTTAATTCCAACACATAGTTCACATGATTGGTGAACAAATGACAAACAGGCAGTCCAGCTACTTCTTTTTATTAACATAGTAATTAGATTATTTTCACCACTATTCATGCAAAATTGGAAAGCAGGTAAGAAATTTTTTGGCTGGGCACGGTGACTCACACCTGTAATCCCAGCACTTTGGGAGGCCGAGGCGGGCGGATCATGAGGTCAGGTGTTTGAGGCCAGCCTGGGCAACACGGCAAAACCTCGTCTCTTTAAAAATACAAAAATTAGCCCGGTGTGGTGGCAGGCGCCTGTAATCCCAGCTACTCAGGAGGCTGAGGCAGGAGAATCGCTTGAACCCAGGAGGCAGAGGTTGCAGTGAGCTGAGATCATGCCATTGCACTCCAGCCTGGGCGACAAGAGCAAGACTCTGTCTCAAAAAACAAATTTTTTTTGAAAATCTGGGTCTTTATTTTATGAGATTTCCCATAGTAGCCAGGGAAGAAGTTTTTAATACACTAAGTGACCTTTAAAATAAAGTTCACGAAGCAATTACATATGTTTCGATGAACATATAAATTAATCTGGTTCTCACAGTTTTCTTAAGACTTAGTAAAATAATATTGGTAGTAATTACTGTTTAGAGACATAAAATAATCTATAACCACCTTTTAATGTTTCTTTTTGTTGCCTTGTATACCCAGTTACTCAAAGCTGTTGTAAGTCTCATTTGGCACACATTTATTGCTCCAGTTTTGCTAATAGATAAAATTTGGGGTGGCTCCCAAAATAACCCTCATTAGACTAAATTAATAATGTCAACTTGAAAATCTGAGTTTTACTGCTGGCTTACATGGATATGCAGCATGGCCTTTCTAGTGCTTAACTTTCCTATATACAAAATAATCATAATGAAGACCAATTTCAAGGGCAGGAGTGTTGTTTTGTTGTTGTTGTTGTTTTTATTGGCATGTAATAACAAATATGTGATTGTAGGTAACTTCAGATGTCTACTTTAAAAATAGTAACTACAGCCTGGCCAACATGGTGACACCCAGTCTCTATTAAAAATACAAAAATTAGCTGGGCATAGTGCCACGCGCCTGTCATCCCAGCCTCATGTCTCAGGAGGCTAAGACATGAGAATCACTTGAACTTGGGAGGCAGAGGTTGCAGTGAGCCAAGATCGTGCCACTGCACTCCAGCCTGGGTGACAGAGCAAGACTCTGTCTCAAAAAAAAAAAAGTAACTAATAATTTGCAGATAGAGATGCACAGAGAGAATTGCTTATTATGTATTGTTGCTTCAATTCCTTTAAGCTATTTCTTTGACTAGTGAGAGATAGTAAATCACCTGCATTTCCAAGGACTTGGAAACACTTTGGAGGAAGTCATGAAATCAAGGTAATACCAATATCACCAGATGTCTCCATCTTGTTACTCTGCATCTTCTGTGTTTTTTTCCAAATAGATTCCTGAATGCATTACTAATGAGTGTGCAGGCCTCTGAAATGTGGCGTGGTGTAGCAGACAAGAGCTGGGCTTCGGCGTTGTATGGACCTTAGATGTGAATCACAGCTCTGAGTGGCTTTGTGCAATTTCTTCTCTGATCTTCAGTTTCCTCCTCTATAAAAAGAGGATAATGATATAGTATACCTTGGAAAATCTTAAAGTATGCTTCCTAAGTCTTTTTCAGATCCTTGAATTTGCAAAAACCACAGTAGCATATAATTTTTTCAGTTTCATCCTTCACTAAATAGGGATAATGACCTATACTTCCTGGGTTATTGTAGTAAATTAAATTATGAATTAAATATGAAGAACAAAGCTTGGTTAATGTGGATGCTGGGTTGGGGTGAGCTAGGGTCACTCAGGGAGCTAAATAATTCATTCTGGCTTATCTGCCTTTCCAGAAATGAGTCCAGTTTGCAGTCAGTCACAAATAGTTGAAATCATGATTGAAATTAGAAAATATTATGTGTGTTTTAAGTGTACTGTTTATTTCTGGGCAAACAGGAAACAGTCTGTGGCTTGAGTGGGATCCCCAAAACCAGCGCATGAGAATGAACAGAACTGCCCATCGGCGATGAGGATTAGGGTCATGAAGCACAAAACTCATTAGAAGCAGCATATGGAAGCAAGAAAGAGCCTGATCTTTACAGGGTGGATAGAAAGCAAGGACCTTATGTAAAACAAAGGTTGGGCAAAGGTAGTCAGAAAAAAATAGTAGTAAGCCGGTTTAGAAGGATGTAAAAGTACGAAAACACCTCTTATTAGCACCTGTGGACGAACCCTTGGGCAAGGTGGTCACTGAAAACAGCACCAAGTCTTTTTCAAAAGCAAGAATTCCCCTATACCAATTATCTCAAGAATTATAAGCATCCATTGAGCCAAATGCACATATAGTTCCTCAGTTTGTGACTGGTGCATGGTGAACATACGATCATTTTTAGCTCCTTTCTTCATTTGATTTAATTCTTAATAGTATTTTTGTGTTAAAAAAAATCATAACCATTAATGACAATTAAATCAGTTAATGTTGCTGAGAGTCTAGGCCATTTGATCTTTCCTGGCACATGATAAGTTTTCAGTAAATACATGTTGATTGACTGAATAAGACAGTTTACACATCATTTTTATGGCATGCCACAGATAAATATTTATTATGTGCCTACTTTGTGTCATGCCTTGAGATTAGAACTGAGTGACCTAAAAAGAAAAATTTTGTATAGCTTCAATTCTCAAAAAGTTGATCTAGTTGAGTAAATAATACATAAATACGTAAAAAAAGACCTGGTTGAATTCAACAATATAAGAAACACTGCAACAAGCAACAAGTAGTTGTTTAATTACATAAGTGGAAGTGACAGTGAACAAAGGCACGAAGTAAAGAGAAGGCAAGGAAATATTGGTGGAACATTTTGGTTGGAGATAAGTAATTGTGTAGAAGAGTGGCAGGTAAGACCAGAACAGTGGTTTGTATTTCATAAGATTGGGATGCTCACATTTCTGATTATACCAAAGCTTTTCTTATCCTTGATGAAAATTTGCTCTAGCTGCCTTCATCAGTATGTAATGTCATCCTTTGGCCTGATGGTATTTTTTAGCTTTATATTCTCTTTTGTCCGATATTAAGATTACTACACCAACTTTCTTTAGGTTCATAGTTGCTTAATATAAGCTTTCATTCCTTTCATTTTTAACATTTTTTTTCATTTTGTCTTCAATGTGTTTATTTAATATTCTTGTTCTTAACTCCAGGTTGACAGTATCTGTCTTTTAGTTGGTGGATTTAACCTATTTGTACTTATATTTACTCAATTTTTTAAAACTTACTTCTGATAGCTTATTATATTTTTAATTTACTGAACTTCTCATTTCTTCCTTTTTGTTTCTGTTCCTGATTTCAATTGTATAGGTCAAGTTTTCTTCTGCTGGTTTAGAAATTGTAAATTTTGTTTTTATACTTGTTATCCTTATCTTAAGATATAGTCTCATATTTACTTATCCCTATTGACTTCCTTAACTTATTAATATTTGCATTTTTCTCCTAACAGGAAAAGTACTTTATCACATTGTCATCTGCCTTTAATTTTTTGATACTGCCCAGAATTTAAATTCTGGGTTCTCTTGAATGATGAATATTACCAAAATATTTGGTTTTCATTAATTCTCTATCTCTTAAACAGCAATTTTCAGGGATCTATTTCTCTCTCCTTTTTTTTTTTTTTTTTTTTTGAGATAGGGTCTCATTTTACTGCAGCCCAGGCTGGAGTGCAGTGGCACAATCAAAGCTCATTGCAGCCTCCACCTCCCAGGCTCGATCCTCCTGCCTCAGCCTCCCAGGTAGCTGGTACTACAGGCACACACCACCACGCCCAGCTAATTATTTTTTAAATTTTTTATAGAGGTGGTGTTTCATCATGTTGCCCAGGCTGGTCTCAAACTCCTAGGCTCAAGTCATCCACCGCCTCAGCTTCCCAAAGTGCTGGGATTATGGCTGTGAGCCACTTCACCTGCTGTGCTTCTCTTATTTTTATTACTTTCTCCCAAAATGTTTTCTCACAAAAAATGAGTCTTTGTATGGCAAACCATTTGAGACCTATGTGAGAGAGTACTTTTATTATACCTTCAAATTTGAATGACAGTTTGTCTAGAAATAATATTCTAGGTTCAAATTTCTTTTCCTTCCATTATTTAAAAATATGGCTCTATTGTTTTGCATTCAGTGTTGCTGTTGGGAAATCGAATGGCAGTCTGGGTCTTGTTCCTTTGCAGGTGAACTGCTCTTTACTTATGGAAGCTCTTGGAATATTTTCTTTGTATTTGATTATATTAACTTAACTACAATTAAAAAAAAGAAAATTTGCACAATATTGTCAGGCCAGTGGACTTATAATAGATTTATCCCCAGCTAAATTTATCCCCATTGTGAAAAATTTTTGTGTTTAACTTCTCTGTAACATTATCTGCTTACTTATCCCTTTTAGTGACATTATCACCTGCATTTCGAACTGAAGCTCACTGTCTAGCCTAAAAGATGAAGGGAAAGGAGATCTAAGATATTTAATACACATGATAATTACATTGAACCATGAATCTTTGTTTGGGCTGTTTTGATTAATTCATTCTTAGTTTGGAATGAAGAGCAATTTGGAGGTGAGCAAAATGGATGAAAAAGCAAAACAAAAAGATTTTGCAGGTCTTCCTACTGCCTTTATTCACTTGGAAGTTTGCTGACTCTGGAAAATGCCAGACATATAGATTCATATGCAAATAAAAATGTGAACTTGGATAAGGATATAAGATACAAATTTCTTTTGAATTTTCCATGGTCTGTGTTCTCCAAGCTCTTCCTCTGTACTCTTTCCTCCTTGACAACAGTTTCATTCCATTTGGCACTTACTATTTTCCTGACAAATTATATGTAATAAGATGGTAACTTCCCAGAAGTGTGTATTAGCCGTTGCTATTTCAGTCAACCAATTTTATTGAGTCTTCTTTGTGAAAATAGCCCTAGAGCTTAGTCATATGCTATTTTTCTGTACCCTTCATGTTTCTATTAAATAAACACAAAGTCAATAAAACTAAAGTGGTATCTTTAACAATCCCATTGCCCATCAATACATATGAAAATCATGATGAATTTCCTCCTTTGAGTGAGTTCTGATTTTTGAACTAATCTTAAAGATTCTTCTTCATGATAAGACAGTGGAGGGCCATTGAAAAGAGAGTGAGTTCTAAACTAAAAGGCTTATGTTAGGCTGGGTGTGGTGGCTCATGCCTGTAATTCCAGCACTTTGGGAGGCTGATGTGGGCAGATCACCTGAGGTCAGGAGTTCAAAACCAGCCTGACTAACGTGGTGAAACCCTGTCTCTACTAAAAATGCAAAAATTAGCCAGCCGTGGTGGCAGGCGCCTGTAATCCCAGCTACTTTGGAGGCTGAGGCAGGAGAATCACTTGAACCTGGGAGCTGGAGGTTGCAGTGAGCTGAGACCGCACCATTGCACTCCAGCCTAAGCAACAAGAGTGAAACTCTGTCTCAAACAACAACAAGCCTCTAAAAGGCTTAGGTTTGAATCTACTCAACTGTGTAACTCACTGGTTGGGTAACTTTGGGAAAACTATGCTTCTTTAAGGCGTAATTTCCTCCCAGTAACATGCAGATAACAACACTTTGCAGGGTTGCTATGAGAATTAAATGAGAGTAACTTAGACTACTCCCCAGCCTAGAATACACTTGTAAGAAATGTTAGTTCCCATTTCCTTTCCCGCACATCATTAACATTAGTGTGATTACCTGGGTCATGAGTAAGAACACTGAACTTTGTTTTCAGTTTTTGGAGATGTCCAAGCAGACCAAAAATAGAATCTGTGTGGAATCACTCAGATCCTGGCATATTGGCATATTTTGAGCTAACCTTATGAAGAGAGAATATTCAAGCTGTTATTTTCCTACCCCTAACTTGTAAAAACTTTATTGACCCATGTTGCTGTGCTCAGAAATAACACCAAAGCATTTAAATTTAGTTTTAAAAGAACAAACCTCTTGTATTATTTCAGCACAATAATTATAACAAATAGAAATGAAAAAATAGGTCTGTCATAGCATTCTGACTGCTTCCAATGCCCCACTTTTCAGCAATAATGCCTAACTCCAGTCTACATATCAATTCATGTTCCCAGATAAAACATTGCATGTAGAGTTTATTGCAAGCATTTGCTTTTTTCTTTCTAAATTATCACTTCTTTTTGTTTGCTTAGTCATACAAAATAATGTCAGGGTCGGTTTCAGTCAGAAAAATTACAAACTTAAACCCTATATAGTGTTCCCTTAGAATATTTACTAAAAGAAAGATATATTTTCTATTATTTCTTTCTTTATTTATTTTTTTGAGACAGAGTCTCACTCTGTCGCCCAGGCTGGAGTGTAGGGGCGTGATCTTGGCTCACTGTAACATCTGCCTCCTGGGTTCAAGTGATTCTCCTGTCTCAGCCTCCCAAGTAGCTGGGATTACAGGCACGCACCACCACGCCCAGCTAATTTTTGTATTTTTAATAGAGACAGGGTTTCACCATGTTGGCCAGGCTGGCTTTGAACTCCTGACCTCAGGTGAGCCACCCGCCTCAGCCTGCAAAGTGCTGGGATTATAGGCATGAGCCACCATGCCCGGCCTAATATGTTTTCTATTCATTTTTACCTTGAATTTTTCACAAATATGTTGGAAATATAATCATTTGAATATTTGCAGTGGTTATGAGCACAGACTCAGGTTCAATTTTGGCTCAGTCACTTACTTGTTGTGTGACCTTGGGCAAGTTTTAAACTTCTTTCTAAGCCTCAAGTTTTCATCTGTAAAATGAGAATTATAACAGTACCTACTTCATAGACGTTAAAGGAATCTATTAAATAAAACACACACACAAAGAGCCTAGCATAGTGCCTCGCACATAGCTAAGGAATGTTAACTTATTACTACCAAGACTATAGTATATTTATGTGTGTTAATATAATCATTATATTAATGTGGTGAGAAGTAGGATTTAACTGTATACCTTGAGGAGTACATACATGGTAACAATTGTTCCAGATTTCTTCAGTAACTTAGTCTCAGAGTGCTCTTTTAAAAAGTTCTGAATAGATTTTCTTCTTGGAAATAATACTTTTTGAAAAGTGTAAACTTTGATATGTACTACATACCAAAAGAACAAGTAAAGGAAGCTTTGTTGTGTTTTAATGCAAACCACACAGTAAAGCTTTAATTTAATCACCTTAAAATTAGGGGAACAAACAGGAAGTGTTGTAATAATTGATTGTTTTTTCGTATTTACCTTAATAAATGCCTTGACCATAGTCCCAGTTTGGTACCAGATAAAGATATTTATACATGTAATATGCATCCTGTGTATAGATATCTTATGTATTCCATATGCTTTATTCTTGAGAATTTCTTCACTCTTATTTTCATTTAGACTAAGGAGAAATCAAGAAAGCCTATTTCCTTAGTCATCTTAGTCATTATCCACCCCCACCAGCCCTGCAGGCTAAGAACATCGTGCAGACTGAGTTATTAAAGTTGATCTGAAAGAGCAATCTGTTCTAAATGACTGTCCCTGGATCTGCAACGGAACCCTGTAAATACCCTTCATTACTCTGGCGGGGCAGTATCACATTTCCTTCATGGCACTTTTGTGTCTGACACAAGTTAGGCAGTGAGATTTGGACTTTAGATGATCCTGGTTGATTGATATAGGAATGGTGCTTCTCCTGAGACAGGTAACCACAAATTTACTTCTCAGGATAATGTTTTAAAGTGGGTGTTCTGTTTAGTTTTTAAAAATGTTTTTAGTTTTTAAAACTAAGTGGGTTTTGAACTTTTAGTTTTTTTTTTTAATGTTTTTAGTTTTCCCAGGCAAGCATTTTCAGTAGTTTAGATGAAAAAGAAATTTCTTAGTGATTTCATTGTCTTTTTCAATTATATTGTTGTCATGCCTTTTATATAAGATCTTTTATAATCCACCACCCATCTATTGTTTTGGATAGTCAAGAACTTGTCTTTGCTGTGAAAATTTTTCTCATTAAAAATGGCTAAAAAATACATACTTTCTCTGTTTTTCAAAAATACGGCATAGAGGTTTTGTTTAGTTTTTTCATCTGATACTGGATATGTCAAGATGAATCTATGAACTTCAAGCAAAACTTATTGAAGCTTTGGTATATGTGAGTAATTTGTTTTAGAGAACTGGAGCCTATAGCGATATAAAAAAATAGCAAATGCAAACATTTTATATGAATCTACTAGCATGGAAATTCTCCCATGCTTACCGTCCAAGTGAAGACTTCCTCTGCCATAGAACTTCCAGATTCCTTGGCATTCCTGTGGATCATCCCAATGTGAGTAAATTGTTTCTGTGGCTGACTGACTGAATTAAGAAAACAGCTGAAGGCAAGCACAGGATCGTGTTCAAACCACAAGAAACACATGTGTTGGATGAGCCACTCAACTTTATGGGGAAGGCTTAAGACATGTAACCAACCTTGTGTTTGCTTGCCACTTAACAAAGTTTGTTTTTAACTATGTTGGGCATTAGAAAGTTTTAAAGATTATTTTTTGTATCAATAAACTCTGATGAAATCTTGAACTAGTAGGTTTGTGATATAATGTTTATACAATTACAACTGAAGATAAGCAAGGCAGGAGCTGGGTTATTTGGAAGCAGAAATTAGTTTTTAAAAACTAAAATCTAAAATATGTTTGATGTACTATAACCAGAGTGTTCACAATTACTAAATATTATTTATTTAAAACATTTATATTCAGCTTTTTTTCAAAGAGCTCAAAAATTGTGTATGGTATCTGTATTTGAAAATGTTGCAGTAAAAATGAAAAGAGAAAGATGACTGCCATTCAGAATGTCTTTGGCTTCTCTTTTCTTTTTTTTTTTTTTTTTTTGAGACAGTCTTGCTGTGTCACCCAGTCTGGAGTGCAATGGCACCATCTCGGCTCACTGCAACCTCTGCCTCCCAGGTTCAAGAGACTCTCCTGCCTCAGCCTCCCAAGGAGCTGGGACTACAGGCATGCACCTCTACGCCCTGCTAATTTTTTTTTTTTTTTGTATTTTTAGTAGAGATGGGGTTTCGCTACGTTGCCCAGGCTGGTCTCAAACTCCTGAGCTCAGGCGATCCGCCTGCCTCAACCTCCCAAAGTGCTAGGATTACAGGCGTGATCCCCCGCGCCCGGCCGGCTTCTTTTTTCTGTAACTCTTCTTTTGCATTTTAAACCTACTTTAATTCTTCATATAGATTCCTAATTTCACTGCCCAACCAGCTTTATTCTACCTTTTAGTATGAGTCTCCTTCAACCTTAGTATTCTATACCTGGGTGAAAGGTAGAATACCAGGCTTATCATGGCAGTTTGCAGGAAAGTAAAAATGTGTTTACTTATAGTGTGTTTAAACATTGCCTTTACTAGCCACCTGAAATAGAGGTTCTATTCTCCCATGGGAGAGACCTACCCAAGACCCAGCAGCACTTAACATTGATTACGGCTTAAGATCTGAGTGGGATAGTGGAGGAAGATCCTCTTTTTAAATAAAAAGAAATTGTTGGCATATCCACATAAATAGAATATGCAGAAGGACAATTAAGTGGTCTTGACATTAGTATCAGCACAAGATTAGGTAAGAGAAAAAATAAATCTGTACATTGAAGCTCTGGGTTACTGTGGTAATGAGAATAACCTGTACAGATAATTCATTTCCTCCTGTATCCTCTTCTCTCCTCAATACCAGTTATTTCAATCTGAATTATTTAAAAGTGTTCTTCATCTTTTTTTGCCTGTGTAAGCATAAAACCACATAAAAAAGGTGTAATTAAACCTCCAATGTGATCACAATAAGCAAAGAAATTTTATATCTGTTCAATGTACTATCAATAGTCTCACGATGACTGAAGAGGATAAAGATCTCTTCGTAAATTCCACGAGGTCAGAAATTTTTGTGTATTTTGTGCACTGTTTTATACTCAGTACCTGGTACACAGTAGGCATTACGAAAATAATTATCAAATGAATGAATGACTAGGAAGAAACCCTATAAGCAGTTGTATGACTTAATTAAGAAAGCTAGATTTAAACCAATGTGTTTCATGCTATCAGAATCTAAGAATGATCTTTTTAAAGAATAATAACCATCATTTAAGTCTGAATTTTCAAAGTCCTGTCTTCTACCATGATTGATAATGTTATAGCATCATTTAATCTATACTAAGCAATCAGGTTAACTTTTTTCAAGTTTATTTATTTATTTATTTTTAATTTTATTATTTTTTTTGAGACAGAGTTTCGCTCTGTCCCCCTTGTTGGAATGCAGTAGCGTGATCTCGGCTCACCGCAACCTCTACCTCCCCGGTTCAAGTGATTCTCCTGCCGCAGCCTCCTGAGTAGCTGATTTATAGGCATGCGCCACCAAACCTGGCTAATTTTTGTATATTTAGTGGAGACGGGGTTTCGCCATGTAGGCCAGCCTGGTCTTGAACTCCTGACCTCAGGTGATCTGCCCACATCAGCCTCCCAAAGTGCTGGGATTACAGGAGTGAGCCACTGCGCCCAGCCAAGGAATTTTTAACGTTAGTTACCTTGTCTGCTTTTGCTTAGCCTTTGGACGAACAATCCAAAAAAGCTCTCAGCTTTAAAACGTTAGACCTTAGCTTCAGGTTGGCTTTTCATAGCCAAATGTCCTAAAATGTATCAGTGATTTAATGAGAGTAAATTTCCTATTGATTAAAATTAAAGATCTTAAAAATTAAAATGAAGAGTTTTCATACATTTAAAAATAATGCCATTTTTTTGAATGATGAACTATGGTATAATGCATTTAGTGTTCATTCCAAACGTCAATCAATAAATAACATGGGCCTCTAGCTATAAGGGAAATTCTATAGGTAAAAGAACTGATTGACCCCCACCCCCATAGGTGCTGTCCTGCTATGGAATCCCTTTGCTCAGTTTTCTCCTGTCCAATCAGGTGGAATGTTTCACAGGCACATGGTTTATACAGCTCAAAATAACTTGGGACCTGTGAGCTGACAAATGCTCTGGCTCCGGTGGTGACAGGTTGTCCAGCTTCTTACAGCCATCTTCACTGAAACTAAGGTTAACTCCTCACTCTCTATGGACGGCTACTCTCTATTTCCAAGGGCGTGAAGAATTTCCCTCTTCTCCTGTGCTTTCATCTAAAAGTTCTCCCTGGATAATTATCATTGCAGTGGAGTGCCTGGATTGGACATCCTCATCTGGGTCAACTAAAAAAAGAAAGGTAATATCCAGATTTAAGTTCACAAGTGTGTTTTGATAACAGGGCACTGACAGTGGAAAAGCGAATATTTCAAAGAACTCATTACTGTTACTTGAAATGAAACCTAGGATAACTGTCTAATTACATATGACGGGACACGAAATTAAGTGAAAAATAAAGCTTTCCACATGTAAAGATTTTGGAGGGGATTGATGAGACTCACAGAGATCACAGACTACTTGAGTTCCTAAGGAAAAATATCTCAACAGAAGAAGTTGTGACATGTTGCATATCTCATTGGCATTTTCCACACATTCATTTATTAAAAGAATGTTGTTTATATAGAGAATATGTAAGCAATGCCAGTTTCCTTTTTAAAGGAAGTTGAATCTAAAATAATATGCCTGCATAAAGACTTTCATTTTAAATTTTTTTATCATGTAAAAGGATACGCTTGCTATATTTAGTGTTGGGAGATCTGCTCCCTGGATTAATGTACACAACAGCTGCAGAAAGTCTTGCTCAAGGGACATTGCTCTTTCTTTCTCCTTTCTCTCTCTCTCTCTCTCTCCGTCTCTTTCTCTCTCTCCCTTTTCAGCTGCATCAGAAAGACACTTGACAGTCAGTGGCAAATGTTTGGCCTGGTACATTGCACTATTAGCAGTAATAGATGCACATCTTGAGTTAAATTTTAAAAACTGTATAAGCAAAGACAGAGAAAAGATGGATTATTATGTATTTCCAGTCCTCAAAAGTGAACATTACAGTAATGGTGTTAAGGAATTTTAGTAACTTATCAACAGATTTTTATATGCTTATTAAAGATATTAACATCAGCTTGAAAGAAACAACACAGTCATCCAGTTTTCTTTCTCAAAAAAGTATGATTCAATTACTTTTACTTTAGTAATAATGAAATGAATCCTACAAACACTAAATTAAAAATTTGTCATAACTTTATAGTCTCTCCTTAATAATAACAGCTCTTGAGTTCACATAAAATTCATAATCCTTTTCTAGGAAATTGAGAATGTCTATACTTACAGCTATCATAAACATATTTTTTAAAACAGAAAATAAGATATACTGTCCGACACATGATTTGACAACAAGCAAAATATTTAAAATCAAGGCCATCCCAAGAAATCTGAAATATATGGATAATATACTTACAGAGGTGTCAAGAGATAAAATTATAGGCCTTACAGAATCTTATAATAATGGACTATGAAACAAACAGTTGAACACTATCCAAATTCTGGAAGTGTGTCTCTATCCCCACTTATAGTATATGGCTAATGCTACTGGAACTCATAATAATGTGTTAAAACCCCAGTCTTCCATATATCTACAATTTATAATATAGACACTACTACAATATGCTTACAAAGGCACTTTCAGTAGAACAGACACAGAACCACAATTTATGGACACAAGAAGTTGAATGAGTTTTTGTCCAAGCTGGTTTTGGAATTCATAGTGGTAGTTTTTGCAAATTTGCTTTTGAACATATGAGACAACAGGTAAATCAGGTTCCATTTTGAAAGGGTTTTAATGAACTAATGTTGGTATGTGAAAAAGTGAGAGTTCAATTTTTCAACAGTTAGTTCCTACACGTAATAGGAATAGTAGACTCAGTTCACTAACCTGAAAATATAAGTCAAATGCTCCTGCCAACCCTAGAACAATTAATTTTTTTTTCATTCACATTGAGATTTGACAAAGATGTTGCTGGTCTCATGGTGTTAGATAACAAGATAGAAAAATGAAAGGGTTTTCTTAACAGGTTTTCCCCTCTCCTAGGGGATGATATTTTTTAAAATATCTCTGTGGTGCTTCATGGTTGACCAAATGCTTTTAAAACTACTATAACATTACCCATTTGCTTAAAGGGAACAACTTAGGTAGAGACTAAATGGTCTGTTTAGAAATTTAAGAACAATTTCAGCAGATATATTTTTGGTGGGAACAAAGGTTGGTGGGACTATTTACCTGCAGTAGCTATAGAGTTCTCAGAGTTCATGTATAACCAGAGTCACCTTGACAAGCTCTGTGCAGGCTCCCTGCTACGGAGACCTCCACTCGGAGTCACAGTGCACTCCACTCTCAGGGAGGGGCCCAATAGAGCCTCCCAACAAAGTGCTTGAACTAGAACTTGATCTTGAGATCCCTTGGGACACCTACTGCTCTCTCAATCTAGCAAATGTATTATGTCAATTTAATTAGGGAAGTTAGCTTTTTTCAAATCCTTAATTACCTTAAAAATGACACAAATAGTAAGAAGCTGAAGAAGAATGAAAGTGTTAAATTTTTGCATTTAAAAAATAAATATTTGAGTTGATAGGGATTGACGAAGTTTTCCCATTTGGGATTTCCTTTATAACAGTTTGGTTCATTATGAATGGTGAGATCTTGAGAGTGATATAAAACCTCCTATGCCTATCACTTTTGTGACAACCACCAAACCCTTTTTCTTTTTTGATCCTAGATTCTTGAAGTCTTCTTGATTGCCTTCCATGAGACTTTCTATGGGCCATAGGATTTATTTTTTACAATATTTCTTCTCTGTCTTTCAGATTAAATAGTACCTTTGAGCTCTGGCTGCAGTGTCTTTCACTAGCGCTTCCCTACATGTTTGTCATCCTCTGGATACAAAAACATACATAATACGCTTCGTAGGAGCCAGTCTTTTTTCTCCCACTCAAACGAAATCTTTACTTTCTTTCCTACATTCTTACTTTTACCAATTCGATTAAAATAATAATAAGAAAATGGCCTACTCACCTTTGGCTTATTATCTAAAAGTCTTCATTACTTAACCTCTGCCCTTAAAGGAATGTCCCTAAACGGATTCTCATTAATTCCCTGATGGATCATCTCTGCTCGGCCTCTTTATCTCAACATTCTTTTCTGATGTATGCATTTGTCTGTATTTATCTTTTCTTCTTTCAAACTGAAAAATTTTTGAGATAATGTGTCTTATATGATTTCCATATTATTATTGACATATCATTTCCATATTCCTCAAGTTCTTACTCTGGTAATGCAGTATATACTAATTTATTAAATTACTAATGCCGTTCACACGAAAAATAGACTAGAAATAAAAGTAAGATGGGGATGATCACTGTGATAGTGAAGGGATGGATATTGTAATAGTGTACCAAGTACACTCCATCTGCACCCAGATTTTAAAAAGGTGATCTGTACATAACTCTCCAGGACTGGTTCCCGTTCACTGGGATTTGGTTTTTGACCCAGCAAGAACTTCTCCAAAAGAACTGACTTAGATACTTCTCTAGGGTGATATCATTGGATATAGAAGGCAAAACCAACAGGTCAATACTGGCATTAAAAAGAGGGAGCAAAGTCTATTTTTTCTTTCCCTAAAAAGCATTCTGGGCATATTAATTACACATCACCAGCAAAAGGTCACCTCAAATTTGCATAGTGCTCTACAGTTTTAAAGTGTTTTCACAAACAGACCTATGAAATGAGTAGGGTAGTTCTGCTCATCCCTGTTTTAGATGAGTTACTTAAACATATTTATCTTTTCCTATCCTGGCTCTCTTTACAAATAATTATTAACTATTAGGCTATTTTTGGGCCTGCCTCTAAACCAGATTTAGGTTACTTAGGAGTTCTTTGGTTTTTTCATGAATGTGCTTCCCACATTATAAGGAATGTAGAGCAGTGTTTAAAGACACATGTAGCTAGGTGCGGTGGCTCATGCCTGTAATCCCAGCACTTTGGGAGGCCAAGGTGGGTGGATCACTTGAGCCCAGGAGTTGGAGACCAGCCTGAGCAACATAGGAAGACTCCATCTCTACAACCAATTTTAAAAGTTATCTGGGCATGGTAGAAAGCACCTGTAGTCCTAGCTACTTGGGAGGCTGAGGTGGGAGGATTGCTTGAGCCCCAAAGCTCAAGGCTGCAGTGAGCCATGACTGCACCACTATACCCCAGCCTGGGTGACAGAGTGAGATCTTGCCTCAAAAAAAAAAAAAAGACACATTTAAAAAAATAATAAATTCGTTTTTTTCAGCTTTATGAAGGTTTAATTGACAAATTAAAAATTGTATATATTTGTGGTGTACAAGGTAATGTTTTGCTGTATGTATACATTTTGCAACGATTAAATCAAGCTAATTAATATATCCATAGCCTCACATACTTACCACTTTTTTGTGTGGTGAGAAAATTGAAGCTCTACTCTTTTAGTAATATTCAAGAATACATTACATTATTACTAACTATAGTCCCCATGCTGTACAGCAAGACTCCATAATTTATTCCTTCTCCTGTGTAACTGGAACTTTGTACCCTTTGACCAACATCTCGGCATTCCTCACACCCAGATTTGTTTTCTCATTTAAGTATCTAATACTTCACAATCAGAATACTTCACTATTTATGTTTGAATTCAAGTTACTTCATACTAGTTTTTGCCAATTCTCTGGTCAATGCCCCAGCTTAAATTTTCATATTATAACTAAAAAATGAGTTTATTCCATGTATTTCCAACAACAGGGTCTTCTTAGAGCCTGAAGAAGGATAGCACCGAGTTAACATGAGTTGAAAAACATGTCCAAAGGTATCAGCCTCAAACTTTTGTTTTTATGAACCTGACTCTCTTTTTTTTTTCTTTTTTTTTTTTTTGACGGAGTCTTGCTCTTTTGCCCAGACTGGAGTGTGGAATGCAGTGGCACAATCTCGGCTCACTGCAACTTTTGCCTCCTAGGTTCAAGCGATTCTCCTGTCTCAGCCTCCCAGGTAACTGGGATTACAGGCACCTGCCACCACGTCCAGCTAATTTTTGTACTTTTAGTAGAGACAGGGTTTCACCATGTTGACCAGGCTGGTCTCGAACACCTGACCTCAAGTGATCTGCCTGGCTCGGCCTCCCAAAGTGCAGGGATTACAGGCATGAGCCACTGTGCCCCACCATAAACCTGACTCAACATTTTCAGAAAGTTCTTAGGGCAGATCCTCTTTTCTGGAAAAGTCCTAGGGAAAAAAATAGAGATATTTAGGAAAGTAAAGGAAGTAAAATAAGCTGTCTATGTTGCCAAATTATTTTACGTGATTTGCTAAAGTCTATCTTGATGTTTGATGCCACATTAATTGTTTCATTTCCAATCTGGTGCCATTTCATCAATGCCATGATCTGTTTTCAAGGGTAATTACTCATTCTTATTTTGAAAGTGGGAAAAAAAATCTAATTTTCCATTTTGTGAGAAACAGAAAAGAGGAAACAAACTCAAATATCACTGTGACGGGGCATGGTGGCTCACGCCTGTAATCCCAGCACTTTGGGAGGCTGAGGCAGGTGGATTACTTGAAGTCAGGAGTTTGAAACCAGCCTGGATAACTTGGTGAAACCCTATCTCTACTAAAAACACAAAAATTAGCCAGGGGTGGTGGCACGCGCCTGGAATCCCAGCTACTCAGGAGGCTGAGGCAGGTGAGTTGCTTGAACCCAGGAGGCAGAGGTTGCAGTGAGCGGAAATTGCACCACTGCAATCCAGCCTGGGCGACAAAGTGAAACTCCATCTCAAAAAAAAAAAAAAAAAAAAAAGTCAAATGACACTCTGAATACTGCAGCTGAAATGTCTAAGAGAACTTACGATTTTCTTTCCTGAAACCTGCTCCTGCCTCATCCCAGCAAATGATTTTGCTAATGACCTAGTTGCTCAGGGCATAAATATTGGAGTAATTCTTGACTGCTCTTTCTTTCACATCCCACTTTTAATCCATCAGCAAACCGCATTGGCTCTACTTTTAAAGACATCTCAAATACGAGCATTTCTGGCCATCTCCCATGGCTACCGCTCATTGGTCCAAGCCACCATCATCCCTTGTGTAGCATGTTGCAATTGCCTCCTAACTGATCTGCTCACTTCTACTGTTACTTCCTTCAGTTTGATTCTTTGCATAGCAGCCATGATGGAACTTTTTCAAAACCATGCCATCTGCTTCTCAAAACCTTTAAGTGGTTTCCCTTCACACGTTTAATAAAATTTGAAGTCCTTTCCATGGTCTGCAAGACCTTAAATGATCTGGCCTTGAACCTTTCTGCCCTCATTTTCTTTGGCTCTTCTTTTTCACGCACTTCTTCGCTCACTGGGCTTGACTTAAACATACAAAACACTCACCTCTTCAGGCTTTGATGCTTACTTCTACCTCTGTCAGGAACATTTTTTTTTACCAGATGGTCACATGAGTAACTTCTCCACTGCATTATAAGCTTTGCTTGACTTTGCTAGCTAAAATAACACACTTTGTTTCCTCCTCCATTATTCTCAATCCCCCTTTTCTATTTTATTTTTCTTCCCAACATTAATATTTTCCCTACTAGAATGTCAGTTCCATTAGGATAGAGACTTTGTCTTTTGTTCACCACTGAATCCACAGTGCCTAGAACAGTGCCTGGCACATAGTAGATGCTCAATAAATATTTATTGGATGAATAAATGAATTATAGGGTACCTATAAGAGCACTTATGATTTTTTTTAAGTACAAATTTTATAATAGTTATAAAATTAATGCTTAAAATAGAAAGTTTTTAAATTAATGCTTAAAAAAATAATTTTCATATTTTTTATTTTGGCTAATATTTTATCAGTTTAACAATTTATATATGCATTTTCATCTGAGAATCCTCAAAGATAGAATTGTTGTCCTATTTGACAGATGAGGTTAACTGAGATTCAGATGCATTAAGTGACTTTCTCAAGAAAACAAAGTTATTTAGTGTTGGAGCTGGGATTCAAACCCAGGTTTCTGATTATAATCAGATGTTCTCTGATACTTCTGGTATGAAAGTAAAGCATTCCAGCCTGGTCAACATGGTGAAAACCCATCTCTACTGAAAATACAAAAATTAGCCGGGCATGGTGGCAGGTGCCTATAATCCCAGCCACTTGGGAGGCTGAGGCAGGAGAATCGCTTGAACACGGGAGACAGAGGCTGCAGTGAGCTGAGATCGTGCCATTGCACTTCAGTCTGGGCTATAAGAGCGAGAGTCTATCTCAAAAAAAAAGAAAGAAAAGAAAGAAAAAAGAAAACAAAGCATGATTTCAGTTATTTTATCCATCATAAATAAATTTTCACTTGAAAGTCATCTTAAAGTTATGACTGCCTTTACCAGTTTATAGTTTTTCTTTGTGTCTATAAGTTTTCTTTGACCTCCTTTATCTGTCCTATTTTATCCTACAATCAAAAGTGAAAGATAGGCCGGACATGGTGGCTCATACCTGTAATCCCAACACTTTGGGAGGCCGAGGCAGGTGGATCACTCGAGGTCAGGAGTTCAAGACCATCCAGACTGATCAACATGGTGAAACCCTGTCTCTACTAAAAATACAAAAATTAGCCAGGCATGGTGGCACATGCCTGTAATCCCAGCTACTTGGGAGGCTGAGGCAGGAGAATCGCTTGAACGTGAGAGGTGGAGGTTGCAGTGAGCCGACATCGCACCATTGCACTCCAGCCTGGGCAACAAGAGCGAAACTCTGTCTTAAAAAAAAAAAAAAAGTGAAAGCTAATAGTAGAGTTAGCAGAAAATTCTAATGAACACATAAATTCAAAAAAAAAAATTTATTGACCACCTTCTATGTGCTATGTGGGTGCAGAGACGATGGTGTACAAAACATAGTGAAGGAGACAGAGAAGAAAATACACTTCATATATTGTGATAAGTACTGTGTTTGGAGACTGTGTCAAGGACAGTGAGCTTTGGGAGCACATTGGAGAGGTACCCAACTCAGGGAAGAGAAGAAATCCCAGGGCAGTGATGTCTCAGCTAGGAACCAAAGACCATGTAGGATTAGGCCTGATAGGATAGTGAAAAGAGGTGGGCACAGGAAGCAGTCCAAGCAAAGAGAATACAAAGATCTGAAGTCAACACAGTTAATTCATGAGACTGTATTTCAATAGAATACAGATACACTGAATTAACTATGAATGTAGACTTTGGTTTTTCTTCAAATTTTTCCTCGGATCAAGCCACTTCACTAGTTCTGCCTCCATTTCTTATCTATAAAATGGAGGCCATGATACATGGCCATAGCTGTTAAATAATAATAATAATTATTATTATTATAGTAATAGTAACTTCCATTTATTGAATGTTTACTAAATCCCAAGCACATTTAATCATCACTTCTACCTATGATATGGCTACTACTATTATATCTGTTTTACAGATGAGTAAACTGAGGCATATAGAGTTTAAACTTTCCCAAGTTTATACGAGGATATTAGGAAGTGTCAGAACTAGGATTTGAACCCAGTTCTATCTAATGCCAAAGTACTAGGTCATAAGTACTACATTAAAACATTAAAGAAATCTTTATTTTGAATACCTGAAAGTTTTGTTGTAATAATTTATCATAACCATAAACATAAGAACAGGTACATTAACACCTCAATTGGCTTCTTTTCTTAAAAAAAAACTTATCTAAGAATTTTATTTTCTATTTCCACCACAAATATAAACTTTTTTAAAGTTCTTCAACTTTAACATCACCTTCACCAAAGCATTGTTTTTTACAAACATCAGTTGAATACCCATTATAGTGGCAAGCCCTATTTTAAGGACTTTGCCTTTGATGTTATTAATCCTTACTCCCCTGGGAAATAGATTTTTTCATGTTTTACAGATGAAGAAACCAAAGCTCAAATAAGTTAACTTCTCAGAGTTACATAATTGTTACGAGATGAAGCAGAATTTGGAATTAGATCTATCTGGTACCAAGGCCAATGCTCATTCCATGTTGCCTCAGTATAAAAGCTATCTCAAAATAAAGAGTAAAAGACAAAGTCACATTAAAACACAATATACAGGCTAGGCACGATGCCTCATGCCTGTAATCCCAGAGCTTTGGGAGATGGAGGTGGGAGGATCACTTGAGGTTCTTTGAGTTGGAGACCAGCCTGGGCAACATAGAGAGACCTCGTTCCTACAGAAAATTTAAATATTAGCCAGGTGTGGTGGTGCGTGGCTGTAGTCCCAGCTACTTGGGAGGTTGAGGAGGGAGAATTGCTTGAATCCAGGAGTTTAAGGCTACAGTGAGCTATGATCATGCCACTGTGCTCCATCCTGGGTGAGGGAGTGAGACCCTGTCAAGAAAGAAAGAGAGAAAGAGAGAGAGAGGGAGGGAAAAGAGTGATGAAGGAAGGAAGGAAGGAAGGAAGGAAGGAAGGAAGGAAGGAAGGAAGGAAATTTAAAAAACCACAATAAACAGTAATGTCCAATGAATAGAGAGAAAGCCATCCTGATTTATAAGGCACTTAATTTCCCCCCCATCTAAACAGAAACAGAAAATTAAACGAGGCTAAAGAAATAGTTGAGTTACAAATGAGGATTTTCGGTATATTAATTACATTTTCAAATAACATTTTGCACCTTATTTCATATATCTTTAACTGTTACTACATGTAGTTGGTGCACAAATGAGAAAGATTTTCAATTGGGGTATCAATTATACTTTCATATACTATTTTGTGTATTATTCACTGTTCCATGAAATTTAATAAATAGCCATATAGTTCTATTTAATGAGTAATAATTTAATTAACTAATTTCTTATTACTGAACATGGTTACAATTTTTAAATATTATCATGTGATAAACACCTTTGTAGACAAATCTTTGCCCTCCAACACCTTTGCATTTTATTTTATTTATTTATTTATTTATTTATTTATTTATTTATTTATTGAGACAGAGTTTTGCTCTTGTTGCCCAGGCTGGAGTGCAATGGTGCAATCTTGGCTCACAGCAACCTCCGCTTCCCAGGTTCAAGTAATTATCCTGTCTCAGCCTCCTGAGTAGCTGGAATTACAGGCGCCCACCACCACGCCCAGCTAATTTTTTGTATTTTTGGTAGAGACAGGGTTTCACCATGCTGCCCAGGCTGGTCTCAAACTCCTGACCTCAGGTGATCCACCCGCTTTGGCCTCCCAAAGTGCTGGGATCATAGGCGTGCGCCGCTGTGCCCTGTCACCTTTGCATTTTAAATTAATCTTTTTTAAAAGGCATCATAGACTTCATCCAAATAAGTAGCTCTAGTACGGGCAATCTCAGTCTGTGGCAAGTAGGTGGGAAAAATATTTTACTGTGGATGGTCCTTTCAGTCATCTCTAATTGCTTCTCAAGGTGGCTGCCTACTTTGCCAAATCAGAGGTTAGTTTGGGATAGCATTCTAGAAGTTTGGGAACTGGGACAGTTCCTAGGAAGCCTTTCGTGTGATATAAGTGATGCTGTCATATAAGAGAATGGAAAGAAATCAACTGAAGTAAGTTCTATTATAGGATGTTAAAGCCAGAAAATATTTAGAAGATTACTTTTTTCTCCACTTTCCCACACAGTAGCCAAGAATGGCAAATAGTCTTCATCTCCATTGCCATCTCTGATTGGTGATGGCTGAAGGAGTGGAGTGTTAGGAAAGTCAAGGTCAAGGGGAAAGTACAGTAATCACTGAGCTGCAGCTTTTAAGGATGAGAGAGAGTAGTGACAGCCTAAGTCACAAATTTGCCATCCTTTAGTAAATGTTTGAATGAATAAATGGATATAATATTAAAAATACAAAATTGGCTTGCATTATTATATTACTTTCTTAAGACTTTAAAAATATTTATTTTTTGAATAGGTAATATCATATAATTAAAATTCAAAAGTTAGGAAGAACACAGAGCGAAGTCTCCTGCCAAGCATCATATTCCATTATATCTCATTTCCCCTCTTAACCAAAGTTAATTTAAGATTTTTTAAAAACCTAGGCTCTAACTCATATCTTTGTAGCCTAATATGAAGAAGCTAAATCATCATAGTTTTCAAGAACAGGTTGAGCCTAATAACAACATTGAATTTAAACAGCTTGTCTCTAGCAAGCTTGTCAAAAAACAAAAGCATTGTTTACTTTCCATGAGCTAGCTAGATCAAGTTCATATTTTCAGTAACTAGGTGAGATTATGTTGTCAATATCTTTCAATTTCTATAATTCTATTACATTCAAGGTAAAGAGGAGAGGGTGGAGAGCAAATCTCTGTGTATGAAAGCACTGTATAACTAAAAGACCATTATCGACATTATCAATATCAGGCTTAGAAATGTTATTTAATATTATTACAGTTATGTCATGGCCTTCACAACTGAACTTGCCTTTAAAGAGTTTAATAAAGTGGTAATCATCCAGGTCTTTATTTTCAATTTCAGGGAAATTTCATTCTGTTCTTATTTATTTCATAATTTGAGAGTAATATTTAAGTCTTTAAAGTTTGTAAAAGGGGGAGGGCACAGTGGCTCACCCCTATAATCCCAGCACTTTGGAAGGCTGAGGTGAGCGGATCACCTGAGCCCAGGAGCTCGAGACCAGCCTGGGCAACAGGCAAAAACCTTGTCTTGCAAAAAATACAAAAATCAGCTGGGTGTGGTGGCACATGCCTGTAGTCCCAGCTACGTGCAAGGGTGAGGTGGGAGGATTGCTTGAGCCCATGAGGTGGAGGTTGCAGTGAGCCGAGATTGCATCACTGCACTCCAGCCTGGGTGACAAAGTGAGACCTTCTCTCAAAAATAAATAAATTAATTAAAAGTTTGTAAAAGTATTAAAATTAGGCAATTCTTTATTTTGAGCTTTAATTTCTAACGAGTCTGCAGTGCTATAATAGACATAGACTTGTTATTCCCTAGAAATGATCCAAACTTTTTGTTATTATTATTTTGTGACAGCATGCAAGACGACAGCATAGAAGCTTCTACTTCCATATCTCAGCTTCTAAGAGAGAGCTATTTAGCTGAAACCAGACATCGGGGAAACAATGAGAGGAGTCGAGCGGAGCCCTCCTCCAACCCTTGCCATTTCGGCAGTCCTTCTGGGGCCGCTGAAGGAGGCGGAGGCCAAGATGACCTTCCAGATCTTTCAGCCTTTCTGAGCCAAGAAGAATTAGACGAAAGTGTCAATTTGGCAAGACTGGCCATCAATTACGACCCTTTGGAGAAGGCAGATGAAACTCAAGCTAGAAAACGACTTTCTCCTGATCAGATGAAACACTCACCTAATTTAAGTTTTGAGCCTAACTTCTGCCAGGATAACCCTCGAAGTCCCACCAGCTCTAAAGAAAGCCCCCAGGAGGCAAAAAGGCCACAGTATTGTTCTGAAACCCAGTCCAAAAAAGTATTTTTAAATAAGGCTGCCGACTTCATTGAAGAGCTATCCTCCCTTTTCAAATCCCACAGCTCCAAAAGGATTAGACCTCGTGCCTGCAAAAACCACAAGAGTAAACTGGAATCTCAAAACAAAGTTATGCAGGAAAACAGCTCCAGTTTCTCAGATCTGTCAGAAAGACGAGAAAGATCTTCTGTTCCCATCCCTATCCCTGCGGATACCAGGGATAATGAAGTGAATCACGCCCTGGAACAGCAGGAAGCCAAGAGGCGTGAAGCGGAGCAGGCTGCCAGTGAGGCGGCTGGTGGAGACACTACACCAGGGTCTTCCCCTTCATCTCTGTACTATGAAGAACCTCTGGGGCAACCTCCCCGGTTCACTCAAAAGTTACGGAGCAGAGAAGTTCCAGAAGGAACTCGAGTACAGTTGGATTGCATAGTGGTAGGAATTCCACCACCTCAAGTAAGGTAAAAATGTCCCATTGGTAATGCTGAGTAATGTTGCTTTCCATCTACCATGACCCTCCCAAGTATTATCATTTAAGCACCTGGTTTACAAAATTATATACTCCCTTTGAGAAAAGTAGTCGGTATCTAAAGCAGCTTGGTCCAATAGAAATGTAAACCTAGTCACGTATGTAGTTTTAATTTCTCTAGTAGCTACATTTTTAAAAACTAAAAAGAACCAGGTGAAATTAAAGTTAATAACATACATTATTTAACTAACATATTAAAAACATTATCGTAGGCTGGGCGCAGTGGCTCACGCCTGTAATCTCAGCATTTTGGGAGGTCAAGGCCAGCCGATCACCTGAGGTCGGGAGCTCGAGACCAGCCTGACCAAAATGGAGAAATCCCATCTCTACTAAAAACACAAAAATTAGCCGGGCGTGGTGGTATGCGCCTGTAATCCCAGCTACTCCGGAGGCTGAGGCAGGAAAATCGCTTGAACCCGGGAGACGGAGGTTGCGGTGAGCCGAGATCGCGCCACTGCTCTCCAGCCCGGGCAACAAGAGCGAAACTCAGTCTCAAAAATAAATAAATAAAATAAAATAAAATAAAACATTATCATTCAACATATAACCAATATAAGAATTATTAATAAGATATTTTACATTATTTTTATTATACCAGGGATTTGAAACTCGGCGTGAATTCTACACTGACAGCATATTTCAATTTGGATGTTAAATTTTCCTAGGGAATACAACCTTCATTTTGGCCGGGCGCAGTGGCTCCAGCGTATAATCCCAGCACTTTGGGAGGCCGAGGCAGGCAGATCACTTGAGGTCAGGAGTTCAAGACCAGCCTGGCCAACAGGGCGAAACCCCATCTCTACTAAAAATACAAAAAAATTTAGCCGGGCGTGGTAACAGGCATCTGTAATGCCAACTATTCAGGTGGCTTAGGCAGAGAGAATTTCTTGAACTTGGGAGGCAGAGGTTGTAGTGAGCCGAGATCGCACCACTGCACTCCAGCCTGGGCTACAGAGCGGAGGCTCCATCTCAAAATGAGTAAATTAGGCCTGGCGCAGTGGCTCACGCCTGCAATCCCAGCACTTTGGGAGGCTGAGGCGGGCGGATCACGAGGTCAGGAGATCGAGACCATCCTGGCTAAAAAGGTGAAACCCGGTCTCTACTAAAAATACAAAAAAAAAAAAAAAATTAGCCAAGCATGGTGGCGGGCGCCTGTAGTCCCAGCTACTTGAGAGGCTGAGGCAGGAGACTGGCGTGAACCCGGGAGGCGGAACTTGCTGTAAGCCGAGCTTGCACCACTGCACTCCAGCCTGGGCGACAGAGCGAGACTCCTTCAATAAATAAATAAATAAATAAATAAATAAATAAATAAATAAGTATAATTAAAAATTCAGTTATTTAGTTGCACGAGCCACATTTCAAGTGCCCAGTAACTGCATGTGTCTAATGACTACAGTATTGGACAGCGCAGGGCTACAATTTATAGCCTAAAAAAGGTCTCTATGCAATGAATACCTGCAGTATTTTTTTAAACTTTAAAGAAACCCAAATAATAGCATAAAAACCTATAGAATTGGGCTGAGGCTAAAGTCAATTTAAAGATTCATTATACATGTATTAAATGTATTATACACTTTCCATGTCAGCTTCATGAAAGCTATGACTGATGGATAGAGAGGTTATTCATCTTTTATTTGCCTACCATGGTCAGCTTTTCTGTGAGGCAAATGCAGTGCAAGTTTCAGGACGCCTCACTTGACTAGGCTATACCTAATTTTGCATTCTAAGTTTATTTTACTTTTTAAAGGAGCCCTTCCACATTTATGAGCTTCAGGTCCCACAAAACCTGGAACCAGCGTTAGCCCCTAGGGTAACATGTCCTACTTTTGATTTTATAATGGAATAACATGTGAAAAATGTGGTTGAAGTGGATTACTTTTGTAGAGAATTCCTGGTATTTAGAGTCCTACAAGAGTTACTTTGTGTTTGTAACTACCTGATTATTACTAGAATATGATTTCATTACTATTTAACATTTATTCTCTGTATGTAAATAGGGCATCTGGGCATCATCTTTTTATTCCATAATATTCAATTATAGGACAATAGTAGTATTAATAATAGCATTTTTGTTTATATATAGGCATATTAATTCAAGGGATTCTGGCCCAAAGACATATTCATATATTGATTTTTGCTTTTCAAAGGCGACATAAGGCAATGCCAAATATTATTTCTACAGTGGCAGATACATTTGACTATTAGGTTATCCTGCTGACCTCCTTGAGGGCAGGGATTCTGTTGTTTTTACCTTTGTGTCTTGAGCACTGAGCACAGCTTTGGGCTCATGGTAGCCACTCAGAAATGTTGAATGAGCTAGTGGATAAAGAAACAGGAAAACAAGAAACTCAACTTAGATTTAAATCAGAAGTGAGACCGTTGGCCTAAGATGTAGCAAAGGGTTGGAACTGAAAAACACAGGGCGGTGTCTACTCTTCTGCTCTGAACGTGCCTGATGATACTCCCTGGGACTCTGGTTGGTAATGCTAGTGAGATGTCACTACAGCCCCATGACAGCTACTACTCAGCAGCATCTGGTCAGTCTAAGTAAGCTGGTGAGCACTCCAGTTGTGATATACACAAAACTTAGGTTAGTCCTGTCCAATCCATTAGTTTCTGGACATAGATTGATTAAAACAAAAATTAGACCAGATCATTCAGGTCTCATCCTACTCATTTTTCAACCATGACAATCTCAGATACAAGAATGAATTCAATGCACCACTAAGAAATGTCAATTAGGAAGACATTCCCCACAAAGCAAAGTAATCTGGTGGCCACTCAGAAACCATTTAATCAGCCAACTAAAAATTTGCAAATCTTCAAATTTAAAAGTGAAAGAAATGTACACAGTTTCCATGTAGCAATGCTAATTTTTCCTGGGAAGAATTTCTTTACTGACAGCAATCATGCCTGTATCCTAACCACTGGTTGGATGCTAGGAAATTAGTAGGTATATGCTAAATATTTTCTGAATGAGTTAGTACTTAATTTTATGACTGCAATTAGATTAAGAATAGAATTAGAATTGTCCGAGTAGACTATTAGCTGCCATTTTCCTAAGCACAGAATTTATATAACTCCAATCAGAAAGCAAATATGTATTTATTTAGTTAGTTTTTACTGTGTGTTCGGCACAGTGATCAATGCAATGACAGACACAATATAAATATGCATCCCTGCCTTCAAGGAGCTTGCAATACAGTTAAAGAAATAATCCTAATTTTTATAGTACAAACTTTAAGTAGTGTCAGGTGTCAGAGAAGGAGTGAAGGACTAGAAAAGTCAAAGAAGTCTTCAGAGATGTAGGAGGATTTTACTTGAACTTTGAATAGTGAAAATTTAGGTAGAAAGTTTCTTATTTACTCATTCAACAAATATCAATTGAGTTACTAAAGTGATTCACTGGGAGTACAAAACAATTGTGAGCTAGTGGAGGTCATAAATCTTGTTTTGAAACCAAATCTAAACTCTTCTGAGAGGGTGGCTCACAATCTAATAGCTAGGAATCAGGCAGACAGCAAACAAATCAATCACTGCAGTATTATGTAATAAGGGCTATGACAGGAGTCTGTAGAGGAGGCAGTGGTGGCTTAAAAGAGTATATGAGTTGCTTGGCCTGGAGTGCATGATAAAGGAAGTGTTAACACAGGAGGTAGAGGAGGCCAAGGGTAGAGGGGAAAGCAAGTGCAAAGCTCCCGAGGCAAGTGTTATCAGGGAACCATAAGTACTCATCTATGTCAAGAACATAGGGTAAAGGTAAGAAAGATTAGAGATAAGGTTGAAGAGGTAGGTGGAAGGAATGGGTCCTTTCAGGCCAGGTCACTTCAGCATGTTTATGGAAAGGCACAGACGCTCTAATTATAATAATATTTTTTATATAGCAGAGAGGACACTGACCAAACTGGAAAGGAGAGTAGAGTCAGATGACTTCGAAGAACCTTGAAAGCAAAGCAGAGTAGTTCAGACTTGGTTTCAAAACAAACTGGAAACCATTTAAGGTTATGTATAGGGAAGTAACAAGATGAAAGGGAGGATTTAAGGATAATTAATCTGCAAGAATAAGTCACACCTGGAAAAAATGAAGCCATGAAGCCACTTAGGAAGCTGCGGAAGGTATCCTAGGCATCTGATGCTCTGGTCGGACTCGGGTAGGTGTGGTAGGAACGAGGAGGAAGGATGTCAGCGAGCAATGTTTAGAAGAAAAGAAATCAAGCTGAACTTGGTGACACACCACAGAAGAAGGATGGGTATACAAAATTTACTCCACAAGTTTGTGGACCTGGATACTTGAAAGAAAGATGGGGTCTCCAGCATGGACTGAGATAAGGGAAGAAGTGGCTGGTTTGTGGAGGAGGTCGATGGGAATTTGAGTCTGAGGGGACAGAAGGACCATTTCCAGTAGGCAGCCAGAAATGCAGGACTGAAAGTCAGATGAGAGAGTAGTGGAACTAGAAACATTCCAAGGAATACCCTGGACACTGAGAAAAGCCTGACACAGTATCTCTGTACTTACAAAGGAACCGTAAACACAACTAATACTTGGAGCCATCTCCTAGTTGGTTCAGTCCAGTGCTAGAGTGGAGTAGTGATTTTGACACAGAGTCTCTCCGTCACTCAGGCTGGAGGGCAATGGCCAGATCTTGGCTCACTGCAACCTCCACCTCCTGGGTTCAAGCAATTCCCCTGCCTCCAAGCAATTCCCCTGCCTCAGCCTCCCAAGTAACTGGGATTACAGGTGCCCGCCACCACACCCAGCTAATTTTTTGTATTTTCAGTAGAGACGGGGTTTCACCATGTAGGCCAGGCTGATCTTGAACTCCTGACCTCAGGTGATCCACCTCCCTTGCCCTCCCAAAGTGCTGGGATTATAGGCGTGAGCTACCATGCCCAGCCTGGGACACATATATCTTTTTTTTTTTTTTTTTTTTTTTTTGAGATGAAGTCTCGCTCTGTCACCCAGGCTGAAGTGCTGGAGTGCAGTGGCACAATCTTGGCTCACTGCAACCTCCGCCTCCTGGGTTCAAGTGATTCTTCTGCCTCAGCCTCCTGAGTAGCTGGGATTACAGGCACGTGCCACCATGCCCAGCTAATTTTTGTATTTTTAGTAGAGATGGGGTTTCACCATGTTGGTCAGGCTGGTCTTGAACTCCTGACCTCATGATCTGCCTGCCTCGGCCTCCCAAAGTGCTGGGATTACAGGTGTGAGCCACCGTGCCAAGCCTGGGACACATATATCTTTTTAAGATAAAGTAGTGCTATTGAGTTTTGAAGAGGGGTGGGGTAGAGATGCCTGGAGCCCTACCTGTTTGTTCGCCACTGAAACTTTTGAGGCATCTCCACAGGACCCAGGAAAACAGATTTTGATTCAGAGGATTTCCTTAAAAAATACCTTAAAATAACAAAGTAATGAGACATTTTGGTTTGCTAAATAGGAACACCACAGTCAATAAGGATAGTATCCTTTTTTGCTATCTTAGCAAGAAAATATAATAAGCATACTGGGCAACTGAAGCCTAACCTATGTGCTCCTGTGTATTATATAATCAGTGTTTTGCCCATGTTCTTGTAACCCTAGTTTAACAAGTTGAAAAATTATTTTGTTTATATTGTTGATTTCCAAGTTAATTGGGTAGAAATTGTTGTATAAGTAGGGGTGGAATCCTGTATCACTGAAGCTAGTGTGTTTTGCAAGCCTGTTAATCTTTCTTGGACATAGCTTCATTGGAGGAGTTGTCTTAGAAAATGAAATACGTTCATGTATTACCCAGAGATGAAAGAGTCTGTGAGAATTCACAGCAAATGGCCGTGATCCTTTCCTGTATCCCAGCTCCAAATTCTTTCCCCAGGAATGTACAGCTGGGTAACTCTATGTTTGCTTGTACACAACCTTTCCAGGCAGCACAAATTTACCTTTTATAGATGTTGATGCCTGCTATGGCTGTTAAGTTTTGTTATTGCTGCTTCTAGACATTTGTCTACAAGTAGTGTAGGAAACAAAATAGTTATAAATAAAAAGCATATCTGAATTTCATATTACACTATTTAGAGGCTTTTTCTTTCTACTTTTTGGAAAAATCTAGATACCTTCATTCATTCATTCATCCAACAAATATTAAGTGCCTATTTATGTGCCCCATACTGTTGTAGACACTAAGGTTAAAGCAGCAAACAAGACAGCCAAATTCCCTGCCTTCATGCAGCATAGAGTATAGTAAGGAACACAGATAATAAACACAAATTCCATAACTGTTTATATAATTACAATTGTGATAAATGTTATAAAGGAGGGAGCATATAGCAAAGGGACCAAACCTCATGGGTTGGGAAGGTTTTCTTGAAAATCAATATTAAGGCTGAGACATAAAGGACAGCTAAGAGTTAGGCTGGCAAAGTAGTCTGTGGGGAAAAGTGTCGCAGGCTGAGGGAATAGAAAATTTGAAGCCCTTGATGCAGCAAGTTAATTGGTGAGTTTAAGAAATTGAAGAAACCAATTATGTCTTGATGTCACTAAATCTTAAAGAGTGAGGGGGAAATGGTTTGAGATAAGCATAGAGAGAGACTAGACGCCAGATTCTCTCTCCTCTCTCTCTCTCTTTTTTTTTTAATGTGCCTTAAACTAGTTCCAAGAGGTCAGATTCTAAAAGCCTCCTAGAGCAGGCTACTCAAAGTGGGTCCATGGACCAGCAGCGTCAGCTTCACCTGCGACTTGATGGACAGGCAAATTCACAGGCCACATCTCGGACCCACTGAATCAGGATGTCTAGGGAAGAGGCTCGGCCGTCTGTGTTCTAACAAACTGCTGATAATTTGTTGAAGATAAGCAATGTGTGCAAAGGGGTACATTGTTCTAGTCTCTCTATGTATGTTTGAAGGTTTTCATAATGAAAATATTTTTAAAAATAATATTAGTAACTTTTACATGTTTTAAAACTGATACAAGTGAAATCAGAATGTCTGTTTTCTTCTACTACTTGAATTTTTTTCTTTAAAAAGTATATCCATGTTACACACAACTCTAAACCACTTGTTTTCATTGCTATGCAGTATTTTACTGTATGGCTAGAATAATATATCATTGATGTACATTTGGGTTGTTTACAGGTTTTTTCCTAATATGAACAATGTCATTACAAATGTTCTAGTATGGTACACAAGCTTTTCCTGGTGAATGAGTGCGTTGGGCATAAAATTGCTGGCAGACTATGTATAACTTCAACTTTATGATAATACCAAATTGTTTTCCAAAGGAATTGTTTTGATTTACATTCCCACCGACATTGTGTAAGAGTTTTGGTTGTTCTACATCATTGCCAATATTGATATTATTGTTTGAGACCAGAAGTGTTTCAAATTTCAATTTTTATTGGATTTTGGAATATTGCATTATACTTACTGGTTGAGCATCCCAAATCTGAGAATTTCAAATCTCAGATGAGATTGGCTCTAATAAACATTTCCTTTGAGTGTTGTCAGCACTCAGAAAGTTTTAAATTTTTGTAGCATTTTGGATTACATATTTTTGGATTTGGGATGCTCAACCTATACCAGACTTTTACATTTTTGCCAGTCTGATGGGTATGAAGTATTATCTCAAGTGGTTTTAATTTTCATTTCCGCAGTTACAAATGAGGTTGAAATTTTTTTGTTTGTTGACCTTTCAGGACTCTTGTTTTATGAAGGGCCTGTTTACATCTTTCACCCATTTTTCTATTGGATTTTTTGTTCTTTTCTTATTGATTTATAAAACTTTTAAAATATCCTGTATAGACTGGGTGTGGTGGCTCACGCCTGTAATCCCAGCACTTTGGGAGGCCGAGGCAGGCGGATCACCTGAGGTCAGGAGTTCGAGACTAGCCTGGCCAACATTGTGAAAACCCGTCTCTACTAAAAATACAAAAATTAGCCAGGCGTGGTGGCGGGCACCTGTAATCCCAGCTACTCGGGAGGCTGAGGCAGGAGAATTGCTTGAACCCGGGAGATGGAGGTTACAGTGAGCCAAGATCATGCCATTGCACTCCAGCCTGGGTGACAAGAGTGAAACTCCCTTTCATCCTCTCGAAAAAAAAAAAAAACAGCAATATCCTGGATACTACTGGATACTAGTCATATAACACGTTATGAAAATATCCTCTTCTGGTTTCATTTATTTTTCTATTTCCTCTTTTTATTTTTATTTTATTTTAGTTTATCTTTAGATAATTAGATATTCTTAACTTTTGCTCCAAATTAATTAATTTTTTCCTTTATGATGTTGGTTTTTGTAGTTCGCATCTAGTTTAAGAAATTCTTCCTAACCTCAAAGTCATAAAGATATTCTTGTATTTTGTCTTCTAAAAATTTTGTAATTTTGTCTTTCACATTTAAGTTTTTAATCCACTTAAAGTTGATTTTTGTGTATAATGTAAAGCCGGGAACCCATTTTCATTTTTTAAGATTGGATAGCCAATATTCTAGCACCAGTTGATGGAAAAGTATATCTTTTCCCCACTGATCTATAGTGTCAGCTCATCATAAATTGAAATTCCATAAACGTATGGGCTTTCTCTTATTTTCCTGTGATTTATTTATCTCGCTATAATAGGCTTTTCACAGCTCTTGGTTTCCAAATTTTTCACTTTAAGGATTTTTGGCCTTTCTTGCTCTTTTGCCCTTATAATATAAATTTTGGAATCCTCTTACCAAGTTTTAAAATCTAGGCCGGGTGTGGGGGCTCACGCCTGTAATCCCAGCACTTTGGGAGGCCAAGGCGGGCAGATCACTTGAGGTCAGGAGTTCGAGACCAGCCTGGCCAACATGGTGAAACCCCGTCTCTACCAAAAATACAAAAATTAGCAGAGCATAGTGGCGGGCACCTGCAGTCTCAGTTACTTGGGAGGCTGAGGCAGGAGAATCGCTTGAACTCAGGATGTGGGGGTTGCAGTGAGCCGAGATCGTGTCAGTGCACTCCAGCCTGGGCAACAGATCGAGACTGTGTCTCAAAAAAAAAAAAAGAACAACAACAAAAAAAACTAATAAGATTTTTGGAATTGCATTGAATCTGTATATCAATTTAGGGGAATTGACATCTTTAAAATACTGAGCTTTCATAGTCAAGGACATGGTATATTTCTCCATTTTCAAAGGTATTCTTTAATTTCTGTCACCCAGGATGGAGTGCAGTGGCACAATGATAGCTTACTGTAATCTTGAACTCCCAGGTTCAGGTGATCCTCCTGCCTGGTTGTCCTGAGTAGCAGGGACTACAGGTGTAAGCCACTATGCCAGCCTTCATAGGCGGTATTCTTTAATTTCTTTCAAAAAAGATTTGTAATCTTTTCTCTGGGTCTTACAAATCCTTGGTTAGCTTTATTCATAGGCATCTCATTTTTAATGCTATTATTATTTTTTAATGCTATTATTAATGGCATCATTGTTAAAAATTACTTTCTATGTTTGTTATGTAATAGAAATACAATCAACTTCTATAACCTTGTTAAATTCATGAAACAATTCTCCTTTGGAGGACTTTTCCTCATTCAACAACCGCTAAATTTATGGAAATCTATCTATAGATTTTTGGGTGTGTTCTTCCTTTATAATCCTCTATTTCGTATTTCATTATTTTTGCTGTTTTGAGCTTGCTAAATCCTTTGGTACAATGTTGGACAGAAGTGTCTTTTTCTGTTCAATACATGCTCTAGTCTTATTTCTGATCTTGAAGAGAATGCTTTCTAGCTCTATAATAACATATTATGTAGGATTTTGTTGTAAGTTCTGATGTCTAAAATACTAAGATTTTTAAAAATCATGAAAGGATGTTGAATTTTTTCAAGCACTTTTTCTGCATTTATTGAGCTTATCATGTGTTTTTCCCCTTTACTCTGTTAGTATGGTAAAGAATATTGATTTTATAATGTTAAACCAATCTTGAATTCTTTGGATAAACACAATTTTGTCATAATCCACTATCTTTTCATATATTTCAAGATTTGGTTTGCTAATTTTTAAAAGGATTTTGCATTTTTGTTCAAGTACAAAATTGGCCTCAATTTTCTTTCTCATATTTTTGTCAGAAGATAATTGGCCCCAAGCCCCAGTTGTGATATTTAATTAGTACAACTGGTATAGCCCTTGAGGCTGGTTATGGTTTACATCTTTCTGATTGGTAGTGGCATCCATTCTGAATCAGCAGTTAATTACTTCAAGTATCACTCCTGTCCAGACCATACTGCAAACGAATGCCAAGATTTAAAGTTTGGGTAGATGACAAAAATCCCCTAAAGGAAATTGGCAAGGAACATTCCAAATGGTAGGGGGGATATAGGGCAGTCATAAAAAAGAAGAGTTGCTTCAAGAGGGATTAAGTAGTTGACTACAGTGAATACTAATTAGAGATCAAATAAAATGAAAACTGAAAAGTATCATTTGATTCAATAACAGGGAGGCCATAATGACCTCAGTAAGAGCAGTTTGACAGGGTGATGGGCACCAAAGGCAAATTAGAAGTAGTTTAGCAGTGAAAAGGGCATCATCATCCCAAAATGGTAGACTGAGCACATGGGCCTATCTTCTCTTCCAACACCCCAAAACCTAACTGGAAAACCATATAGAATGCCATGTGTAGACCTCAATTTTTTTTTTTTTTTTTTTTTTGAGATGGAGTCTTGCTCTGTCACCCAGGCTGGAGTGCAGTGGCATGATCTCGACTCACTGTAACCACCACCTTCTTGGTTCAAGCAATTCTCCTGCCTCAGCCTCCGTAGTAGCTGGGATTACAGGTGCCTGCCATCATGCCCAGCTAATTTTTGTATGTTTAGTAGAGACGGGTTCTGCCATATTGGCCAAGCTAGTCTCGAACTCCTGACCTTATGCAATCCACTTGCCTCAGCCTCCCAAAGTGCTGGGGTTACAGGTGTCAGCCACCATGCCCGGCCTATAGACCTGAAATTTTAACAAATTTCTCAAAGGTAGAAAGCATATAGATGGAAGAGAGTCAAGTTTTGTGGGTCCTGAAGTGTACACAGTTTGGGAAGTCCCCTTTAAGATAAATAATGCAAATTGTAAATATGCAATTGGGTACAGGGCTTTGGAAGGGAGCCATGTAGGTGAAGAACCCTGAAGCTTCATTGGTTTCATGGTAAATCTGCCAATAAGCAGGTGGAACTTGATTGATAAGAGAACCCAAAGCCCAAATTGTATCCCAGAGAGGACTGTTGCAGCATAAGGAACTCTCTGGACATGCTCCAGGCTCAGGGACAAAAGATACAATAAGCGAGAGGGGGCCCAGGGCAGTCAGGGTGATTAATCTGGGAGCTACATTCAGAGCAGCTGTGTAGGTCAGTGCCTCCTGCTTCCCCTGCTTGGGCTGAGCCACAAGCACAGCCAATTTACACGGAAGCCAGAGCAGCCAATGTGTGCTGGACAAGCAGGGCAGCATCCCAGATAGCCAGGAGGACTGAGGAGCTACTGGTACACAGTACATGCCTACCTGAAATTACAGTCTGCTCCTCCCCAGCAATCACCAAATATATCCCCCTGTAATCAGAGCCAACCTCCACAAAAAAGCAAGATTTTCAAAAAGCTAAGAAGTCAACACCATGAGAGGCTCTAAATTGAACAAATAGAAGAACTTACCCTAAAAGAAAGAGTTAACATAGCAAACAGAAGAAGGGAAGAAATCATTCTTCAAAATCTATAACATGCAAAAATTCAAGTACATTGAATTAACATTAACAACAAAACTAAAAAATTCAAGATGTTCGTTTGTTCATTCATTCAATAACAATTCATTCAGCACTCCCTACTAGTCTCACTACTATCAGGGACTATTCCAAATACTTGGGATTCATCAGTAAATAAAGCAAAGTTTCCTGCCATATTACATTCTAGATGAGGTGAAGGAGAACAGATAAATATTATATTTAATAAATAAGTAAATTATGTAGCAATTTAGTAATAAGTACTATCAGACAAAGAAAAAGAAGGATTTCTAGAGGAGACAATAAAAACTTTCTAGTCACCCCTCCTCAAAGTAATTTAATGTTTAAAAAAACTATTTTAGGAACTGTTTTCATCTTCACATTTATTCATCCTCTCTTTTGTTATATCTAAAATAGGATATGTGGGCCAGACATGGTGGCTCATGCCCGTAATCCCAGCACTTTGGGAGGCTGAGGCGGGTGGATCACGAAGTCAAGAGATCAAGACCATCCTGGCTAACATGGTGAAACCCTGTCTCTACTAAAAATACAAAAATTAGCTGGGCATGTTGGTGTGCTCCTGTAGTCCCAGCTACTCTGAAGGCTGAGGCAGGAGAATCACTTGCACCTGGGAGGTGGAGGTTGCAGTGAGCCGAAATCGCACCACTGCACTCCAGCCTTGTGACAGAGCAAGACTCCATCTCAAAAAAATAAATTAATTAATTAATTAAATTAAATTAAATAGGATATGTGGTAAGGGGTGGTATTGATGTCTTGGTATTAGCCACTACCTACTTATGCTTTTCTTAAGTTACCAAGAAGTTTCTGCCTGGAAGAACTCAATAAATTATTTTATTTTATTTTATTTTATTATTTTTTTTGAAACAGGTCTCACTCCTTCACCCAGGCTGGAGTACAGTGCCATGATCTTGGCTCACTGCAACCTTTGTCTCCTGGGTTCAAGCGATTCTCAAGCCTCAGCCTCCCGAGTAGCTGGGATTACAGGCACGCGCTACCATGCCTGGCTAATTTTTGTATTTTTAGTAGAGATGGAGGTTTCACCATGTTAGCCAGGCTGGTCTCAAACCCCTGACCTCAAGTGATCCACCTGCCTCAGCCTCCCAAAGTGCTGGGATCACAGGCGTGAGCCACCGTGCCCAACCAGAACTCAATAAATTTTAATAACACTTAAAACATAGACATATCCTCCCACTTACACTCCTACCCTCCCATGAGTGGAACATGGACATGAAGACTTAAGTTTACTAACTCAGTAGCAGTCAAACAGGACATACAAATTGTGTCACAAAATTCAACATAACTTTATTAGACAACATTTATTATTATCTTATTGTCCGATATATTCCAGTTGCACTCTGTATATGAAGAAGAGTTACTCTGATGCTTGGAGAGAGCTGGAAATGTGAGTAAGCAAATGTACTACTTTTTGGCTGTGTTTTAGGCCCCACATTCTTCACTTAAGAGATCAAGCATTGCTAAATGAAGCTGGGCAAAGACAATTAAAGGAAAGTCCTTTTCTGGTGCACAAGCCTTCTTGAAAAAATGAAAATGAAAAAAACTTGAGGCTATAATGACCCTAGTTGAGTTATTCAGTTAACATTCACACAACAAATATGTTTTGAGCAGCTAAAATGTACCATACACTGTGCTAGGTGTGGGATAGACAGAGGTAAACAAAACAAATGAGATAATTTTAGCCCTTGTGTTTATTGTTCAGTAAGGAAGAGAGACACTAAAACAAATAAACCTACAAATAAATATATAATTATAAAATATATAAGGGTTCTGGAAAGGAAAAGAACAGGGTGTTAGGAGAGGGAATAACAGAAGTTGGGATAGGGACTTTGGAAGGGCTGGGGCATGGTTAAAGAAAGACTCTGAGTAATCATTCTTTTAACAAGCGTTATTACTGGTGAGTCAGAATAACATTCAAATTACGTTTAGAAGTTGTTAATGTGCTAAAACAATGAGTCATAATATTTATCCAAGCCATATTTTAGAATAAATAGTAACCTCACAGCAGAATGGTGATAAAGAGCCAAAAGTCCAGTTACATCTGAAAAATGTGTCTCTTCAGTGTCTTCCTTCTTTCTTCCCAGGCTTGCTAGCTAGCCAAATGAGCAGATCTGGCAAGCCATCCTTGTGCGTGAAAGGTGGGTCCTTTTCTTTAACCATCTGGACCTGCCCTATTTATCCCAATCATTGACTCATTTCTATTGAGCCATGAATCATGCCTGGCACCTACTGCCATTCTGTAAGTGTCATGAGGATTTGGCGTTCTAAAAACATGCCACCGGTCAGGGCATTTCTATGAAAGCATTCCCTAACATGGATGGAGGTTTGAGAGTATGGTTCCCCCTGACCCTCAAAAGTCTTCAGCATAGCAGGGTAAATTTAATACCTTTTCAGAAGCCAGCCTGATCCCTGCCTAATTTCTAAGTGGGTCATGCTGTTAAAGTCAGAGTGACGGTTACCGATTGTTTTTTTAGGCCTGCTGAGGCCATCCTGGCCATCTGAGTAAGGACAAAAACACTTCTGACAGAGAGTTTGGGCATTTGAATCATTCCACTTATCTCCTTCTGGCTATCCAATTGCTCATAGATGTTTCCACTCTCATTTTGGTAAGGACGAGAAATGTTCTCTAAATAATTTAGATAATCCTATAATGTTTGTATAATGGAAAGTATTAGTTTTGAAATAGCTATTGATATTTGTTTTATCAAGTTAATAGAGTTACATTGCTTTAAAAGCCAAATGTTATTAAAGAACAGACCATTTTCAACTCTTTTTTGCAATTTTCTGTTTATTTACCTCTAGCTTCTAAATAACATGCCAGTGGTTCAAACTTTTTATTCTCAGGATCCCTTTACAATCTTAAAAATCAGTGAGGCCCAAATGAGGTTTTATGTGAGTTGTAATATTTTATTTATTAATCATATTAGAATTTAAAACTGAAAAAGATTTTAAATATTGTTTATTCATTTTTAAGTAGTAATAATAAACATGTTAACAAAAAAAATTTATAAAAAATAACTACATTTTCCAAAATGAACAAAAAAACCATTTAGTGAGAAGAGTAGCATTGTTTTTCATTGTTCGCATATCTCTTTAATATCTGGCTTAATGGAAGACAGCTGGATCCTCACATTGGCTTCTGCATCCAGTTTGTTGTATTACGTTGTTTGGGTTGAAGTAAATTTTTAAAAATCCAACCTTACACAGTTATGTAGTCAGAAACAGGAGGAGTATTTTAATAGTCTTTTCAGGAAATTGTGGCTATTCTTATTTTATACCATATTAAAATTAACTAGCAGTAGTTTCTGAAAGATTTGTTGCAATGTGAAATCTGAAACCACACCAATAAACTTTTGTGCTCTGCTATACTGAAACCTACTGGTCTGTCTTGAACTTTGAATGGATAATATCACGCATTGGTCATCAGGAAAATTAGTAATGCAGATCTTCCAAAAGGTGATACATTTTATTATATAATATTTTAAAATCACATTTGTTAATATCATCACTGATTTCATTAAAAAAATTTAAGTATTGGAAAACCATAAACTTACCGTGGAGAATACAAGTTTTCCAAACTTCTAATTTTCCCTTGAAACCTCAAATTTTTTCATTCCAACAAATACTGTCAGTTTTTTTTTTACTTGAAATGTCAGGTTTACTTCCTTCAGTTTTGAGAAAATGTCTGCTGAATACCCAAGTTTGAATAACCATAATTTGTCTATCATTTGTTCTTTCAAGTTGAAATATTGTTTCATGCATTAAGCAGCTAGTTCAACCCTTAATGTAAACATCACACAAGTGTTCTTCCATATGCAACAGATTTTTATGCTATTAGTACTTATGCTATTAATATTTCTCATTTTACCACCCAAATATTAAGAACACATGGACTCAAGGTGGAGATTAATAAAAGTAATGATTTTTACTGCTTCATCAAGGACATTTTTTGGTGAAATGGAATTTTTCTTTTTCTTTTTTCTTCTTTTTTTTTTTTTGAGATGGAGTCTCACGTCGTGCAGGCTGGGGTGCAGTGCCGCGATTTTGGCTCATTGCAACCTCTGCCTCCTGGGTTCAAGCGATTCTCCTTCCTCAGTCTCCTGAGTAGCTGGGAATACAGGTGTGCATCACCATGCCCACTAATTTTTGTATTTTTAGTAGAGGTGGGTTTTCTCCCTGTTGGTCAGGCTGGTCTTGAACTCCTGACTTCAAGTGATCCACCCGCCTCAGCCTCCTAAAGTGCTGGGATTACAGGCATGAGCCACTGTGCCCGGCCTCTTTTTCTTTCTTGTTTCTTTCTTTCTTTTTTTTTTTTTAATTGCAAGTGTGGTGGTAAATGCAATAACCACTAATCAGTTTTGCAACAGTGCTTTAATTTGTGTTGCTAAAGCACCAGCAATTAGACCCACTGTGGCTTTTGCACCATCAGTGTAAATGTCAATACAATGAAAAGGCAAATAATATCTTTGTATTATATAAAAATAGTTCTGTCTTCACAGAAAGTGAACCACACTTTCAGAACCACTGTGATATGCTTCTACTGCTATTGCTTGGTTTGCTGATGTTAGCCATTTCTGCTGACTTCCTATTCTGCAAGATGAAGGGTTAGCACCCTTTAAACTAGCATTCCCCTTGCTCCTTTCTTTATCACTTCATTATAATCATCACACTGTGGTTTAGGAAACTGCTTACCTTCCAGTTACTACCTAAGTATTGTTCACTACCAAGCCTGGTAGGGTAAAGTGAATGCTTCTTTGCTTGTACAACTCTTTATTTTGATCTTAAAGTTGATGACACCATTTTTTTACATGCTTAGTTCTGTGTTTCTATTGCAAATTTGTCTTAATCCTCCAACAGATTTGTGTAACTTCTCCTAAATATTCTCTTCCATGCAGTCTTAGGTGATCCATAAGGCCCATGTTTTTCCCTAGAGAAATCCCTTTAGAAGCCCTTCTTCCTCCTGCTCCAACATGGAGCAGCTGCTGGCTCAGTCTGCAACTCAGCCTTCATTCCGGGACATTCACTAACGGCTCAGAAGAGGAGAAGTGACCTAGTGGGGAGATCTAAAAGCTCATGTTCCAAACTTGTAACCAACCTCCCTGTTTTAAGCTCTGTATCTCTTCTCCCATTGTCAGCAATCTTGTGTCTCCAAATCCCAAAACTTTCTGGGGTTCTGCTGCACAAATTGGCTTCTTCTTTGACTAATATCCCCAAGTGGGCACTTGGTTTCCACATTTCTCAAATCTCCTGGCTCCTCAACCTGCTTTCCACCTTCCGAGAGTTTTGAAGTCTTAGACCTGCTATTGTCTCCCCTTCCATTCTTTTTGTCTCTATGGTTTTGTACCTTTAAAAAATTCTTTTATTCTCATTTTAGGGGCATTTCAGGAGGGGAGTAAAGATAAACATATGTGCTCCATATGTCTTGTTTAATCGGACATCCAGTATTTGAATTTGGAACTGCACACGCTCTGAGGATTTGTTTGTACAAGCTCCTTGTGGTCTTGGTAGTTTTATGCTTTGGGAGATTTATGAACCCATTTCAGCAGCTCTATGTTCTGCTGCTGCCACAACAGAAATCAAAGGTTGCCATAGAACTTGATGAAGCAAATAACAAATACTTAGAAAATATTAACTGTGAATTTTTTCCATCATTCAATCTTTCAACAAACCCATCAAACACTTATTTTCTGAGTACCTACCATGTGCCAGGGCACTATTGTAGGTGCTGACATTGTAGTGGTGAATAAGACCAATACGGTCCTCTCGTGCACTTTGCAGTCTAGTGAAGGGAGCAAACCACAATAAAATAAACAAGTATATAAGACAATTTCAGATAGTAACAAATGCTATGAAGATAACAAAAGAGGGTAATGTGCTGGAATGACTGAGGATAAGGGGGCTATATTGGGAAGAGGGTCAGGGAGGGCCTCTCTGAGAAGGCGACATTTGAGCTGAGGTCTGACTCATGAGAAGGACCTATCTTTGTAAAGGTCTGGGGGAGGAGGGTTTCAGGCAGTGCCAAAATTCCAAAGTGGGGAAAAGCTTATGTGTTCACAGAATCAAAAGACCAACGTGGTTGGAACATATTGAAGGGAAGAGTGATGGGAGATGGGGTCCAGAAATCAGATCTGGAAAGGCAAATATGGATGATGGCCCAAATAGAGGTAATAATTGAAACTATAGGATGAGATAAGATGGCCAGAGGAGAGAGAGTATATAGAAAACTGTGGTAGGCACTGTGGATGCTTGCAAGAGCATCCAAGACACTGTCCTTACCTTCAAAACATTTACAACCTAGGAAACTGGTGAGGCAAGACACATTTTCAAAATAGAAAATAGTAAAAGCGTGTATAATCAGGTATTTGCATGACATAGTATAGGTTTTTTTTTTTTAGGTGAAGTTAGAAAATGTAACAATCATTCAGAATTGATGGTAAAATATAGCTTTGTGGAGGAGGTAATATCTGAGCCAAATTTTGATGGATGACTTATATTTGTAGTAGCTGAAAGGCAGAAAAAGAGAATCTCAGACAGAAAAAACATGGGCAGAGACTTGAATGTGTGGAGGTGACCATGACATATTTATGGAATAATGAAGAATAGCTTGACTGTTGGGAAGTAAACAGGTGAGTTTTCTTCAGTGTGCTTTAGAATCTTGCCTTATAGGATGTGTGTGGTGGCTCATTCCTGTAATCCCAGCACTTTGGAAGGCCAAGGCGGATGAATCGCTTGAGCCCAGGAGTTCAAGACCAACCTGGGAAACATAGCAAAACACGAATCTACTAAAAATACAAAAATTAGCCAGGTGTGGCAGCACGTGCCTGTGGCCCCAGCTACTTGGGAGGCTGGAGTGGGAGGATCACCTGAGCCCGGGGAGGTTGAGGCTGGAGTGAACCATGATCATGCCACTGCACTCCAGGGCAACAGAGTGAGACCCTTCCTCCACCACCCCCCCAAAAAAAGGGCCAGGCGCAGTGGCTCATGCCTGTAATCCCAGCACTCTGGGAGGACAAGGCGGGTGGATCACGAGGTCAAGAGATCAAGACCATTCTGGTCAACATGGTGAAACCCTGTCTCTACTAAAAATACAAAAATTAGCTGGGCGTGGTGGTGTGCACCTGTAGCCCCTGCTACTCGGGAGGCTGAGGCAGGAGAATTGCTTGAACCCGGGGGGCAGAGGTTGCAGTGAGTGGAGATCGGACCACTGCACTCCAATCTGGTGACAGAGCAAGACTCGGTCTCAAAAAAAAAAAAAAAGAATATTGCTGTATAAATGGTGGGAGGGAGACAGGGATTATAGCACTGAGTGGTTAGATCTAAATTACAGTAAAGATTAGCAACTGCCAAGGCTACTTAATTTTTGACACTTAGTAGTTATTATACCTCCCACTTAATTACTTTTTATTATGTTGATTAATAGTTATTATTTCAAAAAATGAAAAAATGTAAAAGGGTACACTGAGCCATCTCACTCCTATCTGTCCTTATCCATCTTGTTTCCCTTCGCCCCTAATAGCCGCTTATGATTTGCATTTTATTCTTTCCAATTTTCTTTCTGCAAATGCAAACAACACGAACATATCTTATTTCTTGCCCCCTTGTAAGGTCATTTTCACAAGTATAAGGGTGGGGTAGAACTTCCACATATCTATGGTGGGGCGACATAATGAAACCCGTAAACCCCATTTCTTATACAAGGCTAGCACCCTATATGCACTATTTTGCACCTTACTGTTAAAATTCAATTATATATCTTGGGATTCTTTCCATGTCAGTACATAGTGATCATTCTCGTCTTCTTTTTAGAGCAGCATAGTGTTCTGTTGTGTGACTGCATCAGTCCCCTGAGGATGAACGCCTGAATGGTTTACAATGTTTTGCTGCTTGAATGAGTAGCCTATACATTTGTCATTTTGTATGTATACCAGTGGATCTATAAGATAGATTCCCACAAGTGGGATTGTTGGGTCCAAGGATATTTGCATCTGTAATTCTGGCAGTACTGGCAGACTTCTTTCACAGGGTTTATGCCATTCACAGTAGCAATGCGTAAGAGTGGTCAAACATTTAGAGTTTTGCCAATCTTCTACGTGAAGAATGGAATTTCCATTTAATTTTAATGTCCATTTCTCTTATTATGCACCTCTACATTTTAAACATTATTTTATATAGTATTTTTGGTAAACTTTGGCCAGAAAACTAGGCTGTAATAAAAATTTCTAACTTCAAGGATATAGAATTAAAAGAAAATATCATAACCTACAGAAACATATTTAACGTGGGTTATTTGCCAGAGTTGGGCCACTCCTGGGAGAATATGACCCCTCCTCCTTACTCTGATGGCTCAAGTAACAGAACAAATTAATTTTCATTTAGTTAGGTCAGATAAAACTTAATAGAAAGAAACGAGTGTCCTCAACTGTACGAACCTGTATTATCTCTTAGATTCTCTCATATAAGCGAATGTAGCACTTAATGCATATGATAGGAATCAGAAAGTCATTTTAGGAGAAGCCAAGTTCCACATCAAAGACCCTGATCTTTGTTCTTGGCTGTTCCTGCTTTCTCACCAGTTTTCTCAGTTGTACCATTCTTAACTGGAGCTACTTTCTAATTTCCTGAGTGTGGTGTCAGTATGGTTTGAATACTGCCAACTCTTCTCACTGTTACAAAAAAATAATGTTATAATGATGGAGTTTTTTGTTGTTGTTGTTCTGACTTCAAATGAAGCTCATTTAAGAGAATATCTGGAGCTGTCTATGTTATTGTCTTGCATTTGAGTCATGTCCAATGACCATATCCTTTTCCCTGCAGGTGGTACTGTGAAGGCAAGGAGCTTGAAAATTCCCCAGATATTCACATCGTCCAGGCAGGAAATCTGCACTCACTGACCATTGCGGAAGCCTTTGAAGAGGACACAGGACGCTATTCCTGCTTTGCTTCTAACATCTATGGGACAGATTCGACTTCTGCTGAGATTTATATAGAAGGTAAAACAAAATGCTCTTGGAGTATGACACTTAATAGTAAGACATTTAGTTATAATAAATAAATATTTATTGAGGGCCTCCTCTACCATGCGCTCTTCTAGGCAATGAGGATACAGCAGTGAACCGAGTAGAACAAAAATACTTAGGCTCATTTACTGATAATTTACATTATATGATGGGAAAGACAGAAAATAAACAAGATAAACAAATAAAATATATGATATGATAGGTATATATAAACACTGTGAAAGATACAAAAACCAAGAAAAAGAGATAGGAATGGTGTATGTATGAGTGTAGGGGGCGGAGGAGTGGGGAATGAGCCACAAGGTCGTTTGAGAGAAATTTACTCTAGGCAGAAAAATCAGCAAGTGCAGTGGCCCTGAGGGTGGGAGTGTGCTTGTCTTAAGACACAGATATGAGCCAATGTGGCCAGGGTGGAGTGAGCAAGAAAGTAACAGAAGATGAGGTTGAAAGGTAAGATGGGGTGGAAGTGGAAGGAGGGAGGTAAGCAGATCACAAAAGTCCTTGTAGGTCATTGCAAGGACTTTGGTTTTGACCCTGAGGTAGATGAGAAGTTCTGGAGCATTCTGAGCAAAGACATGACATGATCTTAGTTTTTTTGTTTTTTGTTTTGTTTTGTTTTGTTTTGTTTTTAAGACGGAGTCTCACTCTATTGCCCAAGCTGGAGTGCAGTGACACCATCTCGGCCCACTGCAACCTCCGCCTCCCGGGTTCAAGTGATTCTCGTGCCCCAGCCCCCCGAATAGCTGGGATTACAGGCATGCGCCACCACACCTGGCTAATTTTTGTATTTTTAGTAGAGATGGGGTTTCACCATGTTGGCCAGGCTGTTCTTGGACTCCTCACCTCAAGTGATCTGCCCACCTCGGCCTCCCAAAGTGCTGGGATTATAGGTGTGAGTCACTGTGCCTGGACGATCTGACTTAATAGTCACTATGGCTGCTGTTTGAAAATATACTGCAGGGAGTCAAGGATAGATGCATGGGTACCATCTGGGAACACTGGAAAGGCATTTACATTGGCATCAGGTTTATATGATTAATTTGAGGTGAAAAAAATCAACTTATGCTCCTTTGTATCTACCTATATTTGCATTCCTATTTTATCTTATCCTCTGAATTTTGTCTGCAGATCATTCTTTAGCACTTTTTTCACCAATAATACCTTATGTATGCCTTGGTTTTAGCATTTAAACATATTATTATGGTATAGATGCCCATTTATCAACTAGATTGTAAGGCCACGACTTATTTATATCTCCAATATGTACTTGTACTAGGTACTTACATAGTACCAAGTACATAGTGAGTATTTGATAAACATTTTTTGAATAAATACATGAATAGAAATGTGTTGTATGTGTATGTGTTTTTATCCTCACATTTTTGGAGTCCAATAAATGCCTCCAGATTTAGCTGTTATATATCTTCGTGGAATGCACTATCTTGAGAAGTAAATCCAGGATCAAAGCTCTGCTAACAGTGCTGAGATTGGATTGCTGGGTTTTTTTTTTCTTTGTGACAAAAAGATTTTAAACACCCCCTCTCTCACAATGAAGTATGACTTGTTAATATTAGGACTGGACGGAAGAGCATCCACCTACACCTACAATGTTTGGAATCCAGTGTAATCCCTTCTTGTATTCAATCTGTGTAGGCCAAGAGGAAGAGGATTTACGAACACCAGAGAATGTCTGCAAATACTGCTCTGTTAGGCCAAAGGCATCAGCAGGTGTTTTACATATGTGAACGCTTAGAAGTTGGGTCAGTTAATTTGAACAGTGCCACTAACTAGACATGTGACCTTGAGCAATTCCTTCAACTTCTTAGGGCCTATTTCCTTGTTTGTCAAGTTGGGTGTTAGTGTAGTGAATCAATGAGTTCATTTCTTTTTTTTTTTTTTGAGACGGAGTTTTGCTTTTGTTGCCCAGGCTGGAGTGCAATGGCGTGATCTCGGCTCACAGCAACCTCCGCCTCCCGGGTTCAAGCTATTCTCCTGCCTCAGCCTCCAGAGTAGCTGGGATTACAGGCATGCACCACTATGCCCAGCTAATTTTGTATTTTTAGTAGAGATGGGGTTTCTCCATGTTGGTCAGGCTGGTCTCGAACTCCGGACCTCAGGTGATCCACCCCCCTCGGCCTCCCAAAGTGCTGAGATTACAGGTGTGAGCCACCACGCCCGGCGTTACTGAGTTCATTTCTAAGATTCTGTAGGTATTCAGATATTTAGGAATCAGGTAAACAAAGTATCATCTTAAAAATCTTATGTCGTGTTTAGGAACCAATTTAAGAAATTGTCATCTTAACAATCTTATGTCTTGTTTTTATTTTTCCAGGGGTTTCTTCTTCTGACTCAGAAGGCGACCCTAACAAGGAAGAGATGAATCGGTAATTCTGATTTTCTGTCTTATAGCTTTAGCATCCTCAGATCAATTAATAGCTCAAAGAGAATGATTAATTGGTTACTAGAACTTAAGAAGGGTGGCTCCAGGGTTTGACCACAAAAATAAATAAATAAACAAACAAACAAACAAACAAATTGAGTGGATTTGAAGAAGACCCTACTTTTGCTTAAGTCTTGCCTAGCAGATAAATTTGAATCTTTCCAATTTACTCCCTACAGAGGATGAGCTCCTTAAGGGCAGAAATCCTTTGTTCATGCCTACCTTGAAATGATAATTTGCTTCTAGCTTTTGTGCAGATACGAACATTCATAACCAGAGTAAATGACTCCTCTTTTACCCCCTTCCTATATCATTCTCGTGGCCTTGAGTCAACTCCTCCTTCTCTCCTGCCTTTTATGCCAACCACCTCCTTAGAGGGCTTCCTGTCTGCTTCTGCCTTTTTCTCTCTTTTATAGTGTCCAAACTACGACCAGTTATTCTCTAAAAGAGATCAAGATTCTGATCCTATTGTTTTCCTGACTCAGAAAAAGATTATCTATGAGAAAACAAAAATCAAACACAAAACAAACAGCAACATTTAAAAAAAATCTTAACATGGCATACATACAAAGCCTTATTCAGTAGAGCATCAACCAGGTTTTTCTGTCCCCTCCTTCCTTCCCCACCTCAGGCTGTCTACATTGTTGACATCTCACCCAAATCATGTATAGTTCCTCTTCACTCCTTTGTTCAAGCTATTCACTTTGCTAGGATTGCCCTATCTTCTCTGTCTAGCAAACTCTTATTTGTCCTGCAAAACCCAGTCTAAATGTTCTTTCTCTTTGAGCTCTGTAATAAACTTCTCCCCTATTGCACACGCATCACTGCTTCCTTGTGGCTCCCATAATGTGTTACAAACCTAAGGGGTATGAATTTTGATCTATAAACTTAAATAAGCAAGAAATATCCCATTTATTTATTTGCTTTAAATCTACTTGTAGTTGTTGGGATTTAGCCTCCGTTGTGTATCATAGAGACTCAAATTAACTGTGACTTAAATGAAACAGATATTTATTTCTTATTTACATACAAATCTGGATTTGGTGGGTAAAATGACCCCACATTCCACTAGGTTCCTCTGTGCTTCCTGCTTTCTGCTTTATCTCACACTAAGATGTTGCCCTCGTCTTCTTAGGCTAAAATAGAAAGAAATAAAGGCTTGTCAGCCTTTTAAGGTCATCTCTCTTAAAATGCATATACCACTATCCCTCATATCCCATAACCAGAAAGTACCCATGTGGCCACACCTAGCTGCAGTGAATTTTGGGATATGTAGTCTTTATTTGGAGCAATCATGTAAAGAAATCAGGTATTCTATTATTGTAGAAGAAGAAAACAGATGCTTTGGATACACGGATTGGCTTTGCATTAGCACATCATTCTGCTTGAGACCAAATGCTGCCTGGTTAGGGAAAACATCCAGTCTGGTATTGAGTGTCACTTTCCCCCTCACAGTTTTACAATGAGCCATAGAGAGAGAGAGCAGTTTTGGAGTAAGCACCATTCTAAACACATTACATGAATTATCTTATTTAATCCTCACAAAACCCTATGAGATAAGAATTTTTTTATTATTTATTTGTTTATTTTGAGACAGAGTGTTGCTCTGTTGCCCAGGCTAGAGTGCTGTAGTGCGATCTCAGCTCACTGCAACCTCTGCCACCCAGGTTCAAACGATTCTCCCACCTCAGCCTCCCAAGAAGCTGGAATTACAGGCACACGCCACCATGCCTGGCTAATTTTTTTGTATTTTTAGTAGAGATGGGGTTTCGCCATATTGGCCAGGCTGGTCTTGAACTCTTGGTCTTAAGTGATCCACCCACTTCAACCTCCCAGAGTGCTGGGATTATAGGTGTGAGCCACCGTGCCCCCTCCGGGAATTATTATTTCCCCATTTTAGAGATGAGGAAGCTGAGGCAAAGAGATATAACACCTAGACCAAAGGAAAGCCCTCTCTCATCCAGTCATCTATCCATGGGTTACAGGTGAGAGGCCCATGTCCCAAATCCCAAGTTCTCTTCAAGTCCAGAGCTTGTTGCTTTCTGACGTGTGTAATTACTGATATCTTTAACAAGACTGGGAGCCGTTTACCGAGAGAGATGGCCTTCCCCTCTGGACGTAGGTTCTCCCTGGGGTCAGGTTCTCTGGCAAGATCCACAGACCTCTGTCTCTTCCACAACAAAACTAAAATAATCTCCCCTCTGCAGCCTTCTCAAGAATACTTGCTGGCTCTCTTGCCCTTCAAATACTCTCTTTAATTTAATTTGTGTAAACTTGAAAAGCTTGTTGACTTCATGCCATTTCTACTTTCTGCCATGCCAAATTCTCAGAGGTTAAGTTTTATATATGAGAGACCCTGTCTTGGATCAGAGGTATAGATTTAAAAAGCCTGGCCTCTTACTTGAAATGGGAGGGGGAGGGAAAATACCGAGGGTAACAACAAAACAAATCTCAAAAAATTACCTTCTGCACATGCTTCCATCACTGCATTTGTCTTGGATCTCAGTTAACTGTTAATATGTTTGACTCCCTGGCTACACTGAGAACAACGGCCCAAGGACAGGAATGGTGTCTTATGCATTTTCGTGTTTGCATTGCCTAACAAAATGTGTAGCAAAAATGCCCTTGGTCAACGTTTGTAAAATATCATCAAACCAAGATTTTTATTACACTCACCTGTAAGCAGTGATGCCATTACTAGTTTTCCTAAAATAATTTTCACAAAGAGTGATAGGTCTATTTTATAATCTATATTTTAATAATTTCTCAGAATCCAGAAGCCAAATGAGGTGTCATCTCCTCCCACTACCTCTGCAGTCATTCCTCCAGCAGTACCCCAAGCCCAGCATTTGGTGGCCCAACCTCGTGTGGCAACCATCCAGCAGGTACAAGAATCCAAGCGAAACACAAGTGCCATCCACTGTGACAGACAGTCATGGTGACCATGACCATCTTGCATGGCATGATCGTGTTTTTCTCAGGTGCAACTCCATCATCAGGATAATCACCTTGTATTTCTGATGTTTGAGAGCAGTGGTTCCTGTTGCTTTGGGAACATATTCTCGGGCTTCAATAGGCAAATTTCTGAGGAGAAGAAACGCTTTACAAATTAGTCCCTGGCTTTTCAGCTTTATAAAGGGTGCTGATTACATATGCAGTGAGCTGTCAGCTCTCAGACTGGCCTAGAACAAACACTCTATATCATAAAACCTGATTAGTTTCATGGAGCTGCAGAGAATTCCACTTTCTAAGACGAAGCAAGCATGTAGTTATTTTTTAGAAAACAGCAAAGGCTCTCATCCTTCAAGTTAATAATAATGATACATGCTTATTGTAAAAACACTTTAAAAGTACAGAAGTATGCCAGGTGTGGTGGCTCACACCTGTGATCTCAGCACTTTGGGAGGCCAAGGTGGGAGGATTGCTTGAGTCCAGGAGTTTGAGACCCGTCTGGGCAACATAGCGAGACCCTATCTCTACAAAAAAGAAAAAAAAATTAGCCAGGCATGGTGCCATGCACCTATGGTCCCAGCTACTCGGGAGGCTGACATGGGATGATCACTTGAGCCTGAGAGGTCAAGGTGACCTGTGATAGCATAGCTGCACTACAGCCTGGGCAACAGAATAAGACCCTGTCCTCCCACTCCCCCCCGAAAAATGTATTAAGTAAAAAGCTTAGTCAAGATTCTACTCCAGTGCCTTCACTCCTCAGAGGTACTTCATGTTAGTAGTTTCTAGTGGGTAGTTCCAGGCATTGTCTATGCATATAGAAGAATACATATATGTATGCATAGACTTTAAAACATATGAAGTCATACTATCTAAATATACATATAACATGTTATTGATGTATTTCTTTTATATACATATTTTTTTTCTGTTTTTCAAAAAATTATTTGTAGAGACGAGATCTCACTGTGTTGCTCAGGCTGGTCTTGAACCCTGGCCTCAAGCCATCCTCCCGCCTCAGCCTCCCAAAGTGCTAGAATTACAGCTGTGAGCCACCATACCCAGCCTGATATATTTCTTTATTGATGATCAATGTATTTAAATATATTTATCTACAACCTCTTTTTAAAAATTATCCAACCCATTTAGTAGTGCAGAGGGGTCAAGTTTTAGTTCTAATCCATTGGTTTTCAAACTGTGATCTGTGTAGCCCCAGGGGTTCTACGGAGCCTCTTTGGAGGTTTAGGGTTAATGACATAGATCCACAGATCTACATGTGAAGGGGTGGCGTGGGGATAGGCAGCACATATTTTATAGCCACCATGACCTAGAGAGAAATAGAGTCAATTCAGTCTAAAATTTGAAGTCTGTGATTCATAAACTTAGAATACATCAGTTTTTTGGTTTGGGATGCATTTCATATACCAAATTCTATAGGTTTGTTATGTCTCACTATCCATCTAATAATATTAGTAACAATGAATTTACTGTTGCTTCCCTTCTACCAGTGTCAGAGCCCCACCAATTACTTGCAGGGATTGGATGGAAAACCTATCATTGCAGCTCCTGTGTTTACAAAGGTAATAAAAATATTACTTCTTTCTGTCATGGCTTTAAAGATACCACAGCACCCAAAGTTATAGGATACAAGATTTATTCATTTTTATCTCAGGATTTGGTCTTCTGTATGTACGGTATAGGGTTTGGGTTGTTTTGTTAGTTACTACAGTATCGCTTCAAGTCCCAGATTTCCAATAACAGTTTTAGTAATGAGAGAAATGTCTTTCCCTCTTACCACACTAATCTCTGTGGCCATTATACAACTGTTCAACATAGGAGCCACCCCTAGAGGTCAAGTGATAAATTTCTAGCCACATATTACTCCAAAGGTTTCTCTGAATTTTTAGAAAAATTCAATTGCAGGTACCTGGCTTAGGTGCTCAAGGAGATGGAGTTAAATGCTCTTAGGAGGTTTAACATAAAGCCTCCCTCCCTCTAGGACAAAGAGCTTTCTTTTTCTATTCCATAGTATCAACTGTTGAGGTGGCATCAAATTCTGAGTCTCATAATCTTTGTACTTAGCACTAGAAAATTTAGTCAAGCACATTCATTTACAAATGAAAAACCAAGGGAGGGCCAGAGAGATGAAGCCATGTAGCCAATGTCACAGATCCAGTTAGTGGCAGAATCAGGACTACAAACAAGTTGTCCCAATTCTCAGACTATCAGACTGTGTTTATATGTTGCCCAAGCCAGTGAGTGTGAAGATGAAAAAATGGAATCACATTAGATTTTATGGTATTATGAGGACCAAATAGGCAACATCTATGCCTGGATTTATTGTTTATTGTTTGTATGAACACCAAACTTAGGCCCAAATAGATTTTATCCTCTTTGAAGTATGCTTTGGTTTAGAGCAATGGTTCTCAATCATGGTTAATTTTGCCCTTCAGAGTCATTGGCACTTTTGTTGTCACAGCTGGGGGGTTGCGTTCCTGGCATCCAGGAATGGTGCTAAACATCCCACAACACATAGGATGACAGCCCCCCACAACAAAAATTGTCTAGCTCAAAATGTCAACAGTGTTGAAGCTGAGAAATCCTGGTTTGAGCAAAATGGAAAAAATGGGCTATTTTTCTAGTGAGTACTGATCCTTAAAGGAATAGCTAAATCCACAGCTTCTACAGAAGCATCCATTTCATGGGAGCTCTGCTGTATCAGATCATTCAAGATGGTTTTCCAAAACCCAGAGTGGAGTCTAGAGCGAACAACCATGTTTACCAATATCCATATCAGTTAGGCAAACATTCTTATGTGAAACAAGATGCCTCTCAATTTTTCAAGTTCAGTTCATAACCTACATTTGAGATTTTAGCTTTACTATTTTCAAAGTCTTGAAGTAGGAGAGCAACATGTTGTGATTTGGTGGATACAAGACTTTGATGAGGAGTTATAGGTGGACCTTTATGCGGGGGGGTGTATGTGTGTTTGTAACACAGCTAAGAGAGCTACTTCTTATTGTCTCTTATCATCATTGCTAAGTCATCTAACCTTAAAACAGTGATTAAGTGCCACAGACACTTTAATTTATCATGCCAGTTTGTCACACCTTAGAGACAGTGCTGACTCTTCAAAGGCAGCTAAACCACAAGATAGTTTATACTCAGTCTCAGCTAAAGTCTCCCCCTCTCTTCCCTTCCTCAACTCCATCTGCCTAGACAGACAGGTGACATCAGAGGGATATCAGGTAATATCTCCACTCAATTTGAAATCTTCCTAGGTACTGTGTCTTCCCTGCATCTATGTCTAGGAAAAGAGTCCAACTCTGTAAAATAGTTGGAAGAGATTTATTCTCAGCCAAATATGAGTGACCATGGCCTGTGACAGAGCCCTCAGGAGATTCTGAGAACATATGCCAAAGGTGGTCTGGGTACAGCTTGGTTTTATACCTTTAGGGAGACATGAGACATCAATCCGTACATGTAAGATGTACATTGATTTGGTCTGGAAAGGCAGGACAACTGGAAGTTGGGCCTTCCAAGTCATAGGCAGATTCAAATATTTTTTTGATTGGCAATTGGTTGAAAGAGTTATTAACAATAGAAAGGAACGTCTGGATTAGGATAAGGGGTTGTAGAGACCAAGGTTTTATCATGCAGATGAAGCCTCCAGGAGCAGGCTTCAGAGAATAGATTATAAATGTTTTTTATCAGATCTTATCAGACTTAAAGAGTCTGTTTTATCAGTAATTCCAGGAGGGTATAATGAGGCATGTCCCCTTCCCATCATGACCTGAACTAGTTTTCAGGTTAGCTTCAGAATGCCCTTGCTGAGAGGAGGGGTCCATTCAGATGGTAGGGGGCAGGCAGGGGAGGGTGCAGAGCGGGTGTGCGCTAAGAATTTCATTTTTGGTTGACACATGTCACCCAGAGCATACCTCTGGCACGTTTATCATGACAGTAAAGCTGTTTACCTTTCAATCTCTCCCGTTCACCTTGAAGACTATCTCTAATAACTAGATAGGAGTCCATAGAGGCAACAATAGGTAAAAAGTTGTTATTATTTTGAAAAGTCCAATAGGACTTTAACATTTATTTATTTGTTTGCTTGTTTGTTTTTTGAGATGGAGTTTCAGTCTTGTTGCCCAGGCTAGAGTGCAATGGCATGATCTCAGCTCACTGCAACCTTGGCCCCCCCGGGTTTAAGCGATTCTCCTGCCTCAGCCTCCAGAGTAGCTGGAATAGCAGGCGTCCACCACCATGCCTGGCTAATCTTTTGTATTTTTAGTAGACGTGAGGTTTCACCATGTTGGTCAGGCTGGTCTAAAACTCCTGACCTCAGATCCGCTCACCTCAGCTTCCCAAAGTGCTGGGATTACAAGCATGAACCACCACACCCGGCTAACATTTATTTTATTTTATGTTATTTTATTTTATTTTATTTTATTTATTTTATTTTATTTTATTTTATTTAGACAGAGTCTCCCTCTGTCACCCAAGCTGGAGTGCAGTGGCATGATCTTGGCTCAGTGCAACCTTTGCCTCCTGGGTTCAAGCGATTCTCATGTCTCAGCCTCCCAAATAGCTGGGACTATAGGTGTGCACCACCATGCCTGGCTAATTTTTGTGTTTTTAGTAGAGACGGGGTTTCACCATGTTGCCCTGGCTGGTCTGGAACTCCGATCTCAGGTAATCCGCCCACCTCAGCCTCCCAAAGTGTTGGGATTACAGGCGTGAGCCACGGTGCCCAGCCACATTTATTCTTTACATTTAATTTTCATGAGCTGATTAGAGCCACAGATTGAGCTGCCTTTGTGTGGTGATTCTGATTAGCTCCTTCTATTAATAATTAGATGCTCTGATTGGCAGATGCATATACTTTTGATAAATAAAAATAGGAAAATGAATTAATCATTCACATACTTTGTTTGTTAGATAAAATATCTAAAAGAAATAGCTTCATGGTGGGAAAATGGTCCTTAGTACACAGACCCAAACCCTGACGAGGCTTTCTCAGCCTCGTCAGGATATGTGCTTTTGCCTCCATAAATGGGTTAAGGATTGTTCAGGCATTGGGCACTAGGATAGGCAGTGGCTCAGATTCCAGAAAGACTTATCAGCAATGATGTGCTTGCGTTAGTTTCCATCAGTGAGGGCAGGATTGAGGTCATAGTCACTGCCAGTGTCATTAGCAAATTTCTGAGTCAGAGCCACCAGTGATGGATGGTATCATGTGGCTATGAGCCATGATAACAGATTATTTGCATATGTTTGTTTGGCTTCTTCCTGCCCTATTTACTTGTTTAGGGACTTCTGGCATTCCATTCCCTGTGACTCACTTTCTATACTGCCCAACAAAGCATTTCTTTGCCAATCGTGGCAAGAAGCCAGTTTTTTTTTTTTTTAAAGCAACGCTTAGCGAGCAGAGTTTTATTTAACTCCTTCCTCTGCTGGTGACAGCGAAGTACTTATCTTCTTTTAAAGAAAGTTAAAATGAAAAGGAGAGTAGCCCAGCAAAACAGTGGTAGAATTTGAGAGAGGACTGTGGGATTCCAAAACTAGTTCACTACTCTACTCATAGGTGATACCTATGTTTTTAGATGCTCTTTAACTGTGGATAGAGATAGACTATCCTCCATCCTCTACGCAGTATCAAAAAAACTTTTGCTCTGTTTATGCAGGGAAAACAGCACTCACACTTCTTGAATGTGAAGGGAGGTCGATGATCAAATTAGAATCTTACTCCTATCACTGCTCCCACCCCAGCAGCAGCTGCTCTGGCAGGCTTTCAAGGCTGCAGCAGCCCTGGCCCCAGCTGCTTCAGCAGTAATTTGAAGAGTGCAAGGGGGCAGGGGAAGCGAGAATTTGAAAAAGAGCACTTCATTATATAACAGCAAAGGCAGGAAACCCTGAAATAACTGGGCCGGTAGTGGGATCCAGATTTCTGGAGTTCATGGGCCCCTCTCCCCATTCAATCAATTCTGGAGACTTTTCTTACTCAATGATTGCATGGGGCACTTGTGACAGTCAAGGGGCAAAAGAGCTTTCAATCAGACAGTTCTTTATCAGTAAAAACCACTTTGATCCAACTCCATCCTAAAGCACTGTGCACTTGCAGCATCTTCCAAGGTGCAAAATTATCAACTGGATTGAAAAACAAATAAAATGGCAAAACGAACCTTGTAGCTGACATCTTTTAACCAATAAGGCAGATGCTGTTTCTCAAGGATGTCCCAGCATTATGTTTGTGGTTATAGATCTACTAAGCAAGAACTATATCCTTTCAACTCACGTTTATAGCAGTGGGCATGGTGCTGGGCACAAAGCAGGCACACATTTATTCTGTGGCAAATAACTTCCATTTCAGGCCAGGCACGGTGGCTCACAACTGTAATTCCAGCACTTCGGGAGGTTGAGGCAGGAGGATCACTTGAGGCCAAGAGTTCGAGACCAGCCTGACCAAGATGGCAAAACCCCGTCTCTAACTAAAAACACAAAAATTAGCCGGGCATGGTGGCACTCGCCTGTGGTCCCAGCTACTTGGGAGGCTGAGGCAGGAGAATCACTTGAACCCAGGAAGTGGAGGTTGCAGTGACCCGAGATCATACCATTGCACTCCAGCCTGGGTGACAGAGCAAGACTCCATCTCAGAAAACAAAACAACAAAAAACAAAACAAAACAAAAAAAACCCTTCCATTTCAGCTAAGAAGAAATTATTATTTTCATTACTTTGTGACTTCAGAGTATCTTTAGGAGGAATAGAGAAAAAAAGTAAAATGTCAAATGGCCATGGAAGAAGACAAGCTTCCCAAGTCTCTATGTTGTCAAGTCACCCTACAAAGAATGTCCTCCCAGATGACCAGTTTAGTGATGCCACACAAGATAGATTTGCACTTTGAATACTGCATACCTGAGGAGGTTGTAGATCTTTGGTTATAGTGACTTTAGCCCAGACTCATAATTCCTAGAAAAGACTAACTTAATCTTTGCTAGTTGGAGACTGTTTGGTCTGTCTCATTTGTTGTCAGTGAAGCTGAAATGATCAAGTCTGTACACCCCATGCCATTAGTAACCAACAGCCTAAGACCTACTGTTGTGATGAACGTGATGACAGCTACACTATGTTCTAATAGGGTAACTGGTTTGGATCCTGATCTGTGGCAATGTGAGCCAGCTCTTTCTCACGAAACTTTGTAGAAAAGCAGCTTTCAGCAATAACAACCATCCTCATCCTTATAACTATGACTCTTAACAGTTTTCTAAGTGGCTTGTGAGATGACCCTTGGCACCTCCTTTACTGAGTATTGATGATGTGCCACACTGGAATGAGCTTCCATCACAGACATTAGGAGGCCCATTCCATACACTGTAGTATCTCACATAACTAGGCTGGGCTCTTGAATAGAACACAAGTCTTGCCCTTTGATGTTAAATGAATAACAACCAACTGATGGTTTAAATTGTGAGCAACATATTTTCTCAAGGAGATCCTTTTGCAAGCAGGGCTTTTGTGTAATCTCTGCAGATTGGGAACTGGCTCATATATCTGAGCTCAACTTTAGGCCATGTCAGAGCATATTAGATTGACCTCATTCTACTGTGAATGTACTGTTTCATTTACTCAACCCCTTCTGCCACCACCACCTTTTTTGATGTTTGGTTTGGCTTTCTAATTGGTTTGCCTCAAGAAGGAATGAAAACTTTATTATGTATAAGCTCCAGGAGGGTGTCTAAGTGCCATTAAAGTTTTCAATGGTCCCCAAAGCTGCCATTTGAGCACACAATTTGCTCAGAGGTCAGGGTGGAGGACATACTCACCAGTTTGCCGGGAGCACCCAAAATTCACTGATGCTTCCTGTTTTCCATTCTTGTCGTTAGTAGATGTTTCGGGAAGACAAATAATAACAAGATTTTTCTGTCAAATAGTTCTTTATTAATTCAGAAACCACTCGGTGCTAATCCCATCCTGAATTACTTCAGCAAACAAATTTGGGACCTCAGAAAGAATAAAACACTAGCATTGAACTACAGCGCCTCCTGGCTGTCACAATATCAATGCATAACATCCCTGAGGTGAAAGTCTCTTACACAGCTAATGCTATGTGGTTTTCCCCAGCCCCATATTCTCCTTAGGTAAATGCTATTAAGTACGATAGGACCAAGTACAGAATATCATAAGTTGTTCAGACAAGAACTGTAAAAAATAACGAAATATTCGTAACAGCGAATGACAAAAGAGAAAAAACGATTGGCTTTCCCCTTCTCTGAAGCAAGAGCCAGTATTTCCTAAATGCAGGTCCAAAAATTGTAATAATAGAAATCCATGCAGCATTTGTTGCTTACAGAGTTTGTGGAGGAAGTTTAATTGTAACCTTTTTTATGCTTACAGTCTTTGGGCCAAATGAAAAACAAAAATATGCCAATACATGTGCCGAAAAAGCATTTCATAATCACATGAAGTGCCAACTACAGAAAAGAATGTATTGTTTTCAGCTCACAAACCATGATGAATAAGAAACTAGCTGTGAAAAAATGTGCATTTTATTATCTTCTAGAGTCTAATACAGAATACACTGATATCTTACAATTCAAAGTGGTCTTTCTAAACCTTTCATTGTGGGAGTGTGGAAAAGCATTTAATGATTCCTTCGCAAATTTACAACGTATTTTACAATGACATTGACTGTATGTGTGACTAAGATTTTATAAAGATTGTGATTGCTTTTATTCCTCAACAGATTAGTGAGCCTATCCTGTAAAGACCACATAAGAAAAACAAAACAGCACAATGAAAATCAATTTCCAGGACTGCAGAATGTAAACAAGGCAAAGCTAGGAAGACAGAACCAGTTACTTGGGCCATAGAACCCTTCCACATTATGAGCAGCCACATTCTTTTGTGGACTAATACATCACTCCTATGTTGAACACATCTAGTAGATACTCACTGCAAATTTAAATATTATTATTATTTCTGGAAATCAAACACCACTTGGGCACTTAAGAACAGAGGTACTGAGGCCGGGTGCGGTAGCTCAAGCCTGTAATCCCAGCACTTTGGGAGGCCGAGGTGGGTGGATCACTTGAGCCCAGAAGTTTGACATCAGATTGGGCAACATGGCAAAACCCTGTCTCTACAAAAAAAAAAAAAAAAAAAAAATTAGCCGGGCGTGGTGACCTGTGCCTTTAGTCCCAGCTATTCAGGAAGCTGAGGTGAGAGGATCGCTTGAGCCTGGGAGGTTGAAGCTGCAGTGAGCCATGATCACAACACTGCACACCAGCCTGGGAAAGAGAGTGAGAACCTGTCTCAGAAAAAAACAAACAAACAAAAAAAAACACCCCCGACCAATAAAAAAAAAACCCAAACCAAAACAACAACAAAAAAACCACCCCAAAGACACTATATTAAAAGTAGCTATATTACTCAAAATGTCTTGCCTAATATTTAATAAATTTACTTAGCATTGGTAGAGAGAGAAAGGAAAACAATAGCGAGGGAAAAGCTTTATATAGGCTCAGATGATTCTGTCTTCAAACCTACTTTTAGGATGTGAGGGTGATCTGGCTGTGACATCTGTCACCCCATTGATGGCCAGAATTAATTCAGCTGATCAGGCTGGCTATGCGGGTGCCCTTTTTCTCCCTCATTGTTTCCATGTGCGTCCCTCCTGAAGCTGTGCGCTCAGTGGAAGAAGATGACCATCCCTGATAGAGGAGGACCAATCTTAGGTCAAGGGCATAGGAGTAGCCACGCTCGCCTGCTAGAGCCTCCAAACAAGCTCTCAAAACTACTTTTGAATGCACATCCACAGAACTGAAGCTGCTAGAGATGTAGATGCTTTGGAGAAAAATCCAAATATGGAGACGGCATCTTTTTCTAAAATTCAACACCGAAACTAGATTACAAAAATGTGTACTTTTTTGTTCTAACTACATTCTTCTTATCATTATAGATGCTACAAAATTTGTCAGCTTCTGAGGGTCAGCTGGTTGTCTTTGAATGCAGAGTAAAAGGAGCTCCATCTCCTAAGGTTGAGTGGTATAGAGAAGGGACTTTAATAGAAGATTCTCCAGATTTTAGGATTTTACAGAAAAGTAAGTTAATACTTTAAATTATTTTCTGATATTTTGTTTTTATGAACTTATTGTACACACTTATTTTTATAACTTTTTAACAACTAATTAAAAATATAGTCAAAAAGAATAAAAAACACCTGTAATCATACTCCTGTTAATATTTCAGTATATGTTCTCCAAGAATTTTTCCATGCATAGTTTTTAAAGAAAAGCATCATATTCTTTTTTGTAAATTAATTATTTACTCAACATTTAATGAACACCTTTCCATGTCCATAAACACAGAGCCTCCTTACTTTTTTTTTTTTTTAGATGGAATCTCACTCTGTCACCCAGGCTGGAGTGCAGTGGCACGATCTTGGCTCACTGCAACCTCCACCTCCTCGGTTCAAGCGATTCTCTTGCCTCAGCCTCCCCAGTAGCTGTGAATATCTACAGTTATTGCCTTGGAATAAATTTCTAGTATGAGAATTGCTGCTATAAATTTACCTTTTTTAAGGCTTTTAAAATATGTTGCCAAAATGCCACCCCAAAGGGTTGAACTAAATTTAGGATGGTCACACAATTAATCAGCCAAAATGAGATCCTTTAGGGGAGTGAAAGAGGATGCTATTAATAATTATACAGGGATCCCAGGCATAAACTAGGTCTGCCCCAGTTGAACTGGGACACACGTCGCCCTAGCTATATCCTACTACAACCAACAATACGTGGGAATGCCTTTCATCTCACACCTTCACCAACAATGAGTGTTAACCATTTTATTAAAAATCTTCACTAATTTTATAGGCCAAAAAATGGGAACACTTGTTTTAATCTGCGCTTCACTAATTAAATCTGGGATGAAACTTTTCTTTTTCATATTTACTTAAGTCTTTGTATTTCTTTATTTCACATTGGGTTCTTGCTCTTTTTTATTGTAAGAATTATTTAGAAATTTACATGGTTAATTCTTCTTTTCTTATCGCACAATGCTTTCACCTTGTCATGCAGTGCTTTCTCCTTGACCCATTTCAGCCATAAACTACATTGCAACATACTTGCTTTTTAAAAATATGTTTTATTAACTATGTAGAGCAATCATATGATAGAAAAACTTGGGAAAGAAATTTGCTAAAATGTTGGCAGTCTTTCTCTGGGCAGTGAGTCTAGGGTCAATTGTTTTACTTCCTTTTGCATTTCTGTATTTTTTTAGTTTTTCCATAATGAACATATATAACTTTTATTTTTTATTTTTTACATTGATTGATAAAAATTTTACAAGTTACCATGTACAACATGATGTTTTGAAATATATATACATTGTGGAATGGCTAAATTGAGCTAATGAACATACGTATTACCTCACACACATCATTTTTTGTGGTGAGTTATTTGCTTTTTTCTTAATCTTTTTCTGCCTATCACAAAATAGCAGTCTGTAGATCAGTGTGACATATGAATCAGAGCTACTCTCAGGTTTTATTGGTAGTAGCAGCAACAATAATATATTCTGAATGCCATTTAAACTGAGAGATGCCGGGCACAGTGGCTCACACCTGTAATCCCAGGACTTTGGGAGGCCAGGCCAAGGCAGACGGATCACTTGAGGTCGGTAGTTTGAGACCAGCCTGGCCAACATGGTGAAACCCTGTTTCCACCAAAAACAACAAAAACAAAAAAAACCAAAAACTCAGCCGGGTGTGGTGGCACGCATCTGTAGTCCCAGCTACTCTGAAGGTTGAGGCAGGAGAATCACTTGAACCCAGGAGGCTGAGTTGCAGTGAGCTGAGATCACGCCACTGCATTCCAGCCTGAGCAACAGAGTGAGACCTTATCTCAAAAAAAAAAAAAAAAAAAAAAAAAACAGAGAGAGAGAAAAAAAAACTTCAATGGGTCTACCAGTGTAGAAGATTAAAACTAAGTTCAACAACTACTTTTTGAGTGTTGGCAATTCAATATCAATCAAACACCTGTATTCAGTACCACCGTGGGCACTTTCATGAAGCCCAAAGAATTTTAAGATAAGATAAGAACCTACTCTTGGCTGGGCATGGTGGCTCATGCCTTTTAATCCCAGCACTTTGGGAGGCTGAGGCGGGCGGATCACGTGAGGCCAGAAGTTTGAGACCAGCCTGGCCAACATGGTGAAACCCCGTCTCTACTAAAAATACAAAACTTAGCTGAGTGTGGTGACAGGTGCCTGTAGTCCCAGCTACGCAGGAGCCTGAGGTAGGAGAATCACTTGAACCCAGGAGGCAGAGGTTGCAGTGAGCCAAGATCTTGCCACTGTACTCCAGCCTGGGCAACAGAGTGAGACTTCGTCTCAAAAAGAAAAAACCTACTCTTGAAAAAACTATGATCTATCTTGAGGCTCTTAATCTTAGAAACCTCAGAGCAGGAGGTATAGTGTATATTTTATTAGGATATCAGAGCCCAAAGCCAAGAACAATCTCTCAATCTTCACAAACCTTTTTCAGGTAAGGCTGAATGAGTGCCAGTAAAAGCAAGAGTCATTTCTGAAATATAACTAACTCACAAACCTCCTTGGCTAAGGTTTATGTATCCCAAGTGAAACCCAGATTTATTTCAAGAGGAAGCAGTATCATTTAATTGTTGCTCTTGGGCAAGGCACAGTGGCTCCTGCCTGTAATCCCAGCACTTTGGGAGGCTAAGGCGGGCAGATTACCTGAGGTCAGGAGTTCAAGACCAGCCTGGCCAACATGATGAAACCCCATCTCTATCAAAAATACAAAAATTAGCCAGGCATGGTGGCACATGCCTATAATTCCAGCTACCTGGGAGGCTGAAGCAGGAGAATTGCTTGAACCCAGGAGAATTGCTTGAACCCAGGAGGCAGAGGTTGCAGTGAGCTGAGATCGTGCCATTGCACTCCAGCCTGGGCAACAAGAGTGAAACTCAGTCTCAAAAAAAAAAAAAAAAGTTTTTGCTCTTTTGCTGCCTTTCTGTAATATCCATCCTGTCCCTGTTGAGATCATCTTACTTAATATTGTCACATAATCTTATTGTATCACTCCTGAGTGTGCAAGAGACTGTGAAATTCTATAGGAAGCTTCTGATGAACATGTAGTTTCTCAGTAAAATAAATGCTCAGAATCTTTTACTTTCTTTTCTTTTAGAACCTCGATCCATGGCAGAGCCAGGTAAAGATGATTTCAACTTTAATTTATTAGTATATGAGTGATTTTATATATACAAGAATACATAATGAAGTTACACTGAGATGAATAAAAAGTGAAAAATAAAGTTTTAGGAAAAAAAGATCCAAATGGGCCGGGTGCAGTGGCTCATGTCTGTAATTCCAGCACTTTGCGAGGCCGAGGCGGGCGGATTACTTGAGATCAGAAGTTCAAGACCAGCCTGGCCTACATGACAAAATGAAACCCCATCTCTACTAAAAATATAAAAATTAGCCAGGCATAGTGGCGCACGTCTGTAATCCCAGCTACCTGGGAGGCTGAGGCAGGAGAATCACTTGAGCCTGGGAGGTGGAGGTTGCAGTGAGCCGAGATCGTGACACTACAGTCCAGCTGCGCGACAGAACAAGAATCTGTCTCAAAAAAAAAAAAAAAAAAAAAAACATCCAAATGAACTATAGCTATTATTGTAGGAGGAAAGGAGGGGTGCATGTGCAAATCTGGAATATATATTTAATACCTCACATGAATGCAGCTGGTTCTTGGTTATTGAGAAGTGTTTCTTAGGAATATTTTTCCTCCATAAATGGCCGCCATTTGAGCCCTCTCAAAACTAGGCAAAGCAATTTTTATAATGCTAGGTCAATTTCATTTCCATAGCCTAGGTATCTCAAAACTTATGCATCATCAGATTTTGAAGCTTGCAGAGATTCAATAAAATATCTGTGATGTTATTAGATTTGGTTGGGAGGATACTACGACGAGATACAAGTGACAGTAGGCGAAGTTAGAAAATACAAGTCACTCACAAAACAGGGCATAAACATCTGAATGCCCTCTCTGTGACCACCTGGAAAAATCAGATTGTATTTGCAACCCTGTGACAGAAAGCTGGTTTGTGATCTCATTATTATAATTCTCTCTTCAGGCCGGGCATGGTGGTTCACGCCTGTAATCCCAGCACTTTGGGAGGCTGGGGCGGGTGGATCACCTGAGGTTGGGAGTTCAAGACCAGCCTGGCCAACATACATACAACCCCATCTCTACTAAATTTACAAAAATTAGCCAGGATAGGGTTTTTAAGGGTTTTGGAGTGGGTTGAAGAGCGGAGATCACTGGTTGGTTAAAAAGTGTGGGGTGAAGTCATGGGACAGGGAGATGAAGAAGCCGGGTTCTCATGCTGATCTCGATCCTCTGTGGGGGTCTTCAAACTAGTTGCTGGAATTCATGGCCTGAAAAAAATGTCTTAAGAGATCCTTAAACAAAAGCCTTATGAGGCTGGGCACAGTGGCTCACACCTGTGATCCCAACACTTTGGTGGGAGGATTGCTTGAGCACATGAGTTAAAGACCAGCCTAGGCAATATAGTGAGCCTCCCACCTCTACAAAAACTCAAAAATTAGCCAGGCATAGTGGTGCATGTCTGTGGTCCCAGCTACTCGGGAGGCTCAGGTGGGAGGATCACTCAAGCCTTGGAGGTGGAGGTTGCAGTGAGCCAAGATTATGCCTCTACACTCCAGCCTGGGCAACAGAGCAAGACCTTGTCTCAAAAAAAATAGAAGCCTTATGATTCTAATGTTAGAAATCCTGTCTATAGCAGCTGGGTGCGGTGGCTCACGCCTGTAATCCCAGCACTTTGGGAGGCCGAGGCGGGTGGATCATGAGGTCAGGAGATCGAGACCATCCTGGCTAACACGGTGAAACCCCGTCTCTACTAAAAAAAATACAAAAAATTAGCCCGGCGTGGTGGCGGATGCCTGTAATCCCAGCTACTCGGGAGGCTGAGGCGAGAGAATGGTGTGAACCCGGGAGGCAGAGCTTGCAGTGAGCCAAGATCACGCCACTGCACTCCAGCCCGGGTGACAGAGCAAGACTCCATCTCAAAAATAAATAAATAAATAAAAAATAAAAGAAATCCTGTCTATAGCAACAATGGGGATGCAAATCAATTCTTAAACAGTCTTATGATCCTAATGTCAGAAATCCTATCTATAGGAACAAGGGGATGCAAATGGTCAGGATCTAGTGCTACGTGACTTTTAGTGACAAAGGAAGTGGGTCAAAGTGCAGCCTGATTAATGCTTAACTATATTTCTGTCCAGAACCTAGTATGCAATTCTTGTCAACCCTGTGGTTATGGTTTCAATATCACACTGACTGGAATTGTGTGTCTCAACTACCACTTAACAAGAATAGAGTTAGCTTGACTGGCTTAGACCAGTCATGATTTACCATCTGAGGCTGAGAGGAACCAGCTTTCTTCAGAACATATGACCAATCCAAGTAGAGTAGACAAAGCCAGGGTTCTATCAACAAGGAGGTAGGAGGATGAAGAGTTACTGAGTAGGTACTTGCTTGGTCCACTGTGTGCTGCTGTGACCGAATACCTGAAACTGGGTGATTTTTAATAAAGAACAGGGATTTATTTCTTACAGTTCTGGAGGCTGGAAAGCCCAAGATCAAGGGGCCTGCATCTGGTGAGGGCCTTCATGCTGTGCCATTCCATGGCAGAAGGCAGAAGGGCAAGAGAGCAAATGCGCAAGAGAAGGGAGGGAGAGAGGGGGCCACTCTTACTTTCATGACGAACCCACTCCCAAGATAACAACATGTATCCATTTATTAGGGCAGAGGCATCATGACCTAAACACCTCCCTTTAGGCTCCACATCCCAGCACTGAAGCATTGGGGATTGTTTCCAGCACATGAGCATTGGGGGACATGTTCAAATAGCAATACTCAATACTACCTGCCATGCCCCACTGGCCAGATTTCCTAGAAACAGTCTAGTTAATTCAATTCAATTATCATGAAGCACTGAGATGCCTGCCAAGTTTCTCCTAATGCAACTATTTTTTAATAATTTTGTTTTTAATGTCAGTTCAATGGAGTGATAACTGGAGGTTTATGCTGCTGTCTTATACCTCCTCTTTATTAGCTGTCAAGGAATATCTAACTTTAATAATTTTGGACTGTAATCATGTGGTTCTACCTGGGAATCACCTCTGTAGTTATTCACAGAGAATCATCGTTCACAGTGTATCAGAGTAATCCATAAGAATTACCACAGTAATACAAAAGTAGAAATGCATTTCACTCTTCTTTCACACAGAATTTCAAGTTACTCTATCAGCTCATTACTACTAGTAAAGCAAAATATTTATTTGTTGTCCAATTTTAAATTGTGGTCCTTGTTTAAAATAATTTCAATGCAAAAGTTCCCCAAGGAAATAGTGAGAGATCTAGGCTTAGAAAATGTTTTATTAGTCCTTTAATTTCACAGAAACTTCCTTTTCCTTTGACTCCTAATTTGTTTTTGTGATTTTTTAAGTTTATTGTTATACATTTCTATTTTTGCCATCTGTACTGATGACATAAAAATAGAAGATTATCTGAGAATCCTTATTTTTACAAAATCCCCTTGTCAGGCCGGGCATGGGGGCTCACGCCTGTAATCCCAGGACTCTGGGAGGCCAAGGCGGGCAGATCACCTGAGGTCAGGAGTTTGAGACCAGTCTGCCAACATGGCAAAACCCTATCTCTACTAAAAATACAAAAATTAGCCGGGCTTGGTGGCACATGCCTGTAGTCCCAGCTACTCGGGAGGCTGAGGTAGGAGAATCGCTTGAACCTGGGAGGCGGAGGTTGCAGTGAGCCGAGATCTTGCCACTGCGCTCCAGCCTGGGCAACAGAGCGAGACTCCACCTAAAAAAACAAAAAAATCCCCTTGTCAGTACTTGGCCTGTCTGCATGGAGTTATTGTTTCTACATTCTTTGACTCATTTTGCCTACTAATCAGTCAATTCAATCAAACAATTGTTTTGACCAATTGTTTTCAAAGAATTAATATAGCCAGCTTTTTATATTGACTTTGTAGAATCATCATCTGATACCAGTAAATTCTATAATTCTGTTTTCATAATGAAGTCAGTAACCATTCTGTTTCACTGGCATATAGAGGAGATTTGCACCTTGGTCATTGCTGAGGTGTTTGCAGAAGATTCTGGGTGCTTCACATGTACTGCAAGCAACAAATACGGCACAGTGTCAAGCATTGCACAGCTGCACGTGAGAGGTAAGGACTCTTTAATGCTAGAACAGTTTAGCCTATGACTTTGAGTGTGAATATGCAGATTTTGTGTTTCCATTCCTTCCTGTTTTTCATACAAAGCTGGCTTGGCTCTTCTAAAAAGATTTGAATTATTGAGGAAAATGTTCTTGAACAGTGTCCAATTTTCAACTTCTTATTGCGCTTACAGCCACCACCCCAGTTAACCTGCTGTCATCACTATATTTCCTGAGAACATCTCCTCAATAAATTTCTAAATTTCTTTCCAAAAGGGTACTTAGATTTTAAATTTAGTTTTTTATTTTTAATTTAATTTTTTCCTGTATCCTTACCATTCTTTAATGCCCAGATGATGATCTGTTTTTGACAAGCATTTTCCCATTCATACATTCCTCTGGTGTGAACACTTTCCCATTTGTGCACATGCCCCAATTCAGGCTTACAGTGGCTGACAGCTCAGGTCCTGTGATTGTCCTTTCAGGAAATGAGGACCTCAGCAACAACGGGTCTCTTCACTCAGCCAACTCTACCACCAACCTGGCAGCTATTGAGCCACAGCCCTCCCCACCCCACTCAGAGCCTCCATCTGTGGAACAACCCCCCAAACCCAAACTCGAGGGGGTTCTGGTGAACCACAATGAGCCCCGGTCCAGCTCCAGGATTGGGCTTCGTGTGCACTTCAACCTGCCTGAAGATGACAAAGGAAGTGAAGCATCCTCCGAGGCTGGTGTGGTGACCACCAGACAGACCAGGCCCGATTCTTTCCAGGAGAGGTTCAACGGACAGGCAACAAAAACCCCAGAGCCTTCTTCCCCCGTGAAAGAGCCCCCTCCAGTTCTGGCCAAACCCAAACTGTAAGTAAAAAGTAGGATGAATAACCAGGAGCTTCTGTGATCTTTTCTTGAATCTGATCTCCTTAAAAGTAATGGAACTCAGCTAGGCACAGTTGCTCACACCTGTAATCCGAGCACTTTGGGAGGCTGAGGCAGGAGGATCGCTTGAGCCCAGGAATTCGAGACCAGCCGGGGAAAAATAGTGAGACCTCTGTCTCTAAAAGAAAAATTTTAAAGTAAAAAAATTAGCAGGCATGGTGGTGCACACCTATAGTCCTAGCTACGTGGGAGACAGAGGCAGGAGGATCACTTGAGCCTAGGAGTTTCAGGCTACAGTGAGCTGTGATCGTGCCACTGTACCCCAGCCTGGGTGACAGAGCAAGACTTGTCCAGGAAAAAAAAAGATGGAACCAAAAAGGGGAATTCCCAAATGAGAAAATACACATTAAATGTTTTGCCAAATGTACATCCTTACATCAATAGAAGCATGCTATCACTATTATCCTTAATTAATAATCTACCTCCAAGCAATGTTGCACTTAAACTAATTCAGAAACATTTGTCTGACATTCTGACATCAGAGTCCCCAGGTAAAGTACTTCTGTGCTTCTCTCATAAAGACTTTTTTTGTGTCTAATCGTCTTTACAGTCTGTAATTTCATCCTTATATTTCCCATTTCTGCTTCAACTTAAGCTTCTGTAGTCATTATGGAAAAACTATTTAGTAATTTTTAGATAGTTCCTAGCTGCAGCTGGATGAATATAATAGGATGAATAAGTGGTCATGATTTTCTGACTCAACTCAGGAGCCTACTGTGGTTGTTGCCCTGACTCTCTAGAAAGCCATGTTGCAATGTTTAAAATGTCCATCCATAACAAAGCAAATAAAGGGCATGATATTGCTATTATTTCCTGTTTCATCCACACATCAAAATGATAAAAAAATTGTTTCTAATTACAGAAACCTTTAAATATCAACATCAAAATCTACAGTCCCAGTGCACCCACTGTGTGTTGCTCATCACCATGAGATGTTCACTAGAAGCCATTCGTGTTTAGTTTCATATTCTGCTCACCACTATATAAGGCAAAATTCTGGACATAAGATTCAATGTTGTGAAACATGCCTCTAAGCAAGTCACATCCAGAAATGTCAGTCCCCTCAAAGTCCTGTCAGTCACAGGAAACAGGAATCCACTTAAAGTAAAAAGAGGGGAAGAGGTTATTGCAGGGATATAGGCAGAAATGGGTAAACCAAACACAACCAAATCCTGCAGGAGAAGAACTAGAGAGGCGGGAACTGGGCCTTTTCACCTGTCACTCAGGATCACAGGTCAGTCCAGCCTCTGTCTGATGGAGCTTGCGCGGCTGGTTCGCCCTCTGTCTACGTGAGCATCTCCTTGTTTCCTCTTTACTTATCTGATCCATTCTTCTCTCTTTGAAGACCCATCAGCTCATAAGTGGCCCATCATGGCCATGTCCCCATTCCACATCATGATCTGTGTCAAGTACCACTGTTAACTAAATCAGTCTCAGCCCCTCAACTCCCAATTCTATTTGGTTCAGGCTGATCAGGTGACCTCCTGCCCCCTCCCCAGTACACTCAACTGTTAGAGGATTTATGTTTGGAAGAAACTGGGTGGGAGAAGTTCTCAGAGAAGGGAGTTACAGGGAACAGGTAACCCCAAACAACCTCCTGGGGAATTGCCTCCTTTGTAGGACTGTCTCTTCCCCAGTAACAGTTTTAGGGGCCGTTACATATGATGATGGAAAAAAAATTCTGCCAAAATATTTAAAGAGGTTTATTCTAAGTCAATATGAGTGACTGCGGCCCAGGGAAATACAGTCTCCAGAGGTCCTGAGAAAGTGCACCCAAGGCAGTCAGGTTGCGGTTTGGTTTTATGCGTTTCAGGAAGACAAGAATTGCAGGTAAAATCATAAATCAATACAAGAAGACAAACATTGGTTTGGCCCAAAAAGGCAGAACATCTCAAAGCAGGGACTTACCAGTCATAGGTGGGGCTGGGGATTCTATGGCTGGCAATTGAAAGAGTTAAGTTTTGTCTGAAAACTTGGAGTCAGTAGAAAGGATTGTTCAAGTTAAAATAAGGGAATCCGCTGTTTGTCATGTGATGCCATGCCAGAGTCGGGATGAAAAGAAAACCACCATACACGGGGTCAAAAAGGCCTGTTTCAAATTAGCCAGGTGTGGTGGCGCGTGCCTTTAATCCCAGCTACTCAGGAGGCTGAGGTGGGAGAATTGCTTGAACCCAGGCACAGAGGTTGCAGTGAACCAAGATCGCGCCACTGCACTCCAGCGTGGGCGACAGAATGAGATTATTTCTTAAAAAAAAAAAAAAAAAAAAAAAAAAAAAGACCTGTTTCATGAGATTTTATGGCTTGTAGAAGTGACTTTCCGGCCAGGCATGGTGGCTCATGCCTGTAATCCCAGCACTTTGGGAGGCCAAGGCGGGCGGATCACGAGTTCAGGAGATCGAGACCATCCTGGTTAACACGGTGAAACTCCGTCTCTACTAAAAAAAAAAAAAAAAAAAAAAAAAAATTAGCCAGGTGTTGTGGCGGGCGCCTGTAGTCCCAGCTACTTGGGAGGCTGAGGCGGGAGAATGGCGTGAACCCAGGAGGTGGAGCTTGCAGTGGGCCAAGATCGCGTTACTGCACTCCAGCCTGGGCAACAGAGTGAGACTCCGTCTCAAATTAAAAAAAAAAAAAAAAGAAGTGACTTCTCTCTCTAGGCCCCTTAGAATAGGATTTGAGCATGGAAAAAGGTCAGAGTTCAGTCCTCAGGTACGTCGGTTAGGATTAAGTTGAGCTTCACTTTGCAGACAACCCAAACTAACAGGGTTTAAATACTTGAGGGTTTATTTTCTCTCACATAAAGTAGACAGGGAGTCTGGGGCTGTGATGTGGGTTCCATGGTCATTAAGAATCCAGTCTCCTTCTGTCTTTCTGCTCTGCCATCCCAAACACTGGCTTCTTCTCCAGGTCCCCTCATGGTCCAAGACGGCTGATGGTGGTCAAGTCACCACATCTACAGTTCAGGCAGTCAGAAGGGACAATGGGCAGAAGTCATAGCCTTTTTTTTTTTTTCTCCAAGATGGAGTCTTGCTCTGTCACCCAGGCTGGAGTGCACTGGCGTGATCTCAGCTCACTGCAACTTCTGCCTTCCGGGTTCAAGCAATCCTCCTGCCTCAGCCTCCCGAGTACCTGTGATTACAGGTGCACACCACCACGCCTGGATAATTTTTGTATTTTTAGCAAAGAAGGAGTTTCACCATGTTGGCAAGGCTGGTCTCAAATGCCTGACCCTGTGATCTACCCACCTTGGCCTCCCAAAGTGCTGGGATTACAGGTGTGAGCCACCCACCGCACCCAGACAAAAGTCACACTCTTGATGTTAGAATCCCTTCTAAGGAGACTTCTTAGAGGTTTCAACCAAAATCTGCTTCTGCCTCTTTGGCCAGAATTTAGGCAGATGGGACACTAGTTGCAAAGGAGGCTGGAAGTACAGTCCCTAGCTGCACATATTGCCACCATGAACAAAATCGGGTTCTTTTACAAGGGGGGAATTAAGTAGACAGCAGTGCCTGCCACATGAGACTTCCAATTAATATAAGACGTCTTTCTACTAAATCATGTAGTGACACCCTCTAAAAACATAGTTCTCAGCACTATATAATTCTTTAATATTCTTTGCCTTCCTTTTCTCTTGTATATATGTATATGTTTACATTAGTATAGATATGAATATATATATTCACACCACATACACATACACCACACCCTTTGTAAATCTACATGCCTACAACCTTTTCTTACTAGTTTTAACCTCATTAGTTTAACCTCACAACTTTGCATTAAAATATATTGACTCAGTCTTCTCAAGGATACAATTTTCTGCTTGTTCCTTCAATTTGCTATTCATATGGAAAATAGAGATAATGTAGATCTTAAAATTGCTACAGAAAGGGAAGCTGTCATTTTTAAACCTTGTATCATCAAAGCCTGACTTTGAAATTTCAGATTGAATATTAAGCTGTCTAGAGCAGTGATTCCTCACCCTGGCTACACTCTAGAATAAAATGTGGAGCTTTTAAAAAACATTTATGCCCTCCAACTCAATTGAATCAGAATCTCTCCACAGATTATTTTAATGTGCAGCCAGTTTGGAAATCACTGGTCTAGAGTTAGAGAAATAACCCCGGCCGGGCATGGTGGCTCAAGCCTGTAATCCCAGCACTTTAGGAGGCCAAGGCAGGTGGATCACTTGAGGTCAGGAGTTCTAGACTACCCTGGCCAACATGGTGAAACCCCGTCTCTACTAAAAATACAAAAATTAGCCAGGCATGGTGGTGCATGCCTGTCATCCCAGCTACTTAGGAGGCTGAGGCAGGAGAATCGTTTGAATCTAGGAGGCAGAGGTTGCAGTGAGCTGAGATCATGCCACTGCACTCCAGCCTGGGTAACAGAGCAAGACTCTGTCAAAAAAAAAAAAGAAAGAAAGAAAGAAAAAAGAAATAACCCTGAGAGTTGCTACTATTCCCCACTCCCTACCACCCACCCGCTATACCCAGGAAAACACAATAATTAACATTTAAAAGTGAGATAATGTCAGACAAAAGTCAGAATATACTAGGAAAGCCTATGCTTTGGGGCCAAATGTTTCTTTAGGGCAGCAGTTCTCAGTCCTGGATGACTGTGAGAATCACCTGGGGCTTTGTGGTTGGCAGACCCGCTGCATCAGCATCACCTGGAAGCTTGGTTGGAATGCAGACTCCCAGGCCCCACCCTACACCTGCCGAATGAGAAACTCTGGGGATGGGGGCCAGAAACCTGTGTTTTAACAGGCCCTCCAGAGGATTCTGAGGCCCAGTAAAGTTTGAGAATGACTGACCTACATTTGAAAAGATAATAATAACTCTGTCTGAATTCCATCCCAGGTAAATTAACTCTGAGCAGGTGCCTAAAGCAGCAAGGTTCATTTGTCTTTTACAGTCTCCAGGTGATTCAAATGTGCAACCAGCACAGTGACTACTGCTAAAACCACAGCAGATTTACTCAGAACTAGTTTTCCAAGTCAGTGATGCACTGGCAAATGTTTAATGACTGACAGGGGTGAGAAAGCCCTGATTTTTAGCATTTGCACCAATTTCAAGCTACTAAGAGAAAGTCATCGAATGGGTAGTTGAGATGTGCACTACCTGTTCTTCAAAGCCAGTGAACTGGCTCCAGCACACACTGCCAGAAATTGTCATTGCCAAAACTGCTTTCAAAAGTACTTGATACAGTATCTCAAGTTGGTTGTCTGGCATTTTATCTTAAGAATTCAAAATCCTTAATAATTTCTTTTATATTCCTTATAATGCAGAGTCTTTGTGTCCCAAAAGCAACACATATTTCCAAAGAACATAAAACCAGCAAGGCGCTTGCCTGTAATTCTAGCACTTTTGGAGGCCAAGGCGGGCAAATTGCTTGAGCTCAGGAGTTTGAGACCAGCCTGGGCAACATGACGAGACCCCCAACTCTACAAAAAATATAAAAAATTGCTGGGTGTGGAGGCACGCACCTGTGGTCCCAGCTACTTGGGAGGCTAAGGCAGGAGGATCACTTGAACTCAGGAGGTTGGGGCTACAGTGAGCCGTGATTGTGCCACTGTACTCCAGCCTAGGTGACAGAGTAAGACTCTGCCTAAAATAATTAAATAAATAAAAATAGAATAAAGAACATATAATTAGTGGTCCTGAAGCACTGTGATCTCACTTATGGGTCTTCCCGTGGTTACTCATTCAACAGTAGATTCTCCTAAACATCAAAGTTTGACAGCCTTAATGACTTTATGCATATATGATTTTAAGACATTTTTGTTGCACTTTCTTTGTTAAAAAATAACTCTTTTGTGAAGAGAAATTCAATAGACCATTGAATTCAATGGACCATTAAGGCAAATCACGTGATGCCTCTGTGACTCAGGTTCTATAAATGGAGAAACTGCTTCCAGTTTGATCTTTCTCCTTTTAGGAACAATAAAAGTCTAAGGCAAGGTTTATAATCAGGGTGAGCATATAATCATCATTCAAATTAGGACATTTCTGAGAGTGAAAGTGAGTTCTATTAATAATGATGTCAGGGCCGGGCACGGTGGCTCGCGCCTGTAATCCCACCAGTTTGGGAGGCCAAGACGGGCAGATCATTTGAGGTCAGGAGTTCAAGACCAGCCTGGCCAAAATGGTGAAACCCTGTCTCTACTAAAAATACAAAAATTAGCCGGGCATGGTGGCAGACACCTGTGGTCCCAGCTACTTGGGAGGCTGAAGCACAAGAATCACTTGAACCCAGGAGGCAGAGGTTGCAGTGAGCCAAGATCGCACTACTGCACTCCAGCCTGGGCAACAGAGTGAGACTCTGTCTCAAAAAAAAGAAAAACAAAAACAAAAATAATGATGCCAGGAAAAGATGTTAAACCAGGACCTTCCTGAATGTATGGGGACATATGGTCACCTTATCTATAAAGGTTTGTTATCGCGAGAGAATGAGAAACCTCTCTGAGACACATCCGGCTTCTTTGTTAAGGTCGGCTCTAAAACAAGGCAGAGTGGAGAATACAGCATGTTCTCATGGAGAATTCAGCCCTTTTCAGTAACTCACACTGGCATGTAGCTCAGTGCCTTCTGTTCTGAAGCTGGGATACTTTCCTCTGGTCATCAGAACTTTGAGCACTGCCTACAAGAGAAACATTGTCTCTATTTCTCTTTTCCAATTTATAAACTCTTTGTTGCACAACTCCAAGGTCGCAATACAAAGAATACAGTGTGAAGGACGCCCTTGGAAAGAAGGAAAGACAAACTCACCAATTATTGATCAGCTGATTTCTTGCCACTCTGGTTGTGTGTTCTTTATCAACATCAAGTTATTTTATTTATTTATTTATTTATTTATTTATTTATTTATTTATTTATTGAGATGAGTCTCACTCTGTCACTGAAGCTGGAGTGAGGTGGCAAGATCAGGACTCACTGCAATCTCCGCCTCCAGGCTCAAGCCTGGGATCTCAAGTGATCTTCCTGGGATCCTCCTGGGATCACTAAAGCAATCCTCCCACCACAGCCTCCTGAGTAGCTGGGGCTACAGGCGTGCACCACCATGTCTGGCTAATATATATGTATATATAATTTTTTTTTTTTTTGTTAGAGACGGGGTTTCACCATGTTGCCCAGGCTGGTCTCAAACTCCTGGACTCAAGTGATCCACCTGTCTCCGCCTCCCAAAGTGCTGGGATTACAGGCATGAGCCACCATGCCCCGCCTATCATCAAGTTATAAACAGTCTGTCTGAACATTGTTTGAAAGGTGAGGCCAATAATAACACATTTCCTTCTCTCTCTCCACCCTTGTTTTGTGTACAGTGATTCCACTCAGTTACAACAGCTTCATAACCAAGTCTTACTGGAACAACACCAATTGCAAAACCCACCTCCTTCATCTCCTAAGGAGTTTCCTTTCAGCATGACTGTTTTGAACTCCAATGCTCCCCCAGCGGTGACAACATCCAGTAAGCAGGTGAAGGCTCCTTCATCACAGACGTTCAGCTTGGCCCGGCCGAAGTATTTCTTCCCCTCCACGAACACCACCGCAGCAACTGTGGCCCCTTCCAGCTCTCCGGTGTTCACTTTGAGCAGCACTCCTCAAACTATTCAGAGGACAGTGAGCAAAGAAAGCCTCTTAGTGTCTCACCCCTCTGTGCAAACCAAATCTCCAGGAGGGCTTTCCATCCAAAATGAGCCACTCCCACCAGGCCCAACAGAACCAACACCACCACCATTCACATTTTCCATCCCCAGCGGAAACCAGTTTCAGCCCCGCTGTGTGTCCCCAATTCCTGTCTCTCCTACCAGCCGGATTCAGAACCCAGTGGCTTTCCTCAGCTCTGTTCTGCCTTCTCTCCCTGCCATCCCACCCACAAATGCCATGGGGCTGCCTAGAAGTGCACCATCCATGTAAGTGTCATTGAGGTTTCTTGATGTAAGATGCTAGTTAAGAGTCGATGTGCACATTGAATAGCTTGATCTGAAACAGGGCTCTCATTTTGTGGATTCCTAGATAATCTTATTCTCTTAGGCACAGAATGGATGTGGAACACTTCAGGACAAAGGGGATGATTACTTTGAATGATTATTAATAATTAAAATATCAGGCTAGGTGTGGTAACTCATGCCTGTAATCCCAGCACTTTGGGAGGCCGAGGAAGGCAGATCACTTGAGTTCTGGTGTTTGACAGCAGCCTGGGCAACATGGTGAAACCCCCGTCTCTAGGAGAAGCACAAAAAATTAGCTGGGCGTGTTGGTGCATGCCTGTAATCCCAGCTACTCAGGAGGCTGAGGCAGGAGAATCATTGAACCCAAGAGGCGGAGGTTGCAGTGAGCCGAGATCACACCACTGCACTCCAGCCTGGATGACAGAGACTCTGTCTCAAAAAAAAAATTTTTTAAATTAAAGTATCAAAAAGACCTTTACAAATACCGATTCTCTGCACAGGGCTTAATTCCCTAAGTGCCTAATGACCGCTGGTTTCTGGTTGTCATTTCAACCACTCTGATTTCTAGGCCTTTTTACCCTGGCCAGTGCTTTTCATGGGTGTGTCAGGTGTGGATTTATCTTACAGGCCATCCCAGGGATTAGCGAAGAAAAATACAAAGTCTCCTCAACCAGTGAATGATGATAACATTCGTGAAACTAAGAACGCAGTGATTCGAGACTTGGGGAAAAAAATAACTTTCAGTGATGTCAGACCAAACCAGCAGGTAAGATTGTTGGATTTAGAAGGTTTATTGAAATTTTATTGTAAGGAATTTAATTTTGCTTGATTCAGTCCTCGGATACTCAGGTAACCTCAGTGAGGCTGATGTTGCAGCTCAGATGGTAGAGCACAGACTAACCAAAGGTCATGTGAGAAACCTGCCTGTGTGGATCTGCGGTTCGTAATTCTCCCAGTAGTTAACTCAGTTTACTTGTTTACATGTATTTACCCAGAATAGGATATATTAAAGAAGAGAGTAGACAATCTATTGCGCATCCCAGCAATCCTCACCTCAGTTTACAATCTAAACTTTTTTGAAACAGGTCTCGATCTGTCACCCAGGCTGGGGTGCAGTGGTATGATCACGGTTCACTGCAACCTTGACCTCCTGGGCTCAAGTGTTCCTCTTGCCTTAGCTTCCCAAGTAGCTGAGACTACAGGCCCAGCTAATTTTTTTAATTTTTTGTAGAGACAGGGGTCTTGCCATGTTGCCCAGCCTTGTCTCAAACTCCTGGGCTCAAGCAATCCTCCTGCCTCAGCCTTCCAAAGTGCTGGGATTACAGGCATAAGACACCACACCCAGCCTATGACCTAGACTTTAAGGAATTCTGGGGTTCTAAGCTGTCTAATCTTCAATCTAATGTGCTTAAAAGTTTGATCACCAGTACCTCTCAATCCTTATATTAGGTTGAATCATGTGAAATAGCCATTAGGCAACATCCTGTTGTTCATCCTATACAACTCTTTGCTTTCTAGTAAATGCTTACACCAAAGGAAAAAGAGGAAAGCCACCTGTGAGCATCATTCAAACAAAAGAAAGATAGACTGAACGTTTTCTTATTTGAGGCATTTATTTTTGCTTTTGAGAATCCAGTGGTTATTTTTAATGCAGGTTTACATTATAATAATCTAACTCTTGGTTTATTTCCCAAGATTGGAACTGATAAAAATATTACAAAATTTCAGTCAGTACAGTATGCCAAATATTGTGGAATTTGTGGACTCCTAGAAACAAAGCTCTCGACTTCCCAGACCATATGCTGTTTTCCTTAGTGTTTCTGTCTCTTACTTCCAGTGGAGCCATGGATATATAGTAATTCGCAATTGTGTTATATATTGAGCAACTTATACTGAGTGGATTCTTTTGAAAATGTGCTTCTTAAAATCTTTTAAAAATTCACTTAAAATTATTAAGGAGAATATTTAAACTTGCCATAACTGAGTATACTTTTCATGGATTATTTCACCAAATTTCATCTATTTCTGGGAGGCAAATGCCAACGCTACTATTCTTCTCTTCCATCTTCTAGACAGAGAAACTAAGGCACAGGCTCAGTAGTGGAACTAGAACTAGAGCTATGGTTTCTAGGATACTCTCACATTTTCCCTGAAACGCTGCAGTGTTTTCAGTTTTACAGAACAGTTACCTTCAAGCTCTATACATGTTGCTCTGTCTAATGCAGATTTGTTTTCCTATAATACTGTCACCACACTTGTGGTTGTTAATCCTTCTAAGTGTCATTGTAATTATAGCTGTATTCAGCCTATGTCTTTTACAACTCGGAGAGAGAGCAATTAGAGCCTTGTAAAAACAATGCTAGCTTGCACATACGCTGTTTGATTTTACTTTTATAGTTACTCTGTAGGTAGATCCAGGATACCCCATTGCCCAGCTCAGGGGAAAGAAGGGTTTTTCTCTTAGTTACCTGACATGTGTGTACATGTAAACGTGAAATTCCACAAGTTGAATGCCATAAACCCAGTAGAAATCTCTCTTAAACCTCCATCATGAATTAACTTCTGGACTAATCGCAGGAACTAGGAAAGTCTCTAAAAGCACCTCAACACTCTCCTCTGAATATTTGTGACATATGTCATTCTCCTGAGAATTATTATTCTGAGAATTATTGCAGTTGGTTAATTACAGAATTGATCTTAGACTACATTCCATGCCATGGATAATGAAATCCAAGCTGCATAAATGAAATTTGGGAAACTGGGAGCTGTCTGAGATGGAATGCTTGCATTTGGATGGCAGATGTTGACTCTGAGGAAGTTTTGGGAAATAAAATGATGATCATATTATAATATTGTTTTATCCATTGCTGTCTTCGGAAATGATAGTAAAAACATCATGAAGAACTGTCTAAAATATACTGTGACCCACGCTGGTGAAGTTAAGAAGAAAGTCAGCTTAGGAAAGTGTAAAAACACTAGACAAGCAGAGAAAGATTATGAAGAGACCCCTGTGTATTGATAGTCGTCTAGGCCTGCAGTCCGGGGTCACAGGAATGAAAATAATCTGTGTTCTCATTCCCATATTAGCCTACACATGTGGGAATGGGGTGCAAATGATTCCTTCGGAAGAGTATGCATTTGTTTTGCTTTGAAAACTTTTAGGTCCAGAAAGCTGGGTTCTCTTGCCCTATTTTAGTTCTAAGTAAATAAAGAATACACTGTCCTAGAACATTTGCATGATCTAGCATTAACACATTGTGCTGAGCATGAAAATAAATCAGAAGTCCTTGAACAATGAATATTACTGACTATAAACAATTTTCTCCCCAGAACTCAAATTTATAAATTATGTTTTAAAATGTGTTTTCTTTGATGTATCTACCACTTTGTGTTTCTCTGTTGTGATAGTTCAGTCTTTGCCTTTTAACTCATCTTACGTATTTACAATTAGCAAGTAACATTTGTAGATTCTTAGAACCTTTTGAAATGAGAAGGTGCCATCCTTTCAGAGGCTCATATTTATTAAAATTTTTAGCTTTCTAAACTTACAACAAAGTGTCTTTGAGTTGGGGATGAGCCAAGAGAAAGGTTTCCTTATTTCTAGATTTTTAGGCTGCATCATTTGCTATTTTGAAGAGTACCATTCATCACCAGTGGATCTTGACTGGACATCAATAAATCCTAAATGGTTTAGGTTAGAATGGTGAATCTGAAAAGTCAAAGGAATCCAGGATCACGGCCGGGCATGGTGGCTCAGGCTTGTAATCCTAGCACTTTGGGAGGCCGAGACAGGCGGATCACTTGAGGTCAGGAATTCAAGACCAGCCTGGCCAACAGTGAAACCCCGTCTCTACTAAACATACAAAAATTAGATGGGTTTGGCAGTGGGTGCCTGTAGTCCCAACTACTCGGGAGGCTGAAGCAGGAGAATCACTTGAACCCAGGAGGTGGAGGTTGCAGTGAGCCGAGATCATGCCATTGAGCTCCAGTCTGGGTGACAGAGCGAGACTCTGCCTCAAAAAAAAAAAAAAAGGAATCCAGGATCACAAAGCATAATGGAGCTTTCATGACAAATGATTTTAATTCATACATGACTTAGCATGAAGTTCTGCACCCAGTAAATATTTGTTGACTAGCTATGTTGACTGAGTGTTAATTTCTAATCTCCATTTCCCACCCCTCTACCCCCAGCTAATGTCTTATTCCAACTTTCCTCCTTGACCTCATTTCTCTGGAAACTTTCCCATCTCGTTATTTGGTCCTCTCACACCCCCTGCTTTTTATTATTATTATTAATGTTTCTTTTAAACTATCTGCAGTTTCCAGATACTGCCCTACGTGACAGAGGAAAAAAAAATAAGTACCTCCTAATTTTTGTTCTGCCTTTTGTTCCTCTAATCTCCTTCTTCTCTGAACTGTTCTGTCAGTTCTTCTATTTAAGTCTTTCCTCTTTCATCTCTTACCATGAATTCTTTATGACAATCCTCTTTTGTGAGCCGTGAATAGTCATGCCATTCATTCCCTTTCTAACAAGAATTTCACATTGGCCTTACATTCTACTTTGTAAGGCCACTGGCTTTATGCTGCCCACTTTGGGCATTTCAGGACCTTGGCTGCTGGGATAGTGAAGTGTCTCTGTATCCTCTGCCATGGACCCACACAGAATGCACCAGTCAGGAGCAACCTGGGGGCTCAGACTGGGCGGTGTCTTGTTCATTGCTGCATCCCTGTTGTGCATGGTGCAGAGTAGGTGCTCAGTGAACATTGCTGAATCAACCCACGACTATGGGATTTACATTAGTTTCAGAAAAGGTAATAAAACTGTTAACCAAGTAGAAAAGTTTGGATTTGTTGCAAAACTATGGAAAATAGTTCACTTGACTATATAGATTCTGATTATACCTCATTATGGATACTACCCACTATGGTAACAATCCAACTTAATTAGCTGATTTTAAAAGATGAAAACTTTTTTATTTTTTTGAGACAGAGTATCACTCTGTCACCCAGGCTGGAGTGCAGTGGTGCGATCTCCACTCATTGCAGCCTTGACTTCTCGGGCTCAAGTGATCCTCCCACCTCAGCCCTACCCCCAGTGGCTGGGTCTACAGGTGCAAGCCACCACACCCTGCTTATTTGTAGTTTTTTTAATAGAGAGGAGGTTTCGCCAAGATGAAATCTTTTAAAAACACACAGAAATTAAACAAAACTCTTGTGTTAACCAAACATTTAAGTATAAAGTAAATCTGTGCATCTTTTAATAATTCTTTATTCTTAAGTACAAAATTGGATTGAAAGTATTTTTAGGTAAGCTCCTTGAAGGTAGAGTCTGTGTTTTGCAGAATGTTGTATCCCCATTGTCTATCACAGTGTTTAGCACATAATAGGTACTTACTAAGAATTTGGCAGCAGAGACAGGGTAGGCTATGATAACTAGTTATTTCTACTGAAGGCAACAAGTGATGTTAGATAAATGGCAAAATAAATTATCTTCTAGTTATGTTAACCTCCAAGTTTCTGTCACCCAGGCTGGAGTGCAGAATGCAGTGGCGCATTCTCTGCTCACTGCAACCTTCAGCTCCCAGGCTCAAGCAATTCTCCCACCTGAGACCTCCAAGTAGATGGGACTACAGGCACGTGCCACTACTCGTGGCTAATTTTTGTGTTATTTGTAGAGATAGGGTTTCACCATTTTGCCCAGGCTGGTCTTGAACTCCTGAGCTCAAGCGATCCACCCGCCTTAGCCTCCCAAAGTGCTAGGATTACAGGCGTGGGCCACTGTGCCCGGCCTACCTCCAAGTTTATTTAAGAATCCTTTCTTCTGTCTCTAAACTCTGTCTGTCTCTGGAAAGAAAAGGAGAACACTTTCTCTAACACACAGTGCTTTCTTTTACTGCACATCATACCCAGAATCTGTTGGGAACACTTTGAGCAGGTCTTCTAGCTGGCTTGATCCTGTTTGATTATTTGCCCCTGAAGTCCAGGCTCAGGACCCAGAGTAGAGAAAGCCCGCGGTGAGCTCAGGCAGTGACTGTTGGATCATGGCCCATACCTCAGCAGTGCCATATCCAATTAGGATGCATCATTACATTATGGTTCGCAACAGAAAAACTGTCTCCACCAATTGGAAGGAACTGCCAATTTGAAGAAACTTTTTGCTGATGTGTCCCAGAAATCAAATGTTTCAAGTTGTCAATTTATCAGCCTGAAGAGGATTATCTTTTTTAAAAAAATGGTTATATTTTCAAGTGGCATATTCTTCTGAAGTAAATATTTTTAGCTTTTCATTTCCTTTCATAAAGCAACTCTAATTCTATGCAATTCATTAGCCTAGAGAGGATGGGTCATTTCTCATTGATTTAATTTCTATAACACCCAGATTTACACAGAAAAAATATTCTTTCCTTTGAGTGTAGACGTCATCTATGAGCAGCTAACACAAAAACTCCTGTTTTTACTCACAAAGGAGATGAGGCAAGGGAAAATGGAGAACACGGCATAAACCCAGTACTGGACATTTAAAATGGACATTTACAAACAGTGGATTGATAGTGAAACATTTGTGCAGAACAGTGCAGAAAATACCTTTACATTTAATTTTAATTTTTTTTTTTGAGATGGAGTCTTGCTCTGTTGCCCAGGCTGAATTGCAGTGGCATGATCTCGGCTCACTGCAATCTCCGCCTCCTAGGTTCAAGATTCTCCTGCCTCAGCCTCCTGAGTAGCTGGGACTGCAGGTGCTCGCCACCATGCCTGGCTAACTTTTGTATTTGTAGTAGAGATGGGGTTTCACCATGCTGGCCAGGCTGGTCTCGAACTCTTGACCTCAAGTGATCCACCTACCTCAGCCTCCCAAAGTGCTGGGATTACAGGCATGAGCCACCATGCCCGGCCTAACTTCTGCTCCTGATTCCTTCCTTTCTTGATCTTGAAAGGACCTAAGCTGATGCCACATTGACTTTGTTTTGTCTGTGGCCTACAGATGCATGATGGGAACCACAGCACACCCTCTGCCCTGACACACTGTCAAGGCAGCCTTCCACTTTGCCCATCAGCAAAAAGCCAAGCTTGCTCCTCACTCTTTAGATTTCTCAGGCAGGGGGCAGATGGCAAACCCCTGTGTCCTCCTAACTGTAGGAGGCATAGCAAGCTCTCCAAGCTCTCCGATGGACCCTGGACCCTCTCCAAGAGGGTCCATTTAATCTCCCTCGCTAAACTTGAGGTGAAACAAGTACCCCAGGGTTAGGGGTGGAGGTAGGCATCTCACAGACATTAATGGCTCTCTCCAAAGTCCTCTTGCTGGGTCTTCTCCCTCCTGACTCTTGAGTCTGTGATGAAGGTAAAAGGTTGAAATCATCTAAGCTGTCCTTAAGCACCTGCTTTGAAATTTCTGAATAATAATGTGTCTCAAAAGTCACTTGTTTTCTGATATCTAGCCCATCTTGGTGCCTCAGTAGAAACTTCTGATTACAATCTAGTTACAAGTGTATCCTCACTACCTGGTTACTAATGTTATATATATATATAACACATATATATATAACATATATATAACACACATATATATATAACATATATATAACACACATATATATATAACATATATATAACACACACATATATATAACATATATATAACACACACATATATAACATATATATAACACATATATATAACATATATAACACATATATAACATATATATAACACATATATATAACATATATATAACACATATATATAACATATATATAACATATATATATAACATATATACACACACACACACACACACACACACATATATATATATGGCATTTTTTTTTTTGAGATGGAGTTTTACTTTGTCGCCCAGGCTGGAGTGCAGTGGCATGATCTCGGCTCACTGCAACCTGTGCCTCCCGGGTTCAAGTGATTCTCATGCCTCAGCCTCCTGAGTATCTGGGACTACAGGCACTCGCCACCATGCCTGGCTACTTTTTTGTATTTTTAGTAGAGACGAGGTTTCACCCCATTGGACTGGCTGGTCCCAAACTCCTGACCTCAGGTGATCCACCTGCCTCAGCCACCCAAAGTGCTGGGATTATAGGCATGAGCCACCACGCCCGGTCTCTAATAGTATATTTTTAAAAACTCATTGAGTTCTCTGTTTTCATGACCTCTCAACTTGGAGTACTGGTTAAGATAATAAATTTATAGCCAAGTGTGTATTTACTATACACATTTATAGTCAAATAAAATGCACATATTTTCATCATATTGCTTCTGTAGTTCCTTTGGCTAAATCAATTCAAACATTTAAATTCTGTAAAATCAGGCCCCAACTTAAAATCAAGTTCCTAAAATTGTTTGTTTGGAATACATAGAGACAATGTGGTATTTATATTCTCAGGCAGGTGCTTAAAGCTATATATAACCCATTGTATTTCTGAAGTATAAGTATAATCATAACTTACCACCATGTATAATAATATTTCTCTGCGGCCAGGCACGGTGACTCACGCCTGTAATCCCAGAACTTTGGGAGGCTGAGGCGGGCGGATTGCTTGAGCTTAGGAGTTCAAGACCAGCCTGGACAACATGGCGAAACCCCATCTACAAAAAATACAAAAATTAGCTAGGTGTGGGGGTGCTGTGTGCCTGTTGTCCCAGCTATTCGGGAGGCTGAGGTGGGAAGATGGCTTGCGCCCAGGAGGCAAAGTTTGCAAGGAGCCAAGATCACACCGCTGCACTCCAGCCTGGGCAGTAGAGCCAGACCTTGTCTCAAAAAAAAAAATTATTTGGAAAAAAAAATAGTTCATAATACAGAATTTCAGGAATTCATCTTTCCCTGTAATAACTCTAACAGTGTAGTTAGCCAAGAACTTACCAGTTCTCCCCAGTCAGGCAATAGAAGCTGCAGAAAAGGTTCTTTAGCTTGTAGCAAGAACTCTGTTAGAATAGGGGCTAGAGGTGGTATGGATGGATTGGAAATTTGAGGACATAATAAAACAAGATAAGAAGCCATAGAAGGTTAAGACCTCTTGCTTATTGAAAACCCCCAAAGGCCAGGTACAGTGGCTTAGGCCTGTAATCCCAACACTCTGGGAAGCCAAAGTGGGAGGATTGCTTGAGCCCAGTTCAAGACCAGCCTGGGCAATATAGGGAGACCTCATCCCTAGAAAAAAAATTAAAAATTAGCTGGGCATGATGGTGCATACCTGTGGTCTCTGCTACTTGGGAGGCCAAGATGGGAGGACTGCTTGAACCCAGGGAGTTGAGGCTACAGTGAGCTGTGATCATGTCATTGCACTCCAGCCTGGGTGACAGAGTGAGAACCCTGTCTCAAAAAGAAAAAAAAGAAAATCCCTCAGAATACTTCTCCATTTTGGGCTGGCTCCTTGGTTACTCCCTTTATTTTATTCTATAGACCTCAGGGACTGGTATTCTTGTTTCTCTTCATCCATCAAGTTTTTCTTTTGTTCCTGGTAATTTGGATTCAGATACGTAATATCCTGATACAAAGCAAGCAAAGCCTTTGTAAAGGTTTTCAGGAATAACTGGAAACAGACTATGTGAGAGTAAAAAGAGTCTGATATCCACCTTGATATGCCCTTTTCTTCACATAGTCCCATAGGAACAAGGGCCATTCGTAGAGAATTGGTAAAAGGATCGGATGCATGAATGACCCAAATAAGATTTACCAGAGTAAACACGAGGAGTCCAGAGTAAACCCAGATCCTGTGTTAACTGTTGGAGGCATTTTTTTTTAGACGGAGTTTCACTCTTGTCCCCTAGGCTGGAGTGCAATGGCACGATCTTGACTCACTACAACCTCTGCCTCCCGGGTTCAAGTGATTATCCTGTCTCAGACTCCCGAGTAGCTGGAATTACAGGCACACGCCACCACGCCCAGCTAATTTTTGTATTTTTTGAGGCATTTCTTTAAGGAACTGTGGCAGGACATGGAAATGAGATAGGAGCAGAGGAAACAGGAATGGAATGAGGGCGGGCAGCAGACAACAGCAGGGTTGGGTCTGGGGAAACAGCTGCAGCCCCAGTGTCAGGGAAGGGACAGGTTGGGAGACGAAGCCTTGGAGCTTTCTCTTCTGACTTTCGGTGCCTGTGCCCTGTCCTTGGCTGGCCAGCACTAACCAGTCCTGGGAGTATGCTGAGAAGTGGGGGCTGGAAATGGGAGGTGGAGGACCAGGATCTGTAGCATCGAGAGAGGAAAGAGGAGAATCTCTGGTGGGTGAAAAGGAAACATCTGAAGCCACACAGCCTCCCCATTCCTGTTAACCATTTAAGGGTGGATGGCTATAACTTGGTGATGATGGAAACTGGGACTTCCGGCCGGGCGTGCTCAAGCCTGTAATCCCAACACTTTGGGAGGCCAGGGCAGGTGGATTGCTTGAGCTCAGGAGTTCAAGACCAGCCTGGGCAACATGGTGAAACCCCGTCAGAAAGAAGGAGGGAGGGAGGGAGGGAAGGAGGGAAGGAGGGAAGGAGGGAAGGAGGGAAGGAAGGGAGGAAGGGAAGAAGTGAAAAGAAAAGAAAGGAAAGGAAAGGAAAGGAAAAAAGAAAAGAGAAAAAAAGAAAGAAAGAAACTGGGACTTCTGCTTGCTTTAGTCTTTGTTTCTGAAAAATGAACAGAAAACTCTGAAAAGCACAGATTAGCTTTTAGAAAACAATAACATTTTCTTTATGATTTACCCATAGCAAGAGTCCCCAGCTAATTCCCTAGTGGGGGCCTCCAGGGTGGGTGCCATCCACATACCCTCCCCAACACCCCCTGCCACGTACAGGCTCAGTCAGCACCTCTAGGCACTCCTCCTTATGAGCACAGGCACCCAGTCCACACCCCTCCCCACCAATGATCACAGAGCCTGAAATAAATGGAGAACAGCCACCCTCATGAAAAGTTTGGGGTCTAGGATCTGCATGTGGAGTGAGAACTATGTGAATTATTCATTTTGAATGTAATTTGAAAATAGTAAATAATAAAATGTAGCACCTATCTCACATGGTAAGGGAATAAAATGATTTATTGGTTTACTTCTAAACATCCTGGAAAATAAACCCAAATTTATTAAAAAGAAAAGTAATATCAATTTAGAATCATATCAATTTAGAATCATGAATACAATCCAACAAAGAAAAAAAATATCCTGGTGTAATTTTAAACTGGCAAGTCTAGAAAATACTTCAAACTTGTGAGACCATTTAATATATTTCTGGAAAATGTAGTCATTGTGAAGAATTAGGCTGAATCATATGAAACTTCTGATAGTCTACAATTGTTGACCTACAAAAATGTCAGTTTCACATGGTTCTACCTAACAGGTGGATAGTGGAAGCTTTAATTGTTAACTTTTCCCAAAAATATTCCTATAATGTAGGAAATAATCTTAATATATTTCAACTAAATCTGGTTTCAGAATCCAGTAACAATCTTTTACTTTAACTGATTTGAATGATCTCATTAAAAATTAATAAGCTTTGCTGGATGTTAATCACTTTTTCCACCCTATAAGAACTGTGTACTTACTTTTTTTTACCCAGTTTGAGACGAGGCAGAGAGGAGCAGATTTAAAATTGGTTCCAGTAAATTAAAACCAAGAAACACTTGGTTTCTGTAGTTCCAAAGTTAAAATTCTATCCAAATTCAGATGATTATATTGAATGTATAAGGCAGTAATTAGAGAACATCACTAATGTGATTTAGCTTGAGAATGCTTGAGTCCTGAACTCAGTTACTCTCCCGCTGACTAGGGGCAGGTGCATATCAGCCACATGATTCCAAATTCCACTTCAGGAGCATCCCAGTACCATCTCCATAGAGCTCCCCTAAATTATAAAATTAGGGTTAACTAGAGTCATAAATTTAACCAAAGGTCTCACTCTCACCCCAAGCACATGGCTCCAGATTCCCCAAAGATGTGTTAATGTCAGAAAAAGTGATTGCTTCTATTTGATTCATGTATTCACTCATTCTTCAGATCTTATTGAGCGCTCACCTGCCATGGTGCAGGTACTCTTCTAGGTGCTGTCAATATAGGGAGAAGGAAGACAAGATCCCTGCTCTAGCGGAGCTAACATTCTAACACTTGAAGATTCAATCATTCAATCAATAAACAAACAAGAAAAATACTAGATAGTAACCAGTGCTATGTAGAGAATTAGAATGGGGAGTTACATTAGATGAAGGGATCTGGGGAGGCTGCTTTGGGGAGGTGACATTTAAGTTTGATGGGCAGGCTATGGCAGGGAGAGGGAGTAAGAGGAATCCAGGATGAGTCCTAGATTTAGGGTTTACTTAGTGCTGTCAAAGTGTGGTCCGAGGACCTGTGCCAGCCTGCAAGATGTCACCTCTCTGCCTTGAGATTAGCACAAAAATTAAGAGTAACCATTCAGGGCTGGGCATGGTGGCTCACACCTGTAATCCCAGCACTATGGGAGACTGAGGTGGGTGGATCACTTGAGGTCAGGAGTTCGAGATCAGCCTGGCTAACATGGTGAAACCCTGTCTCTACTAGAAATACAAAAGTTAGCTGGGCATGGCAGAGGGCGCCTGTAATCCCAGCCACTGCACTCCAGCCTGGGCAACAAAACAGAGGGAAGACTCCATCTCAAAAAAAAAAAAAAATAGTAACCATTCAGAAAATTTCATAGAAATTTGACAGGGAAGTTTTATATAGTATACAATAATTTTGCATTTCTTTCATTTGGCTAGTAATTTGTTTTTATTTTACTTTACAAAAGTGCAGCCTGGAAATTTTTAAAACCTGATTTTCATGGTAGACAGTGTGAGAAACATTGGTTTAATCACTCAACCAAGTGGTGAATAGTGGTGCCATTTCCTGAAATGAGGAAAAGTAGGTTACAAGTATCTCTTGGGGACAGAAATCAAGCATGTGCTGTTTGAGCCATCCTGTCTGAAATGCCCATTAGACACCATAATGTAGAGTAGTAGTATATGACTCTGGAATTCTGGGAAAGAGACCAGGCTTGGAGATATGGATTTGGGAGTCATCAGCAGAAAGTATCTGAAGCTAGGAGATTGGATGAGCTCACCTAGAGCAGAGGAGCACAGGAGACTGGTGCAGTGAGAGAAAGAGAAGGAAAGACCAGTATGGTGTGTCACGGAAGGAAATGTTTCAAAAGGAAAAAGTAGTCATCTGTGTCTAATGCTGCTTAGATCAAGTAAGGTAAGAATGGATAAATGACAATTAGATGTGGCATATTTGGAGACCCTACAGTAGCAATCTCAGAGGAAGAAAAAGAACACAAGACTAATTGAAGTAGGTTAGCAAGAGAATAGGTGACAATGAAACAATCTCATAACATTAGAGGATTATTTCACATGGTTTTGTTGTGAGGGGGGCAGAGAGATGCAGTGAAAGCAGACATGGGGTTAAGAGAGATTTTTTTCTTTTTCTTTTCTTTTTCTTTGACACAGAGTTGTGCTCTGTTGCCCAGGCTGAATTGCAGTGGCATGATCTCAGCTCACTGCAACATTTGCCTCCTAGGTTCAAGCAATTCTCATACCTCAGCCACACCAGTAGCTGGGATTATAGGTGTGCACCGCCACACCCAGCTAATTTTTGTATTTTTAGTAGAGACAGAGCTTTTCTGTGTTGGCCAGGCTGGTCTCGAATTCCTGGCCTCAGGTGATCCACCTACCTCAGCCTCCCAAAGGGCTGGGATTACAGGCGTGAGCCACCATGCCTGGCCTCTTTTTTTTTTTTTTCTATCATTCTTGTATTGTTACAGTAGAGATATATTTTTCAAGACAGGTTTTCCTCAAGTGTGAAGATGGAAAAATCCAGTAGAGACAGGAAGCTGGTGATGCAGGCATGTATCAGAATGCAGTTCAGAATGGCTTTGCCAAAATAATGCTATAGGAAGTTTTCCATATTGAAAGGAACACTAATAGTAGCTCTGAAAATTATATTCCATCTACATTCCATTTCCTACAGAATTCTCCTGGGGCTGCATGCTCAGGTGGAAAATCAGGATTCACTAAGGCCGTGTGGGATTTTAGGAGAGACACTGACATTTCCTTTAGTGCTCCATGGTGAGAAACTGGATCTGGAACATACCTGGTTCATTTGGATTTCATGGTATAAATCTAACGTCTGAATCTTAAAAAGTGGCTTCCTCAATTGTACTGATGGACATGTTCTTCCTTGCCATATGGAAATTGAAACACGTTTGTCATTTTGACAGGAGTACAAAATTTCAAGCTTTGAGCAGAGGCTGATGAATGAAATAGAGTTTCGCTTGGAACGTACTCCTGTTGATGAATCAGATGATGAAATTCAACATGATGAGATCCCCACGGGCAAGTGTATTGCTCCCATCTTTGACAAGAGACTCAAGCACTTCCGGGTCACAGAAGGCTCTCCAGTTACATTCACCTGCAAAATTGTTGGGATACCTGTTCCAAAGGTAGGGAAGATGACAAGCCAGTTGGCCACCTCACAGCATGAAGCTATAGACAGTGCCTTCAAGAAGGTCTTTAAAAAATATACGCAATGTTTTTTCTTCTTTTTTGTATTTGTTATTGATATAGTTGTACATGTTTTAGGGTATATGCAATATTTTGATACATGTATACAATGTGTAATGATCAAATCAGGATAACTGAGATATCCATCACTCAAACATTTATCTTTTTTGTGTATTGGGAACATTACAGTTTTTCTCTTCTAGCTATTTTGAAATATACAAGTTATTATTAACTATAATTTTTCCACTGTGCTATCAAGTACTAGAACTTATTTCTTCTATCTAACTGTGTGTTTTTACCCATTAACCAACCTCTCTTCATTCCCTTCTCCCATCTATCCTTCCCAGCCTGTGGTAACCACCATTCCACTCACCACCTCCATGAGATCATTTCCTTTAGCTCCCACATGTCAGTCAGAACATGCAATACATGCCTTTCTGTGCCCAGCTTACTTCACTTAACATAACGACTTCCAGTTCCATCCATGTTGCTGCAAATGATGGGATTTCATTCATTCTTTTTATAGCAGAATAATATTCCATTGTGTATAGATACCCCATTTTCTTTATGTATTCATTCATTGATGGACACATAGGTTGATTCTGTAACTTGGCTATCATGAATAGTGCTGCAGTAAATACAGGAGTGCAGATATCTCTTCAACATACTGATTTCCTTTCTTTTGGATATATATCCAGCAGTGGGATTGCTGGATCATATGGTAGTTCTATTTTTGGTTTTTGGAGAAAAGAATCTCCATACTGTTTTCCATAGCAGCTGCACTACTTTACATTTCCACCAACAGTGTATGAGGGTTCCCCTTTCTCCGCATCCTCACCAGCATTTTTTTTTGTCTTTTTGGTAATAGCCATTCTAACTCTGGTGAGATTATATTTCTTGGGGTTTGATTTGCATTTTCCTATTGATTAGTAATGTTGAACATTTTTTCATATACCTGTTGGCCATTTGTATGTGTTTTGAGAAATGTCTATTCAGGTCTTTTTTGTGTGTGTGTGTGAGACAAAGTCTCACTCTGTCGCCCAGGCTGGAGTGTGGTGGCACAGTCTTGGCTCACTGCAACCTCTGCCTCCCAGGTTCAAGCAATTCTCGTGCCTCAGCCTCCTGAGTAACTGGGATTACAGGTGCCTGCCACCACACCTGGCTAATTTTTGTATTTTTAGTAGAGACGGGGTTTCACCATGTTAGCCAAGCTGCTCTCAAACTCCTGACCTCAGGTGATCCACCCTGGAGGCCTCAGCCTCCCAAAGTACTGGATTACAGGCGTGAGCCACCACGCCCAGCCTATTCAGGTCTTTTGCCCATTTTTAACAGTCTTTGTTTTTGTTTTTGTTTTTTGCTATTGAGTTGTTTGGGTTCCTTATATATTCTGGTTAGTAATCCCTTGTCAGATGGATACTTTGCAAATATTTTCTCCCATTCTGTAGGTTGTCTCTTCACTTTGTTAATTGTTTCCTTTGCTGAGCAGAAGCTTTTTACTTGCTGTAATCCAATTTGTCTATTTTTGCCTTTGTTGCCTGTGCTTTTAAGGTCTTACCCAAAAAAAAATTTGGCTAGACCAATATCCTATAGTGTTTCCCCATTGTTTTCTTCTAGTAGTTTCATAGTTTCAGGCCTGGCACTTAAGTCTTTAATGTATTTAGACTGGATTTTTTTATCTGGTGAAAAGTGAAGATCTAGTTTCATTCTTCTCCATATGGGTATTTAGTTTTCCTAGCACCATTTGTTGAAGAGACTGTCCTTTCTCTCAATGTATGTTCTTGGCGCCTTTGTCAAAAATGAGTTGGCTATAAATACATGGATTTATTTCTGGGTTCTCTATTCTGTTCCATTGGTCTATGTGTCTATTTTTTTGCGAGTACCATGGTGTTTTGGATATGATAGCTTTAAGGTATAATTTGCAATCAGGTAGCATAATGCCTGCAGCTTTGATCTTTTTGCTCAGGGTTGTTTTGGCTATTTGTGGTCTTTTGTGATTCCATATGAATTTTAGAATTGTTTTTTCTATTTCTTTTTTTTTTTTCTTTTTTGAGACAGGGTCTTGCTCTATTGCCCAGGCTGGAGTGCAGTGGTGAGATCTCTGCTCACTGCTACCTCCACCTCCTGGGTTCAAGCGATTCTCCTGCCTCAGACTCCTGAGTAGCTGGGATGACAGCTGTGTGCCACTATGCCTGGCTAATTTTTGTACCTTTAATAAAGATGGGATTTTGCTGTGTTGGCCAGGCTGGTCTTGAACTCCTGGCCTCAAGTGATCTGCTCACCTTGGCCTCCCAAACTGCTGGGAATACAGGCGTGAGCCACCACACCCAGCCTGTTTTTTCTATTTCTGCAAAGGATGTCATTGTTGTTTTGATAGGGATTGCGTTGAATCTGTATATCACGTTGAGCAGTATAGACATTTTAACAATGTTAATTCTTCCAATTCGTGAACGTGGGATATCTTTCCATTTGTGTGTGTGTGCCCTCTTCTATTTCTTTCAGTGTTTTATAGTTTTCCTTGTAGAGATCTTTCACTTCTTTGGTTAAATTTATTCCTAGGCATTTTACTTATTTATTTTTGTAGGTATTGTAAATAGCATTGCTTTCTTGATTTCTTTTTCAGAGTGATTGCTGTTAGTGTATAGATGCTACGGATTTTTGTAAGTTGATTTTGTATCCTGCAACTTTACTAAATTTGTTTACCCTAAGAGGTTTTTGATAGAGCCTACATTTTTCTAAAATATAAGATCATGTCATCTGCAAGCAAGGATAATTTGACTTCTTCCTTTCCAATTTGGGTGCCTTTATTTCTTTTTCTTGCTTAATTACTCTGGCCAGGACTTTTAGGGCTACATCAGATAAAAGTGGTAAAAGTGGGCATCTTTGTCTTGTTCCTGATGTTAGTGTAAAGGCTTTCAATTTTTCCCTGTTCAGTACGATATTAGCTGTGGGTTTGTCATATATGGACTTCATTGTGTTGTGTTCCTTCTACACTCAATTTGTTGAGGGTTTTTTATTATAAAGAGGTGCCGAATTTAATTGAGTGCTTTTTCAGTGTCTATTGAAATGATCATATGGTTTTTGTCTTTGATTCTGTTTATGGGATGTGTCATGTGTATTGACTTGCCTGTGTTGAATCATCCTTGCAGAGCTGAGATGAATCACACTTGATCATGATAAATAATCTTTTCGATGTGTTGTTGAATTTAGTTTGGTAGTATTTTGTTGAGGATTTTTGCACCTATGTTTATCAGGAATATTTACCTGTAGTTCTGTTGTTGTTGTTGCTGTTGTTGTTGGGTCTTTGACTGGTTTGAGTATCAGGATAATGCTGGTCTTGTAGAATGAGTTTGGAAGTATTATCTCCTCTTTAACTTTTTGAAATAGTTTGAGTAGAATTGATATTAGTTCTTCTTTAAATGTTTGGTAGAATTCAACAGTGAATCCATTAGGCCCTGGGCTTTTCTTGGATGGGAGACTTTTTCGTTACTGCTTCAATCTCATCACTCATTATTGGTCTGGTCTGCTAGTTTTCTATTTCTTTGTAGTTTAGTCTTGGTAGGTTGTATGTGTCCAGGAATTTGCCAATTTCTTCCAGGTTTTCCAATTTGCTGGCATATAGTTGTTCATAATAGTCTCTAGTGATCCTTTGTGTTTCTGTGGTTATCAGTTGTATTGTTTCCTTTTTCATCTCTTATTTTATTTGGGTCTTCTCTCTTCTCTCTTTCTTTCTTAGTCTAGCTAAATGTTTGTCAATTTTGTTTATCTTTTTAAAACACCAACTTTTCATCTCTTGTATTTTTGGTCTTTTGCATTTTTTTAGTCTCAATTTCATTGATTTCTGCTCTGTATTTATTATTTCTTTCCATCTACTAATTTTGAATTTGGTTTGTTCTTGCTTTGTTCTTTGAGATGCCTCTTTAGCTAATTTATTTGGAGTCTTTCTGGGTTTTTTTTTATGTAGGTATTTATTGCTATAAACTTCCCTCTTAGTAAGAAAGTCTTATCAGATTCTAGTGAAGTGTCTACAGAGGGAATGAAAACCCATACCAGAAAATTAGCAAAGCCCAGATAATTTCACTTAAAAAAAAACCCCATCAGGAATGAGATCATTAAATAGTCACGCTAAAAAGAAATCAGACTTATGGGTAAGTTCAAATTTTAATAAAAGTTTAAAATAAATGTCTTAGTCATGATACTATATTTTGGGCTATTGATTTTCATAGCCATCAAACTCACCAAACTGATATTTTTCTGTCTGCTTAATATCTATTTAATATCCACAGGGTACCTGTTCTTGTACAAAGTGAACTGTATTAGGTTGGTAAATGCTGAAAATGTCATATCGTTATCACTGGATGCTGAAAAATCACATCAGTCAGCAGATTTTTTGGCAGTCAGCTGAGAGAAGGATTTACACCCAGCATGTTTGTGGCAGAGGATCTCTCTGCTCTACTTTCATAAACATTAGCATAGTGTTATCATGTATGGTTAGGTAACCAGGAAAAGTAGAGGAGGACAGCTGTAACCAGCACTTTATCTCCTCTGTCTTTGAGAGATCTCCTTCACACATGCAAAACTTAACAGGAAATATATAGATAGATGTGTATGTGCACACACACACACACACACACACACACACACACACACACACATAGATATTTACATTTTGGCTAGATGAGAAATTTAGCAAGTTAATCCTAGCCTCATTCCATTTAGTGTAACAAACCATACTAACCTTTCAAGCAAGGTGACTTGTTCTAAGTGCTGAGATCTGCAACTGCAGGAAACTTGAGCTTGTAAATAAGGTAATGAGAATATCCACTCTCCTGGTTTTCATTATTTTGCTTCTGAAGGCATGTCCAGTCCTTAGGGTGGCTTTTAAAACTATGTGTGAAGTACAAGAAAAATAGTCAAAAGCTTCATCTTAGTCCTAAATTATATTGGATTCTTGACTTAAATAATATAATATTTAATATTAAATAGTATTATACAGGTACGAGTGGAGGGGCATATTATACAGCCATTTTTAATATGTTTTATAACTTTTTTTCAAGTGCTTCATAAAGTATGGTCACTTAAAAGATGGCAGTTGGCCCTTTCCTCACCCCAGACCCTAGTTCATTAACCTCTAAAGATAAACAAAACAGTGTACATCTTGATAATTTTTCATTTCAGGTTTACTGGTTCAAAGATGGGAAGCAGATTTCTAAGAGAAATGAGCACTGCAAAATGAGGCGAGAAGGAGATGGGACATGCTCTCTGCACATTGAATCCACTACCAGTGATGACGATGGCAACTACACCATCATGGCAGCCAACCCCCAGGTGGAGACGCAGGGTTCTGCGCTGTGCTGCACTCTGAGGAAGGAGCGGTTGATGTCATTGTGAATGAGACCTTGAGAAGTGCGAGTTACTAAGGATTGCTGAGGAAAATGAATGAGAAGCATTGTGATTTTGTGTAACTAGGGCACAGCATCACAACTTAAAGGACTAGTTAGCCACTGACAGGTCACTCAATCCTTCAGCCTTTGTCAAGGGACCTTAGTACTATTTTTTCACTATGTATACCTTGCAGACTTCTTGAACTAGATCTTGTGTTTCTCAACACATTGATTCTCTTGAAGAGTCAATAAATCATTATATCAATCATTCTATCAAGAACGATCTGTCATTTTTGTTCTTTAGTGAATAGGCAAATTACTTTGCGAAGGTTTGTGAATATCCCTCAAACTCATAGTGTCCACATTTTGGGATTGTTTTGTTTTTTAAACTTGGAAAGCCATAATCATCCACTTTCCTTTTCTGAATGAAGCCAAATCTTAAAATTCCCCTAAAAGATGTGGCAGAATAAACATCTTCAATTACTATTTGAATAGGAAGTACAGAACTATAACATCCATTCCTACTGAAATGTTAGTTTTGAAGAATCTCTGTTGAGGAATGTATGAAAATATTTGGCCATGCTTTCTAAATTTTGACTGAAAATAAAGTTAAGTACATAAGAATTCAAATTTCTTTTTACCTTTGACTTGTTCATATCTCAGTTTAAAAATGAAAGTCGTTACCATACTCTTAAAAATCTCTCCCCCTGGAATATTAACAATGATTTAAGAAATCATATTTTATTGTTTTTATTTCTCTCCCCCAAAGAAAAACTCATAATAGCCAAAATTTCACGGTGTTCTGGTCCAGAAATTTTTATGTAAATTGAAAAAATGTGAGATTGTTCTTGTTTTAATCTTGCTCTTTTTCTGTTTGTCAGGGGAGAATCAGCTGTTCTGGCCACTTGATGGTACAAAGTTTGCCCATTCGCAGTCGGCTAACCTCTGCTGGTCAGTCTCACAGGTAAAGACAGTAAGAATTCCCCCTCTCTAGGCCCTTCCCAAGCACCTGCCCACTATCGTGAGCACCAAAGTACTGGATCCACAAATTCTTAATTAAAGGTAGTCCTTCACTTGCAGCACTAGCATCACCTGGGCGTTGGTTGGAAATGCAGAATCCCAGGCCCCACTCTGGATCTACTGACTCAGAATCTGCATTTTAACAGAATTCCCAGGTGATCCACAAGCATAGTAAAGTTTAACAAGCACTAGTCTCTGGGGCTTTTTTTTTAAGTTTGATTTTTATTTTTTAGAGACAGGGTCTCACTTTGTTGCCCAGGCTGGAGTGCAGTCGTGTGATCATAGCTCACTGCAACCTCAAATTCATGGGCTCAAGCCATCTTCCCACCTCAGCCTCCCAAGTAGCTGAGACTACAGACGCATGCCACCATGCTGGCTCAATTTTTCTGTGTGTGTGTAGAGACAGGTGTCTCACTATGTTGCCCAGGTTTGTCTCACACTCCTGGCCTCAAGCAATCCTCCTGCCTTGGCCTCCCAAAGTGCTAGGATTACAGGCATGAGCCATCACTCCCAACCTGGCATGCTTTTAATGGTTCAAAATTTGTAACCATCAGTAGCACCTGCACACATAATATGTAAATCAGACCCATTGAAGTAAGTTACCATCTTTTGTTTCATAAAACAGAAACCTTTAATGATTGAATGTATATTGATGGAATGTTTTTGTTGTTGTCTCCAATACAACAACTGGTTTTCTTCCTCTCTGATTTTACTAACCACTAAGAAGAAAGAGCCTGGCTTTCCACCTGAATCTTACGGTGCCACGAAGTCTTAGCAAAGCATTCCATAGCTGCTGACACAGACGAATTAAATGTGACTTACCAAAGGAACAAAAATAGTGACCCATGTTTCAGATACAGTATTTCACCACCGTTGCAACTATACCTTCTTCTTCTTTTTTTTTTTTTTTTTGAGATGGGGGTCTCACTCTGTCACCCAGGCTGGAATGCAGTGGTGCGATCTCAGTTCACTGCAACCTCCACCTTCCGGGCTCAAGTGATCTTCCCACCTCAGCCTTCCAAGTAATTGGGACCACAGGTGTGCACCACCATGCCCAGCTAATTTTTGTATTTTTTTGTAAAGACGGGGTTTCACCATGTTGCCCAGGCTGGTTTCAAACTCCTGAGCTCAAGCAGTCAACCTGCTTCAGCCTCCCAAAGTGCTAGGATTACAGGCTTGAGCCACCACACCTGGCCCCCTCTCCCTTTGCCTCCTCCTCCTCCTTCTCCTCCTCCTCCTTTTTTAAGAACAGCTGTTACCGTTGGTCAGTCTTATCCAGTTTAAGTTCATAGTCATCTTTAATGGTCTGCCATAATTTATAGCCAGGTTAAATTTTATTACTCAAAGACACAGGGATTGCAGCTGCCTTACTCTGGGTAATAAACAGGACTTCTCTTTTGGCTCTCGTTTGAGGTTCAGATTGAATACTGATCTATTTGTTTATTTTGATGGCTTTTGAATAACTGGTCGAACTCATAGCAAGGGGAGCTGAGCCCACTTAATCCAGAATGACAGAAAGAAGCTAAGCCTGTTTATTTGATTGCAGATCTCGCAAGACAATCCCACAGTATATGAGATACTTACCACTTTGTGTTTTACATCAGCTCCACACCATTATTTATTGTTTATAGTCCAGCCTCCCCTTTCCCCCTTCAAAAAAAAAAAATCTGTTCTCTAGGTCTGTAGCCATGCCTAAATGCCTATTATCATAAGTTTGTAAATTTATTTCTATGTTTAATATCTGAACATGCTTGTTGTTATAGGGGAAGATCCCGAGTGCAAGAAAGAGACAAAGAGCCCCTACAGGAACGCTTTTTCCGACCACATTTCCTGCAGGCTCCTGGGGATATGGTAGCTCATGAGGGGCGCCTCTGTCGGCTGGACTGTAAGGTAGACTCCAGCACCCATGCTTAGTTCCAGATCTGTTCATATTTTGTATTTGTTTGCATTCATTTTTATTTGTATTTGTTTTGTGGGTTTTTTTTTTCAGGAAAGATGAGATGGGGAAGGGAGACAGATCACTTTTTTTCATCATAAGGCTTGTTTGGAGTATTTAATGTCAGATGAAATTATTTTATGAAATTTTTGAATCTCTATATATTAATAAAAATTACATTGGTATTATATCAAGTTAATTGCATTTTTAGAAGACAACCAAAGAGGTGATACACAGTAGTTCCCCCTTATCTGAGGGGCCCGCGTTCCAAGCCCCACAGTGAATGCCTGAAACTTTAGGTAGTACTGAGCCCTATATATACTATTTTTTAAAGTTGATAACCAAGACAGCTACTAAGTATCTAATGGGCAGGTAGCATAGACAGTGTGAACGCGGTGGGCAAATGGGTGATTCATACCCATGGGTAGGATGGAGTAAGACGGCATGAGATTTCATCATGTACTCGGAACGAAACACAATTGAAAACTTAGAAACTTTATTTCTGAAATTTTTCATTTAATATTGTCAGATTGTGGTTGACCTCGGGTAACTGAAACTTTAGACAAAAGGAGGACTACTATAATTCAGACATTTGCATCTAAGCCTTTTAAGAATTCTAGAATGCTATGGAAGATTTAGATACAAGCCTTTTCATATGGTGTCTGGAAGGCCTTTATTACTATAAAGCCATATGGTGTGATTTTCACATCCTTGAAGTGAATTGTTGAATGTGTGGCCTTTGAAAATTTATAGACATGAAAATATGGCTCCAAGGTAGTGTATGAGAACAGAAGCTGGTTTCTCATACTAATCAACCTCCATTACCTTTAGCTATTCTGCATTCTCATTTTTTGACCGGGCTCTAGTTGAGCAGCTTGGATATCTCTCAGAATGAAGAGAAGCTTATGTCACCCTTTCTGCCCATAGATGCAGAATGCTATGGAAGACTTAGATGCAAATTAGTCAAAACTTGAGATTAAGCATTCATAAAGGGTCCACTTCTATCTGTGGTTCTTCTTCTCTCTGTGGCTGCCTAAATAATATTCGGATTGATTGCTACATCCCCCTCCCTAAACTCTGAAAGATTCCCATGCCTGGGTCCCATCCGCAGAGATTCTCACTTATGGTAAATGGGCACCAGGATTTTTAAACACCTCCCACATGATTGTAATACACAGCAAGATTCAAGAGCTCTGGTTTAATATCTGGCCTTTCATCATCCTCAGCAAACTAACACAGGAACAGAAAACCAAACACCACATGTTCTCACTCACAAGTGGGAGTTGAACACTGAGAACACATGGACACAGAGAGGGGAGCATACCATGCCCTGTTGGGGGGATGGGAGGGGTGAGGGGAGGGAACTTAGAGGACAGGTCAATAGGTGCAGCAAACCACCGTGGTACACATATACCTATGTAACAAACCTGCGTGTTCTGCACATGTATCCTGTGTTTTTCTTGTTTTCGTTTTTTTTTTAGAAAAAAAATCTGGCTTTTCTCTTGGCTATTAGGTATGTAAGCAGTATATCATCTCTGAAATTGATGCTGCAGGCCTATTATATCTATCTATTTCACTTTTTAATTCTTATTTATTCTAATCTAGAGTATAATCAAATAGGTTAACCATTACCTTAACTGTGACCAAAGTACCATACAGTTCAAATTCATGCAGCTGTTTATTCAGACTCTTCGTTTCTCTCGATGCCCCTACAGAGAGGTTTCTCATCACTCCATGTTTTCTCTCACTGTCTGTTTGGTGCCAAGCAAGGATAAAGAATTCAGCCATCAAATAAATGTGCCTGTCATCAGTCATGTGCCTCAGCTGTTCTGTTGTTTATTAGGTGAGTGGTTTACCGCCCCCGGAGCTGACATGGCTACTCAATGGCCAACCTGTGCTACCAGATGCCTCCCACAAGATGCTGGTCAGGGAGACCGGAGTCCACTCTCTGCTCATTGACCCACTCACTCAGCGCGACGCAGGGACCTATAAGTGCATCGCTACCAACAAAACCGGGCAGAATTCTTTTAGTCTGGAGCTCTCTGTAGTAGGTAAGGTTTGCTGCTGGGACCCCTAAACACAACTTCCTCCAAAGTCATTACCCAAAGAGGCAGAGCCTCTGCCAGAATTCCTTCATCCTTTGCCCTACTAACTCCAATCTCAATTTCCCCTTCACTGTGGTAGGGGTGGTATTTCCCACATCACTTTCAAAAACATGCCAGTAATCTAAAATCATAATATGACACCATGTGCATAATACCCATTAAATAAATGAGAGCCATTGTCATCATCAGTCAATCAATCAATCAATTAGCTGTCACTAAATTCCAGTTATTTGCCCTACAGTCCATCATTCCTGGAACATACTAGGCTCTTTGTCCTCTGTCTAAGCTTTCATGCCTTTGCACCAATGATCCCTCTACCTGAATGTCCTTTTCTACCTGAATGTCCTTTTCTGCCTGGCACCTCCTACTCATTCTGTAAGACCTAACTGAAATGTCACCACCAGGTACAGTGGATCCACCAGGCACAAATACCCCTTCCCAGCCTAACAACCGTAAAGTGTTTCCATAGCACTCAGAAAAGGAGAGATTCATAGAGCAGGTAGGGCCTTCTGTGTAAATGTTAATTATTTGCCTCCCTGAAGAGATGCTGAGCTCCTAAGGTCAGAGACTGTGGCTCGTCTTGCACATCTCCAGTGCCTCTGTCTCTCTTCTGCATATCTCAGTGCCTGGAACATGGAAGGTGCCCAAGAAATATTGAATCAATATCTAAACAAGTGAAACTTTATATTCTTAGATGATGTGAATGAAACACTGTAATGCCTATACATAAGGACAACAAGACATTGTCATCTGGGAGGTGCCAGCCCTGAAGTAAATTTCAGAATGCAGGAATTCTGGTGCTGGGCTTCCTTCTGCTCTCAGTGTGGCCCTTTAAGAAAATCAGGGTGTGGGGCACGGTGGCTCACACCTGTAATCCCAACATTTTGGGAGGCTGAGGCGGGTGGATCACCTGAGGTTAGGAGTTCAAGACCAGCCTGGCCAACATGGCAAAACCCCATCTCTACTACAAATACAAAAATTAGCCAGGTGTGGTGGCGCACACCTGTAATCCCAGCTACTAGGGAGGCTGAGGCAGGAGAATCGCTTGAACCCGGGAGGTGGAGGTTGCAGTCAGCCAAGATTGCACCACTGCACTCCAGCCTGGGTGACAGAGCAAGACTCCATCTCAAAAAAAAAAAGAAGAAGAAATTCAGGGTGGCTTCAGCATGCTAATCCTCTCTCTAGGCTAGTGGCGGTTTCCCCTGTATATCTTTTTCCTTCCCTCACTTTTAATTTCTTCTCACCAATAAAACAGGAAAAACTCATTCTGCAAGAATACATTGATTTCAGGCTTTTACCTTTATTCCACTATTTTGCTAAAAAATATTGACTTTGGAACCCTAAGACATGAGGTACCTTTACCTAAATTTGTCCTGGCCAAATCTCTAAAAGCCTCCTTGGGAAGCACAGTCTTGTGTGTGTGTGTTTTAGATAGTGTTATTCTGTAGGTGTCAGATTTTTGTGGAAAAACTATTATGTCTTCTACAAAATAAAACTCCACCCCCAAAAATCTGTTTTAGTAAATAAAATATATGGTTCTCAAAATCTACTGTTGAGATATAAAAGAAATTCCTTTAATTCCACCATTCCTGGCATTTGCATCCCATGCGAACGACCCAGATCCTCAAGTATTGCCTCTCGTGGGATGTGCAGAGATGGTTGCCCCATTTCTTTTTGTTTTTTAAACCATTTATGAAGCTTTTATCAAGGCAGTGATCCTCACTAAAAGACATGAGGAGTGTTCTGACCAGGAGGTAAGGTGGGTGCATGCCCACTCTGCTGAATTCCAGAACTGTGGTGACTGTGAGGCATGAACCTCAAAGTACTTACTATTCAAATAAGAATGACCCTTCTCCACCAGGCACAGTGGCTTATGCCTGTAACCCCAGCACTTTGGGAGGCCAAGGCGGGTGGGTCACCTGAGGCCAGGAGTTCGAGATCAGCCTGGCCAACATGACGAAACCCCTATCTCTCCTAAAAATACAAAAATTAGCCAGGCTTGGCGGTGCACGCCTGTAATCCCAGCTACTCGGGAGACTGAGGCAGGAGAATCACCTGAACCTGGCAGGGGAGGGGTGCAGGCAGAGGTTGCAGTGAGCTGAGATCTTGCCACCACACTCCAGCCTGGGTGACAGAGCAAGACTCTGTCTCAAAAAAAAAAAAAAGAAAGAAAAAAAGAATGACCCTTCTCTTGCTCAGCCAAAGAGGTGAAGAAAGCACCTGTGATCCTGGAGAAACTACAGAACTGCGGTGTTCCCGAAGGCCACCCCGTGAGACTGGAGTGCCGCGTGATAGGCATGCCCCCACCTGTGTTCTACTGGAAGAAAGACAATGAGACCATCCCTTGCACCAGAGAGAGGATCAGGTACAGCAGCCACCACATCCAGAGGGACTCCCACTCTCAGTGGGGCTTGTTGCGCCACCCAAATAAGTCTGCTGCTATTTGAGTCTGGCTTACTTCATTTAGAATAATGCATTTGCGTTTCATTGATATTATTGTGTGTATTAAGAATGTATTCCTGGCCAGGCGCAGTGGCTCATGCCTGTAATCCCAGCACTTTGGGAGGCCAAGGCGGGTGGATCACGAGGTCAGGAGATCGAGGCCATCCTGGCTAACATAGTGAAACCCTATCTTTACTAAAAAATACAAAAAATTAGCCAGGCGTGGTAGCAGGTGCCTGTAGTCCCAGCTACTCGGGAGGCTGAGGCAGGAGAATGGCGTGAACCTGGGAGGCGGAACTTGCAGTGAGCTGAGATTGCGCCACGGGACTCCAGCCTGGGTGACAGAGTGAGACTCCGTCTCAAAAAAAAGAAAAAAAAAAGTACAAGGAATTTATGGAAGATTTTGCAAATTTTTTGTCCCATGTCTTCAATTATATCAGGACCCAGAAAAGCTCTTTGAAGTAAAAAAGCTAACACAAAATGAAACATCAAGGCAGTTATACTCCTTTTCCATCCATCACTAAATGATTGTTTTTAAAGTAAGCTTAAGGATCCAGTTTCTTAAACTGGGTACGTTGCTTAATCTTCCCTAACCAACTTAGGGAAATGGCAATTTCTTTGCCATTTTGGTTTTATACCACAAGGGGACAAGTAAGTAAAGGTAGCTTCTGTACAAAACTTTCTACTGAGAATTATTTCACCACAGTAAACGGAAATTGCCCCAGAGAATGCTGTAGCTGTTGGGTTTTAAAGAATTTTGACATCTAAAATATGTGTGTGTATTGTGTGTGTTGGGATTGTGGGGGTGTGGGGGTGTGCATTTTTCTACAGTAAAACTTAAGCAAGAACAGAGAATAGTCTTGGGTTAATGCTCCAATCTAACAATGCAATATGTTAAACTAGATTAAACTATATACTCTAAATAAACTGAGGGTCTACAATTTTAAATATGGTTTTATTGGGCAAAAACAAAATCAATGTCTGGAAAGTTCATTCCCAGTCGAGGCTGACTGCTGGGACCGGGTGATTGCTCAGTCCTGGACTCTGAGGACCAGCTCGGTTTAGTCACCACTTCCTGGGGAAGGCAGTGGCAGGGGAGGGAGGAGGAGTGACTGAGATGCTGCCGTGGGGAAAGCCTAAGACTCAGAGACCGCTGCCCACTCACTGCCCATTCATCTTCCCCCTGCCTTTAGTGACAAGATGCCTGTCATTTTAATGTAAGCATAGGACATTCTGGCTGGGCACAGTGGCTCATGCCTGTAATCCCAACATTTTGGGAGGCCAAGGCAGGAGGATTGCTTGAGACCAGGAGTTGAAGACTAGCCTGGGCAACATAGCAAGACCCCATCTCTAAAAAAAAAAAATTAATTGTCTAGGCATGGTGGCACACACCTGTAGTCCCAGCTACTCAGGAGGCTGAGGAGGGAGGATTGCTTGAACTCAGGATTTGAAGGCTGCAGTGAGCCATGATCATGCCATTGTACTCCAGCCTGGGGACAAGCAAAACCCAGTCTCAAAAGAAAAAAAGAATAGGATATTTTGATACTTTAAACTCATAGTGATTAGCTTCTGAAAACCACACACCTAGGAACATCTGAATGGTCCTAAAACGCGCACGCACACACACACACACACACACATACACACACAGAGAGAGAGAGAGAGAGAGAGAGAGATACAGTTGCTCCTCAACTTACGATGGACTTACCTGGATGTAACCCCATCATAAATTGAGGAGCATGTGGAATGCAAGCATCCTAAGTCAGGAACTGCCTGTATATCACTGTGATTATAACTGTGTTGTAAGTGTTGTAAGTATTTATGGTTTTCATGTCCCTGCCTTCTCTCACCTATATACCTCTGCTCAGGACATTCCTTCTTTGGGAACTCTCTTCGCCTTCTTCTCTACCTCCACGCTGCAGCCCACTTCCCTAATGTCTGTTATCCCTTAATACTCACCTCAAACATCATCTTTCTAAGGAAGAGCAGTGCCCCTGCTTCCTCCCCAGCTTGGTCCAGGACTGAGTTGATGTTCTTCTACCAGCAACTGTTGCACGTAGTCACAATTGTTAGTACTAATGGTTTCATTCTCTCTCCCACGACTAGACTGTGAGCATCTTGAAGGAAGAGACCACGTCTTCTTTGTTTTCGTATGTCCTGACTCTTCACAACACCCAATGCCTTTCACCTAGTAGCATATTATGTAAGATGAAGGAATTACAAACAAATGCATGAATTTCCACGGCTATTGCCTCACCTCACTAAACTACAGCAATAGCACCCTAATGTGTCTCTCTGCGGCCAGGCTCAAGCCCTATTCAATACCCCTCCTCACCACTGTGAGAATGACCTTTTAAGAATGCAAACTGACCGGGCGCAGTGGCTTACGCCTGTAATCCCAGCACTTTGGGAGGCCAAGGCAGGTGGATCACCTTTGGTCAGGAGTTGGAGACCAGCCTGGCCAACATGGCAAAACCCTGTCTCTACTATACAAAAATTAGCCAGGCATGGTGGCATGTGCCTGTAATCCCAGCTACTTGGGAGGCTGAGGCAGGAGAATCACTTGAACCTGGGAGGCAGAGGTTGCACTGAGCTGAGATCACACCACTGCACTCCAGCCTGGGCCACAGAGTGAGACTCTGAGACTCTGTCTCAAAAAAAAAAAAAAAAAAAAGAGAATACAAACTGATTATATCAACTCCTGCTTAAAATATATCATTAGTTTCCCATAATCTGAGAGGAAGGGTCCCGTCCCTTTACCATAGTGCACGTGACCCTCTCCCCTGCCTTCTTCCTAGTCCCCCCACTTGCCAGTACCCCGTGTGCACTCCAACCCCAGCTGTAAGGAATATGCCATGATCCCTCCCACACCACCACGCCTTTGTGCAGGCTGTTCCACCACCTGGAACAGCCACATCCCACCATCCCTGTGAGTTTCCACTCGACCTTTGAGACTGAGCTGGAGCACATCTTCTGGGAAGTTTTCCCACCCTTGAATTGGCTACATTATATTTCAGTGCTTGAGAAATAGATTTTTAAAGTAATCTCGTCTTAGTCGTCTCAGGTCTTTATACAGTGTTACATTTTTCTGTGAGCCTAACCTCACATATGCTGGTGCTTCTGAACATCCAGTATCTTCATGCCTCCTTCTTGATGCCTGTGGCTTCCCAGAATAACCTTTTCCCCTCTGTCTTCCCCAGGCATCTTTCCCACGACATTACTCTAGCATTTGTTGCATTCTATTTATCTTTATTTCTACTTATTTATCTTTTATTTATTTATTTTCCATTAAACTTAGGGATCCTTCTAGAGAAGGAATTTCTTTGGCCAGGTGTGGTGGCTCACACCCGTAATCCCAGCACTTTGGGAGGCTGAGGAGGGTGGATCACCTGAGATCAGGAGTTCGAGACCAGCCTAGCTAACACAGTGAAACCCTATTTCTACCAAAAAAAAAAAAAAAGAAAAATTAGGCAGGCATGGTGGCAGGCATCTGTAATCCCAGCTACTTGGAAAGCTGAGGCACAAGAGTCTCTTGAACCTGGGAGGGGGAGGGTGCAGTGAGCCGAGATCACACCACTGCATTCCAGCCTGGGCAACAGAGCAAGACTCTGTCTCAAAAAAAAGAGAAGGAATTTTTGTCCTGTTCATCTTTACACCCTCAGCACCCAAGGCAGTAGCACCTAGCATTTTCCCCAACATAGTATTCGTAAGTGTTTACTAAAGAAATATATCAAAGAATGAATGGATTAATTAATTGACTAATCAGAAGGTGAAGGTAGCCAATGTGTTAGTGTAGTGAAATTGTGGTGGATATTTTATTACTTTATTCTTGTTATACTTGTTATTGATTGATTTATTCTTTATTCTTATTACTTTATAAATTCTTAGACATAATAACTTTCAATGAAAGGTAAACACTTATTCATCCTTTGAGCTCAGGAAGCCGTTGCTGTTGCCCCTACTGTGCAAATGAGCTGTGGCAGCCCCAGAGGAGAGCTTGGAAGTATGAGTGATAAGAGGGCCAGGCCAACAAGGGGTGTAGGGAACATGTGGCCCTATGGTTTTTGATCCATGGCTGCATATTGCAATTACTGGGGAGTTTCCAAAAATCCTAATGCTTGGATCCCAGCCTTTGATTCTGATATAATTACCTGGGATATGGCCTGGGATTCCAATATGCAGTCAAGGTGAAAAACTATGGATGTGGAGAAAAACAGAAGGAAACAGCAGGCTGATTTCCTCCTAAACCTCGTGAAGCTGGAAGCTGCACGAGCCCAGCTGGTTACATTAGGAAATGCCGTCTATGCTGCCAGTTCATCCACCCCCTGGCTCTATTTTGTCTTGCTTTCCCTGTTCATCCCAGAGCATCCTAACAAAGTTATCGATGAAATGTCCAACCTTGTTTGGAAAAGAGATCTTTCTGAACTTTGGTTGTGAAAATTGGGGGTTCTGCTGGTGGGGAGCGCAACTTCAGTGGACTTGCAGCAGTGGGGAGGGCAACAGCAGGTCTCAGCCCCAGCTGCCCCCTCCTCCTAGCATGATTAAGCTCACTGCTGCTCTTCTTTGACGTCTTCCACCTTCAAATTTGTCTTGATGTCTGCCTTAAGCTGAGTTCCCCCTTCTTCCTGGAACCCTAAATTTGACAAAGGCATTTCTGCCCCCCGATAAAATATAGGTATATTCTCTCTTTTTCTCCAGTATGCACCAGGACACAACAGGGTATGCCTGCCTTCTCATTCAGCCAGCCAAGAAATCAGACGCTGGATGGTACACGTTGTCAGCCAAGAATGAAGCCGGCATCGTGTCGTGCACTGCCAGGCTGGATATATACGGTAAGTGTAATGCTGTTAGTTGAACATCTGTATGCAACTGACAGCTTAAAAATATTTTTTTAAAGATAAATGGGTCAGGCAAGGTGGCTCATGCCTGTAATCCCAGCACTTTGGGAGGCCGAGGCAGGCAGATCACCTGAGGTCAGGAGTTCAAGACCAGCCTGGTCAACGTGATGAAACTCCACCTCTACTAAAAATACAAAAATTAGCCAGGCATGGTGGCACACACCTGTAATCCCAGCTACTCGGGCAGCTGAGGCAGAAGAATTGGTTGAACCCAGGAGGCAGAGGTTGCAGTGACCCGAGATTGCACCACTGCACTCCAGCCTGGGCAACAGAACAAGACTCTGCCTCAAAATAAATAAATAAATAAATATAGATGGAATATGTTTCCATAAATGAATCGGGTAGACTATACTATATTTTAGTGCTTAAGAGATAGATTTTAAAAGTCATCTCATCCTGGTTACCTCAGGGCGTTTGTACACTTTTACATTTTACTATGAGCTTCACCTTCTTCCAGAACAGTGCCTCTAATACCAGGAATTACAGCTAGTCCAGAGTTTGCAAGTGCTTGTGCCTCTGAACAGCCAATGTTTTCTTGCCATCTCCTTGCTGCCGCGGGCCACCCACTGGAACTTCCCACTGCCTGTGATGCCCCGGCAGAATTTTTGAAACTCCTTTCATTTATTCCTTTAACAAATGTGTGTTGCTCCAATCCCCCAGACTTCTCTAATAATAGAGAGCTGTCCTAATAATAATAATAATATCAAGTGACATTTGTAGGATGACACATAGGCTCCCCTCTCTCGTCCAAAGGCGGGATTCAAAGTGATACCTTTAAATCTCCCAGACCCATGAGATTATTATAATTGTAGTTACCTTCATTTAACGCTGAAAATTACATGAGAGTAACAACATTGTACAGGCTGTCCCACCACCTGGAACAGCCCACCCCACCCTCCCTGTGAGTTTCCACTCAACCTTTTAGACTGAGCTGGAGCACGTCTTCTGGAAAGCTCCCCCACACTTAAATTGACTGTGCTATATATTTAGTGGAAGACTTGGAGAGGTTAATGACTACAGCTAGGAAGCAAATCTAGGCCTTTGCATTGTTTCTTTGAACCACATTTCCAATTTTCAAAAGGATCTAAGAAATAAATTTTTATTTATGTATTTGTGTGCTCAATCCTACACTTTTTGACATTAACTGGTATTTTTAGAGACATATTTCTTAACCCAAAAGAGTGGTTTTTTTAATCCTTTTTGAAAAAACATAATTGATTAGAAAATCTCACATTCAAAACTGGCTTAACCTAATTAGCCAAAATAATAAATAAGACTAGCTCTGTCTATTACCTGATAGATCTCTCTGCTATTTATGGTTGCATAGCAGGTATTCCCTTTATTTAGTACCATACAGGAGGGGCTTCAGCCTGCCATTTTCTCTAGGTCTAGTTTTTGGAGAAAATATATAATTTTCTGGTTATTTTCCCTTATCCTAGGACTTGAGAAGAGATTAAACTGTGAAGGAAGCAGACACTAATGTACTTTTCCCTGGAGAAATCGGGGGAGAAAGAGGCCAGTAGTGATATGTTCCTTAATCAAGGCTCAGTCCTTAACCATTTCCCAGTCTTCACCAAGTCAGAAGGCAGTAGGTCTCCAACTGAGAAACTCCCCACCAATAAGCCCTGAAACAGATGACTCTTGTGCCAATCCTGCCCTCCAGTGGCTGAGTTTCCAGGTCACTTTGCCCTGGCTCTCCTCTCCCTTTCGTTCCTGTCCTGCTTCCATAGCACCAACAATAGGCAGTGCTGTTTCCTCAGTTGGGACCTAGGATGGAGGACGCGTGGAGGACTTGGGCTGGAATCGATTCCCTTCCCCGCCACCACACTTCCTGCCTTTCTGAGGAATAGGGACACGTAGGGCTCCCCTCTCTTCTCTCACTTCCTAATCCTAGGAAATGCAGTAGTCCAGTTAAGATGTCAGAGAGAGCCGGGAAGGGCTAAGAGATGGAGGGGCTGGGAGGAGAGACTGCGCAAGAGCAGGCCTTACTGAGTGTCTGCTCTTTAGTGAAACCGCTCTAGGTTTGGTCCTCCAAATTTTGATTTTTCTGAATTCACTCAGAGGTATGTAGACTGGAAAACTGAATCAAGATGATGAAATCAACAAAGGACCAATTTCTAAATCAGAATGCTAGAAAGGGGCACAGCTTTCCAGGACCCAGAGCACGAGAGTTCCCCACCTAGGGAACGCCCTTCTGCACACCAAGGTCCCCAGAAACCTAATCAGAAGATTGCCCAGTAATTTCTGAATCAGAAACCACAGCAGAGACTGTGAAGTTTGGACAGATAGCTCGCTCAGGCCATGTTCAAACCTTAAAGTCATATCTGCTAAAAACAGCAGCACTTGGTGAACATAGAAACTCTAATAAATTATCTTTTGTCCCTGAACCATGGTTGATTGTATCTAAATTACTTTTCAGTCTTCTTGCTGTAACAATAGAACCTGATTAGGGAGGTGGGTAGGTAGGTAATGACTGATTAGGGTGATTAGGGTGTGAGGTAGGCACTGCTCAGAGGGGCAAACCCATTGTTTGGCTTTCATTTCTGCAGCTTTCTTGTCTCTATCTTTTGAGGTACCCTCTTTGAGAGCCTACAACCCTCTGTACACTGCCCCTAACAGGTCTTCATGGTAGGACGCTGGAAGGGGATAAGCTTGAGAAATCACCCTCGTCACCCACTCTTCCATCTTATAGAATTCTTTTCTTTTTTTTTTTTTTTTTGTTTGTTTTTTTCTTTTTTTGAGATGGAGTCTCGCTCTGTCGCCCAGGTGAAGTGGCATGCCTTGGTGTGATCTTGGCTCACTGCAACCTCTGCCTCCTGGGTTCAAGTGATTCTCGTGCCTCAGCATCCTGAGTAGCTGGGATTACAGGTGTATGCCACCATGCTCAGCTAATTTTTGTATTTAGTAGAAACTGGGTTTCGCCATGTTGGCCAGCCTGGTCTTGAACTCCTGAGCTCAAGTGATGTGCCCTTTTCAGCCTCCCAAAGTGCTGGGATTACAGGCATAAGCCACCGTGCCTGGCCGCATCTTAGAGGAATTCTAATCTCTCACTTGTAGGATTCTAATCTCTTACTGAATTAGAATCACAGATTTTGGAATTAGGGGCTTAAGATATCACCAGCACAGTTTCCTTATTCCTGGCAGGGAAGGCTTTATTGTTCTCTTCTACAAACGAGGCAATTCAGACCCAGGTATAGTTATATGCTTTACCAAGAATGCTCAGGGAGAATCGGGGTGAGGACAGAATGCACCTCTGCAGCGTACATGCTGGACTGCATTCCTTTGATCATAACACATTATTTGGTCCATTTTCCAGCTCAGTGGCACCATCAGATCCCACCGCCCATGTCTGTCCGGCCCAGTGGCAGTCGCTACGGATCTCTCACCAGTAAAGGACTTGACATATTTTCTGCCTTTTCCTCCATGGAAAGCACGATGGTGTATTCATGCTCTTCTCGGAGTGTAGTGGAGAGTGATGAACTTTAAGAATGTCTAGGTACCTGCTGTGTAAGAGAGCGGACTGTGGAGGGGGAATGAGAACAAGCCAGACTTGGTGGTTTCCAAGCAACCGAAGTTGAGTAAGTTCCCACACTGCTGGACCTGTGGCAAAGAGTGCTTTGAATAAGTCAGCTAGGGATTCTTGCAGTCTCAGCTGAGGGAGAAAGGTAGGGCTGTGCCTTCTAAAGATTCCAACAGAGATGTGAGAAGATAATACAGATGAACCAAAGATGTCACACAGTTGCCATCCACTGCTTTGGGAAAAAACTAGCATGCTCCCCTGCTCCCTGTTGTGTTAGGGATGTTTAGGTCATACTAGGAGCAATTAGGAGCCATATGCCTGGGCTGAGAAGAGCTAGGCAGTAGTGACCTTAGGATATGACTAACTCACCAAACAATGCCAAGGAGAAAGGCGGACAGGTCACCATCACCTTTCATCGATTACATGTATAGCAGTAGTTTTGGTGAATTCACCAAATCAGCTTCCACTTAGCATTAGGAGGTCATGCCATACAACTCACGTATGCGGGCAAACACTTTTGATTTGCATATCCTGGGTGTACTGAGCCACATAATAAGGTGTCAAAATGTGCTTGAGATTCCAAAAACTTGCTGAAACACTTGATATTGCACAGTGCACTTATTTTGTGGCCAAAGCATGGCCTTACCAGCTTGTCTGCACTATTTTCTTTTGGGTGGTGACTGTTTTTTTCTGACTTTGCATATCCCTAGACACTAGAACTAAAGGATTGGTAATAAACCAATCAGAAAGAAATCCTCTGTGGGGTCACTTTAAAAACTACTAGCTTCAACTACCACTTACAAAATGTGCAAGAGTCATCATTTGCCCATAAAATACACCTCATGGGCTCCTACCCCTTTCCCCAAAAGTCTGAAAGTGTAGGAGGAAGGAAGAGATACAAACAAGGAGAGGAAATGATGGGAGAGTGTTGTTTTTGTCACTTGCCCCAGCAGAGCAGGGGTTTTGGAAGGAGAGGTCTTTAATAGCTTTGAAATGCTTTGAGATCATTGGTCAAATTGCATTTTCTATGTAGAGAATATTCTGCTAGGTGGAAAAGTTGGGAGAAAGGGGAATATGCATCTTTATTCTAATCACCAATTCAAACCCTGCCTCTTAAGGAATTTTTAGACTTAAGTTCACTGTGATATCCCTAGTACCTAGAAGAGTACCTAGCACAAAGTAGACATTCAATAAATATTTGCTGGTTGAATGAATCTTCTGTTATTATGTCTATTATAAGATAACCTAATCTTATATTCTGCAGGAATATGCCACCCACACACCAGTCCAAACACTGCCCTGGGAATGCTCATCACAGCACAGTTTGCTCTAGGCTGTGCAGGGAAATGAATTGCAGGTGTCTGTTTTCAATTCCCTGTGCTGGAATCCCTGGTGCTGTCTGTGCCAAGCACACTCAGCTGGCATTGTATTTGTGTGAACAGACAGTAACTGCTTAGAAAGGCTTGAAACTGTCTTCACTTCAAGGCAAGGATTTCCAGCATAAAAATAAATTCATTCACTGGAGAAATCATTTGTATGTCTACTCTGTATGAGATGCTGTGCTAGAGATACTGCGGCAGATATAAAGATATGAACAAGTCACAGTCCCTACCCTCAGGGAGCTCACAACCTATTAGGGAAGGTAATATTTGAGGTGTGCAGAATGCTGTCTCTTGAAGCAAAATAGAAGTTTCTAGTGCTCTTCATTCTATTTTTTTATAACTTTAAAAATCTTTTCAATCTTTATTTCTTAATGAAACAAAATGCCATAGGTTACATCCTCAAGCAATAACTATTTCAATTATTCAGCAGAATTATTAGATTCTGTTTTTTAATGTATTCAGTAACAGCAGTAAAATACAGGCATCCTTAATGGAATAGAATGCATTTCATATGGAATCCAGTGAAATATTGTTTCCATATTGACTTCTGAGATCTCTTATAAACAAAGAGCACTTTTTTCTTTCTTTCTTTCTTTCTTTTTTTTAATGGAGTCTCACTGTCACCCAGGCTTCAGTGCAGTGCCACGATCTTGGCTCACTGCAAACTCCGCCTCCCAGGTTCCAGCGATTCTCCTGCCTCAGCCTCCCAAGTAGCTGGGATTACAGGCACACACCACCAGGCCCGGCTAATTTTTGTATTTTTTGTAGAGACAGGGTTTCGCCGTGTTGGCCAGGCTGGTCTCGAACTCCTGACCTCAAGTGATCCACCCACCTCGGCCTCCCAAAGTGCTGGGATTACAGGCATAAACCACCGTGCCCAGCTTAAAGAGCACTTTCTAACTCCAGGACTGCTCCTAGATTGTACACCAGACCTCCCCATCACAGCTACTTCTGTAAACCCTAGATAGTTCTCCCATGAAAGGATGTTCTTCATCTCTGTGTTTTAGCTTTCTGAACAGAAAACTAAGATAAATATTACATTTGGCAACTAGGTGGCGTTGTCTCACCCCAGACATTAACAGGCCTAAAAATTACTGAAATTTGAGCTATTAGATTATGTTAAAGCGGGGTTTCCCAACCTCAATACTACCGACACTTTGGACTGGATAATTCTCTGTTATGGAGGACTGTCCTGTGCATTGTAGAATGTTTAGCAACATCCCTGGCCTCTATCCACTAGTTGTTCTTCCCCAAGTTGTGGCAGCCCAAAATGTCTTCAGACATGGCCGTATGTTCCCTGAAAGGCAGAATCCCCCTTTGTTGAGAACCACTGTGTCAAACAAATCAAGGCCCTGCTTTAAGAATTCCATTAGAACTCAACCGAGCACAATGACTGTAATCCTGGCACTTTGGGAGGCTGAGGCAGGAGGATCGCTTGAGCCCAAGAGTTCGAGGCCAGCTTAGGCAACATAGTGAGATGCTATCCCTACAAAATATTGACTTCAAAAAAGAATCCAATTAGAATTCAATTACAATGAGGAATATTTGAATAAAAATTTTAGTTCCATTGGATGTTTGTTTTCAACATATCCAAAATCAGATTCATCTTCCCTTTATAATCCATTCCTCAATCTAGTTTAATGATTTCTGTTATTGGCACCATCAACGTTCCTCATAATTCTAATAAGAAACATCCAAGTCAGTTTTTGCTTCCTCTACCCTATCAATGGACAAGTCCTGCTGATTCTACTTCTATCATTCTTCTTATAGTCAGGAGTTTCTTCCTTTCCCCTGCAGTGCTCCAGTTCAGACTTCCATTACTTCCTTCACTTGCCCTCAATAATACTTCTTTTTTTTTTTTTTTTTTTTTGTGAGATGGAGTCTTGCTCTGTCACCCAGCCTGGAGTGCAGTGGTACAGTCTTGGCTCGCTGCAACCTCTGCCTCCCAGGTTCAAGCGATTCTCCTACCTCAGCCTCCCAAGTAGCTTGGAATACAGACGTGAGCCATCATGCCCAACTAATTCTTGTATTTTTAGTAGAGATGGGGTTTCACCATGTTGGCCAAGCTGGTCTTGAATTCCTGACCACAAGTGATCTGCCCGTCTTGGCCTCCCGAAGTGCTGGGATTACAGGCATGAGCCACCAGGTCCGGCCACTTCACCTCAATACTACTGACTTCAACCATAACATACTCCTTCTGGTCTTCCTGCCTCTAGTCCTGCCATTTCTTCCTACTCAAACCTAGCCCAGATCTCAGCAGCGGATCATTCTTTGCAAAATACTGCTCCAGTTATATTAATATTATTTCCAAGTGTTCAAACCCCTAATGGCTACCTGGAGCCAATTCAGGTACCAGCTGACCTGCCCTGTGCTACCTAATATGATCCCAAAGCTTTTCATCCATTACTCAGAAAATGTGCCCAACACAGCAGCAAACCTCACACAGGCCCCTGCTTTTCAGCCACATGCCTTTCTTCTGCCTCTGCCTGGAAGGCTCTCCTCAGTCTCCACCTACGGAAGTCTTATCAGTTCCTTCAAGTCCATCTCAAATGCCATTACCTCTGATATATTTTAGGATCTCCCACACTCCAACCAAATATAATTCTACTTTCTTTGAAGCCTTATACCAAGTTCCTTGAGTCTGGAGGAAGAAAAGATTACTTTCTACGTGTTTTTTTGTTTGTTTGTTTTTGAGACAGAGTCTCACTCTGTTGCCCAGGCTGGCTTGCAGTGGTGTGATCTCGTTCATTGCAACCTCTGCCTCCTAGGGTTCAAGCAATTCTCGTGCCTCAGCCTCCCGAGGTAGCTGGGATTACAGGCACCCCCCACCATGCCCAGCTAATTTTTATAATTTTAGTAGAGACGGGGTTTCACCATGTTGGCCAAGCTGGTCTCGAACTCCTAACCTCAAGAAATCCACCAGCCTCAGCCTCCCAAAGTGCTGGGATTACAGGTGTGAGCCACTGCACCCGGCCTCTACAGTGCTTTGTACAGAACACAGCCTCTGTGTACCTGCCTGCCCTCCCTCTTACACTAGCCCACTCTTGCTTGCATTAGGTTTTGGCTATTTGTTGGTACGGACTGTGTCAGGAGTTTTTTTTCATGCCTTATATAGAGTAGTCACTCAATAAATATTTATCAACCTAAATGGAATTTTAAATTGTATACAAGTAGGTTTATTTCTATATAAAGTGTATTCAGTCTAAGCAGCGATTGTTAACCTTGCCTGCACATTAAAAGCTCCTGGGGAGCTTTTAAAAAATCTCAACACCCAGGCCATTTCTCAAATCAACTGAATCAGTAGCCCTGGGGTTGTGACACAGGCATCAGTATTTTTTAAAGCTTCCCAGGTGATTCCGATGAGCGACTAAGGTTGAGAAGAATCATTTTATTACCATGATTATCGTAGAACTTACCCGTAAAGGTCTGAAGGGATGCAGATGGCACAAAGCTGTAGTGCTGGAATCCATGAGGAAGGTACTGCCCCTGGTTACGCGTGCAGTATGTGCCTGGAAAATAGAAATAAGCACACACGTTGGCTTTATTAGACCCTACTATTTTGTGCTACATTTGTTAGACATGCAGCATTCATGAAGCCCCCAAAGGAAGCTCAGAAACCTGCAAAAAATGGATCAAGGAAAGAAGGAAAGTTGATGCAATTTGCCTCGCCATTTATTTCAAAAATGTGTGCAGATTCCATAAGCACCCTTCTCTCCAAGCAACTGAAGGGCTTTTCATAACTTAATTAGTCATGGCATTGGGGATCAGAGGGAAAATGGAGAAAGAAAATGCACCGTTTAAACCAAAACTGCCTTGTTGAGATAGATCACTCTTCACCAAACTAAGGGATTATGCAGAATTTCCAAATAGCAGAAGTGGTTTAAATGCATCCTTCTCTTTTTATTCATCACTTAACTTTTGTAGGCATTCAATAAGAAAACATGGTCAATAGACAAGCAGCAAGTAGACTTAGGGCCCTGAGGAACACGTACAAGGAAGAATCATTCCCAGAGGAGTCAAAAGATGACTTTGGTAAGGGCAGTTTCACCTGGATAATCCTCACATGATAAATGGGTTGTGCTCCACATATTCATTTGTAAAGTGGTTGTTTAAAACTGAGACTATATTTCCTTACACACATATCACCCAACGCTGGATTCCCAAGTGAATCCAGAAAAGCCCGTCTAATTCATGACTGATTACAGCACAGAAATACCTCCCTTTACTGCTTCTCACTTCACTGTACTTCACAGATACTGCAGTTTTTACGAATTGAAAGTCGGTGGCAACCCTGTGAGAACGTGTGCTCTCACTGCCTGTTTCTGTGTCGCATTTTGGTAATTCTGGCAACAATTCAAAATTTCAACATTATGATACAGTTATGGTGATCTGTGATCAGGGGTCTTCGATGTTGCTATTGTAATTGCTTTGGGGCACCATGAACTGCACCCATAGAAGGCGGCAAATTCAATCGCTACATGTTGTGCGTGTTCTGACAGCTCTACCAACCGGCTGTTCCCACATCTCTCTCCCTCTCCTTGGGCCTCTCTAGTCCCTGAGACTCAGCAATATTGAAATTAGGACAATTCATAACCCTACATTGGCCTCTAACTGTTCAAGTGAAAGAAAGAGTAGTACATCTCTCACTTTAAATCAAAAGCTAGAAATGATTGAGCTTTGAGAGGAAGACATGTCAAAAGCTGAGCTAGGCCACAAGCTAGGTCTCTTGTGCCTGTTAACCAAGTTGTGAATGCAAAGGAAAAGTTCTTGAAGGAAATAAGTGCTACTCCAGTGAACACATAAATGATAAGAAAGCAAAACAGCCTTATTGCTGATATGGAGAAAGTCTGAGTGGTCTGGATAGAAGATCAAATCAGTCACAACATTCGCATAAGCCAAAGCCTAGTCAGAGCAAGGTCATAATTCTCTTCAATTCTGTGAAGGCTGAGCTAGGTGAGAGAGCTGCAGAAGAAAAGCTGAAAGTAAGGCTGGGCACGGTGGCTCACGCCTGTAATCCCAGCACTTTGGGAGGCTGAGGCGGGTGGATCACGAGGTCAGGAGATCAAGACCATCCTGGCTAACACGGTGAAACCGCATCTCTACTAAAAATACAAAAAATTAGCCAGGCGTGGTGGCGGGTACCTGTAGTCCCAGCTACTCGGGAGGCTGAGCCAGGAGAATGGCGTGAACCTGGGAGGCGGAGCTTGCAGTGAACCAAGATCCTGCCACTGCACTCCAGCCTGGGTGACAGAGCGAGACTCCGTCTAAAAAAAAAAAGAAAAGCTGGAAGCTAGCAGAGGTGGGTTCATGAGGTTTAATGAAAGAAGCCATCTCCATAATCTTAAAGTGCAAGGTGAAGCAGCAAGTGCTGATGTAGAAGCTGCAAGTTATCCAGAAGATCTAGCTAAGATCATTGATGAAGGTGGCTACACTAAACAACAGATTTTCAATGTAGATGAAACAGCCTTGTATTGAAAGAAGATGCCATCTGCGACTTTCCTAGTTAGAAAGGACAAGTCAATGCCTGGCTTCTAAGCTTCAAAGGACAGGCCGACTCTCTCATTAGGGGCTAATGCCGCTGGTGACTTTAAGTTGAAACCAATGCTCATTTACCATTCTGAAAATCCTAGGGCCCTTAAGAATTGTGCTAAATCTACTTTGCCTGTGTTCTATAAATGGAACAACAAAGCCTGGTTGACAGCACATCCGCTTACAGTGTGATTGACTGAATATTGTAAGCCCACCATTGAGACTCAGAAAAAAAGTTTCCTTTGAAAATATTACTGCTCGTTGACAATGCAGCTGGTCACCCAAGAGCTCTGATAGACACATACAAGAAGATTAATGTTGCTTTCATGCCTGCTAATACAACATCCGTTCTTGATCCAGCCCATGGATCAAGGAGTCATTTCAACTCCCAAGTTTTATTATTTAAGAAACACATTTCTTAAGGCCATAGTTGCCATAGACAGTGATTCCTCAGATGGATCTGCGCAAAGTAAATTGAAAAGCTTCTGGAAAGGATTTACCATTCTAGATGCCATTAAGAACATTCATGACTCATGGAAGGTCAAAATATCAACATGAACAGGAGTTCGGAAGAATTCGATTCCAACCCTCATGGATGACCAAGAGGTTCAAGACTTGAATGGAACACGTCACTGCAGATGTGATGGAAATAGCAAGAGAACTAGAATTAGAAGTGGAGCCTGAAGATGGGGCTGAATTGCTGCCATCTCATGATCAAACTTTAGCAGATCAGAAGTTGCTTCTTATGGCTGAGCAAAGAAAGTGGTTTCTTGAAATGGAAACTACTCCTGGTGGAGATGCTATGAACATTGTTGAAATAACAATAAACAATTTAGAGTATAACATAAACTTTGTTGATAAAGGAGCAGCAGGATTTGAGAGGATTGATTCTAATTTTGAAAGAAGTTCTACTGCGGGTAAAGTACTATTAAACAGCATTGCATGCTGCAGAGAAATCATTATGAAAGAAAAAGTCAATCAATGCAGCAAACTTCGCTGTTATTTTAGGAAATTGGCACAGCCACTGTAACATTCAGCAACCACCACCCTGATCAGTCAGCAGTCATCAACATCAAGACAAGACCCTCTGACAGCAAAAAGATTATGAGTCTGTGAAGGCTCAGATTATTGTTAGCATTTTTTTTTAGGAGTAAAGTTTTTTTTGGTTTGTTGTTGTTGTTCTTGTTGTTGTTACAGGGTCTGGCTCTGTCGCCCAGGTTGGAGTGCCGTGGTGTCATCTCTGCTCACTGCAACCTCTGCCTCCCAGGCTCAAGCCATCCTCCCACCTCAGCCTCTCAAGTAGCTGGGACTACAGGCACTCACCACAGTACCTTGCTAATTTTTTTAAGTTTTTGTAGAGCCAGCGTCTCACTGTGTTGCCCAGGGCTGGTCTCAAACTCCTGGGCTCAAGCGATCCGCCCACTTGGGCCTCTCAGAGTGCTGGGAATACAGGTGTGAGCCACAGTGCCCTGTCAAAGTATTCTTTAATTAGGGTATGTACATTGTTTTTTAGACACAGTGCTATTGCACACTTAATAGACTACAGTATAAACATAACTTTTATATGCACTGTGAAAGCAATAAAATTATGTGACTTGCTTTATTGTCTGGAACAGAGCTCTCAGTATCTCCGAGGCATACCTGTACCTATTACACTAGATTGGGTTATGGCCTCAAGAACAGGGAACCAGACAAAGCAGTGAATAAGAGAAAAAAGACTACTTCCTCCTCCTTTTCGGTGCCTATGATGTGTCAAAGCTAGAGTGTCTATGATCCTTTCTGCATCTAGCCTTCATTCTTTGTTTTTCTTCCCAGGTGCCCTGTGCCCCATGTTCTATAATCTCACTGCTCTAACTTGTCCCATCTCATCCCTTCCCCAAGGCCTGCCAGGGTGCTTCACGCTCCACAATGACCTAACTCCAGTTCCATACATCTTGGCTTGGTATCCAGAAGAAACCAGTCCAGTTGAACAAATTCTAAATGCCCGAGAGTCTTTTAACTTCACAGAGGTGCTGAATTTTTAAAACCAATTGCTTTCTCCCTCCCATCAACTTCTATTTAATAAAATTGCTGAGAGAGTTTTTAAAAAAAAAATCAAACTGTGAGGGGAAATAGAGGGAACTGACTCAGACACCCGAACTGTTCCTGCCAATCACAGCCTCTTCCTTTCTTCCTTCTCCTCCATGTGCTCCCAAAGTACCTTCCAAGCCGGGACCTTGAGTTTATGTGCATATGGGCTATTAATAAATCGATTGTAAACTCAAAACTGCCAGGGAAACCATAAATGTAGGCAAATTTACTCATAATAGCCTTTATTCAGGGTCCCTTCCAGGGTCCTTGGGTAACTTGCATTAAAAATATTTCCACTAATGGTTGAGTTGAAAGTCAACATGCCTTACCGGTAAATGAACAGTTACTTAGACTTCAATAGAGTCAAAGTCCTTTTAATCACTAATAGCTTTTTCTTGTTTTAAGTGTATCAATATTCCAGAAAGTTCATTACTGAAGCATTGTTTGAAGAATGCCAAGCATCTTCTAAACTTTGACAATGCAGTGGTCATCAGTATGCTAAAAAGTTGCTAATATCATGTTTTTAAAAATCTGTGCAGTGCAAAAAATTGCATATTTGCTAAAAATATGTTTGCCTCTTATTTCTAATTACATTAGTTAGCATACTTGGTATTATAGAACCATAAACAAGCTGCCTTTGGTTAATATGTACATAATAGCCACTTCAAATTCCAAAGAGAAATAGCCTTGAACTTGCAAAAAATAAAGAAAGAGCATACTTTTCAATCCTCTGAGAATTGTGCCATAAATGCTGAGAGTATTGAAAATGGCTGCACTGCTATAAACATTAATTTGCTAGAAGATTTTAACATATAAGTGAATAGAAACTGTTTCTCTAATAATAAAAAGTAAAATATTTCAACATTATTTGACAATAGTATTTTAAGGCTGAAATAAATGTACATTTTTCTTTAAAATGTAGAAAGTAGTTATAGTTTCCAGGTTTAAAGATTACTTTTTGATAATGAATGAACCAATTTTTTTTTATTTCTTAGAACTGATAAGAGCAGATACTACACTTGGTCTTAGCTAAAAGGCCAAGAAGCAATTGGACCAATTCTTCTTTCTTTCTTTCTTTCTTTCTTTTTTTTTTTTTTTGAGATGGCGTCTCACTGTATTGCCCGGGCTGGAGTGCAGTGGTGTGATCTCGGCTCACTGCAGACTCCACCTCCAGGGTTCAAGCGATTCTCCTGCCTCAGCCTCCCGAATTTTTAAATGTACAAATATATTTGATTTTTTTTTTTTTTTGAGACAGCGTCTCGCTGTATTGCCCAGGCTGGAGTGCAGTGGCGCAATCTCGACTTATTGCAACCTCTGCCTCCCGGGTTCAAGCGATTCTCGTGCCTCAGCCTCCCAAGTAGCTGGGATTACAGGCATGTGCCACCACACCTGGCTAATTTTTTTTGTATTTTTGGTAGAGATGGGGTTTTGCCAGGTTGGCCACGCTGGTCTCCAACTACTGACCTCAGGTGATCCACCCACCTTGGCCTCCCAAAGTTCTGGGATTACAGGTGTGAGCCACTGCCCTGGGCCTTATTTGACATTTAAAAGTAATTTTATAAACGATTCTTATTTATATTGTATAAATTACTACATGTATTACAACCTGGTTAAAATATCTCTGGAGCAACAGAAAGATAACTGGATTTTGGTTTTCATTCTTAAACGCTTCTTAACTGAAAACAAATACACATTAAAAAATGGGATTTAAAGATGGGCAAGCACAGTTTGGACTGGAAATTCATGGAGATATGAATATAATCTTGTTACAATAAGAGGTGTTTTTATACTCACAAGAAACATAAATTATTTGTATATAGCTAGCATGGTAAAAGTAATTGCTCAATATTCCAAAACTCCAAAAACTCCAATGTTTCTACACAGATTCAATGAGTTATCAGCAAACAAGAGATAGATTCCTGTACTTTCCACATGATTACTGTTGTAAGAATCCAGTGAATGTATACTAGTATTGACTATAGTTGTCACTGCCAAAAGATGACTAAATATGTATACAGTATAAAAGTTTTACTGCATGTTTTAAGGGCAGTAAAAATCCTAAAATAATTCAAATGAGAAAATTTTAATGCAACTATATTTTAACACAGTATTGGTAAAAAATGTTTCCAGTATTTTGATTTCAGAGACACCTTATCCTCTTTTATGATTTTCACTTAGTTTTTGCAATCATTAGCATTAAATTTATTGACCTAATCTTCTCTTTTCATTATCTCCCTGTCCAGATAAAAATTTTTAGAATATTTAATAGCATTAGGAAAGCTTCCTAGTTTGTAAATTCTTAGGTGAATTCTAAGGAGGATTTTAGTCATTCAAATGAGTTTAGATAGATTCTCTAATATTTTCATAACTCTGGGATCTCTGTCTCTTTATTTGTAAAATAAGCAAAGTAGTGAGGTTTGCTGAGGATGGAGGGTAGGATAAATGCATAAATAAATATTTATGAAGCGTTTAGACAACCCCCCCCCCAAAAGAGTGGTAGCAGTTTTTTAAATATATATTTTTAAAAATGTCTTTAATGTTTAAAATATTTTTCTCCAAAGTAAATAGTTAACTTGTTTAAAAAGTTCACATTACTGGCCAGGCGCGGCAGCTCACGCCTGCAATCCCAGCACTTTAGGAGGCCGAGGCAGGCAGATCATGAGGTCAAGAAATCGAGACCATCCTGGCCAACATGGCGAAACCCCATCTCCACTAAAAATACAAAAATTAGCCAGGTGTGGTGGCGTGCGCCTGTAGTCCCAGCTACTTGGGAGGCTGGAGCAGGAGAATCGCTTGACCCTGGAGGCGGAGGTTGCAGTGACCCGAGATCCCACCACTGCACTCCAGCCTGGGCGACAGAGTGAGACTCCGTCTCAAAAAAAAAAAAAAAGTTCACATTTCTTTCCTGCCCACTACTTTGTCCTTCCTTAGAAGGGTAGTACACAATGATGGGATTTTGTCTTCCAAGATGGCATGCAGCAAAGAAATAAATGGACAAACCTAAAGAAAAATCAAATGGATTTTCAAGAAATATCCTGTCTGCTTTCTGTAGGGAGATTCCAGGGAAATTCACTTCAGTGTAGGCAGAATAGCCTAGGGGAATTTTGACTTCTGTGTCTATGATTGAAGGTAGTGGAAATGATGACTCCACCGTGCAGAGAAATAGCAAGGGAGTTTCTGTATTCCTTTCTGGCATAAGTAGTTCAGGACAATTCCACAGTACTGTCCCAAACCCTAATGAAGAAACATCCCATGCCAGCATCTCAGTGGCCTTACATTGAATAAATCAGCTTTAGAATACCTGGTATACGTGGACCCTCAAAAATAAGCATATCCTTTGGTCTCTGTTTTTGCATTCTCAGCTACATCACGTCTGAACTTAATCCTGTTGATTCACATGAAGACTGACAAATGATGTACACCCACACACACACAAACACACACACACTTCAAGTAAGGAGTCGTGGAGCACCCACAGCTGACTTAATTCAATCCAAATCAAGTGACACCTTGTAACGCTTTTTCTCCCTCTCCATGCATAAGTTCTTCCCACTTGAAAACACACCAGGCCCCAGAAGTCCCGCAAACATGGTATGCTTCCATCTCAGGAAGCTGGAGTCAACTTATTTTCTAGAGTACTTTTTTTGGTTATTGAAATCTTAATGCAAAAGCCATTATAGTGACTATTTTGAAATGCGTGCATTGCATAAACTGTATATTTCACCTCTATTACTAGAAAGCAATTAACAGATCTTGGCTTTTATCCATGTTCCTCCACATCATGCATGTGAAGACCTTCTGTGGAACTGAAAACCAGTGATCATTTAAGCCAAAATGTCTGCGAGCATAAATCACGTCCTTCCTCAGAAGGCACATGGTATTGTATTCTGGTAGAACACGTCATCTACATGACACCCGTTGCTGTTCCCTAGTCCTGCTTTCTTAAGGATTTGTTGGGATTGTGTTTTGTTTGGAAATTTTGCAATTAGAAGAATAAAAATTAAATTTATGAATCAGAATTTAATATAAGCTGCATGTTTTTAAAGGCAATTTAGAGGATGTGATGGACTGTTTCTTTATTTATTAAATAAAGTTTTATTTATTCTCAACTGATTGTTGGGTTGGTTTTGCTTTTTTTTTTTTTTTTTTTTGTCCCACTCTTAGTATTCTGTGTTCTGTTACGTGATGGTCACTCAGGTGTGCCCATGAGAGGAGTCATAGGAAAGGCTCAAGAAAACAAACTTTATTGTACTCACAGATCCTAGAAACAGGAGGCATGTCACACCATGCAGGGCCACACGGGGAAGCACCAGCTTCAGTCAGGAGGCAGAAGGGGCTGGAGCAAGGTAAGAGCCTAGGCCACGGCCCTTATTGTAGTTCCTGTGAGGAAGGCAAGGCAGGGCAGGATTGGCTTGTTTAAATAATTTGGAAAGGCTCTAAGGAGAAGTCCCTAGCTACCTGGTATCTGGCCCTGAGATAATTAAGGCAGGTGAATATTACTTCCTGGTGTGTACAGGCCAGATCTCTGGATTGGTTAGTCTGCATACCAAAGGCAAGCTTTCCTTTGAGCCCTTTGCTATCCTTAAAAATTGGCCAGCCTTAAGAGGGGCAGTCTCTCCCCACCCAGAAAAGTTTTTTGTTGTTGTTCTGTTTTGTTTTAAGAAACAGTCTCATTCTTTTACCCAGGCTGGAGTGCAGTGGTACTCATAACCTCAAACTCCCGGGCTCAAGCAATCCTCCCACTTCAGCCTCCCAAGTAGCTAGGATTACAGGCGCACACCACCACACCCAGCTAACTTTTAAAATTTTTTGTAAAGACAGGGTCTCACTATGTTGCCCAGAGTGGTCTCAAATCCCAGGCTCAAGTGATCCTCCTGTCTGAGCCTCCCAAAGTTCTGGGATTACAGGAAGGAGCAACCACACCCAGCCCAGAAAGTTTTTTTAAATGTTAAAACAGCATAATATACAGAACATTTTAAAACTAAACAATATACTTAGTATATGAGATGGGTAAATTCTTGTTTTCCAGAACAGTAATTTGCTGCATAACAAGGTTTTAGTCAATCACTTATATGACAGTGGTCTCTTAAGCTTAAAACAGAGTTGAAAAATTCCTATCACCTAGTGACTTTGTAGGTAACTGATACGGTTTGGCTCTGTGTCCCCTCCCAAATCTCACTTTGAATTGTAATCCCCATAATCCCCACGTTCTAGGGCGGGACCAGGTGGATATAATTGAATCATGGGGACAGCTTCCCCCATGCTGTTCTCTTGATAGTGAGTGAGTCTCACGAGATCTGATGGTTTTATAAGAGTCTGGCTTTTCCCCTGCTGGCACTCATTCTCTCTCCTGCCACCCTGTGAAGAGGTGCCTTCTGCCATGATTGTAAATTTCTTGAGGCCTCCCCAGCCATGTGGAACTGTGAGTCCATTAAAACTCTTTTCTTTATGAGTTACCCAGTCTCTGGTATTTCTTCATAGCAGTGTGAGAATGGACTATAATACAGTAACATAACATTGTAGTGCAACACATGACTCAACATGTCTGTAGTGATGCTACTATAAACAAACCAACTGCTCTGCCACTCATACATATTCAAACAATTGCACATACAACTATGTACAGTACATAATACTTGATAATGAAAATAAACAACTATCTTACTGGTTTATGTATCTATTATAAAATACTTTTAGAGTGTACTTCTTCTACTTATAAAAAGAATGGGTAACTGTAAAACAGACTCAGGCACATCCTTCAGGTGGTATTCAAGAAGGCATTGTTATCATAAGAGATGGCTCCAGGCCTTATACTACCCCTGAACACCTTCCAGTGCGACCAAATGTGGAGGAGGAAGACAGTGACATTGATGAATCTAGCCCTTTGTAAGCTCAGGTTAATGTGGGCCTACAAAGGTTAATGTGGGCCTACAAAAGGTTAATGTTTCTTTTTTTTTTTTTTTGAAACGGAGTCTTGCTCTGTCGCCCAGGCTGGAGTGCAATGGTGCGATCTCAGCTCACTGCAACCTCCGCCTCCTGGGTTCAAGTGAGTCTCCTGCCTCAGCCTCTTGAGTAGCTAGGACTACAGCCATGCGCCACCATGCCAGGCCAATTATTGTATTTTTAGTAGAGCCAGGGTTTCACCTTGTTGACCAGGCTGGTCTCAAACTCCTGACCTCAGATGATCTGCCCAAATCAGCCCCCTAAAATGCTGGGATTACAGGCGTGAGCCACCATGTCCGGCCATTAATGTGAGTTTCTATGTCTTAGTTTTTAACAAAAAAGTTTAAAAAGTAAAAAAATTAAAATAAATTTTAATTTTAAAAAATCTTATAGAATAAGAATATAAAGAAAATATTTTTGTACAGCTGCACAACGTGTTTGTGTTTTAAGCAGTGTGCTTTTACAAGAGTCAAAAAGTTTGAAAATGTCAAAAAATTACCAATAAGCTGAGGTTAATTTATTATTAAAGAAAGAAAATATTTTATAAATTGAGTGTAGCCTAAGTGTACAGTGTTTATAAAGTCTGCAGTGGTGTACAGCAATGCCCTAGGCTTTCACATTCACTCACCACTCACTGGCTCAGCCAGAGTAGCTTCCATTCCTGCAAGCTCCATTCATGGTAAGTGCTTTCTACAGGTGTGCCATTTTTTATCTTTAATACTGTATTTTTACTGTACCTTTTCTATGTTTAGAAACACAAATAATTATCATTGTGTTATAATTTTCCACAGTATTCAGTACAGTAACATGCTGCACAGGTTTATAGGCTAGGAGCAATAGGCTGTACCATATAGCCTAGGTGTGTAGCAGGCTAGACCATCTAGTTTTTGTAAGTACACTCTGATGTTCATACAATGATGAAATCACCTAACAACGCGTTTCTCAGAATGTATGCCCATTGTTGAGCAATGTGTGACCGTTGTCTTTCAGCTTTGGTATTTTGGGGATACACGATTCATCTGAAATAGCAATCTAAAAATCCTATGTAAATTCAATATAATACTTGTTAACATTTGTACCCACTAGTATATTTATAACCAGAGAAGGGAAAAGGTGTACATATGAGACAATAGATCATATATTTATTGTCTTATGTGTACTTTGAAATTTCTGGCTGGGCGCGGTGGCTCATGCCTGTAATCTCAGCACTTTGGGATGCCAAAACGGGCAGATCACGAGGTCATGAGATTGAGACCCTCCTGGCTAACACGGTGAAACCCTGCCTCTTCTAAAAATACAAAAAAGTAGCCAGGCGTGGTGGCGGGTGCCTGTAGTCCCAGCTACTCGGGAGGCTGATGCAGGAGAATGGCGTGAACCCAGGAGGCGGAGCTTGCAGTGAGCCGAGATCGGGCCACTGCACTCCAGCCTGGGGGACAGAGCGAGACTCCATCTTAAAAAAAAAAAAAAGAAAGAAAGAAATGTGTTTCACACATAGGTATAGAAAAGAGATATCTTCAGTGATGTCTAGACAGAGAGCAGATGCTAGCCAAATTCAGTACCAAAATAGCACTTTGCTTTTACTGCAATATGGCGAAATTTAAGTGAATTGAGCCTTAATTGTTGAATCCTGCAGCTCCACTAACCACAATCTAAATACACCCTCATCTGTGCCATATCTAGCAGAAATTTTAGATCTTCATTAGTATAAATATCAACTCATTAACTAAGAAACTGGCTATATTGGATGTTTAGCCTCGTCTTCCTTATGATCTGCAAATAGAAAGAATAGAAAGTCGGCCAGGCGCAGTGGCTCACACCTGTAATCCCAGCACTTTGGGAGGCTGAGGCCGGTGGATCACGAGGTCAGAAGATCGAGACCATCCTGGCTAACACGGTGAAACTCCATCTCTACTAAAAATACAAAAAATTAGCCGGGCATCGTGGCGGGCGCCTGTAGTCCCAGCTACTCGGGAGGCTGAGGCAGGAGAATGGCGTGAACCCGGGAGGCAGAGCTTGCAGTGAGCCGAGATCGCGCCACTGCACTCCAGCCTGGGCGACAGAGCAAGACTCCGTCTCAAAAATGAATAAATAAATAAATAAATAAATAAATAGGAAGTCAGTATAACCAGTTTTTGGTAATGAGACTAATGGTGGCTTGTCCCATCTTTTTTTGTTTTTCTTTTTGTTTTTGAGACAGGATCTCACTCTGTCACCCAGGCTGGAGTGCTGAGGCACAATCATAGCTCACTGCAACCTCAAACTCCTGGACTCAAGCAATCCTCCCCCAACTCAGCCTCCAGAGTAGTTGGGACTGCAGATGCACACCACCACACCTGGCTAATTTGTAAATTTTTTGTACAGATGGAGTCTCACTTTGCTGCCCAGGCTGGTCTTGAATTCCTGGCCTCAAGTTATCCTCTTGCCTCAGGCTCCCAAAGTGCTGGGATTGCAGGGATGAGCAACGGTGCCCAGTTACCTTTCCCATCTTGATAGTCCTGTTTATTTGTATGTGTTTCTTCAAGAGTTCTGACCTTGGGGTTTGGGAGCTCAATCTCTAGCTTGCACCCAGGGAGAGCCCACATATAATAATAGCTAGTCAAACTTCCAGAGGAGATCTTCCTTTATTATTTAATGCCCCTCTATTAGGAGCTCTTACAGCACATATCCCTGGTACAACACTATTGAAGGATTTGGCTAAACTCTGTTTAGGACTACTTAATGATTAATGTGTGTGTGTTCTCTTTTGGTTGTCTAGCCAAGGACAAGAATGGTGTCACATAAGACTGGGTGTGTGTCGGTACTTGATAATATTTGTTGATTTGTTGAAAAAAAGGAGCACAGATACAAAAATATTTTTTAATTTTAATGTCTTGTCAAACTAAAAAGAAAATGAATTTCCAAGATGAACAGTATAAAATACTATAGCAAGTTTTAGGTTGCTTGGTAATCGAAATTCTATTACATATCATGATATATGAATCTTGACTGCAAAAAGATTTTATACTTGGTTTTAGCTGAGCTCCTACTTAATAAACCACAATGGATCTCTCAACATACAGTTTGAAGAGTTTCATCAAAGATTGGATTTGATCACTGAGACTTATTTACTTTTCCCTCATATGTCTTCCAGGAAAAAAAAAAATAGTACATTGAGTGGGGTGGAAAGTTTAGAAATTTGGTAAAAGCTAAGTTGCTTCCAGAAATCTTCAAAACCCAGAAGCAGAAAGCTAAAGGCTTAGTATTTAAAAGACAGACTCCCATTCTTTTGGAGGAGCGACGTCAGGGAAGAAGTATGAGATTAGAATCCCATCATTTTAATTAAATTGTCTTATTTCATTAAGAAAGTGTTGTTAAATTGGTAGCCAAAAATGAAATATCTGTTGAAAAAATAACTTTTTCTGTGCAAAGCCCTATACTAGAAGCCATAGAGATACAATGAAAAGCACACTACTCTTTCACAAGGTATTTACAGTTCAGAGAGGGAGATGTGACATCCTACCTGAAAAATGACTAATGATCTTAATATATTTTTGAGACATTCTCTGATAAACAAAAGCACCGATTTTGCTCATTCTCGAACTCTGCACACTTCCTGGAGTTATTAATGAAGCTTCTCAGGAGATCTGAGTAAGTAGACTATTGTGCCCAAATAGCAAGTAAGGCAAATGCCTTGAATCTTGCCATTGACCCAAGTGCACACTGCAGAGTGGAGTTGTGACTAGAAAGGGGTCCTGGCATCATGACTTCTAGAATTGTGTTGTTTGTCTGCTAGATCACATAGCGTCTTTTAAGAGTTGTTGGAGTCAAGAGGTTAAACATTTTACTATTGAATTTGCAGTTTCTAAATTTTCAGTTTACTATCAAATTTGCAGGAAGCAAAGTTCTGAGCTCTCCTGTTTCTCATTAATGGATATCACCTGGAAAGGGAAATGCAGCTTCAAACTCCCAAGGGGTTTCTGAAAATACACTTGTGATTTTTTTTTTTTTTTTTTTGAGACGGAGTTTTGCTCTTATTGCCCAAGCTGGAGTGCAATGGCACAATCTCGGCTCACTGCAACCTCCACTTCCCGGGTTCAAGCGATTCTCCTGCCTCAGCTTCCCAAGTAGCTGGGATTACAGGCATATGCCACCACGCCTGGCTAATTTCGTATTTTTAGTAGAGATAGGGTTTCATCATGTTGGTCAGGCTGTTCTCAAACTTCTAACCTCAGGTGATCCACCTGCCTCGGCCTCCCAAAGTACTGGGATTACAGGCATGAGCCACTGCGCCTGGCCCACCTGTGATTTTTTTAAGTGTAAATGTATGTATGGGCTGGGGAAGACACTTTCCCTCATTACACACCAAACGGATTTTGATAGGGATAACTAAGAAAATAAAAATTGTAATAAAGTCTGTAGATAAACTGTGAAGAGGCAGCTGTGTCTGAGGTTAGGCTTGGGAATCCAAAATAAAAGAGTTTTGGGAGTCATTGGTGTTTTTGTTGACTTGTGACAAGACAAATTCCAAATGCATGGATAACTTAGAGTCCTGCTTTTCCTAATTATGAGTAAGACATTCTCCCAAATGCATGCACCACTCTTCACCAAGTCACTCTTTACATGAAGGGCTTGGTTTATCCACGCAATGGTTAAGCAAATTAATGAAAGTAATTCAAACCAATACCATGTTTATTATTTTGCTCCCATTTTGATTGGTCTTGATGGTAGTGAAGCCCTTATTGTCCAACTTGTACTGATTAAAAGGAAATCACTTCCAAAGGCAATATTTTTAATTTCTGTGTTAGTTTTAGAAATATAGAAGTGTATTCCTGTATATGTGTATATATACATTACTGTATACATATAAGAATAACTACATATATTTGGGTACTTGTAAGGACTTAGTAGCAATCTGCTTAATGTGGATAATAAAATATTGAGGAACTGTGTATCTAGTTACTTAAAAGCTAAATATTTCACTTTAATCTTTTTAAAAATCAACAAAAAATATACAAGTTGACAGAGAAAATGTTTAAATTAATTACATGTACTCTCATCAGCTTTTTGAGGAACTACTACAAAGCGGCACATTCGTTTATTGGTCGGATTAGGTTTAAACACTCCACATCTTTGCTCAGGGAAGCATTCTATATCATCACCTCCAAAGAGTTCTTTAGCGCCATCAGGAAACTGGCAAGGTACTTGGCATGAAAAACAAATCCACGTTTTTATTTATATTTTATAAAATGTATATTTTAATAATGTGTACACAGTTTAAAAAAATACAGAGCACCGATACCCATGTACTGTACCCAGAAAAAAAAAGTGTTTCTACTTCATGCTTGCACACACAATGCACTAAAGCAAAAACGCATTTACACAACAGGAAGGTAGCTCTGTTGTGAGCAAACACAAGTAATGGATACTGTAACTTCACCCGAACAGGACAAACTCACAAAGTTTAAGAAAGTGATTATTTCTCTGAGGACTGGAACAGAATAGCTTAATCCTATTTTTCTTAAGATTGTTTTCCCTCAAAGTAGCCCAGAAAAGGGGAAAGGGGGCATTATTTTCACAGCAATCAACCCATTCACAAGATCCATTAATGAAATCTACAAAATACAAAGGAGGAGGGGAAAAGAAAGGCAATTAAATGATTGCGTCCATAGGTCTGATGATGCGAATAAAGGTAATCTGAGAATCGACTAATTTTCCTCGAGGATTGCATCCTTAGAATCCTGGGCCGCCGGAGGCTTCTGGGCTACTTGGGGCAGGGCCGAGGCTCGGAGCGGCTGCCGGACACCCACCCCCGCGGAGGCGCGCGCCCTAGGTGGCCATCTGGAAGGGCTCGGGCTGGAAGCCGAAGAGTCTCTGGCTGTACAGCTCGCTCTCGCCCGGCAGCTTCGCGCCCGGGAACGGGAGGTAGTGGTCGCGGCCGAAGTGCTCACAGTGGAGACCCACCCAGTCCCGCTCCGAGCCGAATCGCTCGGCCTCGGCCAGGATCCGGGTCAGAGCCATGATGTAGCTCAGGGCCATCTGCAGGGTCTCGTACTTGGACAGCTTTTTATCCTGGCCCCACTGGGGAACCACCCTGCGTAAGCGGTCGAAGGCAGTGTTGAGCCCCTGCATGCGGCGGCGCTCGCGCGCGTTGGCCGCCAGGCGCCTGCGCGCCGCGCTCTCCAGCCGCCCGGCCCCGGCGCACGTGCCCGCGCACTCGGTGCCGCCCGCGCACGGGGGTGCAACGCGCGCTCCCGCCGGCGGGCCGCTGGGCTTGCAGGACTTCATCCCCGGCCCCAAGCAGCGAGGCGCCGACCTCGCACGCCCGCCCGCTCAGGACCTGCGCGTGGGCTGGTCTCTCGAGCCGCTTCCCAACGTGCCTCTTCTGAGCAAATAAGTCATAAACAAAGCAACTCACGTGCAATCAAATAGTTTACAGTGGGGGAGTGCGGGACTCGGCCTTCTGTTCTACTGGATGACCAGGCTGATATCTCTTCACTTGCCCAAATTTAGGGGAAAATGAGATGCTCAAGAGAAAGTCATTTTCTCAACATGAAGTTGAAAAAGAGAAGGAAACCTTCTGCAGCAGAGTTTGGTGTGGCTGGTTCGAGGAAGGCCTTTCAAGTCCTCTGGGAAAGCCTGAGACTCCTTTGCAGGAAGATGAACTCTTTCCCGAAGCTCAGGGAAGGAGCGCTTTTAGCGCAGTAGCTGTCGGAGAGTGCAGAATGAATCTTGGAGGGAGGAGAATTTATAGCAAAGAGCTGAAGGAGGGAACAGGTGGTGGCAGGTGGGCGGGCGTCCCTCGGCTTCTATCTCAGCACCTTCCTACCCTGGGAACTGCGGGGAGGAGGGGGCGACGCACAGCAAAATCCTGACATTACAGCATTAGTCTGTTGAAGTTTCTCCAAAGCTATGTCCAACACTAACTAACACACCATCTGGAGTGGCCTGGCTGTCCCCAAAAGAATAACAAGGTGGGGGTTGGGGCAGAGCTTGGTCTATCTTTTCCCGTATCAGTGGGCAGCTTACGTATCAAAAACTTAACCGAGACTTGTAAATTATTAGACATCATCTGTGTGAAAATGTTGGTTTCGGCATTATGAGATACATCGGGACTGTAGTATAAGAGGATGTAGCTTTGTTGAGAAGTGTGACAATTTTGCATAACGCTAATCTAATATACTGACATTTTAATTTTAGTTATTAAGTAAGTTGGAACAAATTAGCAGGTTCCAATATTATTGCAGACCTGGAATTTTACTGTGCAAATAATTTGGCTGTTTTCTATGAAATAATGTATTATAACATATCAAAAGATATTAACGTGTATATAAAACTTTATATTATTCTAATTATATAATTGGGTTGCTTGAATTCAGATACTTAGGCAAATCAATTCAGTATTTATACTTCATTCCCCCTGACACAGGTTCATAAATATTTGTGGGAAATGCACTGAGATGATAACTAATCATTTAATCATTTAACATTTAAATCAAAGAAAACTAATCATAATGCACATTTTTGTGCAAAATGAGAACATCTAAGTAACTTCTGAGGTTTTAAAAAATAGTTCCCAAAGCACAATTTTTGAAAATAGTTTACATCTTTGAACATTTCAGTTGTGTCAACTGCCCGCAGGAATAATAACAAAGCATGATTTCTGCTATTGATAATGACGATCTAATTGATGCAGAAAAACCATTAATTTGATTCTCTCATCTCTGCTCATTTCTCACTCTTAAGAGGAATCAAGGAGCAAGAAAACTACCTCCAAATAGGTTCAATCCAGAATCCTTACTGGATTTTTTAGGAAGACCAAGTATGCTCTTTCTCCTTTTGAAATATGGATATGTCAGCATTATTCTCAAATATGTTTATTAAAATGTCAACAAACTGTCACAAACTAGTAGTCTTTTAACCGTGACTTGCTTTCCCCACCATTGCTCAGACTATAACCCCATTGTGACCGCCCTGACTCCAAGTCCTGTCTTCTCATAAATAGTTGATTAATCCCCCAGCTGAAGCAATGACAATGAAATGAAGTTGAATGACATGAAGACAATAGGAAGCAATTGAACATTAATGATCTCCAGCATGACAGATGTTGAACACAGACTTCTGCATGGAGCCACTCAGCTCTGTTACTTTGGGTCATAACAGTCTTGGTTGGGAACAGCAGTCCTGTGACAGAAAAGACTATGTTATATAGTCATCAAAATGTCAAATATATTTTTCTGTGTTTCTGTGGAAATCTGCCCTATTAATGCCGTTGTTCTTCATATTCATTTGCTTCATCTCTTTCCTCCAAAGAGCTCCCTCTGTGCTGCTCTGTGGAATGTTTCTCTGCAAAATGGACTGTACATTTGTTCTGGATGTTATTGTCCAAAGTGCTAATGAGATGTATGATTTTGCAGGCCATGTACCCAGGATTGATGAGACTGTAGCCCAAGTCCAAAGGCAATGAAAGCATAACTTGAAGAGAAACAGGAAATACTACTGTGCACACAACAGTTATATTAGAACATAAACTAGCAGATACCTATGATATGAAGTTGATCCAAGGATAGAGAGAATTGCTGCAGTAAAGGGTCTTAGAGGGCATGTATAACACATTTCCCAAATGTATTCTGAAAGACATTATTAGAATGACAAAGATGCTTCTGGGGGAAAGGGTTCCATTGTCAAATAAATTTGGGAAACAGTATCTGCTGTCTTCCACTTGGAGAGTCATGAAGCAAAATTGGCACAGTAAAGTTTCTGAGAAATCCTGGAGTAAAGAAACCTATTGACTCCAGCATTTCTGAGATCTCCTTGAACACAGAACCCTCTTATCCTAGAAAGATCTATTGACAAAGTTCCTTGGCTGGGTGCAGTGGCTTATGCCTATAATCCTAGCACTTTGGGAGGCCGAGGCGGGAGGATTGCTTGAGACCAGCCTAGGCAATATAGTGAGATCCTATCTCTATGAAAAATGTTTTAAAAATATTAGTTGGGTGTGGTGGCATGCACCTGTAGTCCCAGCTACTTGAGAGGCTGAAATGGGAGGTTTGCTTGAGCCTGGGAGGTGGAGGCTGCAGTGAGCAGTGATCACCACTACACTCCAGCCTGGGCAACAAAGTATGACCCTGTCTCAAAACAAACAAAGTTCCTTGGACACTTTTTCTAACCTGCTCTAGTACATTTCATTTCATTTATTTTATTTATTTGTTTGTTTATTTTTTGAGACAAAGTTTCACTCTTTTTGCCCACGCTGGAGTGCAGTGGTGCAATCTCAGCTCACTGCAACCTCCACCTGCCAAATTCAAGTGATTCTCCTGCCTCAGCCTCCCAAATAGCTGGGATTACAGGCATGTGCCACCACACCGGCTAATTTTGCATTTTTAGTAGACACGGGGTTTCACCATGTTGGCCAGGCTGGTCTCGAACTCTTGTCCTCAGGTGATCCACCCGCCTCAGCCTCCCAAAGTGCTGGAATTACAGGCGTGAGCCACCGCGCTCAGCCTTCATTTATTTTACAGAGGAGAAGGAGACTGAGATCTAGAGACTGAACATTGTACTAAAAGGCACTGAGCAATTTAATGATTAGATTAAGGCAAGAAGTCAAATCTCCTGCATCCCTTCATTTTAGAGGCTTTAAAATTAGAAGATCAGTTAATACAAGCCCCTCATTTTGCAATGGGCCAACTGATATCTACCAGTCACTTCCCAGTCAGACAAGTCACTAATAAAATTTTCAGGAATAGAATTAGCAATTTTGTGCATAAAGGACAGCATCAGTTATTTTATAACCCTAGTGTCTAGCACACTAGACACTAGAAAATAATAAGTAGTCAGTAAATAACCTGGAATGAGTGACTGGAACAATAAACTAGGTAAATGATAGATGCGGGCCAGAATGAACACATTCCTAGTGAATAACCCAGACAATGATTCATGTTCCCTCACCTGTAGGGAACGGGAGCTAGCTGCACATTTTGAATGCAGAATGACTTCTTAAAAAACAGGCTGGGTGCAGTGGCTCACACCATCATTTCAGCACAGGAATTTCAGACCAGCCTATGCAGCATAGTAAGACCCTGTCTCTACAGAAATAAAATTAATTAGCTGGGAGTAATGGAGAATGCCTGTAGTACCAGTTACTTGAGAGGCTAAGTAAGGGAGGATAGCTTGAGTATAGGAGGTCAAGGCTGCAGTGAGCTATGATTGCACCACTGACTCCAGCCTGGGTGACAGAGCAAGACCCTGTCTCAAAAAAAAAAAAAAAAAAAAAATCCATAGCCTTTTGGGCCAGAAGAACATGTATGTCAGACTAATTTCCACAGTGTTTCCATACTGAATGTATGATCTTACTAGTTGAATTGGTGGTTACCATACATCTGGTGGTTGGCCAGAAATCAAAACTGGCAGATGGAGATAAGGAGATGGCAGGAATTGGGGGTGGACCCAGGGAAGAAGGAGTTTGCACATGCAGAAGGAATAGAAAAATAGAAAATATTATTTTAAAGGTAAAAGATCCATGGCTAGAAATTATTACATAAAATGTGTAGAATAGGTTTAAGGGTAAACATTCCTTTATTATCCAAAACTGTGTTTAATTTTTAAGATGAAAGCTCTCAAACACACACACACACACACACACACAAACACACAAAATTAAAAGAGAGAAAGGAAAACACTTGGAAAAAAATATTCATTCTGAAATTTGCAGAGAAAACTATGGAAATTGAAGACTGAGCCTTCATTATTGAGAGTGTAGCAGTCAGGAGACTCTGGGTCCCCTAAAGACTAAGAGGAAAGTCAGCAAAGGACAAAGGAACAATGAAGCTGAGGTCCACTCCTATTTTATTGAAAACCAAAAGTGCAGTGTGTTAACAGTTCCTGTAGCTTTATTTATTTATTTATTTATTTAAAGGCGGAATCTGACTCTGTCTTCTGGGCTGGAGTGCAGTGGTATGATCTCAGCTCATTGCAATCTCTACCTCCTGGGTTTGAGCAGTTCTCCTGCCTCAGCCTCCTGAGTAGCTGGGGTTACAGGGGTGCACCACCACACCCGGCTAATTTTTGTATTTTTAGTAGAGATGGGGTTTCACCATGTTGGCCAGGCTAGTCTCAAACTCTTGACCTCAGTGATCTGCCTGCCTCGGCCTCCCAAAGTTCTGGGATTACAGGCGTGAGCCACTGCGCCCAGCCGAGTTCCTGTAACTTTATAATGTGCTGCGTAGTTACCAGGAGGAGAAAAACCCACAAAAAGATTGAAGGATTGAAGCCAAATCTTGTACCTCTACTCCCTGCCACTCAAAGGTCCAGGGAAGAGAAAAGCCAGTGAAGGACAGAAATTAAGAAGGGACAGGGACTAATCATGAGGTCAAGAGAAAGATGACAACAATGGGGGGCCTTGTCCCAGGCCTCGGCAGTAATCACTCACCAGAAAAATCCAAGCTCACCAAAGGACCCCAGGAGGTTCTCCAGCTTCCAGTCACTTGGCACACTGCTGGAGAATTCTGGCTAGGCACTTTGATTTAGACTCTAGTTGCCATGAGCCAGACCGACTTGCACAGTTTGCACTCTGCCTTCACTCTTCTTGCTAGTGGATCTTAGAGTCCTGTTGGCATTGTGGCTAAACATAACACCATCTTTGGAGTCCATTTTGAATCCTGGACCCCCCATCAACTAGCTGAGTTATGTGCTCTTGTGCAAGTCACTTCTCCTGTTTCTCCACCTGCAAGGTAGGAATCATAATACCTACCTCATAGGGGAGATTGCATTAAATAAGACTGGGCCTGCAAAAGACCCTGCCTGGTCCCTATGAAAGTCACCCTTTAAATGACAGCGAGGATTACATATTATGAATTTTTTTTATAAATCGTAATAAAAATGAGCTTGTCATCAGTTTCTGAAGATTCTGAATTAAATGAATAATTTTTGAACCTTTTATACATCGAACTATAAAGTCATGATATGAATCTCAGCTGTGTGATCTTGGCCAACTTACTTAACTTCTCTGTGCCTCTCATGTTATATGTAAGAGAGGAATAGTAATAGTATAATCAATCTCATACAATAGGATTAAATTAGTTTCTCTTTGTAAAGCACTTAGATCTATGCCTGGCATACAATTAAATGTAATATAGCTGCTTGCTTAAATAAACAAAATAACCTGTTGCAGTTTTCCAGGGTGTAGAATAGTCACCCACTCCTGCTTATTTTTGCTTCAATTTTCTGCTCTTGAGTGCTGGTACCTTAGGGTGAACAGGGACAGGGAGAGAAGGGAAAATTCAAATAGGTTCATTTTGCCTTTGATATTGGAGCAATCTTGTTTGAAATGTCAGAGACTGGCCAGGCGCGGTGGCTCACGGCCGTGATCCCAGCACTTTGGGAGGCTGACGCAGGTAGATCATCTGAGGTCAGGAGTTCGAGACCAGCCTGGCCAACATGGCGAAACCCCGTTTCTACAAAAAAACTACAAAAATTAGCGGGGCATGGTGGTACACGCCTGTAGTCCCCACTACTTGGGAGGCTGAGGCAGGAGAATCGCATGAACCCGGGAAGCAGAGGTTGCAGTGAGCCGAGATCGTGCCACTGTACTCTAGCCTGGGTGACAGAGTGAAATTCCGTCTCAAAAAAAAAAAAAAGTCAGTGACAGAAGCCAAAAGGCTGCTCAGGGAAAGCCTTAGTTGGTAGTAAGTTTAGTGATTTCATTAGAGTTTGAGGTTCAGTTTTACAGTTGCAGACACATAGTTAAAAGTGTTCATTTTCAGGGGATGCTCTACTTGTCCAGTGACTGAAATATTTGCATTTACCATCCAGGCCTCTTCCTTCCTGGTACGGAGGTATTTGAGGAGACAAACTGACAATCATGATGTTGCTTTACACATATAGAACCAGAACAAAGGGAATGGGTCTTAAGGATGTGCTAAGCTTTTTGTGGCATACTTAGGCTGGCAGCTACATTTCTCAGAATGCCTTTCCCTGTGTGGCTCCAGATTTGAGTTGGGCAAACGAGCAGTTGCATGAGCTATGGGAGGCATAAGTAAAGTCACCAAAGTCTGGAGACGACTGCAGGTTGAGGGACAGGAGAGACAGACACAGAGGTGCCAATGGAGCCCAGTTTGTGTTTGTCTTCTCTTATTCCACATACAGCACACACCCTCTCGACTGTTGGCCCTACTGAGCAACAGCAGCCCCAGGCCCGCCACCAGATGCTTCATGTGAACTCAAGGAGGTGACAGCCACAGGGCACCTGGCTTCTCTGCCACCTCCCTGCCCTTACTTCAGCAGTTGGACATCCCTGGCTTCCGGAGTCCTTGCATGCTCGGATTCATTCACCCAAGCCAGTGCTGCTTAGGGACTTTCATCCAATCCTTCAACAACTTTTTTTTTTTTTTTTTTTTTGAGACGGAGTCTTGCTGTGTCGCCCAGGCTGCAGTGCAGTGGTGCTATCTCGGCTCACAGCAACCTCTACTTCCCGGGTTCAAGCAACTCTCCTGTCTCAGCCTCCTGAGTAGCTGGAATTACAAGCGTGAACCACCATGCCCGGCTAATTTTTGTATTTTTAGTAGAGATGGGGTTTCACCATGTTGGCCAGGCTGGTCTCTAACTCCTGACCTCAGATGATTTCCCCAACGGGGCCTCCTAAAGTGCTGGGATTACAGGAGTGAGCCACCACGCCCGGCCAGAAACTTCTTTTTTGGACCTTTATGTCCCTAGCTCCTCTCCCAATTGTGTAAGACCTTGTCCTTCTAAGAAATTCCTTCTTCCATTATGCTCAGAGTGGCTCTGCTTTCCTGACCGGACCCTGACTGGAGCAAGGGATATTTCATCCAGACCTCAGTAAGGCCACAAGACCTATCCCTGCCTGCCAGTGGAGAGAGACCATCTGCACAGTGTCCATGTGTCCACCAGGATACGAGACTTTGTATCTTGGACAGGGATTACTACTTCTATCTGTTCAGCCCTGTGCCAGGCAACATCAGGGATAAGACGGCCTTTAGCCTATTGGAATTCACGATCCAATTCTGCAGGTAAGATCCATTTAACAGATATTAAAAACCTACCGTGAGCAGTAAACCAGGGTCTTGCTCCCCAACAGGTGCATAAGACAACCAATTAGAGTATGGGAAAATAATATAAATTTTACTGACATTTGTTTTACATCTTTCTTTTAATTTCTGTCTTGGGGTGGAGGGACCCCACACACGGGGGGAGAGTAGACATTGCCCCCCAGCAACTCCCAGCAACACAGCTCTTTTTCCTTTTGCTAATGGCCCCTTTCAAGAGAAATAATGTCCTCCAAAAGCAATGGCAACAGACCTGCTGCTTTGTTTCTGCTCTGAAATGGTGGCATTTGCTGTTTCACAGTGAGCAGGTGGCTTTCTTCCCCAAAGGGTGGCTCTCATTACATCCAGGTTTCAGGCGGTACCTGAGTCAGCTCAGAGTTAAAGCCCAGAGGCTTCACTTGCCCAGGCCAGACACTGATGTCGGCTCCCTGCCCCGTGGGAAGTGGTTTTCTGTTTATTTTAGTTGGTTTAGCCTTTTTTGTTTCCTTGTGCAATTTCAGCAGCTTGGCTAAACAAGTTATTCTAAGTGTCCAGACACCCGGGTCTTCTGATTCTGAGGTTGTATTCCCATCACTCCTCACCATTGTTTTTGACTCTTACTTCCTGGCTGTGTGCCTGCCTCCTACTGACCTCCACTGAGAGGGAAGCAAAAAGATACCATGGCTAGCTGGCCAGACATCTGTCCCAATCGGATTCCTAGGCGATCTTTAAGTAGAACCCCAAACTGGAAGCCATATGAGTGTATAGTCTTTTCTATTCCTTTGGTAACTATATACCAACTTGTTTCATTGTTTCAAACTGATTTTCATTTGTTCATTTACTCAACAAATTTTTATTTTATTTTATTTCATTTTTTGAGACAGGGTTTTACTCTGTCACCCAGTCTGGAGTGCAGTGGCACATCATGGGTCACTGCAGCCTCAACTTCCCTGGGCTCAGATGATCCTCCCACCTCAGCCTCCAGAATAGCTGAGAAAACAGGCACGTGGCCACCATGCCTAGCTAATATTTTTATTTTTTATTTTTTCAGACGGGGTTTCACCATGTTGCCCAGGCTGGTTTCAAACTCCTGAGCTCAGGCAATCCACCTGCCTCGGCCTCCCAAAGTGTTGGGATTACAGGCATGAGCCACTGCGCCAGGTTTGACAAATACTTATTGTACTTACAATGTACCAGGGATTGTAGGCCCTAGAGATAGTGCTGAACAAACTGCAAAAATCTCTGCCCTCGTGCATATTTAAAACTGGTAATGTTGGTATCTTCTTACATGTTTATTTCCTGCTTCTCCAAATAGACTAAAAATTCTTTGAGAGAAGGGACAAATTTTCAATGTCTGGTTCTTGCTAGAATGTTCAATAAATACATATTTGCTGCTTGGCTGACTGAAGTTCTTACTTATTCAGGCTGACCTTAAGCTAAAAAAAATGGTTATCATCACCATAACAATATTTGCACCTTCAGGAAATACCAAATGCTCACCCAGTGTTAACTCCAATTCTTATAACCCTCTTTGAGTGAGGACAGTTGTAATCCCATTTTGTGGCCAAGAAAACCAAGGCCCTAGTTAAACTGAGCAACACAGCAGCCAGGTTTGAACCCAGCTCTCTTTCTACACAGAGCTCATGCTCTGTGCTGCACTGGCCCTTGTCTGTGAGAGCTTTGATGGCAGGAACACGGCCTTATTCTTCACGGTGTACCCAGTTCCTAGAAAAGGAGCTGGGACCCGGTTGCACTCATTAAATATGCTGGGATGTGTAAGCAGTCACTGTGTCAGGCCCAGCTGGCCCCCATTCTGCTAAACTATAGGCACAGGATCTAGCAATCTGCAGGCACAGATGAGCCTCATTCTGTGAACCAAGTCCAAGGGTTCCTTGGAGCCCCATTTCCCACTAGGTGTTGTCTGATATACCTGGGAGTGAGCCAGAGGCTCCTGAAGATGCATAAACCTCACCTTCTTCTTTGGACCTTCCTGCAACACCCCTTCCCCCATGGGCCCTCCTCCTTAGGTTCCCAAAGTTCCCATCAGCTTGGGTAATGGGGTCCCTTGTCCACCATGAGATCTCTCCTCTGAGGACCTGGACTCTTGCTCTTCTCTCAGCAGAGGACTAGGGGCCTGCCTAACCTACACACACCTTCCCAGCCCCGGCACCCACCACTGGATTACTCCCACACTGCACCGTACCTGGAGCCTCTGCATCTCTTCACATAAAATCAGATCCTTGCACATTGGTGCCAAAATAAAGTCTCAGTTTGCCTTGTCCCTCTGCCACTGAGCATCTGACCATCCTGCTCACATGCCAATTTCACCCCCGAGTCAGTTCCTCCAACCCTGGCTGCCATTGTTTGCATGTTCACCTCCCTGGGACTGCCTGTTCTTGAGGCTTCGGTGGACCAGGGGTGGACCTGAGCACCCGGCACTGACAGTCATGACATTCCTGCTGACTGCAGTGCTCAGGTGACAAGTGACACTCATGACCTTTCTTTTCAGCACATTTGTCCCATTCCCTAGTGGCTACTCCCAATTGCCATATAATTTGTCACTCTACGTCACTTGATTCACCTCAGCAAGCTTGCTTTGCTACTATCCGAGGAACACTGAATTGGGTCCCAGGTAACATTGGTTCCATGTCTCCATGCTCCTTGGTGGCATACATGACTCACGTAAGTCATCTAGGATGGAAGCCAAAGTTGGCTTATATACTTAACCACTTCAGGCTAAGAAACACTCCTATAACATAAGTTTTCTGCAGAAGCCCATTAAAAGAACCTCTTACTGATTGGATCCCCAACATGTCCCCAGAATCAAGTGGTTCGGAGTAATTCCAGAGTGCTGACTCAAACCCCAATCCCTCCTTTTTCTCATTACTCACTTTATCTAGATCAGCTTTGTTGGTCCTCCAAAGTGTGTTTCCCAAATGTTGTCCTGAAACTGCTACCCTTCAACAAAGAAAAGAAAATTCTGGCTTAGACAAAGCTATACAGTCATCCTTTGGTTCCTGTTGGGGATTGGCTTCAGGACCTTTTTTGGATACCAAAATTTATGGATGCTCAAGCCCCTGATATAAAATGATGTTGTATTTGCATATAACCTATGCATATCCTCCCATATACCTTAAATCATCCACAGATTACTTGTGATAGCTAACACAAAGTAAATGCTATGGAAATTATTGTTGTACCGTATTGATTAGGGAATAATGACAAGAAAAAAGTCTGTGCATGTTGAGTACAGACACAATTTTTTTTCTCAAAAAAAAATTTTTTTTTTGAGATGGAGTCTAACTTCTGTTGGGCAGGCTGGAGTTCAGTGGTGTGATCTTGGCTCACTGCAACCTCCACCTCCCGGGTTCAAGCAATTCTCCTTCCTCAGCCTCCCAAGTAGGTGGGATTACAGGCATGCGCCACCACACCCAGATAATTTTTGTATTTTTAGTAGAGACGGGGGTTTCGCCATGTTGGCCAGGCTGGTCTCGAACTCCTGACCTCAGGTGATCCACCTGTCTTGGCCTCCTAAAGTGCTAGGGTTACAGGCATGAGCCACCACACCCGGCCTTCTCAAATATTTTTGATCCACAGTTGACTGAATCCATGGATGTAAAATCCATGGATAGGGAGAGCCAACTCAATGATTGTTTTTTTTTTTTTAACTGCAGGACTTTTTAGAACGTTTACTATGATTATGGTTTTTCTCAAGACAGAATGTGCAGCATTTCCTGAACTTGTATGGCATGGAGCTCCTTCATCTCAGAGAATATCCAAAGAGCATGTCCATAAAAAAAATTTTGAAAAATGCTAAATCCAGCTGGGTGCAGTGGCTCACACCTGTAATCCCAGCACTTTGGGAGGCTGAGGCAGGCAGATCACTTGAGGCCAAGAGTCCAAGACAAGCCAGGTCAACATGGCTAGACCCTCGTCTCTACTAAAAATACAAAAATTAGCCAAGCGTGGTGGTGCGCACCTGTAATCCCAGCTACTCAGGGGGCTGAGGCACAAGAATCCACTTGAACCCAGGAGATGGAGGTTGCAGTGAGCCAAGATCACAGCCCTGCACTCCAGCCTGGGTGACAGAGTGAGACCCTGTAAAAAAAAAAAAGACGGAAGAAAGAAAGAAGAAAGAAAGAAAGAAAGAAAGAAAGAAAGAAAGAAAGAAAGAAAGAAAGAAAGAAAAGAAAGAAGGGAGGGAGGGAGGGAGGAAGGAAGGAAGGAAGGAAAGAAAGAGAAAGAAAGAAAGAAAGAAAGAAAGAAAGAGAAAGGAAGAAAGAAAGAAAAGAAAAGAAAAATGCTAAATCCATAACTTAAATTAAAGAGTAGTCTGTCTTAAAACATTTCAGTGGATAATTTTTAAAAATCCATACATCTTTACACTCAGAAGTTTTTAAACTTGCTATTTTGAAATTAAAGAACTAGATTCCTCCTCCCTGCAATCTAGTCATTCTTTTGAGCCCTGAAGATTTCTCTTATAAAGTGACTTATAAGCATGCAAATTCTCCAGCAGTGTCAAGGGTAAGGTAGATGTGCTGGGAGAATATTCAGGGACAGAACTGGTTGGCAAGGAAGATGCTCAAACACTCATAGTTCCGTTGGCTGTGAGGGGAGGAAGACTTTTCTTCATCCATCCTATGCTCCTGGCTGAGGCCCCTAAAACAAAAGACAGCCAGGCACTGTGTCTCACACCTGTAATCCCAGTTCTTTGGGAAGCCAAGGCAGGAAGATCACTTGAAGCCAGGAGTTTGAGACTAGCCTGAGCAACACAGCAAGATCCTGTCCTACAAAAAAAAAAAAATTAAAAATTAGCGGGGTATGGTGGTATGAAGCTGTGATCCCAGCTACTCAGGAGGCTGAGATGGGAGGATTGCTTGAGCCCAAGAGTTTGAGGCTGCAGTGAGCTGCGATTGCATTACTGCCCTCCAACCTGGGCAACAGAGCAAGACCCAGACTCAAAACAAACAAACAACAACAACAAAAAAAACCAAAAGACTGATTAACAAGAGAAAAGCATATAAATTCATTTAATATACATTTTATTTGACATGGAGGCCTTCATAAGGAAACGAAAACCTGAAGAAATAGGTAAACCTGCATGTTTTGTGTGCCAGGTTTGATGAAGAAGTGGATAGTTGTGGAGAAGTATGATTGCACAAAGGGATTTATCACCTAATGGTGATAAACTGGGGGAACTTAGCAAGGTCTGTTTGTTCAGATTCTTCCTTGTGTCTTCAAAGAAAAGGATATTCCTTTCCTCCAGGTATAAGGGGGTCACCTCTCTTTTTTTGAGATGGAGTCTCACTCTGTCGCCCAAGCTGGAGTGCAGTGGCCCGATCTCGGCTCATTGCAACTTCCGCCTAGCAGGTTCAAGTGATTCCCCCACCTCAGCCTCCCCAGTAGCTGGGACTACAGGTGTGCACCACCAAGCCTGGCTAACTTTTTTGTATTTTTGGTAGAGATGGGGTTTCACCATGTTGGCCAGGCTGGTCTCGAACTCCCGACCTCAGGTGGTCCGCCCACCAGTCGTTTGACCTGCTTCAGGGGAGAAGGGCAGGGAAAAGGTGAGAGTGACCTTCCTGCTTCTGCTGTTTTCTCAGATATTTTGGGGATCGTGCCCCGAACCCAGTCTGCAGGCAGCCTAGAATTTGGCTGTGTATACAGGAACCCAGGAAAGGAAGGAAGTGCCAATAGAGAGAAGGGAAATGGTGGCAGGGTCAGATTCAAACTCTGGCCTTCCCCGTAATTTATTGCCCAAGGCCTGGTGGTATACACATGTCTGTGAATAACCTGCCTCTGCTATGTGAATGCTTCTAACTGTTGTTCAGTTAACCCACTAAAAAGAAAAACAGAATCAGACATCATGTGCCTCACAATGGAAAAACACAGCATCTAGTATACTCACTAAAAAATTAAACCTGAATTTTATTAGGTCTCCATATCTAATGATTAATTTGCATGAAATTCAGGGGAGAGAGAATTATGTTAAGAGAGACCATGGGGAGGCAATCAGCAAAATCCAGAATTAAGAAACTGAATAAGACAATTGATTGGTTTCTCCAACAAATATACTGCATTTTTTTTTTAAAAAAAGGAGGGAAATGTGTAGAATTAGAATAAGAGACTAGAACCATATCAACCAAATGCAATGTGTGAGTCTTGTTTGGATCCTGATTCAAATAAACCAACTCTAAAAATATTTTTGGGGCTATCAGGGAAATTTAAGCTCTGACTAAATAGCTGGTAATAATAAAGAATTATTGGCTGGGCACAGTGGCTCATGCCTATAATCCCAGCACTTTGGGAGAACAAGGCAGGAGGATCACCTGAAGTCAGGAGTTCGAGACCTGTCTGGCCAACATAGTGAAACCCTGTCTCTACTAAAAATACAAAAATTAACTGAGTGTGATGGCACACATCTGTAGTCCCAGCTAGTCAGGAGGTTGAGGCAGGAGAATCGTTTGAACCTGGGAGGCAGAGGTTGCCGTGAGCCAAGATCATGCCATTGCACTCCAGCCTGGGTGACAGAGCAACACTCTATCTAAAAAAAAAAAAAAGAAGAATTATTAGGCTGCATGTTGTGGTTCACATCTGTCATACCTGTAATCGCAGCAGCATTTTGGGAGGCTGGGGCAGGAGGATCACTTGAAGCCAGGAGTTCAAGACCAGCCTGGGCAACATAGCAAGACCCTGACTCTACAAAAAGTGTAAATATTAGCGAGGTTAGGTTGCATGCACCTGTAGTCCCAGCTACTTGGGAGGCTGAGGCAGGAGGATTGCTTCAACGCAAGAGGTCAAATTTACAGTGAGCTATGATCATGCTATTGCACTTAAGCCGGGTGACACGGCGAGACCCTGTCTCTAAAACAAACAAAAAGAATTATTATTATTTTAGATGTAATAAAGATATCATGGTTACACTGTTTAAGGCCTTATATGTTAGGGGTACATACTAAAATATAAATGAAACTATATACAGTAATGTGTAAGATTTACTCTAAAATAATTCAGGGTGGGGGGAGTAGGTGAAGGTATTGGTGGAACAAAATCAGATGCCTACTAGTTAATAATTGTCAGAGCTGTTTATGGACACATTGTGGTTCATTATATGGTACTATTCTCTCTGTTTGAAATTCTCCATTACACCAAATTTATTTATTTATTTATTTATTTATTTATCTATTTATTTATTTATTTATTGAGATGGAGTCTCGCTCTGTTGCCCAGGCTGGAGTGCAGTCGCGTGATCTCAACTCACTGCAACCTCCGCCTCCTGGGTTCAAGCGATTCTCCTGCCTCAGCCTCCTGAGTAGCTGGGATTACAGGGATGCGCCACCACGCCCAGCTAATTTTTGTATTTTTAGTAGAGACGGGGTTTCATCATGTTGGCCACGCTGGTCTCAAACTCCTGACCTCAGCTGATCCACCTGCCTCAGCCTCCCAAAATGTCAGGATTAAAGCGTGAGCCACTGCGCCCTGCCATTACACCAAATTTAAAAATTGTGTGTTGGGATTGGGGCGAATGAGTCGATCATCATCATGTGGGCTCCTGAAAATTGAAAAAAAAAATCAGTCTGTAGAAAATTTCCATTTCAAGGTTGTATTTGGTGATGCTTCAGAAATGGGGACAGAATTCAGAACAGGAGCAGCGTGTGTCTTCAAGTGCTGGTGGTCACCATCAGTGCCTTGGCCTCAAGGAGGTGACCTGCTTACAGGTCAGTGAACCTCACAGAACCTCCCTCTGGGGTCCCAGATATTAATCCAACTCTTTGCTGATTTCACAACCTGCCTGGAGACACCCCTAGCTGCTCCCTGCTGGACTGATCCCAGTCCTGATGTTACCTACCATGTGTGTTGCGGGGAGGGGGAAGGAAAGGAGACTTAGAGAGATAAATGTAAGGTACGGGAGCCCTCAAGATGAGGAGGCCATAAGAAGGTTGTAACTGCTAATTCCTGACACGGAAGCATGAAAACCCTTGGAAGCTTAGAGGAGGTTTTGGTAGATCCTGTGATATGTATCATAAGCTAAAGCAATGCTGCTGAGGCTAACTCCTGCAGAAGTGAGGATGGGTTATGTCATGGCCACCCATGGGGGATGATTTCCATGCCAGAGAAGAGAAGGAAATGAATTGGCCTTTACAAGAAATTCTAGCTTCAGCTCAGCTACAAAGTTACCCAGCCTTTGATGATATCATATAGAAGGTCTCCCTATTTGAGGGAGGTAGGAGAAAGATTTCAATCTCTTGGTCAGAATTTTGCCCAGCTTCAGAGTTGTCACAGATAAATGGACCCAATCTCATGTTCAGATCCTGATGAAGCCTTCTGGAGAAGTCAAAGCCAGAGCCTTCCAATTTTGAATCAGTGCCCAAACATGAATTACAATGACGGATATTATGGAAGAAGCCATTCCCAGTGATAACTGTGGGAAATCCATGGCCTGCCTCACTGTAGGAGTAACAGAGCCAAGACTAATTTCCAGCTCATCACTGAAGGCAATATTGTGGTTCATAAAGAAAAGGAAGGTACTTAGCTGTACAAGTTCGAGCAGCTTAGATGAGCCTGAAGCCTTTTTTCTGATACAGTGGACCTTTGGCATTTGAAGAATTAACATTCCAGTGTCACCTCTTCTCGAGGAAGCCACTTGGGTATTTTGGGTAGGCATAAATTTCAATCCCAGATTGCCAGACATGGATGCAAATCACTTAGCCAAGGAACAGATCCAGCTGGCTAACCACCTGGCACCTGCATCCCCGTGCAGCCTTACACTCTTGTGCCTTACAGCTCAGGTGACCTTTATGAGGAAAATGTTACATTATGATGATATATTTTTTTTTTGAGACGGAGTTTCACTCTTGTTACCCAGACTGGAGTGTAATGGCGATCTCAGCTCACCGCAACCTCCACCTCCTGCCTCAGCCTCCCGAGTAGCTGCGATTACAAGAATGTGCCACCACGCCCCGCTAACTTTGTATTTTTAGTAGAAACAGGGTTTTTTCATGTTGGTCAGGCTGGTCTCAAACTCCTGACCTCAGGTGATCTGCCAGGCAAGGTAGTTCACGCCTGTAATCCCAACATTTTGGGAGGCCGAGGTAGGTGGATCACAAGGCCAGGAGTTCAAGATCAGCCTGGACAACGTAGTGAAACCTTGTCTCTATTAAAAATACAAAAATTAGCTGGGCATGGTGGTGGGTGCCTGTAGTCCCAGCTACTTGGGAGGCTGAGGCAGGAGAATCCCTTGAACCCAGGAGGTGGAGGTTGCAGTGAGCCGAGATCCCATCACTACACTTCAGCCTGGGTGACACAGCGAGACTCTGTCTCAAAAAAGAAAAAAAGAAAGAAAAAGAAAAGAAAAAAGAAAAAAAGAGAATCCAGAGGTTTTGGGTTAAACCATTTGCAAACATCACAAGCCTACTGTACAAAACTCATTCTCACTCTTTTTTTTTTTTAATCTTTGTTGGGGAATAGTATCACTCAAGCATCTTTCAGAAGCAAAAAGAAAAAAGAAAATAACCATTCTTCGGTTAATGTATTTATTTATTTTTATTTTTTTATTTTGTTTGAGACGGAGTCTTACTCTGTCACCCAAGCTGGAGTGCAATGGCATGATCTTGGCTCACTGCAACCACTGTCTCCCGGGTTCAAGCGATTCTCCTGCCTCAGCCTCCAGAGTAGCTGGGATTACAGTTGCACTCCACCACACCTGGCTAATTTTGTATTTTTAGTAGAGTCGGGGTTTCACCATGTTGGTCAGGCTAGTCTCGAATTCCTGACCTCAGGTGATCCACCTGCCTCAGCCTCCCAAAGTGCTGGGGTTACAGGCGTGAGCCACCACGCCCAGCCTCTTTGGTTAATTTAAGCAAAAAAGGGGATTTATGAGAAAGATGCTGGGAGTAGCTCACTAAATCAAGTGAAGCTGAAACCATCAATTCTCTGTCAGGACGTAAATGAAGGTGACCTGGGACCTTGGGAGCTATTGCTCCTGGCACTGGAGCACTATCATGAGACGACTCTGCACCAACTGACTTGTCTATTTCAGTCACATTTTCAAATACCCAGGAGAGAGAACATAGCTGGCCAGCTTGACAGGTGTCTCTAGCTTCGGCCAGAGAACAGGACACGGAGCACCAGCATGGTCACTGGGAGATCAGTTGTGAGCCAGAAGCCACTGCAGGTTGTGTCTACTAGAGAAAGAAGGACCTGCTAGAGAAAGAGGGATCCTGCCCCAATGATGGAAGCCAGCTGAAGCTGTAGATTAACTAAAAAAAAAAAAAAAAAGTAATCAAGCATCTTGCAGAAGCTGTGATTCTGGTTTGTAGCACAGTCCTCCCTACCGCTGCTGCTCTCTACTCATCTGGTAGAACTGGCCCTTCCTCTCCCATGCTCCTCACTCAGCCCCATGCAGGGGCAGAGGCAGAGGTCTTCAAGAACTCCCATTCTCTTGGCGTCCATTGCAATGAAACTACCTCTGATGGAAGAGAGGAGACCTTGTGGTACAGGCCAGGCAGCCCACACTCCATCAATGTCTGGCCCTGAAAAAAGCAACCCCATCCCCAGCTACATGAAAGCTTTTCTCCCACATGGATCATCACTTGATCTTGCTTATCCATCTCTCTTGGGAATGATCCACCTGAGAAATATGACAGAAGCCATTGCCATAGCTGTTGCCAGGTACCCCAAGTTCTGTTTCTGATGGGACCCGGGAATTGGCATGAAGTGCTTCCGGAGCAATAACCCATTCATCTCAGGGTGAATCAAAGTACAGCATGATGGCTGGATCCTCATCTCTTTGATGAAAAACAAGGAAGTTTAACAAGTCAGAGCAAGGGAGAAATAAACAAGTTAAAGAATTTTCATACAAATTTAAGACTATGGAGTTCAATTGTAAAAATGTTAAAAGTTGAAGGTTTTAAAACTAGCACTACTACTTCAACACTACTGTTCCTGCCTATTTTAACAGGCCTATCCTATGGCTGGAATTATTATTATCATTATTGTCATCTTTAACACCCAAGGTTTATGAAAAAGTGCATTAATGTACCAGGCACTATATTAAGCCCCTTCAACATATCATCTTACCTCATCCTTTCAGCAGCTCAGTGAAGGGGGTATATTATCATACCCATTTACAGATGAGGAAAGCAAGTTCCAGGGAGGTTAGGAAACTTGCCCTACATACCTTTTGCTGGTGAGTCGTGGAACCTGGATTTGCCTGACTGCAGTGCACAACCTCTTAACTGCTCTAAAATCTTATGTAAAGAAAATCTTATGTAACTACTACAAAATCTTTTATGTAACTACTACAAAATCTTATGTAAAGAAAAACGGGTCTGCTTAAAATGGAGTTGGCACATTGAACATAATTGAACATAATGATTCAATGTTGCTACATGCAGAGGAACCTCCATGTCTCCCTCAGGCTAGAGACAATGTGGTAAGGCATTTGGGGCTTACACGTATTGCACTGACAATCAAATCTCCAGGCCCTGGATAAATAATGGCTAACCTCATCCTTACTCTGTCTTAGCATGACAGCCAGGCTCAACACTAACCCCTAGTAAACAGACTCTTCAATTCAACTTATCAATGCACTGCGAAGATGTCCGACTTCATTGCAACAATCCTGGGAGGATGCTCTGAGCTCTGCCCTGCCCATTAGAGGCTGTAAGTTTGTGCAAATAACCATAAAATTAAACCCACCCAGGGAGGGCCATTGATTTCCAATTGGCACAGTTTGCCAGATGCTGTTTGGTCTAAGAACTGCCTTGACCTCTAGTAGTGACGCCGCCTGCCCTTGGCTTTGCGGGGTGTGTTCCCAGCAGGGAAGGCCTCTCCACTAATGCTTGCTACTGGAACTTGGGCTGAAAATGTGGTGGGTTCCCCATATGTTGCAGGGGAGAGGCCAGCCACACCTGGCGTTGGATTCAACCTCTTATCCAACCCTGGGGCTGAAGCCACCCCCAGGAGATTACAGACGCTCCCACCCCCAACTAATTAAATAGGTGGCCTCCTGCTGTTAAAAGGGAATGAGGGCGGAAAAACAGAGGATGCCTGATTTAACTAGGACCTGGGTAAGTAGCTTACCAGCCAGACCCAGAAATCACCGATGCATGCCTAAGCAGTCTCTAATGGGTCAGGGTGGTTCTATGCCTGAGATCTGGAGTTCTGCTTATTCTCAGCTTCCTTTGTACTTTCAAACCTGTAGTCCAAAACATTCATCATGGAAGCTTTACAAATTATTAAAAATAATATTGTTCTATTAATGAGTATATCTTATACAGCTATTATTACACACCAATCCTTGTGTTCAAACATTGGAATAAAGTGACTATTCAAAGACATTATTTGTTTCTTGTAGTACAACCTGAAGACAGTTCTACCCCCTTCCACACACACACCCACTCGCACACACACACAGAGAGTAGGCTTCTGAATGCAAAGCAAAGTGTTTACCTAAGTTACCAGTGCTAAATCTAAATATCCATGCAATTATAAATTTAGATGGAAACTAAAATTGTGTTTCCAATTAAGGAAAGAAACCCCTTAGACTTTTTCAGTTCAGCCTAACAAGCAAGTTACTAATTGTTTCAGTTTTGGTTTTGCTACAAATCATTTAGAAGGAAAGAGGATCTGAGGTGCAAAGAGGAAGGCAATTGTAATAATGGGAAATTGGACTAAATTAAAATGATCCTAAGTCACAGCACAACTAGGCCTCTTTGCCACCAACTTTTGACATTCTAATTAGGGCAAATGATTATGCAAATCCAGTCAGTCGCTCTTTTCCCCCCAAGCTGAAGTGCTTGTGATTGTTCAAGTGAGGACTGTTGGTGGCGTAATTAAAGCTCTCCTAAAAATTAATTGAGAATCAGAGGACAGCCTCCAAAGATGCCCTAATTTGTGGGCAGCCCAGCACAGCTGTCCTTTTGTCCTGCCTGCCACCAGGACGCCTCGAGTTTCCCCATCAAGTATAATAGAATGTGACACTTGAGGTGTTCTCAAGCCTTGGTCCTCATGAGTGGAGTGGAGGACAGGACAGCAGGAGTCCAGCACACCTAGGTCACCTCCTTCTGGGCATGTTAGCTGAGGAAACAGGGTTGGAGGGTGAACCCAAACATGGAGCACAGAGCACCTGAGTTTGGGGGCACCTATGAAATAAAATTGATCATGGGTTGATAAGCATTGAAACTGCATGACATGTACTTGGTTGGTTGGTGGCGGGGTAGGGTAAGTATAGTAATTTGCTTTGCTTTTGTATATGTTTAAAATATTAATTTTTTAAAATTAATGCATGCAATGCCAAAAATAGCATCTGTTATGGAGAGAAAGTTAATAGCAAAAGTCAGCTTTTGGTTATCTTTTAATGGGGCAGAGTTCTGGAGACACTAATCTTTAAAAGTGGGTATACTGTTCTATTACTTCTCCTTAATCACCTCTCATTACATGAACAACACATCCCCAGATCTGGCCCTTACTCTTCTCAGTTTAGCCCTAACGCTTGGAAGAACAAAGACTGAGTGGCTAGGAAAGAAACCGAACCAAGTGAGAGGCAGAAGAGCTCTATGTGGGGGAGAAAAGTAAGAGAGATCCCCAGGTAATCCAGCCAGAGGATAACTGAGAGCTGACTGTGAATTACTTCTATGTCATAAAAACCCAATACTATCCTATCTGACTTTAAAAGAAAAATAATTTACATAAAGCTCCTAAATTAAAAAAATAAACAGTTCCAGAAAACCAAGGGGCAAACTCTCTACAGAGTAACAAGCTCCCCGGGACAGCAATGAGTAAGAATGCCGAGGGAGAAGCAGTCGATAGTTTCAGCTCTGTAGGTGGAAGTTTTTAAATCTGGGGAGCACCTTGGCTGTAGGAATCATACCACCGGGTAGCTGCCGGCCTTGGAGATCACTCATCTTCCCTGGTGCAGCATGATGCTTTTTTCTTTATCTTTTAGGAGTATCCATGACTGGGGTAATTAATTAGCTCATAAAAAGCTGCTCCAACCAGGCTGTGCCCAGTGTTTCCTAGCTTTGTTAGGAAAACTTGAGAGAATCAGTGTGGCTGAATTAACTGGTCTTCAGGTAATAACTAAATCAAAGATGTCTTGGGTACCCTGGGAAGCTGGAGTCTCCTCTTTCCTGTGAATCAGTCAGCTCAAGATTGATGAAGGGCTGCTAAGGTCAGGCTTAGAAACACAAAACCATCTGCCAACTCTCTAGGGCTGGTATCTGCAGTAGAGCAATTTTAGAAGAACAGGTGTTCACTTTTAACTTACCTCTTCTTTTCTTTTATGCTGAAATCGTGATTTTTAGCTAGAAAGTACCTCCAGTTGGTTGATGAGATACACAGACTGTCTACTGTAACTTAAAATAACCTGGCCCAAAGGTATAGAGATAACTTCAGCTGACTATCACCCAAAGTCATAGGCCATGCATCCCTGGCAGTGGCCACTCTGGCTTCCCCAGAAGTATTTGGCAGCATCAGGAAACAGTGACTAGAAGTCACTGCCCCAAAAAGATTAAGCCAAGGAACACTGTTTCACCCTCGGAATGATGCAGGACTGTGGAAAAGATTCCATTTGGCCCATCTACTTTGCAGAGCATGCTCAAGAGCCACAAAGTCCTTGCAAGCTGACAGTTAAATGCTTCTGGTTCCTTGAAAGTATCTTCCAGCTCAGTAGTCTGAGAACATTTTCAAAAGTCTTTGATGATGAACTGTAAGCACACCCATATGTTTGGTCATGATGGTTCAATGACAGGGGGTGTCTTTGCTCAATACAAAAAAGGTTCAAGATTTATATCAAGTTTTCTTCTTTTTTTTTTGAGACAGAGTCTTGCTCTGTTGCCCAGGCTGGAGTGCAACGGTGCGATCTTGGCTCATTGCAATCTCCGCCTCCCGGCTTCAAGTGATTCTCTTGCCTCAGCCTCCCGAGTAGCTGGGATTACAGGCTCCCGCCACCATGCCCGGCTAATTTTTGTATTTTTAGTAGAGACAGGGTTTTGTCATGTTGGCCAGGCTGGTCTCAAACTCCTGACCTCAGGTGATCCACCCGCCTCGGCCTCCCAAAGTGCTGGGATTACAGGCGTGAGCCAACGCACCCGGCCAAGTTTTTTTTTTAGTGAAGGTATCCTTGTTCCTGCTAACCAGTTATGTTCCCATCTTCCCAAAAATATGAGAAACTTCCCAAAACTCTCATGTGGCAGATTCTATTTTCCAAAGGTAGCTGCAGTTAAATATATTTCATCCTGTATGCTCTTCTTACAACGTGATATTGACGCTTCTCTATCAAGAGGTTAGATTCATGGTTCCTGTCCCTTGAGCCCCGATAGAACTTTGTAAATGCCTCCAACAGTGGAATGTAGCAGAAGTGAAACAGTGTGAGTCTAAGTCACAAAAGGTGACACAGCTTCCACTTGGCTCCCTCAGGGCATGTGCCTTATGAGCTAAGCCAATGTGGATGAAGTCCAGTGATCCTAAAGCTTCCGTGCTAGAAACATCATATGAAGAGACCACATAGAATTAAAGATGCTCAAGGAGCTCTAACTGTTCCAGCTCCCGGCTGTCTTGAGTGTTCCTAACCCAGGCTCCACATATGTGAGCAAACAAGCCTTTAGATGACCACAACCTCTGCCTTTGAGCCACTCAGTTGAAACCAAGAGGAGCACAGACAAGCTTTCCCCATTATGTCCTGTACAAATTCCCAACCCACAGGATCTGTATGTGTAATAAATGGTTGTTTTATGCCTCTAAATTTTGGGAGTAATTTGTTACACAGAATAGTAACTAGAACAACACTTGAGGGGTATTCCTTGAAGTGTGAAAGGGCATTAGGTTTGCAGTCGTATAGCCTGGTTTTGAATCCAGACCTAACCACTTTACTGAGTGACCTTAAGAAGGTCAGTTTCCTTTCTGAGCATTGCTTTCCTCATCTATAAAATGGGGTTAATAATGGCTACCCAGGCTGGGCACAGCGACTCACGCCTGCAATCCCAGCATTTTGGGAGGCCAAGGCGGGCGGATCAATTGAGGTCAGGAGTTCAAGACCAGCCTGGCCAACATGGTGAAACCCCATCTCTAATAAAAATACAAAAATTAGCCGGGTGTAGTGGCAGGTGCCTGTAATCCCAGCTACTCAGGAGGCAGAGGCAGGAGAAGCACTTAAGCCCAGGAAGCAGAGGGTGCAGTGAGCTGAGATTGCACCACTGCACTCCAGCCTGGGTAACAGAGCAAGACTCCATCTTAAAAAATAAAAATAAAAAATAAAAATAAATCACTACCCAAATATACATCACATTTAAAAATTAAGATGCAAAACAGTGTGATTAGTAGGCTACCGTTAATGTTAAGACATATGTATATGCACAGAGACATATGTACATAGACAAATGTACCCACACTGATACATTTGTACATGTATAAACTTAACTAGGAGAATAAAAATTTGAAAGAGTGGTTGCCTCTGAGGAAGGGAATGGTAGATTAGGGATCAGAGCTGGGAGGGAGACTAACTCTGTATACTTTTACATTACTTGAATCATTTACCAAATGTTTGCACTAATAATTTTGAAACAATTATAAAATTAAAATAAATAAAATTTTGGAAATTTTATGGCAAATTTTGTGTAACAAGTATAAAATGTTTAATAAAAATAATACTTAAGGCTGGGTGCAGTGGCTCACGCCTGTAATCCTACCACTTTGGGAGGCTAAGGCGGGCAGATCACTTGAGGTCGGGAATTCAAGACCAGCCTGACCACCATGGTGAAATCCCTTCTCTACTAAAAATGCAAAAACTAGAGGGGCATGCTTGCGCATGCCTGTAATCCCAACTACTTGGGAGGCTGAGGCAGGAGAATCACTTGAACCCGGGAGGTGGAGGTTGCAGTAAGCCGAGATCATGCCATTACACTCCAGCCTGGGTGACAGAGAGAGACTCCATCTCAAAAAAAAAAAAAGAAAGAAAGAAAAAGAAAAGAAAAGATTTTCAATAGGAGATTGAGGGGATTGGTTGAATAAATTGTGGTATAGCTATACTTGGAATAAAGTTCAAACATTAGAAAGAATAAGCTAGAGCATGAGCTAAAGAGTCATGTCAGTTGACTGTTACATCAGAAAGAAGGAGGTGCAGAGAGGGTTATAGAACATGACACCATTACTTTAAAACAAACATGTAAAACAAAAATCATATGTAATTGTGTTCATGAGCTGATATATTATTATATGAACATGGAGAAGAGAATGGAAGAATGTACCACATTGCCAACAACAATTTAATGGGGTGGAGGATGGGGAGGGAGGAAGACTAGTTAGGGAAGGAAGAAGTGAGAGTTGGGGGAAAGAGGAAAAAGACTCAGTATTTGCAGATGGAACTCTGAGCAAATACAGGAGTAGAAAACTAAGCACTCAGCATTCAATAAAAGCCCTGCGATAAGGAGGCGAATTCCACATGAGTGGAATACGCCTAACTGTGGACACACAGACACAGGGATCCAGGGTGAGAGAAACCAATCAGGGAGAGGAGGATATCTGTGCAAGCAAGCATGGTGGTAGCTTGGAATGGGAATCAGAGTCCAGGCAGAGATAGGACGGCTCTCTTGCAGAGTATGGGGTGCAGAGATATGAGATGGGTTAGGTATAGGGAGATTGATCAAATAAGTAAATATATTAAGGATAATGGAAATTAGGTTTCTCACTGATGGTGAAGGGAGTTACAAATGCAGAAAGGACTGGTCATGTTGAATTAGAATTGGAGGTATTCATTTGAATTCATGGCTTTCAACATATATAGATATAGAAATAAATATAAATGAGTGCATGTGTGTGTGTAAAACACATATTTCATAACTCTGTCCACTGAGAGAGGCTGGAGCAGCAACATCCAATAGCAATGAGTAGATCTGACAACTAGATTCTGGCATCTAAGCTGTCATTTTGCACTAGAAGGAATCAGGGCTCCTTGTAGAAATGGCTGATTCCAGGGCTGGTACTTGGAAAATACAAGATACACTGGACTACCTATCTTATCATTCCAAAAAGCAAAGAAGTGCTCAAAGAGTGATGTAGACAAAAGCCAGCTTCAATAGGCTTTCTCTGGACAAATTTGAGATAATTTGAACATCAAAATAAAAATCAATAGTAATACATTATAGTTCATTGCATAATATAGAAAACTATGAATCTGGAGAAATATAAATTATAAATTGAAAGTTTGATGAGGAAAAAGATATTTAAATTGTTTCAAAGTACTTCCCCACAAATATTTATTAATTACAAAGGGGAAATGGGTAATTTACAGTAAAGAAAGCTAGTAGACACCACCTTAATCAAGAAATCAGAGTGGGCCAGGTGTGGTGCCTGACGCTTGAAATTCCAGCACTTTTGGGGTCAAGGTGGGAGGATTGCTTGAGCTCAGGAGTTTGAGGCGGCTGCAGTGAGCTGTGATCACACCACTGCACTCCAGCCTAGGCACTACAACAAGACCTTGCCTCTAAAAAAAAAAGAAAGAAAGAAAAGGAAATCAGAGTGAATGTCATCAGCAGCACCACAGGCTCATCAAAATCATGTGCCACCTAATAGGATGCAACAAGGTCACAGTGTCACCTCTTTATTAGACCTGCCAAAGCTGCATATCCTAATCTAATCACAAGGACACACCAGACAAACTCAAATTGAGAGACATGCCACACAAAACTGGCCTGTAATCTTTAATAGTGCCAATGTCATGATGTCAAGGAAAGACTGAGCAACTATTCCAGATTGGAAAGTGAGGAGATATGAAAAATTGAATGGAATGTGTCATTTGGGACTGGATCCTTTTGCTATAAAGGGCATATTGCCATTAAGGACTATTGCTAAAAACATGAATCAGGTCTAACGATAAGGAGCAATAGTGTGTCCAAGTTAATTTCCAGAATTTGATGGTTTTATTTTGTATATGTGGGAGAATGCTCTTGTTCATAGGAAATACACACTAATGTAGTTGGGGATGATGGGGCATTAGGTTAGCAACTGAATTTTTAAATTGTTTAAGGAGAAAAGTTGTTATCCTATTCTGTAAACATGTCTGTTGTCTATGATTATTTTAAAAGAAAAAAGGATAATAACAGAGAGGAAAAGATGACAAATACACACAAGAATCTAATTTAGCTCAGTCTTAAAATCCACTAAAATGAGAATAAACATAATTTTAAAAAATATGTTATTGTGGTAACATATGTAACATAACATTTACCATTGAAGCCATTTTTATCTTTTTTTCTGAATGTTTGTTGACACTTCATTGACACTTCTCCATTTAACACATTTTTTAATTTTTTAAATTGATACATAAAAATTGTATATATTATGGACTACATACTGATGTTTTGATATGTAAAATATATAGTGATCAGATCAGGGTACGTAACGTATCCATAATCTCAAACACTTATCTTTTTTTTTTTGAGACAGTCTTGCTTTGTTGCCTAGGCTGGAGTGCAGTGGTGCGATCTTGGCTCACTGCAGCTTCCACCTCCTGGGGTCAAGCTATTCTCATGCCTCAACCTCCTGAGTAGCTGGGACTACAGGTATGTGTCACCACGCCCAGCTAATTTTTATATTTTTAGTAGAGATGGGTTTCACCATGTTTCCCAGACTGGTCTCAAACTCCTAGCCTCAAGCAATCCACCCACCTCAGCCTCCCAAAGTGCTGGGATTACAGGCGTGAGCCACTGCACCTGGCTATCAATTCTTTGTGTTGGGAACATTCAATATTCTTTCTTCTAGCTATTTGAAAATATATAATACATTATCAACTGTAGTTATCGTTACTTACAGTGCTATAGAACATTAGAACTTATTCCTCCTCTCTAGCTGTAATTTTGTGTCCTTTAACAAATCTCTCCCAATACCCCCTCAACCTTGTGCCCTTCTCAGCCTCCAGTAACCTCTCCATTTAATGTTTTAATTGTACAGCTCAGTGGCATTAAATTACTTCACAATGTTGTACAACTATCACCACTATTTCCAAAACCCTTTCATTACCCCAAACAGCAATTCTGCCACCGTTAAGCAGTAACTCCTCTTCTCCCCTTTTCCTAGCTCCTGGTAACTTGAAATCTACTTTCTGTTCTATGAATTTGCCTATTCTAAACACTTTATATAAGCGGAATCATGCAATATGTGCCCTTTTGTGTCTGGATTATTTCATTTAGCTTGTTTTCAAGATCCGTCCATGTTGTAGCACATATCAAAACATCATTCCTTTTTATAGCTAAATGGTATTTTATTGTAGGTATATACCATTCCTCTATTGATGGGCACTTGGTTCAAGACCAGCCTGGCCAACATGGTGAACCCCATTTCTACTAAAAATACAAAATTAGCCAAGTGTGGTGGTGGACGCCTGTACTCTCAGCTGATGGAGAGCCTGAGGCAGGAGAATCGCTTGAACCGGGAAGGTAGAGGTTGCAGTGAGCTGAGATCAGGCCACTGCACTCCAGCCTGGGCAACAGAGCAAGACTCTGTCTCAAAAAAAAAAAAAAAAAAAAAAGAAGTGGTATTAAAATGCTCAATTTGGGCCATCATAAAGTAATTGGTATCAGACTTAACCTCCGGCTGTTAAAAATAAAATTAAAATTAAAAACCTGGACAAAATGTGAAAAACCAGGGTTGCAGACACTAACAGTTACCAATACCACACTGTGATCACAGAGAGAAGGGGCTGTGATCATCGAGGAACTCACACAGGTGAGTTCCACATTTACCCTGGCTTTCTCCCATTTTCTGGGCCAGGCTGTGGGGCCAGGGAACACAGCCAGGGGAGAAGAGCGTCACACGGGTTAGGAGTAGACGTCAGGCTCCTCCTGTCCATCAAAACTCCTCAGACCAGGGTCGCTCACGTCTGCTGCCTTGCCATGCCTTCCTACAGCTGTCACCAGTCACAGACCAGCCTCATCCTCCTGGGGCTTGGGTGGCAGCTCCATGCATTTTGAGGCAGGGGACACCTTCTGCATGCCCAGCATCCACCAGGATCCATGGGCCACAGCATGTCAGTATCCTCTGTTGGTTTCTTGTCCTCATCCTTTTCTGTGGGCTATGATGGGGACGATGGGGGTTACAGTGGCAGCTGTGCTAATGCCCTGGCCAGGTCCAATGGGCTGCTGGTAGGCAACGAGAAGATCACCATGCAGACCCTCAATAACCACCTATCTGGCCTCCTACCTGGCCAAGGTGAACGCCCTGGAAGAGGTCACCTGAGAGCTGGGGGTGAAGGTCCATGGCTGGTACCAGAAGCAAGGGCCTGGGCCCTCCTGTGGCTTACACCCACTACTTCAAGCCCATCAGGGACCTATGGGACAAGATTCTCACTGCCACCATTGAGAACTTCAGGATTGTCCTGATGACCAACAGCACCCATCTGGCTGCAGATGACTTCTGAACCAAGTTTAAGGAGCTGGCCCCGGGTCTGAGCCTGGAGATCCACATCAACGTTCTGTGCAGGGTGCTGGGCGAGCTGAGCCTGGCCAGGACTGACCTGGAGATGGGGATGGAAAGCCTGAAGGAGGAGCTGGCCTACCTGAAGAAAAATTGCCAGAAAGGAATTGTTGCCCTGAGGGGCCAGGTGGGAGGCCTAGTCAGTGTGGTGATAGATTCCCCTCCAGGCATCAACCCAGCCTAGATCCTGAACAACGACTTGAGAAGCAAATAGGAAGTCATGGCTGAGCAGAACTAGGAGGGTGCTGAAGCCTGGTTAACCAGCCAGTCCCAGGAGCTGAATCAGGAGGTTACCAGCCACATGAGCAGCTCCAGATGAGCAAATTCAAGGTCACTGACCTGCGGTGAACCCCCCAGGGTTTTGACATTGAGCTGCAGCAGCTCAGCATGAAAGCCGCCCTGGAAGGCACACTGGAAGAAACAAGGGCCCTCTTTGGAGCCAAGCTGGCACAGATCCAGGCGCTGGTCAGGGGTGTTGAAGCCCAGCAGGGTGACGTGGGTGCTGACAGCCAGCAGCAGAACCAGCACCAGTGGTTCATGGACATCAAGTCTCAGCTGGAGGAGGAGATTACTATCTACTGAAGCCTGTCCTTGGGCCAGGATGCCCAATAACAACCCTCCTGCCTCTAAGGTCCTCTGAGTCCACTGGCTTCTGGGCTTCTGTCCTCCAGGAGAGGAGTTCCCCTGGGTAGGGGAAAGGGAGGGGAGGGACACTTACCCCTGGCTCTTTTCCTGGCCAGCCAATAAAGTTTTATGGCCTAAGGTGGGTGTAGGGGTGTGGGGAGGAGAAGTAGATTTCATAGTTGAAGGCTGAGGAGCCAATTGAGATTAAAGGTGGGGCAGGACGCCGGAGGCGGTGCTACAAAAAAAGAACCCAAGAAGTCTGTGTGGAAAACTCTCTCAGGTCTTGGCCAATTCCTGGGCCATGTAAGAACAGTGACTAGAAGACGGAGTGCTGGGTGGAGATCTGGAGTTTTCACAGTGCTGGGAGACATTGGGATTTGGATCCAGCCAGAGTGGAGAAACTTCAGTGAACACCCAACATTCAGTTGAGACCCTAGCAAATTACACAGATGGGTTGAAAGTAAAAAGATGAAAAAGATAAACCCTGCAAACACTATCCAAAAGAAAACAGTTGTGCTTTATTAATATAAAACAAAGTAGACTCTAAGACAAGAAATATTACAAGAGATATTATACCTTATTAAGAGGGCTAACAATCGTATACATTAAAAAATTAACATGTACCTAATAATACAGGTTCAAAATATGTAAAGGAGAACTTGACAGAACTAAAAACAGGGATAACATTCCATTTACATAGTTAGAGATTTTAACAACTTCTCTGAGTAACTGATAGCAAAAGCATACAAAAACATCAGTAAGGCTGGGTGCAGTGGCTCACACCTGTAATCCCAGCACTTTGGGAGGCTGAGGCAGGCAGATCACGAGGTCAGGAGATTGAGACCATCCTGGCTAACACAGTGAAACCCCATCTCTACTAAAAAAATATACAAAAAATTAGCCGGGCATGGTGGTGGGCACCTGTAGTCCCAGCTACTCGGGAGGCTGAGGCAGGAGAATGGCATGAACCCAGGAGGCGGAGCTTGCAGTGAGCCGAGATCGCGCCACTGCACTCCAGCCTCGGCGACAGAGCAAGACTCTGTTTCAAAAAAGAAAAAAATCAGTAAGATATAGAAGATTGAAAAACATGATTAACTAACTTGGTCCATAAAATATTGCACCAACAATATAGAAAACACATTCTTTTCAAGTACACTAATATGGTTTGGATTTGTGTCCCCACCCAAATCTCATGTCAAATTGTAACCACCATTGTTGTGGGAGGGGCCTGGTGGGAGGTGATTGAATCATGGAGGCAGACTTCCCCCTTGCTGTGCTCATGATAAGGAATGAGTTCTCATGAGACCTGGTTGCTTAAAAGTGTGTGGCACCTCTCCCCTCTCTCTCTCTTCCTCCTGCTCCAGCCATGTAAGACGTGACTCCTTCCTCTTCACCTTCCACTATGATTGTAAATTTCCTGTGGCCTCCCCAGCCATGCTTCCTGTACACGGTGTGGAACCATGAGCCAATTAAACCTCTTTTCTTTATAAATTATCCGGTCTCGGGTAGTTCTTTATAGCAATGCAAGAACAGACTAATACATACACACAGAACATTTATCCAAGTAGACCATGTTTTGGGCCACAAACAAGTCTTCACAAATTTCAAGGGATTGAAATCAAACAGGACATGTTCTCTAAACATTGTGGGATAGAAAAATAAACTCAAAAGAAAGGAGAGGAAAGAAAATAATAAGAAAAAAGCAAAAATCAATGATATCAAAAATAAATCTATGCTGGAAAAAATCCACAAAGACAAGAATTGATTTTTTGAGAAGAATAATAAAATTGATAAACTCCTAGCAACTAATCCATAACAAAGAAAACACAAATTGTCATCTTTATGAATAAAATAAGGGATATCACTACATATCCTACAGACATTAAAAATGTGAAAAGATACTATGAACAACCTTATGTCAACAAACTAAAAATAGAGATTTTCCAAGGAAAAAGTCCTTGGAAAGCACAATTTACCAAAACTGATACAAGAAATAGAAAATTTGAATGGTTATACAATTATTAACTATTCAATAGTTAAATAAATTAACTGGTCAACTGTTAAATAAATTGAATCAATTATTAAAAGGCTTCTACTGAGAAAACATCAAGGCCATATGGTTTTGGTCTCAGATTGGTTTCCCTGGAAACAGATTCTGAGATGCTGAATTTCATGCAGGAGTGGGAGACACATCTGTAGGAAACTGGTGTTTCTGACAGGATTGGCCAGAAATAAAAACTGACTCACAATGCAGTTGCAACCCAGGCCTCAGCCAAGCCCTAGAGCTGAGATAACCATTGAGAATTGAATCAATTTGAGGAAAGGGGCTAGGCTTTAGTATTCCTATCTTAGCACCCTGAAAATAAGCTTAATCTTGGGTGAGGCAGTTCCCTGCAGCTGAAGGTAGCTCCCAAGGAGGAACATGTTGTGAGCTGTCAGCATCAGACATTTGAGCAGTTGGAGAAAGGGTGCATTAAACCTTAGAAGAGATTTAGGTTGAGTACCAGAGTATCCAATAAGGTTGCACTGGTGATTTTTCCAAACATGTAAGGAATAAAATCTTACACAAACTCTTCCAGAGAATAGGAAAAGAGGAATCAATTCTCAACTCATTTTATGAGGTTGACACTAAAACTTAACAAGGACATTAGGAGAAAGGAAAATTATAGATCAATATCACTTATTAATATATAGTCAATATCCTAAATAAAATATAAACAAATAGAATCTAACAATACATAAAATAAGAAAATATTATTACCAATTAGTATGTATTTCAGGAATATAAGGTTGGTTTAACATCTGAAATCAAGGTATTTCATCCACACTAACAAAATAAAGGAGAAAATCCATAGGATAATTTCAATAAAGAAGGAAAAGCATTTTACAATATGCAACATCTATTCACGCCAAAAGAAAATGTTCAGTTGGGCAAGGTGGTTCACACCTGTAATGCCAACACTTTGGGATTCTGAGGTGAGGAGATCACTTGAAGCCAGGAGTTTCAGACCAGCCTGGGCAACATAGCAAGACTCCATCGCTACAAAAAAATTTTTTTAAATTAACTGGGCATGGTGGCATGCACCCGTAATCTCAGCTACTCAGGAGGCTGAGGTGGGAGGATCGCTTGATCCCAGGAGTTCAAGGCTGTTAAGCTATGATCCCACTAGTAAACTGTAGCCTGAGTGACAGAGCAAGACCCTCTCGAAAGAAAGAAAGAAAGGAAGGAAGGAAGGAAGGAAGGAAAGAAAAAAGGAAGGAAGGAAGGAAGGAGAGTTCTCAGCAGACTAAACAGAAGAAAAATTTCTTAATCTGATATAGAATATCTACAAGAAAGCTACAGCTAACATCATATTCAATGGTGAAATATTGAACATTTTTCCCCAAGGTCAAGGATGTTCACTCGTTTTTGTTTTGTTTTGTTTTGTTCTGTTTTGTTTTGTTTTTTGGTTGTTGAGACAGAATCTCACTCTGTCGCCAGGCTGGAGTGGAGTGATACAATCTCAGCTCACTGCAACCTCCACGTCCTGGGTTCAAGTGATTTTCCTGTCTCAGCCTCCCGAGTAGCTGGGACTACAGGCGTGTGCCACCACACCTGGCTAATTTTTGTACTTTTAGTAGAGACCATGTTTCACCATGTTGGCCAGGATGGTGTCAATCTCTTAACCTTGTGATCCGCCCACCTCAGCCTCCTAAAGTGCTGGGATTACAAGCGAGAGCCACTGTACCCGGCAGGATGTTCACTCTTATCACTTCTACTCACTATTGTACCAGAGGTCTCAGCCAGTGCAATAAGGCAAGAAAAGGAAATAAGGGGTAAAAGGTAGAAAGGAAGAAATAAAAATGTCTTTGTTATTCATAAATGGCATGACTGTTTATGTAGAAAAACCAAAAGAATCTATAAGCTGCCAGGTGCAGTGGCTCGTGCCTGTAATCCCAGCACTTTGGGAGGCTGAGGTGGGCGGATCACTTGAGGTCAGGAGTTCAAGACAAGTCTGGTCAACATGGTGAAACCCTGTCTCTACTAAAAATACAAAAATTAGCTGAGCATGGTGGTGTGTGCCTGTAATCCCAGCTACTTGGGAGGCTGAGGCAGGAGAATTGCTTGAACCCAAGAGACAGAGGTTGCAGCAAACCAGATCATCCCTCCGCACTCCAGCTTGGGCAGCAAAGTGAGACTCCATCTCAAAAAAAGAATCTACAAGCAACTAGAATTAATAAATTCTATTAAGGTCACTGAAAAGAAGACAAAACATATAAAATCAGTTGCATATATATTTATAATAAATTACTGGAAGATGAAATTTTCTTTTTCCTTTTTTTTTTTTTTTTTTTTTTTGAGACTGGGTCTCATGTTGGAGTGCAGTGGCAAAATCATAGGTCACTGCAGCTTTGCAGCCTTGATCTCCCAGGCTGAGACTACAGGCACATGCCACCAGGCCTACCTAATTTTTTTTTTTTTTTTTAAGTAGAGATGAGGTCTCCCTCTATTACCCAGGCTGGTCTCAAACTCCTGAGCTCAAGCAATCCTCCCACCTCGGCCTCCCACAGTGCTGGATTACCGGTATGAGCCACCTCACCCAGCCTGAAATTTTAAACTACCATTTATGATAACATTTTTAAAAATCACAAACCTGGAAATAAATCTAGTGAAAGATGTGTAAGTCCTACACTGAAAATTACAAAATATTGCTAAGAGAAATAGAAAAACTTAAACATGTGGAAGGAAAATTCATTGATTAGAAGACTAAATCTTGTTAAGATATCAGCTCTCTATAGATTCATCTGTAGAGTCAATGCAATCTAAATAAAATTCTCAGCAAGATTTTAAAGACTTTGTCATCCTCAAAAGTTGGCTAACTTACACTTTCAGCTATTGAAATGTGCTATAATGTTACATTAAATTAAGACCGCATGTTGGTGCAAAGATAAATAGGCCAGTGGAACACAGTAGAAAATCCAGAAAAATACCCCACAGATACAGTTGGTTGATTTGAGGTAAGAACACTACTGAATTTAGTGGGGGAAAGTGGTTTTTTCAGTCGGCAGTGCCAGAGCAGTTGGTTATCCACATAGAAAAAGAATGAATCTTGACCCCTACCTTACAATACATAAAAATTAATTTGAGGGGCCAGGCGTGGTGGTTCACGCATGTAATCCCAGCACTTTGGAAGGCCAAGTGATCAGGCGGGCAGATCACCTGAGGTCAGGAGTTCAAGACCAGCCTGGCTAACATGGTGAAACCTCTTCTCTACAAAAAATATAAAATGAGCAGGGCATGGTGGTGCATGCCTGTAATCCCAGCTAGGCAGGGGGCTGAGGCAGGAGAATCGCTTGAACCCAGGAGGTAGAGGTTGCAGTGAGCTGAGATCGCACCACTGCACTCCAGCATGGGCCACAGAGCAAGATTCTGTCTCAAAAATAATAATAATAATAAATTTCAGGTAGGTCATAGATCTACATGTGAAAAGTAAAATAATTTCTAAAAGAAAACATAGAGAGAAATTTTCATATTCTTGGGGAAGGCAAAGATTTCTTAGACTGAACACAAAAAACACTAATCATAAAAGATCAGATTGATAAATTAGGCTTTATTAAAATAATTTGTTATTAAAATATACCATTAAGAAAGTGAATGAAGATGCCACAAACTAGGAGAAAATATTCACAGTATATACATCTGATGAAGGATTCATATCCAAAGTATATAAAGAACTCCTACAAATCAATAAAAAAGACAACTCAGTTGTGAAGTAGACAAAAATTTGAACCAGCATTTTGACAAAAGAAGATCCCAAATGTCCAACAAACCTATGATGAAGTTGTTCAATAACAGAACTCGCTGGGGTATGCAACTTAAAACCCACAATGAGATAGCACTATACTCTCCCAAAATGACTAAAATTAAAGAGTGACACTACCAAATGCTGGTGGGAATGTAGAGCAAGTAGAACTCTCAGATGTTACTGGTGAAAAGCGTACGTTCATTCAACTGCATTAGAAAACCATTTGGCAGTATCAAAGTTAAACATATAATAAATCTGTTACTCAATTATACTCCTAAGTATGCTCTTCAAAGTAAATGCATGTATATGTCTACCAAAAGACATGTACAAGAATGTATTTATAACCAAAAACTAGGAACAACCCAAATGATCACGAACAAATGGTAAAAATAAAGCATAATATAGTTACACAATGAAATGCTATATAGCAATAAAAAAGAATAAACTCACCATCATGTATAAATCTAAAAAACATTATGTTGAATGAAAGAAACCAAAACCAAACAGTATATACTTTATGAATCTATTTATAAAAGCTAAAGAATAGGCTGGGCACAGTGGCTCACATCTGTAACCTCAGCACTTTGGGAGGCCAAGGCAGGCAGATTGCTTGAGCTCAGGAGTTCAAGACCAGCCTAAGCAACATGGTAAAACCTCGTCTCTACAAAGAATACTAAAATTAGCCAGGTGTGATGGCGTGCACCTACTGTAGTCCCAGCTATTCAAGAGGCTGAGGTGGGAGAATTCCTTGAGCCTGGAAGGTTGAGGCTGCAGTGAGCCATGATCCAGCCACTGTACTCTAGCTAGCCAGACGACAGAGCAAGACCCTGTCTCAAAAAAAAAAAAAAAAGCCCAACAATAAGCAACCAATTTATAGTGATAGAAGTTTCAGAATAGTGATAATTTTAGGGAGTGAGATATGGAGAGTTATTTTGCTTTGTTTTATTTTGCCAAGAAAGAGCATGAGGGAACATTCTAGGCTGATGGGAACATTCTATATCTTGATCTGGATGGCTGATACACATTGTATACTTATGTTAAAACACATATAATATTGGCTGGGGACGACGGCACTTCGGGAGGCTGAGGCAGGTGCGATCACTTGAGGTCAGGAGTTCAAGACAAGCCTCACCAACATGGTGAAACTCCATCTCTACTAAAAATACAAAAATTAGCTGGGCGTGACGGCACATGCTTGTAATCCCAGCTACTTGGGAGGCTGAAACAGGAGAATCACTTCAACCCAGGAGATGGAGGTTGCAGTGAGCCAAGATCGTGCCATTGTACTCCAGTCTGGGCAACAAGAGCGAAACTCAGACAAAAAAAAAAAGATAGATAGATAGATAGATGATAGATAGATAGATAGATAGATAGATAGATAGATAGATAAAAATAATACATATGTGCTGAACAGCTCCCACACATTGGGCAATTTCCTTACCCCACCATGGGAAAAAAGACTAGAGGTTTTTTCTTTGGAGAATATAAAACAGAAGAAGAAGATCTCAAGACTCAAAGGCACCAAGCACAACTGAAGGAGGGATACCTTACTGAACATCAGGGGCTTAAGTAAACCTATGCATGTCAAATGCTGTTTCATCCCACCTTTTTCCTCACTTGACTCCCTGAACTGAAAACTTACCCTCATGTCTCGTTGGCCAGAATTGTATCACATATTCATTCCTAAACCAAGGAACAGGATAGGAAATGTCCAAGATGGAGGAATCCAGAAAAATCAAGACAACCTTGAAGTTTGTCATCACTATCATCATCCCCCTCATCATCACACATTTATCATACGTTCATACAACACAGACTTGATTCCGTTACCTACTAGACCAAAATTAAACAAATATTGTTCGTGCAGCCATTATTCTGAGAAGCTACCAAATTCCCAGGACAACGTCTCTAACTTGGTTGAGCGTGAGTAGCATGCCCACTCTCTGATTTGCAGGAAGAGATGGCATCTGGCCACATTGGCTTCCATGATAGAAGTTGGGTACTACCTCCTTAGACTACTCACAATGAGAATTTCCCAATTTCAGGTGCCAGGACAATGGTGTTTGGATGCTGAATAACCCCAAATGACAAATATTCATTCCCAAGAAAAAGTCATGAACTGCCTTTAATCTACCTTGAGCTAAAATTTGAAAACACTTTCCCTGTTATTTATCTGTCTTTGAGTTTATCTGATACCTTTTTAACTGGACAGTCTCATTTCTTTCCTTGCTCCAATAGCACAAGGCTATAAATTCTCTTTTTGTGATTCAACATGCAGGAGTGTTCCTGGTCTCTAGGAGTTCACCATCTCCCACTCACTTGATGCTCTGAATAAAGTGCAAAGGCCTGGTATGTAATTTTCACTCTTTCTTCTCTAAGTCCCGTCCCATTAACCAATGGTCTCCATTATAGTAGATTGCATATGTGTAAACAGAAAATATGATTGAGCAATATACTTCGCCTATAACAGATCTCACTAGAATACTACATGAGTTTTGTTGTATGGATCAATTCCTGCTGGAAAAAAGTACAATATTAATGTGCAGTGATTAATTAACATTGCCAAGTCAATTCCCTAATATTGCATAAAATAAAGTTTGTTTTGGCTCCCTTAAAAATGAGTATGTTTTATTCTTGCAGGTCTCAGCAACCCAACTTGTTCTGCATATGGTTGCATGTTTAATTAGTGATCCTTCTGTAAGACTCTGCAATTAGCACCCTGATGATTAATAAAACAACTCCTTTAAAGCTCCATTTAGCTAGCAGAACTGCACAATCAGGTATAATTAATTCATCATTAATAAATCATGGCTGATTAACTAATCTGTTTATTACCAACACATTACTGAACAGCTCCCACCTGAGCACAGCTAATTTTTCTATGCTGAACAGAGCTAGAAGCTAATAAAAAATTAAAAAAAAATAAAAGCTTCTCTAAAAGTGCACTAAGTAGCAAGTGTGTTGGTATAGTCAGGGAGATCATGGGACAATGCATATTTAAAAGTTATTGAACTGCACAGGCAATTGTCACTCAAGAGTGAAGAAAATGGTGGCTAAGTCTGAAAGCCTAAACACCTAATGGTTCTCGAATTTAAACATACTCCAAAATCACCTGGATGGCTTGTTACAACCCAGATCACTAGGTCTTCCCCCCGGAGCTTCTAATTCAGTTGGTCTAGGTTAGGGCCTGTGAATGTGCATTTCTTTTTTTTTTTTTTTTTTTTGGAGACAGTCTTGCTCTGTCACCCAGGCTGGAGTGCAGTGGCGCAATCTCGGCTCACTGCAACCTCTGCCTTCTGGGTTCAAGTGATTCTCCTGCCTCAGCCCCCCGAGTAGCTGGGATTACAGGTGCGTGCCACCATGCCCAGCTAACTTTTATATTTTTCGTAGAGATGGGGGTTTCACCATGTTGGCCAGGCTGGTCTCGAACTCCTGATCTCAGGTGACCTGCATGCCTCGGACTCTCAAAGTGCTGGAATTATAGGCATGAGCCACCACACCCAGCCGTGAATGTGCATTTCTAACAAGCTCCCAGGTGGTGCTGATGCTGATTGTCAGAGAACCACGGTTCTACCTTTACTCATATACTGGGAATGACTCACCATTGCTATGATTTCTAAGTCCTTTTTATAGATTTTAATAGTTTCCAAAATAAAACACCAGTAAGAATAACTTTCAGTATTGTTTATCTGTCCTTGTGTTTACATGTTATCTATTCAACTGGAATGTTAGTTTAAAAATTGCTGTTTTTTTAATTTCTTTCTGTGTGCCCCCAGAACCTAACAACTACTTTCTAGATGTAGAAACCCTAGACAAAACCCACACATGCCCTGAGCGTTCATCTCTGAGTCTTTGCTCATACCCTGATATTTCTAAGCCCTTTTCTTCAATACTCCCCTGCTATCGCCCTTGGTGTCTGTGCCATATGTAGGCCTTAATCACAGACCCACACAAGAGCTCATTATCTTTTCATAAAAGGATGAGCCTGGTCTCCACAGTTAGCATGAGTCCCTTGAGAGCCGGGTAAGCTCCCTCTCTAATCATGTTTGCCGCCTGCCCCCCAGCTCTCTGCCCTGCCAACTTCTAGCAGAGTGTCTTACATTGCTTTTTACCAACCATGTAAGATTGCTTTACAACACATCTGACCCCAGGCTGTGAAATCAGATCCCAGCTGGGTACCTAACTCGCAGGATACAGGGATGGACAGCGGGGGGATTCCCCTCCTGAAGAGAACTTGGAAAGAGGAAAACAATTCACCCTCTGAGAGTTAAGCCACAAAACAAACAAAAGAATGAAAGAAAAAAAAGACAGATAAACTTAAAGCAGTGGTTCTCAGCAGAATAATGGATTTTCCCCTTGGCAACCACCTCCCTGGGACATTGGGCAATGTCTAGCAACATTAAAGGAACAGAATGGCTTGACTATAATCTGATCCACGTGGAAAGACAGCACTGGTTAGCATGGAAGCTCTGGAAAAGCTTGCTCAGGGAGTCACGCTTTGGCAGGGCCCAGGCAGGTCTTATCTGAGAGAAAGGCTAAGGCATGGAAACAAGAATCCAGACTGTGCTATGAGGCAGGTTACATACAGTAGACTCACATCTCATGAAGTGCAGGCTAAAGTCAGCATGTCTTAGAAAAACTGTGAAAAACTCGGGCGTGGTGGCTCATGTCTGTAATCTCAGCACTTTGGGAGGCCAAGGCAGGCAGATGACTTGAGGTCAGGAGTTTGAGACCAGCCTGGCCAACATGGTGAGACCCCATCTCTACTAAAAATACAAAAATTAGCCAGGTGTGGTGGCACACGCCTGTAGTCCCAGCTACTTGGGAGGCTGAGGCAGGAGAATCGCTTGAACCCAGGAGGCGGAGGTTGCAGTGGGCTGAGATCGGGCCACTGTACTCCAGCCTGGCAACAGAGCGAAACTCCGTCTCAAAAAAAAAAATAATAATAATAATTATCCAGGCGTGATGGCGCATGCCTGCAGTCCCAGTTACTTGGGAGGCTGAAGCAAGAGAATCACTTGAATCTGGGAGGTGGAAGTTGCAGTGAGGCGAGATCATGCCACTGCACTCCAGCCTGGCTGACAGAGTCAGACTCTGTCTCAAAAAGAAAAAAAAACACAAACAAACAAAACTGTGAAAAAAAATATATAAGGCAATCAGGGAATGGGAACATTAACTGGATATTCAATAATATTAAGTAATTGTTGCTAATGTTTTGGATAGTAGTTTTCTATTGCTGCACCAATATTACCACAAACTTAGTAGCTGAAAACAACACACATCTATTATTTCACAGTTTCTGTGGATCAGAAGTCCAGGCACAACTGAGTTCTCTTCAAAGCTGCAATCAAGGTGTTAGCGAGGGTTGGGGTCTCAGTCTCATAAGAATGCTCAACTGGGGAAAGATCTGCTTCCAAATTTATCCAGGTTGTTGGCAAAATTCAGGTCCTTGCTTTCATAGGACCGAGAGCTTCATTTTCCTGCTGGCTATTGGCTACAGGCTGCCCTCAGCTTTTAGAGACCACCCTGAGTTCCTTTTGGGTTGCTGTAAACCAAAAATAAAATTCTAAGCCCCTCAGCCATCTGAATGGACCCCTCTTCTTGGCAAGGGCATTCCAAACTTAACCTGAAAAACTAGCTCAGGCCATGATGGGAAGGGGACATGACTTGTTATACCCTCCTCCCTTTTGGCATTACTGATAGAACAGACTCTAAGTCTGATAAGAAACATTTACAATCTTTCTCTCTCCAGCCTGCTCCTGGAGGCTTCAACTGCATGATAAAACTTTGGCAAGAAGAGGGAGAGCATTAGGACAAATACCTAATGCATGCAGGGCTTAAAACCTAGATTGTTGATAGGTGCAACAAACCACCATGGCCCATGTATACCTATGTAACAAACCTGCACATTCTGCACATGTATCCCGAAACTTAAAATTAAAAAAAAAAAAAAAAAAAAAACCTTGGTCTCCACAACCCATTATCATAACCCAGACATTCCTTTCTATTGATAATAACCCTTTCAACCAATTGCCAATCAGAACATCTTTGAATCCACCTATGACCTGGAAGCCCCTGTTCCCAGTTGTCTCACCTTTCCAGACCGAATCAATGAACATCTTACATGTATTGATTGATTGATGCCTTATGTCTTCTCTAAAATGTACAAAACCAAGCTGTAGCTGGACCACCTTGGCACATGTCATCAGGACACCCTGAGGCTGTCACAGGCATGTCCTTAACTTTGGCAAAATAAGTTTTCTAAATTGATTGAGACATGTCTCAGATAGTTTTTGGTTTATATTCCCCAACATGGTACCTTGCATCCTCATAGCCAGCAAGGGAGAGGGAGTCTCCAACAAGACCATGCTACAATCTTATATAACATAACCATGCAATACATATATGTAATCACATACATTTCATCATCTTTGTTGTACTTATTGGTTATAAGCAAGTCACTCTCAAGGGGAGGTGATCACATAAGTGCTTGAACACCAGACCACCTTAATGGTCTGTCTATCACAGAAGTGATATTAGTGTTAAGGTTACTTTTTTTTAAGAGTACTTATATTTAAAAGATAAATACTTAAATATTTGCTGATGAGAGTGTATGATTTCTTCAAAATAATCCAAGGGAGAAAAGAAGTGGGCTCTGAAGTGGGGTATAGATGATTGGCCATGCACTAAAACTGCTGAACCTGAGGGATAGGTTCATGGGGGCTCATCACACTATTCTATACCTTTGAATATGTTTGAAATTTTCATAATAAAATTAAAAAGATAAAGACAGAGCAAGACTATCTCTAAAAAAGAACATAAAAGGCTGGGCACAGTGGCTTACACCTGTAATCCCAGAACTTTGGGAGGCTGAGGCAGGTGGATCACTTGAGGTCAGGAGTTCAAGACCAGCCTGACTAACATCGGGAAACCCCGTCTCTACTAAAAAATACAAAATTAGCCAGGTGTGGTGGTACGTGCTTGTAATCCCAGCTACTTGGGAGGCTGAGGCAGGAGAATTACTTGAACCCAGGAGGCGGAGGTTGCGGTGAGCCAAGATTGTGCCATTGCACTCCAGCCTGGGCAACAAGAGCGAAATTCTGTCTCAAAAAAGTAAATAAAAATAAAAGATAAAGACACCATGTGCATTCATTTTCTTTTGCTGCAAAACAAATTACATCAAATTTAGCTACTTAAAACTACAAACGTTTATTATCTCAGTCTCTGTGGGTTAACAATCTGGAGTAGCATAGCTGGGTACCTCTGGTTCAGGGTTTCTCACAAGGCTACTGTCAAGGTGTCAGCAGGATGGCATCATCTGAGGATGACCGGAGCGGGAAGGTCCACTTCCAAGCTCATTTATGTGGCTGTTGGTCAAAGGCCTCAGTTCATTGCTGCGTGGGCTTCTTCTTAAGGCTGCTCATGATGAGGCAGCTGGCTTCCCACAGGGCAAGGGATTCAAGAGAGGGAGGTAGACGGACAGAAACTGACCAAAACAGAAGATGCAGCCTTTTATAACCTAACTGCATTACCTCTGGATATTCCACTGGTCTCACAGACCAATCATGGTGCAATGTGGGAGGGGACTGCCTAAGGGCCTGATAGCAGAAGATGGGGATCATTGGAAACCATTTTGGAGGCAGGCTACCATAGCGCATAAGGCAAAAATTAAGTTTTCCAAGATTATCCTTGAAAATCCCACAAATAGGCCGGGTGTGGTGGCTCACACCTGTAATCCCAATACTTTGGGAGGCCAAGGCAGGCAGATCTTTTGAGGTCAGGAGTTCGACACCAGCCTGGCCAATATGGCGAAACTCTGTTTCTACTAAAAATACAAAAATCAGCCAGGTGTGGTGGCAGGCGCCTGTAGTCCCAGCAACTCAGGAGGCTGAGGCAAGAGAATCACTTGAAACCATGAGGCAGAGGTTGCAGTGAGCCAATACCACGACATTGCACTCCAGCCTGGGCGACAGAGCGAGACTTTGTCTCAAAAAAAAAAAGAAAGAAAGAAAATCCCATTAATAACCTGTAAAGCATAGTTGACAGACACACCAGTTCACAAGCATAGCACTACCAGTTTTTTCCTACAGTGCTAGAACAAATCACTGTTTTGTTGAGTGTCCGACAAAGATGTTTGCTTGAACTAGGGACCATAGTTGTACCAAAAATAAATATATTTAGGCCAAGTGTGGTGGCTTACACCTATAATCTCAGCATTTTGGGAGGCCAAGGCAGGAAGGTCACTTGTGCCCAGGAGTTTGAGACCAGCCTGGGCAACATAGTGAGACCTCATCTCTATAAAAAATCAAAAAATTAGCCAGGAGTTGTGGCACATGCCTGTGGTCCTAACTACTCAGGAGGCTGGGGTGGGAGGATGGCTTGAGCTCAAGAAGTCAAGGCTGCAATGAGCTATGATCACGCCACTGCACTTCAGCTTGGGTGACAGAGAAAGACCCTATCTCAATCAATCAATCAACACTAAAAGCACATGTGGCCTTGACCTGAGCACATGTAGTCAAATTTGACTAAAGTAAGTGCAATATGATAGGATTCTATTGTGTTGTCAAAGTGGGGAAGCTTATCATGTTTTGATGACATCTGCCATTTAAGTCCATTTTGCTGACTCTCCTTGTTTTGGCTCCCTGGTCACCAAGGAGCTTTCTGATTACAATTTGGTTTCCCAAACAGATATGCAAATGCTGTTTGGGAAATCAGAGAATAGGTTAGATCAGAGAAAATGCTCTGATCTAATCTATTCTGTGGTTATATTTCTCATTGTAAAATAACAAATTGGTGTTTTGGCTTTATACGTCAGTCTCTATGTGCTAGGTTAATGTGAGTCTGCCCCTGAAAGATAGATTTATTCTTGGTGCACTTACATAATAGGGCTTTTGAGACTGTACCCCTAATCCCCTGGGCTGTGATAAGTTTACCCATGTAATGTCATCCTAGAGGGAACCATCTGAGTGGCCTGAAAACCTTCCCCAGGCACAGCAATTACATTTACTGTACACAGAATAGATCCATGAGCTCTCACATTTCTCAGCTCTTTGGCTGTTAGATGGAGATATGTGACCAGTTCTGGCCAAAGGCTGTGAACAGAATTGACACCTATCACTTCTGAGCCAAAGCACAGGAAGGTGTCCATACACTCTTTCCTCCTGCTGCCACAACCACAGAGACCACATGTTGAGATGGCAGAATGAAAAATCAGCCTGAGCCACTGCATGATCACAAGGAACAGTACCCCTCCTGGCCTGTACTAGACACTGAGGTCAAATAAAATGTTTGTTATTTTAAGCCACTGTGATTTTGTAGATATTTTGTGCTTTAGCATAACCTAGTCTAATTCAATACACCAGAGATGGGATGCCAACTTTACTGGGAGCACTCTTTTCAACCAATAGCAACATTAAACTTGAAAGCAGTGATATGGTTTGGCTGTGTCCCCACCCAAATCTCATCTTGAATTGTAGCTCCCATAATTCCCACAACTTGCGTGAGGGACCTGGTGGGAGATAATTGAATCATGGGGGCGGTTTCCCCCATACTGTTCTCATGATAGTGAATAAGTCTCATGAGATCTGCTGGTTTTATAAGGGGTTTCTCCTTTTGCTTGGCTCTCATTCACTCTTGCCTGCCACCATGTAAGACATGCCTTTCACCTTCTGCCATAATTGTGAGGCCTCCCCAGCCATATGGAACTGAGTCCATTAAACCTCTTTTTCTTTATAAATTATCCAGTCTCAGGTATGCCTTTATCAGCAGCATGAAAATGGACTAATACAGTAAATTGGTACTGGGAGTGGGGCACTGCTGTAAAGATACCCAATAATGTGGAAGCAACTTTGAAACTGGGTAACAGGCAGAGGTTGGAACAGTTTGGAGGGCTCAAAAGAAGATAGGAAAATGTGGAAAGTTTGGAACTTCCTACAGATTTGTTGAACAGCTTTGACCAAAATGCTGATAATGATATGGACAATGAAATCCAGGCTGAGGTGGTCTCAGATGGGAATGAGGAACTTGTTGGGAACTGGAGTAAAGGTGACTCTTGCTATATTTTAGCAAAGAGAATGGCAGCATTTTGCCCCTGCCCTAGAGATCTATGGAACTTTTAACTTGAAGGAGATGATTTAGAGTATCTGGCCAAAACAATTTCTAAGCAGCAAAGCATTCAAGATGTGACTTGGGTGCTGTTAAAAGCATTCAGTTTTAAAAGGGAAACAAAGCATAAAAGTTCAAAAAATTTGCAGTCTGAGGATGCGATAGAAAAGAAAAACCCATTTTCTGAGGAGAAATTCAAGCCAGCTGCAGAAATTTGCATAAATAACAAGTAGACAAATGTTTATCACCAACACAATGGGAAAAATGCCTCCAGGGCATGTCAGAGATCTTTGTGGCAGCCCCTCCCACTATAGGCCCAAAGTCCTAGGAAAAAAAATGGTTTTGTGGGCCAGGTCCAGGACCCTCCTGCTGTGTGCAACCTAGGGACTTGGTGCCCCACATCCCAGCTGCTCTAGCCATGGCTAAAAGGGGCCAAGGTATAGCTCAGGCCATTGCTTCAGAGTGTGCAAGTCCCAAGCCTTGGCAGCTTCCACATGGTGTTGAGCCTGCGGGAGCACAGAAGTCAAGAACTGAGGTTTGGGAACCTCTGCCTAGATTTCAGAGGATGTATGGAAATGCCTGGTTGTCCAGGCAGAAGTGTGCTGCAGGGATGGAGCCCTCATGGAGAACCTCTGCTAAGGCAGTGCGGAAGGGAAATGTGGGGTGCAAGCCCCCACAAAGAGTCCCCACTGGGGCACTGCCTAGTGGAGCTATGAGAGGAGGGCCACTGTCCTCCAGACCCCATAATGGTAGATCAACCAACAGCTTGCACCATGCACCTGGAAAATCCACAAACACTCAACATCAGCCTGTGAAAGCAGCCATAAGGGGGGCTATACCCTGCAAAGCCACAGGGGTAGAGCTGCCCAAGGCTGTGGAAGCCCATCTGTTGCATCAGCGTGGCCTGGATTGAGACATGGAGTCAAAAGATATCATTTTGGAGCTTTAAGATTTGACTGCCCCAGTGGATTTCAGATTTGCATGGGGCCTGTATGTAACCACTTTGTTTTGGCCAATTTCTCCCATTTGGAACAGTTGTATTCACCCAATGCCTGCACCTCCATCGTATGTAGGAAGTAACTAACTTGCTTTTGATTTTACAGGCTCATAAGTGGAAGGGACTTGACTTGTCTCAGATGAGACTTTGGACTGTGGACTTTTGAGTTAATGCTGAAATGAGTTAAAACTTTGGGAGATTGTTGGGAAGGCATGATTGGTTTTGAAATGTGAAAACATAAGATTTGGGAGGGACCAAGAAGGGAATTATATGGTTTGCCTGTGTCCCCACCCAAATCTCACCTTGAATTGTAGCTCCCATAATTCCCACATGTTATAGGAGGAACCTGGTGGTGGGAGATAATTGAATCATGGGGGCAGTTTCCCCCATACTGTTCTTGTGGTATTGAATAAGTCTTACAAGATCTGCTGGTTTTATAAGGGGTTTCTCCCTTTTGCTTGGCTCTCATTCTCTCTTGCCTGCCACCACGTAAGACATGCCTTTCACCTTCGCCATGATCATGAGGCCTCCCCAGCCATGTGAAACTGTGAGTCCACTAAACTCTTTTTCTTTATAAATTACCTAGTCTCGGCGCACGCAGCTCGCGCCCAGCGCTCTCCAGCCGGGGTGGTGGCGGCAGCAGCGGCGGCGGGGGAGGGGTGCGGCGGGGGAGGGGTGCGGCGGAAGAGGGGAGGAGGCCTGGCCCCGCGGTCGCAGCCGCCACCGCCCACCCCGACCTCCCGGACCGCCGCGGGGCCATGGGCCTGAGCCCCGGATTCGCGCTCCGGATTCGCCTCGGCTCGGCCGCGCGTATATTTGCCTTCCCTCCATGATCTCCAACACTATCCAATAAAGTAGAAGCAACTGAGGTACCATGAAAGAGAAAGAAGCTGGAACTGAGGAAAAGCAGAGGCTGGAGTGCAGTGGCGTGATCTTGGCTCACTACAACCTCCATCTCCCAGCCGCCTGCCTTGGCCTCCCAAAGTGCCGAGATTGCAGCCCCTGCCCGGCCGCCACCCCGTCTGGAAAGAAGTGAGGAGCATCTCTGCCCGGCCGCCCATCGTCTGAGATGTGGGGTGCACCTCTGCCCCGCCACCCCGTCTGGGATGTGAGGAGCGCCTCTGCCCGGCTGCGACCCCGTCTGGGAGGTGAGGAGCGTCTCTGCCCGGCCGCCCTGTCTGAGAAGTGAGGAGCCCCTCCGGCCGGCAGCCACCCCGTCTGGGAAGTGAGGAGCGTCTCCGCCCGGCAGCCGCCCCGTCCGGGAGGGAGGTGGGGGGACAGCCCCCGCCCGGCCAGCCGCCCCGTCCGGGAGGGAGGTGGGGGGTGCCTCTGCCCGGCCGCCACCCCGTCTGGGAGGTGTACCCAACAGCTCATTGAGAACGGGCCATGATGACGATGGCAGTTTTGTTGAATAGAAAAGGGGGAAATGTGGGGAAAAGATAGAGAAATCAGATTGATGCTGTGTCTGTGTAGAAAGAAGTAGACATAGGGGACTCCATTTTGTTCTGTACTAAGAAAAATTCTTCTGCCTTGGGATGCTGTTATCTATGACCTTACCCCCAACCCGGTGCTCTCTGAAACATGTGCTGTGTCCACTTAGGGTTAAATGGATTAAGGGCGGTGCAAGATGTGCTTTGTTAAACAGATGCTTGAAGGCAGCATGCTCGTTAAGAGTCATCACCACTCCTTAATCTCAAGTACCCAGGGACACAAACACTGTGGAAGGCCCCAGGGTCCTCTGCCTAGGAAAACCAGAGAGCTTTGTTTACTTGTTTATCTGCTGATCTTCCCTCCACTATTGTCCTATGACCCTGCCAAATCCCCCTCTGCGAGAAACACCCAAGAATGATCAATAAATAAATAAATAAGAAAAAATAAATAAATAAATAAATTACCTAGTCTCAGGTATGTCTTTATCAGCAGCGTGAAAATGGACTAATACAAGCAGAAACATAGCTCCCTCTGCACTCACCTCTGGCCATTCTCAGTAAGATCAGGTAGGCAAGAGGTGGGCAGAGGTGGAAGAGGCAGGAACAAACCTATCTGGAAGTAGGGCTCTCAAACCTGCCCTGCTCATATCAGCAGATAACTCACTGTACAGCGTATACCCTAGAGGCTCTTTGCTCTTGCTACCCAGAGATGTCACTTTTTATATTTGTATAAAAACATGAAAAGCTGGCCAGGCACAGTGGCTCATGCCTGTAATGCCAATGATTTGGGAGGCCAAGGCAGGAGGATCACTTGAAGCCAAGAGTTCAAGACCACCCTGGGCAACATAACAGGACCCTGTCTCTACAAAAAATTCAAAAATTAGCTGGGCATGGAGGCACATGCCTGTAGTCCTAGCTACTCAGGAGGCTGGGGTGGGAGGATCACTTGAGCCCAGGAGTTTGAGGCTGCGATGAGCTATGATCACCCCACTGCACTCCAGCCTGGGCAACAAGCAAGGGCAAAAGAGCAAGACCTTTTCTCTTAAAAACAAAGAAACAAACAAACATTAAAAAGCTGCATAGTGACAAAGAAGCCAAAATAAGAAGAGTCAGCAAAATGGCAAAATGGACTTAAATTGTAGACGTCATCAAGACATGATAAGCTTCCCCACTTGGTGAATTAAAATCCCATCATACTGTATTTAATTTAGTAGAATTTGACTACACATGCACAGTCAAGACCAAATGTGATTTTACTGTTTATTTATTTATTTTTAGACAGTCTCGCTCTGTCGCCCAGGCTGGAGTGCAGGGTGCAATCTTGGCTCGCTAAAACTTCTGCCTCCTGGGTTCAAGTGATTCTCCTGCCTCAGCCTCCTGAGTAGCTGGGATTACAGGCACCTGCCACCGCACCCAGCTAATTTTTGTATTTTTAATAGAGATGGGGTTTCACCATGTTAGCCAGGCTGGTCTCAAACTCCTGACCTCAAGTGATCCACCCACCTTGGCCTCTCAAAATGCTAGGATTACAGGCATGAGCCACCACGCCTGGCCTTAGTGTTTAAATATGTTTATTTTTATATAAATGTAGGCATATTTATATAAAGATAAATAGATGTTTTGTTTATTCAGGTGTGCTTGTCCTGTCCCAGTCCCTGCTTCTCTGGTGGCTACTTCCCACACACATGTGCACTGCAGCCCCTGAGTCCATTTTCAGCAGGCTGAGGAAACACAGTAAACATAATCAGTGTTCTTACATAAACAGCCTATGTATGGAAAAAAACATAATCAGTATTCTGACTATTTGGACTCAACTATCCATTGGACAATTTCAAACAAAAATCACACAAGTGAATATGTGGTTTGAAAATATAGGATGAGGCCAGGCGCGGTGGCTCACGCCTGTAATCCCAGCACTTTGGGAGGCCGAGGTAGGCGGATCACGAGGTCAGGAGATCGAGACCATCCCGGCTAGCACGGTGGAACCCCGTCTCTACTAAAAATACAAATAATTAGCCGGGCGTGGTGGCGGGCACCTGTAGTCCCAGCTACTCGGGAGGCTGAGGCAGGAGAATGGCATGAACCTGGGAGGTGGAGCTTGCAGTGAGCCGAGATCGCACCACTGCACTCCAGCCTGGACGACAGAGCGAGACTCCATCTCAAAAAAAAAAAATATATATATATATATAGGATGAAAAGTCAAGTCAGGTGCTACAAATAACAACTTTCATGTGAAAAGGAATCCAGAGTTATGTCAGAGACTTCTTTCCCAAAAATATCTATTAAGAATATAGCACCACCAGGCACAGTGGCTCACGCCTATAGTCCTAGCACTTTGGGAGGCCACAACAGGTGGATCACTTGAGGCCAGGAGTTTGAGACCAGCCTGGCCAACATGGTGAAATCCCATCTCTACTAAAAATACAAAAATTAGCCAGGCATGGTGGTGAGCACCTGTAATCCCAGCTACTTTGGAGGCTGTGTCATGAGAATCATTTGAACCTGGAAGGCGGAGGTTGCAGTGAGCCAAGATGGCACCAGCCTGGGCGACAGAGCAAGACTCTGTCTCAAAAAAAAAAAAGAATTTAGCATACATTTGAAAGATCAGATTCAGATCTGATCAAATTCAGGCCCTCTCAACTGTACATTTATATAAACTTATTCATATAGTTCAGTCTCAGGTTTGGAAAATCCAAAATTGGGGGAAAACCCTCTGGTGATTCTCGCCCTTGGTATCATGACCCGTGGGTGTGTTGTGATGAGTTGTGAGGTCTTCTGGGGGGCGGTGGGGCACTGGTTACTCAGTAAGTTAAGGCATTAAAGCTGGTGAATTATTGATTTATTGCACATCAGGAGAAACACAAGATTACTGCTATAATAAATTCACTCTTACATGCTTTAGCAAAAATCAGTAAAAATAGAAAACATGGTAACAATTAAAGTGAAAAAATTGGGGTCATTAAAGAATGTCTGACTGATTAGCTTGCAGTTTTTGAGACGGCTGAGAACTACCATCAATGAGATCACCTTAAACAAACACTCTTAATGACTTGAAAAAGTCCCCATCCCAAAGTCAACTATAGGTATTCAATATTGTATATTTAACTGAATTTAAAGTTATGTTAAAACCCATTTTATTGAAGTAAGAGAAGAATTCCTTTTACATTATCATTCTCAAGCCATATATCAAGAAAAAGATTGAAATTACATTCCTTTTTTTTTTTTTAATAGAGACAAGTTCTCGCTGTGTTGCCCAGGCTGGTCTCGAACTCCTAGGTTCAAGTGATCCTCCTGCCTTGTCCTGCCAAAGTGCTGGGATTACAGGCATGAGCCGCCACGCCCAGCTGAGATTACATTACTTTGAGTGTTTAATTTCACTATGACAGGAAGTAGCCTAATACATACTTTTTTGTGTTAATTTTCTGGATTCATCCTGATTTTTAGTCTTCGTACCTGAGTACAACAATAAAGGAAATCACTTCTTAGATACATTAAAATTACTTCTAAACTTGCCCCCCACACATGAACTGTTTTCAGTTTGCTATTTTTAATGGCCCATGCTTATTTATATAGACATAGCATAACACTGCTAACACTTTATGGCCTACTGTCCTCTTTCTTAGTATTATATTATAAAATATTTTTCTATATTTCCACATAGTTATTGACTCATTTTAATGGCTGCAAAATCAGGTACTCATTTAAGCTCAAATGGTTTAGTATCACTCCTCAGAAATGTATTCCTCCTTCTCTTGATTGGTAGTCATAATCAAATGAAGTGACATTATTCTTTGTAGCTGGTTACTTACATTTCAAATACACTCATGAGTGGAGCCAAAACTCCATTAGTTCATTAGTCTGGAAGCACTATTAAATCTCCATTAAAATGTCTTCACTTTTCAATTTTGTGTGTGTGTGTGTGTGTGTGGATGGAGTCTTACTCTGTTGCCCAGGCTGGAGTGCAGTGGTGTGATCTCTGCTCACTGCAACTTCTGCCTCCTGGGTTCAAGCGATTCTCCATGCCTCAGCCTCCCAAGTAGCTGGAATTACAGGCATGTGGCACCACACCCAGCTAATTTTTGTATTTGTAGTAGAGACGAGGTTTCACCATGTTGGCCAGGCTGGTGTCGAACCCCTGACCTCAGGTGATCCACCCACCTTGGCCTCTCAAAGTGCTACGATTACAGGCATGAGCCACTGCGCCTGGCCCATTTTTCGATTTTTAACATGAGGATTAAGTAGACTACTACGCACATTTGCTAAAGGCAGCCCCTTACATTTCTTTTTAAGCAGAAAATACTTGGTGGTTAGAGACAGCAGCGTCACAGCATAACCACCTCTAGGCTGTCAGTGTGCCCTCTAAAACAACAGCTGCACCTCCTCTAATGTCAACCCTTCCGTCTGGACGAAGGGAAATTCCCAGCTCTCCTCCTCGGTGGGAACACTGAAAAGCTAAAGAAAACAAACAGGTCAAATTAAGAGTATTTTCACCCTTTTAAATTAACAAAGCATAGTGAAAGACTTATTACAAATCTTAGAGTCCTCCCAGATCAGTTTCAAGAATAAATTCCTTCGTCTGTTTATGGTACTGCCCACTCCCATCCCCATTCTCCTGCAGACTGAGAAAGCCACAAACTCAATTTGATCTACAGAACACACAGCTCCACATACTCCCTTCCTGAGCCTTTTCCTGGGCCATCTCCTTCACTAATTCCTGTAATGGCCCAGACACACCCCACTCATCGCTTCTTCCCCTGCTCTCTCTAGGAGTAAGCAAAGATGTTTGAAACAATAGAGGCAGGCCTATAACTCTAGGAAGATGAAGAAGGGTGGTCTCAGCCCTCTTGAGAAGGCCCCCATCTTCTCAGCTCTGAATAGGACAGAGGGAGTTCATTCACTCATAACATATTCAAGCAACCACGTGTTCCAGGCAGACAAAAGAGGCATAGCCTCAGCCTTCCAGGAGCTCAGTACTTAGGAGAATAATTAGACTCGCCAAGGAAAATGAATAGCCACCTTGCTCTCTCCAAATCAGGGTCACAGACTCCTCCTTGGATGATCAGGGCAGTGCAGCCTCCATTGGCTGCCATCATTTTTCTCTGCCTCTAAGCAATACATTAATCACTAGGGGACTTGGTTCCAAAGTAATTTGTTTGATTCAATCCTGTGACTAGCAATAGCAGTAAGGAACCTTGGTCATCATCCAGTCTCAACCCATCACATTATAAATAACCTCTCTGGGCCAAAGTTATACAGCTATTTTATTCAACAAACACTTATTGGGCAGTTACTGTATCTGTGTCTGTACAGTCTCTGTATGTTGGGGGAGGCAGAGGTGAAGGCTGTTTGGGGTGGAGGATCTTTAAGGGTGAAGGAATTTTAAAACCTTTCATTTTCACATGGGTGATACATGACATTGTATTACATTTTCAAGGGGATAGTACATATGAGAAGGAACACTAGCTTCGAATTAGGCAAATAAAAAAGAAATTGGTAAAGAGCTGTCCTACCATGCATTTCTTTCTTCCCCAGATGCTGGGACCAGTAGCTGCTGAGAACAGCGTGTGCAGACCCTCAAAAGAAGTGAAAAGTTAGGAGACAATCCCCAAGAAAACAGAGGCGATTTTGTGGTAAATTTCTAAGCAATTACAATCAATTATCCAGTTTGAATAAACTCTAGATCACCTAAATCATTATGTTGGCCAGGCCACAGCAGGGTGTAGAATTATGAAAGGAGATAAAAAGGAAGACATAGAATTTATGGATAAACTCGGCCAAATTATGTATCAAATATGTCTTACACTTTCTTTTCTTTCCTTTTTTCTTTTTATTTTATTTTATTTTTATTTTTATTTTTTTGAGACACAGTCTTGCTCTGTTGTCCAGCTGGGAGTGCAGTGACACAATCATGGCTCACTGCAGTCTTGACATCCCGTTCTCAAGCCATCCTCCTACCTCAGCCCCCCGCAAGTAGCTGGAACTACAGGTGCATGTCACCATGCCTGGCTAATTTTTGTATTTTTTGTAGAGATGGGGTTTCACCATGTTGCCCAGCCTGGTCTCGAACTCCTGATCTCAAGAGATCCACCTGCCTCAGCCTCCCAAAGTGCTGGGATTACAGGTATGAGCCACGGTGACTGGTCCTTACAGTCTCCTAAGGCTGAATTAGACTGCAGGTTTTAATTCTTGTCTTGTCTACCAGCTCATTCTTAGCCCTTGGTAGGAGAATCAAGGCCTTTGAATAATTCTTTTTTTTTTTTTTTTTTTTGAGACGGAGTCTCGCTCTGTCGCCCAGGCTGGAGTGCAGTGGCACAATCTCGGCTCACTACAACCTCTGCCTCCCGGGTTAAAGTGATTCTCCTGTCTCAGCCTCCTGAGTAGCTGGGATTACAGGCATGAGCCACCAGGCCCAGCTAATTTTTGTATTTTTAGTGTAGACAGGGTTTTACTATGTTGGCCAGGCTGGTCTTGAACTCCTGACTTCAAGTGATGCACCCATTTCAGCCTCTCAAAGGGCTGGGATTACAGGCATGAGCCACTGCGCCCAGCCTTGCATAAGTCTTTCTACATCTTTCCAGGGAAAGTATCTCCTTCTTCCCAGAGTGCATATGCAAAGAAAGGTGGAAACTCTGAAAAAAGGCTAAATTTTCTTTTCTTTTAACTATTATTTTTAAATTTTTCTGTAGAGACGTGGTCTCCCTATGTTGCTTAGGCTGGTCTGAAACTCCTGGCCTCATGCAACCCTCCCACCTCGGTCTCCCAAAGTGCTGGGATTATAGGCATGAGCCACTGCACCTGGCCAAAAGGCAAACTCTTCCACCAAGCTAACATTCCTGAGCTTTTGGCACCAAAAGAACTTCTTTTTTAGTGAGGTATTTTTTCACGTTTGTACTCTAGATTTAGATCAGAGATTGGATTTTAAAATGAAATAACAAAATATACAGCAATAACTGACAGAAAAATATTTTGCGAAGAAAAAGATGGGGAGGAAAAGCCTCTCGTTTGGGAAAACCTATGAAGTGTTATGGGGTGGGCGTCCCAGCACTTTGGGAGGCCGAGGCAGGTGGATCACCTGAGGCTAGGAGTTCAAGACCAGCCTGGCCAACATGGCAAAACCCTGTCTCTACTTAAAATACAAAAAATTAGCCTGGCATGGTGGCAGTTGCCTGTAATCCCAGCTACTCGGAAGGCTGAGGCAGGAGAATCTCTTGAACTTGGGAGATAGAGGTTGCAGGGAGCTGAGAACGTGCCATTGCACTCCAGCCTGGGCAAAAAAAAAAAAAAAAAAGTGTTATGGGATGTTCAAGTAAGGCAACCAACCATCCTGCCTGGTTTGCCTGAGACTGTTCTGGTTTTAGCACTGAAAGTTCTGAGCCCTGAGAAACCCTTCAGTCCCAAGCAAACTCAGATGTTGGTTATCAAAGTCCAAAGGCCTTTATACTCTAGAAAAGCATTACGGGGAAAAACAAACAAACAAACAAACAAACAAACTTGCACTCTGTGCCAATTAAAATCTTTGTGAAGCAGCTGTGCTTGTGCAATCTGCTTGGAACTTTTCTTCCATGGGGAAGCTGCACTCTGGATATGGTTGGGCATTTTCCTGAGTCTTAAAAGTGCTTGTTTGCTGAGTTTTGAATTTCACGTGTTTTGTTACTCAGAGAGTAACTGAGCCATCCAGGCCCTGCCATCTGACCAGAACAGGAGCCCTGAAGGGTCTGCCCAGCCTCCTGTGGCCCCTTCACCATCCCACCCACCATCCTCCCACATCAAGCATTCTCGTCCTTTGCAGTGCAGCCCACTGTTCCCAAAGAGAGGGAGAGTAGGAGTCATGACATTTCTGCCCACCTTTGACTCATCCCTCTGCTCCCAGGTGGTGGACAATCTAGAAGTGTTGGCTCAAGGAGCTAGTTTTGTTGTTATTATTAAAATAGCTAGTAGTTAGCTAGGCGCAGTGGCTCATGCCTGTAATCCCAGCACTTTGGGAGGCCGAGGAGGGATCATTTGAGGTCAGGAGTTTGGGACCATCCTGGCCAACATGATGAAATCCTATCTCTAGTAAAAATACAAAAATTAGCCGGGTGTAGTGGCAGACGCCTGTAGTTCCAGCTACTGGGGAGGCCAAGGCAGGAGAATCACTTGAACCTGGGAGGCTGAGGTTGCAGTGAGCCGGGATCATGCCACTCCGTTCTAGCCTGGGTGATGAAGTGAGACTATGTCTCAAAAAGATATAATAATACAATATAATAGCTAGTAGTTATTGGGCACTTACTAGGTGCCAGGCACTGTATTAAGCCCTTAACATGCATTGTGCTTTTATAGCCCTATGAGGTATTATATACAATTTATAGAGGAGGGAACTGAGACTTTTAAAAGTCAAGTCACTTGCCCAAGGTCAAAAGCTAGGAAGCTAGGAATGTAAACCCAGGCTGTCTGACACTCAGGTTTAACCCTGTTATCCACCTGCTCTATTTTATGTTTTTCATGGAAGACTTCAGTGAAGGGATGGCAGGGATGGGGAAAGATAGAGGAACAAGGCAGCTCAAAACTCAAGCCACCTGAAAGGTCACAGGAAGTGCACTTAAATAACTATTTGTGATCCTCCTCTTCCATTGTTTAACCCTCCCCTGGGCTCAAGTAAAAAGTACCTGTCACTGGGTCTTCAGCCACACCAACCCACGGTGCAAAATATCTTGAGTAAAAGTCAAATGCTTGGGTCTGCCCACCAGGCTCTCCTTTAAGGGTAAGAATAAGCCCTTTCACCTTCCCTGTGTTTTCAACTTGCAGCAGATTCTCCGTGTTCACTTTCAGGTTCTCCAGAAACGACCTTGTTCATAAACAAGATGGATTAGGACAAACCCATTTCACAGCCCACTCACCACACAGACTCTGTGAAGCAGGCCAGGGTGCAGCTTGCTCAAAGAGCTTAACAGGAGGGGAAGGAAGAACAAGTGGGAATGTCTTCCTATCAGGGAAAGAAACACTCTGGCTGCGTAAATCATGGTTTGACTGGACACAGCACAGCCAGACTAAGGAAGAGCTATAAATCTGGGTACTCAGCCCTCCCCAAAGTGCTGATGCAGCCAAAAATCTTACCTGTTGTAAACGTCACTGAGGCGGACGAGGAGCTTTTGGGTATCTGGAGAATAACAGATGTCCTGGACCAGTGTGTTGCCTATGGCAGTCTGTGGAGACAGACCAAAAACTCCTCAGGGACATGCCCTGGGCCAAGTCCTTGATCCCCTGAAATGGGAAATGACCTCTCATTGAGCATCCACTGTGAGCCAAGCATGCCCATCGTCTCCAGTCCCCAAGAGTGTTAGTGCAGTTTCAGAGCTTAAGGTGTTGCCCAAGGATGGTCAGTCTCCTGGCTACCAAAGAGGCCTCTGTGAGCCTCAAAACAGGCATTGTGGCCAGGTGCAGTGGCTCACACCTGTAATCCCAGCACTTTGGGAGGCTGAGGTAGGTGGATCACCTGAGGTCAGGAGCTCGAGACCAGGCTGGCCAGCATGGCAAAACCCCATCTCTACTAAAATACAAAAATTAGTCGGGCATGGTGGTGCACTCCTGTAATCTCAGCTACTCGGGAGGCTGAGGCAAGAGAATCACTTGAACCTGGTGAACCAAGAATCACTTGTGAGCCAAGAATCACTTGGCCGAGATCGCACCACTGCACTCCAGCCTGAGAGACAGAATGAGACTCTGTCTCAAAAAAGAAAAAAAACATAGGCATTCTCACAAGTGCCTACTATGTGCCTCAATGCACAACTCCTTCAAGTAGGTATTCTCCCCACAGAGAAGGAGAAAGAGACTTAGAAAGGCCAAAGATCACACACACACACACACACACACACACACATATCTTGACCCAGGTCTGAGAAGGTCAGAGAAAAAGCTCTAAATCCCTACTGTCCATCATCTTTAGAGATGGAGGGGCCTCATGTCCACCTCTTAGAGCTGTGAGGATTAAATAAAATCGTATATGTGGAGTATCTGCAGCAGCAATTAGAACGTTCCACACGGCAAGCACTCAGGGCTAGCAGCTTGATTGGAAGGAGGGACTAGAGGGCTCGTCCTGTGCTGCTCTGCTTGGCAAGCACACCACTTTCACTCAGATTGTATGTGACAGATCAATAACATAACATGTTCTCAAGATACCCTGGTTCACTCTACCTGACTGCACATAATCTTGCTGAAATCCAGGAACATCATTTGTTTGTATGTTTGTTTGAGGGTGGCTTGGGGCAGAGGGGGATTATGAGGAGACAACCCCTTCCCACACCACCAAGTCATCCTTTGGCACCAGCCCCAGCTGCCAGGCCCAGCAGATGGTAATTACATGGTAATTGTATGGCAGTCACTAGGTGGCTTCAGGTTCTCTAATCCTTGTTAGAGGCCAAGATACTCCAGTTCCCACATCCAGAATTCCTTCTGCCTTGGGTGGTACTTGGGCTTTCTGCCTCTGTGACTATGGGCTGACCAATGTAACTTCCTCAAGAAATGGGAACTCCTACAGCCGGATCCCATCTGTTCTCCAGAGCCTTAGTCTCTCGAACCCAGCCCTTATCTGCATGAGTTTGTACATTGATTTAAAAGTTCAGGGGTGGGCGCGGTGGCTCACACCTGTAATCCCAGCTCTTTGGGAGGCCGAGGCAGGCGGATCACCTGAGCTCAGGAGTTCGAGACCAGCCTGACCAACATGGAGACACCCCGTCTCCACTAAAAATACAAAATTAGCCAGGCATGGTGGCGCATGCCTGTAATCTCAGCTACTTGCGAGGCTGAGGCAGGAGAATTGCTAGAACCCAGGAGGTGAAGGTTGTGGTGAGCCAAGATCACACCATTGCACTCCAACCTGGGCAACAAGAGCAAACTCCGTCTCAAATAAAAAAAAAGGTTTAATTCTTGGCTGGGAATCTTACTGCCAGTTTCTAGGGAAGAACACAAAATGGCAATACTTACAACCCTTTGTTATCCCATTTAATAAATGCTGACCCTGAGACTAAGTTGAGTTCTTTCTACCATGAACAAGGTCTACCATTATAAGTTTTTTCCACTTTCTTACCAGTATGTTTAAAGCAGTTTGTTTTTAAATTTGGCTTGTCTCCAAAACCCAAGCCATGGATGGGGTTGAGTATAAAATCAGAATCCATCATGCTTATTTGTTTATATTCTTTGAAAACACAGATAAAGCCAAATACTAGAGACTACAAATGCTGTAGTTAAAAATTCACTGAGAAATACCCAAGTAGTACTCACAATAGACTAAGCTACAGAATCATTTTTCTCATGACAGCCCTTGCCCTGGTCCTGACCTGGGCCCTCTCTTCTCTACACACCAAGCCCCTGGTCATCCAGGGCTGCTCTGGCCCTGCAGAACCTTCATGGGACAACTGCAGTGCCTACCTTACTGAGAAACATTGAGAATTAAATGGACAATGCAAGTGAAATGCTCAGCATGTGGCACTGCACACAGAGAGACTCTCAAAATGTTTCATCATCATTAATATTATTAAGCCCCATGCCCACACAGACCCCATGAGGAGCCCATGTTCTGTATCTTGTCTTATCTGCAAGGTACTCATGCTTTCTTGGTTTCCTCTATCAAAGCACAGCCCTCCCCCACCTCAGTCCCATCCTTTACTACAGAAACTGGGGACACTGACAGCTGCCAGGAAGGTTCCATTTTTTCCCTCCATCTTGTGTGTATGGATTTTATGGAATGACCTCTTTCTGCCAGAAATTCCCAACTTTCACACCTGAACTTGCACAGCCATGCTCGGGGCCCATTCCTCTCCTTCTAGCTAGAGAAGCACAGAAATTCAACATCCCTTAATTTCCCTAAAGGCTGGTCTCCTCCCAGAAACTTACATTTCCTTAAGACATCCTATTCTCCCTCTTCTTTACCACCTCCATTGGTTCTTTTGTGCCTTTCAGCCTGTCATATAACAGTGTCTCTTCCCTCCATCCTACCATGGGGGCCAGCAGTGACAATCAGGAGCCAAGGAAAACTGGTCAACCTTCTCACCAAATAGACTGAATATTAAAATTCAAACCTGAAACACTGTAACATTTATATTGGTAAAATGCCTATCTTTGTGGATCAAATGATACCAAATCTTTGTGTGCAAACAATAACAAATAACTAGGCTCAGGTTTGATTCTTTTTACCAACCTTTATCAAGTCCTCTACTTCATGGAAGTCCTAGATGGGGGGAAAAAAAACAAAATTATTATAAAACAGGAGAGCTGTCGGTTGTAGATGGCTTAGGGCAATAATTACAAAGAGCTGACCTGGGGGTGGGCTGGATAAAGAGGCAAGTCCAGGACGATGCCATCCTCTGCTCGTCTGGCCCTTAGTTCTCCACTCAGAGTGACAAACGTGAGCGTGCTATTCATGTTTTCTGGCCAAAATAGGAATCAAGAAATAGGAAATAAACTTTGTCATATATGCGCATGTCCATTTCAAACACCTTTGCATTGTCTTAGATTTTCTGGCACTGTCATCCTTTTCTATGATGGAGCGAGGTTTGGGTTGCTGAGGTCTAGAATGGAGAAAACTCTCACTAGATTCTAACTTGAGAACCAAGAACATAACTGATCAGATGTGGCGTCATACTTCAAGGCTTCAGATCCCAGCTCTTTACTGCTTACTGTGCCCTTACTAACTTAGCCTCCTTTTTTTTTTTTCTTGAGACATGGTCTCACTGTGTTGCCCAGGCTGGAGTGCAGTGGCACGATCTCAGCTCACTGTACCCTCTGCCTCCCACATTCAAGTGATTCTCCCACCTCAGCCTCCCAAGAAGCTGGAATTACAGGTGTGCACCATCACATCCAGCTAATTTTTGTATTTTTAGTAGAGACGAGGTTTTATCATGTTGGTCAGGCTGGTCTCAAACTCCTGACCTCAAGTGATACACCCACCTCGGCCTCCCAAAATGCTGGGATTACAGGCGTGAGCCACCACACCTGGCCAGCCTCCTTAAATCTCAGTTTCCTCATCTATAAAATGAGGTTAATACATTAAACCTACCATTTATAATGTTTTCTCTTTCTTTGAGGAACTGTCTCACTCTGTTGACCAGGCTGGGGACTGGCTCACTGCAGCCTTGACCTCCTGAGCTCAAGCAATCCTCCCACCTCAGCCTCCCCAGTAGCTGGGACTACAGGCATGAGCCATAATGCCTGGATAATTTTTAAATATTTTGTAAAGACAGGGTCTCACTATGTTGCTCAGGCTGGTCTCTAAGTTCTAGACTGAAGCAATCCTCCCGCCTTGGCTCCCAAAGTGTTGGGATTACAGGCATGAACCACTGCACCCAGCCTGTAATGTTTCTAATACAGATTTTAAAATATCCAGCAGCAACAACCATAGAGTCATAACCTCTTCTAGTCTAAGATACGCCAAGGGAATAACAAAACATTTAAGTTGTAAATATCAGTGTTATATGAAATAAATTTGGTTTATCCTAAATGAACCAAACTTTTTACATAACAATGTAATTTAAAGAATGCACCACAAATGTTGGCATCCCATGTTACTGATACAACTTGGGCTACTTATCAGTGTGTATAACATTTTTAGTGAAAACAAAGAATGCTGACCCAATTCTTTTCTCTCCCTTAATATTTCTGTAAAACTTAAACCACATGTCAAAGGTGAAGAACTTTGGCTTGTTAACTTTTATTGAGCATAAAATTGACATTCAGAAACACAAAGCTTAATTTTTCTCATTACGATTTGCATAAGACATTATTTACAAAGCATTTTTTCATACCTTATCTTATCTAACCTGAAGACTGCCCTATGGGGGTTTCCAGGATGTTATTATTCCAAACCTCAGCATCAAACCAACCCACGTGGAGTCCAGTTTTCAAAAGACACTCAATCTTGCTTTGGGAGGCCGAGGCGGGTGGTTCACCCGAAGTCAGGAGTTTGAGACCAGCTTGGCCAACATGGTAAAACCCCATCTCTACTAAAAATACAAAAATTAGCCAGGCGTGGTGGCAGGCACCTGTAATCCCAGCTACTTGGGAGGCTGAGGCAGGAAAATCACTTAAACACAGGAGGCAGAGGTTGCAGTGAGCCAAGATCTTGCCATTGCACTCCAGCCTGGGTGACAAGAGCAAAACTCCATCTCAAAAAAACAAAAACAAAAAAACAAAAGACACTCAATTTAATTTCAGTAAACCCTATTTTTCAAGACTCAATTCCTAAACATTTCGGAATGTTTGCTTGCCTTTTGCACATGTCCCCTATCCACAGATACCAAAATCATCTTTTTAAAATGTATATTGAATTACATTATATGGCTTCTCAACTTTATCTCCTGCCAATCATATAGACAGGCCCCAGGGACTTTGCACTTGTTAGCCTCTGCCTGGGATGCTCCTCCTCTCGCTCTAGCTCATCCCACAGATGCTTCATCTTATCCTTTCGCCCAAAGTTCCCCTTCTCTGGTGGGTGCTGATCCATATTCTATGTCTGACCCATGGCCTCAGGACTGGGACTCCATGAGGCAAGGAAGTACCATAGGGTACAAAATGTAAGGAGACACCTGCTCTCAGCTGCAACCTGGGGCCTTGCTGGCTCTGCCTACACCTGGCCCTGACCCTGCTTGCCCAGAGTGCTAGTGGCCAACAGCTCTCAACTGAGTCACTCTCTTGGAGTTACCTTTGGCTGAGTAGAGCTACCTTGCCCAAAGTCATACATCTTTTCCAGGCTTTGGGAACTGGTCCATGGAGGGTAAAAAGGCCTGAATCTTTGCCTCTACTTGGAACTATACTACTTGAAAAAATGTCCAGCTTTAGAGCTCCCCACGGATTTGGCCTAGGCCTTTCCTTGTTGCTACTACTCTGCAGTTCAATTTCTCCCTCTATTCAATCCTACTTTCTTTTTCTTCTTTTCCTCGAGGTGGAGTCTCGCTCTGTCGCCCAGGCTGGAGTGCAATGGCACAATCTCGGCTCACTGCAACCACGGCCTCCCAGGTTCAAGCGATTCTCCTGCCTTAGCCTCCTGAGTAGCTGGGACTACCGGCGCCCGCCACCATGCTCAGCTAATTTTTGTATTTTTAGTAGAGACGGGGTTTTGCCCATCCCCCACAGTGACATTCTGTCCTATCATCCTGTTTCTTTCCTTGTTTCCATTTCCGTTTGCTGTCTATGCTTGTTTGTGGCTGCTTCCATCTCCTGTTTTAGGGCATTTCCCAGGAATCTCTTCTCTGTCCCATCCCCACAAGGCCCTGATCTTTGTCCATTAAACTAAATGCAGCTAAGATAGAAACTGGCAGAATTAAGGTGCTGCAACTCCTTTTAAGGTGAATGTATACAGTGGGGGCCCAGGAATCTTCAAATTTAGAGCAAAGAAGCTCTTATTGGCCGGGCGTGGTGGCTCATGCCTGTAATCCCAGCACTTTGGGAGGCCAAGGTGGGCAGACCACTTGAGCTCAGGAATTTGAGACCAGCCTGGGCAACATAGCAAAACCCTGTCTCTAACAAAAATACAAAAATTAGCCAGGTGTGGTGGTGTGCACCTGGGGTCTCAGCTACTTTGGAGGTTGAAGTGGGAGGATGGCTTGAGCCCAGGAGTCAGAGGTTGCAGTGAACTGATATCCTGCCTCTGCACTCCAGTCTGGTCAACCGAGCCAGGCCCCATCTCAGAAAAAAAAAAAAAAAATGTTTATTGAAGAATCTCTTATTGTGAAATGAATTTCAATGTGGGAGCGGAAATAATTGGAGTGAAATGTTCCTGTTGATCTCCAATCTCATATCGTATGAGATGACAATTCTGCCCATGCAAGCTTCACAAAGACCAGAGATCTCCAGTTTAAAATGAGGCCAAGCATGGTGCCTCACGCCTATAATCCCAGCACTTTGGGAGGCCGATGCAGATGGATCACTGGAGGCCAGGAGTTTGACACCAGCCTGGCCAACATGGTAAAACCCCATCTCTACTAAAAATACAAAAATTAGCTGGGTGTGGTGGTGGGCGCCTGTAATCCTGCTACTCAGGAGGCTAAGGCAGGAGAATCGCTTGAACCCAGGAGGTGGAGAGAGGCGGAGGTTGCAGTGAGTCAAGATCGTGCCATTGCTCTCCAGCCTGGGCAACACAGTGAGACTCTGTCTCAAAAAATAATAAAATAAAATAAAATGGTTGTCAAATTCTTTGTAGACCAGAAAGTAAAATAAAATAAAAATAAAATAAAATAGCATTCTGATCGCAGCTTTCCAATGATGCTGGGCACATACTCAGAAAGGCCAAAGTGCTATTGAAGGTCGCTGGTTTTGTTTCTGCATTATGAATAGCATGAAGTAAACTCTGCAGAGTCTTTATACCAGTCACTTTGGACCATCAGAAAAAGTGTGTGTGAGAACTTAAAAAAAAAAAAGCCATTTGCTAAGTGTTAGATTCATTAAAGAAAATCACATTACTTATTTTGTGAAACAGCACAGCTGCAGAAGCCAGGGTGGCATGGCCACAGAGTGGGACCTCACTCGCTGGTGTAAACCATCTCAGTCCAAAGCAGGAACCTGAGGATAGGAAAAGCCAAAGAGAGATGAGATCATTCCCATGCAAGCAGGTCACAGATTTCTCATTTTCTTCTTTCCTATATAGTTCTCTAGCATGATGAGTAGCCAAAACATGTTGTAAAAGGAGGAATGATGGCTAGGCAAGCATCCTAGGGCTCCCCAGTGCTAGATCTGGAATGGAAACATTCAGATTCACCAAAACCCCCTTCCCCAAATGAACCGAAACCAAATCAGAATCTCCCGCTCTATCTACTATCTGCATGCAAATAATAAGGGGGCATTTTCCTTAAAGATCATTCCCCCACCTAAAAAATAATTTCTGATGTCATTCAAGAATTATTTTAAAGTGCATATTTAGGCCAGGTGTGGTGGCTCACACCTATAATGCCAGCACTTCGGGAGGCTGAGGCACAATAATTGCTTGAACGCAGGAGGCGGAGGTTGCAGTGAGTCAAGATCATGCCACTGCACTCCAGCCCGTGCGACAGAACAGTTCTTAAAAAAAAAAAATGCATATTTACTTTGTGCAAAGTTGTCTGTCGGGTGCAGTTTTCGGATAAAAGCAGTTTCAGAGAGGTTCATCTCCCTTGCAATTTTCTGATGCATGTCTTCATCCAATTCCTTAATTAGAAACAGACGATCATTGAGGTTTCAAAAACACAGATCAGACTTCCTTTGGACAACAACTACCATTAACTTAAAAAGCAGTTTAGCAATAATAAGAGTTACACGCTTAAAAGGAAATAATTACCAAGGAATTCAAGGCACTTTTATAAAGATTGGTTCTCAGAAACCCATGCTTGCAGTGCCCTGTGAAGAAGGGTTATAAATGTGCAAGCTGGAATAGACTGTGAAAAACTGGCTGGCCTGGCCTGTCTTTTGTCACAGTAAGATCTAGTCTAGCTGACAGAGTGTGCTGTCTTCTAAAAACAATCTCCACACAAGGAAGTACCCCAATCTCCTTTGCTTTGCTGGTGAAAGCGAGGTTCAGCACTCACTCTGGGCAGGCTGGACCACTCCTCCCCTGTCTTTGCATGGTTCACTCTCTTTCATGGGAAGGGCTTCAGGCCAGGGGTCACCTCCTCCAGTAAGCCTTCCCAGACCACTGTGTCTAAAGGTGTTGTCTCCTCTCCAGTGCTTAGATGTCCTGAAATTGCCTGGTGTGCCCTTTACTGTCTGGCCTCGCCACCTCTGATTCTAAGTTCTGTTGGGGTATGGACTGTGCTGTCTTGCTTTGCCGGGACCTGGAACAATGCCTGGTATTCATCCCAGCACAGTAGGAGATCAGTAAACATTTGTTGAAAAAATAAGTACATTATTTCACTTAATCTCATTTTTAAAACCCTCAATGTAAATATTTTTATACCCTTACAAATGAAGAAATTAAACGGAGAGATCATATAATATCCTAAGACCACAATATACCTAATAAACAGTACAGTGATTAAGAATGAGAGCTTAGTTAGGCATGGTGGCTCACGCCTGTAATCCCAGCACTTTGGGAGGCTGAGGCGGGAGGACAGCTTGAGTCCAGGAGTTCAAGACCAGCCTGGGTAACATAGTAAGACTCTGTCTCTGTAAAAAAAGATTTAAATAAAAAAAAAAAGAGTAAGGGCTTTAGCTGGGCATGGTGGCTTATGCCTGTAATCCTAGCATTTTGGGAGGCCAAGGCAGGAAGATTGCTTGAGACCAGGAGTTCAAGACCACCCCCCAGTCTCAATAAAAAATAAAAATAAAAAATTTAGCCAGGCATGGTGGTGCTTGCTTATGGTCCAGACTATACGGGAGGCGGAGGTAGGAGGATCTCTTGAGCCCAGAAGTCAAGGCTGCAGTGAGCCATGATTGTGCCACTGCACTCCAGCCTGGGCGACAGAGCAAGATCCTGTCTCAAAAACAAAAAAGAAAAGAAAAAAGAAAAAGAATGAGGGCTTTGCAAATGTGGACAATAGTAACAACTGGCCAGGCACATGCCTATAATCCCAGCACTTTGGGAGGCTCATGCCTATAATGCCAGCACTTTGGGAGGCCAAGGAGAGTGGATCGCTTGAACCCTGGAGTTGGAGACCAGCCTGTGCAACATAGCGAGAACCTGACTCTAAAAAAATTTTTTTTTACACAGTAACAACTGGTGAATCTAGAGAAAGGGAATATGCATGTTCATCATACCATTCTTGAAACTTTTCTGTAGGTTTTTAATTTTTCAAAATAAAATATTTAGAAAAATTATGTGGGTTTGAAAACAGAATTGAATTTCTATCCTGTGTGAGCTCCTAGCAGCAGTGTAAAAGTGGGCAAGTCATTTAATCTTATGGCCTCAGTTTCCACACCTTTAAGATGGGAATAATAGCACTTAAGTCAAGGTTTATTGTGAAGATATATACATGCATACGAATACACACACACACACACACACACACACACACACACACATTCCTCTTAACTCAAGAAAAAAGTGGACCCAGCTGGGCGTGGTGGCTCACACCTGTAATCCCAGCACCTTAGGAGGCTGAGGCAGGTGGATCACGAGGTCAGGAGTTTGAGACCAGCGTAGCCAATATGGAGAAACTCCATCTCTACTAAAAATACAAAAAAATTAGCCGAGAGTGGTGGCACGCGCCTGTAATCCCAGCTACTCGGGAAACTGAGGCAGGCGAGTTGCTTGAACCTGGGAGGCAGAGGTGGCAGTGAGCCAAGATCGCGCCACTGCACTCCAGCCTGGGTGACAGAGTGAGAGTCCGTCTCAAAAAAAAAAAAAAAAAAAAAAGTGGACCCGAAGTATGTTTTCCTTTTGAGAAGAAAAATCCATTTTTAATCAATAAAATGCTTACTAGTTAGATTTTGAATTTTAAAGAAGTTTCAAGAAAACACATTTTTATTTTGGCCAAATTTATTGCTCTTGATCTCCTGAAACTCTTTCTAACGGAAATCTACTAGTTAGATTTTGAATTTTAAAGAAATTTCAAGACAAATGCATTTTTGTTTTGGCCAAATTTATTGCTCTTGATCTCCTGAAACCCAGAAGAATTATAATTTTATATTAATAAATTCATAATTCACTTCTCTGAGTTATCCAAATTAAACACTCTTGTCTTTGATTCAAAATCTTTTGAAACATGTTCCATATAATTATATAGGGCATAAAAGTGTGATTATTGTGAAAAATCAGTCATGATTTTAAAACTACCGGCTGATATAAAAATCTTAGCAGGGGCCAGGTGTGGCAGCTTATGCCTGTAATCCCAGCACTTTAGGAGGGCGAGGCGGGTAGATCACCTGAGGTCAGGAGTTCGAGACCAGCCTGGCCAACATGGCAAAACCCCATCACTACTAAAAATACAAAAATTAGCCAGGAGTGGTGGTGCGCGCCTGTAATCCCAGCTACTCAGGAGGTTGAGCAGTAGTCACTTGAACCCGGGAGGCAGAGGTTGCAGTGAGCCGAGATCATGCCATTGCACTCCAGCCTGGGTGACAGAGCAAGACTCCATCTCAAAAATAAATAAATAAATAAATCATGGCAGGAAACATAATAAGCTTTTTTTTTTTTGAGACAGAGTCTCGCTCTGTCACCCTGGCTAGAGTGCAGTGGCACTGTCTCAGCTCACTGCGATCTATGCCTCTTGGGTTCAAGCGATTCTCTCATCTCAGCCTCCTGAGTACCTGGGACTACAGGTGCAGACCACCATGCCCAGCTAATTTTTTGTATTTTAGTAGAGATGGAGTTTCACCATGTTGCCTAGGCTGGTCTGGAACTCCTGAGCTCAGGCAATGCGCCCATATTGGCCTCCCAAAGTGCTAGAACTACAGGCATGATCCTCTACGCCCCGGCTTACCCAGAGAGAGACTGAAAGAAACAGAAAGAGAGAGAGAAAGAGATAACTCATCCCAGTGCCCAACACGTAGTAGGTACTTGATACATGTTAGCTTTTTATTTGAGTGGCTCAAAGTCATGCTTTAACTAGCCACACTACACTGCCTGCCCATCACAAAGACAAACGATTATTAACCCTGTAACATGCTACAGACAGGGAAAACAAACGTCTAGCAGAGAAAATGGACCCCTGCAAGGTTTCTAAGACGGAACAGCAATAAATAAATTAATGAGTACTGTGCTGAGCCAGGAGCACGGCAACACAACTAAGGGGATTTGTTAGAAATGCAGAGTCCGAGGCCCCCTGTCTTGGGCCTCCGACATTCTGAATCAGAATCTCCATTTTCACAAGCTCCCCAGGTGATCGTGTGCACATTAAAGTTTGAGAAACCCTTGTGTATAAGCCATGGTTGTGTTCAAGGGACTTAGCATCTAGGTGGGGAGTCAAGACAGCCACAGACAGCAACTGTGAACAATACCAGAGAAAATGTCATTGAGACACATAGATTTTGACAATAAATACTCTAAAACTTTAAAGATGAGGTCTTGTGGTGAACCTAGAAAAGAGGGGAGATTTCGGTGATTTGGACAGAAAAGTGTGTGCAAAGAGCTTTGTATTAGGACAGCTTCTTAGGCAAGTTGCTTGATCTCACTTCTGTTTTTTTGTTTTGTTCTGTTTTTTTGAGACGGAATCTCGCTCTGTCACCCAGGCTGGAGTGCAGTGGTGCGATCTGGCTCACTGCAACCTCTGCCTCCCAGGTTCAAGTGATTCTCCTGCCTCAGCGTCCTGAGTAGCTGGGATTACAAGTGTGTGCCACCATACCCGGCTGATTTTTGTATTTTATTAGAGATGAGGTTTCACCATGTTGGCCAGACTGGTCTCAAACTCCTGACCTCAGGTGATCCACCCACCTCGGCCTCCCAAAGTGCTGAGATTACAGGCATGAGCCACCGCACCCGCCCATTCTCTTGTTAAATCAGAGATTAAACTTTAACATAATGGACACTCTAGAATTCTAGAAGTAGGATGGTGAAAATGCAGTGGGATGAGTACCTGTCCCACCTGTGGGCACCTGTGGGCCTGGATAAGTGAGAAATCCCACCTAAGAAGAGGAGTAGAGGGGGCCACTGGAAAGTCCCAGCCAACAAGACAACAATGTTAACAATTGAACTCAAGCACTCTCCATGGCCTGTTGAATGTTTTCTGTGGAAACTGGTCCAGATGCACATGCACACAACACCTGATAGAAACTGGGAGGTATTTAAGCCCCTTAGTGCAGAGTCTGCAATCACAAGTCTCAGTGGTAATCGAAAGGTGATCAAGAAAAGCCTTTGCTGGCCTTCCTGGACTTGCCTCCTTGCTTGCAGAAACCTAAAGTGCCTGTCAGTCCTTCCTCTATATGATCTGGCGAAACTTCCTATCTTCGTCCTTCCTTTCTTTCTCTATAGCTCCCTGTGACCTTTAGGATAAGTCTTTAAAAGTATTAAAACATCCTACATTGTAGCCAAGCTCACCATCTATTGGTAATAGATTTCTTTGCAAATGGGCCCTTTCACACATTAGCTAGGACGCAAAGTCCACTGCCCACCAGCTCTTTAATCCTCTCTACCTTGGTATACTGCATTTCTTGCAATTTGAATTTATATAACTGTAACTTCTATTTCAGGACACTAAAAAATGCACCTGCTATTTGCCTGAGGGACCAGAGACACGTGGAAAGTTTAACAGTAGCAGCCCACAACATGTACCACTGGCAGCTGGACTTTCACTGAATTTCTACACTGCAACCAAAGGTCAAGACAATGGTGAATCATGGAAAGACTTCAACTTTGAAAGCCTTACAAACAAAAGAGAGAGGATGCATTTGTTCAAAATACTGGCTTTTCTTTTCAGCAATTTTTCCATTTTACACTAGGAGCTTCTTTTCAAACGCTGCACAAAACAGTTACAAACCAACAGCTATGAATTCCCTTGCTTTAATATCCATTTCCCTTTGGCCATCTCATGTGAATCAAATTTCCAACAGCAAAAACAGAGTGATGTTTGCCTTTCTGAATTCCAGTGTACTGCTTTGGCATACCGAGGTTCCATCGCCTTATGACCCACAAAGATTAATGATCAGAAAATCAGAGTAAAGTTTTAAAATACTCCCATCTTGTGGCAGTTTTGAAATATGGCAACCTGAATATGACAGTCCCGACTTATCAGTCCTTATTGTTCATTTGTCCCTCTGCTGTAGATAAGGTTCCAGTAAATTCAACACACCTGGATGGAGAAAGTTCTAAAACCATCAAGGAAGTGGCAAACTTGTAAACTAAAATTGACAAAACATTAGGCTGGGTGCAGTGGCTCTTGTCCAAGCACTTTAGGAGGCTGAGGTGAGAGGATCACCTGAGGCCAGAAGTTAGAGACCAGCCTGGGCAACATAGCAAGACCCTGTCTCTACAAAAAATAAAAATTAGCTGAGCGTGGTGGTGCACACCTGTTGTCTCAGCTACTCTGGAGGTTGAGGCAGGCGGATAGCTTGAGCCCAGGAGTTCAAGGCTGCAGTGAGCTATAATCATGCCACTGTACTCCAGCCTAGGGGAGAAAGCAAGGTCCTGTCTCTGGAAAAAAAAAAAAAAATTAGAATTTAAAAAAAAAAAAGCACCACTGGTTGTTACCACCACAACCAGTAGCTAGTCATGGGTCCCTCTAGTTTTTTACCCAGCTATCATCATAATGTATCTGTTTTACTTTTTACATTGCTTCTATACATTTTCCATGTTTCTACAAGGTCTTTATTGTCAAACGGATTGTCAGGCATCTGAGGACACCATCAATTATTTATTTATTTATTTATTTATTTATTTATGTTTGAGAAGGAGTTTCACTCTGTCGCCCAGGCTGGAGTGCAGTGGTGCTCTCTGGGCTCACTACAACCTCTGCCTCCCAGGTTCAAGCAACTCGCCTGCCTCAGCCTACCGAGTAGCTGGGATTACAGGCATGCGTCACCACACCTGGCTAATTTTTGGCTGGTCTTTAACCTTGGCTAATTTGACGGGGTTTCACCATGTTGGCCAGGGTGGTCTCAAACTCCTGACCTCAGGTGATCTGCCTGCCTCGGCCTCCCAAAGTGCTGGGATTACAGGTGTGAACCACCGCACCCAGACAATTTTTATTACATTGTTTTCAAATATTTGTTCTATGTTTCCAGGTAGCCGTTAATTTGTTTTTGTTTTCACCTAATGTATAGTGTTATATGTTGTCATGTGAAAAATTTAAAAATTTAAAAATGTCAGCCGGGCGTGGTGACTCACACCTGTAATCCCAGCACTTTGGGAGGCCGAGGTGGGAAGATTGCTTGTCTCAAAAAAATAAAAATTAAAAAATTTAAAAATGGACTTGTCTTGAAAACAAAAAATCCTTTAGAATATTATAGAAGCTCTTGAACTTTATTACTCAGAAGTTTTTACTTTACTTTCAGTAGTCTTTTATCAAGTGTTCAAAAAGCTCAAAGCACCACGACCTAGTCTTTAGTCTATCCACCAGGTTTTCCTGTGGTTACTCTCATCCTGGTCAAATTTTGAATAACTTAAAACAAAGCTACAAAAAAAAAAATCATCTGAAGCCCTGCACTTAAAATCTGAGGTATTTTTACCTCATAAAACCTAACATTATTCCATTCTCTGAGGCCTGGTACCTTCAGGTCTTTTAGTCTCTGTAGTGACTACTGAATAACGATGGGTTTACATGCCCATTTTCTGCACTAGACTCTGAGCCCTTCAAGGGCAGGTGAACTTGTTAACCTTTGTACCTCTGGCTCCTAGCCCAGAGCCTGGCTGAATTCCTACTGAATTGTGTCCAATATTATAAGATTTAGCGTTTATTTGTCTCTGACATTTTCCTGTGGCCACCTGTATTCTCTCCACCATCTCAGGACAATGAACCCAAGGGCAGACACCACCATTTATACGTCTATTATAATTTTTATTGATTACGAATTAGGAAAAGTGCTATCTTCGCCTCTAGGAGGATAAGATTCTCACATCCAAAGAGCAGAAAAGCATGACAAAGAGGCGTAGCAAACTAATCTTTAGATATCTATTCAGGTGTCTCTGACAGGCCGTGAAATTTTCCTGGTCTCACAGGCCCAAGCCTCAAAAGAAGTGAATTGGAAAACTCTTTAGAGAGCATCCCCAAATCATGGACTTCCTTATCTTCTTTTTCCTTCTTCCATTCATACTAAAGCGTGTTGTTTTAAACTGTAAGTTCTTTGCTTAAATTTTTATTTCCTAGTTTTTCCAAATATATAATTAACATACAAAATATGTTTTAACGGAGAGATAGGTAGAAAGAGAGAGAAAAAAGAAAGAAAGAAAGAAAGAGATATCAATCCCATAAGTCTGATGTTTGCTGAATTTACTGGAAATAAAAGGAGTAAGTTGGACAATAATCCAATTCTTGTTATCTGATAAAAATGGAATATATTCTATTCAATATAAACTACTGTCAAAACTCTTCAAGGATATTACATGCAGACATGGGGCAAATGTATTAAGACTTTTGACAAGCAGTTATAGTCAATTCCACAATTCCTTGACAGGAAGTTGTGTCTGCCAGATTGTTTCTAAAGAAAGGTCATGACTTGGAATCTGGTTGTTAATTGTTTTCATACTAATCTTCCCAAACTCTTGTAATAATGGACAAAGTTTATTACCTTCTGCATTTTGTGGAGAGAAAATACCAGCTCAAGTCTGCGTAATGAATGTAGAGTTAAGGTAAGACAAGGACTCTTGATGGCCACCTTACTGCTCCACTTAAGGGAGAAAATAAGTGTGAAAAGGACTCAATTAATAATATTCCACCAGGTGCAGTGGCTCAGGCCTGTAATCCCAGCACTTTGGAAGGCCAAGATAGGAGAATCACTTGAATCCAGGAGTTTGAGACCAGCCTGCTCAATTTAGCGAGACCACATCTCTATTTTATATAAAGTTTTAAAAAATAAAAAACAACAACAACAGCAATAAAAAACGACATTCCGCTCATCAGTCCTCCTTTTTTTTTTTTTTTCTTTTTTCTTAGAGACACGGTCTCGCTGTGTTGGCCAGGTTGGACTCTGGCTCCTGGCCCCAAGCAATCCTCCTGCCTCAGCCTCCCAAAGTACTAGGATTATAGGCAAGAGCCACCACACCCAGCCCAGTTCTCCATCATGATTGCACACTGGAATCACTTGGGGAACTTTAAAAAAAACACTGCTGGCCGGGCGCGGTGCTCACGCCTGTAATCCCAGCATTTTGAGAGGCCAAGGCAGGTAGATCACCTGAGGTCAGGAGTTCGAGACCAGCCTGGCCAACATAACGAAACCCCATCTCTATTAAAAATATAAAAAATTAGTCGTGCATGGTGGCGGGCACCTGTAATCTCAGCTACTTGGGAGATTAAGGCAAGAGAATCACTTGAACCCGGGAGGCGGATGTTGCAGTAAGCTCAGATCACGCCATTGCACTCCAGCCTGGGCAACAAGAGCGGAACTCCGTCTCAAAAACAAAACAAAACAAAAAAACACTGCTTCCCCCCAACTCCCAGAGAGCCTGTTGTAATTGCTCTAGAAGACAGCATTTTCAAAGTTCCTTGGGTGATTTTCATGTATAGCCAGGTTGAGATTCACTGTCCCTGAAGGCCCCAACACACACTTTGCCCAACTTAATATGACTTATTTAAGATCATCAATTGCTAACTGTCTTCTTGAAGTAATTTTCAGATAATCTACTCTTGTGCTAACTGCTCTGAGTGAAAGCACTCAGAAACGCCTTACCTTGTTTCTCACTACTTAGGGACCAACACAAGGTCAATATTCCTTGACCTTGAGGGTCAATATTTAAATATTAACTATTAACAATATTTAAATATTTAACTATTCTATTAATATTTATCTATTTAACTATTAATATTTAACTATTCCATTAATATTTAACTATTCCATTAATATGTATCCTAATCAAAAAGCCATTTTAAAAATGAGTCTTTCAGTAAGTTATTTATATACTATAGCTTAATTCCTTCTACCTCTCTACTTAACTACTTAATTCCTTGCAAAATGTCTCATTTTCTTGATCCTGAAAAGAATTTCTAATTGCCTGAGCTATAGATAAGGTTAAAGATACTCAGTTAGGATCTGTTATGCTCAATGTGAAATTGGCTATGTCTAGTCACACAAAACTCATCTAATTTCATTCTCCTCAACACTTGGTGCTAACTAAATGAAAACCTGATGGCTAAAAGGGAGCTCTAGCTCTTCTTTTTTAAAATTGGCTCTAGTTCCTCTTTATCTGAATCTTCATTTCATTGGACGTACCCAAGGCATAGGCATTTTTATCAAATACTTTGGTCAAAATCAACTTGCATACATGAACATTACTGATATGATGGCAAAGAACACAAACCAAAGAGGTAAACAAACAGGTGAAACTAGTCTTTTAAAATAAGTAATTGTTTCTACAGGAATCTAGAATTTCAGGTACTGTAATTCAAAACCAAGCACTTACATTTTCTAGGAGGCAAACAGCAGCAGGATTCCCACGAAATGCTCTTGCTGTGAATGCATCTGCTATGAAAATAGGAAGCTTCATTTTCCTTGCAAGCTGTTTTTGCAAGTTCTCAAAATTGCTGGTAGCCTGCTTTACGTCTTCTTCTTGGAAAAGGAAATCAAAAAGTTAATGTTTTACTTGGTGTCCAGACGCAAAGAACAGTTCCCAGATACAAAGTCAAGCAATTATTCAAAGATACTACATTTAAAGATATATAATCCCCTAACTTCTTTTTTCATTTTTTGAGATGGAGTCTTGCTCTGTTGCCCAGGCGGGAGTGCAGTGGCACCGATCTCGGCTCACTGTAACCTCCGCCTCCCCGGTTCAAGCGATTTTCCTGCCTCAGCCTCTTGAGTAGCTGGAATTACAGGCACCTGCCACCACGCCTGGCTAATTTCTGTGTTTTTAGTAGCGTCAGGTTTTCACGGTGTAGGCCAGGCTGGTCTCGAACTCCTGACCTCAGGTGATCTGCCCTCCTCAGCCTCAAAAAGTGCTGAGATTATAGGCATGAGCCACTGTGCCTGGCCAATCCCCTAACTTTTTAAAACCTCTAAAATGAAATTCATTTTAAAATACTGGCTAAATTGATTTTTTCCATATTCTGTATTGACTTTTCATATTATACATAGAACTTAGCAGCATAATCATAGTCTTTCTTAGAGTAGCCAGAACTAGCTTAGGATCTGTTTTTTGTTTTGTTTTGTTTTGTTTTTTTGAGACGGAGCATCGCTCTGTCGTCCAGGCTGGAGTGCAGTGGCATGATCTTGGCTCACTGCAAGCTCCCCCTCCCAGGTTCACGCAATTCTCCTGCCTCAGCCTCCCGAGTAGGTGGGACTACAGGCGCCCGCCACTGCGCCCGGCTAATTTTTTGTATTTTTAGTAGAGATGGAGTTTCACCATGTTAGCCAGGATGGTCTCGATCTCCTGACCTTGTGATCCACCCGCCTCGGCCTCCCAAAGTGCTGGGATTACAGGCATGAGCCACCGCACCCGGCCGCTTAAGCTCTGCTTTTAATGAAATGCATGAAACATACAAGAGGCATGTATGTTGCTTACAGTCTCCCAATGAATATTATTACTATTTTTTAAAAGAACGCATTTTTTCTAATTAAAAAATATGCTCATTATAAAAAACTTGGAAAATAAAGACCCATAAGTGCACAAATTAGCAATAACATTATTAATGTTCTGGATGTACAGCTTTTATCAGAATTTTACCCTCTTAACAGTAAATTGGCCCTCTGTATTCACAGAGGATAGATCCCAGGACCCCCTGAGGACACCATACTCCCACAGATGCTCAAGTCCCTTATATAAAATAGCGTAATTCAAGGGACATTCCAATACAATTGGAAAACACTGTATAGCATGAATATTTTCTAAACACACCAAATGCTTCAAAAACACCCTTTTAATAGATTTACAATACGTTTATGGATATGCTATAAGTTGTTTAACCATATCCCTTTGGGTGAATATTTAAGTTGTTTCTAATTTTTCACTTGTAAAGATAATGCAGTGATCAAACCTGTTAAATGTAAATTTTCTTCTGTGTTCCTGATTCTTTTATATATATTCCTAAAAGTGAAATCCCTGGGTCAAAGAGTACAGATGTTTTAACTTAAACAGTTAAATTTATCTGCAGAAAAAGTATACCAATTTAGACAGTATATGAGAGTGTCTGATCATTGCTAATCTGATAGATTTTAAAATATCTTGTTTTCATTTGCATTTCTTAGATTATTCTTTCTTTCTTTCTTTTTGGAGACAGAGTCTTACTCTGTCACCCAGGCTGGATTGCAATGGCACAATCTCCACTCACTGCAACCTCTGCCTCCTGGGTTCAAGCGATTCTCATGCCTCAGCCTCCCAAGTAGCTGGGATTACAGGCACGTGCCACCACACCTGGCTTATTTTTTGTAGAGACAGGGTTTCGCCATGTTGGCCAGGCTGGTCTGGAACTCCTCACTTAAGTGATCCTCCCACCTAGGCCTCCCAAAGAGCTGGGATTGCAGGCGTGCCCCACTGCACCTGACCTGCATGGTGTGTGTGTGTGTGTGTGTGTGTGTGTGTGTGTGTTTGTGTGTGTGTGTTGAGACCATTCTCTTGAATTTTAATCTTGGTTCCATTTACCACGTAAATGTAGGAAAATCAGAAAGCTTCCTTGTCCAAATAGCTTAGTCATTAAACCTGCCCATGGATGTGCCTGGGGAGAGTGATGTATATTTGTCCCTCTGCAATAGTCTTAGTTTGTTTACAGTTTTCCTGTCACTGCAGATTCCTGTTATTCTGTAGCTGTTAGCACAAAAGAACCCACTTCATGGCCTGGTGCAGTGGCTCACGCCTGTAATTCAGCACTTTGGGAGGCCAAGGCAGGCAGATCACTTGAGGTCAGGAGTTTGAGACCACCCTGGCCAACGTGGTGAAACCCATCTCTACCAAAAATATGAAAAAATTAGCCAGGTGTGCTGGCTCGTGCCTATAATCCCAGCTACTTGGGAGGCCGAGGCAGGAGAATCGCTTGAACCTGTGAGGCGGAAGTTGCAGTGAGCCGAGATTGTGCCACTACACTCCAGCCTAGACAACAGAGTGAGATTATGTTTCAAAAAAAAAAAAAAAAAAAAGAACCCACTTCACTCTTGCTTATAACTTTTATAACTTCCGCCTCAAAACGAGGCTACTCATTAATAAATATCAGTTTAGTTCTTTGAAAAAAATAAATATTGGCCAGGTGTGGTGGCTCACGTCTGTAATCCTAGCACTTTGGGAGGCCGAGGCAGGCAGATCACGAGGTCAGGAGATCGAGACCATCCTGGCCAACATGGTGAAACCCTGCCTGTACTAAAAATACAGAAATCAGCTGGGCATGGTGGCACATGCCTGTAATCCCAGCTACTAGGGAGGCTGAGGCAGGAGAATCGCTTGAACACAGAGTCAGAGGTTGTGGTGAGCCGAGATCACGCCACTGCTCTCCAGCCTGGTGACAGAGAGAGACTCCGTCTCAAAAAAAAAAAAAAAAAGAAAGAAAGAAAAAGAAAATATAAATATGTAGGCCAGGCACGGCGGCTCACACCTGTCATCCCAACATTTTGGGAGACTGAGGTGGGTGGATCACTTGATGTCAGGAGTTCGAGACCAGCCTGGCCAACACAGTGAAACCCCGTCTCTATTAAAAATACAAAAATTAGCCAGGCATGATAGCAGGCACCTGTAATCCCACCTACTTGGGAGGCTGAGGCAGGAGAATTGCTTGAACCTGGGAGGCTGAGGTTGCAGTGAGCTGAGATTGTACCACTGCACTCCAGCCTGGGTGACCGAGAGAGACTCTGTCTCAAAAAGAAAAAAGAAAATAATAGAGTACGGGCATTCAAAGTGTATCCGAACACCATCTACTTTTTTTTCAGTTGGTGAAAAGAAAATAAGTATCAAAAAGAATTATAAAGTGTAAATAAAATAAGTTTTAAATCAAAATTTGAAAGAAAATTTTTCTTTTTACTTTGTTTATGTTTCTTTTAATTGACAGATAAAATTATATTTATCATGTACAATATAATGTTTTGAAGTATATATATATATATATATACACATTGTGAAATGGTTAAATCTAGCTAATTAACAAATGCATCACCTCACATAATCATTATTTTTATGATTAGAACACTTAACATCCACTCTCTTTGCATTTTTCAAGAATACAGTATATTAACTATAGTCATGATGCTATACAATAGATCTCTTGAACTTATTCCTCCTATCTACTGTAATTATGTACCCTTTGGCCAGATCTCCCCAACCACTCCCCTCCCCAGCCACCCCCACCTCTGACAACCACCATTCTACTCTCTACTTCTACAGTGTCAACTTTCTTAGATTCCTCACTGAGTGAGATTATGCAGTATTTGTCTTTCTGTGTTTGGCTTATTTCACTTAGCATAATGCCTTCCAGGTTCACCCATGTTGATGCAAATGATGGGAATTCTTTCTTCTTTATGGCTGAATAATATTCTATTGCATAAATATAGACACTCCTCTACTTTTGATGGGGTTACATCTCAATAAACCCATCATAAGTTAAAAATATCATAAGCTGAAAATGCATTTAACACACCCAACCTACCAAACAATATAGCTTAGCCTAGCCTACCTTACACATGCTCAGAACACTTACATTAGCTTTCAGGTGGGCAATCATCTAACACAAAGCCTATTTTATAATAAAGTGCTGAATATCTCATGTAATTTATTAAATACCCTACTGAAAGTAAAAAGCAAAATGGTTGTATGGGTACACACCATTAACGTACACCGCTGAAAGCACACTGGGCTTTCAGTGTGTTTTCAGTTTGAAGCATTAAACTAAAATTGGCCAGGCACAGTGGCACACACCTATAATATCAGCACTTTGGGAAACCGAGGCAGGTGGATCAAGTCAGGAGTTCCAGACCAGCCTGGCCAACATGGTGAAACCCCATCTCTACTAAAAATACAAAAATTAGCTGGGCGGCCAGGCATGGTGGCTCATACCTGTAATCCCAGCACTTTGGGAGGCTGAGGCAGGTGGATCACAAGGTCAGAAGATTGAGACCATCCTGACTAACACAGTGAAACCCCATCTCTACTAAAAATACAAAAAAGTAGCCAGGTGTGGTGGCGGGCGCCTGTAGTCCCAGCTACTTGGGAGGCTGAGGCAGGAGAATGGCATGAACCTGGGAGGCGGGGCTTGCAGTGAGCGGAGATCGCGCCACTGCACTCCAGCCTGGGTGACAGAGTGAGACACTGTGTCAAAAAAAAAAGAAAAAATTAGCTGGGCATGGTGGCGCATGCCTGTAGTCCCAGCTACTCGGGAAGCTGAGGCAGGAGGAGCGCTTGAACCCGGGAAGCGGAGATAGCAGTGAGCCGAGATCATGCCACTGCACTCCCACCTGGGTGGCAGAGCGAGACCCTGCCTCAAAAAAAAAAAAAAAAAAAAAGAATAACTGATAGAAAGCACTAGGGTGCCAACATTTGTTGATGGTTTAGCAGGCATAGTGTTTTTTAGGAAGATGGCAAATACTGGCTGTTTACCCCCATAATCGTGTGGCTGGCTGGGAGTGCAGCTGGCTGCCACTGTCCAGCATTGTGGGAAAGTATTGTACCACACATCAGTAGCCTGGGAACAGATCAAAATTCAAAATTCAAAGTACTGTTTCTGCTGAATGCATATTGTTTTCCCACCACCATAAAGTCAAAAAATTGTAAGTCAAAGTATCATAAGTCAGGGGCCATCTGTATACCACATTTTCTTTATCCATTCATTGAGGAACAGTTAGGTTGATTCCACATCTTGGCTATTGTGAATATTGCTGCAATAAACACAAGAACGCAGATATTTCTTCAACGTACTGTGTTTTACACCCAGTAGTGGAATTGCTGAATTACATGGTTAGTTCTATTTTCAATTTTTTGAGGCATCTCCATTCTGTTTTCTGTAATGGCTATACTAATTTACATTCCAGCCAACAGTGTGTAAGGGTTCCCTCTTCTCCACGTCCTCACCAACACTTGTTATCTTGTGTTTTTTTTTATAATAGTCATTCAACAGGAGTTAAGTGATATCTCATTGTGGTTTGATTTGCATTTCCTTGATGATTAGTGATACTGAGCATTTTATAATATAGCTATTGACCATTTGTATATCTTCTTTAGAGAAATGTCTATTTGGATACTTTGCCTTTTGTCCATTTTTTAATAGAATAGGGTTACTGGGTTATTTGGGGGCTTTTTGTTATTGATTTTCTTTCTTTTTGTTATTGAGTTTCTTTCCTTTTTTTTTTTTTTTTTTTTTTGAGACAGAGTCTTGCTCTGTCTCCCAGACTGGAGTGCAGTGGTGCGATTTCAGCTCACTGCAAGCTCCGCCTCCCGGGTTCACGCCATTCTCCTGCCTCAGCCTCCGGAGTAGCTGGTACTACAGGCGCCCGCCACCATGGCCTGGCTAATTTTTTTGTATTTTTAGTAGAGACGGGGTTTCACCATGTTAGCCAGGATGGTCTCGATCTCCTGACCTTGAGATCCGCCCACCTCGGACTCCCAAAGTGTTGAGATTACAGGCGTGAGCCACCGGGCCCAGCCTTTTTTCTTTTTTAGGCAAGGTCTCACTCTGTCACCCAGGCTGGAGTGCAGTGGTGGTGGTGCGATCAATCACAGTTCACTGCAGCCTCGACCTCCCCAGGCTCAGGTGATTCTCCCACCTCAGCCTCCTGAGTAGCTGGACTACAAGCATGCACCACCACGCCTGACTGACTTTTGTATTTATTGTAGAGAGGGGTTCTCGCCATGTTGCCCAAGCTGGTCTCAAACTCCTGGGCTCAAGCAATCTGCCTGCTTTGGCCTGCCAAAGTGCTAGGATTACAGGCTTGAGCCAACGTGCCGGGCCGAGTTTCTTATATTTTTTGAATATTAATCCCTTATCAGATGTATAATTTGCAAATATTTTCTCCCATTCCATACTTTGTCTCTTCATTCTGTTGTTTCCTTTGCTGTACAGAAGCTTTTTAGTTATGTAATCCCATTTGTCTATTTTTTGTTTTGTTGCCTGAAGAAAACTAACCTCTAAATTAGTTTCATCTAGCTACTAATATAGATCTATTCAAATACGACATATGTAGTGTTCAACTACTTTGTGTTTACTTTTATGCATACTTCCCGGATGTCACAGAAGCTCCAAACACCGCCTTTGTTAAAATGTTCATAGGCTAGTTCTGAATTCCTCAACCAGATTTATGTTCAAACACCTGATGTTTGGGAATTTTTTCACTTTTCTGCTAAAATTTAGGATTCTCATATTATCATCATGATTTACCATTTACCAAACAAATTTTATGAAAACACTTTGGTGTTAAGATCCACATTCTTGCTCCTCAAAAGCTCAAGGGCCTGGAAGGGACTTCAGAAAATAGATTATAAATTGATATTAAGATGCTTTCTAAATAAGAAAACATAGTTCAGTACTTTGCAGTGGTAAAACCTTTACCATATGCCAGAAAAAGACAACAACAACAACAAAAAAACCCTTTTCCATATGCCAAAAATTGTTTAGGTTCTTTCTGCTGCTCTGTTAAGGAAGCTGTACTTGACAATCCAATTGAACTGGAGGTTTATATTTTAAACTTCTAATTTTTATTTTTATTTTTACTTATTTATTTATTTATTTATGGAGACAAAGTCTCACCCTCTCACCCAGGCTGGAATGCAGTGGCACAATCTTGGCTCACTGCAACCTCTGCCTCCCAGGTTCAAGTGATTCTCCTGCCTCAGCCTCCCGAGTAGCTGGGACTACAGGCGTGCACCACTGTGCCCAGCTAATTTTTGTATTTTTAGTAGAGATGGGGTTTCACTATGTTGGCCAAGCTGGTCTCAAAGTCCTTACCTCAGGTGATCCGCCCACCTCAGCCTCCCAAAGTGCTGGGATTACAGGCATGAACCACCACACCTAGCCTAAATTTAGAATTTTCAGTTTCACAGTTAAAGACTTAAGAATCTGTTTATAAGCACTGGTGGAGTTTTGCTCTATCTTGAAATTAATGGGGAAAACTTGGTCCACATATTCTTTACGAAAAGATATTACCTATCACTCTTGCCCTAGTTGATACTCTCTCCCCAGCTACATGATAGCTTTGAGAACCACCATCCTGCAATCACCTGATAGCTACTAGAAGGGACAGGATGTGGTTGAAGTCTCTTCAAAGCTGCATTCATAGAGAATTGTCATTTGACTTGTCTGGTAATTCCCTGGAAGACCCCCACTAACAAGGTTTGTCTTTTTTTTTTTCTTTTTGAGACAGAATCTCACTCTGTCACCCAGGCTGGAGTGCAGTGGCGCAATCTTGGCTCACTGCAACTTCCGCCTCCCAGGTTCAAGCGATTCTCCTTCCTCAGACTCCTAAGTAGCTGGGATTACAGGAGCACAACACCACACCAGGCTGATTTTTGTATTATTTTTAATTTAATTTTATTTATTTATTTATTTGAGACAGAGTCTCACTCTGTTGCCCAGGATGGAGTGCAATGGTACAATCTTGGCTCACTGCAACCTCTACCTCCTGGGTTCAAGCGATTTTTCTGCCTCAGCCTCCCAAGTAGTTGGGATTACAGGCACCCACCACCATGCCCAGCTAGGTTTTGTATTTTTAGTTGAGACGGGGTTTCGCCATGTTGGTCAGGCTGGTCTCGAACTCCTGACCTCAGGTGATCTGCCCACCTCGGCCTCCCAAAGTGCTGGGATCACAGGTGTGAGCCACCGTGCCCGGCTGTGGCTTGTCTTTATTGACCTGAGTCAAAGCTCACCCAACACAAACAGCCTTTCCTCAAGGGTTGTTTGTCAAAAACAAACAGCAACTGTTTAATAGCACCATGGCTGTCTGAGTCAGTGGATAATAGCTAAGGCAAATGATAGGCTAATCAAAAGTTGATAAGGAATAGCAAGGGAATGAGATGTCCAGAAAGGGTTTTGAAAAGCTCTGATGACCAGGCATGGTGGCTTGTGCCTGTAATCCCAGCACTCTGGGAGGCCTAGAAGGGTGGTTGACTTGAGGTCAGGAGTTCAAGACCAGCCTGGCCAACATGGTGAAACCCTGTCTCTACTAAAAATACAAAAATCAGCTGAGCATGGTGGTGTGTGCCTGTTATCCCAGCTACTCAGGAGGCTGAGGCAGGAGAATCGCTTGAACCTGGGAGGTGGAGGTTACAGTGAGCCAAGATCGCACCACTGCCCTCCAGCCTGGTGAGAGTCTGTCTCCAAAAAAAAAAAAAGACAAGAAAAAAAAAGCTCTGACATAGTCTTGAGAATCTAGAAGGCAATATACATACATAGGGCTCTGCATATATCCTAGGACTGTGTGCATGCAGAAAACCTGAAGAAACCCTAAGCTCTCACCTCTGACTGAGACCTAGGGGTTTTGTGCAAGCAGAAAGTGAAAGGTAAGGCAGAGTTACTACCTGTCTGGCTGAGTGTCAAGGGTGTGCCCCAGCATGTACAACTGAGTCCATCAGCAAAGACTGAGAGACATATTGACTCCAGGAACGTAAGAAAATCTCTGTCTAATAATTAGCTGATGCTAAGCTAACATACCAGTGTCTTCAATGGCCACACACCACAAAGAATACAGACTTGAGAGAAAGTAAAGAAAAGTAACTAAAGAACTCACAATAACAAACAATGGTGAAGGGGAGAATCTGATTTCCAGAGGTACCACAGTATATTATCTAAAATTTCCAGATTTCAACAACAAAAAAGAGGTGTATATAGAAACAAGAAAGTATACCATACAAAGAATAAAGAGTAGTTAATAAAAACTGTCCCTGAGGGAGTCCCAATGTCGGGCTTACTAGACAAGAACATTAAATCAGCTGTAGTTAAATATGTTCCAAAAACAAAAGGAAACCAAGTCTAAAAAACTAAAGCAAAGTATGAGAAGCATGTCTCATCAAATAAAGAATATTAATAAAGAAATTATTTTTTAAAAGAGAACCAAGTAGAAATTGTAGAGATTGAAAAGTATAACAATGGAAATGAAAAATTAATTAGAGAGGTCCAACAGCAGGTTTAAGCAAGCAAAAGAAAAGGCCAGTGAACTTGAAAATAGGTTAATTGAGATTATTCAGTTTGAGAAACAGAAAAAGGAATGAAGAAAAATTATAAGAGCCTCAGAGATCTCTGGGACATCATCAAGTATACCACTATATGCATAATGAGAGTCCCAGAAACAGAAAAGAGAAAGTGGCAGAGAAATTACTCGAAGAAATAAATGGTCAAAAACTTATCATATTTGATGAAAAACATTAATCTATGCAGCAAAGAAACACAGCAAACTCCAAGTATTATAGAATTAACTCAAAGAGACAAACACCTAGACACACAATAATCTAACTGCAGAAAGAAAATGACTGAATTGGTGGGGTACAGTGGCTCATGCCTGTAATCCCAGCACTTTGGGAGGCTGAGGAGGGCAGATTGCCTGAGCTCAGGAGTTCGAGACCACCCTGGGCAACACAGTGAAACCCTGTCTCTACTAAAATACAAAAAATTAGCCAGGCATAGTGGCGTGCGAATGTAGTCCCAGCAACTCGGGAGGCTGAGGCACAGGAATCGCTTGAGACCCGGAGATGGAGGTTGCAGTGAGCTGAGATCATGCCACTGCACTCCAGCTTGAGCTACAGAGTAAGACTCCATCTCAAAAAAAAGAGAAAACAACAGAATCTTGAAACCAGCAAGAGAGACATAACTCATCATGTAAAATGGACCTTCAATAAGATTAACAGCTGGTTTATCAGTAGAAACTATGGATGCCAGAAGGCAGTAAAATGATATACTCAAAGCAAGAATATAGACCAAAAGAACAACTGTCAACCAAGAATTCTATGTCTAGCAAAACTATCACTCAAAGCAAAGGTAAAATTAAGATACTTCCAGATAAACAAAAACTTGTTGCTAGAATTTGTTGCTAGTATTCCTTTTCTGGAGGAAGTATTAGTGGGAGTCCTTCAGGCTAAGATGAAAGGACACTAGACAGTAACTCAAATCAACATAAAAAAACAAAGAGCAACAAACATACAAATGGCCAATAAGCACATGAATGGGTACTCAAAATCACTAATCATTAGGGAAATGCAAATCCAAACCACAATGAGACATCATCTCACACCTTTCAGGATGGCCACTATCAAAAGAACAGAAAATGCCAGGTGTGGTGGCTCACACCTGAAATCCCAGCACTTTGGGAGGCCAAGGAGGGCATCCCCTGAGGTCAGGAGTTTGAGACGAGCCTGGGCAACATGGTGAAACCCTGTCTCTACCAAAAAAAATTACAAAAATTAGGTGGGCATGGTCATGTGCCTGTAATCCCAGCTACTCAAGAGGTTGAGGCACGAGAATCGGTTGAGCCCAGGAGGCAGGGGTTGCAGTGAGCCGAGATCACACCACTGCACTCCAGCCTGGGCAGTGACAGAATAAGACACTGTCCCATAAAAAACAAACAAACAAAAAAAATGTAGAGATTTGTTGCACAATGATATGAATATACTTATTACTATTGAGCTTAACTTCAAAATGGTTAAGAGGGTAAATATAATGTTATGTGATTTTTACCACAATAAAAAAATAAAGTAAGGCCGGGCACGGTGGCTCACGCCTGTAATCCCAGCACTTTGGGTGGCCAAGGTGGGCAGATCACGAGGTCAGGAGATCGAGACCATCCTGGATAACACAGGGAAACCCCGTCTCTACTGAAAATACAAAAAATTAGCCAGGCGTGGTGGCAGGCACTTGTAGTCCCAGCTACTTGGGAGGCTGAGCCAGGAGAATGGTGAGAACCTGGGAGGCGGAGTTTGCAGTGAGCCGAGATCAAGCCACTGCACTCCAGCCTGGGCAACAGTGTGAGACTCTGTCTCTAAATAAATAAATAAATAAACAGCACCAGTAGACCAGACAAGGTGGCTAGTGCCCATAATCCCAGCCCTTTGGGAGGAAGGTGAGAGAACTGCTTGAGGCCAGGAGTTCAAAACCAGTCTGGGTAACACAGCAAGACCCTGCCTCTATTAAAAAAAAAAAAAAAAAAAAAAAAAGCCAGGGATGGTGGCATGAAAGGCTGAGGCTGGAGGTTCCCTTGAGCTCAGGAGTTGGAGGCTGCAGTGAGATATGATCATGCCACTGCACTGTAGCCTTGGTAACAGAGATCCTGTCTCTTTTAAAAAAAAAAAAAAGACAACTGCATAAAGCAATAGTCATAAATCTATATTGATGCCCATAAAATGTAAAAAGATATATTTGAATGGCAAGAAAGTCACAAACAGGTGAGGTGGGAATGGAGCTATATAAGTGCAGTTTTTTTATACTATTAAAATTAAGTTTCTGTTAATCTAAACTAGATTGTTATAAACTTAAATGTTAAGTATGATTCTCCAGGCAACCATTAGAAAATGACTCAAAATATATAGAAAATGAAGTGAGTTGGGTGCAGTGGCTCACGTCTATAATCCCAGCACTTTGGGAGGATGAGGCAAGAGAACAGCTTGAGTCCAGAAGTTCACAGCTGCAGTGAGGTATGATCACACCACTGTACTCCAGCCTCAGCAACAGAGTGAGACTTTGTCTCAAAGAAGAAGAAAGAAAGAGGAAAGAAGAAAGGCAGGCAGGCAAGAAGGAAGGAAGTTAGGAAAGAAAGAGAGAAAGAAAGAAAGAGAGAGGGAGAGAGAAGGAAAGAAAGAAAGAAAGAGAGAGAAAGAAAGAAAGAAAGAAAGAAAGAAAGAAAGAAAGAAAGAAAGAAAGAAAGAAAGGAAAAAGAAAGAAAGAGAGAAGGAGAAATAGCAATGGAACACAAGAAAATATCTAGTTGGGACTCCACTGATGGAGAGTGAAAAAAAAAAAGGATGAAAATATCAAGTTACCATAAAAGAAGGCAGTAATGCAGGAGTAAAAGGAACAACAAAGACATGAGACATGTAGAAAACAAATATCAAAATAGCAGTCATGAACTCTACCTTATCAGTAATTACATTTAAGTGCTTAAACTCTCCAAACAAAGGGCAAAGATCGGTAGAATGGACTTCAAAAAGTAATCTAACTTGCTGGGCATAGTGACTCAGGCCTGTAATCCCAGCACTTTGGGAGGCCAAGACAGGTGGATTGCTTGAGGCCAAAAGTTCAAGATCAGCCTGGCCAACATGGTGAAACCCCGTCTCTACTAAAAATACAAAAATTAGCCAGGTGTGGTGGCATCTACTAAAAATACAAAAATTAGCCAGGTGTGGTGGTGTGTGCCAGTAAGCCCAGCTACTCAGGAGGCTGAGGCAGGAGAATCACTTGAACCTGGGAGGCGGAGGTTGCAGTGAGCTGGGATCACAACACTGCACTCCGGCCAGGGCGACAGACAAAGACTCCATCTCAAAAACAAAGAAAAAGATAAAACAAAACAAAAAACTGACTAAATGCTTTCTATAAGAGACAAACTTTTTAATTTTTATTTTTTATTTATTTATTTATTTTTATTTATTTATTTTTTTTTTGAGATGGAGTTTCGCTCTTGTTGCCCAGGCTGGAGTGCAATGGTGCAATCTCGGCTCACGGCAACCTCCGCCTCCCAGGTTCAAGCGATTCTCCTGCCTCAGCCTCTCAAGTAGCTGGGATTACAGGCATGTGCCATCACGCCCGGCTAATTTTGTATTTTTAGTAGAGAAGAGGTTTCTCCATGTTGGTCAGGCTGGTCTCAAACTACCGACCTCAGGTGATCTGCCCGTCTCGGCCTCCCAAAGTGCTGGGATTACACGCGTGAGCCACTCGCCCGCCTAAGAGACAAACTTTAGATTCAAAGACACAAATAGGTGAAAATAAAAGAGTGGAAAAAAGATATGCCATGAAAAAAGTAACCAAAAGAGAGCTGGAGCAGCTATACTAATATCAGACAAAATTGACTTTAAGACAAAAGTTGTTAGTAGAAACAAAGAAGGACATTTTATAACAATAAATGGAAGAATCCATCAGGAAGATAAGACAATTATAAACATATACACACCTAACAACAGAGCCCCAAAATACATGATGCAAAAACTGATAGAATTAAAAGGAGAAACAGGCAATTCAACAACAATACAGTGATCCCTTGGTATCCACAAGGCACTGGTTCCAGGAGTCCCTGTGGATATCAAAATCCAAAGATGCTCAAGTCCATTATATAAAATGGTGTGTATTTGCATATAACCTATGCACATCCTCCCATATACTTAAATCATCTCTAGACTCTTATAATACCTAATATGATGTAAATGCTATGTCAAAACTTGTAACAATATATTGCTTTTTTATTTGTAATTTTTATTGTTGTATTTCTCTCTTTCTTTTAATTTTTTTATTTTAATTTTTTTTTAATGGAGATGGGGTTTCACTATGTTGCCCAGGCTGGTCTGAACCTCCTGGGCCTCAAGCAATCTGCCCACCTAGGCCTCCCAAACTGCTAGGATTATAGGCATGAGCCATTGTGCTCAACCCCCTTTTTTTTTTTTTTGAGACAGAGTCTCGCTCTGTTGCCCAGGCTGGAGTGCAATGGCACGATCTCAGCTCACTACAAGCAACCTCTGCCTCCCATGTTTGAGCAATTCTCCTGCCTCAGCCTCCCAAGTAGCTGGGACTACAGGTGCGCACCACCACGCCCAGCTAACTTTTGTACTTTTAGCAGAGATGGAGTTTCACCACATTGGCCAGACTGGTCTGGAACTCCTGACCTCAGGTGATCCACCCACCTCGGCCTCCCAAAGTGCTGGGATTACAGGCATGAGCCACCACCCCTAGCCCCGACCCCTTTTAATATTTTTAGGGTTTTTTTCTTTTCTTTTCTCTTTTTATTTTCTTTCTTTCTTCTTTTAATATTTTTGATCAATGGTTGATTGAGTTCACAGATACAGGACCTACAGGTATGGAGAACTGACTGTAGCTGGAGATTTCAATGCCTACTTTCAACAGTGGATGAAACAGCTAGACAGAAGATCATCAAGGAAACAGAAGACTTGAGTAACACTATAAACCAACTAGACCCAACAGACGCCTACAGAACACTCCACAACAACAGCAGACAACACATTCTCCTCAAGAGCACATGAAACATTCTCCAGAGTAGGCCATTTGTTAGCCCATTAAAGAAGTCTCAATAAATGTAAAGGACTGAAATAATAAAAAGCATGTCCTTCAACCACAATAGAATGAAATTACATAACAGATAGGAAAGGAAATTTGGGAAATTCAAAAAAATGTGGAAATTAAACAACATTCTCTAGTAGTAAAAAGACCTGGAGCTTCCTGGAGACATGACTGATTCTAGCATAAGTGCAGGGAAAAGACCAGGTGAGGCTGGAATCTCTTCTAGTACTACAAAGTAAACCAGTACTCAAAAAAATAAATAAAAAGGAATACAGGAGTCAACCTGGAAGAGCTCCCAATGGCTGAAGCAAGAACAATTTGAGTAACAAAAGAAGCAACACGGTATTGGATTATAACCCAAAGATAAAATTAATATCCATAACCCATACTTACATAAATAAAAGACTACATAAATAAATGGAGGAGAAGAGACAAACTTCCTTACAGAATTCCAAATAGCTTATCTAGCTAACTACCTAATCTCCTTTCCAGGAGATGGAGCTTAACTTCCCCAGGACCCTGAGTATGGGCTGCTCTCAGTAACTTGCTTCCAAAGAACAGAGCATGGAAAGACAGTAAAGAGTAACTTTACAGTGGAGAAACCTAGCAAACACTACCTCAGCCAGGTGATCAAGGTAAAGAGTCATGTTATTACCATGTGAAGAGGATGGCACTTTACCTCTGTGGTTTTCCTCCCAAGAACCCATAACCCCTGTCTAATCCTGAGAAAAACATCAGAAAAAAACCCAGTTGAAGGATATTCCACAAAATACCTGACCAGCAGATGCTAAGGAGACATGATGACTAATGTAATGTGGTATCCTGGATGGGATCCTGGAACAGAAAAAGGACATTAGGGGAAAACTACTGAGCCGTACATAAAATTTGGAGTTTAATTAATAGTAATGGACCAGAGCTAGGCACGGTGGCTCACAACTGTAATCCTAGCACTTTGGGAGGCCGAGGTAGAAGGATCACTGGAGCCCAGGAATTCAAGACCAGGCTAGGCAACATAGAGAGATCTCATCTCGACAAAAAATTAAAAAAAAAAAAAACAGGCATGGTGGCACACACCTGTAGTCCCAGCTAGTTGGGAGGCTAAGGCAGGAGGATTGCTTGAGCCTAGGAGATCGAGGCTGCAATAAGCCATGATTGTACCACTGCACTCCAGCCTGGGTGACACAGCGAGACCCTGTCTCAAAAAAAAAAAAAAAGTAATGGACCAATGTAATTTCATAACTTGTGACAAATGTAGCATGGATGCTACCATCAATGTAAGATTTGTTTTGTTTTGTTTTTTGTTTTTGAGACAGGGCCTCACTCTGTTATCCAGGCTGGAGTGCAGCGGTACAATCATAGCTCACTGCAACCTTGAGAGGCTCAAGTGAGCCTCTCCATTAACTGGGACTACAGGCACACACCACCACATCTGGCTAACTTAAAAAAAAAATTTGTTAGCAGAAATGAGATCTCACTATGTTGCTCAGTCTGGTCTCAAACTCCTGGTCTCAAGCAATCCTCCTTCTTTGGCCTCCCAAAGTGCTGGGATTACAGGTGTGAGCCACTGTGCCAGCCAAATATAAGATGTTAACAGAGGAAACTGAGTGAGCCATATATAGGAATTCTATGTAATATCTTTGCAACTTTTCTATAAATCTACAACTATTCAAAAATCTAAAATTTTATTTTTTTTAATGATCTGAGGCCTGCCAATAGCCATGGGAGTGAGCTTTTAAGCAGATCCTACCCTAGTTGACCCTTGAGATAACTGAAGCTCCAGCTGACATTTTAATTATACCCTTATAAGAGACCCTAGGCTGGGCATGGTGGCTCACGCCTGTAATCCCAGCACTTTGGGAGGCCAAAGTGGGTGGATCACATGAAGTCAGGGGTTCAAGACCAGGTGGGCCAACATTGGGAAAACCCGTCTCTACTAAAAATACAAAAATTAGCCAGGCTTCGTGGAGCATACCTGTAATCCCAGCTACTCAGGAGGCTGAGGCTGGAGAACAGCTTGAACCCATGAGGCAGAGGTTGCAGTGAGCTGAGCACACCACTGCACTCCAGCCTGAGGGACAGAGTGAGATTCCATCTCAAAAAAGAAGAAAAAGAGATCCTGGGCTAGAAGCATCCAGCTAAGCTGCCCCAAGATTTCTGATCCACAGAAATTATGAAATAATAAAAGTTTGTTGTTTTAAGCTGTTAAGTTTTGGAGCAATTTGTTACACAGCAATAATAACTAATAGAGTATACTTCCTTTTATGTAGAATATTCAGAAGTATCCCCCACAAAAACACTGGGATAATTTGCATTCCATTTGTTTGATAGTTATATTCTTCACTGTAAATAATAAATTCTCATTCTAGTTTTTACAACAGATTCCACAGCAAATTTACTTAGCCTGAGGCCATCCCAAAAAACTTATTTTGAAGTATAAAAGCAAAATATATGTCAATGAATGCCAAATCTACATTCCTATCCAGATTAATTTCCTACTAGACACATTCACTCGGACAGTACATGGCATCTCAAAATCAACACACCCGATATTCCTGTATTTCCTATGTCAGTTAAAATTCTCAGCATCCAACCCTAAGCCAAAAATAATTCATCCTTGACTTCTTTTCACTCACCCATGCACAGCCTTTCTACTCAAGCACTAAACCCTGCTGATAAATAGCTCCTAATTTTCTTTTTTTTTTTTGAGATAGAGCTGGGACCACAGGTGTGCGCCACCATGCCTCGCTCTGTTGCCAGGCTGGAGTGCAGTGGCACGATCTGGGCTCACTGCAACCTCTGCCTCCTGGGTTCAAGCGATTCTCCTGCCTCAGCCTCTCAAGTAGCTGGGACTACAGGTGCGCGCCACCATGCCCAGCTAATTTTTGTATTTTTTGTAGAGATGAGGTTTCACCATGTTGGCCAGGATGGTCTCGATCTCTTGACCTCATGATCTGCCCACCTTGGCCTCCCAAAGTGCTGAGATTACAGGTGTGAGCCACTGTGCCCAGCCAAATATTTCTTAAAGAGAGCCTCCTGTATCTATCCCTAATACCATTGCTCTAGTTTAAGTATTCATCATCTCTACTGGTCCTTCTCCTAGTCTTCTCTCTTCTTACCCTCCCAATATCTACCCTCCACACTTTATTTATTTATTTATTTATTTATTTATTTAGAGACAGGGTGTCACTCGCCCAGACTGGAGTGCAGTGGCACAATCTCAGCTCACCACAACCTCTGCCTCACAGGCTCAAACGATTCTCCTGCCTCAGCCTCCCAAGTAGCTGAGATTACAGGCATGTGCCACTATTGCCCGGCTAATTTTTGTATTTTTAGTACAGACAGGGTCTCACCATGTTGGCCAGGCTGGTCTTGAACTCCTGACCTCAAATGATCCACATGCCTTGGCCTCCCAAAGTGCTGGGATTACAGGCGTGAGCCATCATGCCCAGCCAACTCTCCACACTTTAATCAGAACTATCTAATTAAAACACTACATCTGGGCTAGGTGCAGTTGCTCACACCTGTAATCCCAGAACTTTGGGAGGCCGAGACAGGCAGATCACGAGGTCAGGAGTTCAAGACCAGCCTGGCCAACATGGTGAAACCCTGTTTCTACTGAAAATACAAAAAGTAGCCAGGTGCGGTGGCAGGCACCTGTAATCCCAGCGACTCGGGAGGCTGAGGCAGGAGAATTGCTTGAACCCGGGAGGCGGAAGTTGCAGTGAGCTGAGACTGTGCCACTGCACTCCAGACTGGGTGACAAAACAAGACTCCGTCTCAGGGAAAACAACAAAACAAAACAAAAACCCACTACATTGGCCGGGAATGGCGGCTCATGCCTGTAATCCCAGCACTTTGTGTGGCCAAGAGAGGTGGATCACTTGAGGTGAGGAGTTTGAGACCAGCCTGGCCAACATGGTGAAACCCCGTGTCTACCTAAAAATACAAAAATTAGCCAGGCGTGGTGGTGTATGCCTGTAGTCCCAGCTACTCAGGAGGCTAAGGCAGGAGAATCACCTGAACCTGGGAGGCAAAGATTGCAATGAGCTGAGATCACGCCACTGCCCTCAAGCCTGGGAAACACAGTGAGACTGCATCTCAAAAACAATACAAAAAAACCCAAAAAGCACTACATTGATCATCAATCTTAAAAGCCAAGCTCCATAGGGTAGCACACAAACTTCTCCAAGATCTGGTTCCTACCTACTTCCTTATTTTACAATGTTTCACCTGCTTAGAGTTTCCACTTCTGCCGTTATTTTGTACATCCATGCCTTGGATCTTACTGCGTCCTCAACTGTAAATGCTTTTCCTATTTTTCATTGCCCCACTAAATTTTACTTATCCTCCAACACTTAACTCATGAGTTGTCTCCTTCAGAAAGCTTTCTCTGAAGCCCTAGACTGTGTGAATGGCCAGATTCTGTGCTCCCCAAACACTCTGTGCTTACCCTATTTTGTCACTTGCTACAGTTTAATGTAATTTATCTATGTAATGGAATGTATCTGTATGCTCTTGAAAGTCAGGGACAGGTTCACTTTATGTACGTGCATTTTTTTTTTAGCTCATCCAACATTATAGAATGTACTTGATTTTTCTGTTTTGTTTTGTTTTTGTTTTTTGAGATGGAGTCTTACTCTGTTGCCGAGGTTGGAGCACAGTGGCGCAATTTCGGCTCATTGCAACCTCCGCCTCCTGAGTAGCTGGGATTACAGGCATGCAGTATCATGCCCGGTTAATTATTTTTGTATTTTTAGTAGAGACGTGGTCTCACCATGTTGCCCAGGCTGATCTTGAACTCCTGATCTCAAGTGATCCGCCAGCTTCGGCCTACTAGAGTGCTGGGATTACAGGCATGAGCCACTGTGCCAAGCTGTACTTGTATTTTTTATGGATGGATGGAAACATATACTGACCTACTAGGAATTCAGTAATGCTCTCAAATCAATTTCCATTTATTAATAACAGCTGCATCTGCCTATATTGGAAAATCAGCAGCACATTACATCGGAAATATTATTTATTCTGCCCACAGAATAGTTCATATGAGTTACAGATTTCACTGGAATAATGTCCTGGCTCCCAATGTAGCTCTTAGGATACTGTACTTACTTTAAAAATTCTATTAAATTCACTGCTATTAAATGAGTTTAGCAGGAATGAACCAGATTCATTAACAATGCTAGGACAAACACAAATAAATAAAACAGCATGGAACTAGAATTAACATTATTTCAATTACTAATCTCCACCCCCTATATAATAACCTAACAAACCATTTTAGAGATTAAGAAACTGAGGTGGCCATGCACAGTGGCTCACGCCTGTAATCTCAGCACTTTGGGAGGCCGAGGCCAGTGGATCATGAGACCAGGAGATTGAGACCATCCTGGCCAACATGGTGAAACCCCATCTCTACCAAAAACACAAAAATTAGCTGGGTGTGGTGGCACATGCCTGTAATTCCAGCTACTCGGGAGGCTGAGGCAAGAGAATTGCTTGAACCAGGGAGTCAAGGGTTGCAGTGAGCTGAGATCGCGCCACTGCACTCCAGTCTGGCGACAGAGCGAGACTCCACTACAAAACAACAACAACAACAATAAAAAAAAAACTGGGGTTCAGAAAAGTTAACTGGTTCAGAATCAATTCACTGGTAGCTGGTGTCAGAACTGGGACTCCCTGATTATGAAGTCAAGTCTAAGTTTTGCCATTTACTTTTTTGGTAAACTTTGAAACACTACTTTATCTACTGGCTTTTTCATTTCTTGGTCCATGAAACAGTAACTTTGCAAGACTGCAGTGAAAATGAATGACTTAAAGTGTCCCTGCCCCCAGTGTGACCATCGTTATTTTTTGCAGACTTAAAAACATAGGTATATGAATAATGAGATCTATATTTTTATCTACCACCAAGAAGCTTAAAATCTGGGTGGGGCTGGGCGCTGTGGCTCACGCCTGTAATCCCAGCATTTTGGAAGGCTGAGGCAGGTGGATCATGAGGTCAGGAGTTCAAGACCAGCCTGATCAACATGGTGAAACCCCGTCTCTACTAAAAATACAAAAATTAGCTGGGCGTGGTCATGCATGCCTGTAATCCCACTCAGGAGGCTGAGGCAGGAGAATCGCTTGAACCCAGGAGCCAGAGGTTGCAGGGAACAGAGATCATGCCACTGCACTCCAGCCTGGGCGACAAAGCAAGACTCCACCTCAAAAAAAAAAAAAAAAAAAAAAATCACGTTGGGGGAAATGGTCTATTACTGTATTATCAATGCTGTATTTTCAAAGTTATTAATGTGCTTATGACACACTAAAAGCAGTACAATAATTTCATTTAAATTATTTAAGTAGCTATCTTTTTAAGCTGCTTTCCCTAGCCTTCACAGCAATTCACTGGAACAAAAAGAATGTTCAATTATTTTAATTATTTTCAAAAATTAGAGAAAGAATATGTTTAGGTGCTTTCTTCCTTTTGAGTTTTCATTTGTTTACTTAGTATAATTATTAAGATTGAACAGGCCTTTTGGTTGCCAGATTCACAAAGAACACTTAGGTGACTTAGAGAAACAAAAAAGTATCAAGAATATAAACTGTGTAATTCAGTCTTGTCTTGAGAAACAATGTTGAACCATAATAAAGGAGATTAGTGCTTTCTAAAGACAAGATACATAGGATATAAACCAAAGAATAAGCATTTCACAGTCTTACACAAATTTAGTGTTTAAAAGGCATTAACTACCTTAATTAGATGAAATTTAGTGGATTTTGTTACATTTTTTAGATTATTTGCTTTTTACATAGGCAAAAGATTATGATAATCCAGTTTTTATGGTACTTCACAATGCCACTGGGGATATGTGAACAAATATCTTAACCAATTTTTCGTTAATGTGCCTTCCCTCCCCCCGAAGAGTGTAATCTCTTTCAATTTCTTTTTTTCTCTCAGGCTCTGCACGGAATTTTCCTCTCCTCTTCATCCTGATGGTGTAATACATGATCACGTGTTTGTTGTCTTGTTTTCCTCTGGGTCACATGGGTACTTCTATTTCCTTCTCCTTTTTCATCTTTTCTCTCATTATGGTCTCTAACAAGATCCTCTCCAGGGTCCCTCTGATCTCTATGCTAATAGGAAAGCACTGGAATGATGAAAAGGAAGACAAAGAGAAAAAAAAGTCCCAAAAGCAGCTGGCAGTCCTTGGTTTTAACCATCTCTATGGAAACAATTCCACACAGATAGGTCTGGAAACAATTCTGTAGGGATCACTGGAGCAGTGGTGAGCCAGTCTCACCAAGCCTTATTTACAGGATTCAACTTGCAAATGAGAATCGTTGACAAGACTTTTTTTTTTTTTAAGAAAGGTAGTAAAATAGGAAGCCAAATAAAATGTACATTTATGACTATGTAGCGGTTTTGTTTGTTTGTTTGTTTGTTTTGAGACGGAGTCTCGTTCTGTCACCCAGGCTGGAGTGCAGTGGCACGATCTCGGCTCACTGCAACCTCTGCCCCACCAGGTTCAAGCAATTCTTGTGCCTCAGCCTCCCAAGTGACTGAGATTACAGGCATGTGCCACCACGCCCAGCTAATTTTTATAGTTTTAGCAGAGACAGAGTTTCCCTATGTTGGCCAGGTTGGTCTCAAACTCCTGACCTCACGTGATCCACCTGCCTCGGCCTCCCAAAACGCTGGGATTACAGGCGTGAGCCACCATACCCAGCCTATATAGTGTATTTTTTAACTCAAAACTTCCTACTGTAATAATAAAAAGGCAAAAGGAATGTGTAAACCAATTTCAAGTCCTTCCTGAGTATGCACACTGGCAGAGTGCCTGACCCAAAGAAATTATGGCAAGCAAGCAAGCAAGCAAGCAGCAGTTTGGTAGTGAAAAGTCAGTCATGTCATTAGAATGATTTTAAGATTGTGGCCCATAACCACACAAAATATGCGGAAGGAATGCCAAATTCAATTAGGCAGTAAAACAAATTGTTTGAATTCAAGCAAGGAGTGAAGGAGATTACAGAATTCCATCTGCCAAATCGGTTGAAAGACTGAAAGGATAGAAGTAGCCATGTAACTTGAACCCAGGAGGACCAAGGGAAGAACTCCATCAGAATTGTGGGAGCTTAGAGTCTTATTAATACAGCAATTTTTTTTTTAAAAGGAGGGAGAGGGGTTGGGACTCACAGTGTCTTGGGACTCACAGTGTCAGTGATAATGGGACTATAAAGTTTCAGGCCTGTTCAAAAAGTCTCCAGCCAATAAGCTAGTAACCACAGGTCTCCTGAAATGGTAACTCCAGTGTTAATTAGGCAACATAACCTCAATTTTCCAAAAATGATGTCTGTTTCCTTAAGTTATAGATAAGTTATTTGTAACCTCACGAAGGTTCATAGTGTTTTAAGACCCTGGCCCTTGGGTAAAACCCTATGGGCTCCAATTCTAGCTCTACCACTCAACTGTGTGACCTTGGGCAACTATTTTCACTTCTCTAGGACTTAGGCACTTCATCTGTAAAATGAAGATACTTATTTTTCAGGGTTGTAAGAGTACAGTGTGTAGCTTATGCTACACACTGTACTCCATTTGCTCTTTACAACCCTGAAAAATAAATATGAGCCATTGTTACTACAGCATCCTTGTTTGGTTTTCCATCTCTTTTAATGATGATAACACTGTCCTTTCTTCCTTCCACTGAGTATTTTTAGGGAGTGGGCCATTGGGGGTATGTGAGCATCATGACTTAGGGAATTCTTACTGCCCCACACTCGTCTTAAGCAGGTTTGAGGATGAATTAAAGCTTTGAAATGAAGTTTCCATTAAATGAAGGTAATGGAAACTTACCTGTCTCCATCCTACACACTGCAGATCTCATGGGAGAAAAAATTATACATCCTCCTACGTTGCTAACACCTCTCACCCTACCCCCAACAGGCTTCCCAATGTCTGTACCACAAAGTTGAAAGTCTTTTGGCCGGACATTGAAGATTGTCTACAATCTAGCTTCATCCACATTTCTAACATTACCCCATCTTCCTGACACCCCACGTATGTTCCTACCTTTGTACTTGAACTTGCACTGATTTTTTTGGGGGGGAAAGGGAGGTGGGACGGAGTCTCGCTCTGTCGCCCAGGCTGGAGTGCGGTGGCGCGATCTGGGCTCAATGCAAGCTCTGCCTCCCGGGTCCACGCCATTCTCCTGCCTCAGCCTCCTGAGTAGCTGAGACTACAGGGGCCCGCCACCACGCCCGGCGTGTGTGTGTGTGTGTGTGTGTGTGTGTGTGTGTGTGTGTGTGTGTGTATTTTTAGTAGAGACAGGGTTTCACCGTGTTAGCCAGGATGAACTTGCACTGATCTCTTTACCAGGCTTCCCCTTAACCCTCTGCGCAGAAATTCGGGGTTTTTCTTTGTGTTTGAGACAAGAGTCTCCCTCGGTCTCCCAGACTGGAGTGCACTGGCGCAATCACGGCTCACTGCAGCCTCAACTTCCAGGGCACAAGCCATCCTTTTGCCCAGCCTCCTGTGTAGCTGGGACTACTCGGGAGTCCCATCTACTCCCGTGCGCTGCCATCACGCCCAGCTAATCTTTGTATTTTTTGTAGAGACAGCACCTCACTATGTTGCCCAGGCTGGTCTCCAACTCTTACGCTCAAGCGATCCTCCCCCTCGGCCTCTCAAAGGCGTAAGCCACCGCGGCCAGCCTTTTTTGGAACTTAAAAAAAAAGCCATAATGTGTCATTAGGAACCTTGGTGACATGACAGCAAAACCAAAATGTACTTATTTATTAGGTGTCACTTGGAAGCGCAATTTTCAACAACGCAAAACTATAAAAAAAACCCAACGTCGGCCTCCACAGGCTAATCAGTCTCCGAGGCACTGACGGCGGGAGAGATGAAAACGCGAAGGCCAGAGGAGAAAAAGAGGAAGGATTTGCAGAGAGAACGGTAACGTGGTGGACATGAATACACCCAAGAAACCCGGATCCCGCGCGGCACATTGGGACGAAGCGCGCTGGCGGGCGGCCAGCAACTCTGGGCCAGGGGAAGGAGGCGGACACCCAGCCCGAGAGCCGAAATCGGCCCCAGTGGACGCTTTCATCTTCGCGGCCCAGAAACACTCCTATTTTTCACCGCACAATGCAAACATGGTGGACCAGAAAATCCGCCCCGCGTTTGCCGGTCGAACCACGTGGGGCCCTTTCCGCGCCGTCGATGCCTAGCCAGGGCGGGGCCCTCACAGAATTTGTTCACGGTGGGGGCAGATCACCGGAGAACTTCTCCAGAGCGCTACGGCACGGTTCCTTCTACACACTGGCAGAACTGCCATTGCCATCGCCCCGAGGCGGCAGAATGGTACGCTCTGAAAACTGGATGGTTCTAACGTAAGCAAGAAAAACGGTGCGCGCTGCAGCTCTTTAACTGGAACAGCCTCTGCTCGGTCTACCTCGCCCCCAACAGCTGCGCAACCCACCACCGCGCAGGCGCGCTGCGTGCCGCCAGCGCCATGCGAAACCGACTTTCCCGTCTCGCGAGAGTGGGGCCGGCCGCCTTCGCAGTTCTCGCTCCGCCCCCCACTTCTTGCTCGTTCCCTCCCATCCCCCCAAGCCAGTAGCTGTGCTGCGCAGCTCCCTAAGCGGTTGTCACCGCTGGAGACGGTTGGGAGAACCGTTGTGGCGAGCGCTACACGAGGCAAACGACTTCTCCCTTCTTTGAACTGGACCCCGCGAGCACCAGAGTCGGCGTAACTATCGCCTGACAGGGTATCTGAAGTAAAAGGGGGTAGGTTGGGCTGGTGGTTTCGAGAGCGGAGTCGGGAGAAGGACGAAAGGCCGGGAGGGGCTGGGTTGGGGGGTAGTGGGGTGGTCGCCGCTCGGAGGCCGCCGCTTGGAAGCGGCGGGGCTGCGCCTCCCCGACCATCTCCCACTTCAGGGAGGGCGGCTTGCCGATGGGAGGACTTGCTCAGGTGGAATTCAGTGGACGACGCCGAGGCCCGAAGTAGGGGACATCCAGCATTTTCCCCTTTCCCTGCTGGCTTGGCCTCCGCCATTTTGGGTACAGTGGCGCGGCCACCTCGGCTTCCCGCCCTTCCCCGCTCTTTTTACTTTTTTGTTCCCCAGCTTCCGAAAACTGATCTAGAAGGCCAGGGGAGGGGGTGGTCAAAGCTCCCTGGAAGGGATGAGGGTGGGTAGTGAAGCGAGCAGGGAAAGGCCGGGCAGTTGGGTGGAGGGAGGATCGGGTTTGCCGGGCGCGCTCCCGATGGAAATGGCGCCGGATGGGCCTGGCCTCCCACCGCGGCCTCCCTTCCTCCGCAGTCTCGGCAGGGCTACCTGGGCTGACGGGACTGCGAGTGACTTCTGACGCAGATTCCCAAGATGAGAGAGGCTGGAGCTGGGGGAGGAAAGCCAATGGCGACGAAGGTGCTCAACTCCCAAATCCAGGACAAAGGAGGCAGACGGCCTCCTTTGTAATTCTGCCGCCCGGTGGCGAAGGGTTTTAAGCCAGGCTTGGCTGCTGACGGGAGGGGGAAGGGGCGTACTCTCCCTAGCTTTCTGGTCTCTAGGGCAGCTAGATAAACGGAAAGTCTCCTGGGAGGAATAAAGGACGCTTAGCCGGCCCTTATATTCCAGATTTGGAACTTCGAAAAGAGTACGTACTGATTTTCCAAAGGGTTTTTTTTTTTTCATGTTTAAACGTTAATAAGGACTTCGGGGATGATTTTGTGAGCAGAAAAGTGGGTGATTTATCAAATAGGAATGTGAAATGGGCATGTTTCAAGTAGGTCGTCTGGGCCCAGTGAACTATAATTGTTGCTTTTTGAACTTTCGGGGTGGGGGTGGGTGATGTAGCAATTGTTTTGCGTAGTTTGGCGTATATATGTTAGAATTTGTTTTTAAGTTTTACTTTTGGGAAACAGTTAAAACAACCCAGTGATGGTAGATGTGTGTGTATTGAAATTGAGCTTTCGATGTTAAATCTTCCAAGAGTTGTATTTTGTGCAGTTTTTTTTTCCGATGGCATTAAGGCTCTAGAAGTAAAATACTTCAAAATACGGTTATGGTTTATTTTCTTTTGGTAGCTAGGCATGTTTTTTCTTTAGTGTAGGAGTATAGTACACTGTAATCGTATTTTAAACAAGGGAATAAGCCTACTAAACATAAAAACAAATTGTAAACCCAGTCACGTGGTGGTGGTGTGATTCGGATGAGGGTCCTGAGAACTGGATCCGTAATTTTCATTGAAGACAGTACAAAAGGGAGGAGAAAGGCCTGAGAGTAAGAATTTCTGATAATTCATGTAAAACTTTATAAGAATATTGTTACCTACTTTTCCAGCTCTAAAAACAAAAACTTATTATTATTGAAGATGTTCAGTGATGCTTTCTCAAGATTGCCAAGGAAAAGTTTACGAAAATCTTACCTTGAAACAGTAGGTTTGAGTGACCCTTTGAAGAGATAGTCCAGACTGTCCTGTAAAGTTATATATGATATAACAAATAGCTTTACTAATTGGATTGGACTACACATCTTTTTTCTGTCCTCTTTTCATTTGTGCCGTTATCTGGAAATCCATCTAATTGCCTTTTTAAAATAATGTTATCTTTGATTTCCTTGTTTTGGTAAACTGACTGAACTGCAGTAGATAAAAACCTGGTTCTAGTGAACTAACATTTTAGAGACCTTACCTCCTTAAGCTATTAGGGGTGTGTCTAGTTTTTTGTTTTTGTAAAGAGCAAGCCCATTGGGAAGGAATGATGTAAATTTTCTGTTAAACTTAAATCATCAGCACTTTTTCCAAAAAATAAAATTCATTCTCATTTCTTGACCACTGGGCTACCATTTAGAAAGTTATTTATTGATGTAAAATCCTTTATGTATTACTTCAGAAGATAGGCTATGCCTCCGTGTTAAGAGGATTCTCTATTTCATTTGTTCTTTAGTGGATTTTTTTTCTTTAACGACTTTGGTATATAATTCACATACCGTAAACTTCACCAATTTTAAATGTACAGTTTAGTGGATTTTAGTACATTCACAGCGTTGTGTGACCGTCACTACAATTTAATTTTAGAACATTTTTGTCACTCCAAAAAGATATCCATACCCTTTACTGGTCATTCCCATTGCTGGCATCCTCCCTCCCCTCAAGCCTCAGACAATCATGAATAGAAATGGAATCATGCAATATGTAGTCTTTTGTGACTGGCTTGTTTCACTTGGTGTAATGTTTAGAAAATTATACTTAAAGTCTCATAAAACTTGACCAAAGCTATCCTCATATTTTAACTGTGGTATCTTTTATTGGTACTAGCACCTAGAATTCTTAAAGCAGAGTAGTGATTAGCCATGACATTGTTGCAAAGAAAGGTTGAGGTGGATTATCCTGAATAATTAGTAAACTGTTTTAAGTAGTTTCTGACAGCTTTATTAGAGCAGATTGCTTCTTCCTGTGCCCTTAGAGTTTTTCTTGTTTTTGTTTTGTAGGTAGGATTTTTAGTTTTGAAGGGGTTGGTAGAGTGAGGCTGTTTTTATTGTATGTGCTTTGCATACACAGTCACCCTATAAAATAGATTAAGTGTTCCGAGTTCGGTTGGGTTTTCCGCAATTAAAAATTGTGTTAACAGTTTAGTGTTTCTTACAGATAACACTGATAACACTTTTTTTGTTTTCATTGGGTCTTATCATTGGTACAGACTGATCCAAAAATCCAATTGGCTTGCTAGTAATTTTTTCCTGTGAATTGCTAAGATTTATGGGTAAATTAATTTTTCTTTTTCTTTTCTTTTTTTTTTTTTTTAAGCATTTGCTCCTTAAATGCAAATCGTACCACTAAGATCCTCTCACAACAGATTAAGGTCGAATTTGCAGAGTTCTTCAATTTTTCATGAAGCAGTGAGGGTAGATCTGTACCACTTTTTCCGTTCTGTGTAAATCACCGTTTATGGGAAACACTTGTTTTTTAGGTTGGTGCTATTTAAAAAAAATAAATAAAACGGTAGGCATTTTCAAAACATCTCTGAACTTTTTTTTTTTCCCAAACTGGATTGGGGCCGCCTCCTCTCAGAGCTACTCTTTAGAATAGTATTAAACTTATAAAAGCCTTTGCTGGCTTTGGGAAATAAAATTTTTAATAATTCTCAGTTCTTTTCAAGGCTTGAATTGTTTTCTGTCCTTCAGGGTTCACATATTTTGTGTATGGTATAGCTCACTGGCTTTTGCAGGGCCCCTTAAAGTCCAGTAACAATTGCCATCAGTAAATGCTTACCATGAGGCAGACCAAGCACTTGAATAGTCCAGTGAGGTACAGGTACAACTGCTATAGTTTACAATTGAAGAGGCTCAGAGGTAAAGTGGTTCAGGTAGCCAGTGAGTGGCAGAGTAGGGATTCAGACCCAGAACATTCATAATATTTATTTGTGTGCATAACAAGTAGTTGTAATGTCAGTTAAAAGTTTGTATTCCCATTTTGGTTTTCTATGTCTAGAGTGGCACCTAGGGCTGAAGGTGATTGACACTAGAGGTACTTAACTACTTCCAGAGAATTTCTACATTAGCTTATTTTAAGTGCATGAATTCTAGGGAAAAATATTTTACCCTTTGCAGATGCCACCCCTAAGAGATGCACCAACAAATAGATGACATGAAATTAAGCATTAGTGAATGCTGTTGATACGAAATATGATCTTCAAACATAAAGGAATCAAATGAACAAACTTTGTTTACAGGGGAGGAGGTGGTGAGGGAAAGGTTTGAAATACTCAGGTGAGTAGGATTCCTACAGCTGCATAGTGAGATTTGTAAGGTTCTGGTAAGTTTCTGCAGCTGAAGGACTTCTGCATTCACCTCTTTTGTAAATATTATGGAATTTTAAAAGGAAGGATGGTTGCCTCTGGGGAAGGGAACTGGGAACTGAGGTTATTTTGGAGGGGAAGGGGGGCTTCTAGATGTACCTTTTATGCTTTATTAAAAAGTATATTACCTATTAAAGTTTGTTTAAATCTATTTGATTAAAAATTTGAGTAAACTGGTTTCTAAACACTGTCTCCAGTGGCTTCAAAAACACAGGTACTGTTGGAAGGCATTCACTTTTGAGTGGCCTTTGACCTCAGTTTTAATCTGATTAATTCAGTCATTTTATAATCTTGCTCTTGGTGAGTTTAAACTAGATTTGGCTAAAATAGAGGTGGGAGTGTTGGCCCTTCAAAGACAGTTTGATGTGTTCAAAATTGTAGTGCATTTAAAAGGGTTAGACTTCTGTGATATTTGTCCAACGTCAATCAGTACTCATTGCATTTTTTTACTTAGGCTCTTGATGTTAGTGGATACTGGTATTATATGCAACTTCTGAATAAGTTTTAAAGAATTTGAATAATCAGTTGAATAAAAACCTGAAAAGTGGTGAATGAAAATTTGAGAGATAAGGAAAGGCTAGAGTTGGCATTCAGGGGACACAAATAGTTTGAAGACTCTGGTAGTAGAATTATGCAAGTTTTCTTAAAATTAGGCAATATATAATATTGATACTACGAAATTCAGTACTTTTCCGTAGGAGGGGGTCAGGTCTCATTGCCTTTTCCGTACCCCAAAATATGAAAGGTGGTCTACAATTTTGTTGTGGCATTGTCACAGCAGTTGGCCCCATGTTACATTTCCTCTTGTGGCACCTCTGAGAGGTGTTTCTTCATTACCTCTTGACAAGAGTATATTTTGATTGACTGCTCTATGTGCTTGTTTATTTTTTATAGCATTTAAATCAAACGGTATTGAGATGGATTGGGTTATGAAACATAATGGTCCAAATGACGCTAGTGATGGGACAGTACGACTTCGTGGACTACCATTTGGTTGCAGCAAAGAGGAAATAGTTCAGTTCTTTCAAGGTACCTCTAGTATTAGTCAAAGTTTAGTAGTATTGTAATTTTATATTTGTATTGTTTTACTGTTTTTAATTTGTAAAACCCATTTGATTTTGGAACTTTTAAGTTTAACTATGATAGTCTTGGTTAATGTATTAAAATAATATGCTCCAGTTAATATTCAATACAGAATGTGTAGAATATGTAAAACCTAGTTAATGTGCAGTAACATATTTGAGAATTGTGATGAAATGAACCGTGAATTAGTATATGGAGCATATATTTGATTTTGTAGCCTTTTTTCATGTAATATAGGTGGGCTTTTAGAGTGTGTAATTACACAGTGTTTTTACACTGGTCGCAAAAAATTTATTTAATCCAGTAATATTTGAAAAAATCTTTCATTTGTATTATGGGGTGATGGGAAACTAAGCTTTTTTGTTTTGTTTTGTTTTGTTTAGACTTGTTTTAAATATTTGATTCAGATGGGAATGTTTCAGCCTTTAACACTGTTCCCCTTGATGGGGTTATTTGTCCTTGGGTTAAAGGGTTGGAAATCGTGCCAAATGGGATAACATTGACGATGGACTACCAGGGGAGAAGCACAGGGGAGGCCTTCGTGCAGTTTGCTTCAAAGGAGATAGCAGAAAATGCTCTGGGGAAACACAAGGAAAGAATAGGGCACAGGTGGGGATGGAGAGTTTGGGATGGTGTTAAATTTTTATTTTTGGGGGTTGTGGGTCACTATTGCTTAAATGGGGGGGTAGCCATAACATTTTTCTGGGGTAGTTTAAAAGAATTGATAATTATCTAAATTTAACTTGGAAACTACAGATTTGGGTGGGGAATTAATGCTAATAGTTAAATTAAAATTAGATTGTTTCCATTTCTCTGTAGGATGTTGTTGATAAATGCTTTTGTATAATCACCTATTTCCTTTAAAACACCTATTATGTACTAAAAGAGACAAAGTAAAAATATACTTTATGAATTGTTTTCCGTGACTAATTTCTTTGTAAAACTTAAATATTTAATTAAGTTTGTAGGTTTAAACTGTTAACTTACGGTGTATTTAGGCAATTTAAATTGGGTTATGTATCTAGATATAGAAAAACTTACTGCATTTTGCCCAGTATCTAATTTACACTAATACATTTATGCTGAAACCTGTACCTTAAAACATTTTTAAATAGGTATATTGAGATCTTCAGAAGTAGCAGGAGTGAAATCAAAGGATTTTATGATCCACCAAGAAGATTGCTGGGACAGCGACCGGGACCATATGATAGACCAATAGGAGGAAGAGGGGGTTATTATGGAGCTGGGCGTGGAAGTATGTATGACAGAATGCGACGAGGAGGTGATGGATATGATGGTGGTATGTGTATCTAATGAACAAAGGTTCTGTTGTCATTTTCTTAATGTTCCTGACACTTTGTCAAGAAATACAGAAATGGCAGTAATTTCAGTACCTATTAGGTTTTAAAACCTGTTCATGAAAATACGGATTCCCATGGCTAGCTGTGGGACTTGACTGATGCACATATTGGCACCTAGAAAACTTACACAGAAATTAAAATTAAGATGTTGGCATATTTTGACCTTTTTTTGCCTAAGGATGAAATTTAATTTACATGTCTGAACTTAATTAACTTTCTGAGATTTTAAATTTCCATCACGTTGACTGCTTTTTTCATAGGTTTTAAGTTGGGAATTGCAAACTTGCAATCAAGTTACACAGACTGTTACCACAAAATGTTTTTGTAAACTAAATTATAAAATTTATCTCTGGAAAGTGTGTAGTCATGTGTTTCTCCTTAAATTACACAGGTTATGGAGGTTTTGATGACTATGGTGGCTATAATAATTACGGCTATGGGAATGATGGCTTTGATGACAGAATGAGAGATGGAAGAGGTAAAATAAATATTAAAGACATTTTTATTCATAGGTAAATTTTAGTATTTGCTTTGCAAGCTCTTAGTGGTAATATAGGAAACTTGTATAAAGTTAATTCAGACAAATTTCAGTGCATTCCTATATAGAGCTTTATACCTTGTATAGTATGTATGTATACTTCCCTACTTGTATCTGTAATAGTTTATAATCTTGGCAAATTGTGTTTTCCAGGTATGGGAGGACATGGCTATGGTGGAGCTGGTGATGCAAGTTCAGGTTTTCATGGTGGTCATTTCGTACATATGAGAGGGTTGCCTTTTCGTGCAACTGAAAATGACATTGCTAATGTGAGTAATTTTTAATAACTATTAGTGGTTTTATACTTATCCTGGTGTCTAAATCTTTAAGCATTCTTAATGTTCTCATGTTTATAGCTTAATACCAAAATCCCTTGAATATAAAAATAGATCTACCTTTAATTCTTTTTTTGAGATGGAGTCTTGCTCTGTCCCCCAGGCTGAGTGCAGTGGTGTGATCTCGGCTCACTGCAAGCTCTGCCTCCCAGGTTCACGCCATTGTCCTGCCTCAGCCTCCCGAGTAGCTGGAACTATAGGTGCCCGCCACCACGCCTGGCTAATTAGATCTACCTTTAATTCTAATCACTGATGGATATTTTTGTATCCATTGTGTGTCAACCTACATAGGATTCAAACAAGTAAAAAGCTACATTCGTGAAGTCCAGTTAAGAGTATAATGAAAGACTGATCAGCATAGAATGGTGATGACTATACCATTTTGTGCTGGTGTCTTTTGTTGTACCGTTTTTTGTTTTGTTTTCTTTTTTGAGACAGAGTCTTGCTCTGTCGCCCAGGCTAGAGTGCAGTGGCGCGATCTCGGCTCACTGCAACCTCCACCTCCCGGGTTCAAGTTATTCTTCTGCCTCAGCCTCCTGAATAGCTGGGATTACAGGGGCACACCCCACCACTCCTGGCTAACTTTTTGTATTTTTAGTAGAGATGGGGTTTCACCATGTTGATCGGGCTGGTCCTGACCTCATGATCCGCCTGCCCTGGCCTCCCAAAGTGCTGGGATTACAGGCGTGAGCCACTGCGCCTGACCTGTATTAGGGTTTGAAAGAGTGAATATATAAATATTAGTGATTTGGTTTGGCTTTCTAGGCTAGATGGTGATTAGAAACTGAGGAGTTGGAAATAACAGGAATAGATGCTGCTGTTGTCACTGATGTGAAACTGGTTGGTTTCAGATTTGTTAGGAGGTCAGCAAACTTCAGTCCATGGGCTAAATCCGGTCACACCATTCCTCTACCTGTTGAGTGGTTACATTAGAGACCCAATGGCCATTCAGGCCAAAAGTACTGACTCTGGCTTTAAAAGCAATGGTGTGCTCTAGATCTTACTGGGAATCAGCTGGCCTGAGTTCCAACTGCTTTTAATGATAGTTTAAAACCTGGCTAACTTGTGATTAGAACCAAATGATATCTTTTGGGGAACAATTTCATATAGTCTTAAATAGGTGGCTTTATTCAAACCGCATAGTTCCAAATCATGATATCCCGTATTTCTCTCTGTGTGTTTGTGTGCTTTTTTTTTTTGACAGTCTCCCACTCTGTCTCTCTGAGGCTGGAGTGCAGTGGCGTGATCTCTGCTTACTGCAGCTCCCACCTCCTGCGTTCAAGCGATTCTCTGTCTCAGCCTTCTGAGTAGCTGGGATTACAGGCGTGAGCCACTGCGCCCTGCCTATCTGCTTATTTTAAAAGCAGTAAATTCTTTACATTATCCCTAAGTGTATACTCTGATATTCACAGAACCTCTGTAGTTGACTAAGTTATTAGTCTGACAGGGCAGTGGAAGGGTTTGTTTTAATTGATGAGGAAAAATCAAGGTATGTGGTAATTTACTTTAATATTCTCAATAGAAAAGTAAATAAGTGTTTCCTTTTATTTAGTTCTTCTCACCACTAAATCCAATACGAGTTCATATTGATATTGGAGCTGATGGCAGAGCCACAGGAGAAGCAGATGTAGAGTTTGTGACACATGAAGATGCAGTAGCTGCCATGTCTAAAGATAAAAATAACATGCGTAAGTGGTGTCTTTGGCACACAATCTTATTTCCTAAACGTGAATTTATAAAATAAGAGGCTCTAAGATCTGTAGGTAACGCTTGGCAGTTGTTGGGATTTAAAACCATTTGACCTCTATAATGGCTTTCTGTGGGCTTTATATATCGCTGTACTAGTAATTAATAAGCATACTTTGTTTAATATTACTTAATTGATCTTTTTTACAAAGCTTGTATTGATGAATTTTATCCATCATTCCTTTCTCCCCTGTTACTCTTTCTTTTTTTCTTAAAGAACATCGATATATTGAACTCTTCTTGAATTCTACTCCTGGAGGCGGCTCTGGCATGGGAGGTTCTGGAATGGGAGGCTACGGAAGAGATGGAATGGGTATGTAAAGTTTTTAAAATATGCAGGGTTAGCTGCTTATCGATGAGTCTCAATTTTTTTTCTTTTTTCTTTTTAAAGATAATCAGGGAGGCTATGGATCAGTTGGAAGAATGGGAATGGGGAACAATTACAGTGGAGGATATGGTACTCCTGATGGTTTGGGTGGTTATGGTAAGTATCTCTAGTTCAGTTTGTGTTAGTCCGCATATGTAGTGCAAACTTTAAAGTGCAGGTATTACTTTTATTATTTTATGCAGATATCTCCTGCTGAGTGATTCTTAATATCTTTTTCTTAAGGCCGTGGTGGTGGAGGCAGTGGAGGTTACTATGGGCAAGGCGGCATGAGTGGAGGTGGATGGCGTGGGATGTACTGAAAGCAAAAACACCAACATACAAGTCTTGACAACAGCATCTGGTCTACTAGACTTTCTTACAGATTTAATTTCTTTTGTATTTTAAGAACTTTATAATGACTGAAGGAATGTGTTTTCAAAATATTATTTGGTAAAGCAACAGATTGTGATGGGAAAATGTTTTCTGTAGGTTTATTTGTTGCATACTTTGACTTAAAAATAAATTTTTATATTCAAACCACTGATGTTGATACTTTTTATATACTAGTTACTCCTAAAGATGTGCTGCCTTCATAAGATTTGGGTTGATGTATTTTACTATTAGTTCTACAAGAAGTAGTGTGGTGTAATTTTAGAGGATAATGGTTCACCTCTGCGTAAACTGCAAGTCTTAAGCAGACATCTGGAATAGAGCTTGACAAATAATTAGTGTAACTTTTTTCTTTAGTTCCTCCTGGACAACACTGTAAATATAAAGCCTAAAGATGAAGTGGCTTCAGGAGTATAAATTCAGCTAATTATTTCTATATTATTATTTTTCAAATGTCATTTATCAGGCATAGCTCTGAAACATTGATGATCTAAGAGGTATTGATTTCTGAATATTCATAATTGTGTTACCTGGGTATGAGAGTGTTGGAAGCTGAATTCTAGCCCTAGATTTTGGAGTAAAACCCCTTCAGCACTTGACCGAAATACCAAAAATGTCTCCAAAAAATTGATAGTTGCAGGTTATCGCAAGATGTCTTAGAGTAGGGTTAAGGTTCTCAGTGACACAAGAATTCAGTATTAAGTACATAGGTATTTACTATGGAGTATAATTCTCACAATTGTATTTTCAGTTTTCTGCCCAATAGAGTTTAAATAACTGTATAAATGATGACTTTAAAAAAATGTAAGCAACAAGTCCATGTCATAGTCAATAAAAACAATCCTGCAGTTGGGTTTTGTATCTGATCCCTGCTTGGAGTTTTAGTTTAAAGAATCTATATGTAGCAAGGAAAAGGTGCTTTTTAATTTTAATCCCTTTGATCAATATGGCTTTTTTCCAAATTGGCTAATGGATCAAAATGAAACCTGTTGATGTGAATTCAGTTATTGAACTTGTTACTTGTTTTTGCCAGAAATGTTATTAATAAATGTCATTGTGGGAGATAATAGTATGGCGTCTGTCCTAGAATGCTTTGTGTCAGTTACTAATTCTAAAATCAAATTGGTAGAAGGTGGTACTACATACGATGTCTATGATTTAGGAGAGGGAGCCGGGGCAGCCTATATATGTGGAGCCTCTTGACTGAAGCTATGATTCATCTTAATGCTTGTATCCACTTCCTTTAATGAGCAATTTAAATATTAGGGCATACACCACCTGTCTTTTTTGAAAGTTGTATGTGTTTTATTTTCCCAGGATTACTCTCTTAACATCTTAAAGCAGTAAAAGTATACAGTATTAATGAAACCAAAATTGCCCTTTTAAAGCAGGCTAATTTTCCAAATATTTATTTAGTTCATAAAATTCACATTTTATTTTTTAAACATTATAGGTTAGAAGAATTACAATTGTAATTCCCTGGCACCATGATAGCATTATTGTGGTAGTACTGCTAGGTGAGGGAATGGTATGTTAAGTCTGTTTTTGAAAAGTAAAATGAATACGAGTTCACAATCACGAAATACAGATTGTTAAAAGTCTTGTAACAGAAAAATCCAAAGTTAGTATAGTTTTTAAATAAGCCAAAACTACATGGAGCAAGTTGCTGTCATAAAAGCTGCCTAAAAAAAAAAAAAAAAAAAAAAAAAGCAAGTCAGTCAGTGTTGATACATGAGTTTTGAAAAGTGAGAAACTTACTTAAAGGATGACAAAATCATGGTTTGTTGAATGAAATTAGCCTTGGAATTTAAGCAACTTAAGTCACATTTTAAAATTTGTTCTAAGCACAGTAATAAAAAAGCATATTTGAAAATTTCATTTTTTGTTTATTCAGTAATCATAAAAATGTTAGCCCATCCCACCTATCAATACAAAATGGTTCAAGAATATAATCCTCTCTTGAGGACATTTCTGTCAGTATTCAAGAAAGACCATCTAGAAATCTGTGTCACATCTGACACCTCAAAAGCTGACTGGAAATTTACGGGTTTTGGAAAAAATAGATCTTCAAGTAAAATATTCATTTCATACTTAGGCTATTCAGAAAAATTTAAATTTCATGGAAGCATATATTCATGAAGAAAAGATCCTGCAGTATTAATAAGAACTCCTTTGTAGGCAGGGAGGTACCTAGGATTAACCACTAAATATAATGCTCTTAATCCATAAATTTTCTATGTATTTTTTATAGGCTCACAAACTTAAAGTGCATGGTTAAAAATTAATGTAAAAAATAGGATACTGAATGGTGATAGTGTTTATGTAACTATTCAGAGGTAATTTATACAAGTTAAATTCTTAGTATGCCATAAGCAATATAACTTGGATTAGTGTTCATTGAGTCAGCTTGAAATAGGTCAAGTGTACTGGCCAGGTGCTGTGGCTCACGCCTGTAATCCCAGCTACTTGGGAGGCTGAGGCAGGAGAATTGCTTGAACCCAGGAGGTGGAGATCGTGCCATTGCACTCCAGCCTAGGCAACAAGAGTGAAACTCCATCTCGAAAAAAAAAGAAATAGGTCAAGTGTATATTTCATCATCTCAACACCCTTGGCATAGAGGTGCTCAATGGACATGGTGAAATTTTACTGTGGATGTATACAGGTAGGCCACTACAATGTGATACTTCCTAAAATTTACTCCAATGAAAATGTTAATACAAAATTTTTTGAACTGAACTCTAATACATTACCAAAGCAAAGTCCTGATTTTTTTCTCACTTTTAATGCTTAGAGGAGAGGACCTTTATAAGGAGCCTGTAACATCCCCTACTATTACATACTTTTTTTTCTGGGGAAGGATTTGTGTTTTCATCTTTGAATTGGGGTCTGAGTCACCCCTTAAAAAAACAGCAATTTAATGAAACAGCATATGGGAAGATTTATAAATCAGGAAAAGAAAGATGGTTATATGTAACTTCCTTTCAAGATTAAAAGGAAAAAAGTAGAGGCCGAGGCCAAATAATGCCCCCTTTAATTTAATCCACTGTAGCTGAAAATCTTCAGCAAGCACGACAATAACTGATTTTTAAAGAGACCAAGAGGAAATTTTGTAGGACAAAATATTGGCCCTGTCTAATGCAAGAGGCAAAGGGAGAGGGGGAGAAGAAAGGGCAAATAAATATAGTTGAAATCTTACAAAGATAATGAAAATCTGTTGAATTAGAATATTAATAATTTTAAAAGTTTTATGCGTTTCCAGTTTCAGAACTGTGAAGCTTTAAAGTGCATTAAGAGAACTGCAGGCACCATCAAATACCAAATTGACAGAATTCAGAAGAAAAAAACAATCTGAAGCCTTATTTTTAAGGCCTTTACAAGATAAGGCAAGTTGTGTTAGCTCTGCTCTCTGGCCTTTTAATGAGTTACATGATTTTTAAGCATGCTCTGTTGAAAATACATTTTGAAAAACAATGGGGAAGGAAATATATAACTTGTAATTTCCATGAGCTGAATATGTAGAAGATAAACTGGTACCAAATACTGACCGAAAGCCGCTTAAGGAGAGCTGTCTGGTTACCTTTGTATACAACATCATAACATTCATTGTAGGTAATTTCATACATAAGGATTTAGTTCTGGAGTCTCAGGGCAAGTTAGATGAGCATCTCTGAATGAGCAGTGCATGACAGGAATCACAAACCCGTACTGGTTTTGGTGAAGAAGGCAAAGGTAGTTCGTTGTCAGAGCAGGCATTACAGAAAATTTCCCCACAATTTCTACAGTGGTGCTATTAAACAGAAAAATCAGAGGGAAAAAAACACTTTAAATAAAATTAGCATTTTTGCACTCCAAATTTTTGGACTCACTTCTTATCTCCCTTACCTTTCTCTTAGAGAGTGAGAATTCCTTTTCACAAAGTTTACAATGTGTTGCTTCTTTGTCTTTCAGCCAAACCAGTCCCTAGTAGGAAGAAAATATTAATGCTCAAATTGGTAACACTAAAAATTAAATGTGAAAACTTTTTCCCCCAAGAACATTATTTATAGGAATAGATATATGAAGAATGGAAAATAAGTTATTTTCTTTGAGAGATGTATATATATGTAAATATGTATGGAATTAGCCTCAAAATATTCTGGGTTGGGGAGGTGGGATGTGGATTAAGTATAAAAAACAAGATTGCAGCCAGGCGACAATGGCTCACACCGGTAATTCCAGCTACTTGGGAGGCTGAGGTGAGAGGATCGCCTGAGGCCTGGAGTTCAAGACCAAGCTGGGCAACACAGAATCTGTCTCTTAAAAAATAAAAATTGAAAAAATGAAAAATCAAGACTGCACATGATAAATATTGAAATGGGTAATGGTTCATTTTGCTCTTTTCTATACAATTGTATATATTAGAACATATAACATGTAAAAATGCTTTAAAGAGATAATCTGTTGCTGATGGGAATTCTCTTCAGGAAAAGAACCTTAAAGATGAAAAAAACCTTAAAATAGTACAACAACATTTTATTTTTTAAATTTTTGTGGGTACATAGTAGTTACATATTTATGGGGTACATGAGATGTTTTGATACAGGCATGCAATACGAAATAAGCACATCATGGAGAATGGGGTATCCTAGTCCAACAATATTTAAGGATAAATTCTCACTGTGTAAAATGCAATAGTTTGGCATTATGTATAACTTATACCTTAAGACCCTAAAATTTGAAGGAAATTGGGGAAATCAGATATTGGAGTTCATTATTTTATAAGACCTCTTTAGGAGGCCGAGGCAGGAGGATTGCTTGAGGCCAGGAAGACTGGCCTGGGGAACAGACTCCATCTTTACAAAAAAATTAACCAGGCTGCGTGGCATAAGCCCATAGTCCCAGCTACTCTGGAGGCTGAGAAGGGAGAATCGCTTAAGCCCAGGAGTTTGAGGCTGCAGTGAACTATGACTCAGGCTTGAGTGCCACTGCACTCGAGCCTGAGCAAGAGTGAGACCCTGTCTCAAGAAAAAGAGGGGAAAAAAAAAGGACCTCACTTTAAAAGTTTTACATGGCTATTTCCCTCAACTTTTATAACATATTTAATAGCTGCTATGTAAACGTTAGTAAAAAAATGGATGTAAGTAGTCTTAAGCAGTATTTATGACAACTTGACCCTTTTTTTTTTTTTTTTTTTTTTTGAAAAGAGAGTCTCACTCTGTCGCCCAGGCTGTAGTGCAGTGGTGCAGTCTCAGCTCACCGCAACCTCCGTCTCCCAGGTTCAAGTGATTCTCCTGCCTCAGCTTCCCTGTAGCTGGGATTACAGGCACACGCCACCATGCCCGGCTAATTTTTGTATTTTTAGTAGAGATGGGGTTTCACCATGTTGGCCAGACTGGTCTCAAACTCCTGACCTCAGGTGATCCGCCCACTTCGGCCTCCCAAAGTGCTGGGATTACAGGCATAAACCACCAGGCCCAGCCTACTTGACCCATTGTTAACCAGCTTGCTTAACCAATCTTGGCTAGAAAGACCTTTTTTCCCCTGTGAAGGCAACTTTGTTAGATGATTATCAGTTTCACAATGAGAAGACCCAGATGAAGGAGGAGCCTCAATACTGATTGATTTCCTAAAACATGTTCCTAAAACAGCCCAGACCAAAGAACCCAAGTATAACTGAAGATTCCAACCTGGACATGGAGCAACTGCAACCTATCAATTACTACTGAAGCACAGGAACCTTTATTACCTAATGAGAGAAAAATTCTCTTAGGAAAAAAAGGCCCATAGATACATTTCTAAAAACAAGAGTTTTCTTAAGACTTTTCCAAAAGCAGAATTCTTTGAAGAAAAAAAAGACAAAGCATTCACAGATCAAGATCACAAGGTTAATTTCAGGTCTTTTTGTTTCACAGTCTTAATAACTAGCACTTATTATACAGCAGAGATAATACAGTATTGGTTACTGCATATGAGGAAGCCTAACTCTCCTTAGAACACAGGATTATAAGGGCTTTTTTTTTTTAACTAGATAGTTCATATCAGACAAACACCAGCAAAGAGTCAGATAGCTTGAATCATAGAATTTTTTTTTTTTTTTTAATGCAGGACGGGGGCCAGGTGCAGTGGCTGACACCTGTAATCCCAGCACTTTTGAGACTTTGAGAGGCCAAGGTGAGAGGCTCTCTTTAGACCAGGAGTTCAAGACCAGCCTGGGCAACATAGCAAGACCCCATCTCTACAAAAAAAAATATAAATGAAAAGAAATTAGCCAAGCATGGTGGCATGCACCTGTAGTCTCAGCTACTTGGGAGGCTGAGGTGGGAGGATTGCTTAAACCCATATGTTCAAGGTTACAGTGAGCTGTGATCATGCCACTGCACTCCAGCTTGGGAAACAGAGGAAACTCTGTCTCTGAGGGGAAAAAAAAAAAAAGGCAGCAGCAGGAAGGGACCCTAAAAGATAATCCAACTTGATGAAAACCATACAAAGCAAAGTGATTTGCCAAATGTCCCACAGCCACCTAGTGGAAGCAGCTTGTAAGGGCATCAGGTTCGGAAACAACCTTGCTGACATGGAGACTAGGCCTTTGGAGACTTCTTTTCATTGAAACTACCTGCCGCCCTCCCAGGAGAGAAGCTCACTTTAAAGTAAGCCTAGTGTGTCCCTGTGAAGGGATCTCAGAGATGAGCACCTGGAGCCCTCTCATTTTACACATGAGAAAACTTAAAGCCTAGAGAGCTGAAGCTGCCTGCTCAAGGAAACAGCCGTTTACCAGAAGAGCTAAGACTAGAACGGAACAACCTCTTGCTCTGCAAATAAACAGCAATTTTTCTCTGCCCAATTCCAGAAAGTTAGCTGCTAGACTTACACCCCCTAGATAGGATACTACAGGATTCTTCTCTGGAGAAATTCAACTGCCACAGAGAAAAGTCCTGTAAATACTAAACATTTGTAGAGGGTACCCAATAGTTCACTAATCATAGCAGATTTCTCTATGGTGAGGCCTACCAGTTTTTAACAACCCACCCAACCAATACACACACAAGGTTTCCGATAACTCTTATTTGTGCCTTTTATTGAAATTGGGGGATATCACAACATTTGAGAAAACTTCAGAGAATCGATAATGAGGCCGGGTACAGTGGCTCACACCTGTAATCCCACCACTTTGGGAGACTGAGACGGAAGGATCGCTTGAGCCCAGGAGTTTGAGACCAGCCTGGGCAACACAGTGAGGCCCCCACCATCTCTAAAAAATAAAATAAAATTAGCAGGGTGTGGTGATGTACACCTGTGGTCCCAGCAACTCAGGAGGCTGAGGGGGGGAGGATTGCTTGAACCCAGAAGTTCAAGGTTACAGTGAGCTATGATGGAGTCACTACACCCTGGCCTGGACAACAGAGACACTGTCTCTAAAAAAATTTTTTTTTAAAGAAAAAAAAATTTTTTTTTTGAGACAGAGTCTCGCTCTGTCACCCAGGCTGGAGTGCAGTGGTGCAATCTCGGCTCACTGCAAGCTCCGCCTCCCGGGTTCGCGCCATTCTCCTGCCTCAGTCTCCTAAGTACCTGGGACTACAGGCACCCACCACTGCACCCAGCTAATTTTTTGTATTTTTAGTAGAGACGGGGTTTCACCGTGTTAGCCAGGATGGTCTCGATCTCCTGACCTCGTGATCTGCCCGCCTCAGCCTCCCAAAGTGCTGGGATTACAGGCGTGAGCCACCGCGCCCGGCCAGAAAAAATTTTTTAAATAATAATATCAAAGACAAAATATAACAGGACGCTATTTTTAAAAGGAAAAATGAGCAAATAATAACCCACTGAATGTTAAAAATATGCCTGCAGAAAAAATATCCCCCAGAAGGTTGTACCTGAATCTAACCAAGGCTTTATTTTATTTTATTTTTCATATTATTTTATTATTTAGATGGAGTCTCGCTCTGTCGCCCAGGCTGGAATGCAGTAGTGGGATCTCAGCACACTACAACCTCCGCCTCCCGGGTTCAAGTGATCCTCTTACCTCAGCCTCCCAAGTAGCTGGGACTACAGGCGCACACCACCATGCCTGGCTAATTTTTGCATTTTTAGTAGAGATGGGGTTTCACCATGTTGGCCAGGTTGGTCTCGAACTCCTGACCTCAGGCCAATCCACCTGGCTCGGCCTCCCAAAGTGCTGGGATTACAGCCGTGAGCCACCATGCTTGGCCTAATCAAGGCTTTAGATTTAACTTCCAGTTCACAGGCAACAAGTAGACAGGAACAAGTTAACAAACACTGCAAACAAACATTCAGAGAAAATCCAGAATGTGAAAAACTGTTTAGGACAGCTGTTCTAGACCCTTCAGCTGGTCAACAGCATGGAAAAGAAAAAAAAGTCAACTCAGATATGAATCCAGTTTCCACATAAAAAAACTGAGAAAAGCAGATAATATTCTGTTAAAGACAGATGTGAGTAATAAGTATAAAGCAAAACAAAGTAATAATTAACACAAAATACAGGAGAGATGCCATAAAGAGGAGAGTGCAATCAAGAAGCAGATGAGGCTTCTAAGGTACTGGTCATGTTCTATTATCATTAACCTAAGCGGAGGATACGCAGTGTTTTTTTGTTTTTGGTTTTTTTTTTGGAGATGGAATTTTGCTCTTGTTGCCAGGCTGGAGTGCAATGGCATGATCTCAGCTCACCACAACCTCCGCCTCCCAGGTTCAAGCAATTCTCCTGCCTCAGCCTCCTGAGTAGCTAGGGTTACAGGCATGCACCACTATGCCCGGCTAATTTTGTATTTTTAGTAGAAATGGGTTTCTCCATGTTGGTCAGGCTGGTCTCGAACTCCCGACCTCAGGTGATCTGCCCACCTCGGCCTCCTAAAGTGCTGGGACTGCAGGCATGAGCCACCGTGCCCCGCCCCACAAGTGTTTTTAAGTTGTACTATATATGCATTCTTATATGCATATTTCACAAAACTTTTTTTAGAGTTTACATAATGATGGTTTTGGCAAATATCCATGTATCCATACATTTTTTTTTTTTTTTTTTTTTTTTTTTGAGACGGAGTCTCACCCTGTTGCCCAGACTGGAGTGCAAGGGCATGATCTCTGCTCATTGCAACCTCCACCTTCCGGGCTCAAGCAATTCTCCTGCCTCAGCCTCCTGAGTAGCTGGGATTACAGGCATGTGCCACCACGCCCGGCTAATTTTTTCTTTTGTATCTATAGTAGAGGTGAGGTTTCACCATGTTGGCCAAGCTGGTCTCAAACTCCTGACCTTGTGATCCACCCGCCTTGGCCTCCCAAAGTGCTGGGATTATAGGCGTGAGCCACCACGCCCAACCTCCACCCATCTTTTTTTTTTTTTTTTTTTTTTGAGACGGAATCTTGCTCTGTCGCCCAGGCGGGAGTGCAGTGGTGCAATCTCAGCTCACTGCAACCTCCACCTCCCAGGTTCAAGTGATTCTCCTGCCTCAGCCTCCCAAGTAACTGGGACTACAGGTGCGTGCCACCACACTCAGCTAATTTTTGTATTTTTAGTAGAGGCGGGGTTTCACCATGTTGCCCAGGATGGACTCAATCTCTTGATCTTGTGATCCGCCCACCTTGGCCTCCCAAAGTGCTGGGATTACAGGCGTGAGCCACTGCACCCGGCCCCATCTTCTTGAAAAGTATGAGGATACGGCCTGGCAAGGTGGCTCACGCCTGTAATCCCAGCACTTTGGGAGGCTGAGATGGGCAGATCACCTGAGGTCAGGAGTTCGAGACCAGCTTTGCTAACATGGTGAAACCCTATCTCTACTAAATATACAAAAATTAGCTGGGCATGGTGGTGGGTGCCTGTAATCCCAGCTACTTGGGAGGCTGAGGCAGGAGAATTGCTTGAACCCAGGAGAGGGAGGTTGCAGTGAGCCGAGATCATGCCATTGTACTCCAGCCTTGGTGTCAGAGCAAGACTGTCTCAAAAAAAAAAAAAAGAAAAAAAGTGTGAGGATAAAACAAAGGTATATTCAGATACGCAAATTCTTTTCTTTCTTTTTTCAAATTTTGGTAGAGACAAGGGCTTGCTATACTACCCAGGCTGGTCTCAAACTCCTGGCCTCAAGCAATTCTCCCACCACAGCCTCTTAAAGCACTGGGGTTACAGGTATGAGCTACCATGCCTAGTCTCCAGATGTGTAAATTCTTACAACCTCTATCTTCATTCACCATTTTCAGGAAGCTACTGAAAGATGTGTTGCCGAAAATAAGGGAGTATACAAAGAGAGAAGTTAGGGAATTCAGGCAACAGGAGCTCCCACAAAGGGGGAAGGTAAAGGAAATTCTGAGAATACCAGCAAAGGGAAACATCAGGACCAGAACAAACATGAGCAGGAGAGCAGAGAACTCTTGAAGTTGGAGGCAAGACGTCAAAGAAAAAATAATGACGTAACCAAGTACCTGATATATTTTACCATGTGGAAAACTTTATCAAGAAGCTTTTTTAAATAGAGGTGTTTCAAGGTATGAGAAAACTCAAATGTTATACAACTAATTTGTTTTTAAAAAGAGAGGGGTGGCTGGGCACGGTGGCTCACACCTGTAATCCCAGCACTTTGGGAGGCCAAGGTGGGCAGATCACAAAGTCAGGAGTTCGAGACAAGCCTAGTCAATATGGTGAAACCCCATCTCTACTAAAAATATAAAAATTAGGTGGCACATGCCTGTAATCTCAGCTACTTGGGAGGCTGAGGCAGGAGGATCACTTGAACCCGGGAGGTGGAGGTTGCAGTGAGTCAAGATCGTGCCACTACACTTCAGCCTGGGCAACAGAGGGAGACTCCATCTCAAAAAAAAAAGAGGGGGCAATTATTAACTCCAGAGGAAGGATAAAGTAGTTCAAGTAAGAAAATATAATCACAGTACCTGGCTCAGCAAGGAACAACATTCAAATAATCATAATAAAAAATTCAGAATAGGGGCTAGATGCAGTGGCTCACACCTGTAAGCCCAGCACTTTGGGAGGCCGAGGCAGGTGCATCACCTGAGGTCAGGAGTTTGAGACCAGCCTGGCCAACATGGCGAAACCATCTCTACTAAAACTATAAAAATTACCCGGGTGTGGTAGCACACACCTGTAGTCCCAGCTACTCGGGAGGCTGAAGCAGGAGAATCTCTTGAAGCCGGGAGGCGGAGGTTGCAATGAGCCGAGATCGCGCCACTGCACTCCAGCCTGGGTAACAGAGCGAGACCCTGTCTCGAAAAAAAAAAAAAAAAATGAGCTAGGCGTGGGGGCAGGTGCCTGTAATTTCAGCTACTGGGGAGCCTGAGGCAGGAGAATCACTGAACCAGGGAGGCAGAGGTTGCAGTGAGCCGAGATCATGCCATTGCACTCCAGCCTGGGTGAAGAAGCAAGACTCCGTCTCAAAAAAAAAAATACAGAGTAAGACGGGTTTTGGGGGCTCATGCTTGTAATCCCAGCACTTTAGGAGGCCAAGACTGGAGGACTGCCCGAGGACAGGTGTTCAAGACCACTCTAGACAACACAGCAGATACTGTCTCTACAAAAAATTTAAAAATTAGCCAGGCAAGGTGGCACGCACCTGTGGTCCCAGCTACTCAGGAGGCTGAGGCAAGAGGACAGCTTGAGCCCAGGAGTTTGAGACTGCAGTGAACTATGATTGTGCCACTGTACTCCAGCCTGGGCAACACAGCAAGACCCCATCTCAAAAAAATAATAAATAAAATAACATAAATAAAAAATATATATATAAAGTAAATGAATGCCACAAAAAACCTTACTTGATTATACTGGGAGACCAGAAAGACCAAAATGAGAGTGAGCAAAACTCTTCATCCACCATATGATGACGTTAATATATAAGTCTAAAACTGCTGAATCAAGAGCAAATAGTACATACTGAACATTAGTTAGACATACAGAGATAAATGCCAGAAGAAACAGCTAAAAAACTGGAAGTAGCTCCCTTTGGGTGGCAGGAGCTAGGGCAGATAAAGGGCAAGGGAGTGAAGAACAAGAGACTGCTACCATCATCATCATTATTATTAATAATATTATTTGGAGTTAAATCTTCTTAGTATAATTTTTTAAAAATGATTTTCATGTAACACTTTTTTGTCACCCAGGCTGGCGTGCAGTAAGTAGCATGATCAAGGCTCCCTGCAGCCTCGACCTCCCAGGCTCAAGCAATCCTCCCACCTCAGCCTCCCAAGTAGCTGAGACTATAGACCTGCACCACCACACCTGGCTAATTTTTTCTTATTTTTTAGTAGAAATAAGGTCTATTTTACCCAGGCTGGTCTTGAACTCCTGGCCTCAAGCAATCCTCCTGCCTTGGCCTCCCAAAGTGCTATGAACCACCACACCCAGTATCATGTAACACTTTTTGATTTTAAAAAATGAAGTTGTTGGGTAGGAAGCCACCTATCACTGAAGTGATCACACAGACACTGTCCTTTCTTCTATGTTGTAGCAAGGATTCAGACACATTCACAACCATACTGGTAAAGTGTTCCAACCACTTTCACACACATGTATTAACCTACTCAATATTCAGAGCAACCCTACGCAGAATCATCAGCCTATTTCAGAGAAGGAAGCTGAGGCTCAATGAGGATACATGACTTGCTGAAAGTAAAAGAACTAGTAAGTAATAGACTGGCATAGGAACTCAAGATTCTCAAGTTCATAGGCAATTTCACTCTATCATGCCATACTTTGTAGGGAAGTAAACAAAATTATTTCTAAGGTCAGTTTCTTTTTTTTTTTTTTTGAGAAAGAGTCTCGCTCTGTTGCCCAGGATGGAGTGCAAGGGCATGATCTCTGCTCATTGCAACCTCCACCTTCCGGGCTCAAGCAATTCTCCTGCCTCAGCCTCCTGAGTGGCTGGGATTACAGGCACCCACTACCACACTCAACAAATGTTTGTATTTTTAGTAGAGATGGGATTTCACCATGTTGGCCAGGCTGGTTTCAAACTCCTGACCTCAAATGACCCACCTGCCTCGGCCTCCCAAAGAGCTCGGATTACGGGCGTGAGCCACTGCGCCCGGCCTCTAAGGTCAGTTTCTAAAGGAAGGTTATTAATAATGTGACTCTAGGGGTACAGGGAAGAGCTGAACCCCCAGCATCCAAGCTCCTCATTCAGTGCTTCGGCCTCTATATATCCTGGGGTTAATAATACATTAGATTCACACAGGGCATTACCTTCCATTGGAGACTTTCACATACCTTCCCACTTTAGGAAAACGTTCTACTCACCTGCAATGCTTTGTTGGCTTCTTTTATGTCTTCAATTTTAAGTTTTGATCTAAAAAGATTACAAATAGGTCCAAATTTCAGTACACATATTTAAATATAGAACACTTAGTATTTCAGTAGGTATTGGTATTTCATAGGATATAAAATTATGTATAGTATATGATTTTTATGGCCTTCTCTGGCTAGTGGAATATTTCATATTTTCCTATATTTTCTAAATGTCCTAAAGCAAAAATATTTTAGATTTAAAACTTGCTTTTTAAGAAATATTGGCATTTTCGGCTGGGTGCGGTGGCTCATGCCTGTAATCCCAGCACTTTGGGAGGCCGAGGCCCGCGGATCACGAGGTCAGGAGATCGAGACCATCCTGGCTAACATGGTGAAACCCCGTCTCTACTAAAAATACAAAAAATTAGCCAGGCATGGTGGCGGGCGCCTGTAGTCCCAGCTACTCGGGAGGCTGAGGCAGGAGAATGGCGTGAACCCGGGAGGCGGAGCTTGCAGTGAGCCAAGATCACGCCACTGCACTCCAGCCTGGGTGACAGAGTGAGACTCCATCTCAAAAAAAAAAAAAAAGAAAAAAAAGAAATATTGGCATTTTCATGTGATCATGACAATATTTATAGCTATCATTTATTGTAGGTTTACTATGTGCCTTTGCATGCATAATCTCATGTAATCTACACAAAAACCTATTTTAAAGATGAAGAAATGACTGATGAAGTTTAGTCACTTGTAAGAAGTCAGAGAGCTCCAACTGGGGGAGCTAGGATTCAAACCCTTGTCTGTGACCCCAAAGGGCACATGCTAACCATTATTCACATTATTTCTCTAGCAAATACAGAAGTGCTAAGGAAGAAAATACTGTGAGCCAGGCGCGGTGGCTCACACCTGTAATCCCAGCACTTTTGGGGGCCAAGGCGGGTGAATCATCTGAGGTCAGGAGTTCGAGACCAGCCTGGTCAATATACAGTGAAACCCCATCTCTACTAAAAATACAAAAATTAGCTGGAAATAGTGGTGCACGCCTGTATTCCCAGCTACTCGGGAAGGTGAGGCAGGAGAATCACTTGAACCCCGGAGGCAGAGGTTTCAGTGAACCAAGATCACACCACTGCACTCCAGCCTGGGTGACAGCGAGATGCCGTCTCAAAAACAGCAACAAAAAAGAAAATACTGTGGAAGACACAGCTGCAAATACTTTCCCACTTTTTTGATGGAGTCTCGTTCTGTTACCCAGGCTGCAGTGCAGTGGCACGATCTCAACTCACTGCAACCTCTGCCTCGTAGGTTCAAGTGATTCTCCTGCCTCAGTTTCTTGAGTAGATGGGATTAGAGGCACCCGCAATAACTCCCAGGCTAATTTTTGTATTTTTAGTAGAGACCGGGTTTCACCACGTTGGCCAGGCTGGTCTCGAACTCCTGACTTCAAGTGATCCACCTGTCTTGGCCTCCCAAAGTGCTGGGACTACAGGTGTGAGCCACCAAGCCTGGCATTTTCCACCTTTTGAAAATATGTATGTTGGGCCAGATGCGGTCTCTCATGCCTGTAATGCCAGCACTTTGGGAGACAGAGGTGAGCAGACCGCCTGAGGTCAGGAAGGAGTTCAAGACCAGCCTGGCCAACATGGTGAAACCCCATCTCTACTAAAAATACCAAAAAAATTAGCTGGGCGTGGTGAGGGGCGCCTGTGATCCCAGCTACTCAGGAGGCTGAGGCAGGGAGAATCACTTGAACCGGGGAAGCAGAGATTGCACTGAGCCGAGATCGTGCCACTGCACTCCTGGGTGACAGAGCAAGACTCCATCTCAAAAAACAAGAAAAAGAAAAAAGAAAATACATATGTTGGGATCAATTTGCTACCAAGTGGTATAACTTTGTTTTTTTTTTTTTTAGATGGAGTTTTGCTCTTTCACTCAGGCTGGAATGCAGTGGCATGATCTCGACTCACTGCAACCTCCGCCCCCAAGGTTCAAGCGATTCTCCTGCCTCAGCCTCCCGAATAGCTGGGATTATAGGCAGTTGTCACCACACCCAGCTAATTTTTGTATTTTTAGTAGAGACGGGGTTTTTCCATGTTGGCCAAGCTGGTCTCAAACTCCTGACCTCAGGTGATCCACCCGCCGCCTCGGCCTCCCAAAGTGCTAGGATTACACACGTGAGTCACCGTGCCAAGCCCCAGTTGGTATAATTTAAATTTTTTTTTCTTTAAAAAAGAAAATGTGTTAATGAAAATGCAAATTATAAAAAACAATATTTAATTACCTGTGATCCCATTACCCAGAGGTAATCTTCTCTATATATCTGTGTATTTTAAATGGAATAATTATCTACATAGTTTTCCATAACCAGCTATTTTCACAATATATCCTGAACAGCTTGCAGCTACTGGCTTGTTACCGAGTATCTGCCATTATCATTATAGTAAATGGTCACTTGGTATATACCATGAAAAAGAATATAAAATAGTATATATAATTATCTACTGTTGATCTTTCAACTTGTTTCAAATTTTTCGCCACAAAAGTTGTTTATTAAAATTACAATGACTAGTTCAGGCATGGTGGTTCCTGCCTGTAATCGCAGCACTTTGGGAGGCTGAGGTGGGGAGATCACTTGAGGTCAGGAGTTCCAGACCAGCCTGGCCAACATGGTGAAACCTCATCTCTATCAAAAATACAAAAATTAGCCAGGCATGGTGGTATGCACCTGTAGTCCCAGCTACTCAGGTGTCTGAGGCAGGAAAATCGCTTGAACCTGGAAGGCATAGGTTGCAATGAGCCAAGATTGCACCACTGCCTTCCAGCTTGAGCAACAGAGCGAGACTCTTATCTCCAAAAAACAAACAAACAAACAAACAACAACAAAAAAATTGGAATGACTAAAACATTAGTATTAATTCTCTTACAAATGAAATTCCTGAATCAAATGATATATCAGATACTAAAGCCTCTACTACTGAAGCAGGACATTAAAAATCTGCTTTGCCCTATAAAATGCTCTTCATTCCAAGACATAAAAACAAAGTGTGAGTCTTTCACCTACCTCATATTGACTCTTACGGTGGAAATAATCAATGTAAAACTACACACTGTAAAAATACTGACATAATCATCACATTTTCTTGGCTAAATTCACATCTACAAAATGTGCCTCAGGAAAACTGACTCTTGGGAATAGTGGCCACAACAGTGATGATTTAATTATGCTATACAGAAAAACTGAATATGGAATTAAAGTGGCTTAATGATATTCACCACAGAAAATATTTTCTTGGCTGGGCACAGTGGCTCACACCTGTAATTCCAGCACTTTGGGAGGCCAAGGCAGACGGATAACCTGAGGTCAGGAGTTCGAGACCAGCCTAGCCAACATGGTGAAACCCTGTCTCTACTAAAAATACAAAAATTAGCCGGGAGTGATGGCACACACGTGTAATTCCAGCTACTCTGGAGGCTGAGGCAGGAGAATCGCTTGAACCCAGGAGGCAGATGTTGCAGTGAGCCAAGATCACGCCACTGCACTCCAGCCTGGGCGACAGAGCAACACTCGGTCTTATGCCCGGCCTAGGAAATACTTTATGATAATTTACTGGTATTGATAGATTTTTGATTTAAATGCTCTTATTCATAAATAAGGACTCAAAAAAGACGGCCTCTCTATGATACATATTGCCTAAGTGTCCTAAAGAAAGGAGCATCGGTTACAATCCCAATAACCATAATGTACAAGAATACCTTCTCAGCCAGGCACAGTGGCTCATGCCTGTAATCCCAACCCTTTGGGAGGCCAAGGTGGGTGGATCACTTGAGGTCAGGAGTTCGAGACTAGCCTGATCAACATGGTGAAATCCCACCTCTACTAAAAATACAAAATTAGCCAGATGTGGTGGCACACGCCTGTAATCCCAGCTATTCAGGAGGCTGAGGCAGGAGATTTTGTATATATACATATATACGTATATATACATATATAAAATAAGCCTAAAAGGAAAATATACATATGTATACATATACGTATATATGTGTGTATATATACGTATATATACATATATAAATATGTGTGTATTGCGTGTATATATACGTATATATAAATATACATAGTAGTAATGCTACTATATATAAAAATATATATAGTAGTACTACTATATATATAAATATACATAGTAGTATATTTATATATATAATGCTACTATATATAAAAATATATATAGTAGTACTACTATATATAAATATACATAGTAGTAGTGCTACTATATATATATAAAAATATACATAGTAGTAGTGCTACTATATATATAAAAATATATATAGTAGTAGTACCAGCTACTCGGGAGGCTGAGACAGCAGAATTGCTTGAACCTGGGAGGTGGAGGTTGCAGTGAGCCGAGATTGCACCACTGCAGTCCAGCCTAAGCAACAGAACAACTCCGTCTCAAAAAAAAAAAAAGATAGATTTGGAAGGCTTTAAACACTGACTATTCTTCTGAGTAAATTATAATTAGACTGTCTAATAATTAAGGAAATGAAAATAAGCCTGAAAGGAAATATATACATATATGTATACACGTATACATATTCTCCTGTCTCAGCCTCCGAAGTAGCTGGGACTACAGGCACATGCCACCACACCCGGCTAATTTTTGTATTTTTAGTAGAGATGGGGTTTCACCACGTTGGCCAGGCTGGCCTCGAACTCCTGACCTCAAGTGATCCGCCCGCCTCAGCTTCCAAAGTGCTGGGATTGCAGGCGTAGCCACAGCACCTGGCCCAAATCTATCTTTTTATAAGAATTCTTCAGGCCAGGTGTGGTGGCTCAAGCCTGTAATCCCAACACTTTGTGAGGCTGAGGAGGTGGGAGCATCATTTGAGCCCAGGAGTTTGAGACCAGCCTGGGCAACATAGTGAGACCCCGCCTCCATATAAAATATATAAATAAAAATTTAAAAAAGAATCCTTCAAGCTGGATGTAGTGGCTCACACCTGTAATGTCAATATTTTTGGAAGCCGAAGCAAGAGGACTCCTTGAGGCCAGGAGTTTGAGACCAGCCTGGGGCAACACAGTGAGACTCTGTCTCTATTTAATTTTTTTAAAAAAATAATCTTTCAGGCCAGGTGCGGTGGCTCACGCCTGTAATCCCAGCACTTTGGGAGGCCGAGGCGGGCAGATCACGAGGTCAGGAGATCGAAACCATCCTGACTAAAATGATGAAACCCCATCTCTACTACCAAAATACAAAAAAAAATTAGCCAGGCATGGTGGCGGGCACCTGTAGTCCCAGCTACTCAGGAGGCTGAGGCAGGAGAAGGACGTGAACCCGGCAGGCAGAGCTTGCAGTGAGCTGAGATACTGCCACTGCACTCCAGCCTGGGCGACAGAGCGAGACTCCATCTCAAAAAACGATAATAATAATCATCATCATCTTTCAATAATAAGCCGATAAGAGCAAATATTTCAATTTTCAAACCCAGTAAGTGGAGGTTGCAGTGAGCCAAGATCACACCACTGCACTCCAGCCTGGGTGACAGAGTGAGACCCCGTCTCAAATAAATAAATAAATAAATAAATAAATAAAGGCAACATCTAGACATTTATATGATCATGCCTGTAATTCAACTATAAAGTCTCTATTAAGTATGAAGTGAGGGGCCGGGCGTGGTGGCTCATGACTGTAATCCCAGCACTTTGGAGGCCAAGGCAGGCAGATCACCTGAGGTCAGGAGTTCAAGACTAGACTGGCCAACATGGTAAAACGCTGTCTCTACTAAAAATTAGCCAGGTGTGGTGGTGGGCGCCAGTAATCCCAGCTACTCAGGAGGCTGGGGCAGAAGAATCGCTTGAAAAGAACCCAGGAGGCAGAGGTTGCAGTGAGCTGAGATAGCACCACTGCACTCCAGCCTGGGCAACAAGAGCGAAACTTCCTCTCAAAGAGAAAAAAAAAGTATTAGTTGGGGAATGGGTGAAAAGTAACACATATTCCTTACTTTACTATTCCACTGTTTTAATATTAAACCATTATGATCTTAGTAAACGCAAACATGCTTATTTTATATTGTGAGGATTGCTCACTGTTGAGTCTCTAGCACTTAGTATAGTGCCTGGCACATAGTAGAAGCTCAATAAGTGTCTGTCAAGAAATAAATGGAAAATAAGGTAATAAGCACTTAGCACAGGGTCTGGCTCAAAGTGCTCAATAAATGGATGCCAGATTGGAATTGAAATCTTGCTTATCAGAACCACAATGCAGATTGTTCTTTGAAGAGCTGTAAAGACAAAAACAGCTTTATCTTTTTGAGATCTAATATTTCCTTTTCTGGTTCTAGTGAATTACTCCTTCTTATGCCCTTGGAAATTGGTTGCATTATCTCTTAATGGAATCCCACCTTTAGCAACTAAGTCTCCATTCTAGTATGATTTCTACTTAATTGAATATATACAAATGACATATGTCCATATAACTAATTCTATCTAAATAAATGACAAGATGTTTACACATAGAATTGTTTGAGGTTAGTTAAACTTTGCAGATTAATACTTGGGAGAAGGGAAGTACTTGCTTTTTTATCTTAAACCTTTTTGTGCTATTTGAATGTTCTAATCACATAAAACATCAAAGAGATTTATACAGGTGAAGAGATTATGAGACATTGTAGCTTTCTTATTTTTACTTTTCTGTACTTAAAAAAGTGGGCTGGGTGCAGTAGCTCACACCTGTAATCTCAGCACTTTGGGAGGCTGAGGCAGGATGATGTCCTGAGCCCAGGAGTTCAAGACCAGCCTGGACAACATACCAAGATCCTAACTCCACAAAAAATAAAAAAAAATTAGCCAGGTATGGTGGTGTGCGTCTGTGGTCCCAGCTACTCCGGAGGCTTGAGGTGAGAGAATAGCGTGAGCCTGAGAGATCAAGGATGCAATGAGCTGTGCCTGCGTCACTGTTCTCCAGCCTGGGCAACTTGAGAGCAAGACCTTGTCTCAAAACAAATAAAAATAAACAAAAAATATTTAAAACGACTATATATTTTAAATGTGGCAGTGGTACATTCAATACTAAATTAAACCCTCTTGAGCTTATTCCAAATATCTGGCAATATGTTCAATCAGGCGCAAAGCTGCTACCCCAAAACACAGACTATGGGGAACAAAAGGAAAATGTGGCTGGGCACAGTGACTCACGCCTGTGATCCCAGCATTTTGGGAGGCTCAGGTGGGAGGACTGCTTGAGGTCAGGAGTTTGAGACCAGCCTGGGCAACATGCAAGACCCCATCTCTATAAACAATAAAAAATTAGTAGGGCATGATGGTGCCTGCCTGTAGTCTCAGCTACTTGGTAAGCTGAGGTGAAAGGGTTGCTTGAGCCCAGGAGGTCAAGGCTGCAGTGAGTTATGATTGTACCACTACATCCTGCCTAGGCGAGACCCTGTCTTTGAAAAAAAAAAAAGGAAATGAAAGAAAGGCAAAACACCATTTCTCCTTCTTGTCTTTACAGGATCCCAGTGACATTTTACTGCAACAAAACCAAACTGTATGAAGTTAAGCCCTGTCTCCAGGAGGCATGAAACCACCTCCACTTCTCGTGATGCTGGCTTCTTCTCAAAACAATCTCAAAGACAGCTCCCCGGATATTTTGAAAATTCAGCTTCTGTTTTTCTGAGAAAAATATATTAATAACTTCTGAATTCTCTGACATTGAATAAATTGAACAAGAGTGTTAGCTTTCATCTACTGGGAAATATTCAAAGCTAAGTCTACTAAATTGAATAAAACTTTTAATAAAATCTCTCTAGTCTAGTCTCATTTTTTAATCTTTAGAGTTTTTGTTTTGTTTAATAGTTTGTATCTTTCTCCTTTTCTTCTGAGACAGAGTCTTGCTTTGTCGCCAGGCTGGAGTCAGCTCACTGCAAACTCCACCTCCTGGGTTCAAGCGATTCTCATGCCTCAGCCTCCCGAGTAGCTGGGATTACAGGCACACGCCACCACAAGCAGCTAATTTTTGCATTTTTAGTAAAGACAGGGTTTCACCATATTAGCCAGTCTGGTCTTGACCTCCTGACTTCATGATCCACCCGCCTCGGCCAGGAATTACAAAGTGCGGGGATTACAGGCGTGAACCACCGCGCCCGGCCTAGTTCGTATCTTTCCTATATTTAAACTCTTCTGCCTAATAGATTTGGCACACTTATACCTTTTATAAAAGTCAATAATGACTACTTAGTTGAAGGAAAAAAGAAATTACTCGCTAAGCTTGTTGCCGAGTTCTTGAAGAGCTTGCTCTTGTTCATGATATATTTTTTTCAACTGCTGATTTTCATCCTGGAGGTTAAGGAACTCCTTCAGAACAATAAAAGACAGAAAATGAAATTTAAAAGAAAGAAACAAGAAACTCCAGATTGTACATATACCATTAATTAGAAACAAACATCCTTTAGCTTTTTAAAAGAAACAAATTGTGTCCAAAGCTCTTTCCTAGCTGCTGTATCAACTATTTTCCATTTACTTAATCTCTTTACTGATATTTTTTAAGATGACTAGTATATCCATTTCCTTGGTATAATGTAAATTATGATTTATCTTTTTAAATAAGTTAACATTTGTCAAGACAGAATTTTTAAAGTTTTACCACTATTTACTTTTTTAAGACTAATGATTTGTTGAGTCTCATTTCTAAGATGAGATAAGGCATCTTTCTCCTTTTGAAGATCTTCCTGCAAAGTCTGCCTCCATTCCTTCTCAATCTTCAAGTCAGTTTCCAGTTGCACCCTTGAATGACAAATAACACACAGAAGCTCAGTGCTATTTCTCACACGACAGTTGTTATGTATTCTTTACTAAAATCACCCTTTTGGTTTATTACTTTGGCCTTTGTAATGCATTTTTCAGACATTTTCTTTCACAAATATTTTTCAGTAAACAAGTTCAGCAGCACAGGGTTTTCCAGTCACAAAATACTGACTCATTTGCCAGCCACGAAAAAATCCTTGCTAAACCATTTATACCATTAATTAATTTCATATACATAAATATTGCATAAGCATAGAAAATGCCTTGGAAAGGCACACACCATAATATTAAAACTGGTTACATCTTGGGAATGGAACTAAGAGGAGGAATGTAAGATTCTAATTGTCTTACACTTCTATGCCATGTGAAAAATTTTACAACAAACTTTATTCCAATATAAGAATTACAGCAATTGCTAAATCAGTTTAACTTCAGTAACGGCAAAATCAGCCCTGTTGCAGAGTGCTAATTTGCAAACTACTGTTGGAAGCTGACCAATTACAGGAAAGACCTAAAACCAAGCAGACATTGGGGGAAAGTCCACACTGCCTGGAAATGCCAGTTCTGAAAGCATTCCTGCATTGTTCTTCTTTTTTTTTTTTCTGAGACAGGGTCTTGCTATGTTGCCAGGCTGGACTCAAACTCCTGGACTCAAACTCCTGGGCTCCTCCCACCTCAGCCTCTCAGCATCTGAGACTATAGGCCTGCCACCAAAACTCCTAAATTATTCTAACAGGTGCTAGCTGGCAAAGCAAACATAGTTGAATTTCCACATTTTAAGTTGACTAAAAAAAAAACAAACACAAATCACTTCCATGATTATTGCTCATAAGCAGGTATAACAAGTGAGGCATTTATCTACTAACAATACTACAGTTACTAATACTTTATATTTTAATTGCAACATTATAATGTTGAGTACATTATTTTAATATGTTTGTGTTAATATTTAGATTATTTTTTATTATTTCCTCATAGTTAGCATTTCCACATACAGCCATATATTTTTCAGTGGAATAAATTTCAGATTTTGTAATTCAGGTTGAAGAGAAGAGTACCTGAAAATGGAATTTACAAATTATTGATAAATACTATTTTACTACAAAGTTAAAATTTGAACAGCATCTCTTCAACTAATGTTATTTCATTACAATGCTGACAAGAAAAAAAACTGATTCCCACTAGCACCACTGTCTGTGTGAAGTCTGCACATTCTCTCCATGTCTGTGTGAGTCTTCTCCAGGTACTCCAGTTTCCTCCCAGATCCCAAAGATGTGCACGTTAGATGAACTGGCATTATCTACATTGTCCCAGCCTGAGTGTGGGTGTGTTTGGGTGCATCCTGTGACGGAATGGTGTCCTGTGGAAGACTGGTTCCTACTGGGTGCCTGAGCCACCAGGACAGGCTCCGGCCACCAGAGAGCCTGAACTGTAAAATTGGGCAAAGAATTAGCTTACTCGTTTTTATCCATCTTTCTTAAATGTATGCATAACTCACGTTTATTTCAATATTTAATATTAGAAGTGTTCTGGTCTTTAATTAGCAGTTTAGTGATGTTTTTGTGAACATAATTATGCAGTAGAAACTTAACTCTTCATATCAAGTAGCCTATGATAAAACTGGTTTCATTTAGCATCATTTCACTCAGTCAGAGTTTCCAAGAACCGTTGATGCCATTAAGTGAGGACTTACTGTGTATGTTACATAATGTGAGGACTTACTGTGTATGTTACAAACACTGAAGTAACCAAAGCACACAGTACCCTGTTGAATGGCCTCATCATCCAGAATCAGAAAAAAAGTGAATGAAAAAGCAAAGGAAAATTTTGTTTTTAAGTTATATAAATATATTGTAAGAATACATGTTGAATACTAAAGGCAAAAACCACAAAAGGAAAAAGGGAAGATGTACTAAGTTTGGTGGCTCATGCCTGTAATCACAAAACTTTGGGAGGCCAAAGCGGGCAGATCTCTTGAGGCCAAGAGTTCAAGACCAGCCTCCCCAACATGGTGAAACCCCATCTCTACTAAAAATACAAAAATTAGCCGGGTGTGCTGGTGCCCACCCATAATTCCAGCTACTACTTGGAAGGCTGAGGCAGAAGAATTGCTTGGACCCGGGAGGCGGAGGTTGCAGTAAGCCAAGATCTCACTACTGCACTCTAGCCTGGGTGACTGAGCAAGAACTCCATCTCAAAAAAAAAAAAAAAAAAAAGAGAGAGAAAGAAAAAGGAAGATGTAAGTACATAAAGAATTAAAATGTCTAAATAAAAATCACTATAATCTAAATTTTAAGATAAACAATAAACTTAGAAAAAATTTTCAGGCTGGGCGCAGTGGCTTATGCCTGTAACTCCAGCACTTTGGGAGGCCGAGGCAGGTGGATCACTTGAGGTCAGGAGTTCGAGAACAGCCTGGCCAACATGGTGAAACCCTGTCTCTACTAAAAATACAAAAATAGCCAGACATGGTGGCACACACATTTAATCCCAGCTATTCAGGAGGCTGAGGCACGAGAATTGCTTGAACCTTGGAGGTAGAGGTTGCAGTGAGCTAAAATCGCACCATTGCACTCCAGCCTGGGCAACAGAGTGAGACTCTAAAATATATATATATATATATATAATATTAAATATATTAAATAAATAATTAATAATATATAATATATATAATATAATGTTATATGGTATATATTATAATAATATATAATATAAATAAATAAATATATTAAATAAATATATATATATATAAATATATATATTTATGGTTCATGCCTGTAATCCCAGCACTTTCAGAGGCCGAGGCGTGCAGATCACAAGGTCAGGAATTCGAGACCAGCCTGGCCAACATGGTGAAACCCTGTCTCTACTAAAAACACAAAAATTATCTGGGCGTGGTGGCGGGTGCCTGTAATCTCATCTACTCGGGAGGCTGAGGCATGAGAATTGCTTGAACCCAGGAGGCGGAGGCTGCAGTGAGCTGAGATTGCGCCACTGCATTCCAGCCTGGGTGACAAAAAAAAAAATAGTGGTATCACTATAGAATAAGTTGCATTACTGCAGAATATCAGATTTGTCTTACCTATGCTTTTGTCAAACACTAGAAAGGTAATTCAGTAACAGAGTACCAGAGTTTCAAGACTGTATTCTACTGACCAGCAAAGTATCCCAGTCGTGTTCTTCATGTGTTTCATTTGGCAAGGCACAGAGTCTTACACAACAAACCCAGTGCACCATTAATAAATCTGATGACTTAAATGCTCCTTGTAACTTAAAATTAAGAGGAATTATTTTTTTTCTGAATGTTTTGGGGTTTTTATTTTGTTCTGTTTTTAGAGACAGGAACTCACTCTGTCACCCAGTAGGCTGAAGTTTAGTGGCACAATCACAGCTCACAGCAATCTTGAACTCCTGGGCTCAAGCAATCCTTTTGCTTCATCTTGCCGAGCAGCTGGGGCTACAGGTGTGTGCCACAACACCCAGCTAATTTTTTCTTTCTTTCCTTCTTTTCTTTTCTTTCTTTCTCTTTTCTTTCTTTCTCTCTCTCCCTCCCTCCCTGCTTTTTCTTTCTTTCTCTATCTCTCTCCCTCCCTCCCTCCCTCCCTCTCTCTCTCTCTCTCTTTCCTTCCTTTCTTTCTTTCTTTTTGTAGAGACAGGGTCTCACTATGTTGCCCAGGCTGGTCTTAAACTCCTGGCGTCAAGCAATCCTCTCACCTTAGCCTCCTAAAGTGCTGGGATTACAACCATGTGCCACCACACCTGGCCCTGTTTTTGGCTTTGGGAGTGGATTTCAATTTCACAGTTTTCACAATGTAGAAATAATGTGGGTTGTCTTTTTTTTTTTTTTTTGAGACGGAGTCTCGCTCTGTCGCCCAGGCTGGAGTGAAGTGGCGTGACCTCAGCGCACTGCAACCTCCGCCTCCCGGGTTCAAGTAATTCTCCTGCCTCAGCCTTCTGAGTAGCTGGGATTACAGGCGCCTGCCACCATGCCCAGCTAATTTTTCTTTAATTTTTAGTAGAGATGGGGTTTCACCATGTTGGTCAGGCTGGTCTCGAACTCTTGACCTCATGATCCGCCTGCCTCAGCCTCCCAAAAGTGCTAGGATTACAGGCGTGAGCCACCAGGCCCAGCCTGTAGGTTTTTAACCACAGTAATACTTCCTGGCCTAAAGCCAGGGAATTCTACATATTAATTCCTCAAATTTCTCAAATTATTATATTTGAGAAATATTAATTTCTCAAATTACAGGTGCAGTGGCTCACACCTGTAATCCCAGCACTTTGGGAGGCCGAGATAGGCGGGTCACCTGAGGTCGGGAGTTCAAGACCAGCCTGACCAACATGGAGAAACCCTGTCTCTACTAAAAATACAAAATTAGCCAAGAGTGGTGGCACATGCTTGTAATCCCATCTACTTGGGAGGCTGAGGCAGGAGAATCGCTTGAACCCGGGAGGCGGAGGTTGCAGTGAGCCAAGATCGCGCCATTGCATTCCAGCCTGGGCAACAAGAGCAAAACTCCATCTCAAAACAACAACAACAAGAGAAGACTCCAGAAAGTAAAGAGAAGAAGTTTGATCAGCTAGGAACTCCAGGAATCAAAGAACAACATGGTGATGAGTTACCTCAGGTTTCTTTTTATCTCATATATAGCTCATATTGGGTGTTGATGAAGCCCTCAACCCATTAAATACTAATGGGCATAGACAAAAAAAGCCCCAAGTGGAGCTGTTCCCGGGCCAAAGGGCCAGGAAATAGCCTAGCAAGACAGAAAACTCTGGACAATAAATGCCCTATTCCAGCAAAACACCCGAGAAAAAACCCATGCCCCCGCAACAAACCTCAGTCAGCAAAGGCTGAGTGAGGAGCCTGGATTTCTACTCTTGCCTGGCAATGATGAGGTAAAGTTCTTGCACCCTGCTGTGGTAGTATCAGAAAATGCCAAGTGGGAGCCTGAACCTTCCTAACCCCCAGCAGTAATAAGGCATCTGTTATGGTTTGAATGTTTGTCCTCTTCAAAACTCACATTGAAACTTAATTCCCAATTTAACAATATTAAGAAGTAAGGCCTTGCCGGCACAGTGGCTCATGCCTGTAATCCCAGCACTCTGGGAGGCCAAGGCAAGCAGATCACTTGAGGTCAGGAGTTTGAGACCAGCCTGGTCAACATGGTGAAACCTCATCTCTACAAAAAATACAAAATTTAGCCAGGTGTGGTGGTGTGTGCCTATAGTCCCAGCTACTAGGGGGGCTGAGGCAGGAGGATTGCCTGAACTGGGGAGGTCAAGGCTGCAGTAAGCTGAGATTGTACCACTGCACTACAGCCTGGGCAACAGAGCCAGACCTTGTCTCAAAAAAAAAAAACAAAAAAAAAAACAAAAAAAAACCAGGCGAGGCCTTTAAGAGGTAATTGGCTTATGAGGTCTCTGCCTTCATGAATGAATTAACAGGTTAATGGACTAACAGGTTATCACAAGAATGGGTCTGTTATAACAGCCAGTTTGGTAGGCCAGGAATGGTGGCTGACACCTGTAATCCAAGCACTTTGGGAGGCCAAGGCAGGAGGATCACTTGAGTCTAGGAGTTCAAGACCAGCCTAGGCAACATAGAGAGATCATGTCTCTATAAGAAAAATAATAAATAAAAATAAAAAATAAAAGCCAGTTTGACTCTCGGTACACCCCTCTTGCCCTGTGATGTCTTCTGCCATGTTATGATGCAGCACAAAGCCCTCACCAGAAGATGACCAAATGTAGCTGCCCAATCTTGGACTTCCCAGATTCCAGAACTGTAAGAAATAAACCTGTTTTCTTTTTAAATTACCCAGTCTCGGGTATTCAGTTATATTAATAGAAAGTAAACTAATCTAGGCCGGGCACGGGGGCTCGTGCCTATAATCCCAGCACTTCGGGAGGCCAAGGCAGGTGGGTCACATGAGGTCAGGAGCTCGAGACCAGCCTGACCAACATGGCAAAACCTCATCTCTACAAAAAATACAAAAAATTAGCCGGGCATGGTGGTAAGTGCCTGTAATCCCAGCTACTAAAGAGGCTGAGGCACAAGAATCGCTAGAACCGGGGAGGCAGAGGTTGCAGTGAGCCGAGATTGCACCACTGCACTCCAGCCTGGGCAACAGAGCGAAAACTCTGTCTCAAAAAAACAGAAAGTAAACTAATCCAGTCTATCCCTGGATCTAAGGGAAAAAAATAAAGACAAAAGAAAACAAAGTGTCTCTGAAGCAACCCCACTGGTAACAATGGAAGAGTAACCTGGGACTTGAATCCCCATGCAGCAGTAACAAGGCATTTCTTTTTTCTTTTTTTTTTTTTTTTTTTGAGACAGAGTCTTGCTGAAATAAAAATAAATTAGCCAAGCATAGTGGTGTATGCCTGTAGTCCTAGCTACTCAGGAAGCTTGGGCAGAAGGATCACTTGAGTCCAGAAGTTCAGGTTCACAGTGAGCCAGGTAGGGCACATGCCACTGCCCTACAGCCTGGCCGACAGCAAGACCCTATCTCAAAACAAAACACAAACAAAACAAACAACAAAAGAAAACAGATCAAATGGAAATCTTAGGACTGAAAAATACAATAATCTTACTGAAATGGCTCAAGAGAAGAATGAAGATGGTGAGGGAAGAATGAATGAATTTGAAAATATAACAACAGAAATTATCCAATCTGAACAGGAACCTGTGGGACTACTAAAAAAAAAAGGTCAGCTGGGCTCAGTGGCTCACGCCTGTAATCCCAGCACTTCGAGAGGCCAAGGTGGGTGGGTCACAAGGTCAAGAGATCGAGACCATCCTGGCTAACATGGTGAAACCCTGTCTCTACTAAAAATACAAAAAATTAGCCGGGTGTGGTGACGGGCACCTGTAGTCCCAGCTACTCGGGAGGCTAAGGCAGGAGAATGGAGTGAACCCAGGAGGCGGAGCTTGCAGTGAGCTGAGACCGCGCCACTGCACTCCAGCCTGGGTGACAGAGAGAGGCTCTGTCTCAAAAAAAAAAAAAAAAAAAGCCAGGAGTGGTGGCTCACACCTGTAATCCCATCACTTCGGGAGGCCGTGTGATGGGTCAGGAGTTCAAGACCAAACTGGCTAAGATGGTGAAACCCCGTATCTACTAAAAATACAAAAAAATTAGCCAGGCGTGGTGGTAGGTGCCTATAATCCCAGCTACTCAGGAGGCTGAGGCAGGAGAATCGCTTGAATCCAGGTGGCAGAAGTTGCAGTGAGCCAAGATCGCACCACTGCACTCCAACCTGGGCGACAGGCTGAGACTCCATCTCAAAAAAAAAAAAATACAAAAATTAGCTGGGCATGATGGCGCACGCCTGTAGTTCTAGCTACCCAGGAGACTGAGGCAGAAGAATCGCTTGAATCCAGGAGGCGGAGGTTGCAGAGAGCCGAGATCGCGCCACTGCACTCTAGCCTGGCGACAGAGCGAGACTCCGCCTCAAAAAAAAAAAAAGACCCAACATTCACGGTATCAGAGGCTCTGAAGGGGAGAAGAAAGCAACTGACACTAAAAAAAAATCTGAAAAAGTAATGGCTGAGAATTTCCCAAATCTGACAAAGACATAAACCTACACATATAAGAAGCTGACCAAATCCCAAATAGGTTAAAGCCCAAAAAACATTTTTTTTGAAAGCAGTAAGACAGAAATGACATTAACACCTAAAGAGAAACAACAATTCAAATGACAGTGTATTTTTAATCAGAAAACCATAAAGGCCAAGAGAGAGTGGCATAAGATTTCTCCAGTGCTAAAAGAACTGCCAACCCAGAATTCTATACCCAGTGAAAATATCTTTCAGAAATGAAGGTAAAATAGAATTTATTGCCAACAGACCTACCCTAAAAGAATGGCTAAAGAGCTGAGCATGGTGGCTCACACCTGTAATCCCACCTTCTGAGTAGGTTTATTTGAGGCCAGGCATTCAAGAGTAGCCTGAGCAACATAATAAGACCTCATTTCTAAAAAAAAATTTAAGGCCAGGTGCAGTGGCTCACGCCTGTAATCCTAACACTTTGGAAGATCATGGCAGGAGAACTGCTTGAGGCCAGGAGTTCAAGACCAGCCTGGGCAACATAGCAAGATCCTGTCCCTATAAAAATTAGCCAGGTGTGGTGGTATGCTACTATCATCCTAGCTACTCAGGAGGCTGAGGTGAGAGGATCCCTTGAGCCCATGAGTTCAAAGCTGCAATGAGTTATGATCACGCCACTACACCCCAGCCTGGGCGACAGAGGAACAAGTCCCTATCTCAAAAAAATAAAATAAAATAAGTTTTTTAATTAGCTGGCATGGTGGCACATGCCTATAGTCCCAGCTACTTGGGAGGTAAAGGCAAGAGCATTGCTTGAGCCCAGGAGCTTGAGGTTGCAGTGAGCCATGATCACACTACTGTATTCCAGCCTCAGTGACAGAGTGAGACCCCTCTCTCTTTAAAAAAAAAAAAAAAAAAAAAAGAGGCCAGGCACAGTGGCTCACGGCTGTAATCCCAGCACTTTGGGAGGCCACGGTGGCCAGATCGCTTGAGCCCAGGAGTTCGAGATCGTTCTGGGCAACATGAAGAAACCCCGTGTCCACCAAAACAAATAAATAAATACAAAAATACAAAAATTAGCCAGGTATGGTGACATGCACCTGTAGTCTCAGCTACTCAGGAGCCTGAGATGGGAGGATTACTAAGCCCAGGAAATCAAGGCTGCAGTGAGCTGTGGTCACACCACTGCACTCCAGCCTGGGTGACACAGCAAGACCCTGTATCAAAAAAAAAAAAGAATGTTTAAAGAAAGTTCAGACACACACAAAAAAACTTGGAGCTTCAGGAATAAAAAATAATAATGAAGTTTTCTAAATTAGATTAAATTTAAACATTAAATTCTGTTTATGGTTGCACATATTACAACATTGTCTAACATGATTCTCAATATATGTAAAAGAGATAATTAAGCAAATTATATTAAAGAGGGGACAAGGTATGAATACTTAAATAGAGGTAAGGTTTTCACACTTCATCCAAAGTGGTAAAATGTTAATGCCAACAGACTGTGGAAAAATAGCATATGTGTAATATAATGTCCACAGCAAACACCAAAAATCTATACCAAGAGATGCATTCAAAATTGCTACAGATAAATCAAAATGGAATTCTAAATAATGTTCATGTAACTTATGGGAAGGCAGAAAAAATTAAATAGAGGAACAACAAACAGGAAAAACAAATTAAACAATAAAATGGCAGACTTAAGCTCTACTGTATCAATAATTACAACAAATATAAATGGACTAAATATACTGTGAAAAGACAGAGTTGGAAGAATTGATTTTAAAAGCATGAAGCAGGCCAAGCATGATGGCTCATGCCTATAATCCAAATGCTTTAGGAGGCTGAGGCAGAGGAATCACTTGAGGCCAGGAGTTCCAGACCAGCTTAGGATACATAGCAAGACCTCCATCTCTTAAAAAAAAAAATTGTTTTATTAGCCAGGTGTAGTGGCGTATGCCTGTAGCCCTAGCTACTCAGGAGGCTGAGGCAGGAAGATCTCTTGAGCCTAGGAATTAGAGGCTGCAATGAGCTATAATGGCACCACTATACTCCAACCTGGGCAACAAAGCAAGATCCTGTCTCTAAAAAACAAATAGCAGCAACAACAAAACATGAACTATATGCTGTCTATAAGAAACTTTCGGCTGGGAGCAGTGGCTCATGCCTGTAATTTGGGAGGCCAAGGTGGGAGGATCACTTGAGCTCAGGACTTCAAGATCAGTGTGGGCAACATACCAAGACCTTGTCTCTACTAAAAAAATAAAAAGAAAAATAAGTTAGCTGGGTATGGTGGCACAATGCCTAAGGTCCCAGCTACTCTGCAAGCTGAGGTTGGGAGGATTGCTTGAGCCTAGGAGATCAAGGCTGCAGTGAGCTATGATCATGCCACTGCACTCCAGGCTGGGCAAGAGTGAGATCCTGTCCCAAAAAAAAAAAAAAAAAAAAAAAAGGAAAAGAAACTTCAAGCCAGGGATGGTGGCTCACACCTGTAATCCCAACACTTTGGGAGGCAAAGGTGGGAGGATCGCTTGAGGCTAGGAGTGCAAGACTAGCCTGGGCAGCATAGCAAGACCCTGTCTCTCCAAAAGAAAAAAAAGAAACTTCAAACATCATAAAGGTAGACTGAAAATTAAAAAATGGAAAAATATACACTTTAATCAACGGAAAGCAGGAGTCACTATATTAATATCAGAAAAATTAACTTCAGAGCAAAAAAAAATTACCAAAGACAAAGAAGTACATCATATAATGACAAAAGGGTCAACCTACCAAGAAGACATATTAACAGTCCTGAATATGTAGGCACCAAGTAACAGAGCTTTAGAATACAATAAGCAAAAACAGAATTGAAAAAATATATTTACCAATCCACAATTACAGTTGGATATTTCAACAAATCATCCCTCAATAATTAAAAACTACTAGACAGAAAATCACCAAGGACAGAGAAGAACTTAACACTTCAATAGGTATAAAGGCAGCTTAGCAACTTATACATCATACATGGCATGTGGTCTTGTTTTAATGATCTGTTAATATAATATGTAACTATTTTCCATTGTTGTTTTCTTTTTTCTTTGGTTGTTTGTTCTTATTGTTGTTTTCTTTTAATAACAGAATTGGTGCATATTAACTGGGGGAAAATACTGATGTTTATAAAATAAAACTAAAATGCCCCTGTCAACCTCAACCTGCCAGCATTCACCTGAAATAACCACTCCCCAGAATCTGTATTCTTTAAAATCTTTTCTATCTATATATAAATATATATGCATGCATGGTTTTAATTTTATTTTTAAAATTGAATCATATTTGGCATACTGTCTGCAACTTGCTTTTTTTCAGCACAACAACATATACTAACATCCTTCCTGGTTGGTGACATATAGATCATATAAAGTTCTAATAAAAATGTTCTCAGAAGCTGGGCATGGTGGCTCACTTCTGTAATCCCAACACTTTGAGAGTTGAGACGGGAGAATCACTTGAGTCCAGGAGTTAGAGATCAGTCTGAACAACACAGCAAGACTCCATTTCCACAATTTAAAAAAAATGTTAGGGAGCTAAATGATAAGAACTTACGAACACAGAGAAGGAAACAACAGATACAGGTGTCTATTTGAGGGGGGAGGATGGGGGGAGGGAAAGGAGGAGAAAAGATAACTATTGGGTACTGGGCTTAATACCTGGGTGATAAAATAATATACACAACAAACACCCATGACACGTGTTTACCTAGTAACAAGACTTCACATGTACCCCCAAACCTAAAATAAAAGTTAAAAAAAAAATTAGAGACAATTGGCCGGGTGTGGTGGCTCACACCTGTAATCCCAGCACTTTGGGAGGCTGAGGCAGGTGGATCACGAGGTCAGGAGATCAAGACCATCCTGGCTAACACAGTGAAACCCCATCTCTACTAAAAATACAAAAAAAATTAGTTGGGTGTGGTGGCGAGTGCCTGTAGTCCCAGCTACTCAGGAGGCTGAGGCAGGAGAATGGCGTGAACCCGGGAGGCGGAGCTTGCAGTGAGCCGAGATCACACCACTGCACTCCAGCCCAGGCGATAGAGCGAGACTCCATCTCAAAAAAAAAAAAAAATCAGACACAATTAAAACAAAAAGTTCGCCAGGCACAGTGGCTCACGCCTGTAATCCTAGCACTCTGGGAGGCCAAGGCAGGCAGATCACCTGAGTTCAGGAGTATGAGACTAGCCTGGCCAACGTCATGAAACTTTGTCTCTAATAAAAAATACAAAAACTTAGCCAGGTGTGGTGGCACAAGCCTGTAGTCCCAGCTACTCGGGAGGCTGAGACAGGAGAATTGCTTGAACCCAGGAGGCAGAGGTTGCAGTGAGCCACCAAGGTCGTGCCATTGCACTCCAGCCTGGGCGACAGAGTGAGACTCCATCTCGAAGGAAAAAAAAAAAAGTTGATTTAAAAAAAAATGTTCTCGGCTGGGTGCAGTGGCTCATGCCTGTAATCCCAGCACTTTGGGAGGCCAAGACGGGTGGATCACCTGAGGTCAGTAGTTCAAGACCAGCCTGGTCAACATGGTGAAACCCCATCTCTACTAAAAATGCAAAAAATTAGCCAGGCGTGGTGGCAGGCACCTGTAATCACAGCTACTCAGGGGGCTGAGGCAGGAGAATCGCTTGAACCCAGGAGGCAGAGGTTGCAGTGAGCTGAGGTCACATGCCATTGCATTCCAGCCTGGGCAACAAGAGTGAAACTTCATCTCAAAAAAATGTGTGTATATATATATATATATATATATATATATATATATATATATATATATATTCTCAGAAAACAGCATGTCCTTTAATAATATAAGTTTCTTGTAGTTACAAAAGCCTATACTCAGCACCTAGAAACATAATGACCATCAGATTAATGTTAAACAACAGAAGAATGAATAAAACTCTCCTAGAGCAAGAAGACAGCAAAACAGAGTTGAAAGTACTCTGTAAATCATAAAGGGAGTAAAAACATAAGTATTATTACAATTATATTTTCTAAATTTTTTTGTTTTTTAAAGTAAACACTAAAAGCTAACTGGCATCATTAGATAAATAAAAATATTGGTATTCTATCATTATGTGCAAAAAAATGAGGGGGTTATGTTAACACAAGTATTTGTTTCTGAGAGTGAAATACTCACAGCTGTTTCTCCTTTTGGGAGATTTGTTTCTGCAGACTATCAGATTTACTGAGACATTCTTGTAGATATTTCTCATCCTCATCTTCAGCTTCCATTTGCGCCTTCTCTGCTTGCTGCAATCTGGTGTAATTCAAATCAACTTTGGGTAAAACTGAGGCTAGAACTAGGGTGTAAAAGGGTGAAGAAGACAAATAAAAGAAAAATGGGGAAATAGAAACATTTCTAAATGAAAACAAAGTTTGGGGGAAAACTCACAAACTCAAACGTGAAAGAGCCACACAATGTCTAGAAGTTGTTTTGTGATTTTTTTTTTTCAATATAACATGTAGTATGCCCAGAATACTATCTTCAAATTTGTTTTATTTCTTGTTCATAATTAACAGTGCAAAGCAATACAGCCTTTACCACTTATGCAGAGCATAACGAATCAAATTTCAAAGCATAATAGGTATGTTACTACCTTTTTACAAAACCATGAAAAGCAAAGGATTTATGCCTACACTAGGTGAAGAAGCCACACTGTTATATGTTATGCTAGGATGTGTATGCCAGGAATCAAGTGTGCTACAAGGCCAAGAGCAAAGACCTGCAATTACTCCAAATGATAGCCAAGTCCTTCTTACGGCATCTTTATGCATTTACTAAATTATGCCGAAGCTCTGTGTGTGTGTGTGTGTGCACGTGTGCATATATGTTTAAGATTCAAAAAGAATTTGGTGCCAGTTGGCATCATTTGCTAGAGATCATTTTTGTTCCTCACCATTTAATATTAAAAATTAGCTAAAACATTGTGATTTTCATCTTTCCTGTTTTTATTTGTAAGTCGTTGCATTTTCCTGTGCTTAGCTCCACTCCCTGCCTTCTTTGGCCATCTAGGATTTCTTGTATTTAACTTCAATATTTTTATAAGAAAATATTTACCAAGATTCAAAGGATATTAACTCCTTGCAGGAAATCACAAGAGAAATTTCGGTTCAACTAACTAAAAAACTCTTCCTCTTCCTTTCTTCCTTAAAACCATACCAATGGAGCAACCCTCACATATTTCAGGGGTATAAATGCTGCTTCCAAGGAAGGGAGAGTAACATTTAAGTTATCTCCAAATCCAAGTTTAAATTAAAATATTCAGGTGCTGGGATTGGACCCAAGCTTTTCTCTAAGGTTACAAAAAGGAAAATAGAAGTCAGAGTGAGGTAGGCCTTGAAGTTGTGCTATCACAGAAGAGGGCAAGGGAGAACCGGAAAACTGAGAAGCTGAAGCACAGGGTGTTGGCCAGTCTGGGTTATAAATTATTTTAAAGCATATGTAAAAATCTGTAAGGGAGCCATTGGGCAAAGAGTGGGCCAATGAGAAAAAAATATCTGTGCCAACACAGTATAAAACTGAAGGTTAAGTTATTTTTAAACAATCTTTATATTTTTCATCAAAAAGTAGCTAAAAAGATAAAACTGCATTTGAAAATCCTGACCTCCAAAGGGTCAATACTCAAATCACCCTTTGTGCACAAGGTTTGAGGAACGTATGTCTGGAAATCCAAGTGCACCCACTCTGCTTGATGGCAGTGTATTACCACAGCAGCTGACCAAGAAATGTACAGGGTTCCTAACATCCTTTTAGAATATTTAATAGCATTTAGATTCCTTTCTATTTAATATATTATAAAATTGTTGATTCTCTTTTCATTTAGTCTGTTTAAATACAAGTGGTCTTCAGAAAGATATATCTTTAACCAGCTTGTACTGGTCCTGCGTGTCACTGCTGGCACATTTCACCAATGACATTGCAATTGTCCTAGTTTGAGTTAACAAATCGTTGTCACTTCATAATGGAATGGAAAGAAATCAAAGACAGAAAAAGGTAATAAAAATGTCCAAAATGTAAAAATGGGGATAAAGAAAACAAAAAAGAAAAAAGAAGAAAGAGGATGTCAATAAAAGAATATTCATGTCAATAAAGCATTAATAGTTATGTTTTTCATAAGTAGATTCAAAGAAAGCAATGATAAAAGACATATGTTGACACCAACATGACAGGGCAATGGAAATACATTACATTTTCCAACAATAAAAGTGAAAAATGCCAATATAAAACAATTCAATTTAAACAAAATTATATCCTCGGTTGGGTTGAGGGTCCTAGCTCAAAGAAACAAAACTAAACCACCAATTCGGAATGCTTGATTTCAGATAAACAGATGGTGAATGGCAAAGAATATGACAATTAATATGCATGGAAATCAATCAGGGATAATCTCACTCTGTTTGTTCATTTTTAATTTTTTTGACATTTTTATTTGTGTATTTGTTTTATGTAACTGAACGACATGAAACTGCTGATATTAGGCCTCTAAGAAAAATCTACAATATGACAACTTCAAATGAATCAGCGTAATATAAAGCAACTTGATTCCATGCAACAACCAAAGCAAAAACGCAAAATCCTGCTGGGCTTAAACAAAAAACATGTCCTAATCTATGTCTTCCTAATGGTTTTTGTGGCAGGTGTAGGAACTGAATAAAGAAAAAGGGAAGAAGAAAAGAAAAAAAGAAACTAAGACTGGAAATGCTGTACCTTTGTTCCAGCTGCCTCATGGCTGCAGTAATTTTATTGGTTTTTTCTTCTAGTCGGGCAATTATTTCATTTTTTTCTTTCAAGCCATCTTCAGAACCCTATTTATAAAAACAAAAGCTATGGTGGTTTTGATTTGTGTGTGTGTGTTTGTGTGTGTGTGTGTGTGCGTGTTTTTAATAGATAGGGTATCACTATGCAGCCCAGGTTGGATTTGAACTTCTGGGCTCAAGCTATCCCACCTCTCAGCCTCCCAAGTAGAGTTCTGATCTGTTAACCTGAGTATTTATAAGTTTCTTACACCATTTTGCTATGGGACTGTTACTTTGAAATGAACAGAGTTACTTTATACATTAAAATAATTGTGTGATATAAAGCAGTGCTATTAGTCATTTTTTTTTTTTTTTGAGACAGTCTCACTCTGTCGCCCAGGCTGGAGTGCAGTGGCACCATCTCGCCTCACTGCAAGCTCCGCCTCTCAGGTTCACGCCATTCTCCTGCCTCAGCCTCCCAAGTAGCTGGGAATACAGGTGCCCGCCACTGCGCCCAGCTAATTTTTTTGTATTCTTAGTAGAGACAGGGTTTCACTGTGTTAGTCAGGATGGTCTCGATCTCCTGACCTTGTGATCTGCCCGCCTTGGCCTCCCAAAGTGCTGGGATTACAGGCATGAGCCACCGCACACGGCCCTTTTTTTTTTTTTTTAAGATGGGGTCTTGCTATGTTCACCAGGCTGGTCTCGAACTCCTGGCATCAAACAATCCTCCCATCTCGGCCTCCCTAAGTGCTAGGATTACAGCATGAGCCATGGCACCTGGCCTCTATTAGTCCTCATTTAAAATGTAATAGGCCGGGTGCAGTGGCTCTTTGGGAGGCCTTTGTAATCTCAGCTCTTTGGGAGGCCAAGGTGGGAGGATCGCTTGAGACCAGCCTGGGCAATATAGTGAGACCTCATCTCTACAGAAAACAAAAGAAAAAAAGAAAAAAAAATTAAAAAATAAAATGTAATAAAGGAAAAAAAAACTCCACCTTCAATATTTTTGGAAGATGACAGAATACACTCTTGTAAAATATGACATTTTTCAAATTAATTAAATTGTAAAGGGTTTTGGCAACATATCTACTTAATAGCAATATCATCGTACAAAACTCACAATTATGGGCCAGGCATGGTGGCTCACGCCTGTAATCTCAGCACTTTGGGAGGCCGAGGTGGGCGGATCACCTGAGGTCAGGAATTCGAAACCAGCCTGGCCAACATTGTGAAACCCCATCTCTACTAAAAATACAAAAATTAGCCGGGCGTATTGGTATATGCCCGTAGTCCCAACTACTAGGGAGGCTGAGGCAGGAGAATCGCTTGACCCTGGGAGGCAGAGGTTGCAGTGCGTCGAGATCTCACCACTGTACTCCAGCCTGGGCAACAGAGCGAGACTCCATCTCAAAAAAAAACAAAGAAAGAAAATTTACTATTTTGATAGTGTAGCATTTCAATCAAAATTAAATCTTTCTTAGAACTACACTGGAAAAGGAAGTTCACAAAAACGTTTTGCAGTTTAAATTGAGAGTTTTCCCAAAAGATTTAATCTTCATACTCTTAATCTTTCAACATTAAAAATTTAGACAGGTGATATTTTGTTTGTTGATACCTTTTTCATTACATTTCTTAAGCTTTCATTTAGAAAAAAAAAGACATTGGCCTTTATAATATTGCACAGTTAAAATAAAATGGGCTCATCTCTTAAAAACCAAAACCTTTCTACAAATATTCACTTTCAATTTACATAAAATGAAATTTAAGAACAATCCTTACCTGCAACTTTTGATACATCTCTATGTTAATTGCTTTAACTTCCTCTAGTTGTTGTCGAAGGCCTATCAGAGTATCTTGTTTCTCATGGATATCTTTCTCCAGCAACTTCATGGCAAGTTCAATCTCATGCTTCATACTAACTTGTACTGCTAGCTCATTCTCTACATCCTGCAATTTCAATGTATCCTCAATTCACATGCCACTTCAGGATGTAAAAATTAGATATACTTTAAGAAAGATTTTCCATTCAATATGCAGACTACACCTTTTAAGTCCACTAAAGGGAATCAACCAGGCCCTATAACAAGGCAATAAATATTTTGAAATGCAGGGCCAGGCGCAGTGGCTCATACCTGTAATCCCAGCACTTTGGGAGGCCAAGGTGGGTGGATCACTTGAGGTCAGGAGTTCAAGACCAGCCTGACCAACATGGTGAAACTCCGTCTCTACCAAAAATATACAAAAACTTAGCCAGGCATGGTGGCACACGCCTGTAGTCCCAGCTACCAGAGAGGCTGAGGTGAAAGAATCACTCGAACCCAGGAGGCAAAGGTTGCAGTGAGCTGAAATCACACCACTGCACTCCAGCGGGGGCAAGAGAGTAAGACTCTGTCTCAAAAAGTAAGTAAATATTTTCAAACGCAGTTTTTGTTAAAATGAAAGCATTTTCTATATTCTGTTAATCATTACTCTTTAACGGTCCAAGAATTAATCATTTTTATGCTTCATAGATTGAATATTAATTTTCCTTAAACAAAAGGAAATGAAGCAGTCTGTACATGTAAAGGCCAAAGTAACTCAAATAACAGTTTAATTTCCTTTTTTTTTTTTTTTTGAGACGGAGTCTCGCTCTGTTGCCCAGGCTGGAGTGCAGTGGCACCATCTTGGCCCACTGCAAGCTCCGCCTCCCAAGTTCATGCCATTCTCCTGCCTCAGCCTCCCGAGTAGGTGGGACCACAGGGGTCTGCCACTATGACTGGCTAATTTTTTTTTTTTTTGTATTTTTAGTACAGACAGGGTTTCACCATGTTAGCCAGGATGGTCTCGATCTCCTGACCTTGTGATCCACCAGCCTCCGCCTCCCAAAGTGCTGGGATTACAGGCGTGAGCCACCGTGCCCGGCCAACACAGTTTAATTTCTTAAGAATTTTTTATCAGAAGGATTAAAAAGTTTCTTATGATTTATTTTAAGAAATTTATTGGCCTGGTGCGGTGGCTCATGCAGGTAATCCCAGCACTTTAGGAGGCCAAGGTGGGCAGATCATGAGGTCAAGAGATCGAGACCATCCTGGCTAACATGGTGAAACTCCGTCTCTACTAAAAATACAAAAAATTAGCCGGGCGTGGTGGCGGGCGCCTATAGTCCCAGCTACTCGGGAGGCTGAGGCAGGAGAATGGCGTGAACCTGGGAGGCAGAGCTTGCAGTGAGCCGAGATGGCGCCACTGCACTCTAGCCTGGGCAACAGAGCGAGACTCTATCTCAAAAAAAAAAAAAAAGAAAAAAAAAAGAAATTTATTAGCATTCAAGACAAACAGAAAAGGTGATAAAAAGATGGGCAATATTCTCTTCTTGACCTGGGTGGAGGTTACGCAGGTTATTTGTGTTATAATTCATTAAGCTGTATATTCGTATTTTTCTGTTGGCATTATATTTCACAATTTCAAAGGTTAAAAAACAAGTTAATTTTAAATATGACTTTCCTAATATTTGAATATGTCATTCTGTTCTATTTCATTTTCTATAACGCTGGTCATAACCCATTCATTCACAATCATATACTGTAACTTACAGTTTAAAAAACACTGATACAGGTCAGGCACAGTGGCTTATGCCTATAATCACAGCACTTTGGGAGGCCAAGGCAGGTGGATCACTTGAGGCCAGGAGTTTGAGCCCAGCCTGGCCAACACGGCAAAGCCCCATCTCTATAAAAAATACAAAAGTTAGCCAGGCATGGTGGCACATGCCTGTAGTCCCAGCTACTTGGGAGGCTGAGGTACAAGAATTGCTTAAACCTGGAAGGCAGAGGCTGCAGTGAGCCAAGATCGCACCACTGCACTCCAGCCTGAGTGACAGAGCAAGACTCTGTCTCAAAACAACAATAGGCTGGGCGCAGTGGCTCACGCCTGTAATCCCAACACTTTGGGAGGCCAAGATAGGCAGATCACTTGAGGCCAGGAGTTCAAGACCAGCCTGGCCAACATGGTGAAACCCCATCTCTACAAAAAATACAAAAATTAGCCGGGTGTGGTGGCACATGCCTTGTACTCCCAATTACTTGGGAGGCTGAGGTACAAGAATCACTTGAACCCGGGAGGCAGAGGCTGCAGTGAGCCAAGATCACACCACTGCACTCCAGCCTGGGCCACAGAGTGAGAATCTGTCTCAAAACAACAATAAAACATTGATATAGTGGAAGCTTAGAAAATTTGAGAAGATTAAGGGGTGAGCTTGCTACATACCACACCAAAAAGGATAAGGCTGAAAAAGATTTTAAATGGTGCTTGCTTGAGGGTAAATTACTCCCAGGATGATCTTGCTAATGTAATTTTTAATATAACCTACCTGTCGTAACTGAGATTCATCTCGAAGCTGCCTTCTGGCTTCATTGTACATTTCATCTAGCCCCTGACGAGAATGCTTATATGTTTGAAGCTCAGTTTCCACATCTACTTTGGTAACCTAGGAAGAAAACAAAATTTTTCATTCTATAATCACTACTATTAATACAGCATAGAAATACCTACTTCATCCAAAAATCCCCAAAAATGGTAATTTCTGACACGAGATTGTCTGCTTGAAAGCAGTCTATACTTACCTCTAGGTGCTGCTGTGTTTTCATTAAAATCAATTTATTTTCACTTCGTAATTGATGATTTTCTTCCTGGAGTTTAATGATGTTATTCTTTGCTATTGCTAACTAAAAATTAAGAAACGGGCAAGAAAAAAGATTTTAAACACCCTTATACTTGCTTTGCAGGTTATGTGCATGGCCATAAACATCAGAAAATAAAATCTCACAACTAGCAAAAGGTCTGTCACATTCACAGAAACGTTCATAAGGAAAACACGCTCGTTATTATCCCAAGATACCAATTTTAAAAATTATACTCTTATTTCCTTTTGAATTATTCCTACTATTTTCTTTTATAGTTGAAACACATTAGGCTTATTTGTTATGCTTATAATAAACATATTATGTTTACTGTATGATTTACAGTATGTCCTGAATACAAAGTGTCTGAGTAAACAAATAGAGAAATATGCATTAAATAACAAAGGCTTTAAAGACTTGTGTAAAGATAAAAACATGCATAAGGAAAGAAGATTGTGCTATCATTGAAAATGTAATACAGACATTTGTGGTAACTGAGTTGGACACCCCATGAAGTCTAGACATGTAACAGGAACTTAAGTGACTACAACAAACAAGAGACAGGTCTCACCATGAGTTAAACATGAATGATTAAGTGGTTTGACTCTGAGGCCCAGAATGGAAAGAAAGATCCTATGAAAGCAAAGCAGAGACCATTCCCTAATGATGGTTTGCAATTAACACATTTCTAAACATTTTATCAGGAATCAACTTGAACTTCACAGTCCTACTAAAGTCAAGAAGAGGCACAAACTAGTGAGTAGCTCTATAATGGTCCCGATCAGGAGCCCAACCATCAAAATAAAGATGCATTCTTAACTGCAGTCATGCAAGTTATCATGTGTTCGTTGGTTTGGAAAAATTAGGCCAATTTGGCTGGGTGCAGTGGCTCACACCTGTAATCCCAGTACTTTGGGAGGCCGAGGCAGGTGGATCACGAGGTCAGGAGTTTGAGATCAGCCTGACCAACACGGTGAAACCCCGTCTCTACTAAAAATACAAAAAAATTAGCCGGGCGTGGTGGTGCGTGCCTTTAATCCCAGCTACTCAGGAGGCTGAGGCAGGAGAATCGCTTGCACCTGGGAGGCGGAGGTTGCAGTGAGCCGAGATCGCGCCACTGCACTCCAGCCTGGGTGACAGAGCAAGACTCCATCTCAAAAAAAAAAAAAATTTAGGCTAATGAGAATGTTAATTAACATGGAAAATAGGGTTCACAATACAAATAACAGAAGCCTAAATATTTCTGAAAATATATAAGCAATAATTCTGTGATTTAATACATTAAAAAAAATCTAGAAAGCAACTCTACAAAAAAGAGAGCTGAGATAAATTTGCAAGAAAACAGAGCACATGGGATGAGCTTTGCACATGAGAAGGTGGAAAAATGGTCAACATGATCATGCAGTGATGCCTGTGAAGAAAAGTAATCTGACTAGTGGAACAGTGGGAAGAGAGGGACGGTATCATTTTAACAAGAATTTCTTTTTTTTAATGTGTATTTTTTTTTGTATTATACTTTAAATTCTGGGATACATGTGCAGAATGTACAGGTTTGTTACACAGGTATACATGTGCCATGGTGGTTTACTGCACTTAACGAGCATTTCTAATTACAGGTGATTACACTAGGTAAATATAGGTCATCCAGATTTTAAAATGAAAATCACAGCTTATCTACTGAAGAATTTGTGTGAGTTTCATCTCTGAGGCTCATTTTTAGAAGCTGAGTATCTCAAATATAGTATCTCAGATTCATATAACTGAGGATTTGCCTAAGAATATATGGTTTCTCTAGAACTTATAATCATCAGTTACGACTATATTACAAGTATTGCATCACAATGATGAGTGTGTGTTCGTGTGTGTGTGTATGTTTAATGCATTCATACTTAAAATGGAAAAGGATCACAAACACTAGGTCCATGAAATACATTTATCCATTAGACAATACCTCTTCAATCAGCTTAGTATTTGACTTTTCTAATGAATCAACTCTTGAATGGAGGCTGCTGACTGTGCTGCTGAAATTAAGAAACAAAAAAACTCATTCAAAATCACACGAACTCAAAAAGGCACGAAAAAATATGTTATCCTAGATTTACTATGTTTACTGACAGGCACCAACTGCCCTGTCCAAATTTCTGAGTGTGGAAAATTTCATTAACTTGGATAACTTGATTTAGCTAGGAGGGCAATAAAGAGTGTAGCAAAATAATATTTGTATTAAAATTCCATTTGGTGCTACTGATTTTTTTTTTCTGAGATGGAGTCTCACTCTGTTGCCCAGGCTGGAGTGCAGTGGCACGATCTCGGCTCACTGCAGCCTCCGCCTCCTGGGTTCAAACTATTCTTCTGCCTCAGCCTCCTGAATAGCTGGGTTTACAGGCGTGCGCCACCATGCCCGGCTAATTTTTGTATTTTTAGTAGAGACGGGGTTACACCATGTTGGTCAGGCTGGTCTTGAACTCCTGACCTCATGACCCACCCACCTCAGCCTCCCAAAGTGCTGGATTACAGGCGTGAGCAACAGCACCCGGCCTACTCATTTTTTTACATTGTCTTCTTAGGGTCCTTCTTAAATTTAACTGAAAATATTTGGGAATAAAAATTCGACACAAAGATTACTAAGTATTGTTAAAATTATATTTAAAAGGATGAGCTTTAAATGTCTACTTTATAATTATGTGGTTTCATGAGGCATATAAACAATGGTCTTTAATTCAAGCTCCATTTTGATTCCCCTCTCCATTTTCATGAGAACTTAGAGACATCCAAAGTCAACCATGGTTTGAGAAATATGAAGATGAGATACCCAGCATCAGGTTCTTAGTATCAAGGATCTGGCAGCTAAACACCCTGTCTTTCAAAGGAAATAGTCAAAGGTCAGATTATACCAGATGAACACACTTTTTGCATTTTTGTTTAAATGAATCAAGACTGGACATTATTGTATATTTTAAGAATGTTGGCCAGGCACAGTGGCTCACACCTGTAATCCCGGCACTTTGGGAGGCTGAGGCAGGCAGATCACCTGAAGTCAGGAGTTGGAGATCAGCCTGGCCAACATGGTGAAACCTGGTCTCTACTAAAAATACAAAACTTAGCCAAGCGTGGTGGCGGGCGTCTGTAATCCCAGCTACTTGGGTGGCTGAGGCAGGAGAATCACTTGAACCTGGGAGGCAGAGGTTGCAGTGAGCCGAGATTGCGCCACTGTACTCCAGCCTGGGCAACAAGGGCAAAACTCCATCTCAAAAAAAAAGAATGTTGTCCAAGGCCTGCTTGATACTACCATCTCAAAACCTTCTCTAATAAAATGTAATATTCTATATGTAGTATGTTTCAGCAAAATCAACAATAGATGCAATAAATTTTATACCAGCCTCAGAAACAAGTATTGGTATTTTAATTTTACTAGTGAAACAAGAAAAATGTTTTTCCATTCATATTAAATCATTTTTAAGACATAATCATTCTTAGGTAGACAACTTGAGTTTTTCACAAATAGCACCAGGATGTCCTGATGGTAACGACAGACAAACACAAGTCTAGGAGACGTAAGACCAAGAGCCCTGCTTTTCTACTTCCTAATTGTGTCACCTTGAAAGTTGTAAAACCAGCCAGGCACAGTGGCTCACACCCATAATCCCAGCACTTTGGGAGGCCGAGGCGGGCAGATCACAAGGTCAGGAATTCAAAATCAGCCTGGCCAACATGGTGAAACCCCGTCTCTACTAAAAATACAAAACTTAGCTGGGCGTGGTGGCACACGCCTGTAATCCCAGCTACTCAGGAGGCTGAGGCAGGAGAATCGATTGAACCCGGGAGGCGGACGTTGCAGTGAGCCGAGATCGCACCATCGCACTCCAGCCTGGGTGACAGGGCAAGACTCTGTCTCAGAAAATAATAATAATAATAAAAGAAAGTTGCAAAACCTTCCTGAGCTTCAGTTTCTTTTCAACAAATTGGACAATAATATTCACCTTGCCTTTATGCGAGGATACAATAATCATCAAGAAAAGCACTTTGAAAACAAACCCTCAATAGTAGTTTTGAGTGAGGAATAATAGGCGAATTCAGGCCAGGCACGGTGGCTCCACATGTAATCCCAGCACTTTGGGAGGCCGAGGTTGGTGGATCATGAAGTCAGGAGTTTGAGACCAGCCTGACCAACATGGTGAAACCCTGTCTCTACTAAAAATACAAAAATTAGCCCAGCGTGGTGTTACGTGTCTGTAATCCCAGCTACTCGGAAGGCTGAGGCAGGAGAATTACTTGAACCTGGGAGGTGGAGGTTGCAATGAGCTGAGATCGCGCCATTGCATTCCAGCCTGGGCGACAAGACTAAGACTCCATAAAAAAGTGAATTCTACTTTTTTTCTATATGTTTTCTATATTTTGAAATATTCTAAAGGTACAATAACTACTTTTTATTAGAAAAACAATGAAAGGCCGGGTGCAGTGGCTAACATCTATAATACCAACACTTTAGGAGGCCACAGTGGGTGGATGGCCTAGCTCAGAAGTTTGAACCAGCCTGGGCAACATGGTGAAACCCCAGCTCTATGAAAAATAAAAAAAATTAGCTGGGTGTCGTGGCGCAAGCCTGTGCTCCCAGCTACTTGGTAGGCTGAGGTAGGAGGATCGCTTGAGCCTGGGAGGCAGAGGTTGCAGTGAGCCAAGATCAGGCCACTGCACTCCAGCCTGTGTTGACACCATGAGAACCCTGTCTCAAAAAAAAAAAAAAAAAGAAAAGAAAAGAAAAAGAAAAAGCAATGAAACACTTTTACTTTTATTTATTTATTTAGAAGCAGGGTCTCATCTGTCACCCAGGCTGGAGTGCAGCGGCACAAACTCAGCTCAGTGTAGCCTCAACCTCCAGAGCTCAAGTGATCTTCCCACCTCAGCCTCCTGAGCAGCTGAGACTACAGACACACAACACCATGACCAGCTAATTTTTTGTACTGTTTTGGGTGTATAGAGACAAGGTCTCACCATGTTGCCCAGGCTGGTCTCAGACTGCTGAGCTCAAGTGATCCTCCCACCTCAGCCTCCTAACATGCTAGATTACAGCATGCGCCACTGAGCCCGGTGCAATGAAACATTTATAAAACATAAGGTATACAAAAGTCAGACACCAGTATTGCTGTAACTGATTAACACACATGATTTAAACAACTGAGAATGAGAAAAGTCTTTTGAACTGGGCCGGCCACGGTGGCTCACGCCTGTAATCCCAGCACTTTGGGAGGCCGAGGTGGGTGGATCACGAAGTCAGGAGTTCAAGACCAGCCTAGCCAATATGGTGAAACCCTGTCTCTACTGAACGTGCAAAAAATTAGCTGGGCATGGTGGCAGGTACCTATAATCCCCTACTCAGGAGCCTGAGGCAGGAGAATCACTTGAAACTGGAAGGCGGAGGTTGCAGTGAGCCGAGATCACACCACTGCACTCCAGCCTGGGTGAAAGAGCGAAACTCTGTCTCGAAAAAAAAAAAGAAAATTATTTTGAACTGAATGGAATAACCCCAAGATAAATTGTTGGCCAGGCATGGTGGCTCACACCTGTAATCCCAGAACTTTGGGAGGCCCAGGCGGGTGGATTGCTTAAGCCCAGTAGGTGGAGGTTGCAGTGAGCTGAGACTGCACCACTGCACCCAAGCCAGGGACAACACAAAGAGCTCTCGTCTCAAAAAAAAAAGTGAAAATAGTAAGGTATAGAGTAGTGTGAAAGTATGCTACCTAATATGTAAGAAGAGGGAGAGGGAAGAGATATGAGAATAGATATACATATTATTGCTATGAGCATAAAGTATCTCTGGATACACAAGAACCTAATATATTAATTACTTGTGAAGAGGGAAACTAGATGGATGAAGATCAAGGAGAGGGAGACTTTTGTTTTATGTTCCTTTTGTGCCTTTTGAAGTTTGAGCCATATGAATATATTAATATTACCTGTTACCAAAAAGTGATTAGAAGTTTAAACATAAATAATTAAGAAACACAAGCTTGCATTTAGAAATACAATCTCAGAAATACAAATTACAAAATATACATATATTTCCTACGATTTCTATTAAAACTCCATTTAAAAAAGACTTATATGAAGTCTTTCCTATTTCTACTTTAGAGGAAAAGCAAGAGTCACAGCTTATTAGTTTCTTTTCCTAAAATGGAAAAATGTTTAATTGTATTTTCTGATTATAATACATATTCACTGAGTAGTACTCAGAAAATATAGAAAAGTACAAAGAATAAAATAAAAATTATTCATAATCCTATCACCCAGAGAATATTTTACTAATTATTAAATGTGATTAATGAAAACACTTCATTTCTAATTACATAGCAAATATTACTCGCTATACCTGTGCTGTCCAGTATGGCCGCCATGAGCCACATGTGGCTACTAAACACTTAAAAATGTGGCTAGTCCAAATTGAAATGTGCTGTAAGGGTAAAATATATATTGGATTTTGTAGACAGTGCCAAAAAAAAGAGAGTATAAAATATGTCATTAATAATAATTGTTTTTTAAGAGATGGGGGTCTCATTATGTTGCCCAGGCTTATCTCAAACTCCTGGGCTCAGGTGATCCTCTCGCCTCAGCCTCAAAGTAGCTAGGACTATAGACATGTACCACCATGCCAGGCTAATAATAGTTTTTTTTTTTTCTTTGAGACAAGGTCTCACTGTGTCACCGAGGCTGGAATGCAGTGATGCGATCATAGTTCACTACAGCCTTGAAGTCCTGGGCTCAAGAGATCTTCTTGCCTTAGCCTCCCAAAGTGCTGGGATTACATGCATGAGCCATCACACCTGGCCTAATTTTTTTTTTTTTTTTTTGAGATGGAGTCTCGTTACGTCGCCCAGGCTGGAGTGCAATGGCGTGATCTCGGCTCACTGCAATCTCCACCTCCTGGGTTCGAGCAATTCTCCTGCCTCAGCCTCCCGAGTAGCTGGAACTACAGGCACATGCCACCATGCCTGGCTAATTTTTGTATTTTTTAGTAGAGATGGGGTTTTACCATGTTGGCCAGGCTGGTCTCGAACTCCTGATCTCAAGTGATCCACATGCCTCGGCCTCCCAAAGTGCTGGGATTACAGGAGTGAGACATCGTGCCTGTACCCTAATTTTTATATTGATTGCATGTTGGAAGAATATTTGGGGAATACTGGGTAAAATAAAATATATTTTTAATTTTTGGGGTTTTTTTTACATTTTTATTATAGTTACCAGAAATTTTAAATTACTTATGTGGCTGGGCACAATGGCTCATGCCTGTAATTTCAGCACTTTGGGAGCCTGAGGTGGGAGGATTACTTTAACCCAGGAGTTGAAGACCAGCCTGAGCAACATGGTGAGACCTCATCTCTATGAAAAAATTTAAAATTACTAGGCATGGTGGTGCACACTTGTGGTCCCAGCTACTTGGGAGACTGAGGCAGGAGGACTGCTTGAGCCTGCAATGTCAAGGCTGTGGTGAGCTTGATCATGCCACTGCCCTCTACCCTCCAGCCTGGGCAACAGAGTGAGACCCTGTCTCAAAAAAAAAAAAAAAAAAAAAAAAGGCCAGGTGTGGTGGCTCACGCCTGTAATCCTAGGACTTTGGGAGGCAGAGGCAAGTGGATCACCTGAGGTCAAGAGTTCGAGACCAGCCTGGTCAACATGGTGAAACCCCGTTTCTACTAAGAATACAAAAAAATTAACTGTGCGTGGTGGTGGGCACCTGTAATCCCAGCTACTCGGGAGGCTGAGGTAGGAGAATCGCTAGAACCCTGGGGGCAGGCAGAGGTTGCAGTGAGCTGAGACGGTGCCATTGCACTCCAGCCTGGGCAACAGAGTGAGACTCTGTCTCAAAAAAACAAACAAACAAACAAACAAACAAAAAAACTATGCATCTCATATATTTCTTTCTTTTCTTTTTTTTTTTTGAGACGGAGTTTCACATTTCACTTTTGTTGCCCAAGCTGCAGTGCAATGGCACGATCTCGACTCACTGCAACCTCCACCTCCTGGGTTCAAGTGATTCTCCTGCCTCATCCTCCCGAGTAGCTGGGATTACAGGTGACCGCCACCACCCCTGGCTAATTTTTGTTTTTTTTAGTAGAGACAAGGTTTCACCATACTGGGCAGGCTGGTCTCAAACTCCTTACCTCAGGTGATCCACCCGCCTCGGCCTTCCAAAGTGGAATTACAGGCATGAGCCACTGCGCCTGGCCACATCTCATATATTTCTATTAGAATTGCACTTTGCTATTTTACATACAGGTCTCAAAAATTCTTCTCAACAAGAGTATTCACTGATGGCTTCAATGACCAGTTGACAATGTAAGAAAGCAAAAATTTCCACCACAGAAGATGACAGACAGCCACATTTACATATGAAGCCCTTTGAAGTAGGAAAAATGAATTTCTGAACCATCAAACTGATACAAACTTTTACCTTAGCCTTTTTTGTCAAGGGTACAGCAATAAGTTTTAAGTTCTATTTAAATCTGATGAAGATTCTGTATTAAAAACCTGACTCTCGGGCCAGGCGTGGTGGTTCACGCCTGTAATCTCAGCACTTTGGGAGGCCAAGGCGGGCAGATCACAGGGTCAGGAGATTGAGACCATCCTGGCCAACGTGGTGAAACCCCGTCTCTACTAAAATACAAAAAAAAAAAAAAAAATTAGGTGTGGTGGTGCGCGCCTATAGTCCCAGCTACTCAGGAGGCTGAGGCAGGGGAATCACTTGAACCTGGGAGGCGGAGGTTGCAGTGAGCTGGGATCATGCCACTGCACTCCAGCCTGGCAACAGAGTGAGACTTCATCTCAAAAAAAAAAAAAAAAAAAATTCTGACTCTCATTTTCTGCTTAAAATGAATTATCTCCAATAATTCTCTGTATTCTTACTTTCCATTTTCTCTCTATCCCCTCAACCCCTTCTCAAAGACTCTTAGAAGAAAGGAATACGGTAAGCTGAAGGGAAAAAAACAAAAACCTAAGACAATATTCATAAATGTGCTAAGTATCCATAATACTTACTTCAGTTGTCTATTTAATTCTTCAACATAATTCTTTTGGTCTAATATGGCAGCAATTTGAACATTCCTAAATGAGGAAAAAAGTAGCTTTGTGCTAGTTGAAAAGGTATTTATTAAGCACAAAAAAATCTAAATCATCTAAAATTATTATAAAACTAAAATAATAAAACATTGTCTTGCCTTTAAAATAAAACATAAGAATAATAGTAAACTGTGTACTAAGTATCTATAACCTTTGTTGAATAAATTACTTGCTAATAATACACTTAACAATACCATTAGTGTATTTTTAAATTTAAACATAATTAGGGCCGGGCACAGTGGCTCATTCCTGTAATCCCAGCACTCTGGGAGGCCGAGGCAGGCAGGTCACTTGAGTCCAGGAGTTCAAAACCAGTCTGGCCAACGTGGTGAAACCCTGTCTCTACTAAAAATAACAAAAATTAGCCAGGCATGGTGGCGGGTGCCTGTAATTCCAGCTACTGGGGAGACTGAGGCAGAAGAATCGCTTGAACCCAGGAGGCGGAGGTTGCAGTGAGCCAAGATAGAACCACTGCACTCCAGCCTGGGCAACAGAGCAAGACTGTGTCTCAAAAAAAAAAAAACATAGTTCGATCTTGAAGTAAACCAGTATTTGCAAACTTGTGAATAATAAGCTTTCATCTCTTTTATTCCAAAAAACCACTATTAAAATGGGTCTCAGTAACTACAGGTATAACCAAAGGTCCCACTTCATACTATTAATAAAACCTCCTTCTCCTAAGTGATTTTCCATAATCTGCTTTGTAAAGCTTGTAATGGAAGTGAAAATGAAATGAAGAAGTCACAGGGGGGAAAACAACAAAATAAAACCACACTGTAAATAGATGGATCTTATAATGATTTGTAAAGAGCTATATAAAAAACCCAATATGTGAAATAACTTATGAAAATCATACCTTTCTTTATTTCCAATATCTTCTTCATTCTTTAAATACATAGAAAAATCAATCACTCCAACCTGAAGTAAATAAAGTTTTTTTTAATTTAAAGGGGAGAAAATACTTTATCAGAAGTACCTTTACTGAATGTTACTCTTAATATTCCTTTAGTGTTTAACAGTCCTGTTTACAACTTCAAATGACACCTGATCAAGGAGGAACTGTGCAAACTGAAAACACTCTGCATTTGGCACTAGTCACTTTCACTTACTTGTGAGTCTAAATCCTCTCCCTTCACACACAGATTAGCATCGATCACATTCAGGCCAACCAGCAGCCCAACAATTACTGCTCCTTCTTCTTCCATCATTAGTGCGTGATACTCATAAAACTCACTGTGAAAATTTAAAAAATAAGGACTTTAAATCACAAATTTATTTCAAAAACTAAAATTTAAAATCACCATTATCTTCCTAATCTTCTACCTTACAGAAATGGAAGCCATCTCAGTTAGGTGCCTTCAAATTAGCCTTTATACGTGTGAATAACTTTTTATATTTTTTATTTTTTATTTATTAATTTTTTTTTTTTGAGACGAAGTCTTGCTCTTTCACCCAGGCCGGACTGCAGTGGCACTATCTTGGCTCACTGCAAGCTCTGCCTCCCGGGTTCACACCATTTTCCTGCCTCAGCCTCCTGAGTAGCTGGGACTACAGGTGCCCGCCACCGCACCCGGCTAATTTTTTGTATTTTTAGTAGAGACGGGGTTTCACCGTGTTAGCCAAGATAGTCTCGATCTCCTGACCTCATGGTCCGCGGGCCTCAGCATCCCAAAGTGCTGGGATTACAGGCGTGAGCCACCGCGCCTAGCCAACTTTTCATATTTTTTAAATTTAAATGTCTCTATTGAAAAATCAAAAGGACTGAAGGAGATAAAAGAGGGAAATTTTTTTTGAGAGAGAGAAAAGAGGAGCAAGGAGGGATGAAAAGAAAAAGTGGCACGAGACACGGTGGCTCACGCCTGTAATCCCAGCACTTTGGGAGGCCAAGGCGGGAGGATCACTTGAAGTCAGGAGTTCAAGAGCAACCTGGCCAACATGGTGAAACCTCATCTCTACTAAAACTACAAAAATTAGCCAGGCGTGGTGGCACACGCCTGTAATTCCACCTACTCGGGAGGCTGAGACAGGAGAATTGCCTGAACCCAGGAGGCAGAGGTTGCAGTGAGCCAAGATCGCACCACTGCACTCCAGCCTGGGCAACAGAACAAGACTCCATCTCAAGAAAATAAAAAAAAAAAAAGAGGCAACACTGAGCCCTGGGACGTTTCTGACTCAGATGGATATAGTGACTGCTGCTGATCTGATTATGATATATTTTATTAGAGTTGAATTTTCAATCCTCGGATTTATTAAGACCCTTGGGATAAAGACTAAGGTAGAAAATGAACATATGCAACATTTCAAAGTCCATGTTCAAGTCAATGCATTTGATAGGTATATTATAAATCTTAATAGATAATCATCAATTAAAGACACTTTGGGATATCTACATTCTAAAAACTGTTGAAAAAGAGAGTTGTGAAAGAAATAGGACAGTTCAAAAACTAAGTCTCACCAACATACATTCAGAGAAGTAGTTATCACTGTCTCATGCCTTCTTTAATAAGGCCCATGTACATTATTTAATCACTTTAATTATCCTTCAGAATATTGAGAAGCCATGGGTGCTTAACATATGGTCATTCTCGTTTAACAACTGGGAAAACCACAATGTAAAACCAGCATCACAAGTAAAACCAAAACCAGGACTAAATTCTCCACAACATCAGAGAGGCACTCTAACAGAACAAGAATGAATGGAGGACCACCATGGGCCCACTCCCTTGGAGAACTGATTGCCTTGCTTTGAAAATCTGTCTTAAATAAATGTTTGGCCTTCGTTTTATTTTATTTTTTTGAGACAGGGTCTCACTCTTATCACCCAGGCTGGAGTGCAGTGGCGCGATCTCAGGTCACTGCAACCTCCCTCTACCGGGTTCATGTGATTCTCCTGCCTCAGCCTCCCAAGTAGCTGAGATTACAGGCATGCGCCACCACACCCAGCTAATTTTTGTGTTTTTAGTAGAGACGGGGTTTCACCACGTTGGTCTCGAACTCCTGACCTCAAGTGATCCACCTGCCTCGGCCTCCCACAGTGCTGGGATTACAGGCGTGAGCCACCACACCCAGCCAAAATAAATGTTTGGACTTCAATTTAAACTGTGCCCACAATACAGGTGAAGCAATAATATGGATATTCAAATTCTAAAAAAAAAAACAAAAAACAAAAAGCCTATGAAATTAAAGCCACAAATTCCAACACAAATTTTTATCCATAGAATTAACCATATTCAGAAAAATAAAACTAACAGAAATGTATTATATACGGCAGTTTCCAGGCAGGGCAAAAGAAAAAATTTTTAAACAAAGAGGAAGAAATGTAATATATATAAATTTCCCCATCCTGGCTGATAACAAAGCTTATGGTATTCATATGTAAGGCTAGTTCCTGATCCATGTTATGTCTCTATCATGTTTTTCTGTCTCATTTTGCTCCTCCTCTTATTTTATATCATTTTATTATATGTTATATATCCTTTCATATTACATCTTAAATCCTTTTTGGAAGACAGCATATAAATAAAATAAAAAATGAAAAGATCACGACTTAATAGTACTAACCTCAAGAGATCCCTCTGAATAATTAAGCAACGTAAGTAATCGGCCATTTTTTTTTGCATGAGGGCTAATCGAAGCCACGCTCTTGCTCGACCCAGAGGGGTCCTAAAGAGAAGAACCAATTGATCAGAAAACAGCCCTAGCCCAAAGATCACATCTTCTGTCTCTAGAGGTAAACATTAACAAGGAAAAAGGGCATTTTTATAATGGTTTTGTTTTCATTTTTATAGGTTTATCTTTTTGAGCACACAAACCAATCCCTGAGAGCTGGGTAAATCTGTTCCTCCTGTAGGACATCCAGGTACTATTTAATGTCTTGGAAGAAATGACTCTCTAAACACAGTAGTGTGTCACTTAATGATACTTTCAGAAAAATGCGTTGTTAGGTAATTTCATCATGGAGTGTACATTTGCAAACCTAGATGGTATACACACCTATGCTATATAGTATACCCTATTGTTCCTAGGCTGTAAACCTATATAGCATGCTACTGTACTGAATGCTGTAGGCAATTATTAACCAATTGTTAACTATTTGTGTATCTAAACACAGCTAAACATGGAAATGGTAAAGTCAAAATACAGTATTATAATCTTTTGGAACCACCATCATTTAATGAAATGTTATGCAGCCCAGGACTCTGGTGAGAATACTTCTATAAGAAATATTTAGGTGGGCACGGTGGCTGACACCTGTCATCCCTACACTTTGAGAGGTCAAGGTGGGAGGATCACTTGAATCCAGGAGTTAGAGAACAGCCTGGACAACATAGGGAGACCCTGTCTCTATATAAAAAAAATAAATTAATTAAATTTAAAAATAAAAAAAATTAAAAAAGTGAAAAAAAATCAAAATGCCAGGTGTGGTGGCATGTGCCTGTATTCCCAGCTACTCAGGAGGCTGAGACAGGAGGTTGCTTAAGCCCAGTAGGCAGAGGCTGCAGTGAACAGTGATTGCATCACTGTACTCAAGCCTGGGTGATAGAGTGAGACCCTGTCTCAGAAAAAAAAAAGAAATATTTAGTCTGAATGAGCTTAGCCCTCTAAAAATAAATATTAAAACTTCACCAGGCCGGGCCCAGTGGCTTACACCTGTAATCCCAGCACTTTGGGAGGCCGAGGCGAGCGGATCACAAGGTCAGGAGTTCGAAAGAAGCCTAGCCAACATGGTGAAACCCCGTCTCTACTAAAAACACAAAAAATAGCTGGGCTTGGTGGTGGGTGTCTGTAATCCCAGCTATTCAGGAGGCTGAGGCAGGAGAATCACTGGAACCCGGGAGGCGGAGGGTACAGTCAGGCAAGATTGCACCATCGCACTCCAGCCTGGGCAACAAGGTAAGATTTGTTCTCAAAAAAAAAAAAAAAAAAAAAAAATTCTACAATAAGGCACCATAATGCCTTCAAAAACATAGGTAACATTATATCTGAATTTTAAAAATCATAACAAAGCTAAGAGGGTGCCAGGCTAGTAATTAAAGAGAAATCACTGTGCTGCTTACTGGTTTTCAAATGTTTCTTTAATTTGGTTGCATTTAAGAAATTAAATCTCATACCTCTCTTACCCAAGTTCTATCTGTTATTAAAAATAAAAGTGGCCTGGCGTGGTGGCTCACGCCTGTAATCCCAGCACTTTGGGAGGCCAAGGCGGGTGGATCACTTGAGGTCAGGAGTTCATGACCAGCCTGGCCAACATGGTGAAACCCCGTCTCCACTAAAAATACAAAAATTAGCCAGGCACAGTGGCATGAGCCCGTAATCCCAGCTACTCGAGAGGCGGAGGCAGGAGAATCGCTTGAACCCAGGAGGTGGAGGTTGCAACGAGCCAAGATCCCGCCACTGCACTCCAGCCTGGGCAACAGAGACAGACTCAGTCTCCATAAAATATAATAATAATTTTTTTAAAAAGCAACTTTTATACCACTTTTTTTTTTTAAAGAGAGTGGTATCATTCACACTTTTATATTTTCTTATGCAGAGAACATTTTGGCAGATAGTACAGGAAGAGACTTGATCTTCACTTCTAATAATTAACGCATTTCTTATAGCTTAGCATTTTAATGAACACCATCAGAAAACAGGTTTTACTATTGTAGAGTCTGGCTTTTTAACAAAATATGAATACATATTTTCATATTAAAATGAATCAAATCTTACATTTTTGTTTTTGAGAGTTGAAATTCTGTTTTTCCTCTTTGTTAAAAATCTTTACACCTGATATACCAAAAATATCAATTGTGAACAAATATCATTTGATTTTTTTTTTTTTCCAATTTTTTTTGGTGGGGGAGACAAAGTCTCACTCTGTCACCCAGGCTGGAGTGTAGTGATACGACCTTGGCTCACTGCAACTTCTGCCTCCTGGGTTCAAGCAATTATCCTGCCTCAGCCTCCCGAGTAGCTGGGACTATAGGCGTGCACCACCACACCCAGCTAATTTTTTTGTATTTTTAGTAGACATGTGGTTTCGCCATGTTGCCCAGGCTGGTCTCGAACTCTTGGGCTCAGGCAATCCACCCATCTCAGCCTCCAAAGTTCTGGGATTATAGGCGTGAGCCACCACACCCAGCCACTTTATATTTAACTCTAAAAACTGGGTTTAAATCCTGCCTCTGCCACTTTTTAACTATAATTTATCTGGCATTTATTTTTCACATCTATACAATTATAATAATAACCTCTACCTGTAAGACTGATTTAAGCACTAAAGGAGATAATTCATGTAAAACAGGTACCTTATTACTCTAACACAGTGCTCAACAGTAGCCACTTACTTTTATCACTCAATAAATTCCAATTTACAAACATTTGAACATTTGAACATTCAACAACAAAATAACAGCAAAACACTACCATATTCCCCACAACATATATAAACCCTAAGTTGTAAAACTATGAGAAAACAAACGATTAACCTTACAGAAAATGCTTAATGCAAAAAAAGTTATCTCATTAACAAGAATTAAGATAAACTAAAGGGAGGCTGGGCGCTGTGGCTCACGCCTGTAATACCAGCACTTTTTTTGAGACAGAGTTTCTCTCTTATTGCCCAGGCTTGAGTGCAATGGCGTGATCTCAGCTCACTGCAACCTCTGCCTCCCGGGTTCAAGCAATTCTCCTGCCTCAGCCTCCCAAGTAGCTGGGATTACAGGCATGTGCCACCACACCGGCTAATTTTGTATTTTTAGTAAAGACAGGCTTTCTCCATTTTGGTCAGGCTGGTCTCGAACTCCCAACCTCAGGTGATCCGCCCACCTCGGCCTCCCAAAGTGCTGGGATTACAGGCCTGAGCCACTGCGCTGGGCCAATTCCATCACTATTGAGGACAGGAGTTCAAGACCAGCCTGGTCAATATGGCAAAACCCCCATCTCTACTAAAAATACGAAAATTAGCCAGGTATGGATGGTGGCACATGCCTGTAATCCCAGCTACTTGGGAGGCTGAGGCACGAGAATCACTTGAACCTGGGAGGCAGAGGTTGCAGTGAGCCGAGATTGCACCACTGCACTCCAGTCTGGGCAACAGGGTGAGACTGTCCGTCTCAAAATAAAATAAAATAAACAAAGACAAACAAAAGAGAACACTTACATTTTAATTACACTCTAAAGAATATAAGAACTGGTCAGGCACGGTGGCTCACGCCTGTAATCCCAGCACTTTGGGAGGCCAAGGCGGGCGGATCACAAGGTCAGGAGATCAAGACCATCCTGGCTAACATGGTGAAACCCCGTCTCTACTAAAAATACAAAAAATCAGCCAGGCATGGTGGCATGCACCTGTAATCCCAGCTACTCGGGAGGCTGAGGCAGGAAAGTTGCTTGAACCCATGAGGCGGAGGTTGCAGTGAGCTGAAATCGCACCACTACACTCCAGCCTGGGCAACACAGCAAGACTCCATCTCAAAAAAAATAAAGAAAATAAAAATTAAAAAGAAAACTAAAAAAAAAAAGAATATAGGCTTGGCGCGGTGGCTCACGCCTGTAATCCCAGCACTTTAGGAGGCTGAGGCAGGCGGATCACGAGGTCAGGAGATCGAGACCATTCTAGCTAACATGGTGAAACCCGATCTCTACTAAAAATACAAAAAAATTAGCCGGGCGTGGTGGCGGGCGCCTGTAGTCCCAGCTACTCGGGAGGCTGAGGCAGGAGAATGGGGTGAACCCGGGAGGTGGAGCTTGCAGTGAGCCGAGATCGTGCCACTGCACTCCAGCCTGGGCGACAGAGCGAGACTCCGTCTCAAAGAAAAAAAGAATTTAAGAACTGAGTCTTAACACTTTACACCTACAAAAAATTTTAAATACTCATGAAAGTATTCTTAGCTAACATACTCCAACTTTTAAGACATTTTACATACATTTGTCTGATGAAACAGGCTGGTGACATTATAGGTACCAATTTTCAGAGGAAGCAAAGAAATGTACACCAGTCCTAGGGTATACAACTGGCTTATCTGAGAACTGGAATATCCTGAGCCTGTGCCCTGGATTCAGCCTAAATCAGTCTTTCCTCAATACTTACTGACTTTCTACTACAGGCAAACTAATTTAACACTCAGAAAACAAAGATGCATAACTGATATATCCTATCTTAAAAGGACTTTCAATTTCCTACAATACAAGGCAGAATGGTGAGTGGTTAATTTTGATCGAAGAGGCTAAGAAAAACTTCATAAAGGAAATGGGATTTGAGTTGAGCCATAAAGAATGAACATAATTTTATTATAAGAGGATTAGAAGAAGGGGACTTAAGACTAAGAGAAGACAATAAGCTAGAGTGTGAGGTACTTTGGAGGAACAATGAATACACTTCTGTGGCTAGGGATGAACAAGTAATAGGCCTCCTTACTTCAGACCAGGTAGATCCCGGACACTAGCTCCTATTTCCTCTGCTTCGGGGTACAGCTTCTCCACCAGTTCCAAAGGGCCCCAGATGGTTTTGTTGTAACTCAAAAATGATTTTCTTACTGAAAAAAAGAACACATAATGCACACAATGTCAACATAAAAAACTGTAGTAACTTATTTTTAAATATTTAGTTTCAACATTTCTAACTTAACATACAATTATTCAGAGATCTTTCCTCTTTTATCCACTACATATCCCAGTGGATCTGGAGCCTGTGCCAGTAGGATCCTGTTGCCCATCCTGCTATTTTTTTCCACATGATAAAAAGACACAGTGACCATTCTTTCATATCAAATATGCAGTAAGGTAATTAAAGTGAAAAATGACTGCACTCATTCTCTACCAATACCAAAATAAAGGCTGGTGGCCCTAGCTGATTGATCTTTATAAGTTTATTAAACAAACCAAGCACAAATAAAAAGTTATTTTATTTTTTATAATGCCTTTTTTTTTTTTAGTAAGTAGAGATGGCATTTTGCTATGTTGACCAGGCTGGTCTTGAATTCCTGGCCTCAAGCGTTCCTCCTATCTTGGCCTCCCAAAGTGCTGGCTGGGATTACAGGCATGAACCACCACGCCCAGCCTAAGAAGTTATTTTAATTTTAAATATGAAAAATTGTGAATTTCCTTTTCCTTGTATTTTATTCTGAGATTTGGTCAATATAAAACCATGAAATTGCCATACATTTTTGTTATTACTGACCAGATCTCCTGCAAATACAGGGTGCCTATCATATACACTACCCAAGGACACCCAAGATAGGCAATTTTTCCCAGGGGGAGAAAAGCACACGCACAAAGTAGCTTTATAATGATTCATCCAGATAAGCCTATAACTGCTAGGACATGGTTCAACATAAGTTGTGAAGTAAAGGAAATACAGTCTAAAAATAGTTTAAAATTTAACTATTTTGGCCATAATTTGGCAAACTCCATTTCAGCAGTCTTGGGGAAAATCAAGATGCACTCCTGATTTTTTCTGAAATCAAGATGCACTCCTGATTTTTTGAAAATCAAGTCTCACTCCAGAGTGAGACCCCCATCTCAAAAAAAAAAAGAGGAGCATGGTTAAATTATGCCATATACATACCATAAAATATCGCACAGCTATTAATTCTGATACAGATGTCTATGTAAATGGAAAGATCTCCAAGCCATATCTTTTTTTTTTTTTTTTTTTTTTGAGACAGAGTCTCACTCTGTGTCTCCCAGACTGGAGTGCAGTGGCATGATCTCAGCTCACTGCACCCTCTGCCTCCCAGGTTCAAACAATTCTCCTGCGTCAGCCTCCCAAGTAGCTGGGACTACAGGCATGCAGCACCACACCCAGCTAATTTTTGTATTTTTAGTAGAGATGGGGTTTCACTATGCTGGCCAGGCTGATCTCGAACTCCTGACCTCAAGTGATCCGTCAGTCTCAGCCTCCCAAAGTCCTGAGATTACAGACATGAGCCATCGCACCCAGCCACTTTTTTTTTTAAAGAAGGAAGTCACAGAATAATGCTAATAGCATGATTACAATTACAGTTAAAGAAAAAAAAAACAGAAAAGGGATAACAGAATATCTAATTCTCCCATTTTCTTTCTTTTGAGACAGAGTCTCACTCTGTCACCCTGGGCTGGAATGCAGTGGCACGATCTCAGCTCACTGCAACCTCCGCCTCCCAGGTTCAAACAATTCTCCTGCCTCAGCCTCCTGAGTAGCTGGGATTACAGGCGAACACCACCAGCCTGGCTAATTTTTGTATTTTTAGTAGAGATGGGTTTTCACCATGCTGGCCAGGTTGGTCTTGAACTCCTGACCTCAAAGTGACCCACCCACCTCAGCCTCCCAAAGTGCTGGGATTACAGGTGCCCAATTTCCTTTAGAGAGGTTAATAGAAGAGAATGAATAAAAACCATGTTTTGCTCTGTGTACTTCTCTGTTGTTTATGTACAAAAAGAGTATCTTTCGCTAGTATTTATACATTTTAAGAAATTGCTTTAAGTCTCTAAAGAAAAAGAAATGAGTATGCTAATAACATCACACAGGATTTCTCAAATTTTGATGTCAAGGCTTCCTTCTTGTTTTGAAGTACTTTTTATTAAAACAAAGTTTAGGTAAATCTTTGAATCTTTTTTTTTTTTTTTTGAGAAAGGGTCTCTCTCTGTTGTCCAGGCTGGAGTACAGTGCTACACTCAGAGTTCACTGAAGCCTCGACCTCCTCAGGCTAAGGTGATCCTCCCACTTCAGCCTCTCGAACAGCTGGGACCACAGGCATATGCTGGGATTACAGGCATTAAGCCACCGTGTCTGGCCAGTCAAGCTTCTTTTACTCTATAATAGTCACTCTAGTGTACAACTCTTACATAGCCCTCTACATAGATACTCATCGTATGAACTAGAGGCCAAAACTGTGAACAGTTATTATAAGTAAAAGCACAGTTATTATGCAATGAATATTTTTAAATTAAATATAAAACCAACATTTTATATGTAACAATAATTCAATATGTACTGAGAGTGGAGTACAATATCTGCTGTTATCATCTTCAGGGATGGCTCACATTTCTACAATAACTCCATCCAGAAGATATTTCTACATATGTTCGTGTATATATCTAGGAGGTTTCTATTTCAACAATCCACTATTTCAATGCAGTTGTTCAACAGGGTTCGAACTATTAATATGAGCTCATAACAGTATCACCAGCTTTAAAAAATAACTCTATAATTGTCCTAGAAAACAAAATAATTCAGATTATGTGTTTAAAAAATTAAAAAATCAAATATTCTGTTTACAAAATATTAACAATTAAGCATTTTCTGAAGACCATTTATTATTCCATTATTAGAAAACATAGTCATAAGATATTTTCTCCCAAAATCAATCCACTCAATATTTTTTAGTGCACAGTAACGTAATTATGGCCTCAAAAAATAACCCATTCTCAAGGGCACTTGAAAAACGGAAATTCTAAAATGAATTAATTTTTTAAAATCTCATGATACCTTTAAGACCGTGTTTCAGGCAATGTTCCATAACAACAAAGAATTGCTGCAAGGGGGGATAGTCAGAATCCAAAGTGCGGCCAAAGCTCAGAGCAGATTCAATGAGTCCTTTGATACTCAGTTTAGCCATGTTTAACAAGTTTGCTCTCTCTACAGCTGTGGGGTCTTTTGTAGCTGAAAACACAAGAAAGGAATCCAACATCATTTGTAAGACATGACAATGAAAAATATACAAACCATTCCCTTCCCCTATAAAAACCAACAGTAGTTTGCTGTTCCTTGGTTGACAAATTCTCCCCAGCTAAACCACACCCTTGATTAACTTCTCTTTACATCTCTCACATATACTGTAAAAAATTTCCGGCCAGGCGCGGTGGCTCACGCCTGTAATCCCAGCACTTTGGGAGGCCAAGGCGGGTGGATCATGAGGTCAAGAGATTGAGACCATCCTGGCCAACATGGTGAAACCCCGTCTCTACTAAAAATACAAAAATTAGCTGGGCATGGTGGTGCGCGGCTGTAGTCCCAGCTACTCGGGAGGCTGAAGCAGGAGAGTCACTTGAACCCAGGAGGCGGAGATTGCAGTGAGCTGAGATAGCGCCACTGCACTCCAATCTGGTGACAGAGCGAATCTCCGTCTCACAAAAAAAAAAAAAAGAAAAAGAAAGAAAGAAAGAAAAAAGAAAATTTCCATGACCACTCCAGCCAAAGTTAATGAATTATTCTCAAGATCCTGCAAATCTGCCATTCTCCTGTATTTAACTTTCCTGGTACCTCTTCATAGAGAATGAGTTTTTTAAAATGATCTTCTATGGAGATAAATTTGGGGTGAGAGACAACAGGTTTAAGGGCCTCATGCAAAAGGTAGATAGCAGGTACGGTCTTAGGATGAATTCCAAGGCAAAAATGTTCAGAATAAACTGGCAATAAAATAAAAGGTAGTTAAAATTCTAGGATTCCAGTGTCATCCACAACAAACATGACAGGTAAAATACACTGACAAGGGGACACAGAAGAAGCCGTCCAATTCTTTCGTCTACCCTCTTTCTGTCTGGCTTCTTCATTCTGACTGTAGTTCTGTATTGCATGACTGTTTTATTTTCAAAGAGAAAATAAAAGCAGAGACCAGTTTTACATTAATGTTCCTCACCCATCCACACAGTTGAGGATGCCCACAGCGCCAGTCTGAATACCAAGTTAATAGATGCAAATTCTAAAAGGCCTGATTTTTAATTGATATTTTTAAGACACAGTATCATCAAGTAAGATATTTTCAATTCACAAAAATATTGTCCTCCTTCCCGCAAATTTTATTCTCAGTTTACTTAGAAATTCAGACGCTTCCCCATCATCTCATCACTGTTGTGACTGGTGGGAATACCTTCAACAAACACAGATGACAAAACTAAGGTGTGGAAAAACGAAGCACTTAGTATAACATTTCATAATCTCTGACAAATTTACAAGTAATCAATGTGCCCGTTTTTCCTTCACTGAACAACAACAACAACAAAAAACCCAGAGTCTCCAATGATCTAGTATTCCAGCTCCGATTTCTAGATAGCTAGGCATGAAGCCTGACACTGAATCCTAAGCAACCTAAAATGCAAACAGCCACAACTGCTATGGCCAAACTGCCTGGTGGAAAAATGTCCACACACGAATTCCTTCAAATCTGCATCGTGGTCTGACTCCCACTATTTTTCGGGAGTGAAACCACTTCATGTTTCATAATCCGTGGCAACTCTCATTTTTAACACAGCCCATCATAATTCCTAACGTGCGATGCGACAACCACACAAAGGGTGTTTTGCAGCTGCTGGGAGGCAGATCGGTGCTGGGCACCGGCAGTTCCCACGCCGAGGGGCGTTCACACCGCGGCCACGCCCCGGCTGCGCTACAGGACTTCTCCGGCCCGTACGCGACCCCCAAACCCGGCCGCAGGCGCGCAAGGAGTACCAGGGCCAGTGCCCGCACCTTGCCGGGGCCTAGAGCCCCTTCCCTGCCTCTCTTCCTGCCCCCTCCCCCCAGCAAGGCTGCCCAGAGGCCTGGGGGCCCCCCAGGACCATCGCGGCGGGCTCACCCAGGCTCCTGCGCGTCAGCATTCCCCGTCTCCCGCCCTCGGCGTCAGGCACCCAGGCCAAAACCTGAGATGCGTCTTCCCTCCGCCACCCCCAAACCTGAAAAGTCATCGCCCCTCCCCGCCTGCTCCCCGACCCGGGAGTGACACCCTGCCTGGCCCTGTCCTCGCTCCTGGACGCCGTGGCACCTCGAGCCCTCGGCCACTATGCCTCAGAACCCGGGCGGGAACGGGCCGGAACAAGGGAGGGGGCGCGTTGCCATGACGACCCCGGGAGCCCCCGAGTCCCAGGCAGTCCCCGCCCATCCTGGGTTCGGGCCCCAGTTCCGACTGGCGGCCTCGGCGTCTCCCCCAGCTCCCAGTCCACCCCGCCTGGCCGCGGCCCTCAGCCCGGGACTGAGGGCCTAGCGTTCGGTTTCGGCCCGCTCGCCTTACCCATGGCGGCGGCGGCTGCGCGGTCTCGGGCGGAGGCTCCCTCGGCCTGTCCAGCAGCTCCTTCCAGGCGCTCGGCGGCCACCACCGCATCTGCAGCCAGGCCCGCTGCAGCCCACAGCGCCCCCGGCGGCGGGAGGGCGCCCGGGCGGCCCCAGGGGGAGCGGCGCCCCGGGCGGGGCGGGGACCCGCGGACCCTGCGGCGGGCGGGAGAGAAGCCCGCCGTCTCTAAGCCTCCTCGCATCCGCTGGGACCGCGAGGAGAAGGAAAGGAACGTGAAGGAGACCACATGTGTGAGGAGCCAGAGTGCTGGGCCCTCGGTCCCGTGTCCCGGGGGCTTCGCTGGAGCGCGAAGGCCGGATTTCAAGGGGCGGCCGGCCACACGCAAACGTTGCTTCCACCGGGCTGGTGGGGCCTGATCTAACACGCCTGACTACTGCCCATTCACCTTCACAAACACAAAGGGGACCAAAAGAATTTAGAAAATCTGAAGCAATTAACAGTAGGCAGAAACCTAATAAAACTAGTTAGTCCCAAATTACGACTTTTTTTTGTTTTTTGGGTTGTTTTTTTTTTTTTTTTTTTGAGATGGAGTCTCGCTCTGTCACCAGGCTGGAGTGCAGTGGCGTGATCTTGGCTCACTGCAAACTCTGCCTCCCGGGTTCAAGGGATTCTCCTGCCTCAGCCTCCTGAGTAGCTGGGATGACAGGCGCGCGCCACCCCGCCCGGCTAATTTTTGTATTTTTAGTAAAGACGGGGTTTCACCATGTTGGCCAGGGTGGTCTCGATCTCTTCACCTGGTGATCCGCCCATCTCGACCTCCCAAAGTGCTAGGATAACGCCTGAGCCACACAGCCCGCCCTAAAACAATTTGGTAAAGCTCATTACAAAAAGCTAAAGTGAAAAAAGAGAGAAAACAATTCAAAAATATTTCATTATGTGCCACAGCAATATCCACACAAGCACTAAAATTCAGACCTCGGCTGGGTATGGTGGCTCATGCCTGTAATCCCAGCACTTTGAGAGGCTGAGCTGGATAGATCACGAGGTCAGGAGTTCGAGACCAGCCTGACCAACATGGTGAAACTCCGTCTCTACTAAAAATACAAAATTTAGGCAGACGTAGTGGCATGTTCCTGTAGTCCCAGCTACTCGGGAGGCCAAGGCGGGCGGATCACCCGGTCAGAAGTTCGAGACCAGTCTGGCTAACATGGTGAAACCTCATATCTACTAAAAATACAAAAATTAGCCGGGCGTGGTGGCGCGTGCCTGTAATCCCAAGATTCCGTCTCAAAAAAAAAAAAAAAAAAGTCAGACTTCATCCCTGGATCCATCTTGGTTCACATTTCCCAGGATTATGAGCCCTAGTCATCGTAAGGGCCAGTAGTGACTCAAGTGGAATTAGATAGGCATATCCTATTAGCTAGAAGAGATTTTTTATTTTTTTCAGACAGGGTCTCACTCTGTCACTCATGCTGGAGTGCAGTGGCGCGATCTCAGCTCACTGCAACCTCTGCCTCCCAGGCTCAAGTGATCCTCCCACCTCAGCCTCCCTAGTAGCTGGGACCACAGGCGCTCATTGCCACACCCAGCTAACATTTGTATTTTTGTGCTTAATTTTTTAAAAAAAGTTACATATATATGACATATACTTATGATCCCAGTTTTAGTTTATCAATAAATACAGCAATATGAAGGTATATCTATATATCTATATATAGATATATATACATAGTTAGAAAAATAAATGCATAGGTAAGAGACTGAGTAAAGTACATGAAAATGTTAATAGTTATGATGTGTGGGTGGGGGCATTGTGATTACTTTTTTCCCTAAACTATTGTGTGTGTGTGTGTGTGTGTGTTTGTTTAGGCTTTTATTTTAGGTTTGAGGGTACATGTGAAGGTTGGTTGCATAGGTGAACTCATGTCATGGGGGTTTGTTGTACAGATTATTTCATCACCCAGTTAAGTCCAGTATCCGATGGTTATCTTTTCTGCTCCTCTCCCTCCTCCCATCCTCCACCTTCAAGTAGACTCCAGTGTCTGTTGTTCCCTTCTTTTTTTTTTTCTTTTTTTAAGACAGGGTTTCACCATGTTGGCCAGGATGGTCTCGAACTCCTCAGCTCAAGTGATCTATCTTCCTCAGCCTCCCAAAGTGTTGGGATTACAGGCATGAGCAACTGCACCTGGTCTTGCTTTTCCCTTCTTTGTGTTCATGAGTTATCATTTAGCTACCATTAATTTTTATTTTATTTTTTGTAGAGATGAGGTCTCACTATGTTGCCCAGGCTGGTCTCAAACTCCTGGTCTCTAGTGATCCTCCTAACTCAACCTTCCAAAGTGCTGGGATTACAGGCATGAGCCACTGTACCCAGCCTACAAGTCATCTTTTTCATGAGCAATATAGTCCACTGAATCCAGGTGGACCAGCTTGTCACATCATACCACAGAGCTTTCAGCCATAGCTTTAGCTGGCTCAAGACATGATTTTCTTATAATGACAACTGTAATGCTTCTGAACATTTGTATAGCACCTGGAAAATGTTACCACGCTGGGGGGAAAAGGAGATACACATAATGGCCAGGAAAATTGCAGAATTCCTAATCAGAAAACGTGGGTTCTGGCAATGACTTGCCATGGGTCACATGCTAACACAGACTATCTATGATAGGTTCTCTATAGGGTTTAATTCAATTGGGAAAATATCCATGAAAAATATTGATAAATATTAAAGTATCCTACTAATTACAACTGCTACTTTAAAAAAGCAGTAAACAGGCCAGGTGCAGTGGCCCACGCCTGTAATCCCAGCACTTTGGGAGGCCAAGGTGGGAGGATCACCCAGTCAGGAGTTCAAGACCAGTCTGGCTAACATGGTGAAACCTCATCTCTACTAAAAATAAATACAAAAATTAGCCAGGCGTGGTGGCGCGTGCCTGTAATCCCAGCTACCTGGAAGGCTGAGGCAGGAGAATCGCTGGCACGCAGGAGGCAGAGGCTACAGTGATCCAAGATCTCACCACTGCACTCCAGCCTGGGCAACAAAGCAAGACTCCATCTCAAAAAAAAAAAAAAAAAAAAAAAAGGCAGTAAACAGCCAGATGTGGTAACTCATGCCTGTAATCCAAGTACTTTCAAGAGGCTGAGAGAGGAGGATTGCGTGAGGCCTGAAGTTCCAGACTAGCCTGGCCAACATAGCAAGACCCTGTTTCTAAAAACAAATTTTTTTTAGTTAGTTAGCTGGGTGTAGTGGTGTGCACCGGTAGTCCTACCTACTCAGGAGGCTGTGACAGAAGGACCGCTTGAGGCCAGGAATTTGAGGTTGCAGTGAGCTATGATCCTGCCATGCACTCTAGCCTGGCCAACAGAGACTCCATCTCTTAAAAAAAATTAAAAATAAAAGCAGTAAATGCTATGAAGCTCCATATAGGTACTGTTATAGTACTGTATAAAGATGAAGATAATTCTTTTGGCTGGGAGAAAAATCAGAAAAGGCTTTTTGGAGAAGGTGGCATCTTAAAGTCTAAGTGGGTAGAGATGCCTAAATGGTGACAGAGGAACAGACAAATCTAGAGAGTAGATCAAATGGGAAACAGAATAGGCATGCACAGGAACAACAAAAATAGTTTCATATGGTTACAACAAATACACAAAGATGCCATTAAAGAATAATCACTATTACAAACCATGGGTTCCGACCTACTAGTGGCACCTGAAAGCAATTTTAACAGGTTGCAATTAGCTTTGTTTTTATTTATTTTTTATTTTATTTTATTTGAGACAGAGTCTCGCTCTGTCACCCAGGCTGGAGTGCAATGGCATGATCTTGGCTCAGTGCAACCTCCACCTCCACCTGCTTGAATTGGATTCAAGCGATTCTTGTGCCTCAGCTTCCCAAGTAGCTGGGATTACAGGCATGCACCACCATGCCCAGCTAACTTTTCTATTTTTAGTAGAGACGGGGTTTTACCATGTTGGCCAGGCTGGTCTCGAACTCCTGACCTCAAGTGATCCACCCACCTCAACCTCGCAAAGTGCTGTTATTACAGGCATGAGCCACCGCGCCCGGCCACGCTTTGTTTTTAATGGAATAGAGTGGAACAAATCAGGGTATATCATATACAGAAAGGGTAAATATTGTTTTATGACAGTATTGTTTCAGATGCATATTCATACACAAATCTACATTGAGTCATGATGTAAAATGGATTTCTTATTGTGGATGTGGTAATTTTGGTTTAAATACTAGCCTAGATCATCATAGACCAAACTATGTAATTACTAAAGGATGAAATTACAAATAAATTTCATTTTCTGGCCAGGCACGGTGGCTTATGCTTGTAATCCCATCACCTTGGGAGGCCGAGGTGGGCGGATCATGAGGTCAGAAGTTCGAGACCAGCCTGGCCAACACAGTGAAACGTCAACTCGACTAAAAATACAAAAATTAGCTGGGCGTGGTGGCAGGTGCCTGTAATCCCAGCTACTCAGGAGTCTGAGGCAGGAGAATCACTTGAACCTGGGAGGTGGAGGTTGCAATGAGCTGAGATTTTGCCACTGCACTCCAGCCTGGGCAACAGAGCTAGACTCCATCTCAAAAAAAAAAAACAAAAAAAAAAAACCAGAAATTTCATTTTCTAAAATATGTAGTGTTTGAACTTCTTACTAAAATCATGTACTGCTCTGTAATTACAGGGGGAAAAATGTTTTGGTGTTTTTTTGTTTTTTTGTTTTTTTTTTTGAGATGGAGTTTCACTCTTCTTGCCCAGGCTGGAGTGCAATGGCGTGATCTCGGCTCACTGCAACCTCCGCCTCCCGGGTTCAAGTGATTCTCCTACCTCAGCCTACCTAGTAGCTGGGATTACAGGCGCCCGCCACCACACCTGGCTAATTTTTGTATTTTTAGTAGAGATGGGGTTTCACCATGTTGGCCAGGCTGGTCTCGAACTCCTGACCTCAGTTGATCCACCCGCCTCGGCCTCCCAAAGTGCTGGGATTACAGGCATAAGCCACCGTGCCCAGGCCAAAAATGTTTTTTGTTTTTTTTTTTTTGAGACGGAGTCTCGCTCTGTCGCCCAGGCTGGAGTGCAGTGGCGGGATCTCGGCTCACTGCAAGCTCCGCCTCCCGGGTTCACGCCATTCTCCTGCCTCAGCCTCCCAAGTAGCTGGGACTACAGGCGCCCGCCACTACGCCCGGCTAATTTTTTGTATTTTTAGTAGAGACGGGGTTTCACCGTTTTAGCCGGGATGGTCTCGATCTCCTGACCTCGTGATCCGCCCGCCTCGGCCTCCCAAAGTGCTGGGATTACAGGCGTGAGCCACCGCGCCCGGCCAAAAATGTTTTAAAGAAAGAAAAATTATGCCAAGATCTTTAAGCTCAGTGAACTGTGAGATGATGTCATTTACAGAAATAGGGATCACAGGAGGAAGGCATTAAATGAAGATGGAAATTTCCAATTTCTTTGTACTAAGTCTAAAATGTTCACAGAATATTCTGAAGGCATTGGCTGGAAAGCAGCTATATAACTAGAACTTGGAAGACAGGGTGTAGTACAGGTTGAGTAAACAGCCACATGGGTGATGGGTGAAGCCAGTGACTGTCCAAGGAGAAAGAGGACCAAACCAGACTTGGAGCTCTGGGGAAAGCCTGCCATTAGACAGCCAGGAATAGGGAGAAAAGAAAGGAATCAGAGATGGCAGGCAGCAAGAGGGAAGTCAGGGGGAAGAGGAGAGGAACTCTGAACTGATTCAGGAGAGGGGCCACTGGAACAGCCACATTGTCTTCGCATCGTGGCTTTATACTTTTTTGTTGTTGTTGTTGTTGTTTTGAGATGGAGTCTTGCTCTTGTCATCCAGGCTGGAGTGCAGTGGCACAATCTCAGCTCACTGCAACCTCCGCCTCCCAGGTTCAAGCGATTCTCCTGCCTGAGCCTCCTGAGTAGCTGGGATTACAAGCGCCGGCCACCACACCCGGCTAATTTTTTTGTATTATTAGTAGAGACAGGGTTTCACCATGTTGGCCAGGCTGGTCTCGAGCTCCTGACCTCAGGTAATCCACCTGCCTCAGCCTCCCAAAGTGCTGGGAATACAGGCATGAGCCACCATGCCGAGCTTCCTAACTCTTTTAAACAATTAAATGGCTAGACTCATCACCAAGACAGATCCAAAAAAAAAAAAAAAAAAAAGGAAACACAGAACACATCCCCAGGTTCTCTTCTATGGAGCTTTACTTTTCAGGCCATACAAACCTGTAATGAAGCAAAAGGACTTTCTTATTCATTTCATTCCCAGGAACTAAAATTACCATCAGATTCCTTCCTGATTTATACTCTCATTATATCTAACCAATATTTAAGTTCATCACAGCAACCTTTCCCGTTTGTCCTATCTAATCTATAACCCCTCTCCATGATCAAGCCCATCCTGTGTGCCCTTCATAAATCTCTTTATAATATCAATGCTGCTTGGTTTCAGCTTTCTAGCATGATCAATACTTCACTTGTCACTATCAGAAAACATGCGGCCGGGCGCGGTGGCTCACGCCTGTAATCCCAGCACTTTGGGAGGCCGAGGTGGGTGGATCACGAGGTCAGGAGATGGAGACCATCCTGGCTAACATGGTGAAACCCCGTCTCTACTAAAAATACAAAAAAAAAAATTAGCTAGGCGTGGTGGCGGGCACCTGTAGTCCCAGCTACTCGGGAGGCTGAGGTAGGAGAATGGCGTGAACCCGGGAGGCAGAGCTTGCAGTGAGCCAAGATCGCACCACTGCACTCCAGCCTGGGCGACTCCGTCTCAAAAAAAAAAAAAACAAAACATGCTAGATAACCCTGAGTTTAATTATTATTCAGTATTAATAATAATTGACACAGTTAAGATCCATTAGTAGAAAAAATTTATTAAATAAAAAACTTCAAGTAATAATTTAAAAAAACACATGAGGTAGAAATAAAAATTTTAACATATTTAACACTCATTAAAAAAAACCCTCAAGAGAAATGGAAGATTTCCAAGCCCCAGAAGAATCTGTTACCCCAAGAATCTTTTAACCTTTGTTAAAATCTGTTACTTTTTATATATATAATATAATCACTTTGAGACAATTTTGTTTTACAAAACATCTTTACACAAAAAAGGGAAAACTGAGTGATACCCCCAAACATAGGGGCATATGAACATATGTGAAAATAGGAATCAACTTTTTAAATTTATTATCAATTCAGAAAACAAAATTTGTTGCAAAAGATGATGTAAGAATTATTTTCTTTTATATCAAAATCTACTCTAGAATACTGAAATACTGAATACTGAAAACAAAAAAGGAGGATAGTAAGGGAGGATAGAAAATTAACAGGAAGTAATCAATTCATGTCATAAAAGACTAGGTTTAGAGTGAAAACACATCTGATAGCAGAAAAAATCCTAGCAAAATGGGCTTTGGATTAGGGACCTCAAAATACAGAAAAGAATCACACTTATGTTCTCATCATCACAAGACTGTGCTTAAATGATGAAAACAAATCAAATCCCTTTATTCAGTCTTTCAAATAAAGTTCTTACAATGATATCTACAAAATCAAATTAGTCCTGAAATGTCTGACTTAAAAGTTTAAAGCTCAAAGTCAAAAGTTAATCCATCTTCAAAGCTGGTAAAAATTTATCAAACTCTTTCTCTAGGTTAGGCAAAAATGCATGCATAGAACCCATAAATTCAGACTTTTCACAGTTTTCGGTACACCTGTGCTTTAAAACATAAATACTGCATTAAATTTTGTATGGTGATAGAATTTTCTGTATGGGCACTAGCTAGAGGAGATACTGCCCTAGTATGAAAAGGCAAGGGAAATAGTGTTTTATTCTCTTTGAAAGTCACCCAATATGTGGCAAAGACTTTCATGTTCTCTTGATGGAAGATCAATGATGTAAAATAAATTAAGGAAGAAATATTTAGCACAATATGGAATGGCATAAATTTATGACATTATTATTTAACATTTTGTAATTTGACTTACAGGACCACAAAAAAAAAATAAGGATCTTTATGGCATTCAATGAATAATTATGCCTTTAAGCAACAGGAGTTATTTATCTTTTTTTTTTTTTTTTCTGAGATGGAGTTTCACTCTTGTTACCCAGGCTGGAGTGCAATGGTGCGATCTCAGCTCACCGCAACCTCTGCCTCCTGGGTTCAAGAGATTCTCCTGCCTCAGCCTCCCGAGTAGCTGGGATTACAGGCATGTGCCACCATGCCCGGCTAATTTTGTATTTTTAGTAGAGACAGGGTTTCTCCATGCTGGTCAGGCTGGTCTCGAACTCCCAACCTCAGGTAGTCCGCCTGTCTCAGCCTCCCAAAGTGCTGGGATTACAAGCGTGAGCCACCACGCCCAGCCTCAGAGTTATTTATCTTAGCCTACTTCATACCTTCATAAGAAGTATGAAGTTCTTATGAAGCCTAAGAACTTCATACACTGTTTTTTTTGTTTTGTTTTGTTTTGTTTTTTGAGACGGAGTCTCGCTCTGCCACCAGGCTAGATCTCGGCTCACTACAACCTCCGCCTCCCGGGTGCAAGCGATTCTCCTGCCTCAGCATCATGAGTAGCTGGAACTACAGGCACACGTCACCATGCCCAGCTAATTTTTGTATTTTTAGTAGAGACGGGGTTTCACCATGTTAGCCAGGATGGTCTCAATCTCAACCTCGCAATCCACCTGCTTCAGCCTCCCAAAGTGCTAGGATTACAGGTGTGAGCCACCAGGCCCAGCCCATACACATTTTTAAAAAACGATTTATCTTAAGGCCAGGTGCAGTGGCTCACCTCCTCTCTATTAAAAATTTTAAAAAATTAGCCAAGCGTGGTGGTACGTACCTGTGGTCCCAGATACTCAGAAAGGTAAGGTGGGACGACTATTTGAGTCCAGGTCAAGGCTGTAGTGAGCAGTGATCCTGCCACTACACTCCAGCCTGAGTGAAGTTAGGCACCACTTCTTGGGGGAAAAAAAGGCTGAATGTGGTGGCTGACACCTGTAGTCCCAGCACTTTGGGAGGAGGCGAGTGAATCACTTGAGCCCAGGTGTTCAAAACCAGCCTGGGCAACATGGTGAAACCCTGTCTTTACAAAAAAATACAAAAATTAGCTGGGCATGGTGGAATGCACCTGTGGGCCCAGCTACTGGGGAGGCTGAGGTAGGAAGATCACTTTAGCCTGGGAGATTGAGGGTGCAGTGAGCTCTGATCATATCACTGCACTGCAGCCTGGGTGACAAAGCAAGGCCCTGTATATAAAATAAATAATACTCCATTTTAATCTAATCATTTGTTCTGGATTAAAAAAGGGTTATAGGCTGGGGGCCGTGGCTCACATCTGTAATCACAGCACTTTGGGAGGCCTACACAGGAGGATCGCTTGAGCCCAGGAGTTCAAGACCAGCTTAAGCAACATAGTGAGAGCTTTAATTTAAACAAGCAAATAAATACTCACAACAGTGCAATCAAATGTGACCATATACAGAAGAAAAAGGATATTAATTTTTCTGAGTTTAAATGATTAAGCAGCTTCTCCAAAGGAGGATAGCAATTTAGTGAGGGCACACACCCCAGAAGAATCAGTTTATGTTTGGCTCTGGTTATAGCAACATTAAGACGTCGCCAATCTTTCAAGAGTTCACCAACCTGTAAGAAATATAATTTTCAATTATTCAAGTTCAAAGGAATGGTTAAATATATTACAACACATCCCTACACAATGGACACCTGTGCAAATTTAAGAATAGAATGAGGCCAGGTGTAGTGGCTCATGCCTGTAATCCCAGTACTTTGGGAGGCCGAGGCAGGTGGATCACTGGAGACCAGAAGTTCAAGACCAGCCCGTGCAACACAGTGAGACCCCATCTCTACAAAATATACAAAAATCAGCCAGGCGTGGTGGTGTGCACCTACGGTCCCAGCTACTCAGGAGGCTGAGATGAAAGGATCACTGAGCCAGGGCTGCTTGAGCCCAGAAGTCAAGGATGCAGTGAGCCATAACCATGCCTCCACACTCTGACCTAGCCTCTCAAAAAAAAAAAAAGGAGACTATCTGAGGTAAGAACTGAGTAGATGAGGGATGGAGTACAAAGGAAACCTTTTATTACGTATATTTTAAAACCATATGGATGTATTATACAGTTGAGAAAAATGAACTAAGGAGAGGTAAAAATAAGAAAACCAAAAAAAAAAAAAAAAAAAAACACTATTTGGGAGGACAAGGTGGGAGGATTGCTAGAGCTCGGGAGTTGCCCATAAGCCCGGGCAACATGGCTCTCTGCAAAAAATACAAAACTTAACTGGGTATGGTGGCGCATGCCTGTAATCCCAGCTACTCAGGAGGCTGAGATGGGAGAATCACTGAACCAGGGAGGTGGATATTACAGTGAGCCGAGATTGTGCCATTGCACTCCAGTCTGGGTAACAGAGCCAGATCTCATCTCAAAAAAAAAAAAAAAAAATCAAATCTGAATTGTCTATAAATTTGAAAGTATACAAGGAAGATTTTATATTAAACAGGCCTCAATTACAACAGCCAAGGGGTGGAAGCAACCATTCCATCTGACAGATGAATGGATAAATAAAATGTGGTATATAGAGACAATGGAATATTATTCAGTCTTAAAAAGGAAGGAAATCCTGTCGCATACTACAACAGGATGAACTAGCTGGCTAAGTGAAATAAGGTAGTCACAAAAAGATAAATGCTGTACGATTCTACTTATATGAGGTACTTAGATTAGTCAAATTCAGAGATAGAATGTAGAATGGTGGTTACAGGTGCTGGGGAAGAAGAAAATGGGTGGTTAATCATGAATACAGAGTTTTAGATTTGAAAATGAAAAAGTTCCAGAGATCTGTTGAACAACACTGTGAATGCACTCAACACTAATTAAACTGTACACCTAAAAATGGTAAGATGGGCTGGGCACAGTGGCTCACGCCTGGAATCCCAGCACTTTGGGAGGCCAAGGCAGGTGGATCATCTGAGGTCAGGAGTTCGAGACCAGCCTGGACAAGATGGTGAAACCCCATCTCTAGAAAAGTACAAAAATTAGCCGGGCAAGATGGCGATGCCTGTAATCCCAGCTATTTGGGAGGCTGAGACGGAAGAGTCACTTGAACCTGGGAGGCGAAGGTTGCAGTGAGCCGAGATCGCACTACTGCATGCCAGCCTGGGCAACAAGAGGAAACGCCGTCTCAAAAAAAAAAAAAAAAAGTAAGATGTATGTTTTATGTGTTCTTTTAAACCACAATTTTATTTTCTTTAAAAAAAAAAAAAACCAGAATACATCTGCAGAACGTGCAGTTTTGTTACATAGGTAGACATGTGCCATGGCGGTTTGCTGCACCTGTTGACCCATCCACCAGGTTCCCGCCCCTCACCCCCAACCCGCTAAAGGCCATGGTGTATGTTGTTCCCCTCTCTGTGTCCACATGTTCTCAATGTTAAACCGCAATTTTTTTTTTTTTTTTTTTTTTGAGACAGAGTCTTGCTCTGTCGCCCAGGCTGGAGTCAATGGTACGATCTCGGCTCACTGCAACCTCCACCTCCTGGGTTCAAGCAATTCTCCTACCTCAGCCTCCCAAGTAGCTGGGATTACAGGCGCCTGCCACCACGCCCGGCTAATTTTTGTATTTTTAGTAGAGACAGGGTTTCGCCATGCTGTCCAGGCTGGTCTCAAACTCCTGACCTCAGGTGATCCACCCGCCTTGGCCTCCCAGGGGGCTGGGATTACAGGTGTGAGCCACCGCGCCCGGCCCACAATTTTTAAAGAGAGAGAAATGCCCCAAATGAATCAGTAGCAAACACAATTAACTCACAGTTCCATCCTTATTACTTCTAACAAAAGATACTAGGACAATACTTTTGTCCCTTCCTTGGTATTTGTCTACTGTATTAACTTCGACCATCCCAATAGAACGTGCCAATAAATCATTGATGATCTTTAATTGCTGCCTGTACGGTGCAATAATACCAATATCAGAGGGACTGCATCCAGCCTAAATAGAAAAAGACACAATTTAAAAGAAAGAAATCCTGATTAAGTTAAACTTTTCTGAATTTAATAATTAAATGTTTACATTATGTGCCCAACTGATGTTTATAACAAACTTTCCTATCTCAAAGACTGAATACAATTACTGAATTTGCTCTAAATCTGTCCATATTTCCCAGGATGAAATAATTCCTTAGACATTGCTCCCTTAATTTTTAGTTTCATGAGAACGTAAAGGATTATATGCTACTAAAACAGTGCACACACACACACACACAGTACAAAGAAATACATTTCACCTTCTGCTATTTCTTTCACAGAAAAATTTCCAATTCCTAATCACTACAACATAGTATTGTCTCAATTAGAATTAGCTGACATTACAAAAAGTTATTATCGTAAATGAAAACTCCAAATGTCATTATAAAATATTACATGTCTTAGATACATTTTCTCAAAATAAAAACAATGGGGCTTCAATCCCCCCCTTATCTTAATAAACGAGACTTAATGCCAGATTGTAAGTGTCTTACAGTCTAACATTCTTTTATTCTGCACTTTAATATTTGCTAGCCTTGAAAATTCTAAATTACCTTAACAAAAATGGAGGTTAGGAAAACTATGAGTTTGGCTTCTGTTACATTGCTCACACCACCTTTTTCAACTTGTTCTGGCGCTGGAACCTAAGTGGAAAAATATACAGCCTGCTGATAATACAATCTCTAAAGAGTACTATAAGTACGCAACTGGCCATAAAGACTATACTACCGACTTGGAGATGAAAAATAGCTTTGTCTAAAAGATGAAGGTGAAAGAATCAACAAAAATGAATATTAATATTAGTCACTTTCAGAAAGCCACGCAGAGGCCACCTATCTGAAACATGCTATGATTGAGGCTAAAATACCTACGAAAGCTGATCACACACTGAGCTTCAAATACTTCACTTTGTTATCCCCCATTTTACAGGAATCAAAGGCAGAAAAGAATAAGTAACTTTCCCAAGGCCTCACAATAAACTGTGGCACTACTATTTGAACTTAGGGTGGCCGGGCGCGGTGGCTCACGCCTGTAATCCCAGCACTTTGGGAGGCTGAGGCAGGCGGATCACAAGGTCAGGAGTTGGAGACCAGCCTGGCCAACACAGTGAAACCCCGTCTCTACTAAAAATACAAAAATTAGCTGGGCGTGGTGGTGCGTGCCTGTAATCCTAGCTACTCAGGAGGCTGAGGAAGGAGAATTGCTTGAATCTGGGAGTCGGAGGTTGCAGTGAGCTGACACAGTGTCATTGCACTCCAGCCTGGGAGTCAGAGTGAGACTCCGTCTCAGAATCAAACAAACAAACTTAGATCTGGGTCGTATATCTGTGCTCTTTCCATTTTCTTGTCCCCTTTTATACAAATAATGGAGCAGATAAAACTGCTGTCCTACCTCCTGATACATCTCTTCAAAGACTACTTTCCTCCTACATCATCCCTAAGCAATCTTGATTTTTTTTTTTTTTTTCTGAGACACCAGGAGATTGCACCACTGCACTCCAGCCTGGGAGACAGAGCAAGACTCCATCCTAAAAAACAAAAACAAAAACAAAAAAGTCGTTGTGCAGATTTCTTTTTAATGACTGGTTTGTAAAAAGGTCTTCATGTGCATATGTGGGGGAGGGAGGTTATGAGAAACCTCTGTACTTTCCACATAATTTTGCTATGAACCTAAAACTGCTCTAAAAAATAAAGCTTTTTTTTTTTTTGAGATGGAGTTTCACTCTGTCACCCAGGTTGGAGTGCAGTGGCGCGATCTCGGCTCACCGCAACCTCCGCCTCCCAGGTTCAAGCGATTCTCCTGCCTCAGCCTCCCAGGTAGCTGGGACTACAGGCGCACCACCACACCCAGTTAAGTTTTGCATTTTTAGTAGAGACAGGGTTTTGCCATGTTGGTCAGGCTGGTCTCGAACTCCTGACCCCAGTGATCCACCCCCCTCGGCCTCCCAAAGTACTGGGATTACAGGAGTGAGCCACTGTGCCCGGGTTTAAAGTCTGTTTTTTAAAAAGTCTTTAAAAGGACATCAATTTATTATACCCTCTGTCCATTTGTAAACCCAGCCCTTTGATAGTATCAGTGCCATTTCCTTTTCTAGGAAATAGAATTATACCCCTGAGTTCACTTTGTGGCCTTCCTTCTTCAAAAGTCAATTTTGATATCTACTGACCTCCAGAATAAACCTCCTCCAAAAAATACTGGGCCTATAGAAAGAAAGACTATTTTGGGCCGGGCACAGTGGCTCACACTATAATCCCAGCACTCTGGGAGGCTGAAGCAGGCGGATCATTTGAAGCCAGGAGTTCAAGACCAGCCTGGCCAACATGGTGAAAGCCTGTCTCTACTAAAAATACAAAATTAGTCTGGTGTGGTGGTGGGTGCCTGTAATCCCAGCTACTTGGGTGGCTGAGGCAGGAGAATCGCTTGAATCTGGGAGGAGGAAGTTGCAGTGAGCCGAGATCATGCCACTTGGGCAACAGAGCAAGACTCCGTCTCAAAAAAAGAAAAAGAAAGGAAAAAGAAAGAAAAGACTATTTTGGGTTGAAGTATGAGAAGTACATTAGTTTTGCCTTTTTTTTTCCCCCCAAGATGGGAGTCTTGCTCTGTCACCCAGGCTGGAGTGCAGCAGTGTGATCTCAGCTCACTGTAACCTCCGCCTCCCGGGCTGAAGCAATTCTCATGCCTCAGCCTCCTGAGTAGCTGGGATTACAGGCACCCACCATCATGCCCAGCTACTTTTTATATTTTTAGTAGAGACAGGGTTTCACCATGTTGGCCAAGCTGGTCTTGAATTCCTGACCTTGTGATCTGCCCGCCTTGGCCTCGCAAAGTGCTGGGATTACAGGTGTGAGCCACCACGCCCAGCCTAGTTTTGCCTTTTAACTGATAAGCTCTAATTAGGGCATGTGCTAATGAAAACTGAGAAATTTAAATAATAGGACAAAATGAGAAAAACTAAACAGAAATTTTTTTTTTTACCTTGTCTGTATTAAGGAAACAAACAGGATTGTTGGGTTCAAATACTCCCATCAACCAAGGATTATCAGAATAGTCAGCATAAAATTCCAGTTCCAGCTTCACATCTTTAAAGTGACGTAGGTTTATCACTGCATTGGCCACTTTGTCTGATCCACACTCCAGCTTGCCCTCATAGGTCAGCTTATTACTTAAGGACATAATTTTACTAAGGGAATTACAAAAGATAACTTTAGTTTTGGTAGATGGAAACAAACATGAAAACCACTCCTAGCTAACACTGTTACAAATACCTGTTCATTCTGTACTGCACGGTTAACTGTACAACAGCACTCTTATTCTGCTCCAGCCTCTTGAATAAGCTTTCACTCATGCCAAGAGCTCTGTCAATAAATCAGATTCATGTTTATCAGTGTACTAAATCTGTTCCTTGAAAATAATCTAGTTTAAAATTAACACTTAAGTGTCTGCCTACCTTGCTTCACGGTTTAGCACCAGGGGAGGAAGCTGCTGATGGTCCCCCACTAACACAAATCTCCGTGAAAAAAAAAGGGGGCCCAGACAAATTGGTTGGCTAATTTGAGAGGCTTCATCCACAATACAAAAATCAAAAATTTTACGGGAAAATATTGGATGGTTTATTCCCATACATGTTGTTGCAACTATAAGCTAAAAACAAGGAAAACAGATCAGTTATTTAACATGTAAAAGAAATGTAGTTTTGTTTCTCTCATTTTTGAAATGAAAAGATCAAAAGGTTTTTGTTCTATGGCATCAGGAATCCTTCGATATTATTTAATTCTGAAATATTTATAGCATGCAAATTTTAATTTTTTTCTACAAATTAAAAATAATCAAGTAAACTTTCCAGACACTATTGAACAATGCTCACATTTGGATATTTCCCAGTGGAAATCTGGAACATTCAAGAGGTAATAAGTTAGTTCTTTTTTTGTTTGTTTGTTTGTTTGTTTAATGTCAACCAGGACTTTGCTTCTGGGAAGATGGAGTACTTTTCCTTATTCTTTCCACAAACGACAACTAAAATCCCTAGGCATTATATATAAAAAAAAAAAACAAAAGAAGACTCTGAAAGGTGGAGAGAAGGCAGACCAGCTAGGGAGCTCAGGACCAAAGAAACAACACAGTAGTTGATTCCCTGGGCTTTCTTTTTGCCTCATAGATCCCAGATTTGGAACTGAAGGAGCCACGGCACACCAGTGGGTGCTAAAAACAGCTGCAACCAAAGTCTGCTCTCTCCAGCTGAAGGAACAGGAAAAGGAAAGCCTAGCTAGACAGAAAACTTTCACACAATAACTACTCTAGCCAAATATCACTGGAAAAAAAGTACAGCCCCACAACCACAGACACCAGCAAACAGGGAGGAGGGTAGATCTCTGCCCTTCTCAAGGCTGTAACAAGGTGCCCCACACCCCACCAGGCGGGTGTCAGAGAAAGCCAAGTAGGGAGTCAGGTCTTTCATCCCCGATGACTGGTAACTGGCACCAACCCCACATGTTAGTAGAGACCACATCAGAAGCCTAGACTTCCACCCCAACCAAGTGGGCCCAGCGGTAACGAGGAACCTCCCACTTTGGTCAAAGAAGGCTGAGTGGGGAACCCACACTTCGACTCCCACCTGGCAGGAATGAGGTGGTACCCCTCTTCCCCTACCATGGCAGTGTGAGAGGAAGCCAGCTAAAACAGAAGTTTTCAGTAACAACAAAATATGCTCATGTTTCAATAAAAAAATCAATAATTAAAGACGAACCAGGAAAATCTCAAACTCAATGAAAACAGATGACAATCTATAAATGCCAACACCAGAATGACAGAGAGGTCAGAACTATCTGACCAAGATTTTAAAGCAGCCACGGTAACAACATTTAATGAGTAATTATGAACACGCTTGAATATGAACCAAAAAACAAAGTCTCAGCCAAGAAATAGAAGATAGAAAGAATAAAATGGAAATTTTAGAACTAAAAATATGATAACTGGGCCAGGTACAGTGGCTCACGCCTGTAATCCCAACACTTTGGGAGGCCAAGGTGGGCAGATTGCTGGAGCTCAGGAGTTTGAGACCAGCCCGAGCAACACAGCGAAAACCGGTCTCTACAAAAAATACAAAAATAAGCTGAGTATGCTGGCATATACCTATAGTCCCACCTACTTGGAGGGCTGAGGCAGGAGGATCACTTGAGCCAAGGAGGTCGAGGCTGCAGTGAGCCTTGATCATGCCACTGAACTCCAGCCTGGGTGACAAAGTGAGTCACTGTCTCAAAAAAAAAAAAAAAAACAAAACAGGCCTGAGGCCGCCGCTAGCCGGAGCATCACCATGAAGTTCAATCCCTTCGTGAACTTGGACCGCAGCAAAAACCGCAAACGTCACTTCCATGCCCCCTTGCACGTGCACCGGAAGATCATGTCATCCCCGCTCTCCAAGGAGCTGCGGCAGAAGTACAATGTCCGCTCCACACCCATCCGCAAGGACGACGAGGTCCAGGTAGTTCAAGGACACTACAAAGGTCAGCAAATTGGCAAGGTAGTCCAGGTGTACAGAAAGAAAGATGTCATCTACACTGAGCAGGTGCAGCGTGAGTAGGCCAACAGCACAACCGTCCACGTGGGTACTCACCCAAACAAGGTGGTTATCACCAGGCTAAATCTCAACAAGGATCGGAAAAAAATTATTGAACACAAAGCCAAGTCTCGACAAGTCAGAAAAGAGAAAGGCAAATATAAGGAGGAACTTATTGAGAAAATGCAGGAATAAATATAACCTGTTGTGCAACCATGGTTTAACTGAGATTTTTAGGCTAGTGTGTGTTTCTTTGGAACTTTTCAGAATGTCTCTGGAACATTTCTTTTTTTTTTTTTTTTTTTTTTTTGAGACAGAGTCTTGCTCTGTAGCCCAGGCTGGAGTGCAGTGGCATTATCTCGGCTCACTGCAACCTCCGCCTCCCAGGTTCAAGCGATTCTCCTGCCTAAGCCTCCCGAGTAGCTGGGATTACAGGTGCCTGACACCATGCCCAGCTAATTTTTTGTATTTTTAGTAGAGGCAGGGTTTCACTATGTTGGCCAGGCTGGTCTCGAACGCCTGACCTCGTGATCCACCCGCCTCGGTGTTCCAAAGTGATGGGATTACAGGCATGAGCCACTGGGCCCGGCCATGTTTGTGTTCTTTTTTTTTTTTTGAGATGGAGTCTCGCTCTGTCTCCCAGGCTGGAGTACAGTGGCGGCGATCTCGGCTCACCGCAAGCTCCGCCTCCCCGGTTCACGCCATTCTCCTGCCTCAGCCTCCCAAGTAGCTGGGACTACAGGTACCTGCCACCATACCCGGCTAATTTGTTGTATTTTTAGTAGAGACAGCGTTTCACCGTGTTAGCCAGGATGGTCTCCATCTCCTGACCTCGTGATCCGCCTGCCTCGGCCTCCCAAAGTGCTAGGATTACAGGCGTGAGACACCGCGCCCGGCCATCTCTGGAACATTTCATTTCCTGTTTTGTTACCTGAGGCTCTGTAAATCTACTTTTGCAAATTTAATTAATAATTTTATAAATAAAAATGGGAAATGTTTCATAATTCAAAAAAAAAACAAAAACCCCAAAAACCCAAAAAACAAATACCAGGCCAGGCGCTGTGTCTCACACCTGTAATACCAGCACTTTGGGAGGGCAAGATGGGTGAATCACTTGAGGCCAGGAGTTCAAGACCAGCCTGGCCACCACAGTGAAACCCTGTCTCTAATAAAAATACAAAAAATTAACCAGGCATGGTAGTGCATGCCTGTAGTCCCAGCTACTTGGGAAGCTGAGGCATGAGAACCATCTGAACCTAGGAGGCAGAGGTTACAGAGAGCCAAGATCGGGCCATTGCACTCCAGCCTAGGTGACAGAGGAAGATTCTGTCTCAAAAAAGAAAACCTTCAGCATCTGGGGCTAGACAGAGTTCTTAGACTTGAGACCAAAAGTATAATCTATAAAAGGAAAAAATGTATATTCCGGACTTCCTCAAAAAAAAAAACCTTTTGCAGCCGGGCACAGTGGCTCACGCCTGTAATCCCAGCACTTTGGGAGACTGAGGTGGGCGGATCACCTGAGGTCAGAAGTTTGAGACCAGCCTGGCCAACACAGCAAAACCTCATCTCTATTAAAAATACAAAAATTAGCCAGGTATGGTGGCTCATGCCTGTAGTCCCAGCTACTTGAAAGGCTGAGGCAGGAGAATCGCTTGAACCTGGGAGGCAGAGGTTGCAGTAAGTGGAGATCACACCACTGCACTCCAGCCTGGGTGACACAGTGAGAGTCTGTCTCAAAAAATAAATAAATAGGCCGGGCGTGGTGGCTCACACCTGTAATCCCAGCACTTTGGGAGGCCAAGGCAGGCAGATCACAAGGTCAGGAGATGGAGACCAACCTGTCTAAGAGACGGTGAAACCCCGTCTCTACTAAAAAAATACAAAAAATTAGCCGGGCATGGTGGTGGGCGCCTGTGGTCCCAGCTACTTGGGAGGCTGAGGCAGGAGAATGGCGTGAACCCGGGAGGCAGAGCTTGCAGTGAGCCGAGATTGTGCCACTGCACTCCAGCCTGGGCGACAGAGCAAGACTCTGTCTCAAAAAAATAAAATAAATAAATAAATAAAACTATCTTTTGTTCTGCATAAGACCCTATGAGGAGGATAAAAAGCAAGCGATAGAGTGGGAGAAAATACCTGCAAACCACATATCCATTAAAGGGCTAGTATTAGAATATACATTTTAAAAATTCTCAAAACTCAACACTACAAAGCATATAATCCAAAATGGGCAAAAACATGAAGAAGAGATACAGATGACAAATAAGCACATGAAAAACTCATTATGGGCCAGGTGTGGTGGCTCAAGCCTGTAATCCCAGCACTTTGGGAGGCTGAGGCAGGTGGATCACCTGAGGTCAAGAGTTCGAGACTAGCCTGGACAACATGGTGAAACCCCGTCTCTACTAAAAAAAAAAAATATGTGGCGCATGCCTGTAATCCCAGCTACTTGGGAGGCTGAGGCAGGAGAATCACTTGAACCTGGGAGGCAGAGGTTGCAGTAAGCCGAGTTCACACCACTGCACTCCAGCCTGGGCAATAACGTGTCAAAAACAAAAAAAAAACCCCACCACATTATGGCTGGATGCAGTGGCTCACATCTGTAATCCCAACACTTTGGGAGGCAGACAGAGGTGGGAGGATCATTTGAACCCAAGAGTTCAAGACCAGCCTGGACAACATAAAAAAATTGAAAATATTAGGCAGGCATGGTGGTACATGCCTGTATAGTTCTAGTTACTCAGGAGGCTGAGGCAGAAAGATCACTTGAGCCCAGAAGGTCAGGGCTGCAGTGAGGCGTGGTCTCACCAGTGCACTCCAGCCTGGGCAACAGAGCAAGACCTTGTCTCAAACACACACACACACACACACACACACACACATTTTAACTGGGTAAATGCAAATTAAAATCTCCAAACACCTACCAAAATGGCTAAAATTAAAAATAGTATCAGCTGGGCACGGTGGCTCATGCCTCTAATCCCAGCACTTTGGGAGGCCAAGGCGGGTGGATCACGAGGTCGGGAGCTCAAGACCAGCCTGGCCAACATGGTGAAACCTCGTCACTACTAAAAATATAAAAAATTAGCCAGGCGTGGTGGCGCATGCCTGTAATCCTAGCTACTCAGGAGGCTGAGGCAGGAGAATTGCTTGAACCTGGGAGGCAAAGGTTGCAGTGAGCTCAGATCGCACCACTGCACTCCAGCCTGGGCGCCAGAGCCAAACTCCATCTCAGAAAAAAAAAAAAGCCCGGCACAGTGGCTCACGCCTGTAATCCCAACACTTTAGGAGGCCGAGACAGGCAGATCACAAGGTCAGGAGATTGAGACCATCCTGGCTAACATGATGAAACCCCATCTCTAGTAAAAATACAAAGAATTAGCTGGGCGTGGTGGCAGGCGCCTGTAGTCCCAGCTACTCGGGAGGCTGAGGCAGGAGAATGGCATGAGCTGGAAGGCGGAGCTTGCAGTGAGCCAAGATTGCACCACTGCACTCCAGCCTGGGGGACAAAGCGAGACTCCGTCTCAAAATAAAAAAAAATTGTATCGCCACCAAATGCTGAGGAGATCACTCATACACGTGAAATGTTCCTGCTTAGAAAAACAGTTTGGCAGATTAAAAAAAAAAAATGAACATGCAACTACCAATCAATCCAGAAATTGTACTACTGGGAATTTATCCCAGGGAAATGAAGACTTATGTTACGCAAAAACCTGTAACATGATTGTTTACAGCAGCTTTATTCACAATATCCAAAAACTGGAAACAATCCAGATTTTCAGAGGGTGAATGGTTAAACACAATGCAGTACATCCATGCTATGGAAAAATACTTGGCAACAAAAAGGAACAAACTATTAATACGTACAACTATCTGGGGGAAGCTCTGGAGAATCAGGCTAAGTAAAAAACACCAATCCCAAAAGGCTATTGCATTTACTTAACATTCTCGAACGACCAAATTATCGAAATGGAGATCAGAGTCTCAGAGTCATGGCTGTCAGAGGTTAAGGAGGGGTAAGGCAGGAGAGTGGATACAACTATAAAAGTGCAACATGAGGAATCTTGTGGTAATAGAATAGGGACTGTATCAATGTCAACATCCTGGGTGTGACATTGTACTACAGACTTGCAAGATGTCACCACTGGATAAAGGGGACACAGGCTCTCTCTAGTATTTCTTACAACTGCATGTGACTCTACAATTACCTCAAAGTAAAATGTTTAATTTAATAAAAATGTTAACCAGATATACATCTTAGCCAGTTCTAAATTTATCAATAACAGGGACAGATATTAGACAAAAATATGCTAGCATTAGACAAAGGAGGTAAAGGAACACTCTATTAAATCTAATCTTTGGGAAATTTTTTAAAGACAAAAATATCAGTTAAGCCAGGCACTATAGCCGCGCCCATAATCCCAGCTACTTGGTGGAAGGTTCAATTAAAAAAAAAAAAAAAAAGCCGGGCGCAGTAGTTCACGCCTATAATCCTGGCACTTTGGGAGGCCGAGGCAGGAGGATAACCTGAGGTTGGGAGTGCGAGACCAGCCTGACCAACACGGAGAAACCCTGTCTCTACTAAAAATACGAAATTAGCAGGACGTGGTCAGGCATGCCTGTAATCCCAGCTACTTAGGAGGCTGAAGCAGGAGAATCGCTTGAATCCGGGAGGCAGAGGCTGCTGTGAGCTGAGATGGCGCCATTGCACTCCAGCCTGGGCAACAAGAATAAAACTCCGTCTCAAAAAAAAAAAAAAAAAATTAGTCAGGCGTGGTGGCGGGTGCCTGTAGTCCCAGCTACTCGGAAGGCTGAGGCAGGAAAATGGTGTGAACCCAGGAGGCGAAGCTTGCAGTGAGCCAGGATCGCGCCACTGCACTCCAGCCTGGGTGACAGAGCAAGACTCCATCTCAAAAAAAAAAAAAAAAAAAAGAAAAAAAAATCTGTTAAGAACTCCCAGTATAAATAAACATTAAATAACAAAATAAAATAAAAATTAGATTCTATATAAAAGCCTAGAGATAGTTATCACAAGACTATTAAGTACCATTGTTTCTAATTCAAACTTACTAAAAAACCCGGATTTTTTTTTTTTTTTTTTGAGCTGGAGTCTTGCATTGTCACCTAGGCTGGAGTGCAGTGGCGCGATCTCTGCTCACTGCAACCTCCGCCTCCCAGGTTCAAACGATTCTCCGTGCCTCAGCCTCCCAAGTAGCTGGAATTACAGGCGCCCACCACCACGCCCGGCTAATTTTTTTTGTATTTTTAGTAGAGACAGGTTTTCACCATGTTGGCCAGGCTGGTCTTGAACTCTTGACCTCATGATCCACCCACCTCAGCCTCCCAAAGTGCTGGGATTACAAGCGTAAGCCATCGCACCTGGCTGAAACCCTGATTATTAGTAGTTTCCTAGGATATTTGAAACTAGAAGAGAGCCCTAAATAATAAACCCAAAACCTTATTTCAGATCAGAAGGAAATAGCAAACTATAAGTTAATAAACTGGTCGTATAGTACATATAAATTAATCATGTGCAAATCCAGTCAATGTGACTAAATTTCCCAGAGTACAGTTTCTCCCCTCATTCTGGCTGTGGACATTAACTGTTAGTATTATTATACAATAATTGTGCTTACTTGACTATTGTAGAGTTCTTCTAGAAGAGCTAAGGATTTAATGGACTTTGATCTGCAAATTTCTTGCTCTGTAAATTGCTGGATAGCTGGATGAACCTTCTGAATCTGACCCAAACGCAAAAATCCTATTTTAAACTTGGCTAACTTCAAAAGAATATTGTCAACAGCAGAGTGTGTATAGCTGGTCAACAAAACGCTAAAACCACAGGCGTAGAGAATTCTTACCTAATAATGGGTAAGAGAAAAAAGAAAAAACAGCCTTACTTTTAATTCCAGATAATTTTTAACATGTTTATAAACTTAACAAGAACCATATCTAAGAGCTGAGCCAAGTAAAAATTATGAAGCCAAAACATTTTACAAAAATTACATGACATTATTATACGTTATTAATAATATGTCAATAATACATCATAGGCCAGGCATGGTGGCTCACACTTGTAATCCCAGCACTTTGGGAGGCTGAGGCAAGTGGATCACTTGAACCCAGAAATTCAAGACTTGCCTGGGCAACAAAGTGAGATGCCATCTCTTTTTAAAAAATTCTTTTTTTAATTAGCCAAATGAGGTGGTGCGCCCCTGTGGTCCCAGCTACTTGGGAGGCTTAGGAACGAGGACTGTTTCAGCCCAGGAGATTGAGACTGCATGAACTGTGATCATGCCACTGCATTCCAACCTGGTCTCAAATACCAATCCCCCTGACTTGGACTCCCAAAGTGCTAGGATTACAGGCATGATCCACCTCGCCTGGCTCACGTTAACAAGACTCCATCTCAAAAAAAAAAAAGAAAAAGAAAAGAAAAAAAGAAATTTACTGACATGAAAAAAAAAATCCAAGAAAAATCTCTAACATCTTTTTTTTTTAGGATGGAGTTTTGCTCTTGTTGTCCAGATTGGAATGCAATGGCGTGATCTCAGCTCACTACAACCTCTGCCTCCTGGGTTCAAGTGATTCTCCTGCCTCAGCCTCCCGAGTAAAGCTAGGATTATAGGCGCATGCCACTACGCCCGGCTAATTTTTGTATTTTTAGTAGAGAGGGGGTTTCACCATGTTGGCCAGGCTGGTCTTGAACTCCTGACCTCAAGTGATCCGCCCGCCTTGGCCTCCTAAAGTGCTGGGATTACAGGCGTAAGCCACAACGCCCGGCCTCTAACATCATCTTTAAAGGGAAAGGAAAACATATAGTGATAAATATCACATACCACTAACGGAAAGCGATCTTAGAAAATTCTAAATGCGAGAAATCTACATGATTACAACTGTTTGTGCTTCAGCTTTACTATTTCTCATCATTCTAAAAAGTTCATTTGAAACAAAGACACTGAATTAAAATTCAGCCCTTTTGATATTCAATATTACATCCTCTGAACTGAGGAGAAGCTGATACAAATATTTTGTCTCTAAGCAGAAGAATAATAACCTTACGAGAGTACATATCGTAGTTGTTTTTCCTGTCCCAGGCATACCCACGATGAGTGTGTAGTCTTTTGAAAGAAGTACCTTTTTCATCGCTTGCCTCTGAGGCTTATTCAAACCTACATTTAAATTCAAAAATAACAGGAAAAAGAGTGTTGAATTTCAAAGGAAAAGTTAATTATTTCATAAGAAAAGCAGTCTCTATCCAAGTCTATTCTTCAATACAAAACCATTTCCAAAGAGTCTTGGTCTAAACATTGTAGTTGCAAGTCTAATCAAGATATTAGACTACAGTATAAATCAAATAGAAACAAGAAAAATTAATCAAAGCAGACATGGTGATTTTAGCATACCCTTTAGAATGCAGGCAACTGTATCCTTTGCATCATGTGGAAGAACAGAACTAAGGTAGGATATAAACTGAGGTTCACGAAAGTCAATAATTAAATCTCGAAGTTTTTTGCTGAAAAGTGAAAAAGCACTTTTAGTAATATTCCTTAGAAAAGTGGAGTGAAATTCAAATTTGCTCATTGTTACAAACCTGACAAACGTGTTTTCCATCAATTTGGAAAGATTTCCTAATGGGGTATCTATATCACAATTTTTTTCTTCTTGGTCTAATCTGAACAAAGTTGATTCTGGAAGGACCGACAAGTTTCTAAAACAACAAAACAAATATACATGAATGCTCGCCATTTCGCATAGTCTGTATAAGAAATATGCTGCTATCTGCTAAAAGAATGAATGGGCCAGAATAGCTATTAAAATAGCTACCAGCCCTCAGTCACACTTGCCAATCAAGGACAGCATGAGGCCCTGGATTGGTGGGAAAAGGCAGAGGGAAGGGGAAGGTCCAAGGCACCAAGGTCAAAGCAATTAATAATTGGGAACCTGCAACATTTGCTGAAAATTCATTTACCCTTGCAGTCGAACACGGGTTCACCATCCCCAGAGGGATCCTGAATGCATGGCTCTTCCTTCCTCTAACCTGGAGTGCAGGCTTCTTTTCTGCCACCTTCTCCCTGTCTTCTATCTGTCCCTTAAGCTCTGGTATTCCCTAGAGTCCCTTCCCTGGTTCATTGTACTACTCTTTCTCATTGTTTGCTCCAGGGTCCCAGGCCCTCACGTGCCTCCAAATTCCAAATTCCATCTTTAGGCCTGACCTCACACTCCTCTCCTACCTGGTTCCTCACCCAAGCTTTGGGTTTGGATATTTAGTAGGCAGTGAGATCTCTCCACTTAGCTAAACCCAGGCTGTGAAAGCACAGTACTTTCAAAGCAGAACTCCTCCTCATCCCTGCTGAACCTGATGCTCCTTCTCTGGTCCTGATCACAGTTAATGGCATTGGCATTTGCATTTGCACTGCCATCTTGATCCTTCCCTCTCCCTCATCCTCTCCCCAACCCACACACCCAATCAGTATCCAAATGCCAGCCACTTTTACTTTCTAAATACTTCTCAAAGTCATTCCATTCTCTCTGCCAACACTACCCTGCCTCAATTTCCTCTAGCCTGGGTCACTGCAACAGCTTCCAGGTTTGCTTTTAGTTTTTCTTCCATTAATGAACTCAATTCTCTACAATGTAGCCAGAGGAAAATGCAAATCCAATGATTACCCACTCTTCTGTTTAAAACCTTTCAATACAATTCTATTTATTCAATAGAATAAATAAAATCTAAACTTTTTTTCTTTTGAGAGAGGGCCTTGTTCTGTTGCCTAGGCTAGAGTGCAGTGGCATGATCATGGCTCACTGTAGCCTTGAACTCCTGAGCTCAAGCTGTTATCTCACCGCAGCCCCCTGAGTAGGTGGGACTACACGTGTACACCACCACACCTGGCTAATTTTTTAATTTTTTGGAGAGATGGGGGTCTCACTATGTGGCCCAGGATGGAAAACTTTTTAAAATGATACGTAAGACATTCTATGACCTGATCTAATTACTCTCTTCCTTATATTTTATATTCTAGAAATAACGTAATTACCTGCATTATCCTGAATGCTCCATGTCACACTACATCACACGTTTGTGCAACAGGTTTGCCCAGTATAGTATTCTCTTCTCACACTGTTTCACCAGACTAATTTATTAATCCACAGGATGAAGATTCAGAATTAGCTCTTCGAAAAGGCTTCCCTTGGGCTGGCATGGTGGCTCACGCCTGTAATCCCAACACTTTGGGAAGCTGAGGCAGGAGGATCACTTGAGATCGGGAATTTGGGACCAGCCTGGACAACATAGTAAAACCCTGCGTCTACTAAAAATATAAAAATTAGTCGGGCATGGTGGCACACGCCTATAATCCCAGCTACTCGGGAGGCTGAGGCAGGAGAATCGCTTGAGCCTGGGAGGCAGAGGCTGCAGTGAACTGAGATCGTGCTACTGCACTCCAGCCTGGGCAACAGTGAGACGGTCTCAAAAAAAAAAAAGCCTTCCCTGAACCTCCTAAAATTGAATTAAATACCTCTCCTCTGTGTTCCTATCAATTTGAACACATATCAGATTGAAAATAAGCTGGGTGTAGTAGCTCATGCCTATAATGCTAGCACTTCAGAAGGCTGAAGCAGGAGGATCACTTGAGCCCATGAGTTCAAGACCAGGCTGGGCAACGTAGTGAGACCCCCCCCATCTCTACAAAAAATTAAAAAATTAGCCAGGTGTGGTGGCATGCACCTGTGGTCCCAGCTATGCAAGAGGCTGAGGTAGAAGGACTGCTTGATCCCAGGAAGTCCAGGCTGCAGTGAACTGTGATCATGCCACTGTACTCCAGCCTGGGCTGGAGTGAGACCATGTGTCAAAAAAAAAAAGAAAATATGTATGTCTACACGCAAGACCATAAATTCCTCAAGGATTTGCAAAGTGCTTAATACATGGTAGACACTAAATAAATACTGCAAAGGATACACAAATCCAAGCAGACAACTGGAATATTGTGGATCACCATCCCATGTCATGACATCTAGACAAGGGGTGGTTATGACTCAACTAAGATTACTGATCAGTAGGGAACAAGCCTGGACATTTCCATTACAGTTACTCAGATGTCAATGAGTCCCAATTGCTGACCTCTATCCATTAAGAAATGGTCGGGCATGCCCGTATTAACTGTAAGAAATGCTGGAAAACACAATCCATCTGACTGTGAAAGAGGAGGGAATATGGATTATTCGTGAATATGGATATTGGTCTCTGCCACAATTTTTTTTTTTTCTTTAAGACAGGGTCTCACTCTGTCACTCAGGCTACATGCAGTGCAGAGGTGTGATCTCAGCTCACTGCAGCCTCAACCTCCTGGGCTCAACTGATCGTCCCACCTCGGCCTCCACAGTACCTGGGACTAAAGACATGCACCACCTCCTAATTTTTGTATTTTTGGTAGAGACGAGGTTTTACTTATGTTGCCCAGGCTGGTCTCAAACTCCTGGTCTCAAGCGATATACCCACCTCAGCCTCCCAGTGTGCTAGGATTACAGGCGTGCACCACCTTGCCTGCCCATATTTTCCTATCAATTATTCTACTATTAATATTTTTATTTAGGCCAGGCGTGGTGGCTCACAAGGTCCAGCCTAAATAAAAATATTAATAGTAGAATATACATACACATATATATATATATTTTTAGACAGAGTCTCACTCTTGTTGCCCAGGCTGGAGGGCAGTGGTGCAATCTCGGCTCACTGAAACCTCTGCCTCCGGGTTCAAGCGATTCCCCTGCCTCAGCCTCCCAAGTAGCTGGGACTATAGGCATGTGCGCTACCATGCCCAGCTATTTTTTTGTATTTTTAGTAGAGACGGGGTTTCATCGTGTTAGCCAGGATGGTCTTGATCTGACCTTGTGATCCGCCCAACTCGGCCTCCCAAAATGCTGGGATTACAGACGTGAGCCACCACGCCCCGCCTATATATTTTTATTTAAATCAGCCATTTTGTTGTAACTGAAATGGGTATACTTATATCACAACTATAAATGGGAAAAATAAACATTTTTATTTAAAAAAGGAGAGAACAAAATAGTCAGTGCCCAGCATGCAAGGAGAAATAAGCATTATAGCTAACACAGGGTGGCATCTATGCTGTCTGCTATACATGTGGTTGTAAGAATTAGATAAGATTATGTCCACATCATCACTATGGAACATAATGTACTAAACAAAACTTTAGCAGTTTGGTAGTTCCTCAAAATGTTAAACATGAAATTAGCACATGACCCATGCCTAGGTAACTACAAAGAAAATGAAAGTATGTCTACCTAAAACTATGCATGTCAATGTTCATAGCAATATTAATCATTACAGCAAAAAAGTGGAAACAACTCAAATGTCCATCAGCTGGTGAATGGATGAACAAAATGTGGTGTATCCATACAACAGAATATATTCAGCCATAAAAAAAATGAGGGTCTCATATATGCTGAAATATGAATGAACTTTGCAAACATTAGGCTAAGTGAAAGAAGCAAGACACAAAAGGTCACGTATTGTATGGTTCCACTTATATCATATATCCAGAATGGATGAATCCATACAGAAAGAAAGCCAATTTAGTGGTTGCCAGGGACTTCAGGGAGGAGAGAGTGGGAAGTGACTGCGTAATAGGAATGAGGTTTCCTTTTAGGGTGATAAAAGTGTCTTAGAAATAGACAGAAGTGATGGTTGCACAATATTGGGAATATACTAAACGCCACTCAATTATACACATTAAAATGGTTAATGATCAATTTTGTTATATGAATTTTACCTCAATTTATTTAAAATAAAAAGAATGAAATGCTGATACATGTTATAACATGAAGATGAATTTCAAAAACAGTGTGCTGTGTGAAAAAACCCAGTCACCAAAGACCACATATTGCATGATTCCATTTACATGAGATGTCCAGAATGGGCAAATCTACAGAGACAGAAAGCAGGTTAGTGGTTGCCACGGGCTGGGGAAATTGGAGGAAAATGAAAAGTGACTACTAAAGGGTATAGGGCTTCTTCCTTGGGAGTTTCTTTTTGGGGTGATGAAAATACTCAAAGTTGATTGTGGTGATAGCTGCACAACGCTGTGAATATACTAAAAACCAGCGAATTGTACATTTTAAATGGATGAACTACACAGATGTGAATTATATATCAATAAAGCTGTTATCAAAAAAAGTAACATTTCATTACCTGTCTAATAAACAAGTTACTGTTGTCATGTTAATCTCCTTCACATATCCTCTAGACAAAGCAAACAGTGACCTTTCTTCTCCACTTACAATAACTCTGTCACCTGCCATTAGATTTGTGACAGGTATGGCACCATGTTTACATTGGAAATTATGTAAATATTGCCCATCACAAACTATCTTTACATGTTCCATTCTAATCAGGTTTCCAATGCAACTGCCACTCTTCTCCCTATGAAAAGACCAAAGAGAAAAAAACTTCTGTTTATATTACATACGTAAGTATTGTGTCTGCATTTTCCTACAACTTACTTGTTCATCTGACTCCTAAAAATTATTATTGAGGCCGGGTGTGGTGGCTCACGCCTGTAATCCCAACACTCCAGGAGGCCGAGGCGGGTGGATTACCTGAGGTCAGATGTTCAAGACCAGCCTGGCCAACATGGTGAAAACCCTATCTCTACTAAAAAAAAAAAAATAAAAATAAAAAATTAGCCAGGTGTGGTGGTGCTCGCCCGTAATCCCAGCTACTCAGGAGGCTGAGGCAGGAGAATCACTTGAACCCGGGAGGTGAAAGTTGCAGTGAGCCAAGATCTCACCATTGCTCAACAACCTGGACAACAAGAGCAAAACCACCTCTCAAAAACAAAAACAAAAACAAAAACAAAACAAAACAGACTAATATTGAGCCTGTCATTTTTACATTTTCCACAACCTACAGTAAAATGTTAGAAATGTTAAGTAAACATTCTCTTAGTTTCTGGGGTTTTTTGAGACACCCTCCGACCCCCACCCTGTTCAAGCGATTCTCATGCCTCAGTCTCCTGAGTAGCTAGGATTACAGGCATACACCACCACGACAAGCTAATTTTTTATATTTTTAGTAGAGACAGGGTTTCACCATGTTGGCCAGGCTGGATTCGGACCCCTGGACTCAAGTGACCCACTGGCCTCAGCCTCCCAAAGTGCTGGGATTACAGGCCTGAGGCACCATGCTCGGCCCTCTACTAGTTTTAAATGAATTGCTCAACAATAGTCTTGCAAGAAAGTGCTAGGGATCGCCCCACCCTTGTTGCACCCACAGGCTGGGATCTCCAAAAATGGTGTTTTATTGGCACTTTGATCCCTGAGGGGTAGATACCCCCACTTCTTGGGCTGATACATATAATACCATTACAGAAAACAAACCATAATAACCTGCTCCCAAATGCAATATAAAAAAAATTATAGCCAGGCGCGGTGGCTCACGCCTGTAACCCTAGCATTTTCGGAGGCCGAGGCAGGCAGATCATCTGAGGGCAGGAGTTCGAGACAAGCCTGACCAACATGGAGAAACCCTGTCTCTACTAAAAATACAAAATTAGCCGGGCATGGTGGCACATGCCTGTCATCCCAGCTACTCGGGAGGCAGAGGCAGGAGAATCACTTGAACCTGGGAGGCAGAGGTTGCGGTGAGCCAAGATCACGCCATTGCACTCCAGCCTAGGCAACAAGAGTGAAACTCCGTCTCAAAAAAAAGAAAAAAAAACCATTTAAAATCTCTCTGGCAGCACTACTAAATAACATGCAATCTCAGAAGCTTATTAGTATTTATATATGTATGACAGATTCGCTACATATATGCAGTCTAACTACAATTAAATAAACTTTCTCCACAGCAATGTTATCTTGTGTTAAAGTCTAATGTTAGGGAAGAAAATGATCCAATTATTTCTGAAGTCATGTTATTAATATTCATTCTGGGCCGGGCGCCGTGGCTCATGCCTGTAATCCCAGCAATTTGGGAGGCTGAGGTGGGCAGATGACCTGAGGTCAGGAGTTCAAGACCAGCCTGACCAAAATGGAGAAACCCCATCTCTACTAAAAATACAAAATTAGCCAGGCATGGTGGCAAGCACCTGTAATCCCAGCTATTCAGGAGGCTGAGGCAGGAGAATCACTTGAACCCGGGAGGTGGAGGTTGCAGTGAGCTGAGATCATGCCATTGCACTCCAGCCTGGGCAACAGAGCAAGAATCTGTCCAAAAAAAAAAAAAAAAAATTCATTCTGGAAAGAAAAAAATGAAACTAAAACAAGTTACGTTTTACATAAAAAAACATTTGAGGCCAAGTGTAGTGGCTCACACCTGTAATCTCAGCACTTTGGGAGGCTGAGGTGGGCGGATCACGTGAGGTTGAGAGTTCAAGACCAGCCTGACCAACATGAAGAAACCCCATCCCTACTAAAAATACAAAATTAGCCGGGTGTGGTGGTGCATGCCTGTAATCCCAGCTACTCGGGAGGCTGAGGCAGGAGAATCACTTGAACCTCGGAGGCGGAGGTTGTGGTGAGCCAAGATTGCAAGATTACTCCCCAGCCTGGGGAACATGAGCAAAACTCCATCTCAAAAAAAGAAAAAAAAATTTTTGAGGCCGGGTGCAGGGGCTAACGCTTGTAATCCCAGCACTCTGGGAGGCCAAGGCAGCTGGATCACCACGAGATCAGGAGATCAAGACCATCCTGGCTAACACGGTGAAACCCCGTTTCTACTAAAAATACAAAAAAATAGCCAGGTGCTGTGGCTCACACCTGTAATCCCAGCACTTTGGGAGGCCGAAGCGTGTGGATCATCTGAGGTTGGGAGTTCAAGACCAGCCTGACCAACATGGAGAAACCCCGTCTCTACTAAAAGTACAAAATTAGCCTGGCGTGGTGGCCCATGCCTGTAATCCCAGTTTACTCGGGAGGCTGAGGCAAGAGAATCACTTGAATTCAGGAAGAGGAGGTTTCAGTGAGCCAAGATTGTGCCATTGCACTCCAGCCTGAGCAACAAGAGGGAAATTCTGTCTCAAAAAAAAAAAAAAAAATTAGCTGAGCATGGTGGCACGCACCTGTAGTCCCAGCTACTCAGGAGGCTGAGGCAGGAGAATCGCTTGAACCCGGGAGGCAGAGGTTGCATGAGCTGAGATCGTGCCACTGCACTCCAGCCTGGGCGACTGAGCAAGATTCCATCTCAAAAAAAAAAATTTTTTTGGCTGGGTGCAGTGGCTCACACCTATAATCCCAGCATTTTGGGAGGCTGAGGTGGGTGGACTGCTTGAGGCCAGGAGTTCCAGACTAGCCTGGCCAACATGGCAAAACCCCGTCTCTACTAAAAATACAAAAATTAGCTGGGTGTGGTGGCACGTGCCTGTAAACCCAGCTTCTTGGGAGGCTGAGGCATGAGAATTACTGGAACCCAGGAGGCAGAGGTTGCAGTGGGTCAAGACACTCCAGCCTGGGTAACAGAGTAAGACTTTTTTATTTTTTATTTATTTATTTATTTTTTTGAGACGGAGTCTCTCTGTTGACTAGGCTGGAGTATAGTGGCACAATCTTGGCTGACTGTAAGCTCTGCCTCCCGGGTTCATGGGATTCTCCTGCCTCAGCCTTGGGAGTAGCTGGGACTACAGGCACCTGCCACCATGCCCAGCTAATATTTTGTATTTTTAGTAGAGATGCGGTTTCATTGTGTTAGCCAGCATGGTCTCAATATCCTGACCTCGTGATCCACCCTCCTTGGCCTCCCAAAGTGCTGGGATTACAGGCGTGAGCCACCTTGCCCAGCCCAGAGCAAGACTTTGTCTAAAAAAAAAAAAGTTTCACATACTACAAAAGGCCTGAGATTAAAAAAATGAAAGCAATTAAATTTTACATATGTATAGTATACTCACTACACATACGCAGTCTATCCACAATTACATAAACTTTCTCCACTGCAATGTTTCCTTGTGTTAAAGTCTAATATTAGGGAAATAATAATCCAATTATTTCTAAAGTCACATCATTAATACTCATTCTGCAAAGAAAAAATGAAGCTAAAGCAATGAAATTTTACATAAAGAAAAATACTACGCAAAGATAAATTCTAGGCCAGGCATAGTGGCTTATACCTATAATCTCAACACTTTGGGAGGCCAAAGTGGGAGGATCACTTGAGCTCAGGAATTTAAGACTATGCTGGGCAACATAGCAAGACCCTGTTTCTATAATCACGTAAAATAAAATAAAACAAAAAAATTAGCCATGGCACAGTGGCTCGCAGCTGTAATACCAGCACTTTGGGTGGTCAAGATGGGAGGATCACTTGAGGCCAGGAGTTCAAGACCAGCCTGGGCCATATAGCAAGACCCCATCTCTAAAAAAAAAAAAGTTAGCCAAGTTTGGTGGTGCACACCTATGGTCCTAGCTACTCAGGAGGTTGAGGCAGGAGCACTGTGAACTTTATCCCAGAAGTTCGAGGCTACAGTGAGCCATGATTGCACCACTATACTCCAGTCAGGGCAGCAGAGTGTGACCCTGTCTCTTAAAAAAAAAAAAAAAAAAAAGAAAAATTCTAACTTTACAGGTACATATTACTATTATTTTTTTAAATGAATCCCACAAGGACTATGAAATGGACCTTTAGAAAATTTGCATCTGTATCAAAAGTTACTGAAAATATAAACATTTAAAATACGAGTATTTAGACCAGGCAAGGTGGCTCACGCCTGTAATCCCATCACTTTGGGAGGCTGAGGTGGGTGGATCACTAAGTCAGGAGTTCAAGACCAGCCTGGCCAAGATGGTGAAACCCTGTCTCTACTAAAACTACAAAAATTAGCTGGGCGCAGTGGCAGGCGCCTGTAATCCCAGCTACTTGAAGGCCGAGGCAGGAGAATAGCTTGAATCCAGACAGCAGAGATTGCAGTGAGCTGACAACATGCCACTGCACTCCAGCCTGGGTGACAGAGTGAGATTCCATCTCAAAAAGAAAAAAGCGAGTATTTAAAAAATCCAGTAAATACCACATTAATTTGCATTATACCAATATATACAACAATTTACTTTAAGATATACTCAAGTTTATAATGTTATCACCGATGAAAAAGTGTATACTGAAAATTTTTAACAGGATTTAAAATAATTTTTTTTTTTTGAGTCAAGGTCTGGCTCTATCACCCAGGCTGGAGTGCAGTGGTGTGATCTCAGCTCACTGCAACCTTCACCTCTGGCTCAAGCCATCCTCCCACCTCATCCTGGGACTACAGACATGCACGACCACACCTAGGTAATTTTTGTATTTTTTGTAGAGACAGGGTTTTGCCATGTTGCCCAGGCGGGTCTCAAACTGGTGAGCTGAAGTGATCCACCTGCTTCGGCATCCCAAAGTGCTGGGATTACAGGCATGACCCGACGCCCTGACAAAAGTAATTTTTTTTTTTTTTTTGAGACAGAGTCTCGCTCTGTCACCCAGGTTGAAGTGCAGTGGTGCGATGTTGGCTTACTGTAACCTCCACCTCCCGGGTTCCAGCAATTCTCCTGCCTCAGTCTCCTGAGTAGCTGGGATTAAAGGCGCCTGCCACCACGCCCGGCTAATTTTTTGTTTTTGTTTTTTTGTGACAGTTTTGCTCTTGTTGCCCAGGCTGGAGTGCAATGGCAGGATCTTGGTTGACTGCAGCCTCCGCCTCCCAGGTTCAAGCGATTCTCCTGCCTCAGTCTCCCAAGTAGCTGGGATTACAGGCACCCGCCACCACGCCCAGCTAATTTTTGTATTTTTAGTAAAGACGGGGTTTTGCCATGTTGGCCAGGCTGGTCTCAAACTCTTGACCTCAGGTGATCCACCCACCTCGGCCTCCCAAAGAAAAGTAATTTTTAAAACAAGATTTCTTGAGGTATATTTAGTCTACTGAAACTATATTACTAACTAGCAATGATTGCAGCACATAGGATACACAGGAATGGTGCTCTTCTTAGAAACAATAGAGAGCCATCTGCAGTTGTCATGAATAAATGAAATCACGTTATCTATAACATGCTTCATAACTTGTATTTGTCATAAATTCCAAAGGCCACCTCATTCACTAATCCAAACTACTGAAATCTTACTGTACTAAATGGACCACTTACATTTCCGAAGCAGGCATTAGCCAGATATTTTGGTGATTCTTTTTATTATCCTTCGATTGTGACTCCAGGGTTAACATTAGACACCAAAGGCTGAAATATTCTAAGTGTGTTTGCTTCAGATGCTGGGTTTCTTCTTCTATTTTGGGCAGCATCACAATTGGGACTGAACTACAATCCATCTGTTGTTCAACTGCTCTAAATATAAAGTTCCAAGTTAGAGATGCTTATAAACCATTTCCCTGGCTGGGTACGAAGTGAGATAATTCCAAAATAAGAACACATATATGATCATCATCATAACTCATAACCACAGCCCCTAATGTTCCTTAAAAGTCATTTAAACATAAGCCATATGGCTTTTTATAAAACCAAATGTGTGAGAAACTCAATACTGCATTATTTTGCCTTCAGCGACTATCCCCCAAACAACTCAGGTTGGGTAAACCCTAATCTTCATTCCCATATGCAACAAGTTTTGGCTTTTAATACAACTTCATTTCTCAAAAATCACAATATTTGTACACCCAGCTCAGTGACGTAAGTACACATAAAAACACAGAGAATCATTTGGATTTTGCTTAATACCAGATTAAAATATTTTCTATAGAAACAAACATGCTATAGGACAGCATACCAAACACTGACGATAAACATAAGATTTCAAAGAAATATGCCCAGACTTCCTACGGTTCACAGTCCTCTGCCATTAAGAGATCCCTTGAAAAAATACCTTAAAAAGTATTTATATGAGGCCGAGTGCAGAGGCTCATGCCTATAATTCTAGCATTTTGGGAGGCCAAGGCGGGTGGATTGACTGAGCTCAGGAGTTCGAGACCAGCCTGGGCAACACACGGTGAAATCCCGTCTCTACTAAAATACAAAAACTTAGCCAGGTGTGGTGGCGGATGCCTGTAGTCCCAGCTACTCGAGAGGCTGAGGCAGGAGAATTGCTTGAACCCAGGAGGTGGAGGTTGCAGTGAGCCAAGATTGCACCACTGCACTCCAGCCCAGGCAACAAAGCAAGACTCTGTCTCAAAAAAAAAGAAAAAAAGTATTTCGGCATAGTGCAGTGGCTCAAGCCTATAATCCCAGCACTTTGGGAGGCCAAGACAGGCAGATCACTTGAGGTCAGGAGTTCAAGACCAGCCTGGCCAACATGGTGAAACCCTATCTGTATTAAAAACACAAAAAATTGCTGGGCGCAGTGGTTCATGCCTGTAATCCCAGCACTTTGGGAGGCCGAGGTGGGCGGATCACGAGGTCAAGAGATCGAGACCATCCTGGCCAACATGGTGAAACCCTGTCTCTACTAAAAATACAAAAATTAGCTGGGTGCGGTGGCGAGCGCCTGTAGTCCCAGCTATTCGGGAAGCTGAGGCAGGAGAATCGCTTGAACTAGGGAGGCGGAGGTTGCAGTGAGCCGAGATCATGCCACCGCACTCCAGCCCTAGTGACAGAGTGAGACTGTCTCAAAAAAATAAATAAATAAATAAAATACAAATAAATAAATAAAAATACAAAAAATTAGCTGGGCGCGGTGGCTCACGCCTGTAATCCCAACACTTCGGGAGACTGAGATGGTCAGATCACCTGAGTTCGGGAGTTGGAGACCAGCCTGACCAACACGGTGAAACCTCTTCTCTACTAAAAATACAAAATTAGCCGGGAATGGTAGCACATGGCTGTAATCCCAGCTACTTGGGAGGCTGAGGCAGGAGAATCGCTTGAACCCAAGAGGCAGAGGTTGTGGTGAGCCGAGATTGCACCATTGCACTCCAGCCTGGGCCACAAGAGCAAAAAGTCCGTCTCAAAAAAAAAAAAAAAAAGAAAGAAAGTACTGTGGTTTTTTTTCTATTATCTTAATTTTAGAAATAATACGAAGGAAAATATAAAGGAAAAATAACTAAAATGATGTTATCAATGCCCGTCTGGCCACCAGTGTTAAACGTATTTAGTTGAGTTCATACTCAACTAGAAATAATGCCTTTGGTAGACAATATTTACCTGCTATAAAGAGCACAATTGCCAATTTGTGAACAATATTTACAAGTTTTCTCTTCCTCAATTATTTGTGGCAAAGAAGCAAGCTGTGTCTTCTGTCTAGTAGCAGATTTGCTAATACGGTGAAACAATGAGAATGCCATCTGGTTTCTTAGCTTTAATAATTCTATGAAAAAAAAGGTGAATGTCTTTTTAAGAGTTAAATAAAGTTTATCATGTCTTTTTCACTACATATGTAAAACTTGCAGATTTAAAAACATTTTAGGGCCGGGCACAATGGCTTACGCCTGTAATCCCAACACTTGGGGAGGCTGAGGTGGGCGGATCACCTGAGGTCAGGGGTTCAAGACTAGCCTAACCAACACGGTGAAACCCCGTCTCTACTAAAAATACATAATTAGCTGGGATTGGTGGCGCATGACTGTATTACAGCTAATCAGGAGGCTGAGGCAGGAGAATCACCTGAACCTGGGAGGCGGAGATTGCAGGGAGCTGAGATCGCATCATTGCACTCCAGCCTGGGTAACAAGAGCGAAACTCGGTCTCAAAAAAATAAATAAATAAATAAATAAAATAAAAATAAAAACATTTTAAAACGGAGAAAACAGTATTCATATTTCCCACTATACTAGAATAACAACATTTTGGTATTCATATTTCCCACTATACTAGAATAACAACATTTTGGTACATTTCCTTTAAGTTTCTGTTCACTTGATAAATTCTTTAAACTATATATTTCGTAACTAGTAAGCATTGTGAAGTTGGTATTAGCTGAATACTGAAGATAAATACAGCTATCTAGAATATCTTTAATATAAAATAGAAAGTTTGAAATAAAGTTTTGCATAATAAAATTTTAAAAGATTAATAATGTTTTCAACTATAGAGTATATTATTAAAATTCTTTTAAAAAAAACCACAATTGGCCAGGTACAGTGGCTCATGCCTGTAATCCCAGCACTTTCAGAGACCAAGGCGGGCAGATCTCTTGAGGCCAAGAGTTCAAGACCAGCCTGGCCAACATGGCGAAACCCCATCTCTACTAAAAGTAAAACTAGCCAGGCATGGTGGCACATGCCTGTAATCCTAGCTACTCAGGAGACTGAGGCAGGAGAATCGATTCAACCCAGAAGGTGGAGGTTGCAATGAACCAAGATTGTGCCACTTCACTCCAGCCTGGGCAACAGAGTGAGACTCTATCTCAAAAAACGAAAACAAAAACACACACATAAAAAACAACAACAAAAAAAACCCACAGCTACAAATTATAACCTATTAAGTGCTGTGAGTAGATTGTCAGGTATAAATATGTATCACTAGAAGCTGAAGTGGGGGGGTGGGCAAAGAAGTAAAACTAAAAAAAAAACGGCTCAACCTCTTTTATCTAGATGGTTGGCAGGCACAGGGTACATCTGACCAGTCTTGAGGTAGAGAAGCAAGCCAGCCTCTGGATCAGCTCTTCTCTCTTGGCTTAGTAGAGTGTACAGAACAACCTGTGCAAACATTGACATTTGCTCAAACAAAACTATAACTTCTTGTATTTCCTTACATTGTCTTGCAACCAACACATAATTTTAAACTCAAAAGATCAATAAAGTTATTTCTATTTAATAAGTAACATGAGCCAAATTGGTAAAGATAACACAACAAATTTGATGTCAAACATTTAATCTAGGCCAGGCATGGTGGCTCAGGCCTGCAATCCCAACACTTTGGGAGGCCAAGGCAGGCAGATCGCTTGAGCCCAGGAGTTTGAGACCAGCCTGGGCAATATAGTGAGACCAAGTGATAGTCATTATGTTAAGCAAAAAAAGCCAGACACAGAAAACTTTGTATGTTCTCACTTACTTGTGGGAGCAAAAAATTAAAACAATTGAATTCATGGAGACAGATAGTAGAAGGTTGGTTACCAGAGGCTGGGAACAATAGTGAGGGTGGTGCGGGGGGAGAAGTGGGGATGGTTAATGGGTATCAAGAAACAAAAAAAAAGAGTAATGAATAAGACAGTATTTGCTAGCACAACAAAGTGACTATAGTCAAAAATAATTTAGCTGTGCATTTTAAAATCACTAAAGGAGTATAACTGGGTTATTTGTAACACAAATAATAAATGTTTGAGGGGATGGATACCGCATTTACTATGTTATGATTATTACGTATTGCATGCCTATATTAAAATATCTCATGTAATCCATGAACGTATACACCTACTAAGTACCCACAAAAATTTAAAAGCATAAAAACAAAAACGTAGTGAGATCCCCATTTCTACAAAAAGACATGTATGTAAAAAAAGTTAAAAATTACCCGGGCACGGCTGGGCGTGGTGGCTCATGACTATACTCCCAGCACTTTGGAAGGCCAACGTGGGCAGATTACTTGAGGTCAGGAGTTCGAGACCAGCCTGGCCAACATAGTGAAACCCTGTCTCTACTAAAAATACAAAAATTAGCCGGGTGTGATGGCACATGCTTGTAATCCAGCTACTTGAGAGGCTAAGGCAGGAGAATTGCTTGAACCCGGGAGGTGGAGGTTGCACTGAGTCGAAATCGTGCCACTGGACTCCAGCCTGGGGGACAGAAGGAGACTTCACCTCAAAAAAAAAAAAAAAAAAAAAAATTAGCCAGGCATGGTGATGTGCGTCCATAGTCCCAGCTACTCAGGAGGCTGAGATGGGAGGATTGATTGACCCTGGGAAGTAAAGGCTGCAGTGAGCCAAGACCGTGCCACTACATTCCAGCCCAGGTAACAGAGGGAGACTGTCTTAAAATAAAAAAAAAAGGCCGGGCGCAGTGGTTCACGCCTGTAATCCCAGCACTTTGGGAGGCCGAGGCGGGCGGATCATGAGGTCAGGAGATCGAGACCATCCTGGCTAATAAGGTGAAACCCCGTCTCTACTAAAAATACAAAAAAATTAGCCGGGCGTGGTGGTGGGCGCCTGTAGTCCCAGCTACTCGGGAGGCTGAGGCAGGAGAATGGCATGAACCCAGGAGGCAGAGCTTGCAGTGAGCCGAGATCGCGCCACTGCACTCTAGCCTGGGTGACAGTGAGACTCCGTCTCAAAAAAAAAAAAAAATTTAATTTACACAAAACAAACATAGTTCATGCTTCTCAGTTTTACTTAGATAACCAAGAATTCTATAGAGAATTTTCTTAGAAAGCAAATATTTAGATATCCAATAAATTGAAGAAGGAAATTAATCAAACTATGATTTACATTTTGAAGTTAACAGTCTGTAGAGACTATTTTCTCCATTTAAAATAAATGATCCAAAACAAAAATGATTATCATTTACATGATAGCTACTGTGACAAATAATACTAACTCTACAGTTTGTTTCTCCAGAGCATGAAATGTCATTAACCACCTTAGGTTTCATGAAATTCTTCGGAGAAACCATCTAAGACAAGTTAAAAATAGTCCTTTTAGCTCATGTAACAGCTTTAGCTGTAAGTCAATATAGCAAGACCCCATCTAAAAAAAACTTTCTTAAACCTTTTATTATCAAAATTAAAAAGTCAAATCTTTTAAGTAGGGAAACATTTTTTTCCTCATACCCAACATAATAATGAACTACCATAATTAATTTTTCAATGTCTTGTCTCGTGCATAATATGCAATATAAATTCCAACTTTTTTTAAGCCTTGTTCTAGCAAATTTCCTCATTTTTTTCAATACAAGAATTACTACTTTATTCTTAAAATTTTCTTGCACTTCTTGCAAAAATAAAATCTCCAATTGAACAAAATTAAATACAGTAATATTCTTTGCCTTGAAGCAATGGTGAATTAGAGCAACAATCTCAATGGAAAAAGATCTTGGAATCCAGATCACTTAAGATATTGAAATGCTTTTATTTATTTATTTATTTTTGAGATGGAGTCTGGCTCTGTCACCCCGGCTGGGGTGCAGTGGCGTGATCTCAGCTCACTACAACCTCTGCCTCCCTGGTTTGAGCAATTCTCAGCCTCCCGAGTAGCTGGGACTACAGGCATGTGCCACCACACCAGGTGTGTGTGTGTGTGTGTGTGTGTGTGTGTGTGTGCGTGTGTGTGTGTGTGTGTAGTAGTTTCACCATGTTGGCCAGGCTGGTCTCAAACTCCCGACCTCAAGTGATCCACCCACCTCGGCCTCCCAAAGTGCTGGGATTACAGGCGTGAGCCACTGTGCTGGCCTGAAATGCTTTTATATTTCTCTCCTGTTTAGCATTATAAAGTGATTTCATTCAAACTTGTGATTTTAAAAATCAATTAAAAATTTTCAGTCTCATATACACAAAACACATTCCTTCTGACCTTTGACTTCAAAAACAAGCCTTTCTTCTATTGACATAATGTTCCTTCCTCCAGAGGGTTATAATTTAGCCAAGTATTTAAGTTTGTAATTTCAGTTATTTCTGTATTATTAAAGTAAAAAGTTCAAGTCTTTAAAAAGGGGAAACATTTTTTCTTCCACTTCCAACATCTACAGAAAACCTAATAATAGGTGAAACAAAGTTACCCTACTTTTCATTCCCAAATGTAAAGCTCTTGTGAAAACCTTCAATATTTCGTACACAATTAATAGCAAAAGGCTGGGTGCAAGTGGCTCACACCTGTAATTCCAGCACTTTGGGAGGCCGAGGTGGGAGTATCAGGTGAGGTCGCGAGTTCGAGACCAGGCTGGGCAACATGGCAAAACTCAATTTCTACAAAAAATACAAAAATTAGTCAGGCATAAGGCCGGGCTCAGTGGCTCATGCCTGTAATCCCAGCACTTTGGGAGGCTGAGGAAGGCAGATCACGAGGTCAGACCAGCCTGGCCAACATAGTGAAACCTGTCTCTACTAAAAATACAAAAAATTAGCTGGGCATGATGGTGAGGGCCTGTAATCCCAGCTACTCAGGAGGCTGAGGCAGGAGAATCGCTTGAACCCGAGAGGCAGAGATTACAATGAGCTGAGATCACACCATTGCACTCCAGCCTGGCATGAACCCAGGAGGCGGAGCTTTCAGTGAGCCAAGACCACGCCACTGCTCTCCAGCCTGGGAGACAGAACAAGACTCTGTCTCAAAAAAAAAAAAAAAAAAGTATAAAACAGACAATTTTCTTATTAACATTTATACCTGACTACGGTGTTCAATAGAATTTGATTCTTTGCCAGTTTTAAGTTCCAGCGGCATTATCTTGTATTTTGTTTTATACCCTCGATGTATTTTCACACCAACTGTAACATCTATTTTGCCTTTCAATCCAAACCTAGGGGACCAAATGCTTTCTTCAATATCCATTGGTTTCACGACTTCAATGTTACATGTTGAATTATCCTTACTATTATCACTTGGCCTGAAAAAAAAAAAAGCACAAAAACACTTAATTAGAACTCTTAGCTCATTTCACATCTGCTGGCTCTGACTGCCTATTACACACAGAGAATGTGGGGAGGGGAAAGAGTCTACCTACCTTTACAGCAGTGATTTTCAAACTTGGTCCCTGGACCAGTAGCATCAGCATCACCTGAGAACTTGCTATAAAAGTAAATCCTCAAGACCCACTCCAAACCTACTCAAACAGAAACTCTAGGGGTGAGGCCTAGCAATCTGTTTAACCAACCCTCCACAATTTTGATGCATGCTCAAGTTTAAGAACCACTGTTCTACGGGCTCTGCTCATGGAATTTAGTCTTTCTTGGTATTTATCATCTGTTCCTTTCAGTCATTCCTACTATAATCTTCTTAACTCAGGCCCTTATTTTCTCAGGCCTAGATTACAACAGTTTTGCTACTTAAATTGCTAGAGCCACAATTCCAATCTGAGTATTTTGATATACAATTATTACGCAAATTAGTATGTAATGGCTTGCATGTGGTTGCGCCCTAAGCAATGAAAGATGTATTCCTTCACATAACACTAGATTACACTGATTAAGAATGAGCTGTCTGCTAGGCCTAGTGGCTCATGCTAAGGCAAGCAGATCACTTGAGTTCAGGAGTTCAAGACCAGCCTGGCCAACATGGCGAAACCCTGTCTCAATTAAAAAAATACAAGAATTAGCCGGGAAGGGTGGCACATGCCTGTAATCCCAGCTACCCAAAGGCTAAGGCAGGAGAATTGCTTGAACCCAGGAGGCGGAGGTTGCAGTGAGCCAAGATCGTGCCACTGCACTACAACCTGAGTGACAGAACAAGACTGTCTAAAAAAAAAAAAAAAAAAAAAGAAGAGCTATCTCCATCATCTATGAAGTCTGGGGCTCATTCACCCAACACTTCATTCACACATCCCCAGGTGACAATCTTCAAAGCTTCAAAGGAGCTCATGGTCACTTCCAAGTGTTCCATTTTCTTTACTTAATAACTAAATGAAACCATGTCTCCCACTATCAATATTTAAAGTAAGTACTCAATTTTTTTTTTATAAAAGAGGTTCTGACTTTAATCTCTTAATTGGTAAATAACCCATGAGCACAGAAAGGAGAAAAAAAGGGAACATATAAATGTTGAAGGAACGAGAAGAGGTGGAAATAACTTACAAACCTCCTCTCTTATCTAAGATTTACTCATTTTCAGAGCAGTTACGGTTATTCTGCAGAAAGATAAGAGTTACCTCTTATTAATCCTATCTACTGGGAAAATATTTTACACTTTTAGATTCAAAGCCAGCCACATAAAATACTAAATCTAGTGGAAATCTTACATAAAAAAAGATGACTTTTCTAGTAATAAAACATTTCCTATCAAAATGAAGATTTTTAAAAATAGAATAATTCTAGTGGTTAGAATAGATTATTTAGTTGATTTTTGTTTAGTTCATATTATTATGGTCAACCCCTATTTCTTTTTTTGGACAGCTATTTCTTCCTTTTTTTTTTTAATAGAGACAGGCTTTTGCCATGTTGTCCTGGCTGGTCTCAAATTCCTGACCTCAAGTGATCCACCTGCTTTGGCCTCCCAGAGTGCTGGATTACAGGAGTGAGCCACCACACCTGGCCATGGACAGCAATTTTTTTAACAAATGAGAATATTTTCTAAGAAAAAAAAATGCTGTCTTAAATAATTTTTTATAAAAAAAAAACTATTCCAAGATGCTTCAAATATAATCTCATGGAAGATATGTATCCTTCCAGAATAGTTGAAGAAGACAGTAGTGCAATTCAGAGAAGCCATAATTTATCTAAAATTTCTTTTTCTTTCTTTCTTAGTGAGACAGGGTCTCTCTCTGTTGCCCGGGGTAGAGTGCAGTGGCATGAACACGGCTCACTGCAGCCTTGACCTCCTGGGCTCAAGCAATCCTTCTGTTTCAGCCTCCCAAGTAGCTGGGATGAGAGGTGTGCACCACCACACCCCACTAATTATTTTCAAATTTGCAGAGACAGAGTCTACAAAAGGTGGGGCAACATGGTGAACTCAACCAATCCTCTTGTCTTGATCTCCCAAAGTGCTGGAATTACAAGCAAGATCCACTGCACTGGGTCTGAAATTTCTTAAATATTTATATTCTCTCACCAACTGTTACTTGTTCACGGTGTGTATTCAGATATGCTTTTATTAAATTAGGCAAAACTTATTATTTATGAAATGTCACATGTATACCTAATAGAATACAGGTTAAAAAAACTTTTAAAGTTGTTACTAAAATTCAATGCCCTGGAAAAAGAAGCAATGTGGCTTTATTATTATTATTATTATTCTGAGACAGAGTCTCACTCTGTCACCCAGGCTGGAATGCAGTAGCACGAACACAGTTTACTGCAGCTTCGACCTCCTGGGCTCAAGAGATCCTCCCGCCTCAGCCTTTCAAGTAGCTGAAACTACAGGCATCTGCCATTACGCCCAGCTATTTTTTTTTTTTTTTTTTTTTTTTTTTGTAGGGACAAGTTCTCACCATGTTTCCCAGGCTGATCTCGAACTCCTGGTCTCAAGCAATCCTCCTGCTTTCGCCTCCCAAAGTGCTGGGATTACAGTTATGAGCCACCATGCGCGGCCACTATATGTTTATTACCACAATTTTTTTTTTTTTTGAGATGGAATCTCGCTCTGTCGCAGAGGCTGGAGTATAGTGGTGCAATCTCGGCTCACTGCAACTTCCACCTCCCGGGTTCAAGCAACTCTCCCATTTCAGGCTCCCGAGTAGCTGGGATTACAAGCGTGCACCACCACGCCTGGCTAATTTTTGTATTTTTTAGTAGAGATAGGGTTTCACCATGTTGGCCAGGCTGTCTCTAACTCCTGACCTCAGGTGATCCATCCATCTCAGCCTCCCAAAGTGCTGGGATTACAGGCGTGAGCCACCACACCCAGCCACCACAATTTTTTTAAATGGCAACAAAAATTAATTTCTAAGTACTACTTTAGCTATAGTCTACAAAATTTGGTATGTAACCACCTTTTCTAAATGTGTTAATTTCCTTTATGACTGACCTTTTAAAACATTTATCAACATTTCCTTAGTCTACAAACCATGAGAATTTTAGATATCCTTTTAAGTTCTAACTTTGTTACAGTACAGTTGCGGAACATCGTTTCTAAGATACTGATCCTTTAAAATTTATTGGTGTTTCCCTTATGGCATAATGCATAATCTATTTCAGTAAAAGTTCTGTGTGACTTGAAAAATTATATATACAGTCATCCATTGTATAACAATGATTTCGTCAACCTAGGATAGTGGTCCCATAAGATTATAATGGAACTAAAAAATTCCATTGCCTAGTGACATCTAGCTATTGTGGTAATACAACACACTACCTTTTCTATATTTCAATATGTTTAGATAGACAAATACTTACCGTTGTTACAATTGCCTACAGTATTCAGTACAGTAACATGTAGTACAAGTGTGTAGCCTAGAGGCAACGGGCTATACCATACGGCCTAGGTGTGTAGTAGGCGCTCTACCATCTAGGTTTGCACAAGTACACTCTGATGTTCACACAATGATGACATTGCCTAACACCACATTTCTCAAAACATATCCCCATCATTAAGCTAGCATGAGTGCATTGTATATAAAATGTATATAAGTTTGTGTTTTGACAAAAAAATGTGGGATTTGATTTCAAAGATTCCTTGCAGGTCAAAGATGAGTCTGAATTCCACACTCTTTCCTTAGCATCTGTGATGCCCTTCTTCCAGGATGCAAATCCCTTGCTGACCTATCCTAAGCCTTCTTCAACAGATTCTATTATCTCCTTCTATGCCTTATATGCTGTTAACTGCCAGGGTCCCATGCTGCTTTTGTCACCCACATTTTATCCACCAGCAAACCTCTTCACTTTTATTATTTTCATCTACCACCAATACACTGAGTTCCTGAGGGCTTTAGTTATCCCTGTAACAACAGTACCTGGTATAATCCTTGGCACACATATAGCATTGAATAAATGTTTGCAGAATTTATTAACCCAGGATTCTGAGAATCATGCTTATCATTGTAAAAACAATGGGTTAATTTTAACCAAAAAAAAAAAAACACATTTGGGTTAAGACTCCACCAAAGGAAAACAAACAAACAAACAAGCAAACATGCAGACAGGATGCTAAAACAATTAACAAAAAGTAAAAGAAAAGCTTATGTCCAAAAAAACTACAAAAATAGATATCTACCGTAATTTAAAATGTCAAGCAGCTGGGCGCAGTGGCTCACACCTGTAATCCCAGCACTTTGGGAGGGTGAGGTGGGTGGATCACCTAAGGTCAGAAGTTTGAGACCAGCCTGGTCAGCATGGTGAAACTCCGTCTCTACTAAAAATGCAAAAATTAGCCAGGCATGGTGGCAGGCGCCTGTAATCCCAGCTACTCAGGAGGCTGAGGCAGAAGAATCGCTTGAACCTGGGAGGCGGAGGTTGTAGTGAGCCGAGATTGCGCCACTGCACTCCAGACTAGGTGACAGAGCAAGGCTCCATCTCAAAAAAAATAATAAATTTCAAGCAAATGTAAATGACAAAAAGAAATAAAGGAGGAAGGAGGGGGAAAAAAGGAGGGAGGAGGAAGGAGGGTAAATGAGGATAAATAATTAGGAGCAGTTGAAGATAAAATTAGGATTTTTTTTTTTTTTTTGAGATGGAATCTTGCTCTGTCACCCAGGCTAGAGTGCAGTGGCATGAACTCAGCTCACTGCAACCTCTGCCTCCTGGGTTCAAGCGATTCTCCTGCCTCAGCCTCCCGAGTAGCTGGGATTTACAGGCATCCGCCACCATGCCTGGCCAATTTTTATATTTTTAGTAGAGACGGGGTTTCACCATCTTGGCCAGGCTGGTCTCAAACTCCTGACCTCATGATCTGCCCACCTCAGCCACCCAAAGTGATGGGATTACAGGCATTAGCCATCACGCCAGGCCGATAAAATTAACTTTCTTAGTGTTACAGAACATTCACAGAGACCAGAATGTTATAAAGCAAAGCAAGGAACTAGGTGAAGGATGACTACTTGATAAACACAGTTTATCACAGTGAAGCCCAATATCCAACCCCTATGTCAGTCTGTTCCAAAGAAATAACAAAAAATGAAACATTTATAAATTTATTTTTAAAACACAAGAAAAACTAAACAATCTATTCACTCTAGCTTTTTTCTTAGTGTAGGGAGCTGGTGGCAAATTTATGACCACTACAGAAATAAAAAATATAAAAAACAAACTCAGCCGGGCGCAGTGGCTCATGCCTGTAATCCCAACACTTTGGGAGGCTGAGGTGGGTGGATCACTTGAGGTCAGGAGTTCGAGACCAGCCTGGCCAACATGGTGAAACCTCGCCTCTACTAAAAATACAAAAATTAGCCAGGCGTGGTGGCTCATGCCTATAGTCCCAGCTACTCAGGGGGCTGTGTCACAAGAATCATTTGAACCCAGGAAGCAGAGGTTGCAGTGAGCCAAGATTGCACCACTGTACTTCAGCCTGAGCGACAGAGCGAGACTCCATCTCAAAAACAAAACAAAACAAACAAACAAACAAACAAAAAACTCAACTCTAACAGCAAGACAAGCCTTTTTTTAAACTACTAAATATTTTTAAAATACATGTGAAAATCCCATTAGAGGGCCAGGCATGGTGGCTCACGCCTGTAACCCTAGCACTTTGGGAGGCCAAGGCAGGAGGATCATTTGAGTCCAGGAGTTCGAGACTAGCCATCCTGGGTAACATGGCAAAACACCATCTCTACAAAAAATACAAAAATTAGCCAGGCAAAGTGGTGTGCACCTGTAGTCCCAGCTACTCAGAAGGCTGAGGTGGAATGACTGTTTGAACTCAGGAGGCAGAGGTTGCAGTGAGCCTAAATCACACCACTGCACTCCAGTCTGGGCAAGAGTGAGACCTTGTCTCAAAACAGAGAGAGAAAAAAAAAAGTAAATGAGATCAAGGCAGAAACTAGCACACACAAGTTAAGGAGCCTGCTGTAGTTATACAGCTAAATTACAGCCAAACTGGGATTCACATCCAGGCTCATTATATCATTCGAACCACAGGGAATAGGTCCAAAGAACTAACTACTGCAAAGCTTTGTGACTCACAAATCTTAAAGCATTTTTGTTTTTTGAGGTGGAGTCTCGTTTTGTTGCCCAGGCTACAGTGCAGTGGCACGATCTCGGCTCGCTGTAATCTCTGCCTCCTAGTTCAAGCAATCCTCCTGCCTCAGCCTCCCGAGTAGCTGGGATTACAGGCACCCACCACCACGCCTGGCTAATTTTCATATTTTTAGTAGAGATGGTGTTCCACCATGTTGGCCAGGCTGGTCTCAAACTCCTGAGCCAGTTGATACAGTGCCTCAACCTCCAAAAGTGCAGGGATTACAGGCATGAGCCACCATGCCCGGACCCCCTTAAAGCAAATTTTTTAGATCACAAAATGTTATAAAATATTGAAAATATTGAGAGAACATTGAGAATATTAGTATACATGGAAGTCGTGCCTATTTAAAGAAAAATAAAACTCTGCCAGTTTAAAAAAAAAAAAAGGAGCCGGGCACGGTGGCTCACGCCTGTAATCCCAGCACTTTGGGAGGCCAAGGTGGGCGGATTACAAGGTCAGGAGATCGAGACCATCCTGGCTAACACGGTGAAACCCCGGCTCTACTAAAAATACAAAAAATTAGCCAGGCATGGTGGCAGGCACCTGTAGTCCCAGCTACTCAGGAGGCTGAGGCAGGAGAATGGCGTGAACCCGGGAGGCGGAGGTTGCAGTGAGCCAAGATCGCGCCACTGCACTCCAGCCTGGGCAACAGAGCGAGACTCCATCTCAAAAAAAAAAAAAAATGGAAATCAGATAAAAACCCTCCAATGGCTTCCATTCTAATCAGAGCAGCAGCCAAGTCCTGACCAGGATGATAAGGCTCCAGGGGAACTACTGCTGCTCTTCTCCTACTGCACTTTGCTCTAGCCATCACACTAGTTCGCTGAGATACTGCACACACAGCTAGTATGTGTCAGCCACAGGGCTTTTGCCGTTTCCCCTACCTAGAACATTCCTCCTACAGACAGCTGTACGGTTCACTACTTCATTTCCTTTAAGCTTCTGCTCAAATGCTACCTTATGAGGAAGGCCTTCCATGAACATTCTATGGAATATCCCTGCCACCACTACCTACCTATTCTCCCTTTCTTCTTATCCTCCTCATTGTTCGGCACTGCATTAATCACAGTCTGGTCCCCTGCTGTTTACTTGTACAGTGGTATAGAAACTCCACAAAGTAGGCAGTTGTATGTTTTGTTTTGTTTTTTGCTACCATGATCCAAGCACCTAAAACATTACTTGGCATATATTAGACACCCAATAAATATTTGCTAAATGAATAACAGAAAAAAACATATTTCCCCTATAAAATTATAACAATGCCACTTTGAGAAAAAAAAAAAAAAAACTTGAAAATACACATAATGCCAAACAGCATTAAATGGCTAAACACAGTAAATATATAGCACATCCATATGACAGTCAACACATGACACAGACTATATGCTAGTAACACAGAAAAATACACATGAAAGAATCAAATGAGGCCAGGTACAGTGCCTCATGCCCGTAATCCCAGCAGGTTGGGAGGCCAAGGTGGGAGGATCACTTGAGGTCAGGAGTTCGAGACCAGCCTGGCCAACATGGTGAAACTTCATCTCTAATAAAAATGCAAAAACTAGCCAGGTGTGGTGGCACACACCTGTAATCCCAGCTACTCAGGAGGCTGAGGCAGGAGAATTGCTTGAACCCAGGAGGTGGAGGTTGCAGTGAGCAGAGATCACACCATTGCACTCCAGCCTGGGGGACATAATGAGACTCCGTCTCAAAAAAAAAAAGAATCAAATGATAAAAATTAGGACCCCCAGAATATTTATAAATTGATTACTTTATAAGAAAATACAGACCAGGCATAGTTGCTCACACCTGTAATCCCAGTACTTTGGTAGGCCAAGGTGTGTGGATCACCAGAGGTCAGGCATTCAAGACCAGCCTGGCCAACATGGCAAAACCCTGTCTCTACTAAAAATACAAAAAATTAGCCGGGTATGGTGGTGGGCGCCTGTAATCCCAGGTACTTGGGAGGCTGAGGCAGAATAATTGCTTGAACCCCGGGAGGCGGAGGTTGCAGTAAGCCGAAATCATGCCACTGCACTCCAGCCTGGGCAACAGAGCAAGACTCTGTATCAAAAAAGAAAAAAAAAAAAAAGAAGAAGAAAGAGGCTGGGCACAGTGGCTCATGCCTGTAATCCCAGCACTTTGGGAGGCTGAGGCGGGTGGATCACCTGAAGTTAGGAGTTCGAGGCCAGTCTAGCCAACATGGTGAAACCCTGTCTCTACTAAAAATACAAAATTAGCCAGGTGTGGTGGCAGGCGCCTGTAATCCCACCTACTTGGGAGGCTGAGATAGGAGAATCACTTGAACCTGGGAGGCGGAGGTTGCCGGGAGCAGAGATCAGTGCCACTGTATTTCCAGCCTGTGCGACAGAGCAAAACTCCATCTCAAAAAAAAAGAAAGAAAAAGAAAATACATATCTACATATAGAAAATAAGCTATCATAATAATGAAAATAAAATTTTCTATTCACTGGGTTCTTTTTTGTCATGGAAAGATACTTAGGACCATAATTTATAAAATAAGCAAGCAAAATGGCTAATTGTAATTACTCAATCTTTAAAAACTTTGATTCAACACACAGAATGGCATCCTGGTCTAAAAATATGAAGACTATATATATAAACAAAATGTGTTTCTTACAGAGAGAGCTGCATCTGAGGGAAGTCAGTCGAAGTGTTTTTATGCATGAAATCTCCTGCCCATTTACAAAACGAAGGAAGATAGTCCTCTACTTCTTGTTTTATTTCATCTTGACTTAGATTTAAGCGGTACCTGCCAAAAATATAATAGTAAATAGACTTAGACTTAAGCGGTACCTGCCAAAAATATGATAGCGAATATGAAAGTATAAATATGAGAAAAGTAAACGAGGACAAAAAAATACATATAAGCAACCCAACTGTTCGTCAGCCAATAAATGGATAAACAAAATGTGGCATATTCCATACAATGCAGTATTATTCAGCTATAAAAAGGAAGGAAATTCTGACATATGTTACAACATTGAAGAACCTTCAGGACATTACGCTAAGTGAAATAGGCCAGTCACAAAAGGACTAATATTCATATGAGGTACCTACAGTAGTGAAAATCACAGAGATAGAAAGTAGAATGGGGGTTGTCAGAGGCTGGGAGGAGGAAAGAAGGGAGCGTTATTGTTTCAAGGGCACAAAGCTTCAGTTTGGGAAGATGCAAAGAGTTCTGGAGATAGATAGGGTGATGGCTGTACAACAAGGTGAATGTACTTTGCCTCTGAACTGTACCCTTAAAAATGGCTAACATGGGCAGAGCGCAGTGGCTCACATCTGTAATCCCAGCACTTTGGGATGCGGAGGCAGGTGGATCACAAGGTCAGCAGTTCGAGACAAGCCTGGCCAACATGGTGAAACGCTGTCTCTACTAAAAACACAAAAATTAGCCAGGCATGGTGGTGCATGCCTGTAATCCCCGCTCCTTGGGAGGCTGAGGCAGGAGAATTGCTGGAATCCAGGAGGCAGAGGTTGCAGTGAGCTGAGATCGCACCAGTGCACTCCAGCCTGGGCAAGAGAGCAAGACTCCATCACAAATACACACACACACACACACACACACACACACATACAAGTTAACATGGTAATTTTTTTTCTTCTTTTTCTTTTTCTCTTTTCTTTTTTTATTTTTTGAGACAGGGTCTCACGCTGTCACCCAGGCTGGAGTGTAGTAGCGCTATCTCGGCTCATTGCAACCTCTGCCTTATAGGCTCAAGTGATTCTCCCCACTCAGCCTTCAGAGTAGCTGGAATTACAGGCACACACCACCATGCTAAGGTAATTTTTCTGTATTTTCAGTAGAGATTGGGTTTCACCATGTTGGCCAGGCTGGTCTCAAACTCCTGGGCTCAAGCAATCTGCCCACCTTGGCCTCCCAAAGTGCTGGGATAACAGGCATGAGCCACCGCACCTGACCTAATACGGTAATTTTTTTTTTTTTTTGAGAGAGAGTTTCACTCTTGTTGCCCAGGCTGGCGCGATCTCTACTCACTGCAACGTTTGCCTCCCAGGTTCAAATGATGCTCCTGCCTCAGTCCCCTGAGTAGCTGGAACCATAGACATATGACACCACGCCCAGCTAATTTTTGTATTTTTAGTAAAGACGGGGTTTCACCATGTTGGCCAGCCTGGTCTTGAACCCCTGACCTCACGTGATCTGCCCGCCTCGGCCTCTGAAAGTGCTGGGATTACAGGGGTGAGCCATTGCACCTGGCCTAACACGGTAATTTTTATGTGCATTTAACCACAATTTTTAAAAAACATCCAAATAACGCCAAGCATGGTGGTGTGAAACTATAGTCCCAGCTACTCAGCAGGCTGAAGCGGAAGGATCGTTTCAGCCCAAAAGTTTGAGGTTACGTGACCTGTGATCTCACCACTGTACTCCAGCCTGGGTGACAGAGTGAGACCCTGTTTAAAAAAAAAAAAAAATCCAAATAACACTGAAACAGTGACATGACATCAAATTTCAGATAATTTGCTCTAATTCATACCATGGTCTAATTGGAAGAGTCCCAGTTACACCTTTGGGATTAAAAAAATGGAGATATTGCTCCTGAAACCAAGCAATGGAAAGTAGAAATGTAAAAGAGAAAAAAGGGTCATATGGACAGAAAGGCAGTATCAGCCTTACAACATGAAAGGACAGTATATAGGAATGTTAACTTCTTATGTGAGAAATCTACAGAAACAAAAAAACTAAGTCTCAATTTTTCAGGGTTCTTACAAGGTCAAAATTATGTCGTAACAATATGAATACATTTTTTATCATTTTCCTTTCATAAGAGTACAGTTGAATTTTCTGAGGGTACATGACATAAAACATAGAAATATTTTGAATGCAGAAGCAGATACAAGAATCCACGATCTTATATGAAGTCATACATTTAAAACATTTGCAAAAATAGAGGCTTGGTCTACACCCATACCACCCAGAACGCAGCCGATCTCATCTTATCTCAGAAGCTAAGCAGGGTTGAGCTTGGTTACTACTTGGATGGGAGACCACCTGGGAATATTGGGTGCTGTAGCTTTAAGAAAGAAAGAAAAAAAATGGCCAGGCTCTGTGGCTCATGCCTGTAATCTCAGCACTTTGGGAGGCAGAGATGGGCAGATCACCTGAGGTTGGGAGTTTGAGATCAGCCTGACCAACGTGGAGAAACCCCATCTCTACTAAAAATACAAAATTAGCCAGGCATGGTGGTGCATGCCTGTAATCCCAGCTACTCGGGAGGCTGAGGCAAGATAATTGCTTGAACCCGGAAGGCGGAGGTTTCGGTGAGCTGAGATCATGCCACTGCACTCCAGCCTGGGAAACAAGAGTGAAACTCCGTCTCAAAAAAAAAAAAAAAAAAAAAAAATAGAGGCTGGAGGATTGTTTGAGGCTACAGTGGGTGATAATTTCATCATTGCACTCCAGCCTGGGCAACAGAGAGACACCTTACCTCAAAAAAAATAAATAAGGAAGAAAGAAAGCAAAAAGAAACTGAAAAAAATGTAAAACAATGACATTCATTACATTTTTTTACAATAGTTTTTTCATTAAAATGTTATGTTAACAAGCATAGATTGATATTTTTGAATGAAATACATTTTAGGCTAGGTGCAGTGGCTCATACCTATAATCCCAACACTTTGGGAAGCCAAGACGAGTGGATCACTTGAGGTCAGGAGTTCAAGACCAGCCTGGCCAATATGGTGAAACCCTGTCTCTACTCACAAACACAAAAATTAGCCGGGTGTGGTGGCAGGCACCTGTAATCCCAGCTACTCAGGAGGCTGAGGCAGGAGAATTGATTGACCCAGGAGGTGGAGGTTGCAGTGAGCCGAGGTCATGCCATTGCAATCCAGCCTGGGTGACAGAGCAAGACTGTCTCAATAACAACCACAGCAAAAATGAATATACATGTTAATTTCAAATGAATTAATAAACATGTTTTACTTTCTAGTACAGTAATTAATCATAGATATAGCCCACATAAACAAAAGCTCTTTCCAGTCTTTAATAATTTTTTAGTGTAAAGGGGTCCTGAGAGCAAAAGTTTTGAGAACTGCTGTTATAAACTTACCCTCCCAGGATGATTATTCCAGTTCCTTCTTTATGTTTAAGCTCCGCAATCTTAATAACTACTCTAGGGTGGTAGGGGCTTATCAGTTTGTATATAAAATCACACCTAGGTTTGAATCCTAACTCTGCACTACCAGATGTATGACTAAGAGCAAGTCACGGTTAATTAAGCCTGTTTCCTCATCTGTAAGGAGGAGATAATAACTACCTTACAGTGTCAGTCTGAGGATTAAATAGAACAATGTATGTAAAGCACTTAGCTGATGGTAAGCCCTCATTAAAGTATAGGCTGGGCATGGTGGCTCACACCTATAATCCCAGCACTTTGGGAGGCCAAGGAGGGTGGATCACCTGAGGTCAGGAGTTTGAGACCAGCCTGGCCAACATGGTGAAACCCCATCTTTACTAACAAATGCAAAAAAATTAGCCGGCCATGGTGGCACACGCCTGTAATCCCAGCTAAAGAGAAGGCTGAGGCAGGAGAACCACTTGAACCTGGGAGACAGAGGTTGCAATGAGCCGAGATCACGGTGCTGTACTCCAGCCTGGGCGACAGAGCCAGATTCAAAAAGAAAAAAAAAAATCATTAAGATGTAAAGACCTGGCCGGACGCAGTGGCTCACACCTGTAATCCCAGCACTTTGGGAGGCCGAAGCGGGTGGATCACGAGGTCAGGAGATCGGGACCATCCTGGCTAACACAGTGAAACCCCGTCTCTACTAAAAATACAAAAATTCAGCCGGGCGTGGTGGCGGCCGCCTGTAGTCCCAGCTACTCGGGAGGCTGAGGCAGGAGAATGGCGTGAACCCAGGAGGCGGAGCTTGCAGTGAGCCGAGATTGTGCCACTGCACTCCAGCCTGGGGGACAGAGCAAGACTCCATCTCAAAAAAAAAAAAAAAAAAAGATGTAAAGACCATGATGATAACCATAAATACAGTGCTAACTATAGGTCAGCACTATTCCAGGCGTGGTGGCAGGCGCCTGTAGTCCCAGATCAGATACTCGGGAGGGTGAGGCAGGAGAATGGCGTGAACCCAGGAGGTGGAGCTTGCAGTGAGCCTAGTGAGCCACTGCACTCCAGCCTGAACGACAGAGGAAGACTCCATCTCAAAAAAAAAAAAAAAAGATACAACTTACAATTTTTCTCACTTGCTTAAGGGAGCACCATAATAACACATTCATCAGACATTGAGACTTCAGGATAATACACATTTACCATATAACTGTGCAATATTAAACACCAAATTTAATAAGCTGTTACTTTCCTAGGTTTCTGCCACCTCCAGCTTACCAAGACTGACAGAGCAGAGTTGTGTCAGCCCTCTGAGAGAGCCAGTCCAACAGAGAAGACAAAATTAGCAATGCTAGCTCTGCCAAAATTGACTTAAACAAAATAGCAACCACAGGTTGAAAGAGAAGCTGAAATTCCTCAAGCCAGAAAGCAACTGCTAATACCAAAGCATCCAAAAAAGATCTAGAGAAACACACATTTAGAGTACTGAAGATGAAGGTTATCCTTGCAAAAGGCTGTTTGAAATCAGGCAGTTTCCAGTTGATTAAAAATGATGTAGATGACCATATGGTCTCACAAAGTCTCATATATTGCCAGTAGAAATGTAAACTTGGACAATGTCTATAGAGAGCAATTTGGTAATATGTATCAAAATTTTAGGCCAGGCCTGGTGGCTCATGCCTGTAATCCCAGCACTTTGGGACGCCAAGGTGGGTGGATCACTTGAGGTCAGTAGTACAAAACCAGCCTGGCCAACATGGTTAAACCCCGTCTTCACTAAAAGTACAAAAAAATTAGCCGGGTGTGGTGGCTCATGCCTGTAATCCCAGCTACTCGAGAGGCTGAGGCAGGAAAATTGCTTGAACCCGGGAGGTAGAGGCTGCAATGAGCCAAGAGCAAGCCACCGCACTCCACCTTGGGTGACAGAGCAAGACTCCGTCTCGAAAACAAAACAAAACAAAACAAAAACTGGTAAGGTAGGCCGGGCGCAGTGGCTCACGCCTGTAATCCCAGCACTGTGGGAGGCCGAGGCAGGCGGATCACCTAGGTCAGGAGTTCGAGACCAGCCTCAACATGGAGAAACCCCGTCTCTACTAAAAATACAAAATTAGCCAGGCGTGGTGGTGCATGCCTGTAATCCCAGCTACTCGGGAGGCTGAGGCAGCAGAATTGCTTGAACCTGGGAGGCAGAGGTTGTGGTGACCTGAGATCACACCATTACACTCCAGCCTGGACAACAAGAGCGAAACTCCACCTCAAAAAAAAAAAAAAAAAAAAAAAAAAAAACTGGTAAGGCAGGCCAGCCATGGTGGCATGTACCTGTTGTTCCAGATACTCAGGAGGCTGAGGTGGGGAGAAACACATGAGCCCAGTCGTTTGAGTACAGCCTGGACAACATAGCAAGACCCCTATCTCCCCTCCAAAAAAAAAATACTGTAAAGCTGCATTTTTTTTTTTTTTTTTTGAGATGGAGTCTTGCTTTGTCACCCAGGCTGGAGTGCAGTGGTGTGATCTCGGCTCACTGCAAGCTCTACCTCCCGGGTTCACACCATTCTCCTGCCTCAGCCTTCCGAGTAGCTGGGACTACAGGCGCCTGCCACCATGCCCTGCTAATTTTTTGTATTTTTAGTAGAGACGGGGTTTCACCATGTTAGCCAGGATGGTCTCGATTTCCTGACTTCTGATCCGCCCACCTCGGCCTCCCAAAGTGCTGGGATTACAGGCGTGAGCCACCGCACCTGGCCGTAAAGATGCACTTTGAAACCAGTTTCATCTTCTTCCCAACCCCATATAATTCTCAGTATATCACACTGTTTCTAGAACTAATGCAAAAAAGTTCTTTATACATTCTCTGAAAGTACTTAAGGAATCTGTTATGCACATGTACAAAATATTTAGGTATTTTTACCCAAAAAGTTCCTGTTGAGCAATTTCAGAAACTCTTCACAGAGTTCCAACAATGTACTAGAACTATGAAATCTGCATTTTAGATTACACTAATTTATATTGGATAGTCTACACAAATACTTTATAGTTTCTAGGACAGAAGTTATATAATAAAATTATACCTGCAGTTCTTCTTATAACTACTTACATTTCCTTCAAATGTCTTATTTCTTGAATTGTTTGAAAAGCAAGTTCTTGTAGCTTTTCTGGGGCAAAGCTATTATTTATGGCTTTTTGAAACACCTCATGGAGAACCGTACCAATTAGCATTTGGCGTGTGGCTGGATCAGAGCTCTACAAAAGCAAATCACACAGTTTATTTCACAACATATTAACAGACACAATTGTATATTTATTACCTAATCTATTAAACCACCATAGCCAAAATGCACTGGTAAGACAAATGCCAAAATATTAAAAAAATTTTTTTCTGGTGCGTGGAATTATAAGTGACTTTCACTTTCTTCTATCCAGAATTGTCTGAATTACTGTATGAGTTATCCTTTTTTTTTTCTTTTTTGAGACAGAGTCTTGCTCTGTCACCCAGGCTGGAGCACAGTGGCACAATCTCAGCTCACTGCAACCTTCATCTCCCAGGTTCAAATGATTCTCATGCCTCAACCTCCCAAGTAGCTGGAATTACAGGTGTGTGCTATCATGCCCGGCTAACTTTTATTTTTTGTATTTTTAGTAGAGGCAGGGTTTCACCATGTTGGCCAGGCTGATATGAATTACTTTTAAAATCAATGTTCTCCATTTTGAAAAAAATTAAAATAACCAATATTTTAAAATTCAAAATATTCTCAAATAATTAATATTTAAAGTATTGTTCTCTTATTTCACTTGATAATCCACCCAATAGAAAAGTCAATAAAGGCATAGCTGATAAACTCATGTAAGTAAAAGATACCATTCAAACATAAAATGTAAACCTACTTAGCAGTAATGTTTGGGAAGAAAAAAAATTTTTTTAACCTACAGCAGAGATTTTTGGCAAGGAATTTTTCTCCACTCAAAAAGAAACACTACATTTCTTGATTAACTCTTGTATTAGCCTAGACCTTTTTTTTTTTTTTTTGAGACAGAGTTTCGCTCTGTCACCCAGGCTGGAGTGCAGCCGCGCGACTTTTGCTCACTGCAAGCTCCGCCTCCCAGGTTCACGCCATTCTCCTGCCTCAGCCTCCCGAGTAGCTGGGACTACAGGCGCCCGCCACCACACCCGGCTAATTTTTTTGTATTTTTAATAGAGATGGGGTTTGACCATGTCAGCCAGGATGGTCTTGATCTCCTGACCTCGTGATCCGCCAGCCTTGGCCTCCCAAAGTGCTGGGATTACAGGCGTGAGCCACTGCGCCCGGTCCAAAAAGTTTTTTAAAACTTAATATTCAGGCCAAGCACAGTAGCTCATGCCTATAGTCCCAGCTACTAGGGAGGCTGAGGTGGCCTGGGAGGTCAAGGCTTCAGTGACACACTGCACTCCAGCCTGGGTGACACAGTGAGACTCAAAATAAAATAAAAGTACGTTTCAAGAAAAATATATAAAAAGCTGGGTGTTGGGTACGATCATCTCTTTGTATGTTTGAAATAGCCCAAAATACATTTTTGTTTGTTTTGAGACGGAGTCTCCCTCTATCTCCCACCGTGAAGTGCAGTGGTGGGATCTCAGCTCACTGCAACCTCCGCCTCCAGGGTTCAAGCAATTCTGCCTCAGCCTCTCGAGTAGCTAGGATTACAGGCGCGCACCACAACGCCCGGCTAATTTTTGTGTATTTAGTAGAGACTGGTTTTCATCATGTTGGTCAGGCTGGTCTTGAACTCCTGACTTCATGAACTGCTCACCTCGGCCTCTCAAAGTGCTGGGATTACAGGCGTAAGCCACTGCGCCCAGCCCCAAAATACGTTTTTTTTTTGAGACTTTTTATTTTAAAATAAAACTGCATGTTTCAAGAAAAATAAATAAAAAGCTGGGTGTTGAGTACATGGGAGTTTATTACAATCATCTCTTTGTATGTTTGAAATAGTCCAAAATACATTTTTGTTTGTTTGTTTTGACACAGAGTCTTGCTCTGCCGCCCAGGCTAGACTGCAGTAGCATGATCTCGGCTCACTGCAACCTCCATCTCCCGGGTTTAAACGATTCTCCTGCCTCAGCCTCCTGAGTAGCTGGGACTACAGGTGCACGCCACCACACCTGGCTAATTTTTCTAGCAAAATACATTTTTTAAAAGCAGTTTGCACATTTATTTTTAGTTTAGTGGGAATCACATGAAGCCAACTTTGGAAATGTCTAGGTGTGTTTAAATTTAAAAGTTTATCATTTAAATTAATTTTCTTATTATAATTAGTTATTTTATTAAGCCCTGAACAAGATTCGAAGGACTCAGGCACCTGGCCTTTAGTCCTAGCACTGCCACCTCATAGTTATGTGGCTATGGGGCAAGTCACTTCACCTCTCTGAGCCCATTTTCCTCATCTATAAAATGCAGCTAATTAATACCATTTATTTTATAGGGTTGCTGGGAGGATTAAGTGAAATAATAAATGTAAAAGTGCTCTGTAAAACTCTCAGACCCTGCAGAAACATTAACTGTTACTATTATTTACCCTAAAAGTTTCACTCAGGACAGCTCTTCTCATACATCGAATACTACTGGCTATGCTGGTGCCAGAAATCAGCATGTCTGGATACAGAATCAAATATCCAAAATCTTTATCTATTATCCAAGTGTCAGATGTGCAGTCTCCCTCCAAATGAATGATATCTCCTGGCTCTACTGGAACAGAACACCTGAAAATAAAGCAAAGTTAAAGTATAAATACATAGCTTAGGTTCCTACATGTAAACGTATTAGGGAGGCTTCAAAAAAATAAATGAGTATTTTATCTGAAGAAGAAAAAAATATTTCTAAATTTCTGGGTCTTTAAAAAAAAAAATCAAATAGCAGGATACAGTCTTCTAAAACAACCCCTAGTTATTCTACCCCTTTCTATGTGTCAAACACATCTGAGAATACTCAAGGGTCTTCTATAAATCCCAAAGGGAAAACAACTTAGTGCCAGTAAAGTCTATTGCAAAAGCTATCAAAAAACCTTTGCTAATGTAATATATAGCTCCAATTATGAATTGGGTTGTTTTAATAATTTACTCTTTCTTAAGACTTTTAGGAAATCTACAGCTTGTATAAGTCTTGAAGCATGAAGCCAAATCCAGTGTAGCAAGAATAAAATCAAACTGAACTAGTTGAAACTAGGCCAGGCGCGGTGGCTCATGCCTATAATCCCAGCACTTTGGGAGGCCGAGGCAGGTGGATTCCTGAAGTCAGGAGTTCAAGACCAGCCTGGGCAACATGGTGAAACCCCGTCTCTACTAAAAATACAAAAATTAGCCGGGCGTGGTGGCGGACGCCTGTAATCCCAGCTACTTGTGAGGCTGAGGCAGGAGAATCGCTTGAACCCAGGAAGCGGAGGTTGCAGTGAGCCGCGATCACGCCATTGCACTCTAGCCTGGGCGACAGAGCAAGACTCCGTCTCCAAAAACCACAACAACAAAAAACAAATTAATTCACGGCTTAGACGAAGAGTCAAAGTTAGACCTCTAGCTTTTCTGCATCTACACTCCACCCCTCACATACCACACTTTGGGTAGAGAAATCTAAGGCCTAAGAATGTCCATATGTTTTAATTAATTTTGCTTTTAGTTAAAACTAACATGTGTTTAAACTGCAATCTTAGAATGTACTGGGAAGGCCGGGCGCGGTGGCTCACGCCTGTAATCCCACCACTTTGGGAGGCCGAGGTGGGCGGATCACGAGGTCAGGGGATTCGAGACCATCCTGGCTAACATGGTGAAACCCTGTCTCTACTAAAAATACAAAAAAAAAAAAAAAAAAAAGAATGTACTGGGAAATAGGAAGTAGTCATTAATAAGGTCCTTTGTACGTGATTTTCTTTTCTTTTTTTTGAGATGAAGTTTCGCTCTTGTTGCCTAGGCTGGAGTGCAATGGCATGATCTCAGCTCACCACAACCTCCACCTCCCAGGTTCAAGCAATTCTCCTGCCTCAGCCTCCAGAGTACCTGGGATTACAGGCAAGTGCCACCATACCCAGCTAATTTTTTTTTATTTTTAGTAGAGACTGGGTTTCTCCATGTTGGTCAGGCTGGTCTCAAACTCCTGACCTGAGGTGATCCGCCTGCCTTGGCCTCCCAAAGTGCTGGGATTACAGGTGTGAGCCACCATGCCTGGCCCACGTGATTTTCAAATGACAACAAAAGTCAATTTTTGGAATATGAGACTTGAGATACAGGAGTAATAGATACAATTTTCATGCAGAATTAGGCTAAGATCAAACCTACTCCCTTTTAAACAATTAAATTATAGTAACATTCACAGAAGCCATTTGATGAGTTTTACGACAGTACCCTTAAGATTCAAATCGGTGCTCAAAGTCACATAAAAATTACCAGTCATTCCTAAGGATGCATAGTTCTTTATTTTCTAGTGACTGTGAAGCAGTGATGACCAGGCGCTTTTCACAGTTTCCCTCTTTGTTCTGTACAGTATTGACTGCCAACACCAGGTACCGGTTATCCATTCCTGTGCTCAGAACTGTTCTTGGAAAGGAAGCTACCACTTTCTTCTGAAATCTAAAGCACACACATACAAAACTATTTTAGCACAACCATGAAATAAGAAGCCATCCAATATGTTTTATCTACAAACCAATCTTCCAGTTTTCTAGGTTTCTTTCTTCTGAAAAGCTTATTGCAATGACATTTAGACAAAATAGGTAAAATTAAGAGAGCAAAGACACAGAAGAATTCCTATTATAAAAACTTCCCAGAAGTAATGCCATTTCAAACATGCTCATGATATGAGATTTTCCATTTTAATTTCTGTAAAGCGTTCTGTGGGACACTCATTACAATGAGGATTAAGAATAAACTGGAAGCCAGGCATGATGGCGCACACCTGTAGTCCCAGCTACTCAAGAGGCTGAGGTGGAAGGACTGCTTGAGCCCAGGAGTTTGAGGCTGCAGTGAGATACGATCATGCTACTGCACCCCTTCCTGAGCGACAGAAAAAGACCCCGGTTCTGGCGGAGAAAAAAGAAAGGAAAGTATAAATTGGACAACATTAAACAAGAAATTTCTACCACTGGTGCAAGCCTTCCCAAAGTACAAGTAAAAGGAGATGTTTTGGACACGATCCTTTTTGTAAATATGAGACTTATGTTACGGAAAAGGGTATTGTCCGTGGTTCACTGAAAGTCCTATCATGAGCCACAGAATTGTACTTAGAAATAATTTAGTCCAACCTGCTAAAGTAATGCCGGAAATCTTTCGATAAAATCTCACTGGACAGAAAGCAGGCTTAATACCTATCGATTTAGCTCAATCCTTTACAGAGTAATTCAGAACTTTATTACTTATATTTATAGTGGGTAAGTCAATTTGTCAATACTTTCATCCATCGGTCCAAGCTGTCTAAAATTATGCAAAATAATAATCTCTCAAGAAAACAGCCCTTCTCCTATTAAGTACCTCTTAAGTCTTCCCCGTTTGACTGAGGCATCAGTGAGGGACCAAAGGAGGGTCCAAAGTCATTACCTCTCCAGTGATAACACCAAACGCCTTTCACATTACACTGCAAGTTATCTTTTGTTACCTGACCGTAGGTTCTATTATTTTGCAAACGCTTTATTCCTGTAGTCCACCTAACCTCAGGCCATGAATTTCGCAAGATTGGCTATGATGCCTTAAAGATGTTTCTCAAAAGGTATTGCTGATCAAAAGCCCAAACGCAAAAGTCCCTCAACGCTAATTAGCATTATTGCTATAATATTGAAAGTAATTCCACATTATGACCGTGGTTAACTTCCTCTGATCATTTATATACACCATGCTGAGGGTGCAGAGATCCCCCAAGGATAAGTTAATCCAACTAAACATCGAGAAAAGCCTACGGCGGTTGCAATTTCCTATTATAAAAACATTCCAGTGGCCGAAACTCCTCAACTTAGGGAGAGAGGTGAAATCAAGGGAAACAATGAACTGCTCGGCGAGGGAGAGTCCAGGCTCTGGCTGAATGTGGCCCCAAAGAACACCTTGGGAGGCAGGCCCCGACTCCGGAGGCTCGTCGGGTGCCCAGGGAGCTGCACCGGGTCCCTGGGCCCCGGGCCCGGTCAGTCTGAGGCGGTGCGGACGCAGCCTCTCCCGCTCCTTCTTTCAAATCTCCCGCTTTGTTCCCACACCCTCCCCCCTCTCCGCTCACAGCTCCGCCGGCAGCTCCGCCTCCTCCCAAAAACTCTTCTCCATCAGCAGCTCCAGTTCGTTCAGCTGCTCCATCCTGGACGCGGGGATCGCAAACTGTAGACAGAAAAGACAGCGGAACCGGGGGTAACACAGAAAGCTTAGAAAAGGGAAAAAGGCGCGAGCCTGCGCACCTCGCGCGCATGCGCCAACCCGCAGATGTCCCAAATGACCTGCGCCAGGCCGCCCCTCCCGCGCCGGCGCGTTCCACGTGGGGCCCCTCACCTGAGCAGCAGGGCTCTGTCCCCTGCCTTTGCTCCCTTGCTTAGGACTGGGAATACAGGGAGTCTTCATATCTGAAGCAGACTAAACGCTCCTGCCTTCTCTCTTGACACTCCAACCCGTGTCCGAAACCTCCCGGGTTCACACCATTCTCCTGCTTCAGCCTCCCAAGTAGCTGGGACTACAGGCGCCCAGCTTAGTTTGAACACAACCTTTACACGCTTAGTTTGAACACAACCACATTTGTAGTTGCCCAAAACCAGGCGCCCCTGGTTAGCCTTCAGAATTGTGCACTCCCTGGGAAACAGCCTCTCCCCTTTTTTTCAGAAAACTTATTGAGAAAATAGAAACTGTCGGATAGGAACTCCTTGATCATGCCACGGCTAAATCTACAAAACTTCTGGCCAGGCATGGAGGCTCACGCCTGTAATCCCAGCACTTCGGAAGGCTGAGGCGGGAGGATCACGAGGTCAGCAGTTGAGACCAGCCTGGCCAACATGGTGAAACGCCATCTCTACTAAAAATACAAAAATTAGCCGGGCGTGGTGGCATGCGTCTGTAATCCCAGCTACTCGGGAGGAGGCTGAGGTAGAATAAATTGAACACGGGAGGTGGAGATTGCAGATCCTGCAACGGCACTCCAGCCTGGGTAGAGCGAGACTCCGTCTCCAAAAAAAAAAATTCTACAAAACTTCTAATATCTGCACCATTCTTCATAACCTCTTTCCACCTTTTTTCAATAGCAGACAAAGTGTTCTTCTGGTTAAAGGGCAATCGCTCCACTTGCACTTGGCATCCCAGGGCTTCAAGCATTCTCAAGGGCATCGCTTCTTCAATTATTCTCTTGTATCATCAGCCTCGCCCTCACTATTGGATTGAGCCTCTAATATGGCCTGGTGTCTCCCATTTTTAAAAGATGTTTCCTTGCTGGGCACAGTGGTGTGCACCGATTTTTGATATTTATATACTTCTCTCATCTGGAGGCACTGACAAGAACATCCAGAGCCATGTTAAATATCAGTGGTATAACTGTTATCCTGATTTTTGTTATTCATTTTTTAAATAGATAAAATGCGCCGGGTGCCCGGTGGCTCAGGCCTGTAATCCCAACACCTTGGGAGGCCGAGGCGGGTGAATCACTTGAGGTCAGGAGGTCAAGACCAGCCTGGCCAACATGGTGAAACCCAGTCTCTACTAAAAATATAAAAATTAGCCGGGTGTGGTGGTGCACTCCTGTAATCTCAGCTACTCAGAAGACCGAGGCAGGAGAATCACTTGAGCCTGGAAGGCAGAGGTTGCAGTGAGCTGAGATCACACCACTGTACTCCAGCCTAGGTGAAAGAGTGACTCAGTCTAAAAGAAAAAAAAAATTGGCAAAAAGTTAATATATTTATCATGTACATGGGCTTTCAAATATGTACACACTGGAATGGGAGTTATTCTATTAGTATTTGTCCCTGATATCAACAGCTTTATGACCTACCTTTGCAAGTGATATAACATCACGGTAGTCACAGGCCCACTCAGCCAGATTCAAGGGAAGGGGAACACAGTTCCTACCTCTTGATGGGATGAGTGTCAACGACACATAAGAAAAGCATATGGGGCCTGGTGGCTCACGCCTGTAATCTCATCACTTTGGGAGGCTGAGGCGGAAGGATCATCTGAGGTTAGGAGTTTGAGACCAGCCTGGCCAACATGGCAAAACCCCATCTCTACTAAAAATACAAAAATTAGCCAGACATGGTGGCGCATGCCTGTGATCTCAGCTACTTGGGAGGCTGAGACAGGAGAATCGCTTGGACCTGGGAGGCAGGGGTTACAGTGAGCAAGATTGTGCCACCGCACTCCAGCCTGGGCAACAGCGAGAATCCATCTAAAAAAAAAAATAAAACCATATGAATTGGGATGTGTTCTGGTCATTGTTGGAAAGTATAAAGGTATACTCTGCCAAAATGTCCTTTATTAGATTGAGGAAGACCCCTTTGTTCTAAATATGATTCATTTTGATAACGAATAAATGCTGGATTTTGTCAAGCAGTTATTGCATCTATAGAAGGACTGTATGGTTTTTCTCCTTTATTCTGTTATTATGAGAAGCTTTACCATTGATTTCACAATGTTAAAAAAAACTTTGCATTCCTAGGATAAACCCAAATTGGTCATGACATAATAAACGTTTTATGTATTACTGGATTTGATTTGCTCTGTTGTTAAGAATTTTTCCATCTGTTGGTTTTTTGGTTGTTTTGTTTCTTGAGACAGGAACTTGCTCTGTCACCCAGGCTGTAGTGCTGTGGCACAATGACAGCTCACTGCAGCCTCGATCTGCCAGGCTCAAGTGATTCTCCCCTATCAGCCTCTCAAGTAGCTGAGACTACAGGAGTGTGCCATCACACCCAGCTAATTTATTTTTTTATTTTTAGTAGACACAAGCTCTTGCTGTGTTGCCCAAGCTGGTCTTGAACTCCTAAGCTCAAGCAATCCTCTCAACTCAGCCTCCCAAAGTGCTGGGATTATGGGTGTGAACCACCAAACCCAGCCCATCTAAGTTCTTGAAGGATACTGATTTGTAATTTTCTGTTTTATAACAGCATTGTGGGGTTTGGGTATCAGGGTTATACTGGCATCATAAAATGAGTTGGGAAGTGCTCTCTTCTAATTTCTAGAAGTTTCTGAGATTATTCCTTAGCTATTTAGTACACTTCACTACCTAGCCCTGGGGTTTTCTTTGTGGAAAGGTTTTTTTTTTTTTTTTTTGAGACGGAGTCTCGCTCTGTCACCCAGGCTGGAGTGCAGTGGCGTGATCTCGGCTCACTGCACACTCCACCTCCCGGGTTCACACCATTCTCCTGCTTCAGCCTCCCAAGTAGCTGGGACTACAGGCACCCACCACCACACCCGGGTAATCTTTTGTATTTTTAGTAGAGATGGGGTTTCACCGTGTTAGCCAGGATGGTCTCGATCTCCTGACCTTGTGATCCGCCCGCCTCGACCTCCCAAAGTGCTGGGATTACAGGCATGAGCCACCGTGCTTGGCCACTGCCGTATCTTTTTAAATGAAAGTACTTGTGTTTTTTTTGTTTTTTTTCAAAGGATATCTGGGTCATCTATGATGTTACTGTTACCATCTAAGGGTTTTTTTGTTTGTTTTTGAGACAGAGTCTCTGTCACCCAGGCTGGAGTGCAGTGGCATGATCTTGGCTCACCACAACCTCCACCTCCTAGGTTCAAGCAATTCTCCTGCCTCAGCCTTTCAAGTAGCTGGGATTACAGGCATGTGCCACCACGCCCAGCTAATTTTGTATTTTTAGTAGAGACGAGGTTTCTCCATGTTGGTCAGGGTAGTCTCGAACTCCCAACCTCAGGTGATCCACCCGCCTCAGCCTCCCAAAGTGTTGGGATTGCAGGCGTGAGCCACCACGCCCGGCCCTCAATTTCTTAATTTTTTGAGACAGGGTCTCACTCTGTCACCCAGACTGGAATGCAGTACTGCAATAACAACTCACTGTAGCCTTGACCTCCCTAGACTCAGTTGATCCTCCTACCTCAGCCTCCCAAGTAGCTGAGACTATAGGTGCACATCACTATGTCCAGGTATATTTTTAAAAGCAGACACAGGGTCTCACTATGTTGTTTGGGCTGGTCTCAAAATCCTGGGCTCAAGTGATCCTCCCATTTTGGCCTCCCAAAGTGCTGGGATTACAGGCATGAACCACTACGCCTGGCCTCACTTTCTTTAATTGGCTACACAGATTTTCTGTTTCATCTATGTCAGTCTTGGTTGAATTTTTCAAGGTATTTTTCCATTTCATATAAATTGTCAAATTTCTTTTTTTTGTTGTTTTTTTTGTGTTTGTTTTTTTGAGACAGGTTCTGGCTCTATTATCTAGGCTGGAGTGCAGCCTAATCTCAGCTCACTGCAACTTTCCCCTCCCAGGATCAAGCCATCCTCCCACCTCAGCCTCCCAGGTAGTTGGGACCACAGGCGTGCGCGAACACACCCAGCTAATTTTTGTATTTTTTGTAGAGATGGCGTTTAGCCATATTGGCCAGGCTGTACTCCAACTCCTGAGCTCAAGCTGCCCACCCACCTTGGCCTCCCAAAATTCTGGGATTACAGGTATAAGCCACCACACACGCCTGGCCCTTAATATCTTTTAAACATCTGTAGGATCCACAATGATGTCCTCTTTCTCATTCTTGAGATTTGGGGTTTATTTTCTCTATTGTCTTTTTAATTTTTATTTCTGTTTTTGTTTGTTTTTCAGACCGAGTTTCGCTCTTATTGCCCAGGCTGGAGTGCAATGGCGCGATCTCGGCTCACCACAACATTCACCTCCCAGATTCAAGGAATTCTCCTGCCTCAGCCTACCGAGTAGCGGGGATTACAGGGTTGCATCATCACAACTGGCTAATTTTTCTATTTTCAGTAGAGAGAGGGTTTCTCCATGTTGGTCAGGCTGGTCTTGAACTCCTGACCTCAGGTGATCCAACCACCTCGGCCTCCCAAAGTGCTGGGATTACAGGTGTGATCCCAGCCTTTTATTTCTGTTTTAACTGCAAACCATCACTGACAAAGCAGTGATCTTTGTAAAAACATAATCAGACAACGACACCAGCTGAAAATCTTCAATAGTTTCCCGTTGCATTCTTTTTTTTTTTTTTTTTGATATGGAGTCTCACTCTGTTACCCAGTCTGGAGTGCAGTGGCGTGATCACAGCTCATTGCAACCTCCACCTCCTGGGTTCAAGCAATTCTCCTCCCTCAGCCTCCCAAGTCGCTGGGATTATAGACGTGCACCACCACGCCCAGCTATTTTTTGTATTTTTAGTAGAGACAGCATTTCACCATCTTGGCCAGGCTGGTATCAAACTCCTGACCTCAGGTGATTCGCCAGCCTCGGCTTCCCAAAGGGCTGGGATTACAGGTGTGAGCCACTGCACCCGGCCTTCCCATTGCATTTAGAATAAAAAACAAAATCATTACCATATCCTGTAAACGGCTACATGATCTGGCCTTTGTCTATTTATTTCTTTTTTTTTTTTTTGAGATGGAGTCTTACTCTGTCACCAGGCTGGAGTGCAGTGGCGCGATCTCAGCTCACTGCAATCTCCACCTCCTGGGTTCAAGTGATTCATCTGCCTCAGCCTCCCGAGTAGCTGGGACTACAGGTGCACACCACCACGCGCGGCTAAGTTTTGTATTTTTAGTAGAGATGGGGTTTCACCATGTTAGCCAGGATGGTCTTGATCTTTTTTTTTTTTTTTTTTTTTTTTTTTTTGAGATGGAGTCTCAGTCTGTCACCCAGGCTGAAGTGCAATGGCGTGGTCTCAGTTCACTGCCACCTCTGCCTCCCAGATTCAAGCTATTCTACCACCTCAGCCTCCCGAGTAGCTGGGACTACAGGCACATGCCACCACACCCGGCTAATTTTTGTATTTTTAGTAGAGACAGAGTTAACACTATGTTGGCCAGGCTGGTCTTGAACTCCTGACCTTGTGATCCGCCCACCTCAGCCTCCCAAAGTGCTGGGAATACAGTAGTGAGCCACCGTGCCTGGCCTGGTCTTGATCTCTTGACCTCGAGATTCGCCCACCTCAGCCTCCCAAAGTGCTGGGATTATAGGCATGAGCCACCATGCCCCACCGCCTTTGTCTATTTCTTTGACTCCATCTGTTGCTACTCCTTCACGCACAATACTTCAGTCACACCAGCCTTTCGGCAATTCCATTGTCAAACCAAACTTTTTCCTGTTTCAGGGTTTTTGTGCTTGGCGTTCTCTTCACCTGGGCCAGTCTTTCCCCTGAACTCTTTGCATGGCTGTTTCCTTTTCATCCTCCATGTGTCTGTTGAATGTACATATAGCACATCAAAGAAACCTTTCCTTGACCATTCTCAAGTAGCTTATTTACTGTTTTCATAAGCACTTTCCACAAGCTGTAATTATTTTATTGCTTGGTATGTTTATTGACAAGTTCAAATTTAATGACATGTTACAGTTTCATTTGAACAGTGTATTACTGTATTAAAGTATAGCATCATAGCTAAAAGAATAGGCTCTAGATTCAGACCGGCTGAATTTGAATCCTAGATCTGCCACTTACATGAACCTGGCCAAGTAATTTAATCTCCCTAGGCCTCGATTATTCCCATCTGTCAAAAAGAAATATTAAATGGTACTTATATCATAGTATTGTAATGGAGATTGAGCTAAGGCATCAAAGGTGCTTAAAACAAGGAATGCCACATAATTCTTCAGGAAATATATGTAATTGTTATTATTTATCACCAGTTTCTAGTGCCCAATACTAGAATGTGTCTGGGTTTCAAAGAATAGATGCGAGGAACTATGTAAAGTGTATGCTTGCTATACAAGTGTGTCAGGTATTATTGATCCAACTCTGCAAGGCAACCCATTAATTGTACATAGTTTGGGAATAATCCTTGGGGAAAAAAAATAAATAATTATACATAGGGTTTTTTAAAAAAACATTTTATATAAAAAAATGAGACAGAGTCTTGCAATGTTGCCCAGGCTGGGCTCGAATGCCTAGGCTCAAGTGATCCTCCTCGCTCAGCCTCCCAAAGGGCTAGAATTACAGACATGAGTCACTTCACCCAGCCATAAAAACTATTTATAAGTTTTATTTTATATATATATATGATATGTATACATATATTTTTTATTTTATATATTCATTTATTTTTATTTTTATTTTTTGGGACAGAGTCTCACTCTGTCACCCAGGCTGGAGTGCAGTGGGGCAATCTTGGCTCACTGCAACCTCCGCCTTCTGGGTTCAAGCAATTCTCCTACCTCAGCCTCCCAAGTAGCTGGGACTACAGGCGCCCACCACCATGCCTGGCTAATTTTTATATTTTTAGTAGAGATGGGATTTCACCATGTTGGCCAGGATGGTCTTGATCTCCTGACCACGTGATCCGCCCACCTTGGCCTCCCAAAGTGCTGGGATTACAGGCGTGAGCCACCATGCCCGGCCAGGTTTTATTATATATTTGCCACTCATGCTGGCAAATCAGCAATAAGACATTTCTGCGAAGCAAACCAAATGACTTTATTCCTAAATTGTTTATTTCTTGAACTATTTGTGCTTCATTTCTGCCTGCTAGAACATAAAGTCTTCAAAAACAGGGACTAACCCTTCCTTCTACCCACCAGTAAACATCACTGAGTACCACTCTGACGCCATACCCTGTGCTCCCTGCCCTTGAAGGAACCAGATATTGGGATGTGGGGACACTGATAAACAGGCAGTTAGCAGAAAGTGTGGCACATACTCTATTAGAGAAATACCTGGTGTTATATGCTGATTTGGGAACCCAAATCAGATTGCAAGTACAGCTAACAAGCCTCCCAAGGGAAGTCCTCCATAATGCTGACACAAGGTCTGGCACACAATTGGTGCTGAATAAATGGATGGTCAGTACCACGGTGAAGAATGGAATGAGGACAGGAGCACTGGCTCATGCCAGTAGTCCCAGCATTTTGGGAAGTCGGGGGGGCAGATCACTTGAGGTCAGGTATTCAAGACCAGCCTGGCCAACAGGGCAAAACCCAGCTCTACTAAATACACAAAAATTAGCTGGGCGTGGTGGCGGGTGCTTGTAACCCCAGCTACTCGGGAGGCTGAAGCAGGAGAATCGCTAGAACCCAGGAGGTGGAGGTTGCAGTGAGCTGAGATCACACCACTGCACTCCAGCCTGGGCACTCCAGCCTGGGCAACAGAGTGAGGCTCTGTCTCAAAAAAAAAAAAAAAAAAGAAAGAAAAGAAAGAAAAATACAAAACTCAGCTGGGCATGGTAGCACATAGCTGTAATCCCAGTTACTTGGAAAGATGACTCGGGAAAATCGCTTGAACCCGGAGGTGGAGATTGCAGTGAGCCGAGATTGCACCACTGCACTCCAGCTTGGGTGACAGAGTTAAGACTCTCGTTAAAAAAAAAAAAAAAAGAATGTAATGAGATATTATTAAACATATCCAGTAACTTCTCCACCTTCTACAGGTAATTACTGAAAACTAGGAGGTATACCTCACTTATCAATCTGGAAACCAGACCACTGTCCCATTCTACAGACCAGAGAGCTATACCCACTGAGAGGTGGAAGAGAGGAACAATAAAGATCAAAAAAGAAATAAAATGTCAGTCTTCAAATGGAAGATAACCTGGCAAGATGCACTTTGGGCAATCTGAAATAAATCAGATATAAACACAGTCATTATTTTAAATATTCTTCCATTCTGACTTATGTTTAGCATTTGTGCTTCAATATGTAAACAGTTGAAAGAAAGAAATTGTCAAAACATGGATAAAATTTATTTTTAATATCCTCTGTATTCTATAACATATAGAATGCAAATTTTTATTTAAAAGATATTTGCAATCCCCTTTTACTGATAACCTAACTGAGGTATCTTTTTTTTTTTTTTTTTTTTTTTTGAGATGGAGTCTTGCTCTGTCGCCCAGGTTAGAATGCAGTGGCACGATCTCGGCTCACTGCAAGCTCCGCCTCCCAGGTTCAAGTGATTCTCCTGTCTCAGCCTCCTGAGTAACTGGGACTACAGGTGCGTGCCACCACGCCCAGCTAATTTTTTGTATTTTTAGTAGAGATAGGTTTTCACCGTGTTAGCCACAATGGTCTCGATTTCCTGACCTCGTGATCCCCCCGCCTCAGCCTCCCAAAGTGCTGAGATTACAGGGGTGAGCCACCATGCCCGGCTCAATACTTATTTTATATACTTAAATTATCTTAACATTTAATAACAATAATTAGCTACAGTGTGGTCTAGAAATGAAAATATACAAATGGTTTTAAGAACACATGTATTTCTTTTTTTTTTCTTTTATACAGTCTCTGTATAAAAGAAATTTTTGTACAGCCTTTTTTTTTCTTTTATACAGTCTCACTCTGTATAAAAGAAATTTTTATACAGGCTTTTATACAGCCACCCAGGCTGGAGTGCAATGGCGCAATCTTGGCTCACTGCAACCTGTGCCTCCTGGGTTCAAGCAATTCTCCCTGCCTTAGCCTCCCAAGTAGCTGGGATTACAGGCGCCCGCCACCATGCCCGGCTGATTTTTGTATTTTTAGTAGAGACAGGGTTTCTCCACGTTGGCCAGTCTGGTCTTGAACTCCTGACCTCAGGTGATCCACTCGCCTTAGCCTCCCAAAATGCTGGGATTACAGGCGTGAGCCACCACATCTGGCCAAGAACACATGTATTTCTACCTACTGGTACACTTATAAATCATACAAAGATACATACTTATTTTTAAAATAAAGGCTTTCAAAATGAAACCAGCTCATCAAATTTTTACCAAGGTATGACAAGAAACCTTTTATGTAAAGAAATAAAAATTGAAGCAAAAATAACACTTTCAACTTAGTTTTCCTTCTTTTGTTTGAAAGAAACGGGGTCTCACTATGTTGCCCAGGCTGGTCTCGAACTCCTGGGGTCAAGATATCCTCCCGCCTCAGCCTCCCAAAGTGCTAGGGTTACAGGCAAGAGCCACCACGCCTGGACTCAACTTAGTTTTCTAATGTCTCCTTTTTTTTGAGATGGAGGCTCATTCTGTCACCCAGGCTGGAGTGCAGTGGTGTGATCTCAGCTCACTGCAACCTCCGCTTCCCGAGCTCAAGCAATTCTCATGTCTCAGCCTCGCGAGTAACTGGGACTACAGGCACGAGCCACCACACCTGCTACTTTTTGTATTTTTAGTAGAGGTGGGGTTTCACCATGCTGATCTTAAACTCCTGACTTCAGGTGATCCACCCAACTCGGCCTCCCAAAGTGCTGGGAATAAAGGCGTGAGCCACCACACCTGGCCTTCTAATGTCTTTAAAGTCACATCAAAGGGCCGGGCGCCGTGGCTCACGCCAGTAATCTCAGCACTTTGGGAGACCAAGGTGGGCAGATCATGAGGTTCAGGAGATCGAGGCCATCCTGGCTAACACGGTGAAATCCCGTCTCTACTAAAAATACAAAAATTAGCCAGGCGAATTTTTGGTGGTGGGCACCTGTAGTCCCAGCTACTCGGGAGACTGAGGCAGGAGAATCACTTGAACCCGGGAGGCAGAGGTTGCAGTGAGCTGAGATCGCGCCACTGCACTCCAGCCTGGGCGATAGAGCGAGACTCCATCTCAAAAAAAAAAAAAAAGTCACATCAGTTCTACAAATTACTCTTTCTGAACACAGAACTTTAAATATTCCCTTCCCATTTATGACACGCTTATAATAAATCATAAAAAGTACTCTAAACAGAATAAATGGAATTCTTACATTTTAAAACATTTTCTTAATATAAAGGATAACAATTCAAATCATATTTTACATTTCTACGTCTTCATATTGCACTAAAATTATTTTACATGGAAGAACTAGTTGATGCATCATAATACCTTAGAAACATTTTTTGATATTCACATCTATATTAATAAATATTTCACAGTCTACTTAAATATTCTACTATAGAGCAAATCATCTAACAAAAACAAATCTATAGTGTTACTTTTTTTTTAAGAGCAAAGATATTCAGTATTTTTATTTCTGCCTCTGGGAAACACACTGACATTTTAAAACACATGTAAGTCACTCATAGTACCTCATAATAACATTTGAGCAAGACTTAGTCGTTCATTCATTTATTAAGTGGGGTTTCATGATGTTGCATAGGCTGGCATGGAATTCCAGGGCTCAAGTGATCCTCTCACCTCAGCTTCCAGAGTAGCTGGGACCACATGCCCATCCCACCATGTCCAGCTTCTTCATTTATTTTTGTGTCTCTACATGGCTACCTTTTAAATACAACATTAATTTTATTTAAAAAATGAAGGAAAGAAGTGTTTTTCCTATTATCCAGTGGAGCATAATTGTGAGAAGAGAGATAACAAAAATAAAATGTCAATGCTGGCTGTTTCATAGAACTTAAAAATTCAATTCTCATTATTCTATTGCAATATAACCAACCCTGTTTATTTTAATAATAATAAACACTGTCAGTCTTTTAAAAACCATGATAACAATTAAAAACTTTGAACAGCATGACAAAGCTAATGGCAACCTCTTGAACCCCGTTTTAAAGCTAGTTCTACTTCCAAATAAAACTTTAAAGCGGTTTAGCCAGCATCAGCTTAGGAATATTTTCTTCAATGTTCTAAGGTATAATGTTTGGCATCAAAAAGTATGGTAAGCAGTTCTGATTTGTGACTAAAGAAAAAATAATCAAGTACTAAAATACCAGTGGCTCTTGTGACAGGGTAAATATCCCCATTCAAGTAATGTTCCCCCCACAATTATAGTAATGTTTCATTTCTCCCTCTGAGAATGTATTAAGAAAAACCAACCATAATTTTTTTTTAGTTGAGGTGAAAAAACTGCTTCATAAGTTCGTATGTTGTAAAAGCCACTGCTTGAGAGGGAATACAGCGAATGTAATTAAGAGATAAACCACGATAGAGTCCTTTTCGAATTCCATGGTGTCCATAGACATACTTCATAGTATCCCGCATGGTACTGAAAGACAATGATTAAATGATGACCTCTATGCCCACTCATGAAGAAACAATTTCAGGATCCATAATATCAATTTTGTTTTTTTGAGATGGACTCTTGCTCTGTCACCCAGATGGGAGTGTGGATTGCAGTGGCATGATCTTGGCTCACTGCAGCCTCTGCCTCCCAGGTTCAAGTGATTCTCCTGCTTCAGTCTCCTGAGTAGCTGGGATTACAGGCACGCGCCACCATGCCCAGCTAATTTTTGTAATTTTTAGTAGAGACGGGGTTTCTCCATGTTGCCCAGGCCAGTCTCAAACTCCTGACCTCAGGTGATCCACCCACCTTGGCCTCCCAAAGTGCTGGGATTACAGACATAAGCCACCTCGCTCGGCCCATAATATTAATTTTTAAAGAAGGTTAAATGCCATCTTGAATAGCTTTAGAAAGACAAATGTTTTAACAAGTGAAAATTTTTTCATAATAAAAAGGCAAGTCATTCTAAACAAGTACAAGCATTATGCATCAAATTTCAGGACTCATTAGTACAACATATTTTGTTTGTACTATGTCTATGACATTTACTGGACAACAACTATTTCATACTTATATTTGAAATACTAATGCAATCCTTTTAAAGGATGTATATCCAGTTGCCCTTTAAGCCTTTATTATAGCTCAAGTTGTATAGTATCAACAGCAGGTGGTTATAGAACTAAAGCTTGAAGGACTATCTTTCAGATTTCAGCAATGAACACTTTCCTGTTTCAGAGTTGTTCCTTTCCTTTCAAACCAATAATTTGGGCTTGGGCTTTCCCTTTCAATAGGCAATCTGGACCGAAATCTTTTCAAAAATCTTTTTTTTTTTTTTTTTTTAAGAGACAGGTTCTCACTCTGTTGCCTAGGCTGGAGTGCAGTGGCAATCATAGCTCACAACAGCCTCCAACTCCTGGGCACAAGCAATCCTCCCACCTCAGCCTCTTCAGTAGCTGAGACTACAGGCACACACCACCATGCCTCACTAAATTTTTTGTTTGTTTGTTTTTAGTTAAAAAAAATTTTTTTAGAGCCAAGGTCTTACAATGTTTTCCAAGCTGATCTCAAACTCCTGGCCTCAAGTGAACCTCCCACCTCAGCCTCTCAAGTAGCTGGATACAACAAGCACAGGGTAATGCTCCCAGCCCAAAAAATCTTTTGGGTGAACACGGCAATCCAAATTCATGAACAAATGTTCTGCTCTTCCCCTGAGAGACAACATATCACCAATCAAATGGAATGGTTCTAAATTACTATAAAGAAAACTCTGGAGCTGTGCTATACAATCACAGCAGCCACTAGCCACATATGGCTATTAAGCACTTGAAATGTGGCAGTCCAAATCAAGACGTGCTGTGAGTGTAAAATACACCCTGGATTTCAAATAGTTTGTATTTAAAAAAAAGAAACAAAATAATGAAATGTTGAGGTGATAAAAGTTTAGGTTAAACAAAAAATATTTTTAACAATTATATATATATTTTTTCTTCTTTTTCTTTTCTTTTTTATTGACACGCAGCCTCGCTGCCAGGCTGGAGTGCAGTAGCACGATCTCGGCTCACTGCAACCTCCGTCTCCTGGGCTCAAGTGATTCTTGTGCCTCAGCTTCCAGAGTATCTGGGACTACAGGCGCACACCGCCACACCCAGCTAATTTTTTTGTATTTTTAGTAGAGATGGGGTTTCACCATGTTGACCAGGATGGTCTTGATCTCCTGACCTTGTGATCCTCCCGCGTCAGCCTCCCAAAGTGCTGGGATTACAGGTGTGAGCCACCGCGTCCCAGCCCTTTTTCTTTTTTAGACAGAGTCTCGCTCTGTCGCCCAGGCTGGAGTGCAGTGGCATGATCTTGGCTAACTGCAACCTCCGCCTCCCAGGTTCAAGCAATTCCCTGCCTCAGCCTCCTGAGTAGCTGGTATGACAGGCACCTGCCACCAGCCCAGCTAATTTTTTTTGTATTTTTAGTAGAGACAGGTTTCACCATCTTGGCCAGGTTGGTCTTGAACTCCTGACCTCATGATCCACCCACCTCTGCCTCCCAAAGTGCTGGGATTATAGGCGTGAGCCACTGCGACAGGCCTTTTTTGTTTTTTTCAGAGTCTCACTCTGTCACCTAGGCTGGAGTACAGTGGCGCCATCTCAGCTCTTTGCCTCCTGGGTTCAAGCAATTATCGTGCCTCAGCCTCCTAAGCAATATTTTTTTTTTTTTTTTTGAGATGGAGTCTCACTCTATCGCCCAGGCTGGAGTGCAGTGGTGCGATCTCGGCTCACTGCAAGCTCCGCCTCCTGGGTTCACACGATTCTCCTGCCTCAGCCTCCCGAGTAGCTGGGACTACAGGTGCCTGCCACCACACCCGGCTAATTTTTTGTATTTTTACTAGAGACGGGATTTCACCATGTTAGCCAGGAGTACCAGACCAGCCTTGCCAACGTGGTGAAACCCCGTCTCTCCTAAAAATACAAAAATTAGCCAGGCGTGGTGGCAGGTACCTGTAATCCCAGGTACTCGGGAGGCTGAGGCAGGAGAATCGCTTGAACCCGGAAGGGGGAGGTTGCAGTGAGCTGAGTTCATGCCATTGCACTCCAGCCTGGGGGACAAGAGTGAGACTTTGTCTCAAAAAAACAAAACAAAAAAAAAAAAAAAACACAACCTCTAAAATAATATTTTTTTTTATAGAGACAAGGTCTCACTGTGTTGCCTGGGCTGGTCTTGGACTCCTGAGCTCAAGTGATCCTCCCACCTTGGCCCCCCAAATTGCTCGGATTACAGGCATGAGCTACCACAACTAGCCTAAATTTAATATTTTCTTTGTTTTTTTTAGTTTGTTTTTGTTTTTTTTATTGAGATGGAGTCTCACTCTGTCGCCAAATTGGCTCACTGCAACCTCCACCTCCCTAGTAGATGGGATTACAGGCGCCCGACACCACATCTGGCTAATTTTTGTATTTTTAGTACAGATGGGGTTTCATCATGTTGGCCAGGCTGGTCTCAAACTCCTGACCTCAGGTGATACGCCCTCCTCGGATTCCCAAAGTGCTAGGATTACAGGCACGAGCTATCGTGCCTGGCCCTAAATTAAATTTTTAACAGGAGGATTAGAACCTGATTATAGACCAGGCAGGCAGGCAGATCACTTGAGGTCAGGAGTTCAAGACTAGCCTGGCCAACATGGTGAAACCTTATTTCTACTAAAAATACAAAAAATTAGCCAGTCATGGTGGTGGGTGTCTGTAATCCCAGCTGCTTGGAAGACCGAGGCAAAAGAATCACTTGAACCCAGGAGGCGGAGGTTACAGTTAGCCAAGACCATGCCACTGCACTCCAGCCCGGGTGACAGAGTAAGACTGCATCTCAAAAAAAAAAAAAAAAAAAAAAAAAAGAACCTGATTGCCTGATTGTAATCTTATAAAGTTACCAAAATAAACTTCGGGAGATAAAACGGAAGATACAGACTATTGGTCAAACTAGAGTCCTATCTCCTTACTGAGTTTAATGTTACATTTCCTAAAGAAAATGAACAATGACATATGATGAACTTACAGGCACTTTTCAAATTCCGGCAGAACAGTTCCTAATTGCATTCGCCGACGAGTCACATCAAATGGGTAGCTAAAAGAAGAAAAAGGCATAAAGAATTAAAAATTTTTGGTTTTCTACTCAACAACTATTGAATACAAAGCCCTATAAATTCAAAGAAATAACGTGTTACTGCTCTTATTGTTCTGTCTAACCTAGGAGTCGGGATATAGGCATATGAATAAAATCAATTAACAATACAGAAGTCTTTGCTTATGTGATCCCTCTGATTAGAGGATTCTTCTCTCCCATCACCGTAATATCAAGTTCTGTTCATTCCTAAAGGTCAAATTAAATGCCAGTTCCTGAAGAAACAAACTGGTTGCTTTTCATTGTTGAACACTAATATACAGTTTCCAACACTGGCACTACTGACATTTTCGGTTGGATCATCCTTTGTTGTGGGGAACTGTCCTGTGCACTAGAGATGTTTAAGCACATCCCTGACCTCTTCCCACTAGATGCCAGTAGCACTCTCCCAGCTGTGACAACCAAAAATGTCTCCAGACATTAACAAATGTCCACTGGTGGTAAAATCAACCCCAGTAGAGAACTGCTCTAATGCTATGCAGCAAGTCCCCTTGAATACAGTAGACCAATACAAAATTTTCCATAAGGGCTAAAACTAATAATACAGATAACTGCCTGAAATTAAATACACAATATACAAATGCAATCTCTCTTTTTTTTTTGAGATGGAGTCTCACTCTGTCGCCCAGGCTGGAGTGCAGTGACGCAATCTTGGCTCACTGCAACCTCCACCTCCCAGGTTCAAGCAATTCTCTGCCTCAACCTCCCGAGTAGCTGGGATTACAGGTGGCTGCCACCACACCCGGCTAATTTTTGTGTTTTTAGTAAAGACGGGTTTTCACCATGTTGGCCAGATGGTCTCAATCTCTTGACCTTGTGATCCACCCGCCTAAGCCTCCCAAACTGCTGGGATTACAGACGTGAGTCACCGCGCCCACCCTCTTTCTTTTTTTCTTAGGGGCAAGGTCTCACTATGTCTCCCAGACTGGCCTCAAACTCCTGGGCTCAAGCAATCCTCCTGCCACAGTCTCCCAAGTAGCTGGGACAATAGGCAGCACTACTGCATCCAAACATGTAATTATTTATAATATGCTTAAAGTGCACACACATCTGAAAAAATGTATTAAATTGAGACCTATATTTTGCAAGGATCCTCTTTTTGAATAATCTATTAGAAAAAATAAATGATTAAACAATGCTGAAAATCAGGACTGGGTAACTATAATTTGATTAAATTAAGTTAGTGAAGAAACTTACGATATTGTCTGCGCTATTGCTCCAGCAACACCACCACAAAGTAAGTTTACATGAGTTTTCAAAACTAAGACATTAGGATTGTCTGATGAAGGTCTGCCAAGAAGGGTAGGAGCATGGGAAAGCCCAACACTCTTCAAGGTACCAAAAGTAAAAAATGAAACACCTGAAAAACAAAAAATAAATTCACCATGATGCTTAACATAACATGAGCTGTGAAAAAGACACCATTCTTAAATAATAAACACATTTCCTAATTTCTGGTGTTTGGCTTAATTTAAAATAGAAAGATTTGTGTACATAAATAACCTAAAGATGACAAAATTACCACCAATAAAAAATTATAGCTTTGGTTTTCATGCACCACTGAAGTTTACTGCACTGAAGGAGGCTATAGTGAATATAATGCCACTTTATATGTGGAAAAAAAACAAAGTTTTCCAAGGTTTCACATGAGAAAAATTAAATTCATGATTATTAATTACAAGGAAATGTGACAACTTAACATTTAAAATAACAATGATGGCCGGGCGTGGTGGCTCACACCTGTAATCCCAACAATTTGGGAGGCTGAGGTGGGCGGATTACCTGAGGTCAGGCGTTCGAGATCAGCCTGACAAACATAGAGAAATCCCATCTCTACTAAAAATACAAAATTAGTCGGGTGTGGTGGCGCATGCCTGTAATCCCAGCTACTCGGGAGGCTGAGGCAGGAGAATCATTTGAACCCAGGAGGCGGAGTTTGCGGTGAGCTGAGATCACGCCATTGCACTCCAGCCTGGGCAACAAGAGCGAAACTCTGTCTCAAACACAAAACAAAACAAAACAAAAAAACAGTGATGGTGATAATGTAAGATACAGGCAAAAATTAAGAAGTGAAAAAGCATTTTTATTTTAACTAAGTGTCTAAGTTTGTCTTCAAGGAAGAATTGTGACCATGAGAGAAGCGTTTATGTTAATTCACAAAACACGTAGAATCTGATAAAAATAGTATGCAGGTAGTGCTTGTTAAACATTACATGATACTAGAACCATTAAGGTTGTTTATTAATAAAATTAAGAATGAAATTCAGGGAGGGAAAAAAGTAAATAAATATGAAATTCAAGCGTTCCTCCCAACTAAGCATTACTCAAGATATTGTGATGTTTATTGAATTGGCCAGGCGCGGTGGCTTATGCCTGTAATCCCAGCACTTTGGGAGGCTGAGGCAGGCAGATCACAAGGTCAGGAGTTTGAGACCATCCTGGCCAACATGGTGAAACCCTGTCTCTACAAAAAATACAAATATTAGCTGGGTGTGGTGGTGCGCGCCTGTAGTCTCAGCTACTCAGGAGGCTGAGGCAAGAGAATTGCTTGAACCCGGGAGGCGGAGGATGCAGTGATCTGAGATGGCAACACTGCACTCTAGCCTGGCAACAGAGCGAGACTCTGTCTCAAAAAAAAAAAAAAAAAAGGAAGAAAGATTCATAAGGGATTTCTCTTACCAAATATAAAGACTCATTATGAAACTGCCGTAGCCCATGTGGCAGCTCACACTTGTAATCCTAACACTTATGGAGGCTAAGGTGGGAGGATTGCTCAAGCTCAGGAGTTTGAGACCAGCCTGGGTAATATAGTGAGAACTCATCACTACAAAAAATGTTTTAAAGGAGGTAGATGCAGTGTTACGTGTCTGCAGTCCCAGTTACTCAGGCAGCTGACATGGGAGGATAACCTGAGCTGAGGGAGGTCAAGGCTGCAGTGAGCCACAATTGCACCACTGCACTCAGCTATGATTGCACCACTGCACTCCAGCCTGGGCAACACAGCGAGACTCTATGTCAAAGAAACAAACTCTGCACTAATATTATTTTTTTAAGATGACTGGGAAAAGAAGAGACTTTTTTTTTTTTTTTGAAACAGAGTTTTACTCTTGTCACCCAGGCTGGAGTGCAATGGTGCGATCTTAGCTCACTGCAGCCTCCGCCTCCTGGGTTCAAGCGATTCTCTTGCCTCAGCCTCCTGAGTAGCTGGGATTACAGGCGTGCGCCACCACGCCTGGCTAATTTTTGTATTTTTAGTAGAGATGGCGTTTCATCATGTTGGTCAGGTTGGTCTCAAACTCCTGACCTCATGATCCACTCCCCCTCGGCCTCCCAAACTGCTGGGATTACAGGTGTGAGCCACTGTACCCGGCCAGGGAAGAGACTATTTATAAAATGGTGCCAAGTCAAAAGTGAAGGGGAAAAAAAAAAACTTCCTTAACAAAGAAAACAAATACTTCCAGACAGATTAGTGGCATATATATAAAATGCTAAACGTTAAAAATCATTCTCAGAAGAAAATTTTTTTGACACAATAAAGACTATCCATAAAAGAATAGATTGATGCATTCGACTACCTTAAAATTTGAATTTCTTAACCACTAGAACAGCTAAAAAATATACTTTTTTTTTTTGAAACTGGGACAGGGTCTTACTCTGTCATTCAGGCTGGAGTAGAGTGGCATGATCACAGCTCGCTGAAGCCTCAACCTCCTAGGCTCAGGCAATCCTCTTAACTCAGCTTCTCAAGTAGCTGGGACCACCAAGCCTGGCTAATTTTAGAAAATTATTTGTAGAGACAAATTCTCCCCATGCTGCCAAGGCTGGTCTCAAATTCCTAGGCTCAAGTAATCCTCCTGCCTCAGCCTCCCAAAGTGCTGGGATTATAGGTGTGAGCCACCATGCCTGGCCACACCACATTTTAGTTTGCTATTAGTGCACTGTTTTTTTGTTGTTGCTTTTTTTTTTTCTTTTTTGAGACAGAGTTTTGCTCTTGTGGCCCAGACTGGAGTGCGATGGTGCAATCTTGGCTCACTGCAACCTCCGCCTCCTGGGTTCAAGTGATTCTCTGCCTCAGCCTCCCAAGTAGCTGGGATTACAGGCATGTGCGACCACGCCCAGCTAATTTTGTATTTTTAGTAGAGACGGTGTTTCTCCATGTTGGTCAGGCTGGTCTCAAACTCCTAACCTCAGGTGATCCACCTGCCTTGGCCTCACAAAGTGCTGGGATTACAGGCATGAGCCACCGCACCGGCCCTTGTTGTTGCTTTTTTGTTTGTTTGATTTTTAGAGACAAGGTCTCACTCTGTCACCCAGGAGGGTGTCCATTCTTTTGCATGAAGCTCCTACACTAGGCCCTAACAGACCAGACTAAAAATCAAAACAGAGTCACCATGCTTAAGTTCCACACTACCAAACTAAAACTAGTTGTTACCTGACCTCCTGAGAAATTAGGAGAAAGAAGTGACAGCCACTTTCTCTAACAGGCCAGTTTCAATCTTGAATAAGCTTGATAGTAAACTTCTCTCTGTTTGCTTGCTTGCTTGCTTGATTGATTGATTGATTGACTGATTGATTTAGAAATGGAGTCTCACTCTTTCGCCCAGGCTGGAGTGCAGTGGCGTGATCTCGGCTCACCACAACCTCCGCCTCCCGGGTTCAAATGATTCTCCTGCCTCAACCTCCTGAGTAGCTGGGATTACAGGCACACGCCACCAAGCCAGCTAATTTTTGTATTTTTAATAGAGATGGGGTTTCATCATGTTGGCCAGGCCAGTCTCAAACTCAGGTGATCCACCCGCCTTGGCCTCCAAAAGTGCTGGGATTACAGGCTTGAGCCACCACACCCGGCTCCTTTTGCTTTAATACTTACACAAAAAAGGTAGCCTAATATAACCTGAAGTTAACTAGTGATTTTTCTATTTTATTCTTCCTGTCCCCAACTTACAAGGATAGTAACTTTGAACTGAGCAACCTGATTGTTCATTGTTTCTGCTTTCTTCAACCCTTCCTCTATATAAAATCAACTCCTTCGGGTCTAGTCATTCCAACACTTACTCTATTTTTATGAAATGAAGTATTGCCCAATTCTAGAATTGCAAAATAAAGCCAACTGAGATGTTTAAACTAAACTGGCTGCAATTTTGTCTTGTAACATAACTGTATGTAAATCCACAATTACCTCAAAATAAAAAGTTTAGTTTAAAAAAAAAACAGGACTGCTGGGCACGGTGGCTAATGCCTGCAATCCCAGCACTTTGGGAGGCCAAGGCGGGTAGATCACCTGAGGTCGGGAGTTTGAGACCAGCCTGACCATGGGCAGGAGAATCGCCTGAACCCAGCAGGTGGAGGTTGCAGTGAGCCGAGATCACGCCATTGCACTCCAGCTTGGGCAACAAGAGCGAAACTCCGTCTCAAAAAACAAAAAAAAACAGGACTGTAAACAAGGTAATAAATGGAGATTAGAGAACTATAGGTATCCTTATTTTTCTTCTTTCTACTTTTCTATATTTTCAAAATTTGCCATGTCTTCATTATTTATAATGAGACAAAAACCACTTTTCAACTCCTATTTTTAATTAACATGCTCATAAAACCTAAATGTTTAACATCATCTAACGTAAGTGTGTGTTAACAAGACTACAGCTGGCTCAGATATTAAGAAAAAGATGTAAAGTACTTCTCCAATTATACACGAATAGTCATCTTTATATCCAAGATATTATTATGTGACCATCCATAAATCATTTCTTATTAAAAGTACTTAACAGATAACATCTTTTTATATTACCATTTCAGAAAAAAAAAAAAAAGGTAACAAATTTTAAACATGCATATTAGGATTCTGGCAAATTTGAAACATACCTGCATATGGAGCCATTCCTAAAATAGTAGGCATCAGACCTCTGTAAAATCCAAAGAAACCACCTTCCTTTTGAGTGAAGGAAAATTGCAAGTGAGATTACATTGTGCTCATTATCATAAACATCAAAGAAAAAATCACACTTTATAACAGAAAAATTATTCAGGGATCCACCCTGAAACACAAAGATGTGTTTTCGTAATTATTGTTATTAACATCAATAATTATAAGTAAAAGAATAATTACTTATATGACATTCAAAATATTTTCCTAAGTATAAAAGGGCATGTTATAGATGAGGAAGGTAAATATGAAATACCTTTGCATAAATTGTTTTGAAAGCATGAATAATTCCTGTATAGCTGTGTTCCCCTTTCACCTGGAATGCTAGGCGGACCCTAACCATGTCAAGAGGGTAAGTACAGATAACTGCTGTCATACCTGAAAAGAAAGTAGAAATTTAGAGGTACAATGAATTTTTGATATATACATATATTCCCCTATCATTAGTATTATTCTCAATATTATGGCAATGGTGAAAACCCAATAAAATCAAAGGTGATATTACTGACAGAATTATACCATATCATTAGATGGAAAACAACCTAGTAAGTGAAGGGTCAGTTTGTAAAAAATGTTTTCAAGTTCTTCTCACTGTGAAGTTATACTGTTAGCACCAAAATGGTACAGTGTACAGTGTAAGGGAATCATGAGATTTTTTTAAAAAAAATTATTCTACTATTTATGTATTCCCAGTTAAGATATCAGAAAGGAAACACAGTAGGCTCTCCTGATCCATTGTTTCCACATCCATGGATTGAAGCAACCATGGACGGAAAATGTAGTGAGGTCTACAATGGTTGCATCTGTAATGACCATGTACAGATTTTTTGGTCACTATTTCCTAAACCATATACTATAACAGGTATTTACATAGCATTTACATTATATTAGGTATTATAAGTAATCTACACCCAGCCCAACTCCATCTATTTCTTAATTCCTTTTCCCATGTTCCGAGTTTTCTGGTTACTGGCTGAAGGTGGTTTAATAGGCCAGGCGTGGTGGCTCACGCCTGTAATCCCAGCACTTTGGGAGGCCGAGGCAGGTGGATTATGAGGTCAAGAGATCGAGCCGTCCTGGCCAACATGGTGAAACCCCATCTCTACTAAAAATACAAAAATTAGCTGGGTGTGGCGGCACATTCCTGTAGTCCCAGCTAGTCGAGAGGCTGATGCAGGAGAATCACTTGAACCCAGGAGGCGGAGGTTGCAGTGAGCTAAGATCACGCCACTGCAGTCCGGCCTGGCAACAGAGTGAGATTCCAGGAAAGAAAAGAAAAGGAGGGGAGGGGAGGGAAGGGGAGGAGGGAGGGGAGGAGAGACGGGAGGGGAGGAGAGAGAGAGACAGAGAGAGAGAGAAAGGAAGGAAGGAAGGAAGGAAGAGGTTTAATAGAAAATCACTGTGGGAGCTAGGCATGCTCACGCCTGTAGTCCCAACACTTTGGGAGGCTGAGGTGGACAGATCACCTGAGGTCAGGAGTTCGAGACCAGCCTGGCCAACATGGTGAAACCCCATCTCTACTAAAAATAAAAAAATTAGCTGGGCCTGGTGGCACGCGCCTGTAGTCCCAGCTACTTGGGAGGCTGAGGCAAGAGAATCACTTGAACCCTCAGGAGGCGGAGGTTGCAGTGAGCCGAGATAGTGCCACTGCACTCCAGCCCGGGCGACAAGAGTAAAACTGCATCTAAAAAAAAAAAAAAAGTAAAAAGAAAAGAAAACAAAATCACTGTGGGAGTTAATGTAGTGGTTAAATAATGAATTGGTAGGAAACAAGAGTACCCAGAAATTTGTAAAGGTAAAGGAGGTGTGTGGGTACCATGGCTCACTCCTTTTAATCCCAGCACTTTGGGAGGCTGAGGTGAACAGATCGCTTGAGCCCAAAAGTTCGAGAACAGCCTAGGCAACATAGCAAAACTTCGTATTTATTTAAAAAATAGGCCGGATGTGGTGGCTCACACCTGTAATCCCAGCACTTTGGGAGACCGAGGTAGGCGGATCACTTGAGGTCAGAAGTTCCAGACCAGCCTGGCCAATATGGTGAAACCCCATCTCTACTAAAAATACAAAAATTAACCAGGTGTAATGGTGGGCACCTGTAATCTCAGCTACTCTACTCGGGAGGCTGAGGCAGGAGAATCCTTGAACCTGGAAGGCAGAGGTTGCGGTGAGCCAAGATGACACCACTGCACTCCAGCCTGGGTGACACAGCCAGACTCTGTCTCAAAAAATAATAATAATAAACTATTAACTTTTGACTTATAATCAAAATTGACCAAAATGGTCAAAAGTTAAAAGAGTATATACTCTAGGGCCGGAAACAGTGGCTCACGCCTGTAATCCCAGCACTTTGGGAGGCCAAGGTGGGTGGATCACTTGAGACCAGGAGTTGGAGACCAGTCTGGGCAACACAGTGAAACCCTGTCTCTACTAAAAACACAAAAATTAGCCAGGCATGATGGTGGGTACCTGTAATCCCAGCTACTCAGAAGGCTGAGGCAGGGAATCCTTGAACCCGGGAGGCAGAGATTGCAGTGAGCCGAGATCATGCCACTGCACTCCAGTCTGGGCAACAGAGTTAGACTATGTCTCAAAAAAAAAAAAAAAAAAAAGAGAAAAGAGTATAAACTGTAGAGTGCACCTCCTTGTTTCAAATTAGACTCTACTACTAACTAGATATATGACCCTGATCAAGTTACTTAACCTGGGTTTCAATCCTGTTATCTGTCAAATGAGTATCATAATAAGTGGGTACCCAAATCAGGGTTTTGTAAAGATTAGGTGAGCTAACATATGTAAATGCTTAAAATAATTCCTGGTACACAGTAAAGGTTATATATGTGTTAGCTATTATTCTCATGTATTCTATTGAAACTATGTACTTTGTTACCCTTTCCTTTGAGAATCAATTCATTTATCTCCTCTTCTTGCATCCCCTTGCCCCCCATCTGTCTCCTGCACATCAAAGCTCACAAATTTGAATTAAAAGGGAAGCACAATCAGAGAATTACTGAAGAGGAATATGTAACAACGTGGGAATTCAGCTTGCCTGCTGCTAGTAATCAGACTGACATCCATAACAATCATTCAGAGGGTGACTGAGGTTTTCAATTCATGAAGCTACAGTCTCCCATTGGGCCTCTTTTCTCCATTCACACACTCCTTACTATTCTACCTAACACTTCTTTTAAGAAGGCCAAAAAAGCCCTCGATGTACAAATAAGGCAAATCAGAAACTGCTTACCTTGAATAGTGGTGGTAACAGCTTTCTTCTTCCCTCAGTTTACAACTACAATCCAATACAAATAGTAGAATATGTTTACCTACCAGGAAGCAATGAGACTCAATCAAGCTGAGACTTGCTTTCAATTTTTATGAATGTGCAAACTCTTCTCTTTCCCTCTCTTAAGTCAAGAAACTAAGGACATAAAGATAAATCTAAACAAAGTCAGACTTTTTTCTCTAAATTCTCATCATCTTACTGTCTCTACAGTCTAGAATCCCAGGAGTTATGGGAAACCTGAGAACATATTTTAACCAGCAATTACATTAGAAATCATATTTAGAAAGTATGGTAATTATGAATTATTTATTGTGTTCCAGAAATAAACACAAAAGACTTTTTTTCCTCTTTTTGTTGAGATGGGGTCTCGCTCTGTCACCCAGGCTGGAATGCAGTGGTGTGATCACTGCACACTGCAGCCTCAAACTCCTGGGCTCAAATGTTCCTCCTACCTCAGCCTCCTAAGTTGCTGGGATCACAGGTGTGCATCACCTGACCTAGCTACAAAGGATTTCTTAAAAAAGGAACTAACATTACAAGGAGAGAGTAAAGGGAAGGAAGAAATTAAGATTAGAAATTGCATAATACAGGGTTGAAGTATATGGACATTTACAGACCCTCATCAATTCATCCTCTCCCGCAACTTCTCAATGAATACGGAAGTGGATTTGTTCTCAAAGACAGCTTCTCACCACCCTCCATTCCCATCTGAGGCTGACATAGTGGGAGCAGCATCCAGAGTCCATGTACATATTCAAAGAGATTAAAGTTTGACAAAAATACATAGATTCTAAATATATACTTTAGACAAAAGAAGGACTCCAAGCGTCATAGATACAAAAACTAAGCCACAAAGCTAAACAAATTGGTCTGGAGTAGGAGTCCAGTTCTATAATAGTTTGTCCTTTGGGAACACGTTACTACTTCAAGGTTGACTAAATATCAGTTATGAACAACCAAAATACACCTGTCTATAGTTGTGTGCAATCTCTGATGAGTGTGACAACTAAAACTATGTTCTTAGAGTAGGATCTAGTGAGAAAAAATTCAGTTATGACACTCATGAGCCACAATAGAAACCATTATAACACAAAAGAATAACTGTATGTCTTTTTCTTCTTACTTCTAACATCTTTTTTTTTTTTTTAATTTTTTTTTTTCCAAGATGGAGTCTTGTTCTGTTACCCAAGCTGGAACGCTGTGATGTGATCTCAGCTCATTGAAACCTCCGCCTCCCGGGTTCAAGCAATTCTCCTGCCTCAGCCTCCCAAGTAGTTGGGATTACAGGTGTGCGTCAAGACACCTGCCTAATTTTTGTATTTTTAGTAGAGATGGGGTTTCACCATGTTGGCCAGGCTGGTCTTGAACTCCTGACCTCATGATCCACCCCAGCTTGACCTCCCAAAATGCTAGGATTACCCACCGTACTCTGCCTTTATTTTTATTTTTGAGGAAATGGGGTCTCATTGTGTTGCCCAGGCTAGTCTTGAATTCCTGGGCTCAAGCAATCCTCCCTCCTTAGCCTCCCAAAGAACTGGGTTTATAGAGTGAGTATATGCCTTTTGTGCAGGATTCTCACACAGAAATCACAGATCTCTGATACCTGTACAACGTAAGTAAAAAAGCCAAAGGACTTAAGAGTAGAGGCCTAAGCATCATGCCGCTCCCCCACTCCCACAAATCAGGACTCAAATTCTATTAATCAGAACTTACCTACATTCCAATTTTCAAAAATTCAAGAGTTGGACTACCAGCTCAGAAGAGCAATTTTTCCAAACACGTAGGAAGCTTGTTGCTTTTGAATTCTGGATCAGAGCTCAAGGGAGATATTTTTTTATTTTTAACTTTTTCTTTTTTTTTTTTTTTGAGACAGAGTCTCATTCTGTCACCGTGCCCGGCCCTAGAATTCCCTTTTAAATATAAAAGTATTTGGAAGGCCAGGCGCAGTGGCACGTGTCTGTAGTCCTAGCTACTTGGGAGGTTGAGATGGGAGGATTGCTTCAGGCCAGGAATTCAAGACCAGTCTGAGCAAAATAACTTCTCATTTTTCTGTCTCTACAAAAAAAAATTAAAATTAGCCAGGCGTGATGGCATGTGCCTGCAGTCCTGGTTACCCAGGAGGCTGAGCGGGGAGGACTGCTTGAGCCCAAGAGTTAGAGGCTGCAGTAACTATCATCTCAGCACTGCACTCCAGCCTGGGCAACAGAGCAAAACCCTGTCTCTGAAAAAAAGAAAACAAAAAGTTATTTGGGAAAGGTGCCTACAAGCCTCTTTGAGATCCTCAAAGTACAGTGAGCACGTGGTTCTAATAATCATTGGAGTATACCGTATGGTCATTCTGGTTGCAGATGTCCAGCCTCTGCTGTGATTGGCTACTGCCTTTGCCATAGTGGTTGTTAAATATTTTGAATATCACCATTATTTACAACTAAAATATTCCCTACATTACAAATGAAACAAAAAGGAGAATAAAGAATTCAGGTTGCTGACTTAAAAGCATCCAAAAAGTCATTGGCATGGAAGGATTAATAACATTCCCTTGTGTTCATGGAGGACTTCAGATCTTTCAGACTATTTTTACAGCAATTCTTTATGCTGACCCTCAGAACAACTGAGATAGAGGAGAAAGAATGGGAAAAAGGAGGGTTGGGGGAGAGAGAGAGAGAGAAACCACAAGCTCCTCTTTAACAAACATACAGGCAAGTTACAGAGGTTTTGGGTGATCTGCCCATGGTCAAAGGGAAGGTGAGTAACGGAGGCCAGGCAGGATCCCAGCAAGTGTTCTGTCCACTCAATCACCAAGCTTTGGACCGGAACAGCAAGTAGGAGCAGACCAAAGAGCACAACAAGCGGAACTCAGCTCATCACTTCTAGGTTCTAACACTTTCCTTCTTTTTTTCTCTACTCTTTATCTTGTCACGTTTAGTTCCATGGAAACTGGCAGAGCCAGATGGATTTCAGACAACTAAAACATACGTGGGGAAAGAAGGAGACCTTCCTTAAAAATACAAACCCTTCTCTTCCCTTTTGCGGCCATCACCGAAGCAGGAGCAGCCAAAATGAAGTTCAATCCCTTTGTGACTTCCAACCGAGGCAAGAAACGCAAAAGGCGTTTCAATGCAATATCCAACATTAGCAGGAAGATTATGTCTTCCCCTCTTTCCAAAGAGCTGAGACAGAAATACAATGTGTGATCCATGCCCATCCGAAAGGTTTTGATGAAGGTCAGGTTGTATGAGGACACTATAAAGGTCAGCAAATTGGCAAAGTAGTCCAGGCTTACAGGAAGAAATGTCATCTACACTGAATGAGTGCAGTGGGAAAAGGCTAATGGTACAACTATCCATGTAGACATTCACCACAGCAAGTGGTTCTCACTAGGATAAAACTGAACAAAGACGGCAAAAAGATTCCTGAACAGAAAGCCAAATCTCGCCAAGTAGGAAAGGAAAAGGGCAAATACAAGGAAGAAACAATTGAGAAGAGGCAGGAATAAAGTAATCTTATATACAAGCTTTGATAAAAACTCGAAATAAAAAAAAGAAAATACAAACCTTGATCTCAATCTTTAGGTTTCCTTTTGCTGGCCAACTGAGATTTAGTATGTATTGGATTATAGTTGTAGGACGAGGGACAGGGAAAAGTTTTTAAAAAGCTTTAAAATAAGCTACATTAAAATGATCATTAAAAACACCACTTTTTACTTTGGCAAATATAAAATTTCCAAAGTTACATTTAGAAGCCTTATCAAAAGTAGAGGAGCAAAGATACCAGACATAAATTAATCATAAGATCCATTTCAAGTGTTTCAATCACAGGAGAAAAATATAAATTGTAATTACTTAAACATATTTATACAAAGTCTAGCTCTGTTGCCAACGCTGGAGTGTAGTAACGCGATCTGGGCTCACTGCAACCTCCACCTCCCAGGTTCAAGCGATTCTCCTGCCTCAGCCTCCCACGTATCTGGGATTACAGGCGCCAACCACCATGCCTGGCTAATTTTTGTATTTTTGCTACAGACAGGGTTTCACCATGTTGGCTAGGCTGGTCTCAAACTCCTGATCTCAGGTGATCCACCTGCCTTGGCCTCCCAAAGTGCTGGGATTACAGGCAAGAGCTACTGTGCCCGGCCCTGAATTAAATTTTTAACAGGAGGATTAGAACCTGATTATAGGACAGGCACCATGGCTCACACCTGTAATCCTAGCACTTTGGGAGGCCAAGGCAGGTAGATCACCTGAGGTCCGGAGTTTGAGACCAGCCTGGCCAACATATTGAAACCCCCATCTCTACTAAAAATCCAAAAATTAGCCAGGTATGTGGCACGTGCCCGTAATCCCAGCTACTAAGGAGGCTGAGGCAGAAGAATCTCATGAACCCAGGAAGCGGAGGTTGCAATGAGCTGAGATTCCATCACTGCACTCCAGCCTGGGCGACAGAGGGAGACTCCGTCTCAAAAAAAGAAGAAAAAAGATAATTACAAAGTGATATACAGGATGCGTGCGGTGACTCACACCTGTAATCCCAGCACTTTGGAGGGCCGAGGTGGGCGAATCACCTGAGATCAGGAGTTTGAGACCAGCCTGGACAACATGGTGAAACCCCGTCTCTACTAAAAACACAAAAATTAGCCAGGCATGTGGCACACACCTGTAATCCCAGCTACTCGGGAAGCTGAGACTGGAGAATCGCTTGAACCCAGGAGGTGGGGGTTGCAGCGAGCCGAGACTGTGCCACTGCACTCCAACCTGGGCGACAGAGAGGGACTCCATCTCAAAAAAAAAAAGTGATATACAAAATAACACATTGAAAAATTTGGAAACTTTCTCACATTGCTCTTCTGTAAAATGAAGATAAATCATAGAGCTTTCCTCATAATATTGTCCTGTGGACTCCATGTCGAGTGTCCAAATATTACATGTCAAGAGTTCTGTCAGCCAGGCTGAGTGTAAACTCATCCCACTACTCAGCCTGGGTAACAGAACAAGAGCCTATCTCAAAACAAACAAACAAACAAAAACAAAAAAAAAAGGAAAGTGAGAAAAAGGAGAGAAAGAGGAGAAGAGGAGAGGAGAGAATGAGGGGAGGGGAGAGGAGGGGAGGGAAGAGGAGGGAAGGGAAGGGAAGGAATGTTGGGAGAATTTGACTCAAAATTTGAATGTTCAAATGGGTGCAGTAGTGTGTGCCTCTAGTCCCAGCACTTTGGAGGCTGAGGCAGGAAGATCACTTGAATCCAGGAGTTTAAGCCATCCTGGGCAACGGAGCAAGACTCCATCTCTAAAATAACTTTTTTTGGCAAAAAAGTTACGTGAGCGAATAATGTTGGCACAACTGACAAGTCATATGGAAAACTTATTCCATCCATCCCTCACTCCCTCTACAAAAGTAAACATAAGATCAACATGCCAAAACAAATAGTTTTAGTAGAAAAACATGACTAGGGCCGGGCACGGTGGCTCATGCCTGTAATCCTACATTTTGGGAGGCCAAGGCGGGTGGATACCTGAAATCAGGAGTTCAAGACCAGCCTGGCCAATGTGGCAATACCCCATTTCTACTAAAATACAAAAATCAGCCGGGCATGGTGGTGTGAGCCTGTAATCCCAGCTACTGGAGGGCTGAGGCAGGAGGATTGCTTGAACCTGGGAGGCAGAGGTTGCAGTGAGCTGAGATTGTGGCAGTGAGCTGAGATCGTGCCACTGCACTCCAGCCTGGGCAACAGAACAAGACTCCGTCTCAAAAAAAAAGAAAAAGTAAAACATGATTAAATGTCTTTACCTTAGAACGGGGAGAAAATTTCTACATACAACACAAAATTTAGAAGTACCAGAGGAAAAAAACTAACATGTTTGGCCATGTAAAACTTCTCTATAGGGAAAAAAATCTTGGATGATTTTTTTTAAAAAATCATAGAACCGAAGGTCAAATCTAAAACTGGGAAATAAAATATTAACAATATCTGAAAGAAAAACAACTAATGTCCTAACTCCCAAACTCAGAAAAATGAATATTTAAAAAACAGAAATAGGCCAGGTGAGAATTTGAGGAGTTTGAGACCAGCCTGGGCAACATGACAAATGCCCGTCTCTACAGAGAATACAAAAATTAGCTGGGTGTGGTGGCATGTGCCTATAGTTCCAGCTACTTTTGGGAGGCTGAGATAGGAGGATGGCTTGAGCCTGGGAAGTGAGGGCTGCAGTGAGTTGTGATCACGCCACTGCACTCCAAGTCTGGGAGACAGACCCAGACCCTGTCTCAAAAAAGGAGAGGAGAGGAGAGGAGGGGAGGGGAGGGGAGAAGAAAAGAGGGGAGGGGAGGGGTAGGGAGGGAAGCGGAGGGGAAAGGAGGGGGAGGGGAGGGGAAAGGAGGGGGAGGGGGAAGGGAAAGGAGGGGGAGGGGAGGGGAAAGGAGGGGGAGGGGAGGGGAAAGGAGGGGGAGAGGAGGGGAAAGGAGGGGGAGGGGAGGGGAAAGGAGGGGGAGGGGAGGGGAAAGGAGAGTGGAGAGGAGAGGGAAGAGGAGAGAGAAGAGAGGGAAAGGAAAGGAGAAGGAAAGAAATTGCTAATCATGGTTGTCTCTAGAGAATGCAACTATTTTTACTGTATAGGAGCAGTTATTACTTTAGTCATTATAATTCGTTACAATTTTTTTAAAGAAAAAAGAAATTTTGAAAAGTAATGGCTGGTCCAAGTGAAGTGCAGTGATGTTTAAAACTCATTGATCACAGTCAGTTACAGTTTTCTTTGTTTTTTTCTCCACTCACACTGCATTACATGACTAGCCTTCAGAAAAATGTTTTTTAATTTTTAAACATTTCCAAAAGTAGAATTGTCAAAGAGAATGCAAGCTTTTCACATAGTTATAAGTTGAGACTACTCCTTATCCTCTACTGTAAAATGACTCTTTTTCAGTTGGCGTACTGATAATTTCATATATATAACTGAATATAGAAAAACAACAAATGTGTGCTACTAAATCAATGTCACACTTTTTATTTTAATACATACCTTTTTTTGAGGATGCACCCAGGAAAAAATACAAGTCACAGGACACCTGCAACCTGTGCTTTCCCCAATGGCACTCATATAATCTAAACCAAATTAAATATTTTAATAGAAAATTAATTTGTCAGAAATAAAATATACCTAACTCCTCTTACCTGCCATGGATCCAGCCATTAATCTGTGCACATGACCTGAAATTCCCAGCTTCGTAGTAATTAACTAGAAAACAAGAACACTGAATTAAATGAGATATTTTTTAAATGCTGCCCATTTCACTGTTTAATAATGAAGATTTATTTCAAGAGTTACAGGACTAATAAAAAGGAAATTAATAATAAATGTGAACGAAATGAGCACAATTAAATACAGCTTGGCAGTGTTATATCACAGCAGAAGGGGATATTTCCTCTGTAGTCTCTGCTTTAATTTTTTGCATTTCTGCAGAAGCAAGCTAGCTTAGTATTGCTAAGTATATGATACTGTGTATTAAGGAACACAAGCCCTTAACAAGTGACTGGGGGTAGTAGGAATAAACTGCTACTTTTTTTTTTTTTTTTTTTTTTTTTTGAGATGAAGTCTCGCTCTGTGTCCCAGGCTGGATTGCAGTGGCACGATCTCGGCTCACTGCAACCTAGATTCAAGCGATTCTCCTGCCTCGGCCTCCCAAGTAGCTGGGACTACAGCCGTGTGCCATTACGCCCGGCTAATTTTTTATTTTTTAGTAGAGACGGGGTTTCACCACATTGGTCAGGCTGGTCTCGAACTCCTGACCTCAGGTGATCCACCCACCTCGGCCTCTCAAAGTGCTGGGATTATAGGCTGAAGCCACCGCACCCAGCCTAATTTTTTATTTTATTTTTTAAATGCTCTATAGACAATGAAGTCCTGATACACAAATGGCATCAATTCTCTTTGGCTGACTAGCTTAGAATGTTGTTCCGATCTCTGCTGCTTGTGTTTTTTTTGTTTTTTTTTTTGAGACAGAGTCTGGCTCTGTCGCCCAGGCTGGAGTGCAGTGGTGCGATCTCGGCTCACTGCAAGCTCCGCCTCCTGGGTTCACACCATTCTCCTGCCTCAGCCTCCTGAGTAGCTGGGTTTCACCATGTTAGCCAGGATGGTCTCGATCTCCTGAACTTGTGATCCGCCCGCCTCGGCATCCCAAAGTGCTGGGGATTACAGGCATGAGCCACCGCACCCGGCCTTGTTTTTTGTTTTTTGTTTTGATTCGGAGTCTCACTCTGTCACCCAGGCTGGAGTGCAATGGCACGATCTTGGCTCACTGCAACCTCCGTATCCCGGGTTCAAGCGATTATCCTGCCTCAGCCTCCTGAGTAGCTGGGATTATAGGCATGCGCCACCACATCCAGCTAATTTTGTATTTTTAGTAGAGAAGGGGTCTCTCCATGTTGGTCAGGCTGGTCTCAAACTTCCGACCTCAGCTGATACTCCCACCTCGGCCTCCCAAAGTGCTGTGATTACAAGCATGAGCCACTGTGCCCAGCCAGTTTCACTATTTTGTTTAATAAGAAAATCCAAAGTCACAGTGTTCCTCTCCTACAATTGAGTAACAAAAAGCACACTAAAGGCTGGGGCCCACAGATAGCTTGGGCCCAGGAGTTCGAGACTAGCATGGGCAACACAGTGAGACCCCATCTCTACAAAATATTTTTTAAAAAATCAGCCAGGCCTCTTCTCCACCTCTGAAAAAGAAAGAAAAAACAAATTAGCCGGGGGTGGTGGCACATGCCTCTAGTGCCAGTTACTCAGGAGGCTGAAGTGGGAGAATTGCTTGAGTCCGTGAGGTTGAGGCTGCAGTAAGCCAGGACCACATCACTGCACTCCAGCCTAGGTGACAGAGAAACTATCTCAAAAAAGAAAGAAAAGAAAAGAAAAGAGGGAGGGAAGGAGGGAAGGGAAACACATTAAAAATATATTAATATTATATGGATTTATTATTATCTTCTTTAAAGATATTCTAGCTCTCATTCATTAGGAGTGAACATAAAGAATTTACTTGGCCGGGTGCAGTGGCTATGCCTGTAATCCCAAGAATTTGGGAGGCCAAGGTGGGCAGATCACCTGAATCAGGAGTTCCAGACCAGCCTGACCAACATGGTGAAACCCCGCCTCTACTAAAAATACAAAATTAGCCAGGAATGGTGGTGCATGCCTGTAAGAATCTGGGAGGCAGAGATTGCAGTGAGCCAAGATCATGTCATTGCACTCCAGCCTAGGGAACAAAAGTGAAACTCCGTCTGAAAAAATAAATAAATAAAGGCCGGGCACGGTGGCTCAAGCCTGTAATCCCAGCATTTTGGGAGACGGAGGCGGGTGGATCACGCGGTCAGGAGTTCAGGACCAGCCTGGCCAAGATGGTGAAACCCCATCTCTACTAAAAATACAAAAATTAGCTGGGTGTGGTGGCGGGCGCCTGTAATTCCAGCTACTCAGGAGGCTGAGGCAAAGAACTGCTTGAACCCAGGAGATGGAGGTGGCAGTGAGCCAAGAGTGCACCACTGCACTCCAGCCTGGGCAACAGAGTGAGACTCCATCTCAAAAAATAAAATTAAATAAATAAATAAATAAATAACTCATAAATGACTAACAATTCTGGAATCGGTAATTCCAAAGACAAGTTATATTTAAAATCTTAAGCTGTCACAAGTCTTATTCCTTTAAAAAGGCATTGCTATATCAAAAGTAACTTTTTGGCCTGGTACCATGGCTCATGCCTGCAATCCCAACACTTTGGGAGGCCAGGAGTTTGAGACAAGCCTGGCCAAAATGGCAAAACGCTGTCTCTACTAAACATACAAAAATTAGCCAGGCATGGTGGCATAGGCCTGTAATCCCAGCTACTCAGGAGGCTGAGGCAGGAGAATCGCTTGAACCCAGGAGGCGAGGTTGCAGTGAGCCTTTCAAAATCGTGCCACTGTACCCCAGCCTGGGCAGCGAGACTCTGTCTCAAAAATTAAAAAAAAAAAACCAATAATTTAACTTTTTAAAAATATGAAACTTTTACATATTTTTAAATGTCCAAAGCAAATGCCTGGTCAAGCATGCATGATATTCAAGAACGCAAAAGAGAAAAGATCAAAGTTTAACTACCGTTTTATAATGCTCAAATGCCATAAACTGGATTGCACCATAGGGAAAGATTCGAATCATCATTGCACCATTTCCTTTATACAATCCAAGGAATCCTTCTTTTTGAGGAACAGCACGCAATGCAGAAAATACTCCTATTTTTAGAGGAAAAATGCTGTTAAAACAGAGAAAATTATCTAAACCTAAATTTTCATGACAATCACAGATAAAGATTAATGTGCCATCACTCAAGATATAATTTTGCTTGAGGGATTACATGAATAGTAATTTCTATAAAACAGTTAAACCTACTAAAAATGCATCATATATCCAAATAATATAAATAAGCACACCCCATATAATATAAAACCTACTGTAGAAACAACTACAAATTACAGCAAATTCTATTTATAATAATAGCAAATTATATTAAACTATAGCAATCTAAAAAATATTAACAATAGAAATATATGCAAGGTCCAGGTTTGCACTAAAGATGACCTACTCTTTTTTTTTTTTTTTTTTTTTGAGACAGTTTTACTCATGTTGCCCCAGCTGGAGTGCAGTGGCGCGATCTGGGCTCACTGCAACCTCCGCCTCCCAGGTTCAAATGATTCTCCTGCCCCAGCCTCCCAAGTAGCTGGGATTACACGCGCCCGCCACCACACCCGGCTAATTTTTGCATTTTTAGTAGAAACGGGGTTTCACCATGTTGGCCAGGCTGGTCTCAAACTCCTGACCTCGTGATCCACCCGTCTCGGCCTCCCAAAGTGCTGGGATTACAGGCGTGACCCACTGCACCTGGCCCTGAAGATGATCTACTCTTTATCTGGAAGGATGAAGGAAGGTTTCAGAGGCCTACCCAGATACATGTGTTTTGTTTGTTTACATAAAGAGATTTTTAAATAAAACAAGCAAATAAAAAGACTACCTATTAATACTCTTTAAGTGTGGGGGCAAATTTTCATTATTAGGACACTTTAGGAATAATGATAAACAAAGGGCTGAGTTGTAATCTATATACAGTGATATTCTGAGCTTTCTAACTGACAAGTAAAAAATATATAGACACATCTATATATAGTGATATCTTTATTACTCTATTAACATCAGTCACTAATCCTACAAGCAGTATACAGACTTCTCAAAAACATATTACTACTTCCATTATTCAACAATTTAAATTCAGGTTCCCTTTCAAATTTTTCAAGCAAACTTTTGATCAAATATGAAAGGAAATCACCAGGTTCATTTCAAATTTTAGACTGCAAATAACCTCTTCAGCCCTTCTCAGTAATTAAAATTGTAGGTACTTATTAACATCCAAAAGATATATCCCAAAAGCAGATATCGAAATGGACTAACATTCTGGTAAGAAGAATTCTGGCCTTGCGTGGTGGCTCATGCCTGTAATCCCAGCACTTTGGGAGGACAAGGCAGGTGGATCACCTGAGGTCAGGAGTTTGAGACCAGCCTGGGCAATATGGTGAAACCCTGTCTCTACTAAAAATACAAAAATTAGGCAGGCATGGTGTCGTGCGCCTGTAATCCCAGCTACTCAGCAGACTGAAGCAGGAGGTAGAGGTTGCAGTGAGCCGAGATTGCACCACTACACTCCAGCCTGGGTGATAGAGTGAGACTCCATCTCAAAAAAACAAACAAAAAGATAACTGCTTGTTTGAACAAAAATTATGGCAATGCAATCTGGAGTTTATGACATATGTAAAAAGTAAAATGTATGACTATAATAACAGAAAGAAGAGTTCATACCAATAAAACTGTCAATTCATCGAGAGAACAGAGGATACAAAATGTGGATAGGAGAGTAACAGGAAGCTTTAAAAAAAAAAAAAAAAAAAAGAATTCTAGGCCAGGCGGGGTGGCTCAAACCTGTTATCTCAGCATTTTGGGAGGCCGAGGAGGGTGGATCACCTAAGGTTGGGAGTTCGAGACCAGCTTGACCAACATGGAGAAACTCCCGTCTCTACTAAAGATACAAAAAAAATTATCTGGGCATGGTGGCGGGTGCCTGTAATCTCAGCTACTGGGAAGGCTGAGGCAGGAGAATCGCTTGAACCCGGGAGGCGGAGGTTGCAGTGAGCCGAGATTGTGCCATTGTACTCCAGCTTGGGCAACAAGAGGGAAACTCCATCTCAAAAAAAAAAGAATTCTATTAAAACTTCCTTTTGCTGGAAGCGGACACAAAGGTTAAGCCCTGTTTAATTTGATCCAAAAGTGTTTGTAATAATTAAAGGGTAATCAAATTTAGAGTAATGATTACCTAGCAGAGACAGGAAGGCTAATGATAAGGTAGAAGTATCGAGGGGGTTTCAACTACACTGACAATGTTTATTTCCAAAGCTCTGTTGCAGGTCCACATATGTTTATTATGTTATTACTTAAAATTTTTTGATTGTCGCCAATTTTGTTAAAAGCATTTTAAGAGAAACCATTAGTAGAAGTGAAATAGATACAGTACTTCTAAAATTAAGGGCCGGGCGCGGTGGTTCATGTCTTTATTCCTAGCACTTTGGGAGGCAGAGGCAGCGGATCACTTGAGGTCAGGAGTTCAAGACCAGCCTGACCAACATGGGGAAACCCTGTCTCTCCTAAAAATACAAAAATTAGATGGAAATGGTGGCGGGTGCCTGTAATCCCAGCTACGAGGGAGGGTGAAGCAGGAGAACTGTTTGAACCCGGGAGGTGGAGGTTGCAGTGAGCCACTCCAGCGACACTGCACTCCAGCCTGGGCAACAAGAGTGAAACTCTGTCTCAAAAAAACAAAACAAATTGGGACAAGGAGAAATTTTTAAATATACTCCTTCCTTATAATTTGAGGAAAATAATTTTAATTTAAAATAAGAAGTACAACCAGGCACAGTAGCTCATGCCAATAATCTGAGCACTTTGTGGGGCCAAGGTGGGAGGATCGCTTGAGCCCAGGAATTTGACACCAACCAAGACAACATAGTGAGACACCATCTCTACAAAAAAACTTAAAAGTTAGCTCTGCGTGGTGGCGCTCGCAATTCAGGAGGCTGAGGCAGGAAGATTGCTTGGGCCCAGGAGGTAGAGGCTGCAGTGAGCTGTGATCACACCACTGCACTCCAGCCTGGGTGACAGAATAAGACCATGTCTCAAAAAAAAAAATCTATATATCTATCTATCTATATATATATCTATATATATAGATATATAGATATAGATAGATAGATATATAGATAGATATATTTTTTAAAAAGACAAAGGCCAGGCGCGGTGACTCATGCTTCTAATCCCAGCACTTTGGGAGGCCAAGGCAGGCAGATCACGAAGTCAGGAGTTCGAGACCAGCCTGACCTCGTCTCTACTAAAAATATAAAAATTAGCCCAGCATGGTGGCACATGCCCGTAATCCCAGCTACTTGGGAGGCTAAGGCGGGAGAATCGCTTGAAACCAGGAGGCAGAGGTTGCAGTGAGCCGAGATCGCGCCACTGCACTCTAGCCTGGGTAACAGAGCAAGACTCCATCTCAAAAAATAAATAAATACATAAATAAAAGACAAGTAAAATAAAAACATGTCTTTGATGCCTTGGAAGTAATGTGACACTTTTTATAAAAAGTCGGAGTAGAAGTAATAGTTTTGTCCAATAGCATATCTTTAACATCTGTGAAAAATCATGTTTAAAAAAGCAAAATTTTTAGGGGTCGGGCACAGTGGCTGACGCCTGTAATCCCAGCACTTTGAGAGGCCAAAGTGGGTGGATCACCTGAGGTCAGGAGTTCAAGACAAGCCTGGCCAACATGATGAAACCCTGTCTCTACTAAAAATACAAAAAAAAAAAAAAATTAGCCAGGTGTGGTGGCAAACACCTGTACTCCCAGCTACTCGGGAGGCTGAGGCAGGAGAATTGCTTTAACCTGGAAGGCCAAGGTTGCAGTGAGCCGAGATCGTGCCATTGCACTCCAGCCTGGGTGACAAGAGTGAAACTACGTCTCAAAAAATTAAAAAATGGGCCGGGCGCGGTGGCTTACGCCTATAATCCCAGCACTTTTGGAGGCCGAAGCAGGCGGATCACCAGGTCAGGAGATCGAGACTATCCTGGCTAACACGGAAAAACTCCATCTCTACTAAAAATACAAGATCAGCCAGGCGTAGTGGCATGTAGCTGCAGTCCCAGCTACTTGAGAGGCTGAGGCAGGAGAATTGCTTGAATCCGGGAGGCGGAGGTTGCAGTGAGCTGAGATCATGCCACTGCACTCCCGCCTGGGCGACAGAGCAAGACTCCGTCTCAAATAAATACATGAAAAAATTTTTCGAAAAGAGCAAAATTAAAAAAACTATCTTATACCTACAAAAAGTGGGGAGGTACCTGGAATAAAATGCTTAAAAGCATTTAAAAAATAAATTAAAGCCCAGTGCAGTGGCTCACGCCTATAATCCCAGCACTTTGGGAGGCCAAAGCGGGCAGAACACGAGGTCAGGAGGTCGAGACCAGCATGGCCAACACAGTGATACCCCGTCTGTACTAAACATACTAAAAATTAGCGGGGCTTGGTGGCAGGCACTTGTAATTCCAGCTACTCGAGAGGCTGAGGCAGGAGAATCTGGCCTTGAACCTGGGAGGCGGAGGTTGCAGTGAGCCAAGATCACACCATTGCACTCCAGCCTGGGCAACAAGAGTGAAACTCCGTCTCAAAAAAGAAAAATTAAATTAAATTAAAGCCACCAATACAGATTTATTTTTTTGAGGGGGCTCGTATATATTAAAAATAGAGGACACTCCAAAGACTACTACAATAGTTCACTGTTGCACTCCAGGAATTCTACTCCAAATTTTATATGCCTTGTAGGGTATACTGTAACCAGGGTACACTGTAACCCACGGCATGCAGCCCTATAGAGTGTGAAATCTAATATGAATGTGTAACCTAATGATTGCAAATCAGGAAACAAAACAGCACACATCAGCACGGGGAGGAGGTTAAAGGAATAAAAGAATCCTGTTCACACACTGATACGCAGAGTAATACACCCCAAGACACTGGGTAATATCATTCTTCTCCATTTTATCCTCAAGTTAGACAAAAAAAGAAAATAATTTCCTTCCTTTCCAGTTTTTTATAATCTCTCAATAAGTTCACAGGTCTAATCCTTTCTTTTTTGGAGACAGAGTCTCACTCTGTTGCCCAGGCTGGAGTGCAGTGGCACAATCACAGCTCACTGCAGACTCAAATGCTTGGGATCAAGCAAGCCTCCCACCTCAGCCTCCCAAAAGTACTGGGACTACAGGTACATGCAACCACATGCATTTAATTTTTTTTTTTTTTAAGATGGGTTCTCACTCTATCGCCCAGGCTGGAGTACAGTAGCACAGTCTTGGCTCACTGCAACCTCTACCTCCTGGGTTCAAGCAATTCTCCTGCCTCAGCCTCCTTAGTAGCTGGGATTACAGGTGTGCGCCACCAAGCCTGGATAATTTTTGTATTTTTAGTAGAGACGGGGCTTCACCATATTGGCTAGGCTTACACACGTTTAATTTTGATTCTTTGTATACATGAGCAATAAACTGTGTGAGGAAGAATTCATTGCAGAGGCAGGGCACAGTGGCTCATGCCAGTAATCAAAGCACTTTGGGAGGCCAAGACAGGTGGGTCAGACAGCTTGAGCCCAAAAGTTTGAGACCAGCCTTGGCAACATAGCAAGACCTTGTCTCTCCAAATATTTAAGACACCCTGTCACAAATAAATAAATAAATACATAAATACATAAATTAGTCTAATAGAAACTAAATTAAAGATAAATGATATTGGCCGGGCGCGGTGGCTCACGCCTGTAATCCCAGCACTTTGGGAGGCCGAGGCGGGCGGATCACGAGGTCAGGAGATCGAGACCATCCCGGCTAAAACGGTGAAACCCCGTCTCTACTAAAAAAATACAAAAAATTAGCCGGGCGTAGTGGCGGGCGCCTGTAGTCCCAGCTACTTGGGAGGCTGAGGCAGGAGAATGGCGTGAACCCGGGAGGCGGAGCTTGCAGTGAGCCGAGATCCCGCCACTGCACTCCAGCCTGGGCAACAGAGCGAGACTCCGTCTCAAAAAAAAAAAAAAAAAAAAAAAAAAGATAAATGATAATTCACTCCTGGATATGAAGATAGTTGCAATTTTTCTATTTCAAAGTACAGACTTCCTCACTATTAAAAATGTTGGTTGGGGCTGGAAGTGGTGGCTCATGCCTATAATCCCAGCACTTTGGGAGGCTGAGGCGGATGGATCAACTGAGGTCAGGAGTTCGAGACCAGCCTGACCAACATAGTGAAACCCCATCTCTACTAAACATACAAAAAATTAGCTGGGCGTGGTGGCGGGTGCCCGTAATCCCAGCCACTAGGGAGGCTGAGGCAGGAGAATTGCTTGAACCTGGGAGGCGGAGTTTGCAGCGAGTTGAGATTGCACCATTGCACTCCAGCCTAGGCCACAAGAGAGAGACTCCGTCTGATAAACAAAACAAAACAAAATGTTGGCTGGGCGGTGAAGTCCCACGCAGTAATCCTAGCACTTTGGGAGGCCAAGGCAGGAGGATCACTTGAAGTCATGAGTTGCAGACCAGCCTAGGGAACAAGTGAGACCTACTCTCTATTTTTTTTTTTTTAATAAAAAATAAGAAACCAGCCTGGCCAAACATAGTGAAACCCCGTCTTTACCAAAAATACAATAATTAGCTGGGCACAGTGGTGCATGCCTGTAGTCCCAGCTACATAGGAGGCTGACACAGGAGAACTGCTTGAACCCAGAAGGCAGAGGATACCATGAGCTGAGATCACATCACTGCACTCCAGCCTGGGCAATAGAGCAAGACCATCTCAAAAAAAAAAAAGAGGAAAAAAAAAAGAAAAGAAAAGAAAAAATATTGACAAGAAAATGAGTTATAATTAATATACCGCATAAATATCCATTCAGGTTTGTAAGAATAACACTTTTAAAATGCAGTTGGAAAAATAACTCATTGTTATTCACCCTGTTAAACATCTTTCTATAAAACGATATTATAAAAATCAAGCACAGTGCCCGCGCGTGGTGGCTCATGCCTGTAATCCCAGTACTTAGGAAGGACAAGGCGGGCAGGTCACCTGAGGTTAGGAGTTTGAGACCAGCCTGGCAAACACGGTGAAACCCCATCTCTAGTAAAAATACAAAAATTAACTGGACATGGTGGCACACCCCTGTAATCCCAGCTAGTCAGGAGGCTGAGGCAGGAGAATAGTTTGAACCCAGGAGGCAGAGGTTGCAGTGAGCTGTGATTGAGCCAGCCTGGGCAACAGAGGAAGACTCCATCTCAGAAAGAAAAAAAAAGCTAACGCAAATAATGTTTTGGCCGGGAGCAGTGGCTCATGCCTATAATTTCAGTACTTTGGGAGACCAAGACAGGCAGATTATTTGACGTTAGGAGTTCGAGGCAGCCAACATGGCAAAACCCTGTCTCTCTACTGAAAATACAAAAATTAGCCGGTCATGGTGGCGGATGCCTGTAATCCCAGCTACTCATGAGGCTGAGGCATGAGAATGGCTTGAACCCTGGAGGAGGAGGTTTCAATGAGCCAAGATCATGCCACAGTACTCCAGCCTCTGGGCGACAGAGCAAGACTTTGTCTCAAAAAATAGTAATAATAATAGGCCGGGCACAGTGGCTTTCACCTGTAATCCCAGCACTTTGAGAGGCCGAGACGGGCAGATCACAAGGTCACGAGTTCCAGACCAGCCTGGCCAATATGGTGAAACCCCGTATCTACTAAAAAATACAAAAATTAGCCGGGCGTGGTGGTGCACGCCTATAGTCCCAGCCACTCAGGAGGCTGAGGTAGGAGAATCACTTGAACCCGGAAGGCGGAGGTTGCAGTGAGCAGAGATCACACCGCTGCACTCCAGCCTGGGCAACACAGTGAAACTCCATCTCAAAAAATAATAATAATTAATGTTTTGATCCTTGCATATGTATCATTGACCACATTTCTGTTTACTTCCTTAGAATAATCTCCTAGAACTGGAACCGCAAGGTCAAAGAATAGGTACTTTTTGAGACTTTTACGCATATTGCCAAAATGCCCTCCAAAGACTAAACAATTCTTATTCTCACCAATGACAAGTTATTGAAGTGTCCATGTTAATCAAATGGCTGGTCTGTAAGGAACAACTAAGGTCTTGATTTTTTTTTTCAGACGAAGTCTCGCTCTTGTCCCCCAGGCTGGAGTGCAATGGCTTGATCTCAGCTTACAGCAACCTCCACCTCCCAGATTCAAGCTATTCTCCTGCCTCAATCTCCCGAGTAACTAGGATTACAGGTGCCTGCCACCACGCCCAGCTAATTTTTGTATTTTAAGTAGAGACAGGGTTTCACCATGTTGGCCAAGCTGATCTCGAACTCCTGACCTCAGGTGATCTTCCTGCCTCAGCCTCCCAAAGTACTGGGAATACAGGCATGAGCCACTGCACCTGGCCTAAAGTCTTGATTTTTTTTTTTTTTAACAAAGCAAGTGGCCAGGTGCGGTGGCTCACACCTGTAATCCCAGCACTTTGGGAGGCCGAGGCAGGCAGATCACCTGAGGTCGGGAGTTCGAGATCATTCTGACCAACATAGAGAAACCCCGTCTCTACTAAAAATACAAAAATTAGCCAGGCGTGGTGGTGCATGCCTGTAATCCCAGCTACTCAGGAGGCTGAGGCAGGAGAATCACTTGAACCCAGGAGGTGGAGGTTGTGGTGAGCCGAGATAGCGCCATTTCACTCTAGCTTGGGCCACAAGAGCAAACTCCATCTCCAAAAAAAGAAAAAAAAAAAAAAAGCAAGCACTGGATTCTTCTTGAACAAATATTTCTAGAATGCTTTTTAAATTAAGCGTTAAAAAGGAGTAATTATTTCAGTTTTGCATTTTTAAATTTCATCTCCCATCTCTTATTGCATTTAAAAAATCAGACTGAGGCCAGGCTCGGTGGCTCACGCCTATAATCCCAGCACTTTGGGAGGCCGAGGCGGGCGGGTCACCTGAGTTTGGGAGTTCGAGAGCAGCCTGACCAACATGGAGAAACCCCATCTCTACTAAAAATACAAAATTAGCCAAGCGTGGTGGCACATGCCTGTAATCCCAGCTACTAGGGAGGCTGAGGCAGGAGAATCGCTTGAACCTGGGAGGCAGAGGTTGCAGTGAGCCGAGGTCGCGCCATTGCACTCCAGCCTGGGCAACAAGAGCGAAACTCTGCCTCAAAAAATAAATAAATAAATAAATAAATAGTAAAAAATCAGACTGAGTTGTTACGTGTGCCTGTGAACAATGTGACTAATAAATCCCAATAAACATGTAATATTTGCTTCAATGATTCCAAGATTTGGGCTAGGAAAATATCAGCATCCTAAAATGATAATATATATAACCACTACTGCAAATGAAAGGATTATAATGGATAAGAAATATATTCTTTGGAAAATTTGCCCCCTTTCAAGTTCCTGAACCTACAGAGAAAAAACAAATAACAAATTTGCCCATTTGAAATGCTCGTTTCCTGGTGCCGTAAAGAAATAGTACTTGAACCTAAGTTTAATTTACTTAGCAAGGTCATTTTTATTTTTTGCAGAAAGGGTATACTCGCCAGCAGTTTTGCCACGAAAGTACACCGAACAAAGGAGACAGGGTCATTTATAACCTGACATGTCCACCCTACTGCTGTGTCCAGTTTCCATTGGCTGGAACGGGACCTCACAGCCTGTATTTGTCCCGACTGGCTAGCAACTTAGAACTTTTTAAAAGAGGCAAAGGCAGAGGAGCACAAGGGAAGGAGAAAGTAACCTGTGGAATGCTGGGGAAGGTAAAAAAAAAACACCTTTAAATAAGGAAGAGGAACAAGCTATGACCTAATGCTTGCTTGGAGCAGAATAAGCATGCCAGGGCAAATATTTAGGCTAAATTGTGGGAGCTAAGAACATAAAGCACATTGATTTTTTAATCATGGCTAGCAAATATTTAAGAATGTTAGCACAGGTCTTTGAATAAATTTTGCTTCTGAGAGAAGTTACTATTTATTCCTAATTAAATGGGGAAAAAAGTTTTTAAAGAGGAACCTCTACTTTACTTTTTACACCCCCAAACTTAAATTCCCTTTTTTGCCCACTTTCCACAATATTTTCATTCATTTTTATCTTTAGCATCTATTAACTCACCTAAATGCTTGTAATGGTGATTGTGAGCTTGTAATAAAACCTTTACTCGATCCAATGGAGCAACTGTTGTTTTGGCACAGCATCCAGCAATACCTAAAAATTTTTCAAAAGGTCAGGAAGAAATTGCGTACCATTTCTTTCCAGATGGAAATCATTAGTTGTTCAGCCAGCAAACCCTCTAATCTCTAATTCAGTCTCCATGAGTAAATCTGCCCACAGCGTATAGATATGCAGATGACTGGTCCCCATTTCCTGTAACTTAATAAGTGAGCATGATTACACTGCTAAAACTTACTAAAACAAATTTTAGTAGTGTAAATCGTCATCTAATACCTGAGGAAGGCTGGGAATCTTGCTAAAATGTGGTTATGGAGACAGACACTTCAAGGTATTAATCCAACTGCCAGGTTCTGTTTGAAGTAACCTCCTCTTCTTCTGGAACATTTTTACGGAGACAGACACTTGAAGGTATTTATCCGATTGCCAGGTTCTGTTTGAAGTAAACTCCTCTTCTTCTGGATCATTTTTCATTGAAACAACCAACTTTTACCCATAAAATTAGTCATCCATTTATACATTCAGCAAATATGTATTTCGACCCTACCATGTGCCACTGGGGAAAAGTATAGATGAAAGTAGAATAAAGTGCATACATGGGCTTTAGCATAGGTCAGAGTCCAGGCCAGCCCTTCGAGCTTGGCATGCTTCTAAAGCAATAATATAGACTTCTCTACAATACTGTACATCTAGTAATGACTTGAAAAAATGGGTTGCTCCTTTTATAAAAAGGTGAATAACAGGCCAGGCACAGTAGCTCGCACCTGTAATCCCAGCACTTTCGGAGGCTGAGGTAGAAAAATTACTTGAGACTAGGAGTTTGAGACCAGCCTGGGAAACACAGTGAGACCTCATCTCTACAAAAAATTTTTTAAAATCGGCTGGGCGCAGTGCTTCATGCCTGCAATCCCAGCACTTTGGCAGCTCGGGGCGGGCAGATCTCCTGAGGTCAGGAGCTCGACACCAGCCTGGCCAACATGGTGAAACCCCGTCTCTATCAAATATACAAAAAAATTAGCAAGGCATGGTGGCAGGCGCCTGTAGTCCCAGCTATTTGGGAGGTTAAGGCAGGAGAATCCCTTGAACCCAGGAGGCCGAGGTTGCAGTGAGCCGAGATCACACCATTGCACTCTAGCCTGGGCGACAAAGCGAGACTCCATCTCAAAGAAAAAAAAAAATTAGCAAGGCATGGTGGTGTGCCTCAGTACTCAGAGACTAAGGCTGGAGGATGACGTGAGCCAACAGTTGGAGGTCACGGAGAGCTATAATTGTGCGGCTTCGCTCCAGCCTAGATAACACAGCAACACCTGGTCTTTAAAAAACAACAAGTCCGGGCACGGTGGCTCACGCCTGTAATCCCAGCAATTTGGGAGGCCGAGGCAGGCAGATCACTTGAGGTCAGGAGTTTGAAACCAGCCTGGCCAATATGGTGAAACCCCATTTCTACTAAAAATAAAAAAATTAGCCGGGCATGGTGGCGGCTGCCTGTAATCCCAACTACTGGGGAGGCCGAGGAAGAAGAATCTCTTGAACCCAAAAGGTGGAGGTTGCAGTGAGCTGAGATCACACCATTGCACTCCAGCCTGGGTTACAGAGACTATGTCTTAAAAAAAGAAAAAAAAAGAAAACACAAATAAAATTTTAATTTTAAAAATCCATATTCTGAGATATCCAAAAATAAATTGTGGCTGGGAGCCGTGGCTCATGCCTGTAATCGCAGCACTTTGGGAGGCCGAGGCGGGCAGATCACGAGGTCAGGAATTCAAGACCAGCCTGGCCAACATGGTAAAATCCCATCTCTACTAAAAACACAAAAATTAGCTGGGCATGGTGGTGCGTGCATGTAATCCCAGCTGCTTGGGAGGCTGAGGCAGAAGAATTGCATGAACCCAGGAGGCAGAGGTAATAGTGAGCCGAGATCGCACCACTGCACTCCAGCCCGAGCAACAGAGCAGGTCTCGGTCTCAAAAAAACAAATAAAATAAATAAATAAATAAATAAATTAAATAAATAAATAAATAAAATGTATTTTTTACTCAGATATTATATCCACTATGTTTCCATATCAAAGCTCTCTTATCCGAACTAATGAAAATAATAGTTGGCCAGGTATGGTGACTCATACCTGTAATCCCAGCGCTTTGGGAGGCCGAGGTGGGCGGATCACCTGAGGTCGGGAGTTTGAGACCAGCCCGACCAACATGGAGAAACCCTGTCTCTACTAAAAATACAAAATTAGCTGGGTGTGATGACGTGTGCCTGTAATCCCAGCTACTTGGGAGGCTGAGGCAGGAGAATCACTTGAACTTGGGAGGCAGAGGTTGTGGTGAGCCGAGATCACACCATTGCACTCTAGCCTGGGCAACAAGAATGAAACTCCGTCTCAAAAAACAAAAAAAGGCTGGGCGCAGTGGCTCATGCCTGTAATCCCAGCACTTTGGGAGGCCGAGGTGGGTGGATCACGAGGTCAGGAGTTCAAGACCAGCCTGGCCAAGATGGTGAAACCTTGTCTCTACTAAAAATACAAAAATTAGCCAGGTGTGGTAGCGGACACCTGTAATCCCAGCTACTCGGGAGGCTGAGGCAGAGAATTGCCTGAACCCGGGAGGCAGAGGTCTCAGTGAGCTGAGATTGTGCCACTGCACTCCAGCCTGGGTGACAGAGTGAGACTCCATCTCAAAAAAAAAAAAAAAGTAAATCATAATCATAGCTATCCAAAATTATGGGTAAACTAAAAATAATATGCATTTGGATACATTTGGTTTCAGAATATTTTATATTATCTTCTCAGTTGTGTATGAATTAACTGTATAATGAATTATTTAGGCCAGGTGCAGTGGCTCTCGCCTGTATTCCCAGCACTTTGGGAGGCCGAGGTGGGCAGATCATCTGAGGTCAGGAGTTCGAGACCAGCCTAGCCAACATGGTGAAACCCCATCTCTTCTAAAAATACAAAAATTAGCCAGGTGTGGTGGCACATGCTTATAATCCCAGATACTTGGAAAGCTGGGGCAGGAGAATCGCTTGAACCCGGGAGGCATAGGTGGCAGTGAGCCGAGATCATGTCACTGCACTCCAGCCTGGGCGACAAGAACGAAACTCCGTCTCAAAAAAAAAGAGAGAAATTGTTTAGAATGTATTCAATAAGTACTTTTATATAATAGTATCTTTTTTTTTTTTTTTCCAGGGCTGGAGTGCAATGGTGCGATCTCGGCTCACTACAACCTTCACCTCCCAGGTTCAAGCGATTCTCCTGCCCCAGCCTCCCGAGTAGGTGGGATTACAGGAACCCACCACCTCGCCCAGCTAATTTTTTCTTTTTTTAGTCTTTAGTAGAGAGAGGGTTTCACCATGTTGGCCAGACTGTTCTTGAACTCCTGATCTCGTCATCCACCCGCCTCTACCTCCCAAAGTACTGGGATTACAGGCATGAGCCACCGCACCCAGCCTATTTAATAGTATCTTAACTTGCTTTCACACTACGATAGTCCCCCCTTATCTGCAATTTCACTTTCTGCAGTTTTAGTTACCACCAGTCATCCATGTTCAAAAAATATTAGATAGACAATCTGTAAATAAACAATTGACCCGGGCACAATGGCTCATGCCTATAATCCCAGCATTTTGGGAGGCCTAGGTGGGAGGATCACTTGAGGTCAGGATTTCAAGACCAGCCTGGCCAACTTGGTGAAACCCCGTCTCTACTAAAAATACAAAAATTAGGCCAGGCGCAGTGGCCCACACCTGTAATCCCAGCACTTTGGAAGTCCGAGGCAGGCAGATCACCTGAGGTCAGAAGTTCGAAACCAGCCTGACCAACATGGAGAAACACTATCTCTACTAAAAATACAAAAATTAGCTAGGCCTGGTGGCACATGCCTGTAATCCCAGCTACACGGGAGGCTGAGGCAGGAGAATTGCTTGAATCCAGGAGGCAGAGGTTGCAGTGATTCACAATTGCACCATTACACTCCAGCCTGGGCAACAAGAGCAAAACTCTGTCTCAAAAAAAAAAAAAAAAAAATACAAAAATTAGCCAGGCGAAGGGCCAGGCATGGTGCCTCACATCTGTAATCCCAGCATTTTGGGACGTTGAGGCGGGCAGATCGCAAGGTCAGGAGATCGAGACCATCCTGGCTAACATGGTGAAACCCCGTCTCCACTAAAACTACAAAAAATTAGCCGGCATGGTGGCACGTGCCTGCAGTCCCAGCTACTCGGGAGGCTGAGGCAGGAGAATCACTTGAACTTGGGAGGCAGAGGTTGCAGTGAGCCGAGATCGCGCCACTGCACTCCAGCCTGGTGACAAAGTGAGACTCCGTCTCCAAAAAAAAAAGGAACACACAGACACACACATACTCACATTTAATATCAAGTGCCAACAAGGCAGTGGGGATACAAAATGGAATAGACACTTTAGAAATACTTTGACAGTTTCTAATTAAAACCGGCCGGCTGTGGTGGTTAATGCCTGTAATCCCAGCACTTTGGTGGGCTGAGGCAGGAGGATCACTTGAGCTCAGTTCGAGACCAGCCTGGCCAACATGGCAAAACCCCATCTCTACTAACAGTACAAAAACTAGCCAAGCAACACACCTGTAATCCCAACTACTGTGGAGTCTGAGGTGGCAGAATCGCTTGAACCCAAGAAGCGGATGTTTCAGTGAGCAGAGATGGTGCCACTGCACCCAGCCTGGGTGACAAAGCAAGACTCCATCTCAATAAATAAAAAATAAACACAACGAGGACTGGTGCAGTGGGTCATGCCTGTAATCTTTTTTTTTTTTTTTTTTTTTTTTTTTTTGAGACGGAGTCTCGCTCTGTCGCCCAGGCTGGAGTGCAGTGGCGGGATCTCGGCTCACTGCAAGCTCCGCCTCCCGGGTTCACGCCATTCTCCTGCCTCAGCCTCCCAAGTAGCTGGGACTACAGGCGCCCGCCACTACGCCCGGCTAATTTTTTGTATTTTTTTTTAGTAGAGACGGGGTTTCACCGTTTTAGCCGGGATGGTCTCGATCTCCTGACCTCGTGATCCGCCCGCCTCGGCCTCCCAAAGTGCTGGGATTACAGGCGTGAGCCACCGCGCCCGGCCATGCCTGTAATCTTAACACTTTGGGATGCTGAGGTGGGCAGATCACTTGAGGTCAGGAATTGGAGACCAGTCTGGCCAACATAGTGAAACCCGTCTCTACTAAAAATACAAAAATGAGCTGGGCGTGATGGCGCACACCACCTGTAGTCCCAGCTAATCGGGAGGTTGAGGCGGTAAAATCGCTTGAACTCGGGAGCCAGAAGTTGCAGTGAGCTGAGATCATGCTGCTGCACTCCAGCCTGGACAACAGAGAGAGACTCTGTCTCAAAAAAAAAAAAGAAAAAAGAAAAGAAGGAAATACATTACTTATACGTGCAATGTGAATGAATCTTAAATGCATTAAGGTAAGTGATGGAAGTCAGACTCAAAAGGCTACATACTATATGACCCGATTTATATAATATTCTGGAAAAGTCAAGACTACAGAGATAGAAAAACAGATCAGTGGTTGACAAGGGTTGCAGATGAGAGGAGAGGATTGTCAAAGAAAAGTGGAAATAAAGCCAGGCACAGTGGCTCATGCCTGTAATTCTAACACATTGGGAGGCCAAGGCAGGTGGATCACTTAAGGTCAGGAATTCGAGACCAGTCTGGCCAGAATGGTGAAACCCGGTCTCCACTGAAAATACAAAAATTAGGCCAGGCACGGTGGCTCATGCCTGTAATCCCAGCACTTTCGGAGGCCGAGGCAGGCGGATCACGAGGTCAGGAGATCAAGACCATCCTTGCTAACACGGTGAAACCCCGTCTCTACTAAAAATACAAAAAATTAGCCAGGTGTGGTGACACACGCCTATAGTCCCAGCTACTCGGGAGGCTGAGGCAGGAGAATCACTTGAACCTGGGAGCTGGAGGTTGTAGTGAGCCAAGATTGCACCACTGCACTCTAGCCTAGGCAACAGAGTGAGATTCCTTCTCAAAAAAAAAAAAAAAAAAAAAAAATTAGCCAGAAGTGGTGGCACCCACCGGTAGTCCCAGCTACTCTGGAAGCTGAGACAGGAGGATCACTTGAACACGGGAGGTGGAGGTTGCAGTGATAATCAGGCCACTGCACTCCAGCCTAGGCAACAAAGCGAGAATGTCTCAAAAAAAAAATAAAAGTGGAAATATTTTGGAACTACTCTATATCTTGACTATGGTGGTCATTACACAACATGTTTGTCAAAGTGCATTTAACTTAGCCAACAACGATAGCTCTTTTTATTCCCCCTTTCACGGAATCTGGCTCTGTTGCTCAGGCTTGAGTGCAGTGCTGCGATCTGGGCTTACTGCGACCTCCGCCTCTCGCGTTCAAGTGATTCTCCTGCCTCAGCCTCCTGAGTAGCTGGGACTACAACAGGTGGGCGCCACCATGCCCAGCTAATTTTTGTATTTTTTGTACAGACTGGGTGTCACTATGTTGCCCAGGCTGGTCTCCAACTCATTAGCTCAAGCTATCCCCGCTACTCAGCCTCCCAAAGTGCTGAGAATAGAGGCCTGAACCAGTGCACCCGGCCATAGATATTTTGTTCTCTGATTTATACCAAGCAAGTCGGAGGCACATAGTTGGAACTCGAATATTTTCCGTGTGAATAAATGTCATTTTTTTTTAATTGAGAGGGAGTCTTGCTCTGTTGCCCAGGCTGGAGTGCAGTGGAGCGATCTTGTCTCACAACAACCTCCACCACCCAGGTTGAAGCGATTCTCATGCCTCAGCTTCCCAAGTAGCTGGGACTACAGGTGCGTGCCACCAAGCCTGGCTAGTTTTTTTGTATTTTTAGTAGAGATGGGGTTTCGCCATGTTGGCCGGGATGGTCTTGAACTCCTGACCTCAGGTGATCTGCCCACCTGAGCCTCCTGAAGTGCTGGGATTACAGGTGTGAGACACCTCACCTAGCCTAAATGTCATTTTATCAGCAGAACAAAATAATTAAATCCCGAGGCCTGGATTGGTGGCTTATGCCTTTAATCCCAGCACTTTGGGAGGCAGAGGTGAGCAGATTGCTTGAGGCCACGGGTTCGAGACCAGCCTGGCCAACATGGTAAAACCCTGTCTCTGCTAAAAATATAAAAATTAGGGCCAGGCACAGTGGCTCACGCCTGTAATCCCACCACTCTGGGAGGCCGAGGTGGGTGGATCACAAGGTCAAAAGATCAAGACCAGGTGGCTCACGCCTGTAATCCCAGCACTATGGGAGGTCAAGGCGGGCGGATCACGAGGTCAGGAGATCGAGACCATCCTGGCTAATATGGTGAAACCCCGTCTCTACTAAAAATACAAAAAATTAGCCGGGCGTGGTGGCGGGCGCCTGTAGTCCCAGCTACTCAGGAGGCTGAGGCAGGAGAATGGCGTGAACCCGGGAGGCAGAGATGAGATTGCAGTGAGCCGAGAGCACGCCACTGCACTCCAGCCTGGGCAACAGAAACTCCATCTCAAAAAAAAAAAAAAAAAAAAAGAGAGATCGAGACCATCCTGGCCAACATGGTAAAACTTCGTCTCTACTAAAAATACAAAATTAGCTGGGTGTGGTGGCACACACCTATAGTCCTAGCTACTCAGGAAGCTGAGGCAGGAGAATCTCTTGAACCCAGGAGGCAAAGGTTGCAGTGAGCTGAGATGGCACTAATGCACTCCAGCCTGGGTGAGAGTAAGACACCGTCTCAAAAATAAATAAATAAATAAATTAGCCAGGCACGGTGGCGAGCACCTGTAATCCCAGCTACTCGGGAGGTTGAGGCAGGAGAATCGCTTGAACCAGGCGGCAGAGGTTGCAGTGAGCCGAGATTGCGCCACTGCACTCCAGCCTGGGCTACATAGTGAGACTCCATCTCAAAAAAAAAAAAAAAAAAAAATTAACTGGGCATGGTGGTGCACGCCTGTAATCCCAGCTACTTGGGAGGCAGAAGCAGGTAAATCACTTGAACCCGGATACGGAGGTTGCAGTGAGCAGAGATCGTGCCGCTGCACTCCAGCCTGGCCGACAGAGTGAGACTCCATCTCAAAAAAGAAAAAGAAAAAAAATTAGCCAGGCATGGTGGCATTCCCCTGTAATCCCAGCTACTTGGGAAGCTGGGTCAGCAGAATCACTTGAACCCAGGAAGCAGAGGTTGCAGTGAGCCAAGATCACGCCACTGCACTCCTGCCTGGGTGAGGGAGTGAGACTCTGTCTCAAAACAACAACAACAACAAAAAAAACTTAATACTGCTGCAGTCTTCAGATATTATCTTTCTACAAATCCTCATAATGTGAGGTTTTTTTTGTTTTATTTTATTTTGTTTTTGAGATGGAGTGTCTCTGTCACCCAGACTGGAGTGCAATGGCAGGATCTCGGCTCACTGCAACCTCCACAGTGATTTAGGCGACTCTCCTGCCTTAAGCCTCCTGAGTAGCTGGGATTACAGGCGAGTGCCACCACGCCTGACAAATTTTTGTAGTTTTAGTAGAGACAGGGTTTCACCATGTTGGCCAGGCTGGTCTCAAACTCCTGACTTCAAGTGATCTGCCCACCTTAGTCTCCCAAAGTGCTGGGATTACAGGCGTGAGCCACCCTGCCCAGCGAATTTTTATTGTTTGTTTTTGTTTTTTTCTTCTTTTAGGAGAGGGTCTCTCTCTGTAGCTCAGGCTGGAGGGTAGTGGTGTGATCATGGCTTACTGGAGCCTCGATCTCCTGGACTCAAGCAGTCTTCCTGCCTCAGCTTCCCTAGTAACTGGGACTACAGTAGTGAGCCACTGCACACAACTTCAATGTGGAATTTTTAAATTTTTGAATCTTAAATAATTAAGTAATGACAACCTGTGGGGAAAAGCAAGAGAGATCAGATTGTTACTGTGTCTGTGTAGAAAGAAGTAGACATAGGAGACTCCATTTTGTTCTGTACTAAGAAAAATTCTTCTGCCTTGAGATTCTGTTAATCTATAACCTTACCCCCAACCCCGTGCTCTCTGAAACATGTGCTGTGTCACAGAGTTGAATGGATTAAGGGCGGTGCAAGATGTGCTTTGTTAAACAGATGCTTGAAGGCAGCATGCTCCTTAAGAGTCATCACCACTCCCTAATCTCAAGTACCCAGGGACACAAAAACTGCGGAAGGCCGCAGGGACCTCTGCCTAGGAAAGCCAGGTATTGTCCAAGGTTTCTCCCCATGTGATAGTCTGAAATACGGCCTCGTGGGAAGGGAAAGACCTGAACGTCCCCCAGCCCGACACCCGTAAAGGGTCTGTGCTGAGGAGGATTAGTATAAGAGGAAGGCATGCCTCTTGCAGTTGAGACAAGAGGAAGGCATCTGTCTCCTGCCTGTCCCTGGGCAATGGAATGTCTCGGTATAAAACGCGATTGTATGCTCCATCTACTGAGATAGGGAAAAACCGCCTTAGGGCTGGAGGTGGGACCTGCGGGCAGCAATACTGCTTTGTAAAGCATTGAGATGTTTATGTGTATGCATATCTAAGAGCACAGCACTTAATCCTTTACATTGTCTATGACGCAAAGACCTTTGTTCACGTGTTTGTCTGCTGACCCTCTCCCCACAATTGTCTTGTGACCCTGACACATCCCCCTCTTCGAGAAACACCCACAAATGATCAATAAATACTAAGGGAACTCAGAGGCTGGCGGGATCCTCCATATGCTGAACGCTGGTTCCCCGGGTCCCCTTATTTCTGTCTCTATACTTTGTCTCTGTGTCTTTTTCTTTCCTAAGTCTCTCGTTCCACCTTACGAGAAACACCCACAGGTGTGGAGGGGCAACCCACCCCTACACAACCCAGAGAAGTAATTAAGGAAGGGTGGAGCTTGAAGGCCCAGGAAATTCCTAAGAGACAATATGAACTTTTTGATCCCAAAGTCACATCAATAATAGGGCTTGTCAAGTACTGTGTCACAGTTTACTAGAATCACTGGAACCAGTTTTGGCTGTAGACAGTTTGCACAATTTTCCAGTAGTCATTAAAAAGCTGATCTCCAATATTTGTTTTCCTTTAAGCAAACAGCAAAATCCAAGTCTACACTGGGTCACTCACGGTTTTTATAAAAGAAAGGAGTGCCCAGCATGTCTCACTAAAACCCCAGGGTCTCTGTAAGGGATCCTCCTCTTTTCCCTGTTATCCAGCCCTGAAGAATGGGTGCCTGATTCAGACCTTCCACCTCCCCAGCCTCTGCCGGAGTGCCAAAGGTCCCACTCCCCATAACCTAGCTGTCATTAGTCAAGTGATTACTAGAAAGAGGTTACAGCAGGTCAGGGCAGACATCTAACAGAACATTGAAGCAGCCAGAGTCCAGGAATGTCATAGAGGCCGCTTGCATCCCACTTGCCCACAGTCCTGCCCCCGCCACTCAGAGCGCGGCTGGCTCTTCGTGGCATGGACCCACCTCCGGCCAGAAAGGAGCGCAGCCAGTAGAAGTCTCTGCGGGTTGTGGGCCCTCCGGCCCCTGCCGCCTGCGGCATTGCGGGAGGGGGATCGGCCGCCGCCAGGGCTGCCGCGGCCGTCGCCGCCGCCATCAGGACCAGGGTCGCGTCAGGAGCCTAGGTTGCCAACTTACAGAACACCGGACGGGACCATAGCCGGAACAGGCGGTGACAGGAGGCTGACCGCCCCGCCGGCGGGGCAAAGTAACACCCGGCGGCGCGGCGCCGGCTGATGGCGTACAGCAAGGGCGGGGCCTGTGTCACGCGCCAAGGGGCTCTGCCGGGAGGGGCGGGGCCAGGACGCGGAACAGGGCGTCACCCAGGCTCGTAAACTCCTCCATCCCGCCTCACCCGGCGTTGCCACTGTCAGTTCACTGCTCAGGCCCCTTCTGTTCGGACGGAAAAAGGAAACGGTAGGCAGTGAGATGGTCCCATTAAAACCCACAACCTGGCCGGGCGCGGTGGCTCACGCCTGTAATCCCAGCACTTTGGGAGGCCCAGGCGGACGGATCACTTGAGGTCAGGAGTTCAAGACTAGCCTGGATGCCGGGCGCCGTGGCTCACGCCTATAATCCCAGCCCTTTGGGAGGCTGAGGCGGGCGGATCACAAAGTCAGGAGTTCGAGACCAGCCTGGCCAATATGGTGAAACCCCGTCTCTACTAAAAATACAGAAATTAGCCGGGCGGGGTGGCGGGCACCTGTAGTCCCAGCTACTCGAGAGGCTGAAGTAGGAGAATCACTTGAATCCAGGAGGCAGAGGTTGCAGTGAGCTGAGATAGCGCCACTGCACTCTAGCCTGGGTGACAGAGTGAGACTCCGTCTAAAAAAAAAAAAGACTAGCCAGGCGAACATGGTGAAACCCCGTCTCTACTAAAAATACAAAAAATTAGCCAGGCGTGAGGGCGGGCGCCTGTAATCCCAGCTACTGGGGAGGCTGAGGCAGGAGAATTGGTTGAACCCAGGAGGCGGAGATTGCAGTGAGCCTAGATCGCACCATTGCACTCCAGCCTGGGCGACACAGCGAGACTACGCCTCAAAAAAATAAAAAATAAAAAGGCCCACAACCTTAGAAAGCTCTCTCCTGTCTCGTCCCTTGACCTATATTGACCACTGACCAGTAATCGCCTATCGCGCTTTTTTTTTTTTTTTTTTTGAGACGGAGTCTCGTTCTGTTGCCCAGGCTGGAGTGCAGTGGCGAGATCTCTGCTCACTGCAACCTCCACCCCCTGGGTTCAAGCAATTCTCCTGCCTCAGCCTCCCTAGTAGGTGGGATTATAGGCGTGCAATACTACCCCTGGTTACTTTTTGTATTTTTAGTAGAGACGGGGTTTCCAACGTATTGGTCAAGGCTGGTCCGAACTGCTGACCTCATCGGATCCGCCCTCCTCGGCCTCCCAAAGTGCTGGAATTGCAGGCGTGAGCCTCTGCGCCCTGCTCTCGGAGCTGTATTCTGACCTCCCTAAGATGCAGCCTTTCTTTTTTTTTTTTTTTTTTTTTTTTGAGACGGAGTCTCGCTGTGTCGCCCAGGCTGGAGTGCACTGGCCTGATCTCGGCTCACTGCAAGCTCTGCCTCCCGGGTTCACGCCATTCTCCTGCCTCAGCCTCCTGAGTGGCTGGGACTACAGGCGCCCACCACCACGCCCGGCTAATTTTTTGTATTTTTAGTAGAGACGGGGTTTCACCGTGTTAGCCAGGATGGTCTCCATCTCCTGACCTCGCGATCCGCCTGCCTCGGCCTCCCAAAGTGCTGGGATTACAGGCATGAGCCACGGCGCCCGGCCAAGATGCAGCCTTTCTAACCTGCGGCTTCTCGCTTTTTCAGGCATGTTTTGACTTGCTTCCATCTCCCACCAAATCAGCTCTGCCTTGTCAGAGCTCCTCACTGAACACCAATTTCTGCCCTCCCTAAATCCCCCACTAAGCTTCCATTCCTCCCCTACCACCTCTGCAAAAAAAAAAAAAAAAAAAAAAAAAAACACACACAACCAGGCCTGGGGCGGTGGCTCATGCAGTAATCCCAGGATTTTGGGATGCCACGACTGGCGGACCACCAAAGGTCAGGAGTTCGAGACCAGCCTGGCCAACATGGTGAAACCTTGTCTCTACTAAAAATACAAAAATTAGCCAGGCGTGGTTGTGGGTGCCTGTGGGTGCCAGTAATCCCAGCTACTCGGGAGGCCGAGGCAGGAGAATCGGTTGAACCTGGGAGGCGGAGGTTGCAGTGAGCTGAGATTGCACCGTTGCACTCCAGCCTGGGCGACAAGAGCAAAACTCCGTCTCAAAAAAAAAAAAAAAAAATATATATATATATATATATATACACACACACACACGTGTATATATATGTGTATATATATGTATATATGTGTGTATATATGTATATATTATATATGCATATATGTATATATTATATATACATATATGTATATATTATATATACATATATGCATATATAATATGCACATATATATAGTATTTGCTAAAGCAGGTGATTCTTTCTTTTCGGCCCTACACATTTCACAAATAGTTCTGCCTTTCCAGGCAATCCTGAATCTGTCTTCCACTCAGTTCTCCAATTTGTTTGAAATATTTGTTTTTTGGTGCCGTAAATAAATAGCACTTGAACATAAATTTAATTTATTTAGTAAGGCCATTTTTACTTTTTGCAGAAAGGGTACACTCGCCAGCAGTTTTGCCAGGAGAGTACACCGAACAAAGGAGACAGGGTCATTTATGACCTGACGCGTCTACCCCACTGCTGTGTCCGGTTTCCATTGGCTGGAACAGGACCTCACATTTTTTGTTTGTTTCGATTGGCTAGTAACTTAGAACTTTTTAAAAGAGGCAAAGGTAGAGGGGAACAAGGGAAGGAGGAAGTAACTTGTGGAATGTTGAGAAAGGTAAAAACACTTTTAAATAAGGAAGAGAAACAGGTTATGACCTAATGCTTGCTTGGACCAGCATGCCAGGGCAAATATTTAGACTAAATTGTGGGAGCTAAAAACATAAAGTACATTGATTTTTTTATTATGGCTAGCAGATATTTAAGAATGTTAGCACAGGTCTTTGAATAAATTTTGCTTTTAAAAGAAGTTGGCTGGGCGCGGTGGCTCATGCCTGTAATCCCAGCACTTTGGGAGGCCGAGGTGGGCGGATCACGAGGTCAGGAGATCGAGACCATCCTGGCTAACACGGTGAAACACCTTCTCTATTAAAAATACAAAAAATTAGCCGGGCGTGGTGGCAGGCACCTGTAGTCCCAGCTACCCGAGAGGCTGAGGCAGGGGAATGGTGGGAACCCAGGAGGTGGAGCTTGCAGTGAGCCGAGATCGCACCACTACACTCCAGCCTGGGCGACAGAGAGAGACTCTGTCTCAAAAAAAAAAAAAAAGAGAAGTTATTATTTATTCCTAATTAGACGAGGAGGAAAGTCTTTGAAGAGGAACCTCTATTTTACTTTTTACAAATTCCACTGTGCTCTGCTTCCTACCAACCTCAAGTCTCTGCCCTAAACTCTGAGGAAACTTCCAGGTTCATCTCCCTGGTCCCACTGTATCCAAGACTCTTATTTGTTAACCACCATTTACAAGCACTTCTCTCTTACTGTGGACCCCACATCACTTCCAGCCTGGACAAAACTCATTCCCAATCTTTGTGACCAAAGTTGTACTGAACTTTTATCCTCCCTTTCAGAAATTACCTATCATATTTTTTCTAAATACTTACTCCAGCCTTCCCTTTACAGATACTGATCTCTTTCTTTTTCTGTGCATGTGCCTCTGCAAAACGTGCATTTGCAGATGTTCTAGTGTCCCAGAGCTTAGTCTATGGGTCTCTTCTATGATTTTATTTGCTCTTAGAGATCTCACCCAACCTCATGGCTTTTTTCTTTCTTTTTTTGAGTTGAAGTTTCCCTCTTATTGCCCAGGCTGGAGTTCAATGGCACAATCTCGGCTCACTGCAATCACCACCTCCCAGGTTCAAGCAATTCTCCTGCCTCAGCCTCCCAGGTAGCTGGGATTACAGGCATGCACCACCAGGCCTGGCTAATTTTGTATTTTTAGTAGAGACAAGGTTTCACTATGTTGGTCAGGCTGGTCTCAAACTCCTGACCTCAGGTGATCCACCCACCTTGGCCTCCCAAAGTTCTGTGATTACAGGCATGAATCACTGCCCCCAGCCCCGCACCCCCCACCTTTTTTTTTTTTTTTTGAGGCAAGGTCTCTTGCTCTGGCTGAAGTACAGTGGCAAGATCACAGCTCACTGCTCACTGCAACCTCAAACTCCAGAGCTCAAGTGATCCTCTCACCTCAGCCTCCCAAGTAGCTGGGACTACTGGCATGCACCACTATGTCTGGCTAATTTGTTTTTAAATTTCTTTTTTTTTTTTTTCAGACAGAGTTTCACTCTTGTCACCCAGGCTGGAGTGTAATGGCACGATCTCAACTCACTGCAACCTCTGCCTTCAGGGTTCAAGTGATTCTCCTGCCTCAGTCTCCCAAGTAGCTGGGATTACAGGCGCCCACCACCAGGCCCAGCTAATTTTTGTATTTTTAGTAGAGACAGGGTTTCACCATGTTGGCCAGGTTGGTCTTGAACTTCTGACCTCAGGTGATCTGCCCACCTTGGCCTCCTGAAATGCTGGGATTACACGCGTGAGCCGCCTCGCCCAGCCTGTTTTTTAATTTTTTGTAGAGACAAGGTCTCACTCTGTTGCCCAGACTGCTCTCGAACTCCTAGCTTCAAGTAATACCACCTCAGCCTCCCAAAGTGCTAGGATGACAGGTGTGAGCCATGTGCCCGGTCTCCAACTATGGTTTTTTTTTTTAGACGAAGTCTTGCTCTGTCGCCCAGGCTGGAGTGCAGTGGCACGATCTCTGCTCACTGCAATCTCCGCCTCCCGGAGTCAAGTGATTCTCCTACCTCAGCCTCTGGAGTAACTGGGATTACAGGCGCGTGCCACCATGCCATGCTAATTTTTGTATTTTCAGTAGAGACAGGGTTTCACCATGTTGGCCAGGCTGGTCTTGAACTCCTGATCTCATGATGTGCCTGCCTCGGCCTCCCAAAGTGCTGGGATTACAGGCATGAGCCACAACCAGGCGTGGTGGCGCATACCTGTAATCCCAGCTACTCAAGAGGCTGAGGCAAGAGAATTGCTTGAACCTGGGAGGCAGAGGTTGCTGTGACCTGAGATCATGCCATTGCACTCCAGCCTGGGCAACAAGAGCGAAATTCCGTCTCAAACAAACAAAAACAAACAAAAAAAACCCCCTCTGATGGCTTCCCATTCCACATAGAGAAAGCTGAAATCCTTACAATGACTTTGTGAATTCCTACTAAATCTCTGACCTCCACAACTAGGACTCCCCTCAGTCATGCTGGCCTCTTTGTTGTTTTTCATAAACACCAAACATGCTTCCTTCGGGGACTATGCATGTGCTATGTCTTCTGCCTGTACTGCTAGATATTCCTCGTAACTTCCTCCTTCTCTCCCCTCCAAGTATTTAGACAAAATGACACCTGAAAGAGGCCTTGCCTAACTACGATATTTAAAATTACCAATCCATACCACAATTCACTATCCTTTTCTCTCCTTTTTATTATAATAATAATAATAATTATTATTATTATTATTATTATTTTGAGACAGAGTCTCGCTCTGTCACCAGGCTGGAGTGCAGTGGCGCGATCTCCACTCACTGCACCCTCCGCCTCCTGGATTCAAGCGACTCTCTTGCCTCAGCCTCCCGAGTAGCTGGGATTACAGTCACAAGCCACCATACTCGGCTAATTTTCTTGTATGTATATATATGTGTGTGCATATATATATATATATATATATATATATATATATATGCACACACACACACATTTTTTTCTGTGTGTTTTTTTTTTTTTTTGAGATGGAGTCTCACTCTTGTAGCCCAGGCTGGAGTGCAAAGGCACGATCTCAGCTCACTGCAACCTCCGCCTCCCGGGTTCAAGCAATTCTCCCGTCTCAAGCTCCTGAGTAGCTGGGACCACAGGCGCATGCCACCATTCCCGGCTAATTTTTGTATTTTTAGTAGAGATGGGGTTTCACCATATTGGCCAGGCTGGTCTCAAACTCCTGACCTCAGGTGATCTGCCCACCTCGGCCTCCCAACATGCTGGGATTACAGGCATGAGCCACCTCACCCGGCCAAAATAAAGTCACTCTTGGCCCCACATTCTACCCCTCTAATGCATCTATTACAATCTGATGCACCTACTTCTTCTGCGATGGCCCCTGAGCCTTATGGGAGACGCTGAAGTTATTTCCATGGTGTGGGTGACATGCTGCATCAGTTTGTTTTCTAGTTGTAAGCAGAGGCTGCAGCAACAATACAACAGACGAGATATCATAGGTCAAATATAAGGCACAGAATTAAAAATGCCTTTGTCACCACGTTTACCCATAGCCAAACCAGGAGGAGAGCCACTGGGAGAAAGAAAGGGTAGAGAAACACACTTCAGAAAGAGGTTCATTTCTCCTTCTGTAGGGCAGAGCACCAGGAGGAACAGAAGACTGTGAGTGGAAATATAAATGTTTAGTAGATACTTGGTGGGGGAGTTCTTCTCCATCAAGCGGAATTACTATGGTAGTTTCATCTCATTAGTGAGGACATAGGCAGCCTAAGGATTATGGGCTGGGGGTGCATACCAAACATGTTGCCCAAGGGACAAAGGTGCCAGTATTATGTGTAAGACTACAGGAGTAGCAAAAGACCATGTCGGACGGCTGACCAAGGTTCCCTTTAAAAGAAGCCTTGTTCCAATGTATTGGCATGTGGAGCATTTTGGCCCAGACTCCAAAAGGATCAATGCAGACCACTTACACTGGCCAGGAAATCCCTTGCTCTTCGGCAAGAAAGGCCCTGTTCAACCTGGGGGAAGTTGCCAGTCCAACCCTCATTCAAGTGTCTCCTCCCCTTGCCGGGCGCGGTGGCTCACACCTGTAATCCCAGCACTTTGGGAGGCCGAGGCGGTTGGATCACCTGAGGTTGGGAGTTCAAGACCAGCCTGACCAACATAGAGAAACCCCGTCTCTACTAAGAATACAAAATTAGTCGGGGTGGTGGCACATACCTGTAATCCCAGCTACTCAGGAGGCTGAGGCAGGAGAATCGTTTGAACCCAGGAGGCAGAGGTTGCAGTGAGCCAAGATCACGCCATTGCACTCTAGCCTGGGCAACAAGAGCAAAACTCCGTCACAAAAAAAAAAAAAAAAAAAAAAAAAAAAGGTGTCTCCTTCCTGGATCAAGGTACTGGGGAGTCCTAAATAGCATTTGCTGTTGGCCTGTTATCAGCACTGGTAGACATGCATCTGGTCAGACTTTTTTTTTTTTTGAGACAGAGTCTCGCTCTGTCACCCAGGCTGGAGTGCAGTGGCGCAATCTCAGCTCACTGCAACCTCCGCCTCCCGGGCTCAAGCAATTCTCCTGCCTCAGCCGCTCGAGTAGCTGGGACTGCAGGTGTGCACCACCACACCCAGCTAATTTTTCTATTTATAGTACAGACAGGGTTTCACCATGTTGGCCAGGATGGTCTTGATCTCTTGACATCGTGATCTGCCTGCCTTGGCCTCCCAAAGTGCTGGGATTACAGGGATGAGCCACCATGCCCCGCCCAGACTTTCTTTATAAGTGTGATCAATAGACCCTCCCCAGTGGTGGTACTGAGTCCATGGTATGGTACCAGCACAGAATGTATTTCAACCAAATTAAGATTTGTTTCTTTTTTTTGGAAACAGGGTCTTGTTCTGTGGCCCAAGCTGGAGTGCAGTGGTGCCATCATAGCTAACTGCAGCCTAGACCTCCTGGGTTCAAGTGATGCTCCTGCCTCAGCCTCACAAGTAGCTGGGTCTCCAGTTGCATGCCACCACCATGCCCATCTTGCTCACTCTCTCTCTCTTTTTTTTTTTTTTTGGAAGAGACAGCATTGCACTATGTTGCCCGGCAGGCTGGTCTCCAATTCCTGGCCTCAAACAATTTTCCCACCTTGGCCTCCCAAAGCATTGGGATTACAGATATGAACCACCACCCCGGCCCAAATTAAGGTTTCTTTTATTTTTTTTAAGATGTCGCCTCCCTCTACCGCCCAGGCTGGAGTGCAGTGGCATGATCTCGATTCACTGCAACCTCCACCTCCCAATTTCAAGCAGTTCTCCTGCCTCAGCCTCCTGAGTAGCTGGGATTACAGGCGCACACTACCACGCCCAGGTAATTTTTCTATTTTTTAATAGAGATGGGATTTCACTATGTTGGCCAGGCTGGTCTCAAACTCCTGACCTCAAGTTATCCGCCTGCCTTGGCCTCCCAAAGTGCTGGGATTACAGGTGTAAGCCACCTTACCCGGCCCTAATTAAGGTTTCTAATTAAGGCCAAATTAAGTTTTGCCTGAAGCAAAACCTCCCACCCATGCAATGTTCTGGATTGCAAAAATATTCACTGTGTGTCTTCAAATTGCCATTTTTTGTTTAAATAAACCTTGCCACTTGGGGATTATATGGCAAATGAAATCTCTGGTCTATATCCCTTTCAAGTGCCCAATCTTGGACATCATGCCCAGTAAAATGTGTGCCTACGTCACTACAAATGCATCAAGAGTATCCATACGCGACACTGAGTTGTTCCAAGCCCTTAATGGTGGCTATTTGGTTTGCCCTTTTACAAGGGAAGGCCTGTAACCATCCTGTGACGGTGTCTTCATGTTAGTATGTACTTTTATCCCAAGCTTACTGGCAGGGGTCCATTGTAGTCTATCTGCCAGCCTCTCACAGGAGTGGCTGTCTCATATATGTGTCTAGATCTATGTGGGATGCAGCGGGGGCACAGGTGGGAGCAAACTGAACAGTGTGTTACTGCTACTGCTAAATCTGCATAGCAGAGGGGCAATCCTGCTCCCTTTCCTGTTCGCCAGCCCACTCATACACTGTGATGCCCACTGTATTTATGTGCCAATCAGCTAGCTCAGAGAATTGCAAGGGAGCCAGGGTTCTAATTTTTGCCAGGGTACCAGCCTCCATGATACAGGGGTGGGGGTGGGGGTTGAATCTGACCAATGTGCTGAAACATGATACACAATTAGGTTTGCAGTGAGTTCTTATAGCTTTTCCCAAATAACTTTCCACATGGCAGCTCCCCACAGTATGTGCCAGTCATCCCAACCCACTGGGCAAGCCAAGTTATAAGGTCCCTTTTTTTTTTTTTTTTTTTAACTGAGACAGGGTCCTGCTCTGTTGCCCAGGCTAGCGTCCACTGGCACAATAATGTCTCACTGCAGCCTCAACCTCCTGGGCTCAAGCAATCCTCCTGCCTCAGTCTCCCTAGTAGCTGGGACTACAGGTATGCACCACCATACTGAGTCAAATTTTTTTTTTTTTTTTTTTTTTGAGACGGAGTCTTGCTCTGTCACCAGGCTGTAGGCTGGAGTACAGTGGCGCCATCTTGGCTCGCTGCAGCCTCCACCTCCCGGGTTCACACCATTCTCCTGCCTCAGCCTCCCGAGTAGCTGGGACTATAGGTTCCTGCCACAATGCCCGGCTGATTTTTATATTTTTAGTAGAGACGGGGTTTCACTATGTTGGTCAGGCTGGTCTCGAACTCCTGACCTGTTGATCCACCAGCCTCAGCCTCCCAAAGTGCTGGAATTACAGGCATGAGCCACCGCACGTGGCCAACACCGAGCCAATTTTTTATTTTTTTGTAGAGACGAGGGCCTCACTATGTTGCCCAGGCTGGTCTCAATCTCCTGAGCTCAAACGATCTCGGCCTCACAAAGTGCTGGGATTATAGGCATGAACCACCACTCCTGGCAAAGATCATTGAATACTGCCCAACTATTTGAACGGAGAACTATATATAGGCCATGGCTCATGGGTACAAACCAATTGTGCAGCTCAGAGTTCTGCCTATTGATTGCTTTGCTGCATTCCCTTCTCAAACCGTAAGGTATCTGCCTGCGTATGGGCAGCTGCAGCTACTATGTGTCCATCCACACAGGTTACCTCTGCTCAACCCATCTGAGTACCAAATGTTTTCAAGAATGAGGGTCATGCCTCCATGTACACACTCTGCAGTAGGGGCAGCACTGGTCTCATAATGTACTGGCCTTAAGATAGCATGCACGGCTGGGCACAGTGGCTCACGCCTGTAATCCCAGCACTTTGGGAGGCCAAGGTGGACGGATCACCTGAGGTTGGGAGTTTGAGACCAGCCTGACCAACATGGTGAAACCCCGTCTCTACCAAAAAAACACAATTAGCTGGCCGTGGTGGCACATGCCTGTAATCCCAGCTACTCGGGAGGCTGAGGCAGGAGAATCACTTGAACCTGGGAGACAGAGGTTGCAGTGAGCCAAGATCTTACCATTGCACTCCAGCCTGGGCAACAAGAGCGAAACTCCATCTCCAAAAAAAAAAAAAAGATAGCATGCAATTCATCTCTGAAGAGACTCATGGAGAGGGCACTATGTTATTGCAGGTATGCACGCCACTTTTGTAAAGTGGAGGCCTGGGCAATAGCTGAGGCAGTCCTGGCAAACAACGCTTCCATCCAGCCTCTGAGAGGGAAACCCGTTTTGTTTTTTTGTTTTGTTTTGTTTTGTTTTGTTTTTTTGAGACAAAGTCTTGCTCTGTCACCTAGGCTGGAGGGCAGTGGCACCATCAAAGCTCTCTGCAGCCCGGAACTCAGAGCCTCGAGTGATCCTTCCCCTTTGGCCTCCCAAAGTGCTGGTATTACAGGTTTGAGCTGCCATGCCTGGCAAGGAGACTCGGCCTTACTGTTATTGGCAAAGCAGCAGTTTTGAGTTCCACTTGCTATAAGACCTTGTACATCCCCCAGGATCTGTTGTTCAAGTGGGGAATAGTGGGTTTCAGCACTGTTGGTCCAGAGTTGTGACCAAAATCCTAGAGGAACTGCTTTCCCATGTTGGACTTGCCAGAGGGCCCAACTGGTCCCCTCAGCATTTATGGTCACATCTAAAGACATCACTATCCAGGAGAAGGGGAACCTAAGGCTTTTACCTGAACCACTAGCATTTCAGCCTTGTCAAATGTTTCCTCTTGTTTTCTATACCAGCACTAACTAGATCCCTTCTTTACTTGTCAGTATAGGGGATACAAACATTGAGCTAAATGTAGAATGATGCCTGCTGGTATCCCAGAAGACTGAGGAAACTTTGTAACTGTTTACCTGTTTTAGGCATGGAAAATTTTTATATTTTGCCAATGAATGTGCCTGGGATAAGGTGTGTCTTACCCGATCAAGTGACCCTCTAAAAACTTTACAGATGGTCCTGGCCCTTGTATCTTTTGCAAGTTGATGGCCCATCCTCTGGATTGGAGAAGGGTGCACAAGTGTCAAGCTGTTGCTGTAACACTGACAAATCTTCAGAGGTTAGCATAATATTACCAACATAACGAAGCCATATGACAGCAAGTGGTGGTGGACATAGAGTCAAACCTCTAACAATCATACCATGACAAATAGTGAGTCTATGTAAATAACCCTGGGGCAACACTTGGAATGTCCACCTCAGCTATCCCAAGTAAAAGCAAATTGGCCAGACATGGTGGCTCATGCCTGTAATCCCAGCACTTTGGGAGGCCAAAGGCTGGAGGATCACTTGAGGTCAGCATTTTGAGACCAGGCTGGCCAACATGGTGAAACCCTGTCTCTACTACAAATACAAAAATTAGCTGGGCATGGTGGTGCACACCTGTAATCCCAGCTACACAGGAGGCTGAAGCAGGAGAATCACTTGAACACGGGAGGTGGAGCTTACAGGGAGCTGAGATCACGCCACTGCACTTTACCATGGGCCACAAAGGGAGACTCTGTCTCAAAAACCAAAAACAAAAACAGCCAGGCTTCAGTGGTTCACACCTGTAATCTGAGCACTTTGAGAAGCCGAGGCGGGTGGATCAGCTGAGGTCAGGAGTTCCAGAACAGCCTGGCCAGCATGGTGAAACCCCATCTTTAAAAATACAAGCATTAGCTGGGTGTGGTGGCACCTGCGTGTAGTCCCAGCTACTCAGGAGGCTGAGACAGGAAAATTACTTGAACCCGGGAGGTGGAGGTTTCAGTGAGCCAAGATCAAGCCACTGTACTCCAGCCTGGGCGACAGAGTGAGACTCTGTCTCAAAACAAAACAAACAACAACAACAACAAAAAACCCAGCAAATTGGTCCTGCAAGTCAGGATGCAAAGGGATGCTAAAGAAGACATTAATGGCGGGGTATGGTGGCTCACGCCTGTAATCCCAGCACTTTGGGAGGCCGACGTGAGCAGATCACCTGAGGTCAGCAGTTCAAGACCAGCCTGGCCAACATCATGAAACCCTGTCTCTACTAAAAATACAAAAAATTAGCCGGGCATGGTAGCAGCGCCTGTAATCCCAGCTACTCAGGAGGCTGAGGCAAGAGAATTGCTTGAACCCAGGAGGTAGAGGTTGCAGTGAGCCGAGATCGCGCCATTGCACTCCAGGTTGGGCAACAAGAGCGAAACTCTGTCTCACAGAAAAAAAAAAAAAGAAGAAGAAGAAGAAGATATTAGCAGCTGGACACGCTGGCTCACGCCTGTAATCCCAGCACTTTGGGAAGCTAAGGCAGGCGGATCACCTGAGGTCAGGAGTTTGAAACCAGCCTGACCAACATGGAGAAACCCTGTCTTTACTAAAAATACAAAATTAGCCAGGCGTGGTGGCACATGCCTGTAATCCCAGCTATTCGGGAGGCTGAGGCAGGAGAATCACTTGAACCCGTGAGGAAGAGGTTGTGGTGAGCCAAGATCATGCCCTTGTACTCCAGCCTGTGCAACAGGAGTGAAACTCCGTCTCAAAGAAAAAAAAAAAAAAGACATTAGCGAAATCTAACATGACATAGGTTTAGTTGCATTCTGCACCTGTGTCCACTAAAGTCAAGGTTCTCTATGTGTTTCTTGGCATCTAATAGATTGTGAGCTCCACATGGACCTATGCCCCCTACTGCTTGTGGGTGAAGGTGACCTTGGCCCCATCCCTGGTCTTCAGGCTGAAGAGGAGTCCACCTTTGGAATCTTTGAAATGTAAAGTTTAGGATTTTCTTTTCTTTCTTTTCTTTTGTTTTTTTTTTTTTTTTTTGAGGTGGAGTCTCACTCTGTCGCCCAGGCTGCAGTGCAGTGGCACAATCTTGGCTCACTGCAACCTCTGCCTCCCGGGTTCAAGCGATTCTCCTGGCTCAGCCTCCCAAGTAACTGAGACCACAGGCCCATGCCACCACGCCCGGCTAAATTTTGTATTTTTAGTAGAGACGGGGTTTTACTGTGTTAGCCAAGATGGTTTTTTTTTTTTTTTTTTTTTTTTTTTTTGAGACAGAGTCTCACTCTGTTGCCCAGGCTGGAGTGCAGTGGCATGACCTCGGCTCACCGCAGCCTCCACCTCCTAGGTTCAGGCAATTCTCCTGCCTCAGCCTCCCAAGTAGCTGGGACCACACGTGCATGCCACCACGCCGAGTTGATTTTTTTGTATGTATAGTAAAGCCAGGGTTTCATCGTGTTGGCCAGGGTGGTCTCGAGCTCCTAACCTCAGGTGATTTGCCCGCCTCGACCTCCCAAAGTGCTGGAATTACAGGCATGAACTACTGTGACCAACCGAGTTTAGGGTTTTTTACATGGAGTTTCTTTTGTTACTTTCCCCTTTCCTGGTGGGGCACTAGGGAGGGGCCTAACTTGTTGGTCAAGAGTCAGGTCTTCCCAAAGGCCCACCAATACTGCATTTGGCTGTGGATCTATTTTCTCTTTTTCTTTTTTCTTTTTTTGTCTTTTCTTTGTCTCACTCTGTGGCCTAGGCTGGAGTGCAGTGGCCTGATCTCGGCTCACTGCAATCTCTGCCGCCCAGTTTCAAGCTATTCTCCTGCCTCAGCCTCCCAAGTAGCTGGGATTACAGGTGCCTGCCACGGTGCCCAGCTAATTTTTGTATTTTTAGTACAGATGGGGTTTCACCATCTTGGCCAGGCTGGTTGAACTCCTGACCTCATGATCCACCTGCTTCGGCCTCCCAAAGTGATGGAATTACAGGCATGCGCCACTGTGCCCAGCCTATTTTCTCTTTTTCTATCTTGGGTGAAATCAGATCATACCACATTTGTTTCCTGGTAATCCTAATTAGGCTTTTTTGGCTTCCCTTTTTGGTCTAGCAGACTTGGTTTTTAAATTTAATTTAATTTTATTTAATTTTATTTTCTAGTAACCAATCTGACTTTCTCTCTTCCTTGTTCTGTCTCTCCAAGATTAGCTATGGTTTATCCCACATTATATATATCTTGTCCCATAAGAGGGCTCAAGAGGAATATGAGAAGGCCATGCTACTCTTGGGAAGCATTCTGTAACAATTTGCTTTTCATACCTGTGGTAAGCACAGTCTTTTCTGGTCCTTCAAATTGTCAGGGCCGGACCCAGTGGCTGACTGGGCAAGGTGGTTCATGCCTGTAATCCCAGCACTTTGGGAAGCAGAGGCAGGCGGATCACTTGAGGTCAGGAGTTTGGGACCAGCCTGGCCAACATGGTGAAACTCCATCTCCACTAAAAGTACAAAAATTAGCGGGGCATGGTGGTGGGCACCTGTAATCCCAGCTACTTGGGAGGCTGAGGCAGGAGAATTGCTTGAACCAGGGAGGCAGAGGCTGCAGTGAGATGAGATCGTGCCACTGCACTCCAGCCTGGGTGACAGAGTGAGACTCCGTCTCAAAAAAAAAAAAAAATTGTTGGACCTAATGCATGCCCCACTCTCTAAAAGTGCTCTGTGCTTCTTCCAAAGACTGCCATGGTGAGCTGTGTCCAGAGAAGTCTCTTTTATTTGGCCAAGCCTTTCTCGTGGTCATTATAATCCCAGTCCACAAGGCTACAGTTCCCCCAGACAGTTCTAGCATAATACAAACACTGTCTCAGAGTGAGATGAGTCGGTTATATTACTTATTTTTTTTCAGCTTCACTCTCTGCTGGAGAAATGTCATCCTCACCAGTGTCCCATAGCTGCACCATCCATGTGGCTGAGCTTTCTCTCAGCAGCTGTTCGGAAATTTTTGCTAGGTCTAATAATTCTTCTGAGGAATAATCTTGGATCGTCGAAGATTCCTGCAAAGGCTATTGCTTATGGCCAGGATGTACGTATAGGGCTTTTGCTTCCTGCTGCATACCCTCAAAAGGGGACGATAATTATCCTCCACCTCCCAGATAACCTCTGTGTCTTTATCTGGCTCACTAGTTGGTTCCCAATAATTCCAAATATTTGCATCCCAGTCTGGTTTGGCAAGGGCAGCCTGCATTAGCACAGTTTTCTCCCTCCCAACTGTACAAAGTGTCAAGCTAAGGTTTCCAACTGTGCCTCCTGAGTTTCAAGCTTATCTGCCAAACCAGACACTAACACAGATGTGGAAGTTTTTGTGTTTTTCTTTTTTGAGACGGAGTTTCACTCTTGTTGCCCAGGCTGGAGTGCAATGGCGCAATCTCGGCTCAATGCAACCTCTGCCTCCTGGGTTCAAGCGATTCTATTGCCTCAGCCTCCCGAGTAGCTGGGATTACAGCCTCACACCACCACGCCTGGCTAATTTTTTGTATTTTTAGTAGAGACGGGGTTTCACCAAGTTGGCCAGGCTGGTCTCAAACTCCTGACTTCAGGTGACCCACCTGCCTCGGCCTCCCAAAGTGCTGGGATTATAGTCAGGAGCCACTGGGCCTGGCGTGGAATTTCTTATATCCCTTTCTAATTGCAGTTCTTCTAACTTTCAGACATTTGCTGTAGCTGCTACCTGTACTTCTGTGGTTGCTGGCATAGACCATAATAGCGGCCAACTCACTGTCATAGCAGCTTACTGACCTTTCTCACCACAGTGAGTCATATGGCTTTTTACAAACAAGCACTCTAGACTCTGGGGTTTTGGAGGTGTTTCTGTACTCACGTGATGGTCCACAGGTATCTAGCAAATGGGCAGCACCACTTCATTTAGATGAGGAGGACTACCCCAGGATTTCCCCAAGGATGCTTCTTTCTTCATGCTCATGCTTTGGTTTCCTGGCTCCTGGCTGGATCACCACTTGTTTCATGTAAGGGCTGTATATGCAAAGCCACCCTCAAATGCAGAAAGAGCTGAGAAATTAAAGAAGGGAGCAGATAAATCCAGTTTGTCAGTATGGGATGACTTATTGGGGGAATTTACAGAGAGAAGCATGGTCTTGGGCAGCCACAGACAGGTAGAGCTCTTTACCTCAAATGCCCAGGTCCAAGGCTTAGACCTTGGAGAAAGGTAAATGTGCTCTGGAAGGAATGTGTAGGTGGCTATGGGTGTTAAACCTATGATGTACCAAGGGTTGCTTTGAAGGAAAGGTGAAACTTACAATGAATAGGTATCCTATATAAAGAGTAATACATCACCTAGACATTTTGGAGGCATTCCCAGACTCAGGGTTAGTCAGCGAATTAGCGTTTCAAATAAAGTTATTCTCATCCCCAAAATGACAAATGGTTTTTGAATACAGACAACACAAAATTACCATACAGACCATATATAACAATAACTACCTAAAAAGCCTTCTTTGAAAGCTTTCCCTCATTTGACATGTACCCCAATATATTATGAAATGGGGGAAATGGTGTACATTTTAATAAGCATTGTCTTGAATCTTAGCGATCTTTTTTGTTTGTTTTTGTTTGTTTTTGTTTTGTTTTGATTTTTTTATTTTTTTTATTATTTATAGTAAACTTTATTTTCATTGATATTTCACTTAACATAATTTCAAAGTCAGTCTGTGGTCTAAGATGAGCAAAAGAAAAGATATTCTAAATCTCTCAAGAGATTTTTTTCACACTGTTCCTCTGAGCAGGGAATGGGGTTTCAGGGTTCTCAATGTCAACACCTAACATTTTACCCTTGAGATTTACCTATAGATACAGAAAGAAGAGATAAAATCAATATACAAGAATCGATCTCTATGAGGGTCTCAATAAGCCCGTGTTACATGCTCGCCACCTCTGTAGGGTTATAATGGTAACAACTGATTTTCCACCCCTCCGCCAAATTTGGTCTTTTTTTTTTAGGTAAAATATCAGATGCAAAAATGCTGCACTTATTTCTCTTAATACATTGAAAATAGTGGAAGATGCAGATTTTTAATCCTTCATGAGTCCAAGCTGGAACATCTGATTCTGCTAATCAGATGTCATCAACATACGAACTCCAACTTTGGCAGCCATCAGCAAACTGGCACCTGCAATTAAACCTACAGGCATGAATTTTCCATAGTAGTAGGATCTCATTCCCATAATACCAACAAAAGTAACAGATGTAGCGGCTAGGAAATCCCAAACATTCCTTGGATCCTGATACAGCTGGTAAGCACCCACGCCGGCTAGACTGCCAAAGAGCAGCCCTGCAGCCAGGGACGGCGCCCTGCCTGTTTTTACATAGCCAACGATCCCACCAGAAACAACCAGTGCTGTGTAGCCAAAGCCAAACCAATGCAAAGGCACTAATGGGAAGAGGGGCTTCTCCATTCTTCTCTTCTCAGTCCAGAAAGGAGACTACCCCAGGCCTGCATCTCCTGAAGGCCCGTGGGGAGCACAATGGAGCGCAAGCCGCGGGACACAGCTGCCAGGTCTCTTGTTTTTATTTTTTATTATTATTATTATTTTTTGCAACAGAGTTTTGCTCTTGTTGCCCAGGCTTGGGCAACAAGTTTCACTCTTGTTGCCCAAGATGGAGTCTTGCTCTGGTGCCCAGGCTGGAGTGCAGTGACACAATCTCAGCTCATTGCAACCTCCGCCGCCCAGAATCAAGCGATTCTCCTGCGTCAGCCTCCTGAGTAGCTGGGATTACAGGCACCCACCAACATGCCTGGCTAATTTTTGTATTTTTAGTAGAGACTGGGTTTCGCCATGTTGACTGGGCTGGTCTCGAACTCCTGACCTCAGGTGATCCACCCGCCTCAGCCTCTCAAAGTGCTGGGATTACAGGCGTGAGCCACTGTACCCGGCCGGACCTTAGCTATCTTTGTCTTCTATTATGTAGTCTCTTTTAGACCACAGATCATTAATTTTTTTTTCTTTTTTTCCGAAACAGAGTCTTGCTCTGCTGCCCAGGCTGGAGTGCAGCGGCACAATCTCAACTCACTGCAATCTCCGTGTCCCGGGTTCAGGCAATTCTCCTGCCACAGCCTCATGAGTAGCTGGGATTACCGGTGTGCGACAGCATACCCAGCTAATTTTTTAATTTTTAGTACACATGGGGTTTCCCCATGTTGGCCAGGCTGGTCTCAAACTCCTGACCTCAAGTTATCCACCCGGCTTGGCCTCCCAAATTGCTGCGATTATAGGCGTGAGCCACCACACCCAGCCAATTTGTTTTCTTTAATATAAAACTTAGAGGCGGGTCCAGTGCCTTACGCCTGTAATCTTAGCACTTTGGGAGGCTGAGGTGGGCGGATCAGGAAGTCAGGAGTTCAAGTCCAGCCTGACCAACATGGTAAAACCCCATCTCGAAAAAAAAAATTTAAAAAATTAGCTGGGAGCAGTGGTGCATGCCTGTAGTCCCAGCTACTCAGGAGGCTGAGGCATGAGAATCGCTTGAACCCGGGAAACGGAGGTTGCGGTGAGCTGAGATTGCACCACTGCACTCCAGCCTGGGCAACAGAGTGAGACTCTGTCTTAAAAAATAAATAAAAATAAGCCGGCTGGGTGCGGTGGCTCACGCCTGTAATCCCAACACTTTGGAAGGCCGAGGCAGACGGATCACCTGAGGTCCGGAGTTCGAGACCAGCCTGGCTAACATGGCGAAACTTCGTTTCTACTGAAAATACAAAAAATTAGCCAGGCATGATGGCACGCGCCTGCAATCCCAGCTACTCAGGAGGCTGAGGCAGGAGAATCGCTTGAACCCGGGAGGTGGAGGTTGCAGTGAGCCGAGATTGCATCATTGCACTCCAGCTTGGGCAACAAGAGCGAAACTCTGCCTAAATAAATAAATAAATAAATAAAAATTAGAGACATTGTCTTTCCATGTCACCCAGGTTAGTCTAAAACTCCTGGGCTCAATCAATCCTCCTGTCTCAGCCATCCAAAGTGATGGAATTACAGGTGTGAGCCACCTTGCTCGGCTCATTATTAACTCTTATTTATTTATATTTATCAGAAATAAGCATCATATATTACAGATGCCTTATTCATTTAAAAAACTTTGGGAACAGCTGGGCACAGTGGCTCACACCTGTAATCCCAGCACTTTGGGAGGTCAAGGCGGGCGGATCACAAGGTCAAGAGTTCGAGACCACCCTGGCCAACATGGTGAAACCCCGTCTACTAAAGATATAAAAAATTAGCTGGGTGTAGTGCCGCCTGCCTGTAATCCTAGCTACTAGAGAGGCTGGGGCAAGAGAATTGCTTGAACCTAGGAAGCGGAGGTTGCAGTAAGTTGAATTTGCGCCATTGCACCTCAGCCTGGGCAACAGGGCAAGACTCCGTCTCAAAAATAAAAGGGAGTCTGCTGGGCACAGTGGCTCACGCCTGTAATCCCAGCACTTTCAGAGTCTGAGGTGGGTAGATCACCTGAGGTGAGGAGTTTGACACCACCCTGGCCTACATAGGGAAACCCCATCTCTAGTTAAAAAAAAAAAAAATTAGCCAGTCATGGTGACAGGTGCCTGTAATCCCAGCTACTCGGGAGGATGAGGCAGGAGAATCACTTGAACCCGGGAAGCAGAGGGTGCAGTGAGCCAAGATCCGCCATTCCACTCCTGCCTGGGCAACAAGAGGGAAACCCCATTTTAGCCTGGCATTGTGGCAGGCACCTGTAATCCCAGCTACTCAGGAGGCTGAGGCAGGAGAATCGCTTGAACCCGGGCAGCAGAGGTTACAGTGAGCCGAGATCGTGCCACTGCACTCCAACCTGGGCAACAGAGCAAGACTTTTTGTCTCAATAATAATAATAAAGAAACACGACATCTTCATTATCTTTTATAGTCACATAAAGTACAGGATTTTAGTACATCAGAAGAAATGACATGATAAATCTCAGAAACATACGCAAGAATTTGTCAGCCATGATGATCTCTGAGGAGGCGGATGAATGAAAGATGAGGAGCTGCACTTTCTTTTTGAGACGGAGTTTCGCTATGTTGCCCTGGCTTGAGTGTAGTGGTGCAATCTCAGCTCAATGCAACCTCCGCCTCCTGGGTTCAAATGATTCTTCTGCCTCAACCTCCTGAGTAGCTGGGACTATAGGCGTGCACCACCACACCTGGCTACTTTTTGTATTTTTAGTAGAGACGGGGTTTCATCATCTTGGCCAGGCTGGTCTGGAACTCCTGACCTCGTGATCCACCCGCCTCGGCCACCCAAAGTGCTGGGATTACAGGCGTGAGCCACCGTGCCCCGCCTACTTTTTTTTTTTTTTTTTGAGATGGAGTCTCACTGTGTCACCAAGCCTGGAGTGCAATGGCAGGATTTTGGCTCGCTGCAACCTCTGCCTCCCTGGTTTCAAGCAATTCTCCTGCTTCAGCCTCCCAAGTAGCTAGGACTACAGGTGTATGCCACCACACCCAGCTAATTTTTGCATTTTTAGTAGAGATGGGGTTTCACCATGTTGGCCAGGCTGGTCTCGAACCCCGACTTCAAGTGACCCACTTGCCTCGGCCTTCCAAATTGCTGGGATTACAGCTGTGAGCCACCGCACCCAGCCCCGACTCCTTTTTTGTTTTGTAGAGAGGACGTATCGCTGTATTGCCCAGGTGGGTTCAATCTCCTGGGCTCAAGCAATCCCCTGCCTTTAGCTTCCCAAAGTGCTGGGATTACAGGCATGAGCCACCGCACCCAGCCGAAAGCAGGGGCTTAAAAAAAGTTTCAGATTTATCTTTTCTTTTTGGCTTGAGTAATATGGTTATTATTATATTTTTTCATGAAAACTGCCCAGGCCAGGTGCAGTGCCTCATGCCTGTAATCGCAGCAGTTTGGGAGGCAGAGGCGGGCGGATCACGAGGTCAAGAGATCAAGACCATCCTAGCCAACATGGTGAAACCCCATCTCTACTAAAAATACAAAACAATTAGCTGGGTGTGGTGGTATGCGCCTGTAGTCCCAGCTACTCGGGAGGCTGAAGCAGGAGAATCGTTTGAATCCGGGAGGCAGAGATTGCAGTGAGCCGAGATCACACCACTGTACTCCAGCCTGGCGACGGAGCAAGACTCCATCTCAAAAAAAACAAAAACAAAAACAAAAAAAACACAGAAAACTGGCCAGGCATGGTGGCTTATGCGTGTAATCCCAACACCTTGGAGGCTAAGGTAGGGGCATCCCTTGAGGGCAGGTGTTCAAGACTGACCTAGGCAACATATTGAGATCCCACCTCTGCAAAAAAAAAAAAACTTGGGCATGGTGGCGTGTGCTTGTAGTCCCGGCTACTTGGGAGGCTGAGTAGGAGGGGATGGCTTGAGCCCATGAGTTCGAGACTGCTGTGAACTAAGGTTGCACCACTGCACTCCAGCTTGGTTGACAGAGCAAGACCCTGCCTCAAATAAAATAAAATGAAATGAAAAAGGGACATGTTTTGGTCAAGTCTTTTTCTACAGCCCACCAAATCTATACATTAAATATCCAACACCACAGATGGGCATGTTGACTCATGCCTTTAATCCCAGCACTTTGGGAGGCTGAGTCAGGAGGGTTGCTTGAGTCCAGGAGTTTGAGACCAATCTGAGCAACATAGTGAGATCCATGACCAGCCTGGCCAAGCTGGTGAAACCCTGTCTCTACTAAAAATACAAAAATTAGCTGGGCGTGATGGCACGTACCTGTATCCCCATTACTGGGGAGGCTGAGGCAGGAGGATCACTTGAACCTGGGAGGTGGAGGTTACAGTGAGCCAAGATATCGACAGTGAGCCGAGATATCGACATTGCACTCTAGCCTGGGCGACACAGTAAGACTCCATCTCAAAAAAAAAAAAAAAAAAAAAAAAAAGACAATCCCATGCAAGGTATGCAATTTGGTGAGTAACTGGAGTAGAATGTGTGAGCATTGCAATGAGAGAGATATAGGAATGTTGCAGAAGCAGCTCAGAGATCCATAAGGCTATGGAGCTCCTAATTCTGCCTCAGTAATTATAAAAGGTTTCACAGACTAGGAGCTCTGTGAGCTGGGTTTTGAGGAATAAGGACAAGTTTGCCAGGTTGATAAAAAGGAAAATTAGTCTGGGCGCCGTGGCTCATGCCTGTAGTGCTAGCAAATTTGGGAGGCTGAGGCTGGCAGATTGCCTGAGCTCAGGAGTTCGACCAGCCTGGGCAACATGGTGAAACCATGTCTGTACTAAAAATACAAAAAATAGGCTGGGCGCTGTGGCTCATGCTGTAATCCCAGCTCTTTGGGAAGCCGAGGTGGGTGGATCATGAGGTCAGGAGTTCAAGATCAGCCTGGCCAACATGGTGAAACCTCGTCTCAACTAAAAACACAAAAATTAGCTGGGTACAGTGGTACGTGCCTGTAATCCTAGCTACTCAGGAGGCTGAGGCAGGAGAATCCCGGGAGGCGGAGGTTTCCGTGAGCTGAGATCGCATCATTGCATTCCAGCCTGGGCGACAAAGCAAGACTCTGTCTCAAAAAAGAAGAAGAAGAAGGCTGGGCGTGGTGGCTCACGCCTGTAATCCCAGTGCTTTGGGAGGCCAAGGCAGGTGGATCAAGAGGTCAGGAGTTCGAAATTAGCCTGACCAACATGGTGAAACCCCATCTCTAATAAAAACACAAAAATTAGCCAGGCATGGTGGCGCATGCCTGTAATCCCAGCTACTCAGGAGGATGAGGCAGGAGAATCACTTGAACCTGGGAGGTGGAAGTTGCAGTGAGCCAAGATCGCACCACTGCACTCCAGTGTGGGCAACAGAGCGAGACTCTGTCTCAAAAAAAAAAAAAAAAAAAAAAAAGGAAAGAAAATTAGATAAGAGAAGAAGAGGCAGGAGGAAGAAGAACATTCTAGGCAGATCTGCATCTGTCCCTCTGTCCCAACATTTCCATCATCTCCATTCACAAAGCCTGAGAAAATGTTAGGAGAAACTCATGAGGTAACTAAGATAGCTTTTATTAAGATAACTAATTTTTTTTTTTAGACAGGGTCTTGCTCAGTCTCCCAGGCTGGAGTGCGGTACCACAATCTTAGCTCACTGCAACCTCCGCCTCCTGGGTTCAAGCGATTCTCCTGCCTCAGCCTACCAAGTAGCTGGGATTACAAGCTCCTGTCACCATACCCAGCTACTTTTGTATTTTTAGTAGAGACAGGGTTTCACCATGTTGGCCAAGCTGGTCTAGAACCCCTGTCCTTATGTGATCCATCCACTTTGACCTCCCAAAGTGCTGGAATTTCAGGTGTGAGCCATTGCTTGTCCACTCATTCAGTCATTTTTAGTGTCTGAATAGGCATGTATGGAGGTTACAACATACAACATAAATGAAGCGTCAGAGGGGAGGAAGTCTCAGCATCACTCAGGTGAAAATGAATGGAAAATAGAGCAGGAACGCAAAACATGGCTTCAGAGGTTAGTGGTAACACCAGAGCTACAAACCAGGGCTGGAAATTCAGCTTCAGAAGTCTTCTGAGACCAGGAGTCTTGAAGGGCTTGCAGTACCAGGAAGTCTCCAAAGGAGGGAGCAGGAAGAGAGAGAAGATGGTGAAGGCAATTTGGACATGTGGGTGGCCTATTAGCTGCCACAGAGATCCAGGGAGGAGGCATTTTTAAACAAAGGAGAATGAAGATGTGTAGTGACTATAGCCTTAGGAGAGTGCATCAGTGAACTCAGGAATAAATGGGCATTGTAGAAAAAAGAAGCAGCAAATAGAAATTCTTGGCCAGTCATAGTGGCTTCATGGCTGTAAATCCCAGCACTTTGGGAGTCTGAGGTGGAAGGATCACTTGGGGCTGGGAGTTCATAACCAGCCTGGGCAACAGAGCAAGATCCCATCTCTAAAAAAAAAAAAATTTCTTTGAGATAGAATCTGGCTCTGTCTCCCAGGCTAGAGTGCCATAGCGTGATCTCAGCTCATGGCAACCTCTGCCTCCCGGGTTCAGGCGATTCTCCTGCCTCAGCCTTCTGAGTAGCTGGGATTACAGGCATGTGCCACCATGCCTGGCTAATTTTTGTATTTTTAGTAGAGATGGGTTTTTGCCATATTGACTAGGATGGTCTTGAACCCCTGCCCTCAAGTGATCTGCCCACCTAGGCCCTCCAAAGTGCTGGGATTACAGGCATGAGCCACCATGCCCAGCCAAAACAATTTTTTTTTTTTAATTAGCCTTGCCTGGCTCGGCACAGTGGCTCACACCTGTAATCCCAGCTCTTTGGGAGGCCAAGGTGGGCAGAACACGAGGTCAGAAGTTCAAGACCAGCCTGGCCAATATGGTGAAACCCTATCTCTTTTTTTTTCTTTTTTTTGAGAATTATTCTCACTCTTTTTGCCCAGGCTGGAGTGTAGTGGTACAATCTTGGCTCACTACAACCTCCACCTCCTGGTTTCAAGTGATTCTCCTGCCTCAGCCTCCAGAGTAGCTGGTGGGTGGAGTGGGGGAGCTACAGGCACCCCCCACCATACCTGGCTAGTTTTTATATTTTTAGTAGAGACGGGGTTTCACCATGTTGGCCAGGCTGGTCTTGAACTCCTGATCTCGTGATCTGCCTGCTTCGGCCTCCCGAAGTGTTGGGATTACAGGTGTGAGCCACCTCGCCGTGCCGAAACCCTGTCTCTACTAAAAAGTACAAACATTAGGCTGGGCATTAGCCTTGCCTGTAGTCCTAGCTACTCGGGAAGCTGAGGCAGGGGGATCGCTTGAAACTGGGAGAGAGGCTGAGGCTGCAATAAGCTGTGATCATACCAGTGCACCCCAGCCTGGGCTACAAAAGAGACCCTGTGTCAAAAAGAGAGAAAGGAAGGGGAGGGGTGGGGAGATGAGGGGAAGGGAGAGCTTCTCAGGAAAGAAATAAGAAAGCAAGGCCAAGCAAAGGGGCCACCTGGTCATGGTAAACACAAAAGACCTATAAACAGCAGAGGAGAAGGAATTAATGAAGAGGAGACGGTGCTGATGCTAGAAAGACAGGGGCTCATTAATGGAGTAAGAGGTGCTTAGATAAGTAACATGGAAGCTATGGGCTCAAGGATACAAGCTAATGGGCAGGCACATAACATAGAGAAGAAACTTCAAGTAAGAAAAGAAATTGCACGCTGAGGAAAGGAAAGAAAGGTAAGAAATCTCTGTCGTCTGAGCCACCGTGCCTGGCCACACCCAGCTATTTTTTTGTATTTTTAGTAGAGATGGGGTTTCACTATGTTGGCCAGGCTGGTCTCCAACTCCTGACCTCATGATCCGCCCGCCTCGGCCTCCCAAAGTGCTGGGATTACAGGCCTGAGCCACCGTGCCCGGCCGAAACTATTGCTTTTTAGCAATTTTTATTTATTTAAAATTTATTTTATTTTTTAATAAAATAAAATAAGTATTTTAAAACCTATTGCTGGCTGGGCACAGTGGTTCACGCCTGTAATCCCAGCACTTTGGGAGGCAGAGGCAGGTGAATCACGAAGTCAGGGGTTTGAGACCAGCCTGTCCAAGATAGTGAAACCCCTTGTCTACTAAAAACTACAAAAAAAAAAAAAATTAGCCAGGTGTGGTGGCAGGTGCCTGTAATCCCAGCTACTCGGGAGGCTGAAGCAGGAGATCGCTTGAACCAGGGTGGCAGACGTTGCAGTGAGCCGAGATCACGCCACTGCACTCCATCCTGGGCAACAGAGTGAGACTCCATCTCAAAAAACAAAAAAAAAATTGTTTATTTCTTGAATTTTCCATGGAATCTTATCAGACCACTGACGACCTCTGATAAGGAGTGGACTACTATGATATGAAATACATTTAGTCTGAGTCCCCAGCTCCTGTCACACAGCTCCTAAAATCGTAGGAATTTCCTGAGTGCTAGGAATGTCTTAGTTATTCACAACAAATCCCTTCATCACGCCAGAGTTTATGCTAAAGAAGTGATTTAGGGTGGGGCCCCAAGGTAGCCTTAGGCTGGGGCTGCTCAACGGGTGATTAGTGGATTGGAAAGGCAGAGGGGGTGGGGGAGGGAGGGGTTCAGGAGATGATGCTCCATAGAAACTTTTGAACAAGGAGTTGCTGAACACTTCGAGTTGCTGGGAGGTCAGTGTGCACAGTCAAGGTACGGAAGCTTTGTGACACCTCCTTCCACAATCATGCCCTTTGCATATCTTCTTGGAGTGATCATTTGTGTCCTTCATAATACATTGGTTAACATAAGTAGAGCATTTCCCCTGAGTTCTGTGAGCCATCCTAGCAAATTATCACAGCCGAGGAGGGGGGTTGTGGGACCCCTGATTTATAGTCAGTCAGAAGCACAGGTCACTGTCTGGGACATGTAATTGGTGTCTCAAAATGGCGGCAGTCTTGTGGGACTAAGCCCCTATCTGTGGGCTTCAGATAGCATCAGAATTGAATTGAGTTAGAGGACACCCAGTTGGCATCTGCTGGAGAATTTTGGTGTGTGTGTGTGTGAAAACCCCCATAAATCTGATAAATATTCTGAGCTGCATTCAGTGCGAGTAGGGAGAAAAAACTTTTTTCCCTTAATTTGTGACCAATAAATGCCAATTCTTGAACACCTGCTCAGTGCAAGTTCTTTCCTCTGGTAGTTCTCTGGTCATTCCCTTGGGTCCTTTCTTTTTTCTTTTTCTTTTTTTTTTTTTTTGAGATGGAGTTTCACTCTGTTGCCCAGGCTGGAGTGCAATGGCGTGATCTCGACTCACTGCAACCTCCGCCTCCTGGATTCAAGCGATTCTCCTGCCTCAGCCTCTCGAATAGCTAGAATTATAGGCATCCACCACCACGCCTGAGTAATATTTTGTATTTTTAGTAGAGACGGGGTTTCACCATATTGGCCCAGCTGGTCTTGAACTCCTGACCTCAGGTGATCCACCCGCCTCGGCCTCTCAGAGTGCTGGGATTATAGGCATGAGCCGCCACGGTCGGCCTCTTTTTTTCTTTTTTAAGAATTATTTTAATTTATTTTATTTTTTTGGCAGACTCATGCTCTGTCACCCAGTCTGGAGCACACTGATGCAGTCATAGCTCACTGCAGCCTTCACCTCCTGGGCTCAAGCAATCCTCCTGCCTCAGCCGTCTGGGTAGCTGGGACTATAGGTGTAAGCCACAGTGCCCAGCCTCCTTGAGTTTTTTCTACTTGAAATTTTTCTTTCTCCTTTGAATTCCTCGCCCAACTGACAGCATTAGATCTTCACAAATGCTACTGCTGGCTTCTGCTGCTACAAGATGTATCTTGCCCAGCTTCCCCGCTATCCCCCAGGACCATGCAGAGTGTGCTGTCCCAGATCACCAAGGGACAACTGACTCTTTACTACCTGCTATTATATCAACTATCTATCTATTGAATTTACGTTTTATATTTATTTATTTACTTATTTTGAGATGGAGTTTCGCTCTGTCGCCCAGGCGGGAGTGCAATGGTGTGATCATGGCCCACTTCAACTTTCACCTCCCGGGTTCAAGCAATTCTCCTGCCTCAGCCTCCTGAGTACCTGGGATTACAGGCGCCTGCCACCACGCCCGGCTAATTTTTGTATTTTTGGTAGAGATGGGGTTTCACCTTGTTGGTCAGGCTGGTCTCAAACTCCTGACCTTGTGGCCAGGCGCTGTGGCTCACGCCTGTAATCCTGGCACTTTGGGAGGCTGAGGTGGGCGGATTGCCTGAGCTCCGGGGTTGAGACCAGCCTCGACAACATGGTGAAACCCCGTCTCTACTAAAATACAAAAAAAATTAGCTGGGCGTGGCGATGTGCTCCTGTAGTCCCAGCTACGCGTGAGGCTGACGCAGGAGAACTGCTTGAACCTGGGAGGCGGAGATTGCAGTGAGCTGATCACGCCACTGCACTCAAGCCTGGGCGACTGAGGGAGATTCCGTCTCAAAACAAAACAAACTCCTGACCTCATGATCCACCCGCCTCAGCCTCCTAAAGTGCTAGGATTACAGGCATGAGCCACCGCGCCCAGCCTATTTTATTTTTTATTTTATTATTTATTTACTGAGTTAGGGTCTTGCTATGTTGCTTAGGCTGGTCTCAAACTCCTCACACATCAGCATCCTAAGCAGCTGGTCCCACAGGCATGGGCCACCTAACCCAAATTAATTTATCTATCTATCTATCTATCTAATCAGACCCTGATCTCCATATAGGAAATAATGAGTTTGTCTTCCTTAGTTACTATATAATTTGTACTACCAGGATTGTATAAAATTCCTAACACTTAGTATTGCCAAATTTTAAAATTTTGTCCAATGGAGATTATATTCTTTCTTTTTTTTTTTTTTTTTTTTTGAGGCGGAGTCTTGCTCTGTCGCCCAGGCTGGAGTGCAGTGACGCGATCTCACCTCACTGCAAGCTCCGCCTCCCGGGTTCACGCCATTCTCCTGCCTCAGCCTCCCGAGCAGCTGGGACTACAAGCGCCCGCCACCATGCCCGGCTACTTTTTTTTTGTATTTTTAGTGGAGACGGGGTTTCACCGTGTTAGCCAGGATGGTCTCGATCTCCTGACATCGTGATCTGCCCACCTGGGCCTCCCAAAGTGCTGGGATTACAGGCGTGAGCCACCGTGCCCGGCCAACCTGGCTAATTTTTGTATTTTTAGTAGAGACAGGGTTTCACCTTCTTGGCCAGGCTTGTCTTGAACTCCTGACCTCATGATCCGCCTTGGCCTCCAAAAGTGCTGGGATTACAGGCGTGAGCCACCATGCCTGGCAGAGATTATATTCTTTAGGAAAGAATCTCTGTGTGTGTATGTGTGTTTGAGGAGGTTATTCTATATTATATATATAATTTCCACCTCTGCCAGGTCACTAACCAAGATAATTTGGTAAGCAGAGTAGCTAAGATGTTTTGGAGATAGAGCAATAGTAAAATGAGAAATAACTGTAGAGGGAACTTGAGTTAGGTTTGGATGAGTTAGATAAGTGCAGTTCCTATACCCTTATGACATAATTTTCATACCTCTTTTTAAAAGAGGTGACTGGAAAAAAGACATTCTTGCTGTTACTTGGGGAAGAAAATGGGGTAAGTTAGTTATAAGGATAGTGGAAAATTGCCTAAACATTTATTCTTTGTTATTGAGGTCTGGAAAGAATTGCACTTTATTTTCTTCTCCCTGAGTAGTCACCTCATGTTATTGTTTAATTTCCCATGACTTGTTAAACCTTTTAGACTTTATGGAAACATCTGGCCCCTTTCCTGACAGATGAACCCGATCAGGTTGCTGGGTGCCAAGATGGTTTTTAATATCATCTACATGCTGATGACTCTCAATTTGTTTCTTCAAGATAACTCTCCTTCCCAAACTCGAAATTGTCCCAGACTTGGCCAGTGGGAGAGACCTGTCCTTTTTTGATGGACATTTAGATGGTTTCCAGTTTTTCACCATTGTGAAACATAATGAAAATATTTTATTGACACAGACTCAATTCAGCCCTCAGAGCCTTTGCACTTGCTTTTTCCTAAGCCTGCAATCTTCTTCCAGCTTCCTCCCTTACTTTTTTCAGTCTACTCAATGTGGTCTTCCTTGATTGCTGAATTCAAAATTAAAATTCTGGTCAGGGGCAGTGGCTCATGCCTGTAATCACAACTACTTGGGAGGCTGAGATACAAGAATTGCTTGAACTTGGGAGGAAGGTTGCAGTGGGACAAGATTGCACTACTGCACTCCAGCCTGGGCGACTGAGTGAGACTCCCTCTCAAAAACAAACAGGCCAGGCGCGTTGGCTCTCTGGGAGGCCGAGGCAGGTGGATCACCTGAGGTCAGGAGTTTAAGACCAGCCTGACCAACAAGGTGAAACCCCATCTCTGCTAAAAAAACACAAATTAGCCACACGTGGTGGTGCATGCCTTTAGTCCCAGCTATTCAGGAGGCTAAAGCAGAATTGCTTGAACCTGGGAGGCGAAGGTTGCAGTGAGCCGAGATCGGGCCACTGCACTCCAGCCTGGGCGACGGAGCAAGATTCCATCTCAAAAAAAAAAAACCCAAAAAACAAAACACACACACACACACACACAATTATTTTAGAAGCACACATGCACTTAGAATCCTTTTAGAAGCACTCATTGGGTTTTTTGTTTGTTTGTTTGTTTGTTTTGAGACAGGGTCTTGATCTTTCCTCCAGGCTGACATGCAAGTCATACAATCTTGGCTCACTGCAACCGCCTCCCAGACTCAGGTGATTCTCCCATCTCAGCTTCCCGAGTAGCTGGGAAAACAGGCATGCACCACCATGCCTGGCTAATTTTTATATTTTTAGTAGAGATTTCACTATGTTGCCCAGGCTGGTCTCGATCTCCTGGGTTCAAGTGATCCTCCCCCCCTCTGCCTCCCTAAGTGATGAAATTACAGGCATGAGCCACTGAGCCCTGAGCCCTGTGTATTGTGTGTGTGTGTTTTTGAGATGGAGTCTTGCTCTGTCACCAGGCTGTAGGCTGGAGTGCAGTGGTGCCATCTCGGCTCACTGCAACCTCTGCCTCCCAGGTTCAAGCGATTCTCCTGCCTCAGCCTCCCGAATAGCTGAGACTGCAGGTGCGCGTCACCACTCCCAGCTAATTTTTGTATTTTTAGTAGAGACTGGGTTTCAACATGTTGGTCAGGATGGTCTTGATCTCTTGACATTGATCTGCCTGGCTTGGCCTCCCAAAGTGCTGGGATTACAGGTGTAAGCCACTGTGCCCGGCTATTTTTTTTTTTAATTGCAATCTTCCCCAGCATTTCCCATCCCCTTCCCTGCCTTTTCCCCCCACTTTATCCCGGTGCTATCACTATCTGATACACTATATATTCTGCTCATTTATTTTCTTTATTTTCTGTGCCCCGACTCTTACAACACGATGGAATGCAAGCTCTACAAGGACGGAGGTTTCCTTTTGCTCACTTTTGTTTCCCCAAGTTTGGAATTGTGTCTGGCACTAAGTAGGGACTCAAGGGGAATGAGTGTTACCATGGACATCATTCTATATAGTTGTATGATTTTCCTATTTCAATACATTTTAAAGTTAATCCAGTTAATTGACAAAAGCCAGGATATTTCTATTTTATGATAGTCCTTTTCCTTTTGTTCTTCATGAAAATTAGATTATGTTGGATTTTTCCTTTTCCTTTTTTTGGGGGCAGGGAGATGGGTCTTGCTGTGGTTGCCCAGGATGGCCTCAAACTCTTGGGCTCAAGTAATCCTCTTGCCTCAGTCTCCCGAGTAGCTGGGATGGTGCGCACTATTATGCCCACCTGAAAGTCAGGATTTTTTTTAAGACAGTATCTTGCCCTGTCACTCAGGCTGGAGTGCAGTGGCTTTACCAAAGCTCACTGCAACCTGAAACTCCTGGGCTCAAACAGTCCTCCTGCCCCAGCCTCTCAAAGTGTTAGGATTACAGGTGTGTGCCCAGCCTTGAAAATCAAGTTTTATAAGTCAAACTCTCCCTGCATTCCTTTCTTTTTATCTAGGTAGAATGTTTCTAACAAGATTTTAACAAGTAACCTTTTGAAGCATTGGCTCAGAAGGGTCAATTTTTGTCCATAAGATTTATTTCACGGAAGGCAGCTATGCTAACCCCTATACCATCAACGGGTCATATAAGATTTATTTCAGGCCTGGTGTGGTGGCTCACGCGTGTAATCCCAGCACTTTGGGAGGCCAAGGCAGGCAGATCACCTGAGGTCAGGAGTTCGAGGCCAGCCTGACCAACAAGGTGAAACCCCATCTCTTCCAAAATAATAATAATAATAATAATAACATAGCTGGGTGTGGTGGCGCACACCTGTAAGCCGAACTACTCAGGAGGCTGAGGCAGGAGAATCGCTTGAACCCAGGAGCAGAGGTTGCAGTAAGCCGATATCATGCCATTGCACTCCAGCCTGGGCAACAAGAGCGAAACTCCATCTCAAAAAAAAATTTATTTCAAATGCCACATTTCTGATTTTATTCAGCCAAGGTACTTTGATTGTGCCATTGAAAACACGAGTGCAGTCATCAGTTTGCTCTGCCAGCCTGGAATCTCTGTTCCTTCTGTGTAGGAGGCAAATTTTATTCATCCTTGTATGCCTACATTGTAGTGCAAGAATACATTTGTATGAATCAATCAGTGAGGAAGGTTAAAAGTTTAGGAATCTTTCCCAGAACAGCCCGGTTATACTTATGTGTATACGAATAAAATCTAAGTGCAGAATGGGGGTAGAATGGTGTGAAATGCAATGAGGGACTGAATCCTTTCTCTTCACTTGAAGTTTGACCTGGAAGGAATGAAGATTCCATGAACAGCATTTTCCTTACCACGGTGACCCCATTAAAATCCTGGATTCCCTTGTCTGTGTCATGACTGCTGGAAGAAGCAATAGCTATCAAACATTTAGAGAAAAATTCAGATGCCCTAGTCAGTCTTAATTCTGGCGTAATGCCACTGGTTATTCCTCCTAATTCGGAAAACTTAGCTCTTCCTGCCCTTTCATTTCTTCATTCATAAAGTGAATACGACCACCACTGAGGTCCAGGGCCAAATAACTAACAGAAATATTATGATGAACTTTGCAGACATCCAGCCCAGAGTCAGGGAACACAGCCCTCATCTGGTTTCTCTCTTTGGTGTTGAGGGCGGTTTTCCGTTGCTGGCGACCTAGACATTGCTCAATGGTGTCATCTCTGACCTGGCACCTTCTTCATACATTTATAAACATGCAATTTAGAGATCCTAAAAACTTTTTCTAGAGCTCCCCTGGGAAAAAAGTTAATGACAAAATCTTGACACCTCTCTACGTCTTCTTCGGAGACAGAGAAGTTGAGAGAGGTGGAGAACGAGGGGGAGGGGGAGGGGGTCGAGAGGGAGTCGAGGAGGGATTCCAGCTCCAGTTTGGGTAAATCCAGCTCGCGTTTTGTCTCTCGCTCAACTGTGCAGGGTCCAGCGAAGGCAGAGCCCCAGCTTCACTCCCTGAGGTCTGTCCTGGGGAGACACTGCTGCTCCGGGGGGCTGACCTGGCGGGGAGTGGCCGCGCAGTCTGCTCCGGCGCCGCTTTGTGCGCGCAGCCGCTGGCCCCTCTACTCCCGGGTCTGCCCCCCGGGACACCCCTCTGCCTCGCCCAAGTCATGCAGCCCTACCTGCCTCTCCACTGTGGACCTTTGGGAACCGACTCCTCACCTCGGGGGCTCGGGCCTTGACTGTGCTGGGAGCCGGTAGGCGTCCTCCGCGACCCGCCCGCGCCCCTCGCGCCCGCCGGGGCCCCGGGCTCCAAAGTTGTGGGGACCGGCGCGAGTTGGAAAGTTTGCCCGAGGGCTGGTGCAGGCTTGGAGCTGGGGGCCGTGCGCTGCCCTGGGAATGTGACCCGGCCAGCGGTGAGTTGGGGCCGGGGCAGAGGGCAGGGGTGCGGGGAGCGAGGACTCCGACGCCGAGGCCCGAGGGGGGTCCGGGAGGCGGCGCTCGGCGCGGGCTGGATGTGGCCGGGGCTCTGCGTCCTTGGCTCTCCCGCTGCCTCAGGGGTGGGCTCGTTCCCCGCCTCGACCCCCCACCCCGGGACGCTCGGGACGCTTTTGTTGCCGGAGATAAACAATGCCCCCGGCCGGAGGTATCGGCCACCCGCTCCGGAGGCCCCGCCACAGCGCCGGGTTGGGGGCAGCGGGGGCGCCTGGGGCTCTGACCCCGGGCTGCGGTGGAAGCGGGGCTGGGGGAGGGCAAGTGTGGCGTGGGGGAGATGGCTGAATATACCAGCGGTTGGTTCCCTGGCCCCTTTGGGGAGTTGGAGGTCGGGGCGCCTCGGGGTGAGGAGAGGCTAGAGTCTGTGCAAGTTGTGAGTGGGGAGTCCGGGCTGTCCCGTGCTCAAGCGTACCCCCTAAACAAGTTTTCTCCCTCCCCCCATATATATATGAGAGACAGGTTGGTAGGGAAACGCTTTGGCGCCTGTCTCCCCGAGAGTTTTGGGACGGCAGCTCCAGGGATGAAACGTTTGGAGTGGAGGCAGTGGTGCAGTCTTGCTAGGAGTTGGCTGGGAGTTGTAAGGATCAGGGAAGAAGGGAAGAGGGAGTAGAGTGTGTTCTGTCAAAATGGCATTTAAGAAACTCATTTATGAGCACCACTGGGTCGCTGGACGCGCTGGCCTTGCGATCCCATCAGTCCCCGTCTGGCGGGATCCCGGAGCGGGCCCCGAGGGTGGGAGGTGCGCGGAGCTGGGTGCTGGGGCTGGTCGTGCAGCACGTGAGGGGCCTGGTCCTCGCTCTCGGGCGAGGAGGCGGCCGCACAACCTACCGCCCCCAGAGAAAAAATGCTCTCCTCTCTCTCTGTGCTTCCCTCCCTCCCTCCCTCTCCCCCGCTCCGGTCCCCGCCTCTCTCGCCCCAGGCTCTTGAATATATATATATATATATTCTACAAGAAGTGGTCTGGAAGGGACTGGCCGACGCTGGTAATCTTTCCACGTGAACGAGAAACCCACGCTGGGCATTTCTGATCCACTAAAAACTAAAGTGTTTCCAAAAGAACACTTAAAGCTTCAGCCTCGGAGTCTTTCCCGCGCCCCCAACTCGTCCCTCTCCCAAATTAACCAACCTTTCTGCATACGTCTCTTAGGGTGCCTCTTCCCCTCCGTCCCGGTTCCACTCCTGGGCACTAAACGAGCTGCACAATATGTCCTAGTAATGACTGCTTTTTGAAGAAATGTTTGAAAAGTGCTGCAAGACCTTGGAGCGAGAACAGGATTAGGTACACAGCCCTGGGCCGGCGGGGTGAGCCGCGCGCGCCACTGGAAGAGCGGCGCTGTATAGCAGCAGCCCCAGGTCTCCCCTGGACCTGAGTGTGCTCGGCGTCCCCACCCCCAATATAAAGTAAAATAAAAGCAATGGTTTAATTAGGCCTCAGGATACGAAAAATATGGAAAAGGCGCTTCTTAACCAGTAAGGGCAACAGTTATTTGGAGCACACTAGGAATTTATGACTACAATTAAACCAGGGGCAGGGGTACACGTAGATAGGTACGGAAATAAGGAGATTGGTGTGAGTTAATAATCGAAAGACTTAGGTGAATCAAACCAAGAATCAAAAGACTTAGGTGGCTTTTGGTGTGTTTCCGATTTTATCGGTATTGATCATACGGGTCCCCCTTTTCCCCAATTAAGGGATTTTTAATTAGTTTGTCAGTCTTTAAAGCTAAGTTGTGGTTTCAATTAAATTTCAGAATCAAGATATACGGGAAATGGCAGACAGTGTCCTTTTCTCTTTGCAAAGATGAGGAGTCCAGGCTTACAACTCTGGGACTGCCACTTTCCATTTTAATAAGAGTTAACTATCGCTCTCCGGGCTGGTCTCCCAGAATAGATGGGTGGGAGGGTTGGGTCTCCACTGTCCCTGCCCTTTGTTTCTCTTCCTTCTCCCATCTGATTTGTCTCCCCTCCCCCACCTTCTGAGCGTCCGTATCTTCCCTGCACACTTGATTTCCCCTATCCCCTTGGTCTTTTAGTTTTCGGCCTTTTGATCCCAGTTGCCTTTTTATGTTCTAGCTTTATTACTATAGATGTCGAACCCCTTCCTCAGTTTTTACTATAAGTAATTTTTGCCCTTCCTCAGTTTTTTACTATACATTTCTTCCCCTTCTTTCGTTTTTGGCCTTTTTTGTTTTCTTTTTGGGCATTTTCTTCCTTCTCTTGCTTTTTCTTCTACTTCCTCCTGTTGTGTGTTATGTCTTTCTTGTCTTCGGAAGGACAGTTCTATGTCCATTCTAACGTCTCCCTTCCCTTTTCTTGGCCCTTTTCCCCCCTTTTTTCCCCCTTCCTCTCTGCAGGGCAGAGGGGTGTTTTACATATGGAAGGAGCCATTGACTAAATGTGCTGGCATTCTAGTGAGTTTCCCTGAACAGCTTTTACATGTGCCGAGGGCTCTCACACTTCCTGTGGTAGAAAACTATCTAGGAACAGCAAGCAGTTGCCTGCCTGCTCTTCCTTTCGAGGTAGAACTTAGTTGCTGGAGGAAACTGAGCCAGGTGCTGCCTTTTTTAAAAAATGTTTTAAATCTTGTTTTTCTCTGCCAAGTGCAAGAGCCTTTAAGTTCTGTAGAGCTGAATGGAGGGACTATGAAATCAGTCTCTTGCAACTAGCTCTATGTATGCAAATACCACGTTTTTGGCCACTGCTGGTAGTGGGAAGAATTGAAATATGACTTTAATTTAACATGCAGGCTGGATTGTTACATCAGTTAAGCATTTTTGCCCAGAGGATTTTGGGGGAATCCAGAAAAAGGACGGATATAGGTGGGAAGAGGATCTTGCTGACATGTTGCTGTCAATACTGGCTTTTTTGTTTGTTTTTTGAGACGGAGTCTCGCTCTGTCTCCCAGGCTAGAGTGCAGTGGCATGATCTTGGCTTACTACAACCTCTGCCTCCGGGGTTCAAGCAGTTCTCCTGCCTCAGCCTCCCAAGTAGCTGGGATTACAGGCGTGTGCCACCACACCTGGCTAATTTTTGTATTTTTAGTAGAGATGGGGTTTTACTATATTGGCCAGGCTGGTCTCAAACTCCTGACCTGAGGTGATCTGCCTGCCTCGGCCTCCCAGAATGCTTAGATTACAGGCAAGAACCACCGCACCAGCCAGTTCTTTGCAGAAAACCCTTACACTTTAAGAAGCCAGCTTTTCATTCTCTAAGCAAGGTAATTATTTTTAAAAGTTAGTTGGGTTATTATCTCCTAGCCTATAATTTTGGATTGCATACTCTGTAGTTCCCTTGTCATAAAGACATTTTAGGGGGAAAAATGTTCTATTGTTTTCTTTTTTTTTTTTTTCAGAGTCTCACTCTGTTGCCCAGGCTGGAGTGTAGTGGTGTGATCTCCGCTTACTGCAACCTTCATCTCCTGGGTTCAAGTGATTCTCCTTCCTCAGCTTCCCTAGTAGCTAGGATTACGGGCATGCGCTACCATGCCCGGCTAATTTTTGTATTTTTGGTAGAGATGGGGATTCACCATGTTGGCCAGGCTGGTTTCGAACTCCTGACCTCAAGTGATCCACCTGCCTCAGCTTCCCAAAGTGCTGGGATTATAGGTGTGAGCCACCACGCCTGGCCAAAAATTATTCTGTTGTTGTTTAGGGCGTCTTGGTGCTCTCTGGTGAAAAGATCTGTTGATTGAGTAATGTTTTACATCCCAGAAATGGTTTTTTGTTTTTCCCTTCCATGACAGTAAGAACTCACAGGATGGTGTCCATTAATTGCACATGATTCCCTTCTTGGCCAATGATAGATGCTTAATAACAGGGTCTCCAGTCTTATTTTCTTCTCATATCATGTTATCATGTAGCTATCTCTGCAGCACTTTCACTGACTCTTGAAGACATTCCAGGTTAGAATAAAAGTAACTTTCTCATGCCTGTAATCCCAGTGTTTTGGGAGGCTGAGGCAGGAGGATCACTTGAGGCTAGGAGTTCAAGACCAGTCTGGGCAACATAGTGAGATCACCCTTGATCCTCATCTCTACAAAAAATAAAAAGAACTTAGCCAGGCATGGTGGCCTGTGCTTGTAATTCCCGCTACCGCGGTGGCTGAGATGGGAGGATCACTTGAGTCTAGGAGTTTAAGGCTATAGTTAGCGATGATCACAGCACTGCACTCCAGCCTGGGCAACAGAGCAAGACCTGTCTCAAAAAAACAAAACAAACCTGATATTGAGAAACATTGAAATATCAGTTTTTATCAGAAATGAAAAATGGAAGTAGAATTAGGGAAGAGTGTACACGGGAGAGATTTGACTGCTGGAAATATTTTAGTTCATCTGAGTGGTAGGATCTGAGTATTTATTTGAAAATACACATTTTTTCTGGACATGGTGGCCCACACCTGTAGTCCTAGCACTTTAAGAGGCTCAGGAGGGCAGATGACTTGAAGCTAGGAGTTTGAGAGTGGCCTGGGCAGCATAGTGAGACCACCCTGTCTTTACAAAAGAAAGAAAAAATTAGCCTGGTGTGGTGGCACGTGCCTGTAGTGCCAGCTACTTGGGAAGCTGAGGTGGGAGGATCACTTAAGCCCAGGAGGTCAAGGCTACAGTGAGCCTTGATATACCTGAGCGACAGAGCAAGACCCTGTTTAAAAAAAAAAAATATATATATATATATATATATATGCACACAGACACACACACATTTTTGTATGAATTGAATAATCTATGACAGAAGCACTAAAAATGGAAGCAGAGCATTTAATAATGTTTACAAAAAAGAAATTAATTTCTGGAGGTCTTTGAGGTAATTCCATATTTAAATGTGGACCTATTTAATGGAGTGGACTACATTCTCTTGCCCCTGCCTCCACAAATTTCAGGATAAACTTACTGCCCCTACTCCGTGAGTTCGGCTCTTGGGACAACTTAGTTTGTCACAAAAGAAGTTTATGTTTCAATAGTGGAGCCATGAGTGATAAAAATCAGGGTCTTGTGGGAGTCCTTATTTTGTTTCTGGTTGTCTCTGATTCTTTGGCTGGGTGGCACCCAGTGGTTTTCTCCCCTGCAGTTGGGTTTTTCAGGGGTCATTGGCCTCTTTCATGATCTCATAAAAAGGCTGTTACCATTTAAAGAGGCCACATCTTCGCAATCCATGTTGTTCATACCTTTTCTATTTCCTTGACAGGCTGTTTTTTAGGAGATAGGGTTTGAATGATAAAGATTATCTTAATTACAAGTCTGAATTTCTAAAGCACTTCAATTTAAAAATATGAAAGAATATAGGAGAGACAGAAATCAATTTGTAAACCACTTTCAAAGCAGATCCCATGACACCCTCTGGCATACCCAGATTACTTGCCTACATATATGAATTTTAATTTTTGTGGCTGATTTACAATGACTAGATTATATACTCCTAATAATTTTTTAGCAGTATAATCTTGATACAAGAGAGAAAGCATGCTTTTAATGATATCGTTGAATTTCAAGAGATTAAAATGAATTGCTTTTTGTAATGAAAATGCATCCTGATGAAGGTATTTGTTGACTTTTTGGAAATTGGAATTGGAATGTCTTGTTTTCTGAAAATCTTGTACAAAAAGCAGTGGTCTTTGGAGAAAATATCTTTCAGTTTCTCACAGCCAAAGACTGAATTACTGCAAGCCAAAACTTTTTTTTTTTTTTGGAAGAAGGGGAAAGCAGTAAGCTTAGATGCCAAGAATTCAAGTGAAGTATTCTCTGGCCTAGTGTTTGTATTTAGTACAGATTTATCAAAATGTTATTTTTTGTGTATTTGATGTTATCACTAATGTCTATTTTAAAAGTCTTAAAGACACATTACATTGACTAAATGTAGTGTGCTCTGGGAATTCTTGTGTGTATAACCTACGTAGTGTGTAAGGTGGGAACAGAACCAAAAGGAGATCTTGTTCTGGAGAATATAGCAAACTCTGAGTTAAACTGGTTCCATAATAATGATAACTACCACTTATTTTCTCTCTCTCTCTTTTTTTTTTTTGTATTTTAGAGTTGCAAACAGGCTTTTTTTTTTTAGCTCCTATTTATGAAACACCTATCATGCGCCAGCCCTGTGCTAAGCCTTTACACATATTATTTCGTTTTATTCTCATGATAACCCAATGAGGTCAATACTATTAGGTTTTCTTTTGTATTAAACATGAAGAAACATAGGTATAAAGATACCAAGAAACTTGTCACAATCTACTAATATTTATGAACTGAAAACTGAACCCAGGTCAGCCTACTTCCAACGTCCATCTTTTTACTCTGCTACCCATGTCCCCTGACACTCAAACCACAGATACCACAAGGATGAAACCAGTGCCACTAGTTTTTTCCTGTGGGAGCCCATTGAAACCTCAAAACTACCTCATTTTAGATGAAGGAACATGGACTCAGCTAAGTAGTTCTCTGAAGGACACAGAGCTGGCGATCACAGATTCAAACCCAGGACTTTTTGGTGTGAGATCATCTCTAGACATGAAACTAAACAGTGGGTCCTAGGATTACCTAGGTCAGTCAGTAATTTTTAAACAGATTGAACCCGGGAGGGTTCAAGTGATTCTCCTGCCTCAGCCTCCCAAGTAGCTGGGATTACAGGCATATACCACCACGCCCGGCTAATTTTGTATTTTTAGTAGAGACAGGGTTTCTCCATGTTGGTCACGCTGGTCTCAAACTCCCGACCTCAGGTGATCCACCCGTCTCCGCCTCCAATAGTGCTGGGATTACAGGCATGAGCCACTGTGCTTGGCCAGGTTTATTTTTTTTTAATCTATTTTTAATTTTTCTCAGACATTGGGAGGCTGAGGCGGGTAGATCACCTGAGGTCAGGAATTGGAGACCAGCCTGCTCAACATGCCAAGATCGTGCCATTGAACTCCAGCCTGGGCAATAAGAGTGAAACTCCATCTTAAAAATTAAAAAAAAAAAATCATAGAATCAAGACTGTGACAACAGAAAATTAAGACTAGTTGTCATTTGAGACCATTCGTGAGAACATATGGTTCTCACAATGAGAACAAATGGTTACCAACAACCGTTTTCCTACACCATGAGACGGAGTTCCTACACCATGAGATGGAGGCTGGAGTGCAATGGCACGATCTTGGCTCACCGCAACTTCTGTCTGCCAGGTTCAAGTGATTCTCCTGCCTCAGCCTCCTGAGTAGGTGGGATTACAGGCATGCACCACCATGCCTGACTAATTTTGTATTTTTAGTAGAGACAGAATTTCTCCATGTTGGTCAAGCTGCTCTCGAACTCCCAACCTCAGGTGATCCACCCACCTTGGCCTCCCAAAGTGCTGGGATTACAGGCGTGAGCCACTGCACTGCGCCCAGCCTTTGGGATTACAGGTGTGAGCCACCGCGCCCAGTCTTTTTTTTTTTTTTTTTTTTTTGAGATGGCATTTCACTCTTGTCACCCAGGCTGGAGTGCAATGGTGCGATCTTGGCTCCCTGCAACCTCCACCTCTCTGGTTCAAGCGATTCTCATGCCTCAGCCTCCCGAGTAGCTGGGATTACAGGCGCCCACCACCACGCCCAGCTACTTTTTGTATTTTTAGTAGAGACAGGGTTTCACCATGTTGGCCAGGCTGGTCTCGAACTCCTGACCTCAGGTGATCTGTCCACCTCAGGTGATCTGTGCACCTCAGCCTCCCAAAGTGCTAGGATTACAGGTGTGAGCCACAGTGCCAGGCCGATGCTGTGATCTTGAGAGAGACTGTTGATATCCTACTATAGTGAGCTTTGCTTTTGCTTAGAGCTTCATCTTATTTTGGGTCTGGGTAGGCAATCTGAAAAGACCCGGGTCAAAACCCAGAGTCAAGTGGTGAGACTCCATCTCCACAAAAATTAAATATTTAGACTGGCGTGGTGGCACATGCCTGTGGTCCCAGCTATTCGGGCAGCTGAGGTGGGAGGATTGCTTGAACCCAGGAGGTTGAGGCTGTAGTGAGCTGAGTTAGCACTACTGCACTCCAGTCCAGGTGACAGAGTGAGACCCTGTCTCAAAAAAAAAGAAAAAGAAAAAGACCTGTGGGATCTTGTAGAAGGGATTTTAGAACCAGCAGTCTTTGGATTGAGTCAGGAGAAAGAAAAGAGGGACATTTCTGGGTTTGGGCAGTGTCCACCACAATGCCTTCCTTAGACATAGCAGGTACTCAACAGATGTATTGGACCTGTGAGTCTTATTTGTAACCTAATTTGTCAATACTGTCTCCTGAGATTTTATGCTGTTTTGGTGTGCATGTGAAAAGCTCAAAATCTGTGGATTGTTAATTGGAATGTGGTAGGAATACTGCTGGATCTCCAGGCAGGAGAGTTTCTTTTTTTTTTTTTTTTTTTTTTTTGAGATGGAGTCTAGCTCTGTCACCCAGGCTGGAGTGCAGTGGTGCAATCTCGGCTCACTGCAAGCTCTGCCTCCCGGGTTCACGCCATTCTCCTGCCTCAGCTTCCCAAGTAGTTGGGACTACAGGTGCCCGCCACCAGGCCCGGCTAATATTTTTTGTATTTTTAGTAGAGATGGGGTTTCACCGTGTTAGCCAGGATGGTCTCGATCTCCTGACCTCGTGATCCGCCCACCTCGGCCTCCCAAAGTGCTGGGATTACAGGCGTGAATCACCACGCCTGGCCAGTTTCTTACCTTATATGAGCCTCTTCTTCCTCTGGTTTAACCAGCTTTACTGTCAAACAGATGATACTTCTCCCAGTATAGGGATATGCTCAGGAAAGAGATAATTTTTAAAGTATCCAAATTTGTAAAGATTGGGATTTAAGCTTTAAAACATATATAATGGCTAGGCATGCTGGTTCACACCCGTAATCTCCGCACTTGGGGAGGCGGGGAGGATTGCTTGGGGCCAGGAGTTCAAGGTTACAGTGAGGTATGATCATGTCACTGCACTGCAGCCTGGGCAACAGGGAGACCTGTTTCAAAAAAATAATAATAATAAATTAATTAATTAAAAATGCATGAAACTACAAGGGGTGTGGTTTCTAATGTAGAGAAAACCCCATGCTTACCTTATTTGAGGAACTTCATCAACTTAAATCATTTGTTGTAGCAATTAAAGAAGCTTTATAGTGAATCTAAGGTTTAAAGGATACTTTAGTATTTTTTCTTTTTTAAAATAATTTCAACTCTTTTAGGTTCAGGGGGTACATGTGCAGGTTTGTTACATGGGCATATTGTGTGGTACTGTGGTTTGGGGTGCAATTGGTCCTGTCACCCAGGTAGTGAACATAGTACCCAAAAGTTTTTCTTTTTTTTTTCTTTTTTTTTGAGATGGAGTCTTGCTCTGTCACCCAGGCTGGAGTGCCATGGTGCAATCTCAGCTCACTGCAACCTCTGCCTCCCGGGTTCAAGTGATTCTCCTGCCTCAGCCTCCGGAGTAGCTGGGATTACAGGCGCCTGCCACCACGCCCGGCTAATTTTTGTATTTTTGGTAGAGACGGGGTTTCACCATGTTGGCCAGGCTGGTCTCAAACTCCTGACCTCAGGTGATCCACCTGCCTCGGCCTCCCAAAGTGCTGGGATTACAGGCGTGAGCCACCGCGCCCAGCCAGTACCGGATAGTTTTTCAACCCTTGTCTCCATCCCTCCCTCCTTCTCTAGTAGTCCCCAGTGTCTATTATGGCCATCTTTATGTCCATGAGTACCTGATAAGTGAGAACATCAGATATTTGGTTTTCTGTCCCTGCATTAATTCACTTGGGATATTTTAGTACTTTCTGTGTTGATTATATTTTTCTTTTGCAGTAAACAATTCTCAGTTCCATGATTTTAATTATTTTTAATTTTTTTTTTGAGACAGAGTCTTGCTCTGTCACCCAGGCTGGAGTGCAGTGGCGTGATCTTGGCTCACTTCAAGCTCCGCCTCCCGGGTTCACGCCATTCTCCTGCCTCAGCCTCCTGAGTAGCTGGGACTACGGGCACCCGCCGCCACGCCCAGCTCATTTTTTTTTTGTATTTTTAGTAAAGATGGGGTTTCACCGTGTTAGGCAGGATGGTCTCGATCTCCTGACCTCCTGATCTGCCTGCCTCAGCCTTCCAAAGTGCTGGGATTACAGGTGTGAACCACCGCGCCTGGCCTAATTATTTTTAAATTTTTGTCATTTTCTATTTTTGTTATTTTATTTTATTTATTTTATTTTATTATTATTTTTCTGAGATGGAGTCTCGCTGTGTCACCCAGGCTGGAGTGCAATGGTGCAATCTCGGCTCACTGCAACCTCCGTCTCCTGGGTTCAAGAGATTCTCCTGCCTTAGCCTCCTGAGTAGCTGGGATTACAGGCGCCTGCCACCACGTCTGGCTAATTTTTGTATTTTAGTAGAGACAGGGTTTTGACACGTTGGCCAGGCTGGTCTCGAACTTCTGATCTCAGGTGACCCACCCACCTCGGCCTCCCAAAGTGCTGGGATTACAGGCATGAGCCACCACGCCCAGCCCTGTTATTTTATTTTATTTCATTTTATTTTTTGAGATGGAGTCTCACTCTGTCACCCAGGCTGGAGTGCAATGGCGCAATCTCGGCTCACCGCAATCTCCGCCTCCTGGGTTCAAGTGATTCTCCTGCTTCAGCCTCCTGAGTAGTTGAGATTATAGGTGTGCACCACCACACTCAGCTAATTTTTTTTTTTTTTTGGCCAGGCTAGTCTGAAACTCCTGACCACCTCAGGCTCCCAAAGTGCTAGGATTACAGGCGTGAGCCACTGCGCCTGGCAATTTTTGTATTTTTAGTAGAGATGGGGTTTCACCATGTTGGCCAGGCTGGTCTCAAACTCCTGACCTCATGATCCACCTGCCTTGGCCTCCCAAAGTGCTGGGATTACAGGCATGAGCCACCGCACCTGGCCACTGTTTTTATGAGTTGGAGTCTGCCTATGTAGCCCAAGCTGGTCTTGAACTCCTGGCCTCAAGTCATCTTCCTGCCTCAGTCTCCTAAAATGCTGGGATCACAGGCATGAAACACTGCTCCTGGTCCTTACTTTTAACTGGCCGGGCACGCTGGTTCACACCTGTAATCCCAGCACTAGGGGAGGCCAAGGTGGGTGGATGGCTTGAGCCCAGTTAGAGACCAGCCAGGGCAACATGGCGAAAACATGTCTCTACAAAAAATACAAAAATTAGCCAGGTGTGATGGTGTGAGCCTGCAGTCCTAGCTACTTGGGGGGCTGAAGTGGGAAGATTGCTTGAGCCTGGGTAGGTCCAGGCTGTGCTGAGCTGTGATCATGCCTCTGCACTCCAGCCTGGGCAACAGAATGAGACCCTGTCTCAAAAAAATAAAATAAAACAATTAGTAGTGAATATTCTATTTCAAATAGGGGAATGCATAGGAAAAAGACTCACTTCAGTGTATTCTGTTGTTATTTCAGACCAAAACCTTGTGTGACTGAGCTGAAGAGCAGTGCATCCAGATTCTCCTCAGAAGTGAGACTTTCCAAAGGACCAATGACTCTGTTTCCTGCGCCCTTTCATTTTTTCCTACTCTGTAGCTATGTCTCGATCCCGCCATGCAAGGCCTTCCAGATTAGTCAGGAAGGAAGATGTAAACAAAAAAAAGAAAAACAGCCAACTACGAAAGACAACCAAGGGAGCCAACAAAAATGTGGCATCAGTCAAGACTTTAAGCCCTGGAAAATTAAAGCAATTAATTCAAGAAAGAGATGTTAAGAAAAAAACAGAACCTAAACCACCCGTGCCAGTCAGAAGCCTTCTGACAAGAGCTGGAGCAGCACGCATGAATTTGGATAGGACTGAGGTTCTTTTTCAGAACCCAGAGTCCTTAACCTGCAATGGGTTTACAATGGCGCTACGAAGCACCTCTCTTAGCAGGCGACTCTCCCAACCCCCACTGGTCGTAGCCAAATCCAAAAAGGTTCCACTTTCTAAGGGTTTAGAAAAGCAACATGATTGTGATTATAAGATACTCCCTGCTTTGGGAGTAAAGCACTCAGAAAATGATTCGGTTCCAATGCAAGACACCCAAGTCCTTCCTGATATAGAGACTCTAATTGGTGTACAAAATCCCTCTTTACTTAAAGGTAAGAGCCAAGAGACAACTCAGTTTTGGTCCCAAAGAGTTGAGGATTCCAAGATCAATATCCCTACCCACAGTGGCCCTGCAGCTGAGATCCTTCCTGGGCCACTGGAAGGGACACGCTGTGGTGAAGGACTATTCTCTGAAGAGACATTGAATGATACCAGTGGTTCCCCAAAAATGTTTGCTCAGGACACAGTGTGTGCTCCTTTTCCCCAAAGAGCAACCCCCAAAGTTACCTCTCAAGGAAACCCCAGCATTCAGTTAGAAGAGTTGGGTTCACGAGTAGAATCTCTTAAGTTATCTGATTCTTACCTGGATCCCATTAAAAGTGAACATGATTGCTACCCCACCTCCAGTCTTAATAAGGTTATACCTGACTTGAACCTTAGAAACTGCTTGGCTCTTGGTGGGTCTACGTCTCCTACCTCTGTAATAAAATTCCTCTTGGCAGGCTCAAAACAAGCGACCCTTGGTGCTAAACCAGATCATCAAGAGGCCTTCGAAGCTACTGCAAATCAACAGGAAGTTTCTGATACCACCTCTTTCCTAGGACAGGCCTTTGGTGCTATCCCACATCAATGGGAACTTCCTGGTGCTGACCCAGTTCATGGTGAGGCCCTGGGTGAGACCCCAGATCTACCAGAGATTCCTGGTGCTATTCCAGTCCAAGGAGAGGTCTTTGGTACTATTTTAGACCAACAAGAAACTCTTGGTATGAGTGGGAGTGTTGTCCCAGACTTGCCTGTCTTCCTTCCTGTTCCTCCAAATCCAATTGCTACCTTTAATGCTCCTTCCAAATGGCCTGAGCCCCAAAGCACTGTCTCATATGGACTTGCAGTCCAGGGTGCTATACAGATTTTGCCTTTGGGCTCAGGACACACTCCTCAATCATCATCAAACTCAGAGAAAAATTCATTACCTCCAGTAATGGCTATAAGCAATGTAGAAAATGAGAAGCAGGTTCATATAAGCTTCCTGCCAGCTAACACTCAGGGGTTCCCATTAGCCCCTGAGAGAGGACTCTTCCATGCTTCACTGGGTATAGCCCAACTCTCTCAGGCTGGTCCTAGCAAATCAGACAGAGGGAGCTCCCAGGTCAGTGTAACCAGCACAGTTCATGTTGTCAACACCACAGTGGTGACTATGCCAGTGCCAATGGTCAGTACCTCCTCTTCTTCCTATACCACTTTGCTACCGACTTTGGAAAAGAAGAAAAGAAAGCGATGTGGGGTCTGTGAACCCTGCCAGCAGAAGACCAACTGTGGTGAATGCACTTACTGCAAGAACAGAAAGAACAGCCATCAGATCTGTAAGAAAAGAAAATGTGAGGAGCTGAAAAAGAAACCATCTGTTGTTGTGCCTCTGGAGGTAAGCAAACAGTCAAGGGGCTGGGAGACAGCTGACACTTGGTATAGTGATCTATATGCAGAGACACTTCTAGTGTCTCTAGTGTCTCTATGTAATAGTGAATTGCTTCACTATTACATATTTTTACTTTGGTACAATGTTACTTTAAGTTATCCATAAAAGAATTCCTGGACCTACCTGAAGTATGTCTTGTGCAGTGATGCCTTAGCTAGCTTATTTTTAGAATTTGTCCCAGAAAACTAGAACATACAGTTTTTTTCTCATTACAGGATTTGATGGAAACATAGAGAAATTGTATGAAATGTGTTTTTGCAGAGATTTCCCCTATGCCTCTTTTGGCTAGTTGCATGTCTTTTTTGGCAGTCACAGATTTAAAAATTAAGAGTGGAACAAATTCATTAACTCCATAGCAGCCTGAAAAACCAGAGGAATTAAACATCTTTCCTTTTGAAAGAACACAGTTGCATCCCTAATCTTGAAACTTTGTTTTGGAGACATAGCAATAATACAGCTTTTGTCTCAACTTTTGGTGAGTGATTTCTACCTGCTCTACCAACCTCATAGGGTTGTTGGGATTAAAGGAAAATGGCTTGTAAACTCCAAAGTGATACACAAACATTAGTTCTTATTATAGTTTATGAACCTAAGGTAGTTAAAGGATCTGTTGATTTAGAATTTATTTAAAAACTTTTAGGGAGCTTGGTTAAAACCCAGTATTGCTTTTTTGGCCTTTTGAAACACCTGTCAAATATGATGTTTTGTGATTTTTAGATCACGCATTAAAGTTATGTTTATTACATCTACTATGAATGCAGGTATGGTAGAATAGATGGACTTAGAAGTATTGTAGGCCTGGTGTGGTGGCTTACGCCTGTAATCCCAACACTTTGAAAGGCCGAGGCGGGCAGATCACCTGAGGTCAGGAGTTTGGGACGAGCCTGGCTGACGTGGTGAAACCCCATCTCTACTAAAAACACAAAAATTAGCTGGGCGTGGTGGCGGGTGCCTGTAATCCCAGCTACTCTGGAGGCTGAGGCAGGAAAATCACTTGAACCCAGGAGGCAGAGGTTACAGTGAGCCAAGATTGCGCCATTGCATTCCAGCCTAGGCCACAAAAGCGAAACTCTGTCTCAAAAATAAATAAATAAATAAATAAATAAATAAATAAAGTATTGTGGTTGGGCATGGTGGTTTACACCTGTAATCCCAGGACTTTGGGAGGCCAAGGTGGCGGATCACTTGAGGTCAGGAGTTCGAGACCAACATGGGGTGAAACCCCATCTCTACTAAAAATACAAAATTAGCTGGGCATAGTGGTGCACACTGGTAGTCCCAGCTACTCAGGAGGCTGAGGCAGTAGAATCGCTTGAACCCGGGAGGCGGAGGTTTCAGTGAGACGTCATCGTGCCACTGCACTACAGCCTGGACAACAAGAGTGAAACTCCATCTCAAATAAATAAATAAATAAATAAATAAATAAATAAATAGGCCGGGCGCGGTGGCTCACACCTGTAATCCCAGTACTTTGGGAGGCCGAGGTGGGCCGATCACAAGGTCAGGAGATCGAGACCATCCTGGCTAACACGGTGAAACCCCGTCTCTACTAAAAATACAAAAATTAGCCGGGCGTGACGGCGTGCGCCTGCAGTTCCAGCTGCTGGGGAGGCTGAGGCAGGAGAATGGCGTGAACCCGGGAGGCGGAGCTTGCAGTGAGCCGAGATTGTGCCACTGCACTCCAGCCTGGGTGACAGAGTGAGACTCCATCTCAAAAAAAAAAAAAAATTAAATAAATAAATAAATGAATAAATAAAAGTGTTGTGAGGCTGGTCATGGTGGCTCACACCTGTAATCCCAGAACTTTGGGAGGCTGAGGTGGACAGATCACTTGAGGAGTTCGAGACCAGCCTGGCCAACCTGGCAAAACCCCATCTCTACTAACAATACAAAAATTAGCCAGGAGTGGTGGTGCATGCCTGTAGTCCAAGCTACTTTGGAGGCTCAGGCACAAGAATCACTTGAACCTCGGAAGCAGAAGTTGCAGCGAGTGGAGGTTGCGCCACTGCACTCCAGCAGGGGCAACAGAGAGACCCTGTCTCAAAAAAAAAAAAAAAAGTATTGTGAGGTTTAGGCCAGGCATGGTGGCTCATGTCTGTAATCTCAGCACTTTGGGAGGGCTCAGGCAGGTGGACTGCTTGAGCCTAGGAGGTCGAAATCAGCCTGGGCAACATAGCAAGACCTCATCTCTACTAAAGATACAAAACTAACTGGGTGTGATGGCACGCTCCTGTAGTCCCAACTACTTGGGAGGCTGCAGTGAGAGGATCGCCTGATCCTGGGAAGTCAAGGCTGCAGTGAACAGTGATGGTGCCACTGCATTCCAGCCTGGTTGACAGCAATGAGACCCTGTCTCAAAAATAAATAAATAAATAAAAAGTACTGTGAACTTAAAATTCAGGAAACTGTTTCTATTTCTTTTTTTGTTTTTCATTTTCTTTTCTGAGACAGAGTCTCACTCTGTCACCCAGGCTGAAGTACAGTGGCATGATCTCGGCTCCCAAGTTCAAGCAACTTCTCCCTCCCAAGTTCAAGTGATTCTCTCTTGCTTCAACCTCCTGCATAGCTGGGATTACAGGCACCCACCACCATACCTGGCTAATTTTTGTATTTTTTTTTTTTGAGAGAGTCTCACTCTGTTGCCCAGGCTGGAGTGCAGTGGCGCGATCTCGGCTCACTGCAAGCTCTGCCTCCTGGGTTCACGCCATTCTCCTGCCTCAGCCTCCTGAGTAGCTGTGACTACAGGTGCCCGCCACCGCGCCCGGCTAATTTTTTTTGTATTTTTAGTAGAGACAGGGTTTCACCGTGTTAGCCAGGATGGTCCCGATCTCCTGACCTCACGATCCACCCGCCTTGGCCTCCCAAAGTGCTGGGATTACAGGCGTGAGCCACCGTGCCCAGCCTTAATTTTTGTATTTTTAATAGAGACAGGGTTTTGCCATGTTGGCCAGGCTGGTCTCCATCTCCTGACCTCAGATGATCTGCCTGCATTGGCCTCCCAAAGTGCTGGGATTACAGGCGTGAGCCACCGTGCCTGGCCTTCTATTTCATTCTTGACTTAAATTATCAGTTTAAAAATGCTGATTTTGGCTGCTTGTGGCACTTCGAGAGGCTGAGGGGAGAGGATTACTTGAGGCCAGGAGTTTGAGACCAACATAAGCAACATAGCAAGACCTCATCAAAAAACAAAAAACAAACAAACAAACAAAATCATAGCTGGGCCGGGTGCATTGGCTCACTCCTAGAATCCCAGAACTTTGGGAGGCCAAGGCAGGCAGATCACCTGAGGTCAGGAGTTTGAGACCAGCCTGGCCAACATGGTGAAACCCTGTCTCTACTAAAAATACAAAAAATAGCAGAGCATGGTGGTGCCCACCTGTTAATCCCAGCTACTCTGGAGGCTAAGGCAGGAGAATCGCTTGAACCTGGAGGGGGGCGTTGCAGTGAGCCAAGATCGCATAATTGCACTCCAGCATGGGCGACAGAGCAAGACACTGTCTCAAAAAACAAGAAACAAAAAAACATATCTGGGTATGTTGGCATGCACCTGTATTCCCAGTTACATGAGAGGCTGAGGTGGGAGGATAGCTTGAGCCCAAGAGTTCAAGGCTGCAGTTAGCTATGATGGCACCATTGCATACCAGCTTCAGTGACAGAGCCTGACCCTGTCTCAATAAATAAATAAATAACACTGATTTTTTATTTGTCTGAGCCACTGCAAATGAGAAATCAGACATTTAATAAATCATGTATTGATGGGCATTTAAAGTGTTTCTAAAATACTTTGTTGTAAAAAATCTTACTGAGCCTGTAATCCCAGCACTTTGAGAGAGGCCAATGTATGCTGGGCGCGGTGGCTGGCAAGAGGATTGCTTGAGCCCAAGACTTTGAGATAAATAAACTGGGCAACATAGCGACATAAACCTCTACACCAAAATTTTATTTTATTTTATTTTATTTATTTATTTTTGAGACAAAGTCTCGCTCTGTCACCCAGGCTGGAGTGCAGTGGCGTGATCTCAGCTCACTGCGACCTCCACCTCCCGGGTTCAAGCAATTCTCCTGCCTCAGCCTGCCGAGTAGCTGGGATTACAGGCACCTGCCACCATGCCCGGCTAATTTTTGTATTTTTAGTAGAGACGAGGTTTCACCACGTTGGCCAGCCTGGTCATGAACTCCTGACTCAGGTGATCTGCCTGCCTCGGCCTCACAAAGTGCTGCGATTACTGCGCGTGGCTGATTTTTGATTCTTTATAATATTTTAATTCTTTTTTTAAAGCCCCAACCATGGCAAGGACAGATTTTGAAGTTTTTAACGAGTCCTGATAAGAATTTTTACATTTAGCTAGGATTTGGACAAAGCCACCCATTCAGACATTTTCAGGAGCAAAATGGAAAAAGATCTTATTTGATGCTGAGTGACGGATACACATGGGGGACAAAGGGGATGCTTTTGCTTTGAATAGTGTTGCTAATTGCCAATTTCTGGTCTAACTTGGGGTGCTGGGATTGTAGGCATGAGTCACCATGCCCAGCCCCAAAATTTAAAAAAAAGAAAAAATTTGCCGGGCGTGATAGCTCATGCCTGTGGTCCCAGCTACTTGGGATGCTGAGGTGGGAAGATTGCGTGAACCTGTGAAGCTGAGGTTGCAGTGAGCTATGATCGCGCCACTGCACTCCAGCCTGGGTGACATAGCAAGACCCTGTCTGAAAAAAAATAATAACTACCTTACTGAAATGTATAATCTTTTACTCAATCAAGTCACGTCACACATGTGGGAATAGATAAAATGTGGCCAGTTACTGATGGTTTACAAAGTAACATTTAGCAATATCTCTAGTAGAGAGACCTCCCTTGTAAGTTACTGGTTTGTAGCATTGCCAAATGACATCATTGTAAAAAACACTGTATCTCTAATGGATATGAACACATTTGTTCTATTCTTTCTCAAACCTGCTCTTTCTCTTGCATTACATGTTTGGTTCAGTGCCATAACAAATGATTACCCAAAATAGAATATTCAGTATCCTCGCCTCCTTTGCTCATCCATCCAAATTCTCTTGTTCTACAAGTTCTGAGCGCTACCACCTCTCCATTTTCTTGGCCACTGCTATATTGAGGCCTTTATTTCTTCATCAGGATAACTTCAGTGCTATCTTTACTATCAACAAGTATTGCACTTCTCCTAGGCTATGCACTGGAAATCCAATCATGAGCATTCTAGCCACCAGGGAAATCAGGAAGCTGAATAACAAGCTCCCCTTAGGGGAGTTCAAGTTTTCCTTCTGAAAAACATGATTCTCCTATCTAACTACATGTAGTGTTCTCTTTATGTGATATATTTCACTCAAAATAAAAGAAATAGAGCAAAACTTTCAGGGCCTTCGAATGATTAGATGAAGCCTAGATTCATTAGCAGGGAATACAGCACCTTTAAGATTTTTGCAAAACCCACTTCTGTCTTGTTTGCCTTCATGTATCTTCACCTTCTACTTGCTGCAGCAGTATACGACTGCATACATTTCCCCAGTGCATACTCTTGCCTCAGTCTCCAGGCCCAAGTGATGCCCTTCTTCCTTTCTCTCTCTTCTTTTTTTGAGACAGACTCTCACACCTTCCTTCTTCTTTTTTTTTTTTTCAGATAGAATTTCACTCTTGTTGCCCAGGCTGGAGTGCAGTGGTGCAATCTCAGCTCACTGGAACCTCTGCCTCCCGGATTCAAGTCATTCTCCTGCCTCAGCCTACCTAGTAGCTGGGATTACAGGTGCACACCACCACGCCCAGCTAATTTTGTATTTTTAATAGAGATGGGGTTTCTCCATGTTGGTCAGGCTGGTCTCAAACTCCTCTCCTCAGGTGATCCACCCCCCTTGGCCTCCCAAAGTGCTGGGATTATAGGCATGAGCCACTGTGCCCGGCCGAGTCTCACTCTTTCACCTGGCCTATTTTATTATTAATTTTTATCTTATTTTTCAGTATGAACCAATGCATTTTTATTATATTCAATTTTTTTTTTTTTTTTTTTTTTTTTGAGACAGAGTCTTGCTCTGTCACCCAGGTTGGAGTGAGGTGGCATGGTCATGGCTCACTGCAGCCCTGACCTCCGGGCTCAAGTCATTCACCCACCTCAGCCTCCCAGTAGCTGGTACTACAGGCACATGTCTGGCCAACTTAAAAATCTTTTGTAGAAGGCCGGGCACGGTGGCTCATGCCTGTAATCCTAGCACTTCGGGAGGCCAAGGAAGGTAGATCACTTGAGGTCAGGAGTTCAAGACCAGCCTGGCCACATGGTGAAAACCCATCTCTACCAAAAATTCAAAAAAAATTAGCCGGGTGTGGTGGTGCATGCCTATAATCTCAGCTATTTGGGAGGCTGAGGCAGGAGAATGGCGTGAACCCAGGAGACGGAGGTTGGGGTGAGCCAAGATCGCACCATTGCACTCCAGCCTGGGCAACAAGAGCGAAACTCCATCTCAAAAAAAAAAAAAAAAAAAAAAAATATATATATATATATATGGCGTGATGGTGGCCCACACTTTTGTAATCCCAACTACTCAGGAGGCTGAGGTGGCAGATGGCTTGAGCCTGGGAGGTTGAGGCTGCAGTGAGCTGTGATCTCTCCACCGCACTCTAGCCTTGGTGGCAGTGAGACTGTGTCTCAGAAAATATGTGTAAATTCTGAAGGAGTCTCTGAATTTATTCTCGTTTGAAGGTTGCCTGTAAGAAATAAAATATATTTAGCCCCTAAAGCCATGTACCATTTCTCAGAATGTTGACTGCTAACTCCTCGGATAAGTGAAAACAACCTTAGACTTTATTAAGTCATAGATTACATTGTAGTCTCCCATTCTTTAATTGTATGACAGTGTGTTATGTAATCTTCTGAGAGGTATCTTTTGGTCATGGAAAAAAACTTAATTTGTCATCTGTCAAGCCTAATTCAGCTTACTCTTCTTGATGTTCAGAATTACAGATAATTAAAACTGCTAGCTTTGTCACTCTCAGTCATCTAGGAATTTGCTTTCGGTTAGGGTTTTCCTTCTATGTGTTTGTAATTTTGAAAATACTATAAATAGGGTAGTGCATTTTGAAACATATGCACTACCCTATTTATTGAACAGTGAGAGATTGTTACAAAAAAGGAACGGGGGACTGTAGAGCTATTCGCAGACATTAGAGAGTAGGTGCTTTGGCTAAGCTACACTTTCACAAGTAATTTTTAGTATGTGTGAAAGCCAAAGAAAACAAAATTGGCCATGGGGACTGGCACATGCCTGTAACCCCACCACTTTAGGAGGCCGTGGCAGGCAGATTGCTTGAGCCCTGGCATTGGAGACCAGCCCAGGCAACATGGTGAAACCCCGTTTCTCCAAAAAAATACAAAAATATTAGCTGCGCATGGTGGCATGTGCCTATAGTACCAGCTTCTCGGGAGGCTGAGGCAGGAGGATAGCTTGAGCTCAGGAGGTGGAGGCTGTAGTGAGCTTAGATCACACTACAGCCTGGGCGACAGAGTGAGACCGTGTCTCAAAAAAAAAAAAAGGAAAGCAATCTAAAGTCGTGGACTATATCCCTGAAGATAGGGTCTTCATATATCTCTAGCCAGGTGATTTTGGTGTAGTATCATGCATTTAATTAACTTTCATTGAATGACTGGACAATTAGTTTGCAAGTTTAGTCAAACTGAAATAATCTCTCATATTTACTCTGGTTAATGTATTTTTTGTCTAAAATATTAAAGGGCTATTATGTACTTGGTTAGTTTAAATAGAAGCATATTAGATGACACTATTTTTTTTTTTTTTTTATGGAAATGGAGTTTTGCTCTTGTTGCCCAAGCTGTTGTGCAATGGCACAATCTTGGTCACCACAACCTCCACCTCCTGGATTCAAGCAATTCTCCTGCCTCAGCCTCCCGAGTAGCTGGGATTACAGGCATGCACCACTACGCCTGGCTAATTTTGTATTTTTAGTAGAGACAATGTTTCTCCATGTTGGTCAGGCTGGTCTTGAACTAACCTCAGGTGATCCGCCCACCTCGTCCTCCCAAAGAGCTGGGATTACAGGCATGAGCCACCGCACCTGGCCTTAGATGACACTATTAAGTCAGCTAATGTGCCATGTTCATTACCACGCTAGCCTCTTAATTAATGCAAATTCCACTGGAAAAAAAATTGTAATACCTACATGGGCTGTGTTTCAGGAGCTAAAAAGTTAAGTAGTGTTAATATGATACAAATTGAACGACTGACTGTCCACTATTTTATGTGCAGGCCTTTCCATGTGATAATTGTCTAGTTCCAGGGCTGTCATTTCAGAATTACTTGACACACTTGTATTATTTTATCCCTTTTGGTGGCAGTGGGGGTGGGGCTAGCCTCTCTTGGCCATTGCTTTTCTCAGTTTTCAAACAGCCGTATCTCATTATGGCATATGTTACATATGGCATATGGAACAAATTTTTGCTACCAACTCTTTCAATTGAGGGCAGATGTTATATGTACTTAAATATGCCTTTAAGGAATCTCTTTGTATCACTACTGAGACTTCAGTAGCATACTGCACCACAGAACTGGACTTGGGGAAAAAAACCAAAAAACAAACTTTTGTTGTTTAGTAGATATTCGTGTATAACCTCCAAGTTTGTCAGTATAAAGGCATGTAGACTGATTCTGACCCATGGGTGTTAATTTCTGAAATTTTGTCACAGCAGTTCAAATCTTACCCTGTCATTTCGTATGTGTTATCTTTTCCAGGAAGAAAAATTTGTAAAACTGGCCAACATCTTCATCTAGTGTCAGCATAATCCAAGTTACACTGTGATGTAATATTGAGCACCCTATTATCGTGCATGTTTATTTTGCTGCAGGGCTTAACTTCAGATCTCTTTTTGTTGGTCAGGCTTTTGGTTTTTTATTCCAGGGTGGTATTTCAAGAATTGACTATATCAAAGCTGCAAAAGTCCTTTTCAAGTAGCCAGCCACTGTGGGACTATGATGGATAATGGCACAAATGTTACCAGGAGGGGTAGGAGAAAGCATCTCCTTTTGCATTATTATCATACTAAAATAAGACACAACTTCCAAATGAATCAGACTAATCTAAACAATTCAGGGCATTACCTTGACAATGAGACCCAGTGCTCAAGACATATCCAGAAGGTGTTGGCTAATTATCATCAGCTTTTCATGTCTGCTATGAGTGCAACAAAAGAGAAATTTTGCTTTTTACTGATTTAATTATGCACCATTAACACCAAGTCACTGTTTCTAAAGAAGGCCCTGATGTTCTCCTGCAGAGAGAGCAGTAGAAGTGAGATGCTTGACCGGACACGGTGGCTCTCGCCTGTAATCCCAGCACTTCGGGAGGCCGAGGCAAGCAGATCATGACGTCAAGAGATCAAGACCATCCTGGCTAACATGGTGAAACCCCATCTCTACTAAAAATACAAAAATTAGCTGGGCATGATGGCGCGTGTCTGTAGTCCTAGCTACTCAGGAGGCTGAGGCAAGAGGATCGCTTGAACCTGGGAGGCGGAGGTTGCAGTAAGCTGAGATTGAACCACTGCACACCAGTCTGGCGACAGAGACTCTGTCTCCAAAAAAAAAAGACATGCTTATATTAACTTCCAAAGCCCAAGCCCTGGATTAGGGGGTGCTAACAGCACATAACAAGTGCTCAAGAAATATTTGTTGAACAAATGATTGAATTAGTGAATGAATAAAATATCTTTTTTTTTTTTTAATTTTTTTGAGACAGTCTTGCTTTGTCGCCCAGGCTAGAATGCGGTGGCGCGATCTCGGCTCACTGCAACCTCCGCCTCCCAGGTTCAAGCGATTCTCCTGTCTCAGCCTCCCGAGTAGCTGGGATTATAGGCACACCCCACCACACCCAGCTAATTTTTTTTTATTTTTATTAGAGATGGGGTTTCACCATGTTGGCCAGGCTGGTCTTGAACTCCTGACCTCAGGTGATCCATCTGCCTCAGCCTCCCAAAGTGCTGGGATTACAGGAGTGAGCCACTGCGCCCGGCCATGAGTGAGTAAAATCTTACAAATACATATGAGTCAGCCTATTTTTCATATGACAATGTCTGTTAAAAGAAAAAAAAAGAAAATGGGCTGGGTGCAGTGGTTCAGGCCTGTAATCCCAGCACTTTGGGAGTCCAGGGCTGGCAGATCACTTGAGGCCAGAAGTTCGAGACCAGCCTGGCCAACATGGTTAAACCCCGTCTCTACGAAAAATGCAAAAATTAGCCAGGCGTGGTGGCATGCACCTGTAATCCCAGCTATGAGGGAGGCTGAGGCAGGAGAATTGCTTGAACCCAGGAGGCAAAGGTTGCAGAGAGCTGAGATCGCACCACTGCACTCCAGCCCGGGTGACAGAGTGAGACTCCGTCTCAGGGAACAAACAAAACAAAAAAAGTATACTGTAAACCATACATTTTATTCCATATGCAGTATACTATAGCAGCTAGTACCCCAAAACAACATTGTATTAGTTTATTCTACACATATCTCTTTTTTTTTTTTAGGCAAAATCTCGCCCTGTTGCCCAGTCTGGAGTGCAGTGGTGCGATCTAAGCTCACTGCAACCTCCGTCTCCCGGGTTCAAGCGATTTTCCTGCCTCAGCCTCCAGAATAGCTGGGACTACAGGCGCCTGCCACCATGCCCAGCTAATTTTTTTGTGTTTTTGTTTTGTTTTGCTTTGTTCGAGTCAGAGTTTTGCTATTGTTGCCCAGTCTTGAGTGCAATGGCATGATCTTGGCTCACTGAATCCTCTGCCTCCCGGGTTCAATCGATTCTCCTGCCTCAGCCTCCCGAGTAGCTGGGATTAAAGGCATGCGCCACCACACCAGGCTAATTTTGTATTTTTAGTAGAGACAGGGCTTCTCCATGTTGGTCAGGCTGGTCTTGAACTCCTGACCTCAGGTGATCCTCCCGTCTCGGCCTCCCAAAGTGCTGGGATTACAGGCGTGAGGCACTGCGTCCAGTCTTGTGTTTTTAATAGAGACGTGATTTCACCATGTTGACCAGGGTGGTCTTGAACTCCTGACGTCAGGTGATCAGCCTGCCTCAGCTTCCCAACGTGCTGGGATTACAGATGTGAGCCACTGTGCCTGGCCAAGAATTTCTAGAACGAATTTGATCCTAGTTTAAATGATCCCAACATCATACTTTCATATGATTTAGAAATCATAAAACTGCAACTTCTACATCAGAGGTTCTTACTCTGGGTAGGCTTCAATGGTCTGTGATCCCACCCCCTCAGAATTATATGCAGCATATTGCATTTATATGCATTTTTTATGGTGAGCTTACCCATAGCTTGTATTGGATTTCAGAGAAAGGAAATCATATGTCCACTCCCTGAAATAAAAACAAATCAAAGAATCAGACCACTTAAAAAAAATTTTTTTGGGCCGGGCACGGTGGCGCACACCTGTAATCTCAGCACTTTGGGAGGCTGAGGCGGGCGATCACAAGGTCAAGAGATTGAGACCATCCTGGCCAACATGGTGAAACCCCGTCTCCACTAAAAGTACAAAAATTAGCCAGGCATGGTGGTGTGCGCCTGTAGTCCCAGCTACTCAGGAGGCTGAGGCAGGAGAATTGCTTGAACCCTGGAGACGGAGGTTGCAGTCAGCTGAGATAGCGCCACTGTACTCCAGTCTGGTGACACAGACTCCATCTCAAAAAAAAAAAAAAAAAATTTTTTTTTGAGATAGAGTTGTTCTGTCCCCAGGCTAAGCTGCAGTGGCATGGTCATAGCTCACTGTAACCTTGAACCTCTGGGCTCAAGGGATCCTTCTGCCTCAGCCTCCTAACTAGCTAGGACTATACATGTGTGCCACTATGCCTGGTTTATGTTTTTGGTTTTGTGTTTTGAGAAGGAGTCTTGCTCTGTTGCCTAGGCTGGATTGCAGTGGTGCAATCTCGGCTCACTGCAATCAGTACCTCCCAGGTTTAAGTGATTCTCCTGCCTCAGCCTCCCTCATAGCTGGGATTACAGGCGCCAACCACCACTCCCAGCTAATTTTTGTATTTTTAGCAGAGACAGGGTTTCACCATGTTGGTCAGGCTGGTTTCAAACTCCTGACCTCAGGTGATCTGCTTGCCTCGGCCTCCCAGCTTGCTGGGATTGCAGGCGTGTGCCATTGCACCCAGCCAGCTAACGTTTTTTTTTTTTTTTTAATTTTTATTTTTTGTAGAAATGTGATCTCACTATGTTGCCCAGGCTGGTCTTGAACTCCCGGCCTCAAGTGATCTTTCCTCCAGCTTTCCAAAGTGCTGGTATTACAGGCATGAGGCACTGTGCCCAGCCTCACATCAGTTTTTTTTTTTTTTTAACAGATTTGAAGGAATGCAATTGAATATTGTTTCTATGGTTAAGGAAAAAACAGTTTGCTAAGAATTTAGTTATTTCCTATATGGTAAACAGTGTGAGAGTGGACCTACTTGTAACATTGAGATAGTCATACTGCAAAGCAGAGATGCCATGAGGAGCAGAGATGATGTCTGTAAAGCGTCTTGCAGTGTGTCTGCTATACAACAGATGCTTAAAAGTGGTGGGTATTGTATATGTTTGAAGAGATTTGTGTATTTATTTCATTACTTTCACCTGTTTTCCATCTTGCCATTTTATTCATGTTATGTAGAGGAAAGTAATTAAGTTTTCTAAGTATTCCATATGTACCATTTCTCAGTATCTGCAAAAGCATTTTTCCTGCTGGAGGATTAAGATACTTTATGAATGAATTGGTTTCACTGTTCCCATGTGATGCAGAATTATAGTTGTGGTTTCCAGCGAGATGACTATGCCGCAGTTATTTTCTTGTGCTTGTATAATGAGAGGGTTTTGGTGTTTCTGCTGTGTTCTAGACAGTTACACTATACAGCTCATTTTCATATCATATTTCATACGCAACACCATATTGTGGTGAGTTTTCTGTAAAAGTAGGATCAAGGGACGAGGAAGTGGGAGGACAAGACAGTGGAAGGCCAGAGTTGATCCAAGCCATGGAATTTTGGATGGAGTGGATATAGGTTAGATTTAGAGAAAAAAGCGGGTGTCTGTTGGTTTCTTCTATCCTTGGAGGAGTAAGTAATTTGTACAGGAGTTATTACAGAATTGCAGGGAGATTTGTCTACTGGGCAACACAGAAGTTAAGTTGCTTTCCTTATTTCCCATTTTCTAGAGACTCTGATACTGCATTATGAGTTGGTAAAACAGACTAATAAAACAAGAAAATCAAAATAGTGTTCTATTTTCTCTTCCTTTTTAAAGAACCAATAACCTTTATTAATTAGGTACATTACTAATTCACATTACTTCATTACTAATTAGGTACACGCAGTTTTAACAAAATTGAAACTTTGCTTGAAACACACACAGGAAGCTGGCAAAGGAAAGGAAGGTGGAAGGAGACTAACATTTTTTTGAGGGGCAGACACAGTGATAAAAGACTTCCTATTACTGTATTCAATGCTGACAGTAACCCTAACCCATGAGGTGTAAGTATTCGGATTCTCATTATGCAGAATGGGAAATAGAAACACGTCTTGTTGTTTTTGTTTTGTTTTGTTTTTTGAGACAGTCTCACTCTATCACCCAGGCTGGAGTGCAGTGGCGCAACCTCTGCCTCCTGGGTGCAAGAGATTCTCGTGCCTCAGCCTCCCAAGTAGCTGGGAGTACAGGTGCGCACCATTACGCCTGGCTAATTTTTGTATTTTTAGTAGAGGTGGGGTTTCACCATGTTGGTCAGGCGGGTCTTGAACTCCTGACCTCACGTGATCCACCCGCCTGGGCCTCCCAAGTGCTGAGATTACAGGCGTCGGCCACCTTGCCTGGCTTTTATTTTTTATATGTAGAAATAGAGATGGGGTTTTATCATGTTACCCTGGACTCAAGCAATCTGCCCGCTGCAGACTCACAAAGTGCAGGGATTACAGGTGTGCATCACTATGCTCAGCCTTATTCAGTATTTATTAAGTGAGCAGTATAGCATTAAGAACTCACATGCTCATTGTCTCATACAATCTTACAACAATCGTATGAAATATATGTTCTGCTTTAATTTATAAAGTAAGACACTGAGGCTTAGAGATGCCAGGTAACTTGCTTAAGAACATAGTTGATCTGGGATTAGAATCCCTGGGTTGAATGGTATGTGTTCATTTTAGTCACCATATCTCTGAGCTAAGGCAATGAGGAAAATGTGAAAGGCCCAAAAGATGGAGAGTAGTGAGACTGAGAGGTGGACTGGTTGAGGAATAAGTCATGTTGAGGTTATTGCTGTCATCTTTTAGACTTGTTAAATTTGGAGAGATGTGAGCATCTTCTAGCTTCATTTCACACAAAAAACAAAAATGTTAACATGATTTAAATACTTCAAATCTTTGAGTTTGTCAATTCTACTGCTGCTATATTTTAATATTAAGGTGTTCCTTTAACTGTGTTTAACTCTTTCCATTTTTAATTTTACTTAAAATATTTTTAGTGAGACCCTGTCTCAAAAAAAAAAAAATGTTGGCTGGGTGTGGTGGCTCACAGCTGTAATCCCAGCACTTTGGGAGGCTGAGGCAGAAGGATCCCTTGAGCCCTGGTGTTTGAGACAAGCCTGGGTAACAAACTGAGACCCTCATCTCTACAAAAAATGCAGGAATTAGCTGGGCATGGTGGTGAGTGCCTGTAGTCTCAGCTAGTAGGGACGCTGAGGCGAGAGGATTGCTTGAGCTGGGGAGATGGAGGCTGCAGTGAGCTATGATTGCACCACTGCACAGCAACCTGGGCAGAAGACCCTTTCTCAAAAAAAAGAAAAAAAAGAAAAAGTTTTTACACTCCCTGGACCTTATTTCCCTCTGAATCATGGTCTGGTAATTCTTCACTATCATGGTAATGATTCACATTCACTCTCCTATTCCTTCAAGCAGATGACTTTGTATTTTGTCCAGCTTTTCTAATTGTCTTCAGCAGGAGGTTTCTCCCAGATTATCAATTTCATTATCACTAGAAGTGAAAGTTTCTTATTCTCTTTTACTTAATAAGTGTAAGGTTATATTATGATGCAATTAGCATGGAGCTAGCCTATCCCAATACTAGTAGCAAACTTGTTTAATACTTAGATGCATATATCTATATGTGTGTATATATATACTTTAAAAAGAAATTTATAAAAAGAGATGGGGTTTCACTGTGTTGCCCAGGCTGGTCTTGAACTCCTGGGCTCAAGTGATCCACCTGCCTCGGCCTCCCAAAGTGCTGGGCTGACAGGAGTGAGCCACCTAGCCCAGCCTTAGTGCTCTGGGAGAGGTTCCAGTGCCCCAAAATACTGTGCTCGGTTAATATCTCCAATTTTTTTTTTTTTTTTTTTTTTTTTGGAGACAAGAGTCTCACTCTGTCACCCAGGCTGGAATACAGTAGTGACATCTCAGCTCACTACAACCTCTGCCTCTTGGGTTCAAGCAATTCTCATGCCTCTACCTCCCAAGTAGCGGGGACTACAGGCATGCACCACCATGCTCACTAATTTTTTGTATTTTTAGCAGAAATGGGGCTTCACTGTGTTGGCCAGGCTGGTCTCGTACTCCTGGCCTCAAGCCTTCTGCCTGCCTTGGCTTTCCAAAGTGCTGAGATTACAAGTGTGAGCCACCATGCCTGGCCTTCCAATTTTTATATTAAATGAATTTTAACTGCTCATTACATGGTTTACGTGTACACTGTTTTCTTAATTAGTGGCAGCCATGGTTCTCCATTGCTACAGTTGTACGGACTGAGAGTCAAGTGCCATAACACATGCTTTTCTTTTTTCTTTTTTTGTGTGTGACAGGGTCCTGCTCTGTTGCCCAGTCTGGAGTGCAGTAGTGTGATCATGGCTCATTGCAGCTTCGACCTCCCAGACTCAAGTGATTCTCCCATCTCAGCCTCCTGAGTAGCTGGGACCAGAGGCATGTACCACCATGCCCGGCTAGTGTTTTTGTTTGTTTGTTTGTTTTTGTTTTTGTTTTAGAGATGGGTCTCATTATGTTGCCCAGGCTGGTCTCAAACTCCTGGGCTCAAGCAATCCTCCTGCCTTGGCTTCCCAAATTGTTGGGATTACAGGCATGAGCCACCACACCCAGCTACTACATGCTTTTCATATCCAATATTGCATATAACTCTAATGTTAGTATTTCCCCCCATTGAGTCTACTGGAGGTTGACTTGCTCATGGTCCCATCATTGGGATTTGGATCTCCCCAAGGATATCCTCGTTTTGTATAAGATCCCAGCACTTTGAGAGGCCAAGGTGGGATGATCACTTGAGGCCAGGAGTTTGAGACCAGCCTGGGCAACATATTGAGACCCTGTCTCTACAAAACATAAAAACAATTGGAGGCTGAGGTGGAAGGATCACTTGAGCCCAGGAGTTCACTGCATGTCTGCCTTGAGCCATGACTGCACTAGTGTACACCACCCTGGGTGACAGAGCAAGGCCCTGTCTCTAAATAAATAAATAAATATTTAAAAAATATATAAAGCTATTTTCTTTTTTTTTTCTTTTTTTCTTCTCTTTTCTCTTTTTTGAGATGGAGTTTTGCTCTTCTTGCCCAGGCTGGAGTGCAATGGCACGATCTCGGCTCATTGCAACCTCCACCTCCCAGGTTCAAGCGATTCTCCTGCCTCAGCCTCCCAAGTAGCTGGGATTACAGGCATGCACCACCACCCTCAGCTAATTTTGTATTTTTAGTAGAGATGGGGTTTCTTCATGTTGGTCAGGCTGGTCTCGAACTCCCGACCTCAGGTGATCCACCTGCCTCAGCCTCCCAAAGTGCTGGGATTACAGGCATGAGCCACCGCATCCCATTTATGCATTTTAAACAAAAAAAGCTAATGTGTCATTGACTAAGTATTTGGATATCAGGAAAATCAAACAGACTTTGGAAAGTTAATTGTAGAAATTCTGTTGTAAATATTATGAGTTCAATGATAAGTCTTTTTATTTTTTGGTTCCTCTCTTTTTTCTATCTGAGTTATGTTCCATGGAAAAGTGCTTTTCAATAAGAACCACAGCCATTAAGCAGTGTCCTCGAACATAGCTGTTGTTCTGTATTCTATTTCTGGAATGAACAAAGTAAGAGCATCCCCTACTTCCAACATCAGAAGCATCTGTGCAGTACAGGGTCATCCAGCTGAGAGAGTAACTCATTTGTAGGCAGTCAAATCTTGCTTCTCCATAGATTGTGTGAGACTCGAGTAAATGAATTTAGAAACTAAAGAAATAAGCCTTTTCTGAATAACTGGTCTCATCTCAACAAAAACAGCCTACATAAAGGCCGGGCACAGTGGCTCACACCTGTAATCCCAGCACTTTGGATGACCGAGGTGGGTGGATCATGAGATCAGGAGATTGAGAACATCCTGGCTAACACGGTGAAACCCCGTCTCCACTAAAAAATACAAAAAATTAGCTGGGCGTGGTGGTGGGCACCTGTAGTCCCAGCTACTGGCTGGAGGCTGAGGCAGGAGAATGGTGTGAACCCAAGAGGCAGAGCTTGCAGTGAGCCGAGATTACACCACTGCACTCCAGCCTGGGTGACAGAGCAAGACTCCCTCTCAAAAACAAACAAACAAACAAACAAACAAACAAAAACAGCCTACATAATATCCATTCTCAAAATAATTGCTTTTCTCTGATTAGGAGACTTAGTTATACAAGGGTGTTTTCTAGCTTAAAAACAAAAGAGTTGACTGGGTATGGTGGCTCACGCCTGTAATCCCAAAACTTTGGGAGGCCGAGGTGGGTGGATCACCTGAGGTCAGGAGTTTGAGACCAGCCTGACCAACATGGTGAAACCTTGTCTCTACTATTTACAAAAATTAGCTGGGCATGGTGGCGGGCGCCTGTAATCCCAGCTACTCGGGAGGCTGAGGCATGAGAATTGCTTGAACCCAGGAGGCAGGGGTTGCAGTGAGCCGAGATCGTGCCACTGCATGCCAGCCTGGGTGACAAGAGACTTTGTCTCAAAAAGAAAAAGAAAAAACAAAAAACAAAACAAAACAAGAGTTTCAGGTCTGGGACAAACCAATCACCTCTCTTTAGTTCTCCCCTTGAAAAGGTAACTTATATTTTTGATAATCGTCTTAACAGGAGCGTTATTCTTGGCTTTTCAAAGAAACAATTATGGACAATTGAAAGAACAACAAAAATAATTCTAACGGGAACGGTAGAGAAGTAAAGGCTGGCATCTCTTCATATGCATGCTCAGTAACCTTGCTACCCAAGTGGTGGCATATTTATTGATATTTGTATCTCCCCATGGCCCCTTAACAACCACACTGGAATGTTACCTCAGCAACTTAGTGCTCCAGTGTCTTTGTGGGTGCTGTTACCTCCATGTGGGGCACACTCCTTTCTTCTCTCCCTCTATATCTTGCCAACTCCTACCTGCCAACCCTTGGGTTTCAGTGGGAAATATTGCTTCCCCTGGGAAGCCTCCTCTGGGTACTATATACCTCCTGGGCTCATCTCATTCTACATTACATCATGAATATGTGTTTATTTGTTTGTGTCTCTTAGAAGATGGTAGTTTCCGGGTGGGTGGCAACAATGACATTCCTCCAGTTATACACTCAGCACTATGTCTGCATGAGAGAGGTGCTCAAGGCTGGGGCACAGTGGCTCATGCCTGTAATCCCAGCACTTTCAGAGGCCAAGGCAGGTGGATCACGAGGTCAAGAGATCGAGACCATCCTGGCCAACATAGTGAAATCTCTACTAAATATACAAAAAAAATTACCTGGGCGTGGTGGCATGCACTTGTAGTCCTAGCTACTTGGGAGGCTGAGGCAGGAGAATCGCTTGAACCCGAAAGTTGAAGGTCGCAGTGAGCTGAGATTGCGCCACTGCACTCCAGCCTGGCGAGAGAGTGAAACTCTGTCTCAAAAAAAAAAAAAAAAAAAAAAAAAAGAGGTGATCAACATACATTACATTGTTTTAAGGGGTTTTGGTTATTAAATGGGGAAAGTTATTGTGAAAAACAAATTAATACATTTAAAGAAAACATTTTTGGACCTGGGTTCTTTTAAGGTTCTTCAATAATTTTAAGTTCTCTGAAATGGAAGGGAAAAAAATAAAGTTTTTTTAAAAAAATTTTTAATTTTTTCACTTTTTATGATGGAGTCTCACTCTGTTGCCCAGGCTGGAGTGCAGTGGCAGCATTTTGGCTCACTCTCTGCCTCCGGGGTTCAAGGGATTCTCTTGCCTCAGGCTCCTGAGTAGCTGGGACTACAGGCATGCGCCACCATACCTGGCTAATTTTTGTATTATTATTATTATTTTCAGACAGAGTTTCGCTCTTGTTGCACAGGCTGGAGAGCAAATGGTGCGATCTCGGCTCACTGCAACCTCCGCCTCTCAGGTTCAAGCGATTATCCTGCCTCAGCCTCCCAAGTACCTGGGATTACAGGCACCCGCCACCACGCCCAGCTAATTTTTTGTATTTTTAGTAGAGACAGGGTTTCACTATGCTGGCCTGGCTGGTCTCCAACTCCTGACCTCAGGCGATCCACCTGCCTTGGCCTACCAAAATGCTGGGATTACAGGCGTGAGCCACTGCGCCTGAGCTATTTTTTTTTTTTTTTTTTTTTTTTTTTTGAGACAGAGTCTCTCTCTGTTGCCCAGGCTGGAATGCAGTTGCAAGATCCCAGCTCACTGGAACCTGTGCCTACTGGGTTCAAGCGATTCTCCTGCCTCAGCCTCCTGACTAGCTGGGACTACAGGCATGCGCCACCATGCCTGGCTAATTTTTGTATTTTTAGTAAAGACGGGGTTCCACCATGTTGGCCAGGCTGGTCTCAAACTCCTGACCTCAAGTGATCCTCCCGCCTTGGCCTCCCAAAGTGCTGGGATTACAGGCATGAGGCACCATGCCCAGCCCTGTTATTGGATTTTTCTGTCCAAATTTTGAATCTAGACACTGACACAGGGAGTAGGCCTTCCAGTTTCTAGTTGGTACAAAGAAGAGTTGAGAAATTTGAGAGAGGCAATAATTTCAGCCCCATTCTTACAACAGTTTGTCTCAGTTGGTAACTGTTGAAGATTATTCACCTACTTTTTCCTCAATTCTTGCTTTAGAAGAGCCATCAAGGAACAGCTATTACCAGCAGAACTGCTGGAAGGAATCCAGTAGATCTGGCCCCTTGGGAGAGTGGGGGAAGAGCAAGAGTAGCCTCAGGGAAAGGGGTCAGGGAGAGATCCAGCAGGAAAGGCTCTTCTAGTGGACCAACCGCTTACATCCGGACTATTACTCCACCCAGTCTTCCAAGGAGATTCTCCAGTGTTAGCCTTTCAGGTTCCTATGTGTCACAGGAAATAAAACCAAACTAGCTTTTTTAAATCTATGAGAGAGAACGGGCGCGGTGACTCATGTCTGTACTCCCTGCACTTTGGGAGGCTGAGGTAGGCTGACCACTTGAGGTCAGGAGTTTAAGACCAGCCTGGCCAACATAGTGAAACCCTAACTCTATTGAAAATACAAAAATTAGCCGGGCGTGGTGGCACGTGCCTGTAATCCCAGGTACTCAGGAGCCTGAGGCAGGAGAATCCCTTGAACCCGGGAGGCGGAGGTTGCAGTGAGCAGAGATCTCGCCATTGCACTCCAGCCTGGGCAACAGTGCTCAAGACACCATCTCAAAAAAAAAAAAAAAAGAAGAAAAGAAAAAAAAAATTAGCTTGTTGTGGTAGCACATGCCTATTTGGGACACTGACATGGGAGGATCGCTTGAGCCCAGGAGTTCGAGGTTGCAGTGGGCTATGATTGGAGCATTGCACTCCAGTCTGGGGAAGAGAGTGAGACCCTATCAAGAAAAAAAAAAAAAATCTCTGAAAGGTACAAGACATTCTTTTCTTATTCCTTAAATTTTTAAAAAGTTTTTAATTTTTATGGGTACATAGTACATGTGTACTTATTCTTATTGATTGGAAGTTTATAATAGATGGTACTTGGAATATCTTTAGTTATCACTGCAAAATTGTAGCCCCCAAAATCAGAAGAAAAATAAAGAATTTCTTGGGAGAGGAGAGCGCGGGACATATTGGAAGGAAATTGTGTTTCGGTCTTCAGTCTTGAGGAAAGGTGAATTACTCCTGAGATTAATTTGGAAGAAAATTCCTTGTAGTATGCTGCTGTTGTTTTAATCTAGGTAGTTTGTACTTACAGTTTCTTATCAATCCAGAGGTGCATATACCCAGAAAGAGAAGTGGAGTTTTGGAATTATTCATAATTTTAATCCTGAAGCCACAACACACACACACACACAGCTTCTTTTTTTTTTTTTTTTTTTTTTGAGGTGTAGTCTCATTATGTCACCCAGGCTGGAGTGCGGTGGTGTGATCTCAGCTTAACTGCAAACTCCGCCTGCCGGTTTCCAGCAATTCTCTTGCCTCAGCCTCCCAGGTACCTGGGATTACAGGCAAGCGCCACCAGGTCTGGCTAATTTTTGTATATTTAGTAGAGACAGGGTTTCATCATGTTGGTCAGGCTTGTCTTGAGCTCCTAACCTTGTGATCAGCCCGCCATGGCCTCCCAAAGTTTGGGATTATAGGTGTGAGCCACTGCGCCCAGCCAAAACATATATATATATATATATATATATATATATATATATATATATACACACACACACACACATATATACACACACACACACACACACACACACACACACACACACACACACATATATATATATATATACACATTTTTTTTTTGAGACAGTCTCTTCCTGTTGCCCAGGCTGCAGTGCAGTGGCGCAATCTCAGCTCACTACAAACTCCGCCTCCTGGGTTCAAGCGATTCTCCTGCCTCAGGCTCCTGAGTAGCTTGAGATTACAGGCACGTGCCACCATGCCCAGCGGAAGACATTTCTTTTAAGGTTATTTTAGGATATTTACAAATGTCTTTTGTTAGATACTGAAAATCAAGAGGATTTGTAGAGAGAGCTGTATAGATGGTTAGAAGTGGGATCAACTCAAATTCTATATATTTTCATATTTTTTCTGTATATTAATAAACATCTTATGGTACATGCTCAAGTCAAGTTCTAACCTGCTGTGCAAGCTGAGATATTTTTACTTCTTTGGGCCTCTGAATTATTTCATAGCTAATATTTAATTTTTTTTGTAGAGATGTGTCTCCGCTATGTAGCTTAGGCTAGCCTTGAAATCCTGGGCTTAAGTGATCCTTCAACCTTGGCCTCTCAAAGTGCTTGGATTGCAGATGTGAGCCACTGCACCTGGCCTCTGCTCAGAATTTCTGACTATTCTCTCCCATCAAAACTCGCCCAGAGCTCAGACCACCAAATCACTTAGTATAGGAATTGAAACACCTGATCTATGCTGTGTTCAAACAAGTATAGATCTTCGTGGTGAAGCATCAATTTGATATTTGGAGTTAATGTTAGTTCTGATCACATTCATTAACTTTCATATATAGCTAGGATGAGCCTTGGCTTTATTTATTATCCAATTTTACAGAAGAGTGCACACACAGGCCTTCGATGTTTGCTTAGGTTGTCAAGTGCAATGTTGTATGGCTTCATGAGTATCCTATACAGTGAAAACACCTGTCTTTGGGCCTTTACAAAACAGACCTCTCAGCAATATAGATATTCTGTACACCTAACCCTCTGAGCCTGATTTCATTTTATTTTATTTTATTTTCATGATCACACAGCTAATGGATTTTTTTTTTTTTTTTTTTTTGAGACCGAGTCTCATTCTGTTGCCTAGGCTGGAGTGCAGTGGCACGATCTCGGCTCACTGCAACCTCCACCTCCCAGGTTCAAGTGATCCTCCTGCCTCAGTCTCCCGAGTAGTTGGGACTATAGGTGCATGCCACCACTCCTGGCTAATTTTTGTATTTTTAGTAGAGATGAGGTTTCATCATATTGGCCAGGCTGGTCTTGAACTCCTGACCTGAAGTGATCCACCTGCCTCAGCCTTCCAAAGTGCTAGGATTACAGGCGTGAGCTACCACGCCCGGCTGATCGACTTAAATTATACAATTCTATCATAATATATCATGGCCACTTTACTAAATATTGAACAATTAACCTGGAAAAAAATGTTCATTTTTTAAAGTTATATTCAAACATTCAACAGAAGAGGCATAATGTGTAACTGAAATGCAAGGCACTTCAAGAAATGTAGGACTACCCTTGTGCAAAGCTGATGGGAATGTAAAATGGTGCGGCTGCTATGGTAAACAATTTGGTAGTTCCTCAGAAAGTTAAACATAGCCTTATCATATGATTCAGCAATTCTACTCCAAGGTGTATACTACTTGTATACCTACTTGTACACCTATGTTCATAGCAGTAATATTCATAATCACCAAAAAGTACAAATGTCTAACAACAGAATAAGGGAAAAACAAAATGTGTTATGTACATACAAAGGAATATTGTTCAGCCTTCAAAATGAATGAAATTCTGATACATTCTACAACATGGATGAACCTTGTAAATATTATGCTATTAATAAGTGAAGCAAAGAGAAACGAAAAGAAAAATACTATATGAAAAATACTATATGATTCCAATTATAGGAGGTACTTAGAGTAGTCCATTTCATAGACAGAAAGTAGAATGGAAGTCAGTATGGGCTGGGGGAAGGCAAATGAGGAGTTATTGTTTAATGGGTATGGAGTTTCTGTTTACAAGGAAGAAAAAGTTCTGGAAATGGAGAGGTGATAGTTGCATAGCAGTTGTGAATGTACTTAATGTCACTGAACGATACACTTAAATATAGTTAAAATGGGCTGGGCGCAGTGGCTCACTCCTGTAATCCCAGCACTTTGGGAGGCCAAGGTGGGCGGCCCACCTGAGGTCAAGAGTCCGAGACCAGCCTGACCAACATGGTGAAACCTCGTCTCCACCAAAAAATACAAAAAATTAGCCAGGCGTGATGGCGCATGTCTGTAATCCCAGCTACTCGGGAGACTGAGGCAGCAGAATCATTTGAACCCGGAAGGCGGAGGTTGCAGTGAGCTGAGATCGCACCATTGCATCTAGGCGACAAGAGTGAAACTCGATCTCCAAAAAAATAGTTAAAATGATAAATTTTATGTTACATATATTTCATCACAATTTAAAAAAAAATCACCAAAAATGGGATGTACAGCTAAAAGATTTTGTACCTATTTTCAAATCTTACTGTATTTGATTATTTTTCTGCCAGTTTCAATGCTGCTTTATTCCTCACAGAGAGCTTCTTATAGATAGTGTGGGCTTAGTGTGCTCAAAGTTGCACTGGTGGATGTGCATATTTCAGAGTCCATTGGTTTTGTTACAAGTGTTGCAGGAAGAGTTGAGAACACCATATTCATTAGGTTTTTTTTTTCTTTTTCTTTCTTTTTTTTTTTTTTTTGGAGACGGAGTCTGGCTCAGCCATCTAGGCTGGAGTGCGGTGGTGCTCACTGCAACTACTGTCTCCTGGGTTCAAGCGATTCTCCTGTCTCAGCCTCCCGAGTAGGTGGGATTACAGGCACCCACCATCATGCCCGGCTAATTTTTGTATTTTAGTGGAGACAGGGTTTCCTGTTGGCCAGGCTGGTCTCAAACGCCTGACCTCAGGTGATCTTCCTGCCTCGGCCTCCCAAAGTGTTAGGATTACAGGCGTGAGCCACTGTGCCCGGCCAATAGTTTTTTTCTTACATGAATTTGTTAAAAATGTGGGTGAGGGGTGGGTGAGTGAGAGGTAATTTAAAAGTGGAAAAACAACGCATGCCGGACTTCACGTTCCAACACGGAAAGCATGCTTTTGTGGCAAACTGAAAGGCTAGGGATTAAGGGTGATGAAATGCAGGCCTTCCGGCCCTCACTCTGTTCCTGATTTCTGGTTGTGGGAATCTGTTCTGAATCCAGCTGCAAGTGGAAAACCCATCTTTGGCTGAGCAGCCGGGGAGGCCCTCCTGCCAATCCCCGAAATGTGCTGCTGAAACTTTGGCCCTGCAAGGCTGGAGCTAGGGCTGTCTTCCCCAGATCTGTGCAGCTGTCAAGGTGGCTGTGATGGGACTGTGACCGCCCTCTACACTGCATTTTGGCAGTGACCTTGAGACCAGCCAGCTCACCACAGCTGCCCTGCTCTGCTGCCGCTGTTGCAATGCCAGGTGGCTTAAGAGGGGTCGTGGGGGGCACGGCTCCCGGTCCAGTCTTTCCCAGTGTCTGGCAGGTGCTAGCTGTGGTGCCAGCTGTCCCACTGCCTACCACCCACTGGGCGTGGGGGCAGTCCAGGTGTGTGTCGGGAGATGGTGGTTTGTTCTACCCCTGGCTCAGGTCCCGATCCCTGGGAAGTGGGTGGTTCCGTCTGACCGCGAGTCTGGTGCGCAGACCGGCCCCACGTGGGGACTTGCTTGGCAGGTCTGCGGATATAGATGCTCAGTGACAGTTGATCTTGGGAGACAGAAGAGCCAAAGGTGTCCTTTTGTCCCAAAGATATGAGTCCGAATTTTCCTTCTCGTAGGGGAGAAATTTTATTTGGAAATGAAGGTCATCAGAAATGCCCAGAGCAAGAGAGAAAATCCTTTCTCTCTAGCCACTCAGAGTGGCAAGTGTATTTTGAAAACTCCTCCCTCTCTTTTTGTCCTCATCCTGTCCTTTTCCTTTTCAGTGGCTTTACTGTTATTTTTTAATTCGCCATTGTCATTGGACATTTATTGACAGAAATCAAATTGCTGTGTTTCTGGGCAAAGCGCCTGCTGCAAAGAGGTGTGGTTCCTGAGGAATGAGACACGCAGCCCAACAGCTGAGCCTACACTGTCCTCACATAACCTCCCTGCCTTAAATATCGCCAATATTTAGCCTTGCCTTATAAAGTAAAAATGCACAATACCTTCCAGAGTTTCAGCAAGCCCAAATGCCCCCCTAGGCTCAGTTATGTCTCCTGTACATTGGAGGCAGAGCAGCGCACCCCTCCCCCATGCAGACCTGCCCTCGGAACCGCCAAGAGGTTACTAATCAGGAAGGCTCTACCATCGATCCAATGGTGGTGACCTGGGGGATTTGTGTGCATTGTTTTTGTTGAAGCCTCCTGTGATTTCGGCGCGACCAGATCCTCTGCAGCGAACTCCATGTCGCAGCTTGTGGCTGCCTGTGTCCTGTGGTGAGAGCCGAGCCGCACAGGAGATCCTTTGTCTAGGAAGGGCTAGGCTGAGAAGATCACTTTGGAGTTGCTAAGCTCTGCATTGCCATTGGCTGCACTCTTTGTGGGGCTGTTTTTGCAAAAGGCATGCCCAGCACGTCTACAGTGCTGGCAGGCCAGGGCTGCCTTTAAACACCATGATAATAATACCAAAAAGCAGTTTGCAGAACTGTTCCACTGTAGAGGCTTCCTCTGCAGAAGCAAGCAAGATGGCTACCTCGTGGGCTTCGCTGTGAAGAATGCAGAGGCTAATTAAGACAGACTTTAAGGGGAAAAAAGGGTATTTCCCTGCTTCATCTTTATGCAAGATTTTTTTAGTGACTTTTAAAGTATACATTTTACATAAGCTCTTTAGGTTCTGCCTAGCAAACATGTTGATGATTTTAAATGGTATAAATAGTTTTACAGAGAAATAGCCAAAAATTTTGGGGATGTGGGAGCTAATTTTATTTCTTAAACAGAGGCTCATTTTGCAATTTGATTTTTTTTAGGTTATAAAGGAAAACAAGAGGCCCCAGAGGGAAAAGAAGCCCAAAGTTTTAAAGGTAATCAGCTGTTGATTAAATAATATTTCATTATTTTTCCATTTCATATAGTATTTTTCTGCACTTGGGTATATTTGGAGTACAGTATATGTGAATTCTCCCAGATTTTCAGTAGATGGATGAATTTCCACTCAACTAAAGTGTTTTCTCTCTCTTTTTTTTGATGTGCTGCATAATGTGCATATTAGCATCCTTTATTTTCAACTCCACTCAAGTCTACAGAAAGAAAAGTTTGTATGCAGAGTGTTGTGAATAAAATTTGTTTTTCTTTATAGCTCCCTTTGTAGCATCTGCATTTGTGGTGTTGCACCAGTGTGTAAACTTAAGCCCTTTAGAAGAAAGGCACTATTTGAAGTTGACAGCTATGATCCATTGTGATTTTAATAGACTGTCCATTAAAGGCTATTTTAAAATGTATGATTCTTTTCCAAAGAAAAAGTCCTTAATGTGTAAGTAGTGGAGATCTTACAGCCAAATTATAGTTGTTTAATCTCAAATTCTCATAATATCATCTTTAATTTTGGCTTTCATGAAGCCATAAGAATATGCATGTTTTCTTTATTTTCTATAGTTTGCCTGATGAGTATTAATAGTAACCTAATTCAGTTATAAGCTCACAGTCTGTGTGATGAGATTTGTACAGTGTTTAGAAGGGTTAATTTAAAAGCATATGGCATCACTAAAAGTTCAAGGCTAGCTTTAGTCTAACGAATAGGTGCTTATGTGTTTAAGATTTCAAGTGGTGTATTGCTATTACAAATGTAAGCAACCTTTGCAAGCCACCTTTTAAATTCATGAAGAAATACTAAGCAATAAAATGACTTATCTTTAATTATTTTGTGTACATTTAATTTAAAATAGTTTTACCTAATCCTAGCTTTCCTTTTTTACACATAAAGTTTTAGCACTCAAAGAGGAACAACATGTTGAACTATGAATGTGGCAGAATTTTATTTCATTTGTTGCCCCAGTGTGTAACTTGAAAATGTTGACACGGAGAACCAAACCTTGCCCTGCTTTCAAATTTGCCTGACCACATTGAGTTTCTGCTTCCTGTGTATATACAGCATTTTCATGTACCTGTTTCATCAACCAACAAGTATTTATTTAATATTTACCACATAGTCAGCAATGTGCTAGGCACTGTGAAATGAATGAAATTGCTTGACACAAATTTTCACTGGGCCTGGACAAATAGAATCATGGTTATTCTCAAGGTAAATTAAACCCTTTTCTGTTTTTCTTCTTTGTGTTGATCCATCGACCCCCATTTATTCCTTTTCCTTCCAACAGAGATAGAAGTTTATCATTAAAAGCTCCTTCTATACTTTCTGTGTTGGCTATATCCATCTCAGGCATTTTGTGAAAAATAGATTTAGTCTTCCTCTTAAAAATGGCTCTCATTTGTTGGGGTTGTGGATGGGGATTAGCAGGAGAAAGGGATAGATTATGTGGAGAAACTAATACAGACCAAGCCTAGTATCTATGTCTTCCCCTGCCTTGGCTAGGAAGTAGAATTGGACTTTGGGAATGCAATTTAATTCTATGTTTATTTTGTTAGATTGTGAGTGTCCTGTCACCTGAAATAAATGTAAAAAGTAAATATGCCATGTGTTGCTTTTTGGAATCACGGTAGTGGACTCTGGCTTAAAAGAAAAAGAATAAAAGTGCCTGTGGGTGGCCACATTTCATCTGCAACAGCAAGCAGAACCAAATTGTTGCTCACGTTCCTCTATAGTTAGCAATTACTGTACAAGAGCAGGAAAATATTCTAAAAGGAAAAAAAATTTCTGATGTTGGCATTTAAAAATGGTTTTCCACATTTTCTGTTAGACATAATTTTTTTTCTCATCCAAAGAAAGCTTTGTTTCTCTGCTTCACAGTAGAAATGCTAAAAAAAACTTTCAGATTTTAGCTTGATGTGTATAAAATTCATAGAGCAAATGTAGAATATTATATAATCCTATAGAAGACATAAAAAAAATGAAACCTGTGTTTGGGAGGGAGAGTGGGAGAGGAATACAACTGTCAGCTTGAGGTTTTATGAGTGAGGACTTCAACATTCTAGGAGCATGCTACCTGGGGGACCAGTGATGGGAATCTCACAGTTTATGATTTGGTCTTCCATCATTATTTGCTGTCTTTACATTTGGTGTCATTCCAGAAATTTAGTCTGCTTCCTTTGACTTTATCCTTTTAGATGTTGAAATCTCCTGGATCATTTACCCTTTGTCAGGGTGGATGCTGCAGGTATCCTGATTGACTTTTCATTTTCATCATCTATTAGAAAGTAGTTGGATACGTGAAGAACCTGATTCAAGAAGTTGGGTATAGAATTTGAGACTTGTTTCATCCTACACTGACCTGAACCTGATAACTATTGAATCCAGTTGTGGGGCTGAAATTGGCTGGCATGTCTTATATCCCTCTCCTCTTAAAAACATACCTGTTATCCACCAGGTATGATGACTCATATGTGTAATCCCAGAACTTTGGGAGGCCAAGGCGGGAGGATTGCTTGAGGCCAGGAGTTTGAGACCAGCCTGCAAAACCTAGCAAAATCCTGTCTCTATGAAAAATTTAAAAATTAGCTGGGTGCGACGGTGTGCACTTCTAGTCCTAGCTACTCAGGAGGCTGAGGAGGGAGGATTGCTTGAGCCTAGGAGTTGGAGGCTGCAGTGAGCTATAATCACATGAGCTATATGCACTCCAGCCTCAGGAATAGAATGAGACCTTGTCTCCCACCACCAAAAGAACACTATTATCCATATTTATACCATATTCATTCTATTGTACTTCAAAATTAAAAACTAAATAGCGATCTAAATCCTGATTAGAGATTCTTCCTGTAGCTGAAATGACAGCTCTGGCCAAAGCACTCTAAAGGCCAGAATGGGTATCAGCTAATGGTGCACTAGTGGTGGGTGGGGGTAGCTCAGCATCAACTTCCTATTCAAGCCTATTGGTGATCACTAGTTATTTTCATATATAGATGACATCTTGTTAGCAATGTTATTATTGGAAACACAAGCATTTCCTTGACTCTTGATCTAGGTAGAGGTGTGGTCTAATTCCAGTCCTTCAATCACGAACTTAGCCTTTTAAGTGACGTGGTTTGGAATTCCTCTTGGAAGAAACATTTGTGTAAATAACTTTTACTTTGTGTGTGTGTGGTGGGAGCAGGTGAGTAGGAGTGTATACTCCCTTTAAGAAAGTCAATTTTAAGATGATAATAGTTTTGTTAGATTGTTAGTCATTGTCCCTGGAGAAAATCAGACAGCACAGTCAATTGGGGGTTTGAACAGAGTTTAATAAAGGAATTACTTTCAATAGTGTGGGAGGGTTAAGGAAAGAACTAAGGATGGTGAAGAAATCCAGATCTAATGAAGGCAGAGCTATTACTAATCCTAGGCCTGAAGGGGGATGGTGAGTGGAAACCAGGTAATGTAGCTACAGCTGAGTAGAGGAAGCATGGGCTGGAGCCTTTGGTAAAGAGATGCTCTTGCAAGGAGTCAAGTGGGGGGTGGGTGTGGGATAAATGCCCTGCTCTCCAGTCTCCTGCTGCTTTGATTGGTTGATCCCAATGGGGAGCCAGAGTGAAAGGGGAGACCTCTGATGTAGTACACGCTGGTCAGCCTTCTGGGATGTGTAAGAAGGTTATGGAAGGTGGAATGTAGGCCTGGAAGGGAAAACAACATACTGGGCATGACTAGTGACCACAGGGGTGGTATGGTAGAGTGAACAATAGTACTAGAACTGTGATTACATAAGATGGTAACATTAGGCAAAGATGGCTGAAGAGTACATAAGAACTCTATACTATTTTTGCAACTCATCTGTAAATCTAAAATTATTTCCCAATAAGCATGAGGATCCTTGAGGGGATGCATTTATACATTCTGTAATTAGATAGTCTTTTTGGCTGGTAAGGAATATTTTCTAGCTATTTAATTATAAAATATCATCAGAGTAGTATTTGGAAGAGCTGGGTGAACAAATATAAAGAAATGTCAGTGGATATTAAACTAGGAGAGTGTCTCCAGAGGTTGATTTTAAAAAGGCAAAATGAAAACTAAGGGATCTTCCTGCAGGGTTCAGCACTGACTTGCTCTTCTCTTTTCCTTCATTCCTTGATGATGCTGATAAAGAACAAGTGGGGCCAGGAGAGTGGCTCAGGCCTGTAATCCCAACACATTGGGAGGCTGAGGCGGGCAGATCACCTGAGGTTGGGTGTTCGAGACCAGCCTGACCAACATAGAGAAACCCCCATCTCTACTAAAAATACAAAATTAGCCAGGGGTAGTGGCGCATGCCTGTAATCCCACCTACTCGGGAGGCTGCGGTAGGAGAATCACTTGAATCCAGGAGGCGGAGGTTACAGTGAGGAAACAAGCAAAAATTGCCGAGATGATGAAGGAAAACATCATCTAGGGAAAGATACTTAACATTCCCATCATTTATAAATTGTTTTTATTGAATTTATTTACTTATTTATTTGAGACAGAGTCTCACTCTGTCACTAAGGCTGGAGTGCAGTGGTGCAGTCTTGGCTCACTGCAACCTCTGCCACCTGGGTTCAAATGATTCTCCTGCCTCAGCCTACTAAGAACTGGGATTACACACATGTGCCACCACGCCCAGCTAATTTTTTTGTATTTTTAGTAGAGACGAGGTTTTGCCATGCTGGCCAGTCTGGTCTCAAACTCCTGGCCTCAAGTGATCTGCCCACTGCAGCCTCCCAAAATGCTGGGATTACAGGTGTGAGCAACCACGCCTAGCCCATAAATTATTTTTATATATACTAGACCAGTGCTGGTTTAAAAGGACTAAATTATACTCTGGTTATGTTTGTTGTTTGTTGTTTGTTTGTTTGTTGAGCTGAGGTCTTGCCGTGCTGCCCAGGCTGGTTTTCAACTCCTGGGCTCAAACTATTTTCCTTTCTCATTCTCCTGAGTAGCTAGGATTACAGCCACCCTCCCCTGCTAAAATTACTAAATTAGATACAATTGAGTTACATTGTTTATTTTAAAATTCTATTAAGCTATAAATAGGCCAGGTTCGGTGGCTCATGTCTGTAATCCCAGCACTTTGAGAGGCCAGGATGAGTGGATCACTTGAGGTCAGGGGTTCAAGACCACCCTGGCCAACATGGTGAAACCCTGTCTCTACTAAAAATACAAATATTCGCCAGGTGTGGTGGCAGGTGCCTGTAATCGCAGCTAATTGGGAGGCTGAGGCAGGAGAATCGCTTGAACCTGGAAGGCGGAGGTGGCAGTCAGCCGAGATTGTGCCTCTGCACTCCAGCCTGGGCGACAGAGGGAGACTCCCTCTCAAACAAACAAACAAAAAACCCTACAAATGAAAGATAACATAGTTGCTAATGATTTTCTTCTGCTTATTTGTCTATAACTTTGTTTCAGTTAGTAAAATAAATCATTGGTAAAGTAATTTCTTTAGAGTTTTTAAACAGACGGTTATAATGCAACATTCTATTACTTGTAGCAACATGTTGCAAATTTAAGTACTAGATCAAATACTAAGCTTGACCATCCTTCAGGGGAAAAACAAAAACAAAAAAAAAAACACATGTCATTTTGATAGGTCCTTATAGTCCCAGGCAACTAATCCCAGACTTCTGGATTTAATGGGCCAGTGAGGAAAAAAATCAGAGTGGGTGTTGAAAATATTCACAAGGGAATACCAGCTTTAATTTTTAAAAATGGAAAGAAGATAATATCAGAACACAGGAAGGTCATAGAAATTTAATAATTTAGTTTTATGACAACACATTGTCTTTATTGAACTCATTTTGTCATAAACTGGCAAAAACTGTTAAGGACGTGTGCTCACCCATCAGTGTTTATTCACACAATCAAAGACACACATGGGCTTCGTTTGTATACCCAGAAACTGTAATACAGCATTTTGCCTGGAGATCAGACTGGATTTCAGGGCTGAGTTCTCACTAAACCAGCTCATATACAGGCATTCGTTTATCACTGCAGCATGTATATTTCCAGTGACTCAAGACTCATGTCCATTCTGTGATTTCTAGGAATGATCCCAAACAGAGAATCAAAGTGAATAAAAGCCAAATGGAGTTGGACGGGTTTAAGGAAAATTTCATTCAGGCTATTAAAAAAAAAAAAAAGACTTGAATTCTTCCTAGTCCACAAAAGAACATATGCCTTGTATCCTGAATACTTAGGCTCATCTGGTACGTGTTTGTGTTTTGATAGTGCCGGATTCATACTGTTTCTGAGTTGTACTTTCTTTACTGTATAGCTCTCCATTTACTGACTAGAATATATTCTCATGAGTCAGATGAAAAGAGCCAACTAATAACTTTATTTAAGTTTTGTTTGGATCTTAAGTTTTTTTTTTTTGTTTTTTTTGTTTGTTTGTTTATTTGTTCTTGAGACAGGTCTCACTCTGTTGCCCAGGCTGGTGTGGAGTGGCACAATCTTGGTTCGTTGCAACCTTTGCCTCCGGGGTTCAAGAGATTCTGTAGCCTCAGCCTCCCAAATAGCTGGGATCACAGGCACACACCACCATGCCCAGATAATTTTTGTATTTTTTGTAGAGACAAGGTTTTGCCAGGCTGGTCTAGAACTCTGAGCTCAAAGCAATCCATTCTCCTCAGGCTCCCAAAGTGCAGGCCTGCACCACTGCACCTGGCCTTCTTAATTCATTTTTAAGTGAAATATTTTTAATAATGGAATGTCTTGCAATGTCATTCATATATATATATGAATATATATATTCTCTCTATATATAGAATATATAAATATGTTTATATATATAAATATAAATATATATTTCATTTTCAAAGATTTGATGGTAAGGTTTGCCAACCAAAATGGCCTATGCAAGAGAACGTGGGTAACAGAGGTAACAGTGTCTTTTTTTTTTTTGGACAGAGTCTTGCTCTGTCACCAGGCTGGAGCACAGTGGTGCAATCTCGGCTCACTGCAGCCTCCATCTCCCGGGTTCAAGCAGTTCTCCTGCCTCAGCCTCCGGAGTAGCTGGGACTACAGGTGCATACCACCGCACCCAGCTAATTTTTGTATTTTTAGTAGAGACTGGGGTTTCATCATGTTGGCCAGGATGGTCTCAATCTCTTGACCTCATGATCCACCCTCCTTGGCCTCCCAAAGTGCTGGGATTATAGGCATGAGCCACCGTGCCCAGCCGACAATGTCCTATTTATTTATTTATTGAGACGGAGTCTCACTCTGTAGCCCAGGCTGGAGTGCAGTGGCATGATCTCAGCTCACTGCAACCTCCGTCTCCCAGGTTCAAGCGATTCTCCTACCTCAACCTCCCGAGTAACTGGGATTACAGGCGTCCGCCACCATGCCTGGCTAATTTTCTTTATTTTCAGTAGAGATGGGGTTTCACCATCTTAGCCAGGCTGGTCTCGTACTCCTGACCTCGTGATCTACCCGCCTTGGCCTCCCTAAGTGCTGGGATTATAGGCGTGAGCCACCGCGCCAGGCCTATTATTTATTTATTTTTGAGATGGAGTCTTGGTTTGTCACCCAGGCAGGAGTGCAGTGGTGTGATCTTGGCTCACTGCAACCTCCACCTCCGGGGTTCAAGTGATTCTCCTACCTCAGCCTCCTGAGTAGCTGGGACTAAAAGTGTGTGCCACCAAGCCCAGCTAATTTTTTGTAGTTTTAGTAGAGACAGGGTTTCACCATGTTGGCCAGGCTGGCCGCCAACTCCTGACCTCAGGTGATCCGCCTACCTCAGCCTCCCAATGTGTTGGGATTACAGGCATGAGCCAACATGCCCAGCCATATTTATTTTTTAATTAAAAAAAAATTTTTTTTAATACAAAAGAGGGGTCTCAAATGTTGCCCAGGGTGGTCTCAACCTCCTGGATTCAAGCGATCTTCCTGCCTTGGCCTCCAAAAGTGTTGGAATTACAGGCATGAGCAACCTTTCCTGGCCCATAGTTTTGTTTGTTTGTTTATATGTTTTTATGACAGGGTCTCACTTTGTCACCTAGGCTGGAGTGCAGTGGCTCTGCTCACTGCAGCCAAAACCTACTGGGCTCACGTGATCTTCCCACCTCAGTCTCCTGAGTACCTAGGTTGACAAGTGTGTGCCACCAAGCCTGACTAATTTTATTTTTTTTTGAGATGGAGTTTCGCTCTTGTTGCCCAGGCTGGAGTGCAATGGCGTGATCTTGGCTCACTGCAACCTCCACCTCCCAGGTTCAAGTGATTCTCCTGCCTCACCCTCCCTAGTGGTTGGGATTACAGGCATGTGCCACCACGCCTGGCTAATTTTGTATTTTTAGTAGAGATGGGGTTTCTCCATGTTGGTCAGGCTGGTCTCGAACTCCTGACCTCAGGTGATCCACCCTCCTCGGCCTCCCAAAGTGCTGGGATTACAGGCATGAGCCACTGCCCCCGGCCAAGCCTGACTATTTTTAAAATTTTTTGCAGAGACCAGGTTTCCCTGTGTTGCCCAGGGTGATCTTGAACTTCTGGGCTTAAGCAATCATCCTGCCTTAGCCTCCTCAAGTGTTATCCCACAGTTTTAAATAGTAACTCCTTTTCTGTACTTCTGAAGTTTTTGTCATCTATGTGTAAAATTCAGTGATGTCACATGAATTTGATTAAAGCATAGATTATTTTCATAATTCTAGGAAATCAGATATTAAATAATAAACTTATTCTAGGAGTTTGGTTATTTTATATATATATAGCGTGTGAGAGCATTTTAAAATATTTCATTTATTTATTTTTAAATATTTTATATACATATACACCATATCATAGGATTATCTGGGAGTTGGGTGAATTATTTAAAATATGTTAGGCAGGGCACAGTGGCTCATACCTGTAATCCCAGCACTTTGGGAGGCTAAGGCTAGTGGGTTGCCTGAGCTCAGAAGTTTGAGACCAGCCTGGGCAACATGAGAAAACTACATCTCTATATATTTATAAAAAATAAGGCAGGGCACGGTGGCTCACCCTTATAATCACAGCACTGTGGGAGGCCGAGACAGGAGGATCACGAGGTCAGGAGATCAAGATCATCCTGGCTAACACAGTGATACCCCATCTCTACTAAAAATACAAAAAATTAGCCAGGCGTGGTGGCGGGCGCCTGTAGTCCCAGCTACTTGGGAGGCTGATGCAAGAGAATGATGTGAACCCGGGAGATGGAGCTTGCAGTGAGCTGATATTGCGCCACTGCACTCCAGCCTGGGTGACAGTGCGAGACTCTGTCTCAAAAAACAAACAAACAAAAAGGCCAGGCATGGTGACTTATGCCTGTAATCCCAGTACTTTGTGAGGCCGAGGCGGTGGATCACTTGAGGTCAGGAGCTCAACCAGCCTGGCCAACATGGTGAAACCCCATCTCTACTAAAAAAAAGGAAATAACAAAAATTAGCCAGGCATGGTGGTGGTTGCCTGCAGTCCCAGCTACTCGGGAAGCTGAGGTGGGAGAATTGCTTGAACCCAGGGGGCGGAGGTTGCAGTGAGTTGAGATCGCCCACTGCACTCCACCCTGGGTGACAGAGGGAGATTCCTTCTCAAAAGATAAAAAAACACAAAAATAAAAAATATGTTAAATGTTTAGAACCGCTTGGCATACTGTGGTTTTTTTGTTTTTACTTTTTTTTGACAAGGTCTTCCTCGGTCACCCAGGCTAGAGTGTAGTGGTGTGATCATGGCTCACTGCAGCCTTGACCTCCTGGATCAATTGATCTTTTACTTCAGCCTCCCAAATAGCTGGGACCATAGGTGTGCACCACCAATCCCGCCTAATTTTTATATTTTTTGTAGAGATGAGGTTTTGCCATGTTACCCAGGCTGGTCTCAAACTCCTGGGCTCAAGCAAACCCAAAGTACTAGCACTACAGGCATGAGCTACCTTGCCCAGCTAGTAATTTTTTAATAGTGATTATAATTACAAGTAAAGGTGTAATTTATGTTCATAAGAATATGAAGTGAACTAGGCTGGGCGCAGTGGCTCATGCCTGTAATCCCAGCACTTTGGGAGGCCGAAGGTGGTGGGTCACAAGGTCAGGAGTTCGAGACAGGCCTGGCCAGCATGGTGAAACCCCGTCTCTACTAAACACAAAAATTAGCCAGACATGGTGGCGGGCACCTGTAATCCCAGCTACTCGGGAGGCTGAGGTAGGAAAATTGCTTGACCTCAGGAGGCGGAGGTTGCAGTGAGCTGAGATTGTGCCACTGCACTGTAGCCTGGGCAACAGAGCGAGACTCCTTCTCAAAAAAAAAAAAGTGACCTTTCCAAAAAATGTGGATTTCAGTCAGGTGCAGTAGCACACTCATGTAGTCCTAGCTACTCAGAAGGCTAAAGCAAGAGGATTGCTTGAACTATGGAGCTCAAGACCGTGGTATGCTATGAGAGCTCCTGTGAAGCCACCGCACTCCAGCCTGGGCAACATAGCAAGACTCCATCTCTTCAAGAAAAAAATAAGTGGGTTGGGCATAGTGGCTTATGACTGTCATTCCAGTTACTCAGGAGGCTAGGGTGAGAGGATCATTTGAGCTTGGGAGTTCCAGGCTGCAATGAGTTGTAATCATGCTACTGCACTCCAGCCTAGGCCAATTGTCAGAGACCCTTTCTTTCTTTTCTTTTCTTTTCTTTTCTTTCTTTTCTTTTCTTTTCTTTTCTTTTTCTTTCTTTTTTTTTTAGAGGGAGTCTCGCTCTGTTGCCCAGGCTGGAGTGTAATGGTGCGATCTCCGCTCACTGCAACCTCTGCCTCCTGGATTCAAGTGATTCTCCTGCCTCAGTCTCCATGAGTAGCTCGGGAGGTGGGGGGGGTGGGGAGAGAGGGAGAGAGAGAGAGAGAGAGGGAGGGAGGGGAGAAAGGAAGGAAGGAAGGAAGAAAGGAAGGGAGGGAGGAAGGGGAAAAGAAAATAATATTATTTCCTCTTGGTATATTCACTTGATAGCCTTACTGAGAAATATAAGCCTATATTCAACAGAGGCTTTTCATTCCTTTTGAAAATGTCACTTCTGTTTTAATTTACTTACAATGGATGAGGCATATCTTGTTGTTGTTTTCTTTTTTTTTTTTATTTGACAGAGTCTCACTCTGTCACCCAGGCTGAAGTGCAGTGGCTCGATCTTGGCTCACTGCAACCTCCGCCTCCTGGGTTCAAGTGATTCTCCTGTCTCAGCCTCCTGACTAGCTGGGACAACAGGGGCACACCACCACACCCAGCTAATTTTTGTATTTTTGGTATAGACGAGGTTTCACCATGTTGGCCAGGCTGGTCTTGAACTTCTGACCTCAGGTGATCCACCAGCCTCAGCCTTCCAAAGTGGTGAGATTACCAGCATGAGCCACCGGGCCCGGCCAGTCATTTTGTTTTAATGTGATCAGCAGGTACTAGGACCCAATTCTATAATCCCAGCAGTGTGGGAGGCTAAGTTTGGAGAATCCACTGATCCCCGGAGTTTGAGACCAGCCTGGGCAACATGTTGGGATCCAGTTTGAAAACTGAAAAATAAAATAAAGTCCTTTATAGTCTATTAATTTGCTTAAGTTTTTATTTGCATTTATTATTCTATATGTATGGGGGTTTTTTGTTTTTGTTTTGTTTAGGAGATAGAGTCTCACTTTGTCACCCAGGCCGTAGTGCAGTGGCAAGATCTCGGCTCACTGTAGCCTCACCTCTCAGGCTCAAGCGATCCTCCCACCTCAGTCCCCCAAGTAGCTGGGACTACAGGTACACACCACCACGCCCAGCTAATTTTTGTGTTTTTCATAGAGACGGGTTTACAGCATGTTGCCCAGGCTGGTCTTGAACTCTTGAGCTCAACTGATCTGCCCACCTCAGACTCCCAAAGTGCTGGAATTACAGGCATGACCCACCATGCCTGGCTGCTTTTATGAATCATTACAAATCCTTTAAGGGTAGAGTAGTATTCACCTTTTTGTTCTCCACAGTGTCTAACAGAATATCTTGTGTTTACAACTCAATACATTTATCTTTTTAATGAATAATTGAATTCATACACATTATAGCTTAACTTCAGTCAGTTAAGTCAGAACTACAAAATTTGTGTAATTGCATCTTGGTGTAAAGGAAAAACTACTTCCTCAAATCATTGATCCAGCGTTGATAGTCTCTGTAATTAATTGCTATGGCAAATCAAGATACATATTTAATACATTTATTTTAATTTGGTTAACTTTTCTCTGACATGTTACATTTAAAAGAACCCAAACCTACAGAAAAGTCTTTCTTTTTGATGATGGTTGCATAGACTACTTGTTCCATTTTGTAAAAAAATCTTTTGATTTGATGGTCAAGTGATTTGGGTAACTGACAGTAAATTTCAGTAAGTTTCAGGTAGGTTGTCCAATCTATGTTTAACTGTTGGAGTCTTTGTTGGAGACTGTCCAAAGTTCCTAATTACAGGAGATTAGCAGATTGGAAAAAATAATGTAATTGGGTAAACTCAGAGATTAAATTGATCTGCTGCATCCACCCCAGTGGTTTCAGGGAATGAAGATAAAAGAATGCCTTAATCATTGGTTCATTGAAAAAACAACATGGAAAAAAAAAGTAATGATATAATAGAGCAATGGGGAAGCACTCACAAAAACACTACTGGTTGGCCGGACACAGTGGCTCAGCCTGTAATCCCTAGCACTTTGGGAGGCCGAGGCAGGTGGATCACCTGAGGTCAGGAGTTCGAGACCAGCCTAGCCAACATGGTGAAACCCTGTCTCTACCTAAAGTACAGAAAATTAGCTGGGCATGGTGGTACGCACCTGTAATCCCAGCTACTCAGGAGGCTGAGGCAGGAGAATCGCTTGAACCCGGGAGACACTGGTTGCAGTGAGCCGAGATCGTGCCATTGCACTCCAGACTGGAGGACAAGAGCGAGACTTCGTCTCAAAAAAAAAAAAAAAAATTGCTGTTTAAAGTATTTTGGTGAACCTTATTTGAAGGTTATTTGCTGATTAAGATAAGTAGAAGCTATTTCAATGTTAATTTTGTCCCTCCACCCATGAAATCTGGTTTATGCTCTCACTTAATGGATAGTGTAAAATAGCTGAACTGAAGATTGGAACATTTCATGAGAAATTTAATCCACCTGTCCAGGGTTTATTTAAAGCCTGTGATATTTGATCACTTCACTAAAACAACTTAGGACCATGCTGACCATGCTGATTTAGTTGGGCCACATTTTCTAAGATGCTATGCATTATCACAAATGATACAATTATACTATAAGGTCTAACAGCTAATTTCTGCTCAATAGAATTTCTAGGGGGAAATACTGAAGATTAATTTATGTGCTGTTCATGGTCAGAAATAAAAAACAGTGTAAATACTGTGTTTTCCTTCAAAAGTGGAGAAAGGAAAAAATGTATTTTTCTGTCCTGACTTTTCAAAAAACTCAGTCAAATTCACTGCCCAAGAAATGTGATTTGCTAAATTCTGAAATGAAAAAGTATCCTGTCTTCTCACTTCTTAATTTTTTGAGACAAGAGTCTTGCTCTGTTATCCAGGGTGGAGTGTGGTGGCACGATCTCAGCTCACTGCAACCTAACCTTCACCTCTTAGGTTCAAGCGATTCTTGTGCCTCAGCCACCTGAGTAGCTGGGACTACAGGTGTGCTCACTGCATTCTCCACCTCCTGGGTTCAAGCAGTTCTCGTGCCTGAGTCTCTTGAGTAGCTGGGATTACAGGTGTATGCCATCACACCTGGCTAAATTTTGTATATTTTATAGAGACAGGGTTTTTTCATGTTGCCCAGGCTGGTCTCAAACTCCTGAGCTCAAGCAATCCGCCCACCTTGGCCTCCTAAACTCCTGGGCTTACAGGCGTGAGCCATCACACCCAGCCATTCTCACTTCTTTCTTGTGTGTTTCATAAAAAATTTAAAATTTTTATGGCTTTTTTTTTTTGAGTTTTACTTTTTTGCCCATGTTGGCACTCCAACGTGGTGTGATATCGGCTCACTGCATCCTCCGTCTCCCAGGTTGAAGCAATTCTTTTGCCTCAGCCTCCTGAATAGCTGGGATTACAGGCGTGTGCCACCACACCCGGCTAATTTTTGTATTTTTAGTAGAGATGGTTTCACCATGTTGGCCAGGCTGGTCTCGAACTCCTGACCTCGTGATCCACCCGCCTGGGCCTCCTGAAGGGCTGAGATTACAGGCTTGAGCCACCGCTCCCAGCCTGGCATAGTACACAGTATTCCCTTATACCCTACCCTGAGGTTTCTTTTTTTTCCTCTCTCTCTCCACACAGTTTTTACCCTGAATTCTTTGAGAGTAAGTTTCAGAATGGTGTTTCTTTTCTTTTCTTTTTTTGAGATGGAGACTCACTCTTTTGCCCAGGCTGGAGTGCAGTGGCATGATTTCAGCTCACTGCAACCTCCACCTCCCAGGTTCAAGCGATTCTCCTGCCTCAGCTTCCTGAGTAGCTGGGACTGCAGGCACCCACCACTACGCCTGGCTAATTTTTGTATTTTTAGCAGAGATGGGGTTTCTGCATGTTGGCCAGGCTGGTCACGAACTCCTGACCTCAAGTGATCCACCTGCCTCGGCCTCCCAAAGTGCTAGGATTACAGGCATGAGCCACTGCGTCCAGGCAAGAACAGTGTTTTTTATTTTTTATATTTTGAGACAGAGTTTCACTCTTATTGTCCAGGCTGGAGTGCAATGGCGCGATCTCAGCTCACCGTAACCTCTGTCTCCCAGGTTCAAGCCTCCCAAGTAGCTGGGATTACAGGCATGTGCCACTACGCCTACGCCCGGCTAATTTTGTATTTTTAGTAGAGATGGGGTTTCTCCATGTTGGTCAGGCTGGTCTCGAACTCCCGACCTCAGGTGATCCGCCCGCTTTGGCCTCCCAAAGTGCTGGGATTACAGGCATAAGCCACCACGTCCGGCCTAAGAATGGTGTTTTTTAAACTCCTTACTAGAGTATTTCCTATAAATAAGGACATCTTAGCTTACTGTAAATCATCAAATTAAGGAAATGAACATTTATACAATGCTATTATTATCTAATGTACTAATGTACTGATAAGGAAATTAACATTGATACAATGCTATTATTATTTAATCTACTAATAAGGAAATTAACATTGATACAATGCTATTATTTCATCAGATAATAATTTACTCATCAGTACCTATTCAGATGTCACCAATTGTCCTAATACCTTGTAATTCAGACGCTCATTATGCATTGCATTCAGTTGCTATATCTCTTTAGTCTTTCAATCTGATATTTTCCAAGCGTACAGGTCAGCTATTTTTGAAGAATTTCCCTCAAATTGAGTTTTGCATTTGCTGATGATTACATTCAAGTTATGCATTTTCACAAGAGTATCACAGAAGTGAGTTTGTGATCTCTGCAGCATCGTATCTGGAGACACATGTCAATTTGTGACCTTAACAGATCACTTGGTTAAGGTGTATCTGCCAGGTTTCTCCAGTACTAACTTAGTCTTTCATTTTGTAATTAAGCAATCTTTTGAGAATTTTTTTTTTTAATGAGACATGGTCTCACTCTCACCCTGGCGGGAATGCAGTAGCTCAATCACAGCTCACGGCAGTCTCAAACTTTTGGGCTCACACGATCCTCTCGATTCAGCCTCCAAAATTGCTGGGATTACAGGTGCATGTAAGTATGCCCAGATAATATTTAAACTTTTTTTTTTTTTTGAGACGGAGTCTTGCTCTGTCGCCCAGGCTGGAGTGCAGTGGCGCAATCTCGGCTCACGGCAACCTCTGCCTCCCGGGTTCATGCCATTCTCCTGCCTCAGCCTCCCGAGCAGCTGGGGCTACAGGCGCCCACCACGACGCCCAGCTAATTTTTTGTATTTTTAGTAGAGACGGGGTTTCACTGTGTTAGCCAGGATGGTCTCAATCTCCTGACCTCGTGATCCACCCGCCTCGGCCTCCCAAAGTCCTGGGATTACAGGCATGAGCCACCGCGCCTGGCCTTTTTTTTTTTTTTTTTTTTTTTTTTTTTTTTTTTTTTGAGACGGAGTCTTGCTCTATCGCCCAGGCTGGAGTGCAGTGGCGCGATCTCACTGCAAGCTCCGCTTCCCGGGTTCACACTATTCTCCTGCCTCAGCCTCCCGAGTAGCTGGGACTATAGGCGCCTGCCACCACGCCTGGCTAATTTTTTTTTGTATTTTTAGTAGAGACGGGGTTTCACCATGTTAACCAGTATGGTCTCGATCTCCTGACCTCGTGATCCACCCACCTCGGCCTCCCAAAGTGCTAGGATTACAGGCGTTAGCCACCGCGCCTGGCCAATTTTTAAACTTTTTTACAGACATGGAGTCTTGTTACATTGCCCTGGCTGGTCTTGAACTCCCAGCCTCAAGCGATCCTTCTGCCTCAGCCTCCCAAAATGCTGGGGATACAGGGACACCCTACCAAGCACAGCCTGAGAAGATACATTAAGACTATGTCAATATACTGTTAATTCTCTTTGGTTTTTAGCATCCATTGAGGATCTTTGTTTTTTTTGTTTGTTTGTTTGTTTGTTTTGAGAGGGAGTCTCACTCTTGTTGCCTAGGCTGGAGTGCAATGGCATGATCTCGGCTCACCACAACCTCCACCTCCCGGGTTCAAGCGATTCTCCTGCTTCAGCCTCCTGAGTAGCTGGGACTTATAGGCATGCGCCACCACGTCTGGCTAATTTTGTATTTTTAGTAGAGGCGGGGTTTCACCATGTTGGTCAGACTGGTCTGGAACTCCCAGCCTCAGGTGATCCACCCGCCTCGACCTCCCAATGTGCTGGGATTACAGGCGTGAGCCACCGCGCCTGGCCAATGGACTCTATTTTTAACCCAAACATTTTATCTTGTACCATGTTACCTTTACGTCATCTTGAATTTCTTTCTTTCTCTTTTTTTTTTTTTAAAGAGACAGTGTCTTGCTCTGTTGTCCATGCTGGTGTGCAGTAGTACAATTATGGCTCATTGTAGCCTGAACCTCCTGGGCTCAAGTGATCCTCCTGAGGCATTGGGATTACAGGCGTTAGTCACCATACCTGGCTTTGAATTTTGGGGGTGGGGAGGGCATAGCAATGGTACCTCTTGAGTTTTTAAGAGTAAAGGAGGAAACCTTTTAAGTAATAGTAAAAAATGCTTATGGCTTCTTGTGTCACTCCACTCATGAAATCTAGTTTATACCTTCACTTAAACTAGATCAATATCTGATTGCACAGTGTAGTTAAAATGGCTAAGTTTGGTTTAAGAAAGTTGGAGTCAGGTTACTGTATGGTAAAATGTGGCTGTAGTAACTGGCATATTTTTTAAAAAAAATAGGTATTAGGGAATGAGGCTAACTAGGCATAGAATTCCACGGGAATGTGACATAGACTTCATTCCTTCTTTATCTTGCCCTTCCTGCTCTTATCTTCCACAGAGCTTTATCTTACCAGGACCTTAATACAAACAAAAGAAGCCCAATGCTGAAAGTCAATGGAGATAAAGTAAAATAGAAGATAACCAATTAATCAGTGACAACCTACTCCTCCAATCTGGGACCACCTAGCTGTGAACAAAAGAAAAAAGATTTGTTTATGTACCAGATAGGAAACAAATAGCAGAAAATGCCCTTCAGGTCATGTACAAACACAAAAATTACCTCTGAGTGAAATTTTAGCTTATTATAATAGCATAAGTATAGTACAATCCTATGTACAACTGATAATCCAAGGGCAACATGTCAAAGTGTAGTCAAAATTAATTTGTTATGAAAGAAAATGCAGATTAATCAGTATGATTTAAAAGGAAATCTGGGCCTGGCCTGGTAGCAAATGGTGTCATCTCAGCACTTTGGGAGGTTGAGCTGGGAGGATCACCTGAGCCCAGGATTTCAAGGCTGCAGTGAGTTATGATCTTGCCACGTCACTCCAGCTTGGGTGACAGAATTAGACCCTGTCTCTTAAAAAGCAAATAAATAATTAAGTAAAAAGAAATTCAATGAATTCATTTAATAGTAGTTTTAAATTTTCGAAAGGAATTAAAGGTACAAAGGAAAAGTAAACATTCTCCTGTATACTTGTTCCTCCCTTCTTTCAATCTTAGTCTCATATATCAGAGGTGCAGTCTTGATAGTTTTGTGGGTATCTTTCTAGGTATAGTCTATATACATACAAGTATCTCTATAGTTACATATGTGTAGTATAGACACATGTGTCCACCCCTTCCGTTATTCTCTTTTTTTGAGCCAGAGTCTCTATCACCCAGGCTGGTGTGCAGTGGTAGAAGCTCATCAGCTCACTGTAACCTCCGCCTCCCGGGCTCAAGCGATCCTCCCACCTCAGTCTCCTAAGTAGCTGGGAACACACATGCTCACCACCACACCTGGCTTTTTAAAATATTTTTTGTAGAGACAGAGGGGTCTCACTTTTTTGCCCTGAGCTCAAGTAATCTAGCCCCCTCAGCCTCCCAAAGTGCTGGGGTTACGGGTGTGAGCCAACTGCACCCAACCACGCCCATTCATTTTGAATGGCAGAATTATTTTTAAAGTTTATTTTTATTGTAAATTGACAAACAATAGTTGCATATATTCATGGGGTACAAAACAACATTGCATTTTTATGAATACAACGTGGAAAATTAATCTAATTAACATATTTATCACCTTAAATAACTTATGGTGAGGATATTTGAAATGTACTCAGCAAATTTGCAGTGCACAGTACACTAATAGCTATATTTAACATGCTGTGCAGGTGTCATTAGTTTTTGAAGTGCATTTTACATATTGTGAAATACTCAGATCACAAATATATTATTCAGCGAGTTTTGATGACTGATTTCCCCAGTCTCATTGAGATATGATTTGTATACCATACAGTTCACTCATTTAAAGTGTACAATTCAGGCTGGGCATGGTGGTTCATTCCTGTAATCCCAGCACTTTGGGAGGCCGAGCTGGGCAGATCACTTGAGTTTAGGAGTTCAAGACCAGCCTGGCCAATATGGTGAAACCCCCGTCTCTACTAAAAATACAAAAATTAGCCAGGCGTGGTGGCAGGGGCCTGTAACCCCAGATACCTGGGAGGCTGAGGCAGAGAGAATTGCTTGAACACAGGAGGCGGAGATTGCAGTGAGCCAGGCACTCCAGCTTGAGCGACAGAGCGAGACTTTGTCTCAAAAATAAATAAATAAAATAAAGTGTACAATTCAGTGGCTTTTAGTACATTCACCAATGTGCATCTATCATGACAATCAATTTTAGAACATTTTCATTACCTAAGAAGTAACCCTGTTCTCCTTAGCTGTCATTCCCCAATCCTTCCATTTACCCCAGCCCTTGGCAACCACTAGTGTACTTCCTGTCTCTGGATTTGCCTATTCCAGACATTTCAAACAATGGCATCATATAGTACGTGATACTTAGTGACTGACTTTCACTTTGCATAATCTTTTCCAAGTTTATCTGTTGTAGCATATATCACTACTTTTCTTGAGTAATGTTTCAATGTATGTATTATGTATATAGCTCATTTTCTTTCTATATCCTCCAGTTGTTGGCCATTTGTACACCACCCCCACCCCCAAACACACACACTTTTTAACTACTATGAAGAATCCTGCTATAGTCATTCATGTGGAACTTTTTGTGTGGACATGTTTTCACTCTTCTTGGGTACATACCAAGAAGTGGAACTACTGGTTCCTATGTTAACTCTATGCTTGACTTTAAGAGCCACTGCCAGACCTTTCCAAAGCAGCTTCATCCTTTTATGTTCCCACTACCAGTGGATGAAAGGTTCAGTTTCTCTACATCCTGGTCAACACTTATTAATGTCCATCTTAAAAATTTTAGCCTCCTAGTGGGTGGCAAACTGGTATCTTGAATAGCTAATGGTATTTAACATCTTTTCATGTGCCTCTTGGCCATTTGTATGTTTTCTTTGGAGAACTATCTATTCATATTTAAATTGCGCCATTTGACTGTTTATTATTGAATTATAATAGTACTTTATGTCCTACACACAAGTCCTTTATCAAATGTATGGTTTGCAGTTATTTTATTCTGTTAGTTATGGTCTCATAATTTTGGTTGTGTTCAGTTTATCTTTTTCTTTGGGTAATTATGGTTTTGGTGTTAAAAACAGTTGGCCAGGCATGGTGGCTCATGCTTGTAATCCCAGCAATTTGGGAAGCCAAGGTGGGAGGATTGCTTGAGCCTAGGTGTTTCTTGTTGTTGTTGTTGTTGTTGTTTTGAGACGGAGTTTCACTCTTGTTGCCCAGGCTGGAGTTCAGTGGCGTGATCTCGGCTCAAAGCAACCTACACCTCTTGGGTTCAAGTGGTTCTCCTGCCTCAGCCTCCTGAGCTCAGGAGTTTGAGACTAGCCTGGGCAACGTGGTGAAACCCCGTATTTACTAAAAATACAAAAATTAACTGAGCTTGGTGGCTTGCACCTGTAGTTCCAGCTACTCAAGAGGCTGAGGCAGGAGAATCTCTTGAATCCGGGAGGCGGTTACAGTGAGCTGAGATCGCACCATTGCACTCCAGCCTGGGTGACAGAGTGAGACTCCATCTCAAAAAAAATAAATAAATAAAATTTTAAAATCTGGCTGATTAAATACCAGTTTCCCCTGAGTAGACGATTTGGGGTGTTTCTTCTGGTTTTCCTTCTCTACATCTGTTGCATTTTCAATTTTTTTCTGTAGTGAGACTTTAATAAAATCAAAGAAATTTCAAATTATAATGAAAAACACAAAGGCTAACCTTAGGATTAAAGAACTGAGTGATCAACGTCATGTACATTATGAAATCCATTCCCTATATCTAAAAGTTCTGTTTAAACCTGAGCCTTGAGGGAGAAAAAGGGTCTTGGGAACAGGAGTATGGGCTCTAAACTGAGATAGTTATATGTTTGTCTTTTTTTTATTTGGATATCATTTGATATTTATAAAATGATTACAAAAGTAGTACAAAGAATTCTCTTATACTCTTTATCCAACATCCCCAAATGTTATCTTACATAGCCTTAGTATCAGTCAAAACTAAGATGTTAACAATAACACAGTGCTATTAACTATGTTAAAGATGTAACTCAAATTTGGCCAATATTCCCACGAATGTCCTTTTTTGGGTGCAGGATTCCATATAGGATACCTATGCCCTTCCTTCCTTCCTTCCTTCCTTCCTTCCTTCCTTCCTTCCTTCCTTCCTTCCTTCCCTCCTTCCTCCCTTCCCTCCCTCCCTCCCTCCTTCCCTCTCTCCCTCTTCCCTCTTTGGACAAGGCCTTGCTCTGTCGCCCAGTCTGGATGGAGTGCAGTGGCATGATCTCGGGTCACTGCAGTCTCTACCTCCCAGGTTCTAACAATTCTCCTGCCTCAGCCTCCAGAGTAGCTGGGATTGCAGGTGTCTGACACCAGACCCAGCTAATTTTTGTATTTTTTTTAGTAGAGACGGTTTCACCATGTTCGCCAGGCTGGTCTGGAACTCCTAATCTCAGGTGATCTGCCTGCCTCGGCCTCCCAAAGTGCTGGGATTACAGGCATGAGCCACCACACCCGGCCCCTCATTGCATTTAGTTGTCATTTCTCCTTGATCTCCAACACAGTTCCACACAGTTCCTCAGTGTTGAACAGTTCCACAGTCCTCTTTCAACATAGTTTCTCAGTGTTTGCCTTTCATGACATTGGCAGTTTTAAAGAATCTTGGTCTGTTATTTTGTAGAATGTCCCTGAAATTGGTTTTTAAGAAAATTTTTGTAGAGACAGTGTCTCGCCGTGTTGTCCAGATTGATCTCAAACTCTTTCCCTCAAAGGACCCTCCCGCCTTAGCCTCCCAGGGTGCTAGGATTACAGGCGTGAGCTACTGCTCTTGGCTACTCAAATTGGGCTTGTTTGGTACTTCCTCATAATTAAATTTAGGATATGCATTTTTGGCAATAATCCACAGGAGTCAGGTGCCCTGCTGTGTATCATGTCAGAAAATCACATTATCTGGGTTAACTTTGATCTCTTGGCTTAAGGGTTTTACAGAGATCCTTGGCCAGGTTTCACCTCTGTAAAATTACTGTTTCCCTTTGTAATTAACAAATATTAATATATTGTGGGGAGATACTTGGAGACTATGCAAGTCCTTTAATCGTATTTAGCATCTACTTTGCCTCCAATACATATTAATGTGGTGTTTGCCAAATGGTCATTTTCTGTTTCTACCATTCCTTCTACATCTATTAATGGAAATTCTACTGTAAAAAAAGTGTTGTCCTTTTTCTCCCATTTCTTTGTTCATCAATTATTTGTTATATTAATATAAACTTACAGCTATTTATTTTATTCTATGGGCTATAAACTATTACTGACAAATATATGAAAGGTTAAAATAGGACTGTTGGATAGAAGGGAGGAGGAAACAGCCTACTACATACTGTTTCGAGGTAGTTAGTTTCCTGTTGCTTTGGATACTTGGCAAAGGTTGAGGAATCACTTAATAGAGTTAACAGAGTCCACCCCTGGCATCAGTAGATGGACTCGATGCCCTTGAAGGTCTCTTCTACCTTTGAGATCCTCTCAACGGCTTAAGCAGAAAACACAGATGGCCACTTCATAACTTACTTAACTACTAAGCTTGCATAGTCAGGGTTAGCCTCTGGTGTATCTGTCACATAATTAGTAAAATCCAGCAACACCACCAGGCAACGGGTAAAGTGTGTAGAAATTCAGTGTACATCGAAACAGACCATCCCTGATGATTCCACCACACTCATTTAGCTGAGGTCTCACTTGCAAGACTCAATATACTGATGCCTAAGTAGCTCAAAGCGACTTTTCCTTGGCATGTACAAAGAAGATTATTTCATTTTCTGGTGTTGTTTTCTAGTAACAGCTACACTGCTGTGTGATGTGTTGTCTGCTGCCACCCCAAATCCTTTTCCAGCACTTTTTCCTTTGAATTTCAGCCTTGGATTATTCTCCCCCAGACATTTCCATATTTTTCAGCTGACTTGTGTACATGTTTCCTGCCTCCCCCATTTGTGAAATATTTTCATGAAGCAATATAATAGTTTTAACACACATATTTTCTTTTTTCTTTCTTTCTTTCTTTTCTTTTTTTTTTGAAATGGAGTCTCGATCTGTTGCCCAGGCTGGAGTGCAGTGTCGCAATCTCGGCCCACTGAAACTTCCCCATCCCGGGTTCAAGCAATTCTCCTGCCTCAGCCTCCCAAGTAGCTGGGATTACAGGCGCGTGCCACCATGCCTGGCTAATTCTTGTGTGTGTGTTTTTTGTTTGTTTGTTTCTTTCTTTTTTTAGACGGAGTCTTGCTCTTGTTGCCCAGGCTGGAGTGCAATGGCGCTATCTTGGCTCACCGCAACCTCCGCCTTCCGGGTTCAAGCAATTCTCCTGCCTCAGCCTTCCGAGTAGCTGGGATTACAGGCATGCGCCACCACACCCAGCTAAGTTTATATTTTTAGTAGAGGCAGGGTTTCTCCATGTTGGTCAGGCTGGTCTGGAACTCCCGACCTCAGGTGATCTGCCCACCTCAGCCTCCCAAAGTGCTGGGATTACAGGCGTGAGCCACCGTGCCTGGCCTTATTTTCTTTTTCTCTTTCTTTCTTTCTTTCTTTCTTTCTTTCTTTCTTTCTTTCTTTCTTTCTTTCTTTCTCTCTCTCTCTCTCTCTCTCTCTCTCTCTCTCTCTCTTTCTTTCTTTTCCTTCCTTCTTTCTTTCCTTCTTTCTTTCTTTCTTTTTTTTGAGACGGAGTCTTGCTCTGTCGCCCAGGCTGGAGTGCAGTGGCGCAATCTCAGCTCACTGCAAGCTCCGCCTTCCGGGTTCACGCCATTCTCCTGACTCAGCCTCCCGAGTAGCTGGGACTACAGGAGTCCGCCATCACGCCCAGCTAATTTTTTTTTGTATTTTTAGTAGAGATGGGGTTTCACCGTGTTAGCCAGGGTGGTCTCGATCTCCTGACCTCGTGATCTGCCCGCCTCGGCCTCCCAAAGTGCTGGGATTACAGGCGTGAGCCAGTGCGCCCGGCTTCTTTTTCTTACTGTATGTTCTCTTACAACATCAGTTAAATTTTCTTCCCTTTTAGTAGCCTGTAGTTATTGGTCTCATTTATTATTGGCCCAACACTTGGATTTTACTCATTTTCACTTAATTGTTAAATTTAGAAGGTCTTAGGTTTTATTTGAATTTCTACTAGCCAAGTTTGCCCGCTCCTGGCAAGGGTCCTTTGTTGACTGTATTTGATCCAGTATCTAGTCCCTATGATTGCACTGTCTCAAGCCGATTTGTTTGAATCAGTTTTGCAAAGAAAATGCCAAGAAGCCTTGTAGAAATTGCTTTATTATTAATATTCAGATGTAGAATGCCTGCCAAGGCTTCATCACACAGGAGCCTTGGGGTCTCAAAAGTCCCATTAGTTTTTGCTGCTGTCATCTCATTTGTTAGCAGGCATCAAAGTCGCTTAAAAGCGGGTCACAAAAGGCTACTTGGCAACGTTCCACAGAGGTGTAGATTAAAGATATTTTAGGGTCAGGATGTAACTTTAACAGAAAACCTTCAGTGTTCACATATCAGGAAATCACATGGTTTTCTGGTGTTATTTTTACCTATTTTCATAAAAAGCCTTACACTCAGCTGTGTTGGTCTTTGCAACCTTCCTTAATTGTATGATTTTAAGATTCATTGTTGTTTTTAGTTGTGTAACACCAATCTTTTTGGACCTCTGGAATTCATACTATTGAAGTAATGCAGTCCCAGATTTGAATTTATCTGTTTATAACTGTTAGGAAATACTTAGAGTGAGCCAAGTGTAATGGCTCACACCTGTAATCTCAGCACTTTGGGAGGCTGAGGCAGGTGGATCGCTTGAGCCCAGGAGTTTGAGACCAGCCTGGGAAACATGAAGAGACCCAGTGTCTATAAAATACAAAAAAGCCTGGCATGGTATCTACATGCCTGCAGTCCCATCTACTCAGAAGGCTGAGGGGGGAGAATCACTTCAGCCCACAAGTTCCAGAGTGAGGTGAACCGAGATGGTGCCACTGCACTCCAGCCTGGGCAACAGAGTAAGAACGAGACCCTATCTCAAAAAAAAGAAAAAAAAAAAGAAAAGAAAAAGAAAAGAAAATACTTAAAGGGGGAGGGAAAATACGGTGTCCTTTTCTGTATGGTTGTACTGACTTCTAATGTCTTTTAAAAATGTTTTCTTTTTTACTTTGTCTCTCTCTTTTTCTCTTTACTCGTTTTTTTATTTTTTGTTTTGTTTTGTTTTGTTTTGTTTGGACACAAGGTCTCATTCTGTTTCCCAGGCTGGAGTAAGGTGGCATGAGCAGCTGGGACCTAGATACTATTTATTTGCTTGCTTGTTTGTTTGTTTATGTAGATACAGAGCCTCTCTATGTTTCCCAGGCTGGTCTCGAACTCCTGGCCTCAAGGGATCCTCCTGCCTCAGCCTCCGAAAGTGCTGGGGTAACAGGTGTGAGCAACTGCACCTGGCCTAGACATTTATTATTGTCTTTTTCTTTATTTTAAATTTATTTTATTACTTTATTATTATTATTTTGTTTTTGAGACAGTCTCACTCTGTCACCAGGCTGGGGTGCAGTGGCATGATCTCAGCTCACTGCAACCTCTGCCTCCTGGGTTCAAGCAGTTCTCCTGCCTCAGCCTCTCGAGTAGCTGGGATTATAGGTATGCGCCACCACACCCAGCAATTTTTTTATATTTTTGGTAGAGACGGGGCTTCACCATGTTAGTCAGGCTGGTCTCGAACTCCTGACCTCAAGTGATCTGCCCTCAGACTCCCAAAGTGCTGGGATTACAGATGCAAGCTACTATGACTGGCCCCTTGTTATTTTATTATTTATTTATTTATTTTGAGATATTCTCATTCTATCGCCGAGGTTTAAACTTTAGGTTGTGAAATATTCATGCAAGTCTGTCTTTAAGACATTTGTACAGTTAAGAATTATTAGAAAAAGAACACTTGGATGGGCGTATTGGCTCATGCCTGTAATCCCAACACTTTGGGAGGCCGAGGCGGTGGATCACCTGAGGTAAGAAGTTCGAGACCAGCCTGGCCAACATTGTGAAACCCCGTCTGTATTAAAAATACAAGAATTAGGCTGGGCGCAGTGGCTCATGCCTGTAATCCCAGCACTTTGGGAGGCCAAGGCGGGCGGATCACCTGAGGTCAGGAGTTCAAGACCAGCCTGGCCAACACGGTAAAACCCCGTCTCTACTAATAAAATACAAAAATGAGCCAGGTGTGGTGGTCCGTGCCTGTAATCCTAGCTACTCAGGAGGCTGAGACAGGAGAATCACTTGAATCCGGGAGGCAGAGGTTGCAGTGAGCCAAGCTCACGCCACCGTACTCCAGCCTGGGTGACAGCAAGATTCTGTCTCCGAAAAAAAAAATAAATAAATAAAATAAAAATACAAAAATTAGGCGGATATGGTGCTGGACGCCTGTAATCCCAGCTACTCGGGAGGCTGAGTTAGGAGAATCGCTTGAACCCGTGAGGCAGAGGCTGCAGTGAGCCGAGATCGTGCTACTGCACTCCGGTCTGGGTGACAGAGCGAGACTCTGTCTCAAAAAAAAGTAAAAAGAAAACTCAATCACCATGCAGTTAAGAAATAAAGTGGCCGGGCGCGGTGGCTCACGCTGTAATCCTAGCACTCTGGGAGGCCGAGACGGCAAATCACCCGAGGTCAGGAGTTCAAGACCAGCCTGGCCATCATGGTGAAACCCCGTCTCTACCAAAAAAATAAAAAAATACAAAAATTAGCCAGGCGTGATGGCAGGTGCCTGTAATCCCAGCGACTTGGGAGGCTGAGATGGGACAATCTCTTGAACCTGAGAGGCGGAGGTTGCAGTGAGCTGAGATCGCACCACTGCACTCCAGCCGGGGCGGCTGAGCGAGACTATGTCTAAAAAAAAAAGAAGAAAGAAAGCACTGCCGTGCCCGGCCCCCAAATATTTATTATTATTATTACTATTATTATTTTTGGGGGGGACAGAGTCTTACTCTGTTGCTCAGGCTGGAGTGCAGTGGCGTGATCTCGGCTCACTTGGCTGGGATTATAGGCACCCACCAACACGCCCAGCTAATTTTTTGTATTTTTAGTAGAGATGGGTTTCGCCATGTTGGCCAGGCTGGTCTCCAACTCCTGATGTTAGGTGATCCGCCCGCCTTGGCCTCCCAAAGTGTTGGGGTTACAGGCATGAGCCACTGCCCCCGGCCGAAATGACAGTTTTTTAACAAAACAAATTGAGAGAAGAATGCAATAAAGGCCACTAAATCTGTTTTCTCAAGAAAACAAGTCTTTTTCTCTGAGTGAATGACTAGAAGGTGTCGTCGTTAAGTTTAAATCTCTTAATAAGAGTTTTCTACATGATTATGCCAGTATTACAATTCCTTTACATTATCAAAGTTCATCCTTAGATTTCTCCAGTTGTTTCCCAAATAAAACAATTTTGAGCCTGGGGGACAAGCACCAAGATCTGTCCTTGAAGTCCAGGAAGGGATAGCATTGCAATCAAATCAGTAAGTACAATCAATGGATTTGATAGAGAGCTGTGTAGGGATAGTAAAGGGAGGGGTGCTTAGTTTTATCTAACTGAAGCTGGTGAAGAAATGTGTAGTTTACTGTCACCTTTGTCCAGTTCTTAGAGATGAATGGGTGATTTTGGGGCTGCTGGACCGGGGAAGGATCGAATAACAAGGGCATTCTAGGACTTGAAGCAAGGCTGCTTGAAATAGCATTTGGCAAGGCTCCAGACCTAAGGAAATCATGCAGAGGCTGTGGTTTTCTAAAACCCCTCCTAGGTGATGTTGATGTTTAGCAGGTGCAGAATGCAGCCTGAAGGAATGAGAGTTTCATATTAGAAGGAGCCCCTTAAAACTGCAGTCTAATGTTTGAAATTTGGGTAGGGCAGCTAAGAAACTGACTTTGTGATTTCATTTCAATCAATTTAAATTTGAAAACTGAAGCAACAGAAAACATTTTTCTCTAAAATAGAAATTCATCGTTTTGGTATCCCTGCATTTTATTTTAGTCACTAAAAATTTAGCATGTATGCCGGGCGCGGTGGCTCATGCCTGGAATCTCAGCACTTGGGAAGCCTGAGGTGGGGGGGTCACCTGAGGTCAGGAGTTTGAGATCAGCCTGAACCACATGGTGAAACCCTGTCTCTACTAAAAATGTGAAAATTATCTGGGTGTGGTGGCGAGTGCCTGTAACCCCAGCTACTTGGGAGGCTGAGAGAGGAGAATCGCTTGAACTTGAGAGACAGAGGTTGCAGTGAGCCGAGATTGTGCCACTGCACTCCAGCCTGGGCGACAGAGAAAGATCTCGTCTCAAAAAATAATAATAATAATTAAATAAAAATGTAGCATCAAATTGAGATGTATTAATTGTAACTTTTACTTTAAAATATATCTATGAAATATAATCAGATATTTAGCTTGTAAGTATTTTTGAAATGTTGAGATATTTTTAATATTGCCTTAAATAAAAGTATATTATTATTTTTAATTTTTTTTTTTTGAGACAAAGTCTCCCTCTGTCACCAGCTTGGAGTGCAGTGGCATGATCTCGGCTCACTGCAACTTCTGCCTCCCGGGTTCAAGTGATTCTTCTGCCTCGGCCTCCCCTCCCAGTAGTTGGGACTACAGGTGCCTGCCACCACACCCGGCCAATTTTTTGTATTTTAGTAGAGACGGAGTTTCACCATGTTGGCCAGGATGGTCTCGATCTCCTGATCTTGTGATCCACCCAATTTGGCCTCCCAAAGTGCTGGGATTACAGGCGTGAGCCACTGCACCCAGCCAAAAGTATATTATTAATATTAATTTCATCTGGTTCTGTTGGTCAGTGCTTACCTAAAACAATATGAACGATTGGAAGTGCTACATACTTAAAGTCACCCTCAATTCTGAGACTAATCCTGTAAGGGTGTGAGTTGATAGAAGATTAGGTTCTGAAAATATTTGTCAGAACAACCACTAGAGTGTAATCTCCATAAATCTGGTATCTTTTTTTATTTTCTTAACCATTTCTAGAGCATGTTTTAGGTACTCTATATTTGTTGAGTGAAGACAGTGAGGCAGAAGGAGTATGAGTAGAGGACACGGGCTGGATGGAAGAGGTGCTAAGTAGATCGACTCTGCTGAACTTGGTGGCTGAATTTGGGTCTTGAACATAGGGGTATTTTGAGAGGAGCCTTGGGTTATTATTAAGTGGGTACTGGGATTAAAGCAGGTATGGGGAAGAGGTTACTCATAACTTTTAGACATGGTTGAGTTTTGTTGTTGTTGTTGTTTTGACACGGAGTGTCGCTCTGTTGCCCAGGCTGGAGGGCAGTGGTGCTATTTTGGCTCACTGCAACCTCTGCCTCCCATGTTCAAGATATTCTCCTGCCTCAGCCTCCTCCTGAGTAGCTAGGATTTTAGGCACCTGCCACCACGCCCAGCTCATTTTTGTATTATTAGTAGAGATGGGGTTTCACCATGTTGGCCAGGTTGGTCTCAAACTGCTGACGTCAGGTGGTCTGTTTGCCTCGGCCTCCCAAAGCGCTGGGATTACAGGCATCAGCCACTGTGCCTGGCCTAGACGTGGTTGACTTTTGTCTGGTGAAGATATCCAGTTGGTGGTTGACTGAGTTTGGAATTCAGGAGAAAGATCTTGTCTTGATAGGGGAGTTATCAGCAAATAAGTGTAGGTTGATGCCAAGTATGTGGACAAGTGGAGAGATTGGACAGAGGGCATAGGGGAACACCATCATTTATAGGTGGACGTGGGAGCCAGCAAAGGTAAGTGAAATAAAGAGTGGAGAATTGAAGTGACGACGATCCTAAAGAAGTGAGTAATACTATCAAAATATATTCTAGTCAGGTGCGGGGGCACTCAGCCTTTTATCCCAATACTTTGGGAGGCTGAGGCAGGAGGATCCCTAGAGCCCAGGAGTTTGAGACCAGCGTGGGCAACATAATGAGACCTTGTCTCTACAAAAAATTTTAAAATTAGCCAGGCATGATGGTGTGTGCCTGTATTCCCAGCTACTTGGGAGGCTGAGGCAGGAGGAGACTCGAACCCAGGAATTCAAAGGTGCAGTGAGTTGTGATTCTGCCACTGAATTCCAGCCTAGGCAATAGTGCCAAACTTTGTCACAAAAAACAAAACAAAACAAAAGAAATATATTAAAAACAAAGATGATTCTGGCATTCCATTGAATTTGGCAGTGGGGACTACGTTGGTGAATAGTTTCAACATAGTGGTGGGAACAAAAACCTAATTGTAGTAGATCGAAGAGTGCATGTTAGACAGACAGTGATTGCAGACAATTATTTGGAGGACTTTGGTTGTAAAATGGTGCAATGTGGTAGGGTATTAGCTAACTATCCCCAGAAGATTTTGTTTTCTTTCTTCTTTTTTTTTTTTTTTTTTTTTTGTATTTTTAGTAGAGCTGGGTTTTGCCATGTTAGACAGGATGATCTCCATCTCCTTATCCGCCCACTTCAGCCTCCCAAAAGTGCTGGGATTACAGGCGTGAGCCACCACCCAGGTTTTGTTTTCTTAAGATAGGAAAGACCTGCTTGTTATTGCCTGTGGGGAAAGAGCCAGCAGGGGACGATTTACAGATCTCCAAACTTTGGCTCCAGAAAGCTGATTTTTCTCTTAGGAATGTGTAAACACGTCTGTGCATATTACCACCAGCTAAGTGCTTGATGGTAAATAAATACTCGGTATTCTTGCAGCTTATGTTCTTAGAAAGCTGAGACGTAAATAGACATTACTTTTTTCTTTAAGGGGTAACATTTGAGGAACTGACTAGAGACCCAAGACCACAGGGGCAATAGTGAAAGAACTAAAAGCCTAAACGTTGATTGGTGGCTTGTCGGATCATGAATTAACTAGTTATCTGATGGCCTTCTGCTTGGAGTTAGGCAAGGTCCCTGAAAGCTATCTTTGATCATGAGGGAGCATTCCACGAAAGATGACTTGATATTGGCTAAACCCTAGTAGAAAACAGGATCTGGCCGGGCGTGGTGGCTCATGCCTGTAATCGCAGCACTTTGGAAGGCCTAGGCGGGTGGATCACGATGTCAGATCGAGACCATCGTGGCTAACATGGTGAAACCCTGTCTCTACTAAAAATACAAAAAAATTAGCGGGGCGTGGTGGCGGGCGCCTGTAGTCCTAGCTACTCAGGAGGCTGAGGCAGGAGAATGGCGTGAACCCGGGAGGCGGAGCTTGCAGTGAGCCGAGATCCCGCCACTGCACTCCAGCCTGGGTGACAGAGCCAGATTCCCTTTCAAAAAAAAAAGAAAGGGTGCAGGGCGGGTGGAGTCGCGGAGTAGTCCTCATGGCCTCCACGCCGGAGCCCGGTGAGCCCGAGGAGAGGAAGTCCCTTAAGCTCCTAGGATTTTTAGATGTTGAAAATACTCCCTGCGCCCGGCATTCAATATTGTATGGTTCATTAGGATCTGTTGTGGCTGGCTTTGGACATTTTTTGTTCACTAGTAGAATTAGAAGATCATGTGATGTTGGAGTAGGGGGGTTTATCTTGGTGACTTTGGGATGCTGGTTTCACTGTAGGTATAATTATGCAAGGCAAAGAATCCAGGAAAGAATTGCCAGAGAAGAAATTAAAAAGAAGATATTATATGAAGGTACCCACCTCGATCCTGAAAGAAAACACAACGGCGGCAGCAGCAATTGAACAATCTTGAGCATAGAAAAGAAGTCAATGTAAACGAAGTTAAGATCAACCACATAAAACATTTCATGTGCAATAAGCTCTCAATCAAGTAAATAAAGTTTAAGTTGTAAAAAAAAAAAAAAAAAGAAAGAAAACAAAATTGTCTTAAGAAAACCAGATTTGTCATAGGAAGAATCTCCTGAACTCTTAAGGAGCATTTAAATGGTATTTGAATTTTAAAAAAAAAAGGACAGATCACCTGAGGTCAGGAGTTCGAGAGCAGCTTGTCTAACGTGGTGAAACCCCGTCTCTACTAAAAATACAAAAATTAGCTGGGCGTGGTGGTGGGCGCCTGTAATCCCAGCTACTAGTGAGGCTGAGGCAGGACAATCACTTGAACCCAGGAGGTGGAGGTTGCGGTGAGCCAAGATTGCCCCACAGCATTCCACCCTGGGTGACAGAGTGAGACCTCATCTCAAAAAAAACAAAAACAAAAAAACAAAGTGTTGTTGAAGTCTGCCTTCTATATTGAGCCTTTACAGTATGAGTGAACATAAACCTTATTTGTAAAACTAGTGTGATTTAATCTTGTCTGATTAATCTATATTTGTATGGTCTTTTAATTTGTTTTTTTAAAAATTAATATGGAAATTTATACTGGGTTTTTTTTTTATTGTCTTGTTTTGTTTTTTGAGAGACAGTCTTCCTCTGTCACCCAGGCTGGAGTACAGTGGTGTGACCACGGTTCACTGCAAACTCTGCCTCCCAGACTCCAGTGATCCCTTCCACTTTAGCCTCCTGAGTAGCTGGGACGGCAGGCATGCATCACCATGCCTGGCTAATTTTTGTATTAGGTTAGTGCAAAAGTAACTGCGGTTTTTGCCATTACTTGTAATATTTTTTGTAGAGATAGGGTTTCACCATATTGAAGGTGAAACCCCACGCTGGTCCTGACCTCAAGTGATCTGCTCACCTTGGCCTTCCAAAGTGCTGGGATTGCAGGCATGAGCCACGGTGCCCAGCCCTGGGGTATTTTTTAATGCTAATAAGTTTTCACTGGCTCTTAGTCTCCCAGTTATATGAAAGTATAAAATATGATGAAAAAGGTAAAAATATAGAACATATCAGGATTATAGAGAAATGAGGAGGGTTTGTAGTCCAAGGAATATTTGGAGGGAAAATGGACCATGACCTTTGACCACATCCTCAAGGAATGGATTATTTTTGTGAGAAACAGTCTCACTCTCAGCTCACTGCAGCTTTGACCAGCTGGGCTCAAGCGATTCTCCTGCCTCAGCCTCTTGAGCAGCTAGGACTTCAGGCACGCACCACTACACCTGGCTGATTTTTAAATTTTTTGTAGATACGGGGTTTCACCATGTTGCCTAGACTGTTCTTGATCTCCTGGACTCAAGCAATCCTCTTGTCTAGGCCTCCCAAGGTGCTGGCTGGCATTACAGGCATGAGCCACCGCAACTAGCTAAGGATTGGATTCTAAATTGAGTTCTAAATTTACCCATTTTCCCTAGCAGCTTGCTCTGAACTCAGTGTGTACTGTAAATATTGATTTTGGACATAAGATGGTAATATTTTGAAGAGCAATGCTATACTCCTACAACTCACAGTTAACATCCTTTGACACACAAATGAATAAAACAGGCCAGTGGATTTGGAAATTTGATAATCTGTACAATCTAAGAAAGTAAACTACCAAAAGAAGTAACTTAAATTCATTGTAACTTTAATTCAGTGCATCTTAGTTAGCATTAGTATCCAGTGGAATTCATTGTGAATGTTAACACTTACTATTTGCTACTGAATTGTTAATTTTAAAACAGTGCCTGGGGGTTAGACACTAGGACCTTGTTGTTAGACCTCTGGTTTGAGGCCTGGTTCTTGATACTGATCTGAATAAGAAATGTTCAGTGAGTGGAAATACTAATATTACTTAGTGGGAGATGCAAATGAGAGAATTCCTATGAAGTACTGTTCATAATGATACCTGGCAAGTAGTAAATTCTCAGTACATAATAATAGGTATTCATAAATGTTCTTTTTTGTTTGTTTGTTTGTTTTGAGATGTAGTCTCACTCTGTCGCCCAGTCTGGAGTGCGGTGCTGTGATAGCTCACTGCATCCTCCGCCTCCCAGGTTCAAGCAATTCTCCTGCCTCAGCCTCCTGTGTAGCTGAGATTACAGGTGTGTGCCACCATGCCTGGCTAATTTTTGTATTTTTAGTAGAGACTTGGTTGTATATTTTGTATATTTTAGTAGAGACTGGGTTTCACCATGTTGGCCAGGCTGGTCTCAAACACCTGACCTCGTGATCCGCCCACCTCAGCCTCCCAAAGTGCTGGGATTACAGGCATGAGCCACCATGCCTGGCGCAATATATATATATAATATATATATTTTTTCCAATATTCTTTTATTAATTGTGAGTTTGAGACTGGAATTACTAGGTTTTTCTCAAATGTTGGAGGACAAGTAGAAAAGGAAAGGTTTTTCTCAAATGTTGGAGGACAAGTAGAAAAATGCCTATCTAATAGGCATTTTTCCTTTAAATAAGTCAGTTCATTTCAACATATACTAAAGTCCAGCAATTTGGCTGGGTCTGGTGTCTCACACCTGTAATCCCAGCACTTTGGGAAGCTAAAGTGAGAGGACTGCTTAAGCCCAGGAGTTTGAGACCAGCCTGGGCAACATAGCAAGACCCTGTCTCTTAACAGAAACAACAACCTACAGTTTATAGGAATACATTGATTCATTTAATCCTCACAATGAACTTCTTTAATACATGTTATTACTAGCTCTGCTCCAAAGTTTGTTGTTTGATTCCTGCCAAACCCATGTTCTTAAAAATATATAAAATAGCTAAGATACTGAAAAGAATAATACACTAATCACCAGAGTTGGTTATTAACCTTAAGCATGGGTGGGGGATTGTTCATGGTAAGTGTGAAGAATGAGAAGGTAGTAGGTTTTGCTTTAGAGTCCTCTAGGGCCTGGGCAAGGTGGCATATGCCTGTAATCCCAGCCTTTTGGGAGGCTGAGGCAGGCGGATCACGTGAGCTCAGAAGTTTACAGACCAGCCTAGGCAACAAACCGAGACTCAGTCTCTACCAAAAACAAAACAACGAAGTGAAAATAAAGTAGAGTCCTCTAGGAGTAGGCTCATCAAGGGGCCAAGAGGTGTGAGAGTGAAGCTTCAAGGAAGATCTACATTTTAGAGAGTTTTAAGTGAAAATTCTCCTTGGAGGTCTACAAACCAGACCATTAAGGGGTCATGGCAAGTTAAGTCTGTGGTATTTAAGAAATGATTGAATCTGACTGATAATTCAATTATAATTTGGTAGAAGTTTAAGATATTTGAATAAGGAGGGAAATTGGTAGAATGACAGTTTGAGGCAGATTGGGTGGTCTTAGAAGGTTTTTCCTCCTTTGGGAATAAATTATACTGGCTCATAGCCCCAAAGAAAAAGGAAGATAGCCAGGAATACTTGTGAACAGAGAGCATTAACTCTTAGGTCAGTCATGATTTGCTACACATTTGGAGCCAATCTTCAATTTGCACGTTAAAAAAAATTAAATAGAGGTTTTTGATCCCTCCCTCAATTAACAACCTGCTCAACTTCCCCTCTGCCCTTCACTCCAGCCCTGATTTGAAAGGATTTCTTGTGAGTTCTAAGAAGCCCTGGACAGATGAGGGTGGAGTTCTCGTTTGGGGTAGGAATGAGAAAATTAGAATATCAAAGTAATCCCAGCACTTTGGGAGGCCAAGGCAGGAGGATATCTTTAGCCCAGGAATTTGACACTACTAGCCTGGGCAACAGAGTGAGACCTTGTCTCTACAAAAGCAAAAGTAGCTGAGCTTCAGGGGATCCCTTGAGCCTGAGAGATCGAGACTGTAGTGAGCTGTGATCCTCTTACTGCACTACAGCCTCGGTGATAAAGTGAAAAGGAAAGAAGCCTGGCTCTAGTGAAGAGATTCTGGAAACTTCTGAAGCCTCTGCTGTGGCTCCCATCCAGCCTAGATATGGAAGAGCCATGAGGCCCTACATCACCAAGGTAAGGAGAGTGGAGTCTAGGGTCACACAGTTTCTCAGATCCACTTTTGGGGCAGCACTTTCTTTGACCCTGACTTTCTGTGGACTTCGAATCTCTCAGCTGATGGCTGTAGTCAGTAGGGAAACGGATCAGAGGCAAAGCTCCAAGAATATTAGGTATTCGACACTTGGTTTAGCAGCTGACTTTTGTTTTCTATTATTTTACTCGTTGTGTGTGTGTGTGTGTGTGTGTGTGTGAGTGTGTGTGACAGAGTCTTGCTCTGTCACCCAGGCTGGAGTGCAGTGGTGCAATTTCGGCTCACTGCAACCTCCGCCTTCCGGGTTCAAGTGATTCTCCTGCCTCAGCCTCCCAAGTAGCTGGGATTACAGGCACGTGCCACCATGTTCCGCTAATTTTTGTGTTTTTAGTAGAGATGGGTTTTCACTGTGTTGGTCAGGCTGGTCTCGAACTCCTGACCTCTGGTGATTCGGCCTCCCAAAGTTCTGGGATTATAGGCATGATTCACTGCTCCTGGCCAGCTTTCTTTTTATCCCTAAAAAAAGAAAAATAAATTGATGGCTGAAATTCTGAACTAGTCAAATTAGTTCATTTCACTTCTTTGGGAAAATAAGGTTGTTGGAAAAACTTTGGGAAAAACTGTTGTACAGGTCTTCTTTGAAGAGATTTTTGTTGCTTTTGCCTTAAATGTTCATTTTAGATTTCTCCTTAGGTGAATCTTTGGTGGGTAGCCAGTTGTTTCCTATTCTTTTTTTTTTTTTTTTTTTTTAAGAGACAGAGCCTCATTCTCTCGCCCTCAGGCTGGAGTGCTGTGGTGCCATCTTGGCTTACTGCAACCTCTGCCTTCCAGGTTCAAGAGATCTCGTGGTCGGGCACAGTGGCTCACACCCTGTAATCCCAGCATTTTGGGAGGCCAACATGGCAAACCCCGTCTCTAGTAAAAATACAAAAATTAGCCCAGTGTGGTAGGGCACACCTGTAATTCTAGCTACTCAGGAGGCTGAGGCAGGAGAATCACTTGAACCTGGGAGATGGTTGCAGTGAGCCAAGATGGCGCCACTACACTCCAGCATGGGTGACAGAGTGAGACTCCGTCTCAAAAAAAAAAAAAAGATTCTAGTACCTCAGCCTCCAAAGTAGCTGGGATTACAGGCATGTGCCACCTCGCCTGGCTAATTTTTGTAGTTTTCGTAGAGCCAGGGTTTTGCCATGTTGGCCAGGCTGGTCTTGAACTCCTTACCTCAAGTGACCCACTCACTGCAGCTTCCAAACTGTTGGGATTACAGGCGTGAGCCACCATGACCAGCCAATCTTTTCTTTTTATTTAAATTTGGTTTAATTAAATGGCCAGTGGTACTGGGCACTGTATGGTGGTTGGTTGCAGAACAGGGCCTGACCTCTATACTTCTTAGTAGTGTCAGTGGGAGGAAGTGAATACAGTATCTTAAAGTCAACATTATGAAGGCACCAGTGGTTGTCTCTGAGTTTTTTCCAAAAACACTCAGTTTTCAGGCTGACAGCATAGGTCCTGACAGTGTCATTTCTGATTAGACAAATACTTTGTGGTCTGCCCATTGTAGTGTTTCACATAATACTTTGTTAATAATTTGGTCTTTCCTCAACAATTTGATATATTTACTTTATGCATTCTCAAGAGAAATGAAAATTGGATGTTGGTGAGTGGAGGACAATCTGAGACATTACAATTGGGTCACAGTACCCAAATGGTATGTCCGTGGTATTAAAATTTCACGGAGAGGGTTATTAGGGAAAAAAATGTCTAAAAAAGCCTGGAGGGAATGGTTATTGGTGAAGATGAAAAACAGTTGACAAACCCTGAGCTACCTCTAGTAAAGGTCTTACTTGACCATGTCAATGAACAGACTTCGAAAGGCTTTATTTTTCTATATGATTTGAGTAGCTGTTTCTTTATGGGTTGTTGTTGTTTTTGGAGTAGCTGTTTCTTGATACAGGAAATACTGCATGTATGGAGTTTGTGTGTGTGTGTGTGTGTGTGTGTGTGTGTGTGTGTGTGTGTGTGGTGGAGGGGCTATAGTCAGATTCTGTTCAAATGACTCAGTCATTTCAGAATAAAACACCACATTGCTCCTTTAGACTGGGTATAAGATTATCAAGACAATGGGAATCTGGAAAAATGAGAAAATGGAGAGGGCGTAGGAACTACTAGACCCAGACTTGATCTAAGGAGTTCAACATTATTCTTGCTTCAGGGTGGGTAGGATGGTCCCAGAGCAAGTTCTCGTCTTAGGATAATTTTTAAAAGTGATATGAAATATAACTAATAAAAAAGTTCAAGGGTTCTTAATTAAGCTCATTAATTAATGTGAATGTCTTATGAAGATTTTCTTTTCTTTCTTTCTTTTTTTTTTCTTTTAAGACAGAGTTTCACTCTGTTGCTCAGGCTAGAGTGTAGTGAGGTCAGGAGTGCGAGACCAGCCTGGCCAACATGGCAAAACCCAGTCCCTACTAAAAATACAAAATTTAGTTGGGTGTGGTCCTGTGAGCCTGTAATCCCAGCTACTCAGGTGGCTGAGGCGGGAGAATCACTTGAAGCTGGGAGACGGAGGTTGCAGTGAGCTGAGATCTTGCCACTGCACTCCAGCTCGGGTGACAGAGCAAGACTCCGTCTCAAAGATTACTATTACTATTATTATTACTACTACTACTACTACTACTATTATTATTATTATTATTATTATTTTAGACAGGGTCTCTCGCCCAGGCTGCAGTGCAGTGGTTCACACTGGGCTCACTGGAACCTGTGCCTCCCAGGTTCACGTGATCCTCCCGCTTCAGCCTCCCAAGTAGATGGGACTATAGGCGTGCACCACCACGCTTGGCTAATTTTTAGTAGAGACCGAGTTTCACTATGTCACCCAGGCTGGTTTCAAACTTCAAGCATGCTGGAGTCAAGTCTGCCTGCCACGGCCTTCCAAAGTGCTGGGAATACAGGCGTGAGCCACCATGCCCCGCCCTTTCTGTACATAAATCTTAGAAGGACCTCAAGATCTTTCCTATAGAGAAATACATACACTGAAATTCTCAGTGTTCTTGGATATGCACATCTGTAAAATTAAAAGTACCAAGTCAAAAAATGAGACTCCTCTTTCTGCAATCCTATTAGTGTTAAACACTAGTAACTTTTTATTTTTTTAAGATGGAGGCTCGCCCTGTCGCCCAGGCTGGAGTGGAGTGGTGCTATCTCGGCTCACTGCAACCTCCTCCTCCCGAGTTCAAGCGATTTTCATGCTTTAGCCATCCGAGTAGCTGGAATTACAGGCATGTGTCACCTCGCCAGGTAATTTTTGTCTTTTTAGTAGAACCGGGGTTTCACCATGTTGGTCAGGCTGGTCTTGAACTCCTGACCTCAGGTGATCCGCCTGCCTCGACCTCCCAAAGTGCTGGGATTACAGGCGGAAGCTGACATGCCCTGTCTGTCATTTATTTTATAGCGGAAGACTTTCTCTACCTTAAATTTTTTTTTTTTTCTGAGAGGGAGTCTCACTCTGTCGCCCAGGCTGGAGTGCAGTGGCTCAATCTCGGCTCACTGCAACCTCTGCCCGCCAGGTTCAAGTGATTCTCCTGCCTCAGCCTTCCGAGTTGCTGGGATTATAGGCGCCTGCCACCGTGTCCAGCTAATTTTTTTATTTTTAGTAGAGATGGGGTTTCACCATCTTGGCCAGGCTGGTCTTGATCTCCTGAACTCGTGAGCCACTGTGCTTGGCCTAAATATTCTTTTTCTTTCTTTCTTTCTTTTTTTTTTTTTTTTTTTTTTTTTGAGATGGAGTCTTGTTCTGTCGCCCAGGCTGGAGTGCAGTGGCGCTATCTAGGCTCACTGCAGGCTCCGCTTCCCAGGTTCACGCCATTCTCCTGCCTCAGCCTCCCAAGTAGCTGGGACTACAGGCGCCTGCCACCACACCCGGCTAATTTTTTTGTATTTTAGTAGAGATGGGATTTCACCATGTTAGCCAGGATGGTCTCTATCTCCTGACCTCGTGATCTGCCCGCCTTGGCCTCCCAAAGTGCTGGGATTACAGGTGTGAGCCACCACCCAGCCTAAATATTATTTTTCTTACATCTCTTGTGTATGTATGTGACATGTAATATTTATACAATATTTATATGATTTTTATGTAATGATATTATGTAAATAAAAATATTTATGTAATATTTATATGATGGTCGCATTTTAGTGTCCATAGTCTTATTGCAATACTACTACACTCATTAGTTTGCATATTATTTTTGAGGCTGCTTACTAGATACAACAGGAGTAACTGTGACAGGTTGTATGGCACATGAAGCCTAAAATATTTACTATCTGACCCTTTACAGAAAAGTTCGCCGAACCTTGGTGTAAACAATGTGTCTTTTGGCAACATGATAATCTGTTTAATCTTAGACATTTTTATTCTTTTTTTTCTTTTTGAGTTGGAGTTTTGCTCTTGTTGCCCAGGCTAGAGTGTAATGGCACGATCTCGGCTCACTGCAACCTCTACCTCCTGGGTTCAAGCGATTCTCCTGCCTGAGAGGCAGGGTGTCACTTTGTTGCTCAGGCTGGAGTGCAGTGATTCCACCACTGATCAGTTATAGTTTTGAATTTCTATGTTTGTGACCTAGGCCAGTTCACATCTCCTTAGGCAACCTAGTCTAGTGGTCTCCTATTCCCAGGAGGTTACCATTTATTTATTTATTTATTTATTTATTTAATTTTATTTTATTTGTTTATTTTTTTTTAAGACAGACTCTCAGGCTGGAGTGCAGTGGCACGATCTCGGCTCACTGCAGTCTCCGCCTCCCGGGTTCAAGCGATTCCCCTACCTCAGCTTCTCGAGTACCTGGGACTACAGGCGTACGCCACCCTGCCCGGCTAATTTTTTTTTTGTATTTTGGTAGAGACAGGGTTTCACCATATTGGTCAAGATGGTCTCGATCTCCTGACCTCGTGATCCGCTCACGTTTGCCTCCCAAAGTGCTGGGATTACAGGCATGAGCCACCGCACCTGGCCTATTTATTTATTTATTGAGACGATGTCTCATTCTTTTAACCTGGCTGGGGAACAGTGGCATAATAGTATCTCACTGCAGCCTTGAACTCCAAGTCTCAAGGGATCCTCTGGCTTCAGCCTCCCCAGTAGGTAGGACTACAGGTTCATGCCACTGCATGCGGCTCTTTGTTTTTTCATTTATTCTTTTACTAAATTTACAAATAAATATTGTGTATATTTATCATGTACAACATGAAGTTTTCAAATGTGTATACACTGTGTAATTGGAGTTATCATTCTTTTTACAATTGGTATCAATGGGAACACTCCACTGTCTCGATTCCTGTGGTATGTCTGATGAGCTGTTTCAAGGTTTTACAAAATTAGTCTGTAGTCCCAGCTTCTCTAGAGCTGAGGCAGGAGACTTGCTTCAGTCCAGCACTTCAAAATCAGGCTTGGCAACATAGAGAGACCCTGTCTCTACAAAAAATAGGAAAAATATAAATTAACCAGTTGTGGTTACAGGCGCCTGTAGACCCAGCTACTCAGAAGGGTGAGATGGAAGGATAACTTGAACCTGGGAGTTCGAGGCTACAGTGAGCCGTTATCGTGCCACTGCACTCCAGCCTGGGGAACAGAGTGAGACCTTGTCTCAAAAAAAAAAGAAAATAAAGTAGATAAATAAGGATTAGAGGAGGAAATAGGGAGTGATTGCTTAAACAGGGCACAGCATTTCTCTTTGGGGTTTTGAAAATGCTCTGGAAGTAGAGAATGGCTATGTTGTACAACAGTACAAATAAACTAAAAACCACTGAATTGTACACTTTTCTTCTTTTTTTTTTGAGATGGAGTTTCACTCCTATTGCCTAAGGTGGAGTGTAGCAGCACAATCTTGGCTCACTGCAACCTCTGCCTCCCGGGTTCAAGCGATTCTCCTGCCTCAGCCTCCTGAGTAGCTGGGATTACAGGCACCCTCCACCACGCCCAGCTAATTTTTGTATTTTTAGTAGATACGGGGTTTTGCCCTGTTGGGCAGGCTGGTCTTGAACTCCTGATCTCAGGTGATCTGCTTGTCTAGGCCTCCCAAAGTGCTAGGATTACAGGTATGCGCTACTGTACCCAGCTGTATTGTACACTTTGCAACTGTAAAGTGATGGATTTCATGTCATGTAAATTCATCTCAATAAGAAAAATTAGGTTGGGTGCAGCGGCTCGTGTCTGTAACCCCAGTACTTTGGGAGGTCAAGGTGAGCAGACCACTTGAATCCAGGAGTTTTGAGACCAGCCTGGGCAACATGGTGATATCCTGTCTCTACAACAAATACAAAAAAATTAGCCAGGCATGGTGGTATGTGCCTGTGGTCCCAGCTACTCGGGAGGCTGAGCTTGGGAGGATCATCTAAGCCTGGGAGGTTGAAGCCACGGTGAACTGTGATTGTACCACTGCACTCCAGCCTGGGTGACAGAGTGAGACCCTGTCTCAAAAAAAAAAAAAAAAAAATGAAAGAAAGAAAGAAATTGAAACTATAGCAGTTACTCTAAAGACCCAAACACTAAAAATAACACAATGCCCATGTCCAGCAGAAAAAATAACATTGTTATGTATTTAATCAGTGAACTTACTATACAGTGAGAATGGACTACAAGTATACTTAACAGCTCATTTTGTGAAAACTTAACAAGCTATATACTTATGATTTGTACACCTTTCTATGTGTATGTTCTACTTGAAAACAGTTTGTATCAAAATAATAGGTATGGCTGTGCACGGTGGCTCACACCTGTAATGCCAGCACTTTGGGAGGCTGAGGCGGGCAGATCACCAGAGGTCAGGAGTCCAAGACCAGCCTGGCCAACATTGTGAAACCCCATCTCTATTAAAAATACAAAAATTAGCTGAGTGTGGTGGCTGTAATCCCAGCTACTTGGGAGGCTGAGGAGGAAAATTGCTCGAACCCGGGAGGCAGAGGTTGCAGTGATCTGAGATCACACAACTGCACTCCAGCCTGGGCAACACAGCAAGACCCCGTCTGAAAAAAAATAAATTATTTAAAACATAAAATAAAAAATAAATAAAATAGATATTGCCTAATGAACACTACCGATGTAAAAGTAGTTTATTTTTTTATTTTTTATTTTTTTTGAGACAGAGTCTCACTCAGTCACCCAGGCTGGAGTACAGTGGCATGATCTTGGCCCACTGCAACCTCTGCCTCCCGGGTTCAAGCGATTCTTGTGCTTCTGCCTCCCAAGTAGCTGGGATTACAGGTGTGCACCACCACGTCCTGCTAATTTTTGTATTTTTAGTAGAGACAGGGTTTCACCATATTGGCCATGCTGGTCTTGAACTCCTGACCTTGTGATCCGCCCACCTTGGCCTCCCAAAGTGCTAGGATTACAGGCATGAGCCACCACCCCTGGCCTTTGATTTTGTTTCTTGGAGAAGAGGTCTCACTTTGTCACCCAGGCTGGAGTATAGTAGCACAGTCCTGGCTCATTGGAACCTCCACCTCCTGTGCTGAAGCGATGCTGTCACCATCAGCCTCCCGGGTAGCTGGGGCCGCAGGTGTGCATCACCACACCTGACTAATTTTTTTTGTATTTTTGGTAGAGACTGGGTTTCACCATCTTGCTCAGGCTGGTCTTGAATTCCTGGGCTCAAGCGATCCTCCCATCTTGTCCTCCCAAAGTGCTGCGATTACAGGTGTGAGTCACTATGCCTAGCCTAGTTGTCTTTTCTTTTTGTATATTATGTCCTTTTGGTATTTTATGACTTCGCTGAATGTGTGAAAAGCAAAAATAATATTTTAGGCTGTATCCACAGGGGCTTTACATTTAGTTGTTATTAAATTTTAATCTTCTATGGCTGTTATTCAGATATTTAAGTAGATGACATAAGTAATTTCTGTATTTTACAGGCAGATTTTGACAACAAACCAGTAAATGGCCCCAAGTCAGAATCCATGGACTACAGTAGATGTGGTCATGGGGAAGAACAAAAATTGGAATTGAACCCACATACTGTTGAAAATGTAACTAAAAATGAAGACAGCATGACAGGCATCGAGGTGGAGAAGTGGACACAAAACAAGAAATCACAGTTAACTGATCACGTGAAAGGAGATTTTAGTGCTAATGTCCCAGAAGCTGAAAAATCGAAAAACTCTGAAGTTGACAAGAAACGAACCAAATCTCCAAAATTGTTTGTACAAACCGTAAGAAATGGCATTAAACATGTACACTGTTTACCAGCTGAAACAAATGTTTCATTTAAAAAATTCAATATTGAAGAATTCGGCAAGACATTGGAAAACAATTCTTATAAATTCCTAAAAGACACTGCAAACCATAAAAACGCTATGAGCTCTGTTGCTACTGATATGAGTTGTGATCATCTCAAGGGGAGAAGTAACGTTTTAGTATTCCAGCAGCCTGGCTTTAACTGCAGTTCCATTCCACATTCTTCACACTCCATCATAAATCATCATGCTAGTATACACAATGAAGGTGATCAACCAAAAACTCCTGAGAATATACCAAGTAAAGAACCAAAAGATGGATCTCCCGTTCAACCAAGTCTCTTATCGTTAATGAAAGATAGGAGATTAACATTGGAGCAAGTGGTAGCCATAGAGGCCCTGACTCAACTCTCAGAAGCCCCATCAGAGAATTCCTCCCCATCAAAGTCAGAGAAGGATGAGGAATCAGAGCAGAGAACAGCCAGTTTGCTTAATAGCTGCAAAGCTATCCTCTACACTGTAAGAAAAGACCTCCAAGACCCAAACTTACAGGGAGAGCCACCAAAACTTAATCACTGTCCATCTTTGGAAAAACAAAGTTCATGCAACACGGTGGTTTTCAATGGGCAAACTACTACCCTTTCCAACTCACATATCAACTCAGCTACTAACCAAGCATCCACAAAGTCACATGAATATTCAAAAGTCACAAATTCATTATCTCTTTTTATACCAAAATCAAATTCATCCAAGATTGACACCAATAAAAGTATTGCTCAAGGGATAATTACTCTTGACAATTGTTCCAATGATTTGCATCAGTTGCCACCAAGAAATAATGAAGTGGAGTATTGCAACCAGTTACTGGACAGCAGCAAAAAATTGGACTCAGATGATCTATCATGTCAGGATGCAACCCATACCCAAATTGAGGAAGATGTTGCAACACAGTTGACACAACTTGCTTCGATAATTAAGATCAATTATATAAAACCAGAGGACAAAAAAGTTGAAAGTACACCAACAAGCCTTGTCACATGTAATGTACAGCAAAAATACAATCAGGAGAAGGGCACAATACAACAGAAACCACCTTCAAGTGTACACAATAATCATGGTTCATCATTAACAAAACAAAAGAACCCAACCCAGAAAAAGACAAAATCCACCCCATCAAGAGATCGGCGGAAAAAGAAGCCCACAGTTGTAAGTTATCAAGAAAATGATCGGCAGAAGTGGGAAAAGTTGTCCTATATGTATGGCACAATATGCGACATTTGGATAGCATCGAAATTTCAAAATTTTGGGCAATTTTGTCCACATGATTTTCCTACTGTATTTGGGAAAATTTCTTCCTCGACCAAAATATGGAAACCACTGGCTCAAACGAGGTCCATTATGCAACCCAAAACAGTATTTCCACCACTCACTCAGATAAAATTACAGAGATATCCTGAATCAGCAGAGGAAAAGGTGAAGGTTGAACCATTGGATTCACTCAGCTTATTTCATCTTAAAACGGAATCCAACGGGAAGGCATTCACTGATAAAGCTTATAATTCTCAGGTACAGTTAACGGTGAATGCCAATCAGAAAGCCCATCCTTTGACCCAGCCCTCCTCTCCACCTAACCAGTGTGCTAACGTGATGGCAGGCGATGACCAAATACGGTTTCAGCAGGTTGTTAAGGAGCAACTCATGCATCAGAGACTGCCAACATTGCCTGGTATCTCTCATGAAACACCCTTACCGGAGTCAGCACTAACTCTCAGGAATGTAAATGTAGTGTGTTCAGGTGGAATTACAGTGGTTTCTACCAAAAGTGAAGAGGAAGTCTGTTCATCCAGTTTTGGAACATCAGAATTTTCCACAGTGGACAGTGCACAGAAAAATTTTAATGATTATGCCATGAACTTCTTTACTAACCCTACAAAAAACCTAGTGTCTATAACTAAAGATTCTGAACTGCCCACCTGCAGCTGTCTTGGTGAGTACTTGTGTGCATGTGTTCTTATTTCACCTGCACAAATTACCTCAATCATGACTGAAGCAAATTCTGATTCATCTTTTTTGTGTGATATTTTTTCCCCATTCTTATTCTAACTAAGATGGATTAAGTAAATCTATAACCATTTTTCTGTGGGAACTTTTGGTTCTGCCACAAGAATGGAAAATTCAGCTCATAATTTGGAAAAACAAACTTGGAAAAGGTAAACCCGCTCAAGTGGAAAAATAGGCTGATATATCTCTCAATGTTGAATGTCTGTCAATTTATCGTGCGTAGCATAAGAATGAATTTCGTAGGCCAGGCGCAATGGCTCTTGCCTGTAATCCCAACATTTTGGGAGGCCGAGTCAGATGGATCACTTGAGGTCAAGAGTTTGATACTAGCCTGGCCAACATGGTGAAACCCTGTATTTACTTAAAATTCAAAAATTAGTTGAGCATGGTGGTGCACGCCTGCAATCCCAGCTACTCGGTTGGCTGAGGCAGGAGAATCACTTGAACCTGGGAGGTGGAGGTTACAGTGAGCCAAGATTGTGCCACTCCCCTCCAGCTTGGGCAACAGAGCAAGACCCTGTCTTAAAAAAAAAAGAAAGAAAGAAATAACTTAATAGTTTATTACAGTTTGTTTATTCTTCCTATATTCAAAAAAATTTCAACTTACAAGCCTTTCATTATATTTTTGTGTGTGTGAGATAGAAGATACATATAGAGAATGTAAAACATATGTATAAGTTAACAGTTAAGAAATATATAGCTGGCAGTTGCCGTCCTACTCTAGAATTGAAGCTGGTTTATGTCTTTTTCAGTGTCTAGTGCTTTTACGCTCTGTCCAGTACAAGATCTAATACTGTCTTTTTTTGTCCAAAGAGCACTTGATATTCTGGAATAATATATTTCTATTTCTCTGCAATACAAAGTGTACTTATGTATAAAGAAATTCCATAATCTTGGCCACTTGAAGAATTCATAAGCCTTTCTGAATTTTAACATATTTTAACAAATTTGTTTAATCCTGATTTCCTATTTCAAAAAATCAAAGAATAACCAGTGTGCTAACATGAGTCATGTGCTAATAGCTGACTCATGGACTGATCCCTAACCAATGTATTTCTACATTTTTGTGCCTTAGGAGTCATTGAAAGAGAACATTCTGAACCAATTAGTTTTATTAGTGTGTTAAAAGCCCTGAGAAAATCTTGCTGGGTAAAGATTCTCAGGCAGACCTTATGAGAAATTTCCTCAGTATTTGAAACATGTGAAAGCTTAATTTGAATCCTGTACTGATTAGTTACTGTCTATGGCCAAATTTCAGGTAAGCACTCTTCTAAGAAACCTGTTGACTCTAATATAGCTGTAAAAAAATAGGGAAATTCAATAGATTGTGTCATTAAAGTTCGTTAGGCTGCTTGAAGCCCCATTACTTTGTTTACCATACAACTATGTTAGAATAAATTTTGTGAAAAATCTGTTTTGAACCTCATCCAAATAGGTTTAGTTATTGGAAGTCTTACTTAAAATATGGCTCCAAATCACAAAGACTCAAGATTTGCCTTGACCAAAGGTGATGTTTTTATTAGAAGCAGGTGGTTCCATAGGGAGGCTAAGTATATCACACTGATTTTTTAACAACAGTAGAAAATATAGTGTTGTGTAGTAATAATATTGAATTCTTGTCTTTCCAAAGTACACTTGTTGTTCTGAAATAATATCCTTCCATTTCTCTGCTCATTGTTCAATACACAGTGTTTTTTAGGTTTTTGTTTTGTTTGTGGATATGAGGTCTCACTTTGTTACTCAGACTGGTCTTGAACTCCTGGGCTCAAGTGATCCTCGTGCCTCAGCTTCCTAAAGTGCTGGGATTACAGACATGAACCACCACACCAGCTAACACACAGTTTTGACAAACTGCAATGTGCCAGTTATCAAGGATAGGCTGTTCTGAGAAGAATCTCACAATTTGGAAAGAGTGACAATGCTGTCTGAGTGGAGTTGAATTGGGAGAAAAAGTTTCTTGAATTAAGGAGAGAAGAAAGTAATCATCATAATGGCTTCCATTCTGGAGATCTTACTACAAGTCTGATATTGTGCTTGCCTTGACTTGTTATTTTCACAGAAGCTCTTCAAAGAGAGGGTTTATTATCCCCATTATACAAATGCAGAAACTGAGGCACAGAGAATTTCATAGCTATCCAGTAACTGAACTGGGACTCAGAGACAGCAGTCTCAACTCCAGAACCTATCCTTATAACGAACACTCTGGTGCTTAATAAAGGTGAATTATAAAAGAGAGAACACTTTTCGGCTGGGTGCAGTGGCTCACGCCTGTAATCCCAGCACTTTGGGAGGCCGAGGCGGGCAGATCACGAGGTCAGGAGATGAGACCATCCTGGCTAACACGGTGAAACCCCGTCTCTACTAAAAAATACAAAAAATTAGCCGGGCATGGTGGCAGGTGCCTGTAGTCCCAGCTACTTGGGAGGCTGAGGCAGGAGAATGGCGTGAACTGGGAGGCAGAGCTTGTAGTGAGCCGAGATCACGCCACTGCACTCCAGCCTGGATGACACAGCGAGACTCTGTCTCAAAAAAAAAAAAAAAAAAGGGAGAGAACACTTTTCTAAATATCCTTACAAATGGAAATAAGGCCTGTAGTTCAACAAACACGTGCCTTTAAAGTTTATATACCTGAGCTAGACTACTTTTTCTATGTGCATGGTTCTAAAAGGATGATTGTCTAGTTTGAAGACCCTTTCCTTATGCAAAATAACTAGTCACAGCATATAGGAATAGACAGCCAGGCATTCAAAGTTGAATAAATACCTGCAGGGGACTCAGCTGTTTTATCTACTGTCACTAACATGTCATTAGTAAATCATTACATGTAAGTTTATTGTGCTCATTGTGTAGAAAAAGGCACTTAAAGACAGAGAAACAAAAAGTTACTTACCCAGTCACTTTTTATCAAATCATCCCAAGTAGTACCATCCATATCTGAGGGTAAAGAATTTCCATGGTGGAATTATGTTCTAGCAAAATAATCTCTAGATTAGGATTCCTCAAACTGAGCAGTATTGGTGTTTTATCCTTCGTAATTCTTTGTTGTGGGGAGCTGTCCTGTGCATTGTGGGATGTTTAGCAGCATCTCTATCTTCCACCCACTAGATGCCAGTAGTAATGCACACACATAACTGCCAAATTGTCACGACCAAAAATGTCTCCAGGTATTTCCATGAGTCCCCTTAGCGGCAACATTCCCCTGGTTCAGAATCAGTGCTGTAGATCACTAAGAATAAGATAAAATCTATCAAGTGTATCTTACTTAAGAAGCCACAGAAGTAGGCTGGGTGCCGTGACTCACACCTGTAATCCCAGCACTTTGGGAGGGGGAGGCGGGTGGGTCACCTGAGGTCAGGAGTTCGAGACCAGCCTGGCCAACATGGTGAAGCTAAAAGTACAAAATTAGCCAGGCATGGTGGTGCATGCCTGTAATCCCAGCTACTTGGGAGGCTGAGACAGGAGAATCGCTTGAACCCAGGAGGCGAAGATTGCAGTGAGCCAAGATCTCATCACTGTGCTCCAGCCTGGGCAACAAGAGTGAAACGCCATCTCAAAAAAATAATAATAAAAAATAAAGGTGAAAAAGGAAGCCACAGAAGTAATTCCCCTAGTATTTGACATCCAGTGAAAATGACTTTTTGGTGTAGGTATACCATGGCTAGAAATTCATGAAACGCAGAAATTCCCCAGTAATTCTTACTACACATGAGTCTAAGGGGCCAAGTTAAAAATAGCATTTTTTAAGAAACATAAAATTCATGCTCACAAAAATTCAAGTGGTGCAGAAATACGACGCAAACATCTTCCTATACTCCCATTCTATACAAAAGAACATTATTGATTTTAATTTTGTTTCCATTTTTACAAAAATTTAAAACAATCTTTCTACTTGGTTTTTTAATATAATGATATTGTGGATGTCTAAATGTTTTATAAATATTATTGTTTCAATAGATTTATTGTATACCACTATATAAACATCCCATAATTTATTTAAACCACATGTTATTGACAGATGTTGAGTGTTTTGCTCTCTTTTTGATATTACAAATAATTGTAACAAGGAACATTCTTTTGTAATTGTGCAAATGTATAGTAGAATAAATTGTCTGCAATGAAATTGCTCAATTTTCCCAGCACTTTGGGAGGCACAAGGTCAGGAGATTGAGACCATCCTGGCTAACATGGTGAAACCCCGTCTCTACTAAAAAATACAAAAAAAAAATTAGCCGGGCGTGGTGGCGGGTGCCTATAGTCCCAGCTACTTGGGAGGCTGAGGCAGAATGGTGTGAACCCGGGAGGCGGAGCTTGCAGTGAGCCGAGATCGCGCCACTGCACTCCAGCCTGGGCGACAGAGCAAGACTCTGTCTCAAAAAAAAAAGGGGATTGCTCAATTTTAATAGGATTCTAAGGGCAACCTTTAACATTTATTGTTCTTGGATAACTTTTAGTATTACACCTCAATTAATACAGATTTTTTTTTTAAGCAGGAGATAGGAGTATAAATATGACCCACATCTTAAAATATTTTTTTTCTCCTCTGATTTTCAGAGGAAGAAAGAATTCGTTAGGGGCAGGAAGAAAGGAACATTAAAAGTTAAATTTCATGGGCTGTTGTCCTTGCCTTTAATTATCAAATCTTACCAAAACCTTGTCAAGATTCATGGTTCTGAATTGAGGGGGAACAAAAAGTATAAAAGTAGCTTCTCCTGTCCCCTATGCAATTCTGTAAAGCTTTGGGTCTAATAATCTTATTCCTTCCACAGATCGAGTTATACAAAAAGACAAAGGCCCATATTATACACACCTTGGGGCAGGACCAAGTGTTGCTGCTGTCAGGGAAATCATGGAGAATAGGTGAGGAAATACGCTTCCCTGTTAAAATCATTCTTACTGTGGATCTGACTCAACGGAGATAAATCATCTCTAAGAACAAACGCCGTGATTGAAAAATGATCAGGAGTATGAGTTGGATGTTTCTTAGGGCCCAACAAAAGAGGGGTGTCCTCGTGTCCCTACTGAGCCACCCATCATACAAGCTGTTGGGCACATAAAAGCACCCACAAAGCAAGACTAGTTGTCTTTGATAAACTCAGAAGTACTTTTTATATATCGCATAATGGTAGAAATAGGTCAAATTACCACCCTTGACACTGCATACCCTACATTCCCATTGCTTGTCTGGCACTCAGCCTATTTTTTAAAGAGTGATCTTTGAGGATAAGTGAGTAGGACTGGTTAACAAATTAAAATACCTGCCACACAAAAGCAAATGTTTAACAAGAGTAAATTACGAAGAGTGTCTAATTTTTGAACTTCTGTACATCTATATCTTATATACATTAAGATGTTCAAAGCCAAAGCCTTCAAGTACAGATTGCAATTAATTAGTACATTCCCTTCACTGTGTTTTATACTCAGGTATGGTCAAAAAGGAAACGCAATAAGGATAGAAATAGTAGTGTACACCGGTAAAGAAGGGAAAAGCTCTCATGGGTGTCCAATTGCTAAGTGGGTAAGTATTTCCTATTTATACATTTTTTTGAAGCTTGTTATTCCAGAGCTGATATTTATACATTTACAATAGCCAGAGTGATCTTTATTTTATTTATTCATTTATTTATTTAATTTTTGAGACAGGCTTTGTCGCCCCGGCTGGATTGCAGTGGTGCAATCACACCTCACTGCAGCCTTGATCTCCCAGGCTCAAGCAATCTTTCCACCTTAGCCTCCAAGTACTTAAGACTTGCCACCAAACCCGGCTAATTTTTTTTTTTTTTTTTTTTTTTTTAGTGGAGAGCTCAAGTGATCCTCCCGCCTCAGTCCCCTAAAGTGCTGGGATTACAGGCGTGAGCTACTGTACTGGGCCAGATTTTTTAATAGATTTTTAAGTAAATTGGCCATTTGTGATGAAAGTTGCAAATATATTTTCTCAGTTTGTTGTGGTTTTACCAGTTAGATTTTTTTTTTGACTGTAATCAGCTTTTTCATCTTTTATAGCTTTAGGGTATTTTATCTTAATTAGAAAAATCTTTACCACTTGTAGGTTATAAATCTTTCATTTTCTTTTGTAGTATTTTAATGATTTTATTTTTTCTATAATGAAGTATTTTATATTTATCCTGGTTTAGAATATTGGTAGCTATGTACACTTCTCCAGATGGCTACTCAGTTATCCAACACCACTCATTTAATTGTACATCTCTTCATTATTGATGTGTATTTGTTTATATGTGAGAATTCCCTATTGTGTTAAATCACTGTCTTTAATCAGCATGAGATTGCTCTAATTATTTAGATTTTATAATGTTTCCATGTCTGATAGGCTAATTCCTTTTAATTTTTCAAAAGTGGTCTGACTATTCTGGTTTATTTTATCATATTAGTATATAAACACCACGTTTCATTACAAGAATAAAATCCTACTGGTAATTTTATTGGAATCATGTTAACAGAATTTGGAGAATTTACATATATTTCATGTTCAGTCTTCCTATTCTACATATTGCATCTTTACATTTACATATGCCTTCTTTTGTCCTTTAGAACCATTTTAAGGTAGAATTTAAGGGAGAATTTACATGTTTCTTGTTTTTGTACATATTTCTCTTGTGTATCCTCTAATACAGTTAGTCCAACAGACTAACTCTAATTTTATATTGCTTTAGTAACGATGGTCTCCTTACTTTGTTTCTCTCTTCCCATGGGGATCTTTCCAGGGTTTTCCCATTAAGTGTGGGTTGTCGGCCCAGCACGGTGGCTCACGCCTGTAATCCTAACACTTTGGGAGGCCGAGGTGGGCAGATCACCAGAGGTCAGGAGTTCAAAATCAGCCTGGCCAACATGGTGAAACCCCGTCTCTACTAAAAATACATAAATTAGCTGGGCATGGTGATGGGCACCTGTAGTCCCAGCTACTTGGGAGGCTGAGGCAGGAGAATCACTTGAACCCAGGAGGCAGAGGTTGTAGTGAGCCAAGATCGGGCCACTGCACTCCAGCCTGGGCAACAAGAGCAAAAATGTCTCCAAAAAAAAAAAAAAAAAAAGCATGGATTGTCAGGGAATGCCTTTCGGGGGAGGGAACATTTAAGCTGAGAAAGGAGTGACAAAAAACAAAAAAGAGCTAAGTAGGCAGAGGATAAGCAGGAAGTAGCATTCCTAAGCAGAGAAAACAGCAAGAACAAAGGTCTTGGGTTTAGAAATAAGAGTCCAGTAAAAAAAATCTAAGCAGAGTCAGTTGAAATTAAGGGGATAGGCCAGGCGCAGTGGCTCACGCCTGTAATCCCAGCACTATGGGAGGCCGAGTGGGGCAGATCACCAGAGGTCAGGAGATCGAGCCTATCCTGGCTAACATGGTGAAACCCCGTCTCTACTAAAAATAGAAAAAATTAGCCGGGCGTGGTGGCGCGAGCCTATAGTCCCAGCTACTCGGGAGGCTGAGGCAGGAGAATTGCTTGAACCCCCGAGGTGGAGGTTGCAGTGGGCCTAGATCGTGCCTCTGCACTCCAGCCTGGGAGACAGAGTGAGACTCCGTCTCAAAAAAAACAAAAATGAAAAACGAAATTAAGGAGATAATTAATAGAACCAGGTGGGGGTAAAAAGGTGAATGATTTTGTAGGCCATAGTGAGGAGCTGAGGTTTTAGCCCATGAGTAACATGAAGGCCTTCATGTTTGAATAACAAACAGGTATTATCTCCTGCAGTTTTTGTGGGTTAGGAATCCAAGTGGTGCTTCTGACATAGGCTCCTATGAGGATGCAATCATCTGAAAACTTGACTGGGGGAGAGTGGTGCAGCTGGAAGACCCACTTCCAAGCTCCCTTACAGGAGGCCTTAGCTCTTTGATGGCTGTTGGCTGGAGGCCTCAGTTCCTCCTCATCTTAAATGTTTTCATAACACAGCAGCTTGGTTTCCCCCAGAGTGAGTGAATCAAAAGAGAGCAAGAAGGAAACTACAGTGTCTTTCTTTCATCACCTCAAGAGGTTGAGGCCAGGAGTTCAAGGTCACAGTGTACTATGGTGGCTCCTGTGAATCCATAGCCAGCCACTGCACTCCAGCCTGAGCAACATAGCAAGACCCCACATCTCTTTTGTTTGTTTAAAGAAAGAAACAAAGAAAATAAACTAGATTCTCAGAAGCCCCAGTTATAAATCTCCCAACCTGGCTTTGTGGTAATAATTTTCTTGCTTTCCACCTTTCCCTGCTACTTATATATTTCTCAAACAGTATAGTTTTATTTTGTTTTGTTCTTTTGTGTCTGGCCTATCCATAGTACCTTGTATATTTGAAATAAATCACACAATTGGTTCCCAATATCTGGCGCTGATAGTTGTTACCAATTTATTGAGCTATATCTGTTAGCTATTTCTGAATTGTTCACTCCTTTGTCTATTAAGTGGTAAGGAATGAATATGTCCTCATGTTGTGGCAGCTGGCTTCTCCTACAGTGAGTCCAAAAGAGAGAAATGTAACTAGGCTTATTGGTGGGATTGGGATGATTTCTTTTTCCTCTCTTTAAAACCTTTTCTAATATAATAATAATGACAGTGATATAAAGAATTGTAGTGTATAGTTTTTTTGTTTTTGTTTTTGTTTTCCTTAAGAAGGCAAATATAAATGCTGTAGCTTAAAGATTTCGGTAACAACTTTCTATTAGTATTTTTCCCTAGCGAAATTTTATTTGTTTTGGATATCTGTCTGTGTTGCCTGGGCTAGAGTGCACTAACCCAGGGGACTCCAACCCCTGAGCCATGGGCCAATAGGAACCTGACTTCATGGCAGAAGGTGAGTGGCAGGAGAGCAAGTGAAGCTTCATCTGTATTTACAGCCACTCCTCATTGCTAGTATTACCACCTGAGCTCTGCCTTCTGTCAGATCAGCAGTGGGATTAGACTCTCATAGGACTGCAAACCCTGTTGTCAACTGTACATTCAAGGGATGTAGGTTGTGCTCTCCTTATGAGAATCTGATGCTTGATGATCTGTCACTGTCCCACCTCACCCCCAGATGGGACCGTCTAGTTTTAGGAAAACAAGCTCAGGGCTCCCACTGATTCTTTATTATGATGAGTTGTATAATTACTTTATTATATATTACAATGTAATAATAATAGAAATAAAGTGCACAATAAATGTAACGTACTCGAATCATCCCAAAACCTCTGCCCCTGGCCCCACCTCTGTGGAAAAATTGTCTTCCATGAAATGACAGACTCTGGCTGTTGCCCAGGCTGGAGTGCAGTGGCTCAATCTCGGCTCACTGCAAGCTCCGCCTCCTGGGTTCACACCATTCTCCTGCCTCAGCCTCCTGAGTAGCTGGGACTACAGGCGCCTGCCACCACACCTGGCTAATTTTTTGTATTTTTAGTAGAGACGTGGTTTCACTGCATTAGCCAGGATGGTCTTGATCTCCTAACCTCATGATCTGCCCACCTCAGCCTCCCAAAGTGCTAAAATAGATTTTTTAACAGATTTTATGTCAGAAAAATCGTAATGTTAGTCAAACTTTATTTTTCCAAACTTTCCAGGTTATCTTACTTAAAATATTCATATCACTTACTGCTTTTGCAGAGAGCAATGCCGAGCCTAGAATTAGCACTCAATAAATTTGTGTTGAGTGAATGAATATGGAGCTTAAATATGGCTATTTAGAAAATGTATTTTAGGGCTGGGTGAGGTGGCTCACGCCTGTAATCCCAGCACTTTGGGAGGTCGAGGCGGGTGGATCACCTGAGCTCAGGAATTTGAGACCATCCTGGACAATACGGTGAAACTCCGTCTCTAGTAAAATACAAAAAATTAGCCAGACATGGTGGCACGTGCCTATAGTCCCAGCTACTCAGGAGGCTGAGGCACGAGAATCACTTGAACCCAGGAGGCGGAGGTTGCCGTCAGCCAAGATGGTGCCACGGCACTCCAGCCTGTGCAACATCCAGAGTCTAGCTCCAAAAAAAAAAAAAAAAATTTCCCATTTGGGTGCGGTGGCTCATTTCTGTATATCTGTAATCCCAGCACTTTGGGAGGCTGAGGCGGGAGGACCACTGGAGCCCAGTAGTTGGAGACCAGCTTGGACAACATAGTGAGACTCTACAAAAAAAATTTTTTTTCTTTTTTTTTGAGAGGGAGCCTCGCTCTGTCGCCCAGGCTGGAGTGCAGTGGCGTGATCTCGGCTCACTGCAAGCTCCACCTCCCAAGTTCACGCCATTCTCCTGCCTCAGCCTCCCGAGTAGCTAGGACTACAGGCGCCTGCCACCACAACTGGCTAATTTTTCGTATTTTTAGTAGAGACGGGGTTTCGCCGTGTTAGCCAGGATGGTCTCGATCTCCCGACCTCGTGATCCGCCCACCTCAGCCTCCCAAAGTGCGGGGATTACAGGCGTAAGCCACCACGCCCGGCCAAAAATTTTTTAAATTAGCCAACTGTGGTGGTGTGCACCTGTGGTCCCAGCTACTCTGGAGGCTGGACGATTGCTTGAGCATAGGAAGAGGAGGTTGCAGTGAGCCATTATTGGGCCACTACACTCTAGCCTGAGTAACGGAATGAGCCCTGCCTACAGAGAGAAAAGAAAGTTGAGTATCTTGAATTTGAATTGGTATCTTGAAATAGTATGGCTATGGTATTCATTATTAGCTATATTCTGAGGCATGAGAAACTGAGGATTAGAGCTGGGAATCTGCTGGAGTTGTCCACCCCACGCTTAAACTTTAGGTAGAGGTTGAATGAAAATTGGAATTAAAAAATGTCCATGAAGGAAGGTGGGAAAAATTTTAAAACAATTTTAAAAAAGAATTAATTTGTCTGTATTCTACATAGTTTGTAGAACTTTATCATGAGGTTATTTTGAATGACACTAGTGCAATTGGGTGGATTATACGTGGGTGAGGGAGGAAATGAAGGTCAAAAATTTTGAACTAAGAAATCGAATATACACATACAGCCAGTGAATTACATTGCTCCAAATTTACTTTTCATCTTGGATAGTGTACCTTTTTTGTGTATTTGTTATAAAACATTAATCTATATCAAGCATCGTTTCATGATTTCATTTTTTAAAATCTCCATGTATATGCTTAGGTTTGTTAATAGTATTAAAGTTCTGTCCTAAACTGCCCCCTCACCTTTTTTTTAAGTTGTGTTTCTCTTGTCTTCTTTTTTTTGAATCTTGCTCTGTTGCCCAGGCTTGAGTGCAGTGGCACAATCTCGGCTCACTGCAACCTCTGCCTCCCAGATTCAAGTGATTTTCCTGCCTCAGCCTTCACCATGTTGCCCAGGCTGGTCTCAAACTCCTGACCTCAAGTAATCCACCCTCCTCCACCTCCCAAAGTGCTGGGATTACAGGCGTGAGCCACCGCGACAGCCCTCTTGTCTTCTTTGCTTGGAAGAGAGATCTATTGCTTCTCTTTTTAATGATCACACACAAAAAGTCTAACAGCAAATTCTAACTGGCCAGCACCACTTTCTTAGCCATTCTTATGTTGTTTTGCCTATGTTCGCAACACCGTTTTATTCTTCTCTTGAAATGTTTCCTTGCCAGGTGGTCATTAAAACTCTCACATAATTATAGTCTTTGGCAGAGATTTTTGACTCTTTTTCTCTGCTGTCACTTTGGATCTTGTCAGAAACAAGTTATCTTGTTCTTCAGTAGATTTTGAAGAAAAGGGTAATGTAGTTTCTTAGATGCACCTTAGATGTTCAAGGAGAATCACTTGAACCTAGGAGGCAGAGGCTGCAGTGAACTGAGATTGTGCCACTGCCCTCCAGCCTGGGTGATAGCATGAGACCCTGTCTCAAGAAAAAAACAAAAAAAAATAGTATTTTAAAAATTAGCTGGATGTCGTGAGTAAATCACATTTAAGAATTTCCCAGCTGGCCAGCGTGGTGGCTCATGCCTGTAAACCCAGCACTTTGGGAGGCTGATGCAGGCAGATCACTTGAGACCAGGAGTTCAAGACCAGGCTGGCCAACGTGGTGAAATCCCATCTTTGCTAAAAATACAAAATTAGCCGGGCGTGGTGGCATAAGCCTGTAATCCCAGCTACTCAGGAGGCTGAGGCAGGAGTATAACTCTTTGTATACTTCCCCTCTTGAGCTTCTGGGGTAATGGCAGAAGTAGGTAGAAGAAGTCAAACAGTGGATGGCCTCATTGGCCCCAATGCCTGAGTGCTTCACATTGGGCATCATATGATGAGTTCCCCTCTGTGCGATTGTGTATTAGTCAATAGAGCAGATGTGGCAATGAATACCTACAAGTGATTTTTTTTTCTTTGGAGATGAAGTCTTGCTCTGTTGCCCAGGGTGGAGTACAGTAGTGTGATCTTGGCCCTTTGCCTCCCAGGTTCAAGCCATTCTCCAGCCTCAGCCTCTCGAGTAGCTGGGATTACAGGCGTGTGCCACCATGCTCAGCTAATTTTTGTATTTTTAGTAGAGGTGGGGTTTCACCATGTTACCCAGGCTGGTCTCGAACTCCTGACCTTAAGTGATCCACCCACCTTGGCCTCCCAAAGTGCTGTGATTACAGGCATGAGCCACCGCGCCCGGCCAATATTAAACTGACTTACATGTTTTTCTTTACTTAAGCTTATTGTCTGCTAAAGTACCATTAGTACTCTTTTTATGTTAGTTTGTTTACTTGCTTATAGAGTTCATTTTTTAAGGAAATTTTAATTCAAGTATAATATACACACAGAAAAGTATACATACCATAAGGTACAGCCCAGTGAAATTGTACAAAGTGAACATACCTATGTGACCAGTGGCCAGATCAAGACATTACCAAAACTTCAGAACCCCGTTGTGTGAACTCAGTCATTAATCCCTTTACAAAGGTGGAATTGTATTGTAAAAGTCTCATTTTCTTGTAATATGTAGATAGCTTTAAATGATGTTAACTGGTGACATTTTGGAGGAGTTGGCCACTATAATTTTGTTTTGAAAAATTTACTCTACTTTGTCTCTTACATGATTATTGATGAAACTCAAAATGACCCTTCTTTGGAAAGATACCCGCTACACTTGACATGAATGTTGCTCCCAGATCTGAATCTGATCTGGAATTTGTATGCTGCCCAGATCATTTGTGCACTGACGAATCACCCTATTCCCTTTGGAAACCTTACAAATAAGATTGTGTTACAGGGACTTATTTTTTGCTTTAAAAAAATAATCTTTTAAAAAAATTATAATTTACAGCTTGGATACTTCCGCTTAGTTTGGTTTTTAATTTAATTTAACTTTTTTTTACTTTTTTCTTTTCTTCTTCTTCTTCTTTTTTTTTTTTTGAGATGGAATTTCACTCTTGTTGCCCAGGCTGGAGTGCAATGGCACAATCTGGGCTTACTGCGACCACCATCTCCTGGTTTCAAGCGATTCTCCTGTCTCAGCCTGCTAAGTACCTGGGATTACAGGTGTCCCCCAGCCAAGCCCAGCTAATTTTTGTATTTTTTAGTAGGGATGGGGTTTCACCATGTTGGCCAGGCTAGTCTCAAACTCCTGACCTCAGGTGATCTGCCTGCCTTGGCCTCCCAAAGTGCTGGGATTACAGGTGTGCCTGGCCAATTTTTTTTTTTTTTTACTTTTTAAAAAACTATTATTACTTTTTTGAGACAGAGTTTCACTCTTGTCGCCCAGGCTGGAGTGCAATGACGCGATCTCAGCCCACTGAAACCTCTGCCTCCCAGGTTCTAGGGATTGTCCTGCCTCAGCCTCCCAAGTAGATGGTATTACAGGTGCCCACCACCAAGCTCGACTAATTTTTTTTGTATTTTTAGTAGACATGGGGTTTCACCATGTTGGCCATGCTGGTCTCGAATTCCTGACTTCAGGTGATCCACCCGCCTCGGCCTCCCAAAGTGTTGGGATTACATGCGTGTGCCACCGCGCTAGCCGTTTTAAACCTTAAAATTTTTTTTAATTGTGTAATCTTGCTCCTTCTAATATTAGTTGTTTTTTGTTTTTGTTTTTGTTTTTTTTGAGACAGAGTCTTGCTCTGTCGCCCAGGCTGGAGTGCAGTGGTGCGATCTCGGCTCACTGCAAGCTCCGCCTCCCGGGTTCACGCCATTCTCCTGCCTCAGCCTCCCGAGTAGCTGGGACTACAGGCGCCTGCCACTGCGCCTGGCTAATTTTTTTTTTTTTTTTTTTTTTTTTGTAGTTTTAGTAGAGACGGGGTTTCACCATGTTAGCCAGGATGTTCTCGATCTCCTGACCTCGTGATCCGCCCGCCTCGGCCTCCCAAAGTGCTAGGATTACAGGCATGAGCCACTGCACCCAGCCTCTAATATTAGTTTTTAAATTTAAAAATTATATATACACATTATAGATATATTTCAAATTTTAAAAGCCATTACAATTTTATCCTGTGCTTAGAGATTATAATTTTTAGCAGTTTGGGTATACTCAAACTAAGAGTTAGGCTGTGAAAATTTTCTGTTTTTTGAGACAGGGTCTTGCTCTGTCACCCAGGCTAAAAGTACAGTGGCGCAACTCACTGCAGCCTTGACCCAGGCTCAAGCAATCCTCCTTCCTCAGCCTCCCAAGGAGCTGAAACCATAGGCACTCACCACCATGCCAGCTAGTTTTCTGGGGTTTGTTGTAGAGACGGGGTCTCATTTCATTGCCCAGGCTGGTCTTTAACTCCTGGGCTCAAGAAATCCTCCTACCTTGGCCTCTCAATGTGTTGGGGTTACAGGCATGAGCCACCATGCCCAGCCAGAACTTTTTTCTTTTCTTTTCTTTGTTAAAAAAACACACACACACACAAAAAACCAAGTATTGTGGGTTTTTTAATTTAAAAAAAATTTTTTTTCTTTTTTTTTTTTTTTTGTGAGATGGAGTTTCACTGTTGCCTCCCAGGCTAGAGTGCAGCAGCACGATTTCAGCTCACTGCAACCTCTGTGGTTCAAGCGATTCTCATGCGTCAGCCTCCCCAGTAGCTGGAACTACAAGTTGCACCACCACACTCGTCTAACTTTTGTATTTTTAATAGAGACAGGGTTTCACCATGTTGGCCATGCTGGTCTCAAACTCCTGAACTCAGGTGGTCTGCCTGCCCTGGCCTCACAAATTGCTGGGACAGGCTTGAACCACTGTGCCCTGCCCTAATTTTTGTATTTTTAGTAGAGGCGGGATTTCACCATGTTGGCCAGGCCAGTCTCGAACTCCTGACCTCAAGTGATCCACCCGCCTTGACCTCCCAAATTACTGAGATTACAGGCATGAGCTACCGTACCCAGCCTGTTGTTAATAGTCAAAAAAATAGAAACAAAATACTAAGCTAAGAGTGATAATTTTTGTCATTGTACATCTAAGGTGAAAGTTGACATCATGATTCAATTTGCATTGTAACTAGCAAAGTTGGATGTCTTTACTTATTATTAATTTTTATTAATAATAAATTTTACGTATTATTAATTTTTATTTCTTCCATGAATTCACTCTTCATAGCCTTTTTTTAGGTTATCTTCTATTATACTTTTGTAAATATGTATAATAGACCACATATATATAATATGTGTATGTATAATAGACCATGGCTGGTTTTATCATGGCTGGGCGTGGGCCCTCACACCTGTAATCCCAGCACTTTGGGAGGCTGAAATGCACAGATCGCTTGAGGCCTGGAGTTTGAGACAAACCTGGGCAACATAGCCAGACCTCATCTCTACCAAAAATACAAAGAAGTAGCCAAGCACGGTGGCAAGCACCTGTAGTTCTAGCTACTTGGGAGGGTTAGGCGGAAGGATCGAATGAGCCTGGAGAGCTTTTAAATGATGTTAAAGGCTGCATACAGTGAGCCATGATCAAACCACTGCACTCCAGCCAAGGTGACATAGTGAGACACTGTCTCCAAAAGGAAAAGAAAACAAAACAAAAAAAGAACAGTTTTAAAAGAACAAACTTCAATTTAGAAGGGCAGTTCCCTTATTTGTTTAAAAAACGTTTCTCTTGAGGGTTGGAGAATTACCTGTTGGGTACAATGTTCACTATTTTGGAAGTGAGTATACAAAAAGCCCAAGACTTCACCACTGCCCAATATATCCATGTAATAAAACTGCACTTGTACCCTCTAATTCTTTAAAAACAAATTTTCCTGACATGATGCTCATTTACCCTTCCATATGAACCTTAGAAGCACGCTAAATTTGAACAGACTGGGGGAGAGATTTGTGGCTAGACATTTAGGGTTGGCTTTCTCATTTAGGAACACTATTATGTTCTTCCAACTGAACTTTCTTTTATAACCTTCTCTGCATTTTTTATAGTTTTATTCTTAGGTTTTTTGCATCTTTCTGTTTTTTAACAACCTTACTGAGATATCAGACTTTAAACCAAACTTCTATCTGGTTATTCCCACTATATAGTAAAGCTATTGCATCCTCAGTATATAAGGATCCAATTGTTTTACTTTCTTTAAAAATCAAGTAGATTTTTCTGTGATTCTCTTGAAAAATATTCTAGAAAGACTATTATAGCTATAATAATTGTGTCCTATTATTTTAATACCAGTCATATATCATATTGTCTGTTTCAAATAGGACTGTAGAACAATTATGAAGTCTGTATACCAGCAAGAAGTTAGTGAATATAGTAGAAAAATAATTAAATGTCACTATAGTATTCATTGACATTAGGAATAGATAGTATATTTTTGTACACACAGAACAAGAATGTGTATACCTTTAGTGTTCTCCTGGTTTTTGGAAGGAGGGTAATTAAAAAGCTGTTTAAATACTTGGTTTTTCTGTTTCCTATATGCATGTGACATGACTAGAAGCCAAATTTGCCTGCTGTAGCAAAAACCTCTATGGGGCTTTGAGCTGCTTCTGTCCAAGCCTCGAATATTCAAGAATAATCTTAGCTGCAGTTGCCTCTTGGAAATTTAACAGTATCTTTATCACAACACTCTCTTCTCTCCACCAACGTAGGTACCTCCTTTTTTTTTTGAGATGGAGTCTTGCTCCCATCGCGCAGGCTGTAGTGCAGTGTTGCAGTCTTGGCTCGCTGCAACCTCCACCTCCCAAAGTGCTAGGATAACAGGCATGAGCCACGGTGCCGGCCTGGGTAGCTCCTTTTTACTGTGTTTTACTTTGCTAGGTGACAAATATTGTCGGACATATATTCATATGCTCATCATCTATTTTCATATTCTCTATTGTGAAGTGCCTATTCAATTTTTTCTGCCAATTTTCTATGGGGGCAATTCTCTGTATATGTTGTGTCGTATATATTATGCCAAATATATGTAATGTAAATATATATAATGTGTATATATATATCATGTCAAATATATGTCATGTAAATATTTCTCCTGCCCTTTTGCTTGCCTTCTTTATTTTTTTATTTTTTTTAATTTTTTTGAGACAGAGTTTCTGTCTCCCATGCTGGAGTGCAGTGGCGAGATCTGGGCTTACTGCAACCTCGGCTCCCGCCTAAGCCTCCCAAGTAGCTGGGACTGCAGGCAGGTGTCCACACCCGGCTCATTTTTGTGTTTTATTGAAGAGACAAGGTCTCACCATGTTGCCCAAGCTGGTCTCAAATTCCCGACCTCAAGTGATCTAACCACCTCCCAAAGTGCTGGGAGGTGCGCCCAGCCTGCATTTTTTTTTTTTTTTTTTTTTTTACTCTGTTGCCCAGGCTGAAGTTCATGATGATAGCCTTGAACTCTCCCATCTCAAGTGATCCTCCTGCTTGCCTTCTTTATTTTTTTATTTTATTTTTTGGCGGGGATGGAGTTTCTGTCGCCCATGCTGGAGTGCAGTGGTGCAAGCTGTGCTCACTGCAACCTCGGCTTCCCAGGTTCAAGGGATCCTCCCCCCTCAGCCTTCTGAGCAACTGGGACTACAGGTACATGCCACTATGCCGGGTTTATTTTATTTTTTGTGGAGACTGAGTCTCAGTATGTTGCTCAGGCTGGCCTCGAACTCTTGGCCTCAAGCAATCCTCTCACCTCTACGTTCCGAAATCCTGGCATTACAAGTGTGAGCTGCGGCACCCAGCCTTTTTTATCTTTTCAATTAGCAGATTTGGTGTAAGCCATTTTAAAATGCTTTGCCCACTCCTAGGTCATGAAGATGTTTTCTTCTAAAATTCTTCATTGCTTTATTTTTTGTGTTTAGATACACATTATAATTCAAGTTGATCAATGTGAGGTAGGGGTCAAGATTCATTTTCTTTCATAAACTTTGGAACAATTGGTCAGTTTACACATACACACACACACACACACATACACACGAACCTCTGATAGGGTTTTGATTGGGATTGCATTGAATCTAGAGATCAATTTTGGGAAAATTGACGTAATTATAATAATGTCTATTCCATGAATTTATACTCCTCTGCATATAGTTAGTCCTTTGTTTATTTTAATAATAGTTTTAGTTTCCAGAAGCCTTACGGATTTAATATTTAAGCAGTTTATGGAGCTCAGATTTGAATTTAAAGACTCCTAACCATTGTGCTTAATTTTCTATTGTACACTGATGGAAACTTGGAATATCCAGAAAAGGCACAAATATCATCAGTAAAAAGCTTTTTAGCATTTCCTATACAAAAACTTTATTAATATAAATTCATTGTTAATTTTGACAACTTGAATATTAACCAAAATAATTTTGGTACTATATATATATATAATTTTGCATTTGAGATTATTTGCAAGCACTGTGTTATTATTTGGCTGTAAGAGGACGTATAAATATAGAAAAAATTTTAATATAAATAATTGTGTCTAGGGGGAAGGTCCTAAAGCCAACTCTACTCAAGGGATGCCTTGGTAGCAATGATTGTTAACCATCTGGAGTGACAGAAGAAAGTGATATTGGGTAACTAACTTCTTAAGAAGTTTCATCTCAAGTTTTGTAATATTATAGCAACAAAAAATTATGCTATTGGTTGCTCCATTCTGGTCACATGGATGGGCGTTTTCATCATGTCCTGGTTATGTACTGATTAATGTGGTCAATCTCTGCACTTTCTAAATTTTTGATACATGGAGGCAGTTTTAAATGGTTGGATGGTTTTATGTGGTGACAACATTTGTATAGAATTTTTTTTTTTTGTAGTTAACACTCAGACCACTGAGCAAATTTTAAATACTGCCGAAGCCTTTTTAACATCCCAATAATTGGATGCAGTATTAAATAAACAAATAAATATTTACAATTAATTTTTCTATTTTGCATTCACCAAGTCAAGTAGACCACATTAGTCTTATGAATAAAATGCATATAATGCATCCTTCCAATAACATGTAAAAATCATAGAAACCACAGAGGCATTCCTTTGTGTATATTAATTCTCGATAGTAAAATGAGTCACCCAAAGGAAAAGCCATAACATTCCTCAGATGGCCAAAATTCGTTGTCAAGTTTATTTTTAATGTTGAGAGTTCTTGGTTATTTCCATCTAACTACATTAGATGGTTTTTTTCCATCGTCTACATTTGTTCCCTTGTGACATTTGTGGAATTTCAGTGCAGTTTTCTACCGGGCCCTCTCTTGTCTGTTGTGCAAACTATAACAGCAGTGAAATAAAACACAGACTGCCTTGTACTACTTCTACAAATAATAACCACGTGTCACAGATTTTTGTTCTGCCTGTTGTTTGTTAGTCATATAGGTTCAGGTACTCTTGTGATGAGTCTCATGGAGGGAACTGTTGAGGCAGTGGAAAGTCCTACAGGGTTTTATCCCTTGAGAAGTAGTAACTTTAAAAAAACTAAAATATGGCCGGGCATGGAGGCACATGTCTGTAATCCCAGATCTTTGGGAGGCCAAGGAAGGAGGATTGCTTGAAGCTAGGAGTTTGAGACCAGCCTTGGTAACATAGTTAGACCCCGTCTGTAGAACAGATTTTATAAATTAAGTAAATAAACTAAAATATAATCATGGAGAACATCAAAAGGAATATCCATTGCATTCAAATTTGGCATACTTGTCTTCCATAGATGAATGTATTCTGTTTTTTCAGGTTTTAAGAAGAAGCAGTGATGAAGAAAAAGTTCTTTGTTTGGTCCGGCAGCGTACAGGCCACCACTGTCCAACTGCTGTGATGGTGGTGCTCATCATGGTGTGGGATGGCATCCCTCTTCCAATGGCCGACCGGCTATACACAGAGCTCACAGAGAATCTAAAGTCATACAATGGGCACCCTACCGACAGAAGATGCACCCTCAATGAAAAGTAATTAAATCTGTTTTATACTGCCTTACCATTCAGATCTCTATTACATATTGGTAAAATTGTTAATTAGCTACCAACTATGTATATTATATGGGAGAATAGGATTTGAGTATTGTGGAATTAAAAAGAATGAACATTTCTGTAAAGAGAGAGTCTCTATTTTATAGTGAGTTAAGGTTACTTTAAATCATTCTCCTTTGGAATATTACTTCACTGTGACCAGGTGCAGTGGCTCATGCCTGTAATCCCAGCACTTTGGGAGGCCGAGGCAGGAGGATCATGAGGTCAGAAGATCAAGACTATCCTGGCTAATATGTCTCCACTATAAATACAAAAAATTAGCCGGGCGTGGTGGCGGGCGCCTACAGTCCCAGCTACTCAGGAGGCTGAGGCAGGAGAATGGTGTGAATCCGGGAGGCGGAGCTTGCAGTGCGCTGAGATTGTGCCACTGCACTCCAGCCTGGGTGACAGAGCGAGACTCCATCTCAAAAAAAAAAAACAAAAAAGAAAAGAATATTATTTCATTGCTTCCCAAAAAGGGAAGCAATGAAAGAATATTGCTGACCCAACTCACTTCTAGAGTCTGGAGGAAAGGGATTTTGACTTAAAAGAATGGTCTTCCACAGGAGTGTCATATCATTTTGCATTTCCTCTATTCAATGTAAGAGAATATCTGTTTTTCTGTAGTCTTACCAATGATTATGTTGGCAAATGTGAGTTTTTGCCTATTAAGAGAAATGACATCAGTGTAATTTTGACCTGAATTTCTCTTATGAATGAGAGTATTTTTTTCACATGACTAAAAACCATTTGGCTTTTTTTGTTTGTTTGTTTTAACCACCTGTTAAATAACCTAGCCCATTTTTGCAGAGAATTCCTCCATTTATCTATTTTCTCTCTGATGGTGCTATTAACTCTTATTCTGTGATATAATTTGCAAATATTTTTCTCAGTTTGTCTTTTTCCTTTGGCTATGTTATCTCCCACAAAAGGTTTTGTTTTTGATGCAATCAAACATACCCATCTTTTTCCTTATTTGGATCTGGATGTTGAGTGGTATTTAGGCATGTTTTTCTATGACTTTAAGCAAAGCAACATATAATGAAACCAATATTTTTCTCATCAACGCTGTAGCAATATTGAGCGATATTCGGGGAACTGCTCTAGGTGGTTTCACTTATAATCAGTTTCTAACAGCCTGTTGACATCAAGTGAGAAATGACTATACTTGTTTAAAATATAAATTTTTGAAATTTAAATCTCTCATACATTTAATGAATCACTGGTGAATAGTTGTAAGAGGAGATAAGTTTTGTTGTTGTTCTTGTTGTTTTGTTTTTTTGAGACGGAGTCTCGCTCTGTCACCAGGCTGGAGTGCGGTGGCGCAATCTTGGCTCACTGCAATGTCTGCCTCCCGGGTTCAAGCGATTCTCCTGCCTCAGCCTCCTGAGTAGCTGGGACTACAGGCATGCGCTTTGGGAGGCCGACAAGGGAGGACCACTTAAGGCCAAGAGTTCAAAAGCCAGACCAGGCAACATAGTAAGACTCCATCTCTACAAAAATATTTTTTTAAAAAAACTGTTTGGGAATGATGGCATATGCCTGTAGTCCTTAGGTAATTAGGAGGCTGAGGTGGAAAGATTGCTGTTGCCCAGGAATTTGAGGCTGCAGTGAACTATGATGATGCCACTGAACTCCAACCTGAGCAACATGGCAAAAGGAGAGAGAGAGAGAGAGAGAGAGAACTTCATGGGCCTGATGTACTGGCTCATGCCTGATCAAAGCAGGAGGATTTCTTGAAACCAAGAGTTTGAGAACCTATCCCTACACAAAATTTTTAAAACCAGGCATAGTGGTGTGTGCCTGTGTTCCTGGCTACTTTGAAAGCTGAGGAGGGAGGATGGCTTGAGGCCAGGAGTTTGCCGTTACAGTGAGCTCTGATTTTGCCAGTGCACTTGACAGAGCATGATCAAGTCTTCCCCTCACCACCCCCCACAAAAAAAAAACAGTTCACAAATACAGAAAGATGTAAGAATACTTCAGCGGAGTCTTTTTTTTCCTTTTTTCTTTTTGAGACAGAGTCTCACTCTGTCGCCCAGGTTGAGTTGCGGTGGCGTGACCTCAGCTCACTGCAAACTCTGCATCCCAGGTTCACGCCATTCTCCTGTCTCAGCCTCCCAAGTAGCTGGGACTACAGGCGCCTGCCACCATGCCCAGCTTTTTTTTTTTTTTTTTTGTATTTTTTTGTATTTTTTGGGGGGGTTTTTTTTTGTATTTTTAGTAGAGACGGGGTTTCACCATGTTAGCCAGGATGGTCTTGATCTCCTGACCTCGTGATTCGCCCACCTCGGCCTCCCAAAGTGCTGGGATTACAGGCGTGAGCCACCACGTCCAGCCCAGTGAACTCTTTTAAGACAGAGTCTCGCACTGTCGCCCAGGCTGGAGTGCAGTGGTGCAATCTTGGCTCACTGCAACCTCCGCCTCCTGGGTTCAAGCAGTTTTCCTGCCTCAGCCTCCCAAGTACCTGGGATTACAGGCGCCCGCCACCACGTCCAGCTAATTTTTGTTGTTGTTGTTGTTGTATTTTTAGTAGAGACGAGGTTTCACTATGTTGGCCAGGCTGGTCTCAAACCCGCCTCAGCCTCCCAAAGTGCTGGGATTACAGACGTGAGCCACCGTGCCCGGCCTGGTAAACTCTTATATACCCTTACTTAGATTCCACAATTGTTAACACTATGTTACATTTGTTTACGTACACATACAAACACGTTACTGTTGTAGACTTATTTCTTTCTTGATCATTTGAGAGCTAGATGTAGACTTTGTCTTTTTCCCTAAATAATACTTGAATGTATTTATCCTAAAAATGAGGATTGTTCTCTTGTATATCCCCATATAATGATCAAATTCAGGAAATTTAAATTTGATAAAATACTGTGATCTCATCTTAGTTCATATTCAAATATCATCCATTTCCCAATAATTTTCCCCTGTCCATGATTGAATGCATTTAGTTATTTTGTCCTTTTGCTCCCTTAATCCTTTTTGTTTTCTCAGTTTTTGTCTGTCATGACATTGAAATTTTTGAAGCGAAAAGGCTAATTCTATAGACTGTTAATCAATTTTGGTTTATCTGTTTCTTCCTGACTTAAGTCAGGCTATGAAATACAACCTATAGCCAAAGATGGCTGAAACAAAAGAAAAAATAATTAAAAAGATGAAATATAACCTGGACTATTACACTCAGTGCAATTTGTCCCACTATTGGTGTTGTTGACTATTTAAAATAATCTGAGGATGCTCTTCTAGATCTCACAACTTATCACATTTCCTCTGTGTTTCATTTTTAAAATAATAGTACATAGTAAGTTAAACAACATTTTTCTCTCCTTCCATGTCTTTTTCAATGATATGAATAAATTTCTTATGTTTCTATTTGTTTGGCAACTTTAATTTATTCTATTCAAAATGTTTTAACCATTTTCATTCCATTTGCATCTCATTTAGTGAATTTCATCGTAGTCTTTCTTTTATAAGCAATGCTAAGTTACGTATCAGGCATTTTCCAGGCTTTCACAGTGAAAACATAAAAAATAGTTTTTTTCTAAATTTTTATATTATTTTCACTTTTTCAAAATAATTGGTTTCTTTATTGTTTTATATTTTAATCATTATATAAGTACAATATATACTAAGTTGTAAGCATTATGCAATTTTATTTTTTACTTAATTATTCTTTTACTGTTTTTTTTGTTCTTTCTTTCTGGTGGAATTTAAAATCATGCAATCCTTTTTTAACTTTCATTTTAGGTTCAGGAGTGCATTTGCAGGTTTTTTATTTAGGTAAATTCATGTCACAGGGGTTTGTTGTGCAGATTATTTCACCAGCCAGCTACTAAGCTAGTATCCAATGGTTATTTTTTCTGATCCTCTCTGTCTTCCCACCCTCCATCCTCAAGTAGGCCCCAGTGTCTGTTGTTCCCCTCTTTGGGTCCATGAATTCTCATCACTTAACTCCTACTTATAAGTGAGAACATGCAATATTTCATCTTTTGTTCCTGTGTTAGTTTGCTAAGGATAGTGGCCTTTAGCTTTATTCATGTTCCCACAAAAGACACGATTATGTTCTTTTCTGTGGCTGCATACTATTCTGTGGTGTATGTGTACCACATTTTCTTTATCTAATCTGTCATTGATGGGCAATTAGGTTGATTACGTGTCTTTGGTATTGTGAATAGCACTGCAGTGAACATTCACATGCATGTGTCTTTATGGTAGAACGATTTATACTCCTTTGGGTATATACCCAGTAATGGGATTGGAAGAGCATACAGTTTTATAACTACAAGAAGAATATATGGTACTTTCGTTGTCATTCTTAGCATATAGTTTAGTTTAAGGCTTTAGAAATGCCCTAAAAGTTATACACTTAAGATTTAATTAAATGTAACCGGTTTTCTGCTCCATTTTTTTCTATTATGCACTTTTTAAAGTTTTTAAAATTCAGAAACTGTTTTGTTTTTGTTTTTGTTTTTGTTTTTTGAGATGGAGTCTTGCTCTGTCACCCAGGCTGGAGTGCCATGGCACGATCTCAGCTCACTGCAACCTCCGCCTCCTGGGTTCAAGCAATTCTCCTGCCACTGTGCCAGGCTATTTTTTGTACTTTTAGTAGAGATGGGGTTTCCCCATGTTGGTCAGGGTGGTCTTGAACTCCTGACCTCATGATCCGCCCACCTTGGCCTCCCAAGGGCTGGGATTACAGTAGTGAGCCACCACACCTGGCCAAGAAACTGTTTTTATATAAAATATATATTGTTTTTCAATCCTTAGAAAATTATATCCGTCTCATTTTAGATATAAAGCAGCTGAATTCCAAAGCAGTAATAAAATGTTCTAAATTTTCATTTGTGATATGGAACAAATCCAGGATTTAAAACCCAGATTTAAAAACCAGGTTCTGTCCAGGCTCAGTGCCTCACACCCGTAATCCCAGAACTTTGGGAGGGTAGATAACTTGAAGTCAGGAGTTTGAGACCAGCCTGGCCAACCTGATGAAACCCGTCTCTACTAAAAATAAAAAAATTAGCTGGGCGTGGTGGCGCACACCTGTAATCTCGGCTACTCAGGAGGCTGAAGCAGCAGAATCGATTGAACTTGGGAGGCAGAGGTTGCAGTGAGCCGAGATTGTGCCACGGCAATCCACCCTTGGTGACAGGGCTAGACCCCATCTCAAAAAAAAAAAAAAAAAAAAAAAACACCAAAAAAAAAAAAAAGAAAAACCCAGGTTCTTTATTTCCCTATCTCAGACATCTCCAAATCAAACAATACTGTGAGTATTTTAGATCTGTATAGTTTATTCCCACTTATTTGGATTTGCAATCATGACCAAATATTTCTGCTAAAAATTTGGTTATAATAAAGTATAGTTAACCCTGGTCCCCTAGTCAGATTTCTTGAAAAAACAAAAGTTAGCTTTTTATTGTTAACATTAAACTATTTTAAATAAGTAATATAATAGATAAGTGTTATAACCGGTTCTTTAGGCATCCATCCTTCTAAAGCTATAGAAACCTGAAATGTTCTCTCTGAGGTATTGTAATGCTTCATCAATTCACTCTCTTGAATTACAATCTTACAGTCGTACCTGTACATGTCAAGGAATTGATCCAGAGACTTGTGGAGCTTCATTCTCTTTTGGCTGTTCATGGAGTATGTACTTTAATGGCTGTAAGTTTGGTAGAAGCCCAAGCCCCAGAAGATTTAGAATTGATCCAAGCTCTCCCTTACATGTAAGTGTCCTTCTTTATTCAAATAATTTATTTTTGAATTACACATTGAATATGTAAGTGCATTCCTTTAACATTTTTTGAAACACTATAAAAACTAAATATTGAAAAGTAGTAATCAAATAGTAAAATTATATTTCTATTATATAAGTAAATAAATTAATTAAGACTCTAAATAAATTAGGTAAAGACTTTAGCTATCTCCCCAAATTCCAATTGTCCCTGGCTTCCTCCTCCTGCTCTACTACCCCACCCCAGCAAAATCATCATTAAAAGAACCTAGAATTTTATACTCAGCCAAAATAGGAAAAACCCATTTGCCAAAATTTCAAAGACTCAGAAAGTTTACTACCCACAGACCTACTATGAAAGAATTACTAAAGGACGTAATCCAGAAAGAAGATATATGAAACCGGAACGAATCAGTCCGGGACACGAGGCCATGGTGAGCAAAGAAATTAGTCGAACTTGGTGTTAAGTTAAATAAGTTCAATACTTATATATTATATTAAATTAAAATAACCTATAAGTATAACTCCACACCTTTATCAGCTCGTGGGTGGGTAGGCAGTGGGAGGGGGTGGGGCACCAATAGGAACTAAGTATTCTAATGTGTTATGCTTTGTTTGTGTAGTGAGGATTTATATATTGATTAACTATAAGATTGATATCTTTTAATCTTTGAGCAGTGACCAAGAGTAAAAAACATTTTATATTACAAGCCACTATACACATACATAGACATAAGAAAATAATTAGACCTATCTGAAAACAATACTTACCTTTCTTACATGTAACAGCAGTAACATCAAAATATTTAAAAAGTTAATATCAATGTAGTTATTCTAAGAGTCTATGATACATCATTTTTTTATCAGATTTCTTTCTTTTTCTTTTTTTTTTTTCTTTTTCTTTTTCTTTTTTTTTTTTTTTTTTGAGACAGAGTTTCGCTCTTGTTGCCCAGGCTGGAGTACAAAGGTGTGATCTTGGCTCACTGCAACCTCCACTTCCTAGGTTCAAGCAGTTCTCCTGCCTTAGCCTCCCAAATAGCTGAGATTACAGGCATGCACCACCATCATGCCCAGCTAATTTAGTATTTTTAGTAGAGATGAGGTTTCACCATGTTGGCCAGGCTAATCTCGAACTCCGGATCTCAGGTGAGATCTGTAGTCCCAGCTACTAAGGAGGCTGAGGTGGGAGGTTGGCTTGAACCAACCAGCTAGGTTTTCTTTCTAAATATTATATGATAAAAGTATCTGTCCCTTTTTGGCTCTCTGAGCAGCACTGTAGTGGTTGGCAAGAATAAGGCAGCACAAAGGGAGCCAAGAAGAAAGTGCTTGATCCATTTTCTAAGAAAGATTTGTATTACGTGAAAGCATCTGCCATGTTCAATATAAGAAATATTGGGAAGACACTAGTCACCAGAACCCAAGGAACCATAATTGAATCTGATGGCCTCAAGGGTCGTGTATTTGAAGTGAGTCTTGCTGATATGCAGAATGATAAAGTTGCATTTAGAAAATTCAGCTGATTACTGAAGATGTTCAGGGGAATGATTGCCTGATGAGCTTCCATGGCGTGGATCTTACCTGTGACAAAATATGTTTCATGGTCAAAAAATGGCAGACAATGGTTGAAGGTCATGTCAATATCAAGACTACCGGTGCTTACTTGCTTCATGTGTTCTGTGTTGGTTTTACTAAAAAATGCAACAATCAGATACGGAAGACCTCTTATGCTTAGCACCAATGTTTCGGCCAAATCTGGAACAAGTTGATGGAAATCATGACCCGAGAGGTGCAGACAAATTACTTGAAAGAAGTGGTCAATAAATTGATTCCAGACAGGATTGGAAAAGACATAGAAAAAATTCTTGCCAATCTATCCTCTCCATGATGTCTTTGTTAGATAAGTTAAAATGCTGAAGAAGCCTAGCTTTGAATTGGGGAAACTCATGGAGCTTTATGGTGAAGGTAGCAGTTCTGGAAAAGCCACTGAGGACAAAACAGGTGCTAAAGTAGAACGAGCTGATGGATATGAACCACTAGTCCAAGAATCTGTTTAAAGTTCAGACTTATAGTAGTGGCAAATAAAAAGTCATATTTGTGGGGGAAAAAAGTGTCTGTTAGTTGATAAACATAAAGGATCTTCAAAACATTCAAGGAAAATGCATATTATGAATAAACTATGTATGGATTTCATAATAATTTTCACCAAAATAAACTCATACTTACTTGTAACATGCCTGAATGGGGTCTAGTTTGATGCACTAAGAAGGATAAGATGTCAGTTTATAAACTGCCTCTATCAGAGCAACATGAATTGTGCTAAAATTGAAGCAAGAACAAACATCAAATTTCTGGTGAAGCTTGGGTGGAAGAATGATAAAATCGTTGATGCCTTATAAAAAGCTTATGGGCACTGCCCCAAAGAAATCTGCAGTTTACAAATGGATAGCTCATTTTAAGAACGGATGGGACGATTTTGAAGATGAAGGCCAAAGCGTCAAACTATCCACGTCATTTTTTTTTTTTTTTTTTTGAGTCTGGGTCTCGCTCTGTCATCCAGGCTGGAGTGCAGTGATGTGATCTCAGCTCACTCACTGGACCTGACCTCAGGTGATCTGCCTAACTCAGCCTTTCAAAGTGCTGGGATTACAGGCATGAGACACTGTGGCCAGGCAGATTTTTAGAAATTAAGATAAAATTGGCCCTCTCTGGCTGTTCAAGGAAAAATATTTGGCCCAAGATCAATGACAGTCCCTACTCCTTGCCAGGTGCCCAATTAATACCTAGGCTCTTTTATAAAGCTATTTTGTTGTTGTTGTCTTGAGATGGAGTTTCGCTCTTATTGCCTAGGCTGACGTGCAATGGCTTGATCTCGGCTCACTGCAACCTCCACCTCCCGGGTTCAAGTGATTCACCTATCCCAGCCTCCTGAGTAGTTGGGATTACAGGCTCCCGCCACCATGCCTGGCTAATTTTTGGTATTTTTAGTAGAGACGGGGTTTCACCATCTTGGCCAGGCTGGTCTTGTACTCCTGACCCTGTGATCCACCCACCTCAGCCTCCCAAAGTGCTGGGATTATAGGTGTGAGCCACAGCACCTGGCCTTTTGTGTGTGTGTGTGTGTGTGTGTGTGTGTATACACAAGATATATATGTATATATATACACATATATATGTATGTATGTGTATATATATATATATATATATATATATATATATTTTTTTTTTTTTTTTTTTTTTTTTTTTCTTCTGAGACGGAGTCTTGCTCTGTCACCCAGGCTGGAGTGCAGTGGCGCGATCTCATCTCACTGCAAACTCCGCCTCCCAGGTTCACGCCATTCTCCTGCCTCAGCCTCCCAAGTGGCTGGGACTACAAGCGCCCACCACCACAGCCGGCTAATTTTCTGTATTTTTAGTAGAGATGGGGTTTCACTAGGATGATCTCAATCTCTTGACCTTGTGATCCGCCTGCCTCAGCCTCCCAAAGTGCTAGGATTACAGGCGTAAGCCACCGTGCCTGACCTGGCCATTTGTATTTTTTTTTCGTAGAGATGGGATTTCATCATATTGGCCAGGCTGGTCTCGAACTCCTGACCTCAGATGATCTGCCCTCCTCCGCCTCCCAAAGTGCTGGGATTATAGATGTGAGCCACTGTGCCTGGCCCACATCAATTTTTGAGGAAACATTAATCTTGTTTGTTCCCTAACTGAATAGATATATCAACTGGTTCAGCCTACACAATTCTTACTGAAACATTATAGTTGTGCAAACTTCCTACTTGATGGGTTCCAAAACTGTTGTTCCCAGCTCAGCTGCAGAAAAGAATAGAAATTTTAAACAAGTGGGATCAAGATCCTGAGGCATTCTTAAAATTACAACAGGAGATGGAGCATGGCTTTACCAGCATAATCCTGAAGACAAAGCATAATCAAAGCAAACGCCAGCAAGAGGTATAGGAAGTCCAGTCAAAACCAAAGTGGACCAGTAAAGAGCAAAGTTCATGGCAACAGTTTTTTTGGGATGCTTAAGGCATTTTCCTTGCTCACTTTTTGGAGGGCCAAACAAAAATAACATCTGCTTATTATGAAAGTGTTTTGAGAAAGTTGGAGAAAGCTTTAGCAGAAAATAGCCCAGGAAGGCTCCACCAGAGAGTCCTTCTCCACCGCAAGAATGCTCCTGCTCATTCCTCTCATCAAACGGGGGCAGTTTTGCAAAGTGTATCAATGGGAACTCATTAGGCATCCACCCTATAGTCCTGATTTAACTCCTTCTGATTTCTTTTTGTTTCCTAATCTTAAAAAAATCCGTAAAGGGCACCTATTTTTCTTCACTTAATAATGTAAAGAAACAACAACAACAACAAAACTATATTGACATGGTTAAATTCCCAAAGTGCTCCATGCTTTAGAAATGGATTAAATGTCCAATATTGTCACTTACAAAAGTGTCTTGACCTGGATGGAACTTATGTTCAGAAATAATGTTATTTTATTTTTTGATACGGGGCCTCACTATGTTGCTCTGGCTGGACTCCTGGGCTCAAGGGATTCTCCTTTCTCAACTCCAAAGCTGGGATTACAGGCATGTGCCACCCTGCCTGGCAATTTTTTTAATTGAGACGGAGTTTCGGTCTTGCCCAGGCTGGAGTGCAATGGTGTGATCTCGGCTCACTGCAACTCCTGCCTCAGCCTCCCAAGTAGCTGGGATTACAGGCATGCGCCACCACGCCCAGCTAATTTTGTATTTTTAGTATAGATGGGGTTTCTCCATGTTGGCCAGGCTGGTCTTGAACTCCCCACTTCAGGTGATTCGCCTGCCTTGGCCTCCCAAACTGCTGGGATTACAGGCATGAGCCACAATTGCAGACCAGTATTTTTTATTTTTATTTATTTTATTTTATTTTTTGAGAAGGGTTCTCACTCTGTCACCCAGGCAGAGTGAGGAGGGAGGCCACCCACCTCGGCCTTCCAAAGTCCTGGGATTACAGGCGTGAGCCACCACGCCCAGCCAGAATCAAAGAGTTTTAAGGAGGAGAGTGACATACTTACACTTGCCCTTGAATGAGATCCCTCTAGATGCTGTTTGAACAATAGACTAAATGTAACCAAGAGTGGATTTAGCAAGATGAGCCAACCATCTATGAGCACAATCCATGGAGGGGATAATGGTCACTTAAATTATATGGGGTGGGGGGTTCATCTTTATCATCAGGCACACTGGAAATTGGACCAGGTTTGTAGAGGGCAGATCAGTAATTCAGTTTAGATATATTGGTATTGAGATTCCTAAGGGAAATCTACATGGGAATGTCAGGTCAATAATAGGAATCTGAAACTTAAGAAATGGTCTAAGTGGTAAGTATAGCTGTGGATGAGGATATGATGGTCCTAGAGATTAGATACAGAGTGTGAACAGAGGCCTGGTGTGGTGGCTTACATCTGTAATCCCCGTACTTTGGGAGGCCAAGGCAGGTGGATCACTTGAGGTCAGGAGTTTGAGACCAGCCTGGCTAACATGGTGAAACTCCGTCTCCACTAAAAATAGAAAAATTAGCCGGGCATGGTGGCGGGCACCTGTAATTCCGGCTACTCAAGTGCCTGAGGCAGGAGAATTGCTTGAACCTGAGAGGCAGAGGTTGCAGTGAGCTGAGATCGCACCACTGCACCCCCCCACACACAAAAAAAGAGTGGGAGAAGGAGTTAATCTTGACCACCAATAGGTAAAGATCTGCTAAGTAATTCCCTCTGTATCTGACATGCATGTTCATTCTAATGAAATAATTAGAAGGTCAGGATTTTACAATATGAATAATAAGCCTGTAATAGTAAAATAATACTAATAGGGCCGGGCACAGTGGCTCACACCTGTAACCCCAGCACTTTGGAAAGCTGAGGCAGGTGGATCACTTGAGGTCAGGAGTTCAAGACCAGCATGGCCAACATGGTGAAATCCTGTCTCTACTAAAAATGGAAAAAATTATCCGGGCGTGGTGGCTCATGCTTGTAATTCCAGCTACTCAGGAGGCTGAGGCAGGAGAATTGCTTGAACCTGGGAGGTGGAGGATACAGTGAGCCGAGATTGTGCCGCTGCACTCACACTCCGGCCTGGGCAACAGAGTGAAACTCTGTCTCAAAAAATAAAAGATGAAAAATAATAAAATAATACCAACAGTGAACTGTACAAACTATGAGTTGCTTCTAGTTGTCTACTTTATTTCAGTGCTTCTACACAATAAATGAGGTAATTTGAGATGACCTGTTCCTCAGTAGGACTTGTGACTCTGTGTGGTCCACAACAGAATAAATATTATTACAAAATAGAGTAAAGTGATGTGAGAATATTAAAGAATTTAAACCTGATGCTGCATACAAAAAGTATAGAATTTACATGTGACTTTTCCAGTGTTCATATCAATAGCAGTACACAAGTGTTAACATTTCTCTGCATTGTTCCACTTGTAGTAAAACACGGTTACCCAGCCCACTGGATACTTCCAGTGATTGAAGATATAAATAGAATTGTTTTAATGGGTGTTGATTTAAAAGTTTCTCCCAAATAAACATAATAATTAGTGTATGGGTTTAGCGAGGGCATGTTTTTAAAGTAGGGTCATGACTTTCCTGTTTTGTTTTGTTTTTTTGAGACAGAGTCTGGCTCTGTCTCCCAGGCTGGAGTGCAATGCCATGGTCTCAGCTCACTGCAATCTTCACCTCCCAGATTCAATAGATTCTCCTGCCTCAGACTCCCAAATATCTGGGACTACAGGCGCATGCCACCACACCTGGCTAATTTTTGTATTTTTAGTAGAGGCTGGGTTTCACCTTGTTGGCCAGGCTGGTCTCGAACTCCTGACCTCAGGTGATCTGCCCACCTCAGCCTCCCAAAGTGCTGGGATTACAGGCATGAGCCACTGTGCCCAGCTGACTTTCCTGTTTTTTAAACTACAACGGCTAAGATAAAAGTAGCCTGATTAACAGACAAATCTATGAATGGATCCTATGGATTTTTTTTGTGTAATCAAGTCAATATAAATCAATAGGAAACCAAAATGATTATGAGTCACACTTACGGTTGCTAAGATGGAGGCTTGTCAGAAACCACTAAATAATTGACTTGCTGTGTCTAAATTATTGTGTAGCTTTGGCTTTTATAATAATTTGATGCATACCAAAGGTCAATTGATTCATATAATGGTCTCCTTTCTGTGTTAATGGCATCTCCTTCCACCAAATCTCACATGAGCATATGAGGCGAAAGCCTCACTCACCCTGTTTAGTCCATGTTCTCTATACGTGTTTTTCTTTTTTGAGACAAGATCTGGCTCTGTCACCCAGGCCGGAGTGCAGTGGCTTGATATCATCTCTTGATCTGCCACTTCAGCCTCCCAGGTTCTAGCAACCTTCCCATCTCAGCCTCCCAAGTAGCTGGGACTGCAAGTATACTCCGTCACGGCCAGCTAATTTTTTTTATTTCTTGGAGAGGTGTGGAGTTTCACCAAGTTCCCCAGACTGGTCTCAAATTTGTGAGCTCAAGTGATCTGCCCGCCTCGGCCTCCCAAAATGTTGGGATTACAGGCGTTAGCCACCATGCTAATAGAGACTCATGTGATAGTTTTCCTTTGAAAAAATCTGATGTCTCTATCAGTAGCAATCCAGATTTCTTGAGTGTTAATGGTCCTCATAGTCCTTCAAAGTCTTCTTCAATTTGTAGTTATTATGGTGTAGAAAAGAGAACTATAGACAACCACTTGCCCACTTACTTCCTTTGATCTGCAGGCATTTACTAAACCTCTCAGTTATCCTGACCTTGCTCTTTCGTAGAGATCATGCGTAATATTCCTGTTTCATGGGCCATAAGGACATGTGTTTAATTCATAAGGACATATGGATTCCATTTGAAACAGGATCTCACACAGAGTAGGTGTTTTATGTATGTACTCTCTCTTCTCCGTTATAGGAACCTGTTACATTGTAACCAAGTTACTTGCCATTTCCCCTTGCCAGCAAGAACGTTGTTTGCATTTATTCCAAGTGTGCAATACTATTGAATAAATATAAAACATAGCTCTCATTTTTCACAACATGAACAGTATTGTAATTTATCTCTAACACTATTTAAATTTCTAATTAACTTAGAATTTTCATTTCAAAAGACTTCATTAAAGCATAACAATGTCTAATAGTTTAGATGGAGAAAAGAAGCAGTGTAATTTTCTGTGGTAGCTATTTTATCAGGATAAGTATGAATTGTGCATTAACCACCATCAGCCATGATTTATGATTCAGTTGTACCTTAAACACATGAAGGTGCGATTATAAAATACCTAATGGATTCTGTTTTCCTATAGGAAAAAAACCTTGAAGATAACTTACAGAGTTTGGCTACACGATTAGCTCCAATTTATAAGCAGTATGCTCCAGTAGCTTACCAAAATCAGGTATGTATTGGTATGAACTTTTTATTTATTTATTAATTTGAGGTGGGGTCTTGCTTTGTTGCCCAGGCAGCAGTACAGTGGCATGATCAAAGCTTACTACAAACTCCTAAGCTCAAGCAATGCTCCTGCCTCACCCTCCAAAAATGCTGGGATTACAGATATGCCAGACTGTTTTATATCTTAAAAAGTCATTGTTGGCCAAGCTCGTTAGCTCACGCCTGTAATCCCAGAACTTTGGGAGGCCAAGGCAGTCGGATCACCTGAGGTCAGGAGTTCAAGAATAGCCTGGCCCACATGGTGAAACCCCATCTCAACTAAAAATACAAAAATTAGCTGGGTGTGGTGGGTGTGCACCTGTAGTCCCAGCTAATCAAGAGGCTGAGGCAGGAGAATCACTTGAACCCAGGAGGTGGAGGTTGCATTGAGCTGAGATCATGCCACTGCACTCCAGCCTGGGTGACAGAGCAAGACTCTGTCTCAAAAAAAAAAACAAAAAAAACCAGTCATTGTTAATAGAAAAATTTTCAAATTTGAACAAATATATACATACACAGCATATCTATCTAACATACATTTATGTAATTGGACTTTTTATTGATCTACTCTTTTTTTTTTTTTTTTTTTTTTTTGAGACAGAGTCTTGCTCTTGTTGCCCAGGCTGGAGTGCTGTGGCGCAATCTCAGCCTTTTGGCTCACTGCACCCTCTGCCTCCCAGCAGGTTCAAGCAATTCTCCTGCCTCAGCCTCCCGAGTAGCTGGGACTACAGGCATGCGCCACCACACCCCGCTAATTTTTGTATTTTTAGTAGAGATGGGGTTTCACCATGTTTCCCAGGCTGCTCTCGAACTCCTGGCCACAAGTGATCTGCCCGCCTCAGCCTCCCAAACTGCTGGGATTACAGGCATTAGCCACCCTGCCCAGCATCCACCTTTTCATTTTAAAAGGAGTTACAAATTGACTTTCAGTAATGGTTCATGAAATGTATGTATATCTTCTTTTTACGGATATTGAAAACTCTGTGTATATGATTAATGCGCTTTTATTGGTCTTTCTTTCTAATGGAATGATTGAGTCTATTTTACTTGCTTATCCATCTCCAACAAGAATTAGTATCCTCACCCTGCCTTCCCTTGTAAATTCAGTGATTTTCCTTTTACTCCATGTATTGTCAAGTGCTTTCTCCTGAATGTTGCTAAGCTACACCTTCATGACAATAATACATTTAGTCTCAGAAATTACAAAGTGTAATTAATTAGAAACTTCATGAGGAAATTATTTTTACTCTTTACTGAAGGTAGGTGATTTCCTTCTCTCTCTTAAGATTGTGCTCCATGCTTTCTTTTCTAGGTGGAATATGAAAATGTTGCCCGAGAATGTCGGCTTGGCAGCAAGGAAGGTCGTCCCTTCTCTGGGGTCACTGCTTGCCTGGACTTCTGTGCTCATCCCCACAGGGACATTCACAACATGAATAATGGAAGCACTGTGGTATGTACCTGTGTGAATTTGTATTCTAAAAGCTCCATCACTATATGCTTAGGCTGCAGTCCTTACGTATACTGTGATGACTATTACTGTGAAAAATCTTAATTTATGTGTTATTAGAAATAAGTGGAAAATAAAGTGAAAAAAAAGAAATAAGTGTGTAGTGCAGGTCTTCATTAAATGCATTATCTATGCACTTCTAAAAAGTAACAGGGCCAGCTTCAAACAAACATTTTATTGAAAGGCTATGTTACATATTTAATTGTTGTGTTTTTGCTGGGAGGCAGGAGTACTTTTTTTTAAATTTATTTATTTATTTATTTTTTGAGACGGAGTCTCACTCTGTCGCCCAGGCTAGAGGGTAGTGGCACGATCTCAGCTCACTGCAACCTCTGCCTCCTGGGTTCACGCCATTCTCCTGCCTTAGCCTCCCAAGTAGCTGGGGCTACAGGCGCCCACGACCACACCCGGATAATTTTTTGTATTTTTAGTAGAGATGGGATTTCACTGTGTTAGCCAGGATGGTCTTGATCTCATGACCTCGTGATCCACCCACCTTGGCCTCGAAAAGTGCTGGGATTACAGGTGTGAGTCACCACGCCCAGCCAATTTTTTGTATTTTTAGTAGAGATGGGGTTTCACCGTGTTAGCCAGGATGGTCTTGATCTCATGACCTCGTGATCCGCCCACCTTGGCCTCCCAAAGTGCTGGGATTACAGGTGTGAGCCAACGCGCTCGGCCAATTTTTTAAAGTAACAATTCTCTGCTATCAAACTAGTAGGTATGAAGTTGAGCATGTTACTTGATATTTGTTTTTGCCATCTGCACTTCAGGGTTTTTGTGAGGCAACTGTGCCAATTATCAGCAATATTTGCATTCTGGTATGCCTACTATGTTTATAGTTATGTAAATCATCACATGTCCATCGCCTGAAGTCAATTAAGAAATACGTAAATTAGGCAGAAGACCCAGTGGAAAATCTTGAAATAGTATTTTTGTCTGTTTGCTTCACCTGTTTGTCTTCCTGTCATCTAGTAAAGCAAGATCAATAGAGAGCAATTGCTTTTGTTTTTCTGCTGCACCAGTTTTTTAGGTTTGCCAGAGAATTCTAAAACCTTCATTAAGTCTTGGCTGCAGGATGAGCATGTTGGCTCATGTCTGTAATCCCACCTACTTCGGAGGCCAAGATAGGAGGATTGCTTGAGCCCCGGGAGTTCTAGACCAGCCTGGGCAATAAGACCCCGTCTCTTTAAAATATACAATTTTTAAAAAATAATTTTTTTTAGGTTTAGCTACAGCCTCTTACAGTGTGATTGAAAGTATATGATCAGATCTATCAACAGGCAGTCTTTCTTCCTTGCTTGGTCAGTAGAAGAGTATTGGTGATAGATTAAGCCACAACAACTTTTTTTTTTTTTTTTGCGTATCATTCCTGTATACAAAAATGTTTTGCAGAGTCTTTGAGACCAATGTTATTTCTAAGTGTTGAAGTTATATAAATCCAGCCTGGTAAATACTAGCCAGGCAGTGGTTCATCACCATCACTTGGCCAGGACATTTTACCTGAATTACAGAATATCTGTGATCAGGCTGAAGTCAGTTCAGAGTCAAGCTAAGTTTCAGTTTCTCTTCTCTGCGCTCTTTGACTTCCAGGGCCCGGATTACTCACTCAATGAGGGTCTTATCCGGAACTTGACATCACTCCAAATTCCCCCATCTTCAAACATGTGAACTCTTGAAATTCTACCACTACCTCTCCCTTCACCCTGTTTTACCATAATTTCTATTTTTTTTATTTTTTTTATTGGTTTACTCTCTACTCCTTATTGGTTTACTTTCTAATTATGCTCCTCATGTCAACTCCTTATGTCCTTCTTAGTCTCTCTGTGACCAATTAAATTGGTTCCAGTAAACATTTATTGATGTGACATTCTGATTTTCAGCATGACTATTATTAGTTATGAACAGATTACCACCATGACAGTTTAATATTGCAGGCTTTCTCCAGGCACCATGGCTCATGCCTGTAATCCCAGCACTTTGGGATGCTGAGGTGGAAGGATTGCTTGAACCCAGGATCTTGAGTGTAGCCTGGGCAACTTTGTGAGACCCTGTCTCTACAATTAAAAACAAAATTAGCTATGCGTGATGGTACACAACTGTACTCCCAGCTACTCGAGAGACTGAGGCAGGAGAAACACTCAAACCCAGGAGTTTGAGGCTGAAACATATATTTATATTTTAGACTTTGCTGAAAAATGTGACTACAGATATTGAAAAAAATGAATTTTTTTAACCTTTAACTTTGCTTTACCTTGGTATCTATCAAGTTCTACCATGAATACAAAAATGCTTTGGAAATCAAATCTGTTTATTTCATTTATCTCCAGTCTTCGCTATCACTGAAAGGGTTTACAGCTCCGGGATATATGTTTTTATTATTAAATAAATAAAACATTTTATAGGTTTCTGTTGGATTTTTAATATTTGAAAATTAATTTGGCTGGGCCCAGTGGCTCACACCTGTAATCCCAGCACTTAGGGAGGCCAAGGTGGGTAGATCACTTGAGGAAAATTAATTACAATTAAAATATTAGTTTTATAATAAAATGTTAGTTTTTAAAGCAGAATATTAATATTAGGTATCAAAAGTCAGGAATCACTATAGTGCCTATAGTTCTGTATTTTCATTTCTCCATAATAAATATAACCTTTAATGTAAGGAGGAGGGCTAAAATAGGTTGCATTTAAGATGAAAAAAGTTGGCTATTAGTATTTCATATCCAAAGAAAGGCAAATTTATTGATATTTATTGATATGGCTCCTCACTGGAATAGAGCAGTAATAGAACAGAAAGAGAATATTTATCAATATAAAATTAAAAAAAAATTTTTTTTAACTGTTAGCGTATAAGTCTTTCTGGAAAGAGAAATCAATTATGTCCCTGCTATCCAAGGAATGTGACATTCTTGAAATATCAGAAATATGGTGCTATGTGAGCTAAAATCATATCTTCCTAATAAGTTATACTTAATATGAACACAATAAACATAGTTCAATAGCCATTCCTTAATTTAGGCAATGAAGTAAGATGAAATGTAACAAGAATGTTTAGTATCAAAAATACGTAAGTATTTTATAACGTTATATTTACTTAGAAAATTAAATATTATTCTGGTCTGCCTACAAACAACTGGGAAGTTACTATGATTGAACAGAGTTGGGTGGCTTGATATAAAATAATAATATACCATCAGCAACCAATTGAAAATAAAATGGGAATACAAATCTCTTTCCCAAAGGCAACAACACGAAGGTAGGAATAGCCACAATGAATGTGCACGACCCGTATATCTTTCCCATTTCATGTTTTTCTCCCTATCAGGTTTGTACCTTAACTCGAGAAGATAACCGCTCTTTGGGTGTTATTCCTCAAGATGAGCAGCTCCATGTGCTACCTCTTTATAAGCTTTCAGACACAGATGAGTTTGGCTCCAAGGAAGGAATGGAAGCCAAGATCAAATCTGGGGCCATCGAGGTCCTGGCACCCCGCCGCAAAAAAAGAACGTGTTTCACTCAGCCTGTTCCCCGTTCTGGAAAGAAGAGGGCTGCGATGATGACAGAGGTTCTTGCACATAAGATAAGGGCAGTGGAAAAGAAACCTATTCCCCGAATCAAGCGGAAGAATAACTCAACAACAACAAACAACAGTAAGCCTTCGTCACTGCCAACCTTAGGTGAGCCCTATGGAACCTGGTAATCTCTGCACAACTTTGATGGATAGATGTGTTTGGACTTTGCCTTGCCTTATTTGTTTAGAGTTAAAACTAAGACACTGAATATATTTTTACATATACCAGAACCAAAAGTCAACAAAAAAGTGACCCATCAGTATTTCTTGGTAACTTTTTCGACTTATCCTTTTTTTTTTTTTTGAGAGGGAGTCTTGCTCTGTCACCCAGGCTGGAGTGCAGTGGCGCAATCTTGGCTCACTGCAAGCTCTGCCTCCTGGGTTCACGCCATTCTCCTGCCTCAGCGTCCTGCTTAGCTGGGACCACAGGCGCCCGCCACCACGCCCAGCTAATTTTTTGTATTTTTAGTAGAGACGGGGTTTCACCGTGTTAGGCAGGATGGTCTCGATCTCCTGACCTCTTGATCCGCCCCCGCCCCCCCGCCCCCGCCTTGGCCTCCCAAAGTGCTGGGATTACAGGTGTGAGCCACCGCGCCCGGCCTACTTATCCTTTTTTATACTTTAACATATTCTTTTTTTATGGCATGGGGAGGGGTCTCACTTTATTGCCCAGGCTGGCTTGGCACGCCTTGGCTTAAGCAATAATCCCACCTCAGCCTCCTCCAGAGTAGCTGGAACTACAGGCACACAGCACTGTGCCCAGCTAATTTTAACATGTTCTTATCATTGTTCCTGTGAATTTCCCCATCTAATTCGAAGCCCTACTCGTTGTTGGCATAGATAAGAGACATGACTTTCGGGATGCCTTCCTTGGTCACCTTTACCATCAATTTAAGCAATAATTAAATAAATATTACTAAACACCACTTTCAACAGTGGTATTGTGGGTTGTCGTTGTTGTTTTTGTTTTGTTTCTTTGTTATTTTGTTTTTGTTTGTGGAGACAAGATCTAGCTCTCTTGCCCAGGCTCTGGAGTGCATGCAGTGGCGTGATCATGGCTCACCACAGCCTCAACCTTCCAGGCTCAAGCAATCCTCCCACCTCAGCCTCCCAAGTAGCTGAGACTGTAGTGTGTGTGCCACTGTGTCTAGCTAATTATTGTATTTTTTATAGAGATAGGGTTTCACCTGTTTGCCAGGCTGATCTGGAACTCCTGGACTCAAATGATTCTCCCAAATTGGTGTAATTACAGGCATGAGCCATCACACCTGGCTTGATTTGTTGATTATAAAGTCTCGTTAGTTTTGGTTTTGGGTTTTGGGTTTTGGGGTTTTTTTTAAAAGACAGAGTCTTGCTATGTTGCCAAAGCTGGAGTACAATGGCTATTCACAGACACAATCATAGCACACTGCTGCCTCAAACTCTGGGATCCCATGGGAACCTCTCTAGCAGCTAGAACTATAGGCGTGCACCACACCTGGCTCTTACCAGCTTTTCGCCTAATATATATTTTGAGTCAGAGTCTCACTCTGTCACCCAGGCTGGAGTACAGTGGCACCATCTTGGCTCACTGTAACCCTCCACCTCCTTGATTCAAGCGATTCTCCTGCCTCAGCCTCCCGAGTAGCTGGGATTACAGGTGCCCGCCACCACGCCCAGTTAATTTTTGTATTTTTAGTTGAGACGGAGTTTCACCATGTTGGCCAAACTGGTCTCAAACTCCTGACCTCAAGTGATCCACCCGCCTCGGCCTCACAAAGTGGTGAGAGCCACCACGCCCGGCTGGCTTCTCAGTTCTTTTGTCACAACCTCAATTGTCTTTTGATAGCTTTTTTTTTTTTTTTTTTTTTTGAGACAGAGTCTCGCTCTGTCTCCCAGGCTGGAGTGCAGTGGCGCAATCTCAGCTCACTGCAAGTTGTGCCTCCCGGGTTCACGCCATTCTCCTGCCTCAACCTCCCGAGTAGCTGGGACTACAGGCACCCGCCACCACGCCTGGCTAATTTTTTTTATATATTTTTAGTAGAGATGGGGTTTCACCGTGTTAGCCAGGATGGTCTCGATCTCCTGACCTCGTGATCTGCCCGCCTCAGCCTCCCAAAGTGCTGGGATTACAGGCGTGAGCCACCGTGCCCGGCCTACTTTCTTAACTTCTATAACAAGTTGTTCCAGGCTTATCTATATAATTCTGCCCCATATTTAAAATCAGCCATTTCTTTGATGAGCCTATAGAAGGAAAAAAAAATCATGAATTCATACTGACACTCAAAATTAACATTATAATGTATTCCTTAGCTTCTTTCATTTTTACATTTATGAGAAGCTGTTTATTTGTTTTTATAACATGAGCAGAGTTGGCAGTGCAGGCATTTATATAATGCTGAAAGAAATGCAATAATACAGAGAAATACTGAGAAGAAATGTATATTCCCAGATATTTGTAAGCATAATGTACAATACTTGGGCCATAATGTCCTTTTGTAATTCTACCCCTCAGTCATTTAGTCTTTCCTTCCCATCATTTACCTTCTGTGGACAACTTAACCTCTATAATAATAGTGCCACTGATAACAATAGAGGTTTCCTGATGTACCATTTCTGGGTCTTATGTATGCGTTATCTTTAGAAATGAGAGCTCTCAAGGCTCCAGGTTGTAGCATCTGAGAGGAGAACTGCAGAGCTTCTGAAATTGATCATTATGTATTATATTATCAATTTATTATATTTTTAATTACTTTAAAACATGGCTGCTTTACCTTTTCTTGGTCCTAAGATTTGCTGGTTTTGCACTTCCAAATAGTTTTTTAGAAGTTCACAACAGGGGCTAGGCGTGGTGGCTCATGCCTGTAATCCCATCACTTTGGGAGGCAGAGGCGGGCGGATCATGAGGTCAGGAGTTCAAGACCATCCTGGTCAACATGGTGAAACCCCGTCTCTACTAAAATACAAAAAATTAGCCAGGCGTGGTGGAGATTGAGACCATCCTGGCCAACATGGTGAAACCCCGTCTCTACTAAAATACAAAAAATTAGCTGGGTGTGGTGGTGGTGTGCGCTTGTAGTCCCAGCTACTCGGGAGGCTGAGGCGGGGGAATCGCTTGAACCTGGGAGGCAGAAATTGCAGTGAGCCAGGATCGCACCACTGCACTCCAGCCTGGGCAACAGAGCGAGACTCCATCTCAAAAAAAAAAAAGAACTTCATAACAGGGAGAATGTCCTCAAGGAAAATGTTCCCATTGGATGTGAGATTTATGTGGATGTGTCAGAGCAAATAACCCACAGTTGACATCTTGAGAGTAATGATCTCCTTCCTTAATGAGAAGGAAACTAAGCTGAAATACTCTTGCTTTTGAGGGTCACAAAGATTTATATTCAAGTACAATATTTTGCTTGACTTCCCTCTGCCTAACCTTGGACTTTGCCAGTTAAGATGTTTTGTTACCTAGAAATATTTATAAACTATTACTTGTTTTTACTTTTTAAAATATAGGGTCATACAATGCCTAAAACGTATCTAAATATCTTTGAATAGTTAAATATTGCTGTATGTGATTGTATTACAATACCTGCACAATATTACAACATTTAGTTGTATTACTTACTTCCTACCTAATTAGTTCAATTCTAATATTTTACTATTTCAAACAATGAACAGCCATCCTTTTGGCTAGATTTTTGCACTTATTTATGCCTCTTTCCCAAAGGAAGAGTTCTTTAAAGAAAATTATGGCCGGGCGCAGTAGCTCAAGCCTGTAATCCCAGCACTTTGGGAGGCCGAGGTGGGTGGATCATGAGGTCAGGAGATCGAGACCATCCTGGCTAACACGGTGAAACCCTGTCTCTACTAAAAAATACAAAAAATTAGCCAGGCGTGGTGGCAGGCGCCTGTAGTCCCAGCTACTCGGGAGGTTGAGGCAAGAGAATGGCATGAGCCGAGATCGTGCCACTGCACTCCAGCCTGGGGGACAGAGCGAGACTCCGTCTCCAAAAAAAACATAAAAATAAAAATTATTAGATGAAAAATTATACAAAACTACATAAAATTTTTAATTCGTGTTTGTGATTTGAAATGAACAGAACAAAACCAACCAACACAACATCAGCGTTTTCTTATATAATTCTTTGTACTTGTCTTTGAAAATACTTTTTAAAAGGCAACCCCTACCAAAAGTAATTTGTATTTTTCTTCACATTTGGTGTCCTTGTTTAGGGAGTAACACTGAGACCGTGCAACCTGAAGTAAAAAGTGAAACCGAACCCCATTTTATCTTAAAAAGTTCAGACAACACTAAAACTTATTCGCTGATGCCATCCGCTCCTCACCCAGTGAAAGAGGCATCTCCAGGCTTCTCCTGGTCCCCGAAGACTGCTTCAGCCACACCAGCTCCACTGAAGAATGACGCAACAGCCTCATGCGGGTTTTCAGAAAGAAGCAGCACTCCCCACTGTACGATGCCTTCGGGAAGACTCAGTGGTGCCAATGCAGCTGCTGCTGATGGCCCTGGCATTTCACAGCTTGGCGAAGTGGCTCCTCTCCCCACCCTGTCTGCTCCTGTGATGGAGCCCCTCATTAATTCTGAGCCTTCCACTGGTGTGACTGAGCCGCTAACGCCTCATCAGCCAAACCACCAGCCCTCCTTCCTCACCTCTCCTCAAGACCTTGCCTCTTCTCCAATGGAAGAAGATGAGCAGCATTCTGAAGCAGATGAGCCTCCATCAGACGAACCCCTATCTGATGACCCCCTGTCACCTGCTGAGGAGAAATTGCCCCACATTGATGAGTATTGGTCAGACAGTGAGCACATCTTTTTGGATGCAAATATTGGTGGGGTGGCCATCGCACCTGCTCACGGCTCGGTTTTGATTGAGTGTGCCCGGCGAGAGCTGCACGCTACCACTCCTGTTGAGCACCCCAACCGTAATCATCCAACCCGCCTCTCCCTTGTCTTTTACCAGCACAAAAACCTAAATAAGCCCCAACATGGTTTTGAACTAAACAAGATTAAGTTTGAGGCTAAAGAAGCTAAGAATAAGAAAATGAAGGCCTCAGAGCAAAAAGACCAGGCAGCTAATGAAGGTCCAGAACAGTCCTCTGAAGTAAATGAATTGAACCAAATTCCTTCTCATAAAGCATTAACATTAACCCATGACAATGTTGTCACCGTGTCCCCTTATGCTCTCACACACGTTGCGGGGCCCTATAACCATTGGGTCTGAAGGCTTTTCTCCCCCTCTTAATGCCTTTGCTAGTGCAGTGTATTTTTTCAAGGTGCTGTTAAAAGAAAGTCATGTTGTCGTTTACTATCTTCATCTCACCCATTTCAAGTCTGAGGTAAAAAAATAATAATGATAACAAAACGGGGTGGGTATTCTTAACTGTGACTATATTTTGACAATTGGTAGAAGGTGCACATTTTAAGCAAAAATAAAAGTTTTATAGTTTTAAATACATAAAGAAATGTTTCAGTTAGGCATTAACCTTGATAGAATCACTCAGTTTGGTGCTTTAAATTAAGTCTGTTTACTATGAAACAAGAGTCATTTTTAGAGGATTTTAACAGGTTCATGTTCTATGATGTAAAATCAAGACACACAGTGTTAACTCTACACAGCTTCTGGTGCTTAACCACATCCACACAGTTAAAAATAAGCTGAATTATTATTTCATGGTGCCATTGTTCCAACATCTTCCAATCATTGCTAGAAAATTGGCATATTCCTTTGAAATAAACTTATGAAATGTTTTCTCTCTTAAAATATTTCTCCTGTGTAAAATAAATCATTGTTGTTAGTAATGGTTGGAGGCTGTTCATAAATTGTAAATATATATTTTAAAAGCACTTTCTATTTTTAAAAGTAACTTGAAATAATATAGTATAAGAATCCTATTGTCTATTGTTTGTGCATATTTGCATACAAGAGAAATCATTTATCCTTGCTGTGTAGAGTTCCATCTTGTTAACTGCAGTATGTATTCTAATCATGTATATGGTTTGTGTTCTTTTACTGTGTCCTCTCACATTCAAGTATTAGCAACTTGCAGTATATAAAATAGTTAGATAATGAGAAGTTGTTAATTATCTCTAAAATTGGAATTAGGAAGCATATCACCAATACTGATTAACATTCTCTTTGGAACTAGGTAAGAGTGGTCTCTTCTTATTGAACAACCTCAATTTAGTTTCATCCCACCTTTCTCAGTATAATCCATGAGAGGTGTTTCCAAAAGGAGATGAGGGAACAGGATAGGTTTCAGAAGAGTCAAATGCTTCTAATGTCTCAAGGTGATAAAATACAAAAACTAAGTAGACAGATATTTGTACTGAAGTCTGATACAGAATTAGAAAAAAAAAATTCTTGTTGAAATATTTTGAAAACAAATTCCCTACTATCATCACATGCCTCCCCAACCCCAAGTCAAAAACAAGAGGAATGGTACTACAAACATGGCTTTGTCCATTAAGAGCTAATTCATTTGTTTATCTTAGCATACTAGATTTGGGAAAATGATAACTCATCTTTTCTGATAATTGCCTATGTTCTAGGTAACAGGAAAACAGGCATTAAGTTTATTTTAGTCTTCCCATTTTCTTCCTATTACTTTATTGACTCATTTTATTGCAAAACAAAAAGGATTACCCAAACAACATGTTTCGAACAAGGAGAATTTTCAATGAAATACTTGATTCTGTTAAAATGCAGAGGTGCTATAACATTCAAAGTGTCAGATTCCTTGGGAGTATGGAAAACCTAATGGTGCTTCTCCCTTGGAAATGCCATAGGAAGCCCACAACCGCTAACACTTACAATTTTGGTGCAAAAGCAAACAGTTCCAGCAGGCTCTCTAAAGAAAAACTCATTGTAACTTATTAAAATAATATCTGGTGCAAAGTATCTGTTTTGAGCTTTTGACTAATCCAAGTAAAGGAATATGAAGGGATTGTAAAAAACAAAATGTCCATTGATAGACCATCGTGTACAAGTAGATTTCTGCTTGTTGAATATGTAAAATAGGGTAATTCATTGACTTGTTTTAGTATTTTGTGTGCCTTAGATTTCCGTTTTAAGACATGTATATTTTTGTGAGCCTAAGGTTTCTTATATACATATAAGTATATAAATAAGTGATTGTTTATTGCTTCAGCTGCTTCAACAAGATATTTACTAGTATTAGACTATCAGGAATACACCCTTGCGAGATTATGTTTTAGATTTTAGGCCTTAGCTCCCACTAGAAATTATTTCTTCACCAGATTTAATGGATAAAGTTTTATGGCTCTTTATGCATCCACTCATCTACTCATTCTTCGAGTCTACACTTATTGAATGCCTGCAAAATCTAAGTATCACTTTTATTTTTCTTTGGATCACCACCTATGACATAGTAAACTTGAAGAATAAAAACTACCCTCAGAAATATTTTTAAAAGAAGTAGCAAATTATCTTCAGTATAATCCATGGTAATGTATGCAGTAATTCAAATTGATCTCTCTCTCAATAGGTTTCTTAACAATCTAAACTTGAAACATCAATGTTAATTTTTGGAACTATTGGGATTTGTGACGCTTGTTGCAGTTTACCAAAACAAGTATTTGAAAATATATAGTATCAACTGAAATGTTTCCATTCCGTTGTTGTAGTTAACATCATGAATGGACTTCTTAAGCTGATTACCCCACTGTGGGAACCAAATTGGATTCCTACTTTGTTGGACTCTCTTTCCTGATTTTAACAATTTACCATCCCATTCTCTGCCCTGTGATTTTTTTTAAAAGCTTATTCAATGTTCTGCAGCATTGTGATTGTATGCTGGCTACACTGCTTTTAGAATGCTCTTTCTCATGAAGCAAGGAAATAAATTTGTTTGAAATGACATTTTCTCTCATAAAACTGGTCATCTAACATTATTTCTACCCCTCTATTATGTTTTACTGTAATGATCACCTTTTCTTATACCTCTCTTATAACACTTAAATTGGGTTTTAAATCTGCGTTTGTTCATAGTATGATCATTGAATTCACTGATACATGACCTCCTAATAGCCCACTCAGTTCATAATATGCTACAAACTTACCAATTTTAATGAGAGAATAATTCCTGCCTATTGCAGAATCGTACAAAATATCATGCTGCCCTTGATATTCCATTTCTTTTTTCTTTTTTCTTCTTTTTTTTTTTTTTTTTGTAGAGACTGTCTCACTATGTTGCCCAGGCTGGTCTCAAACTCTTGGCCCCAAGAGATCCTCCTGCTTCAGCCTCCTAAAGTGCAAGGATGATAGGCATGAGCCACTCCACCTGGCCTGAAATTCCATTTCTAATGGCTCTTCAGCCATTGTTGAAATTTCTTTTTTTTCTTGTGCTTGTCTGTCTCACCTACCTCTTGTTTCCAATTCATCTACAAAGTACCAAATAGACCAGGTCATAAACATAATTGAAATACATTCTTATTGGAAAGTGAGGCTATCTGAAAAGGCATAGCTGTAGGCAAATTATTGCAACATGTTTACATCTTAAATAACTTTCCAACATCTTTGTTACTCAGTCTGCATGTTGATAATTTCATTTATTAAATATAGAACTTCAACTAGATGAGATCCATAAGTAATTTACTTAAGACATAAACTCAATACATATTTAATTGAATGCATACCCTTGTGTAAATAAGCTACTGATTTAATTCACATGACTAACCTACTTTCTAACATTATTACAGTGGATTTCTACTGATAACATTTCACAATAGCGTGTGTGAAAATAACCCTGAACCAGTTTTTAAAACAAAAATTATATTGACTTTTTATCTGGGACATAGGACTTTATTGCACGAAACTTCCACTGACAGGGGCACAGCATTTCCTTCGCATGTGCCAACTAAATCAGTAGCTGTATGCAAACTTTAATAGATTTATAGCTACTACCTTCAATTTCACACCTTGATGCATGGAAATCTTTTTTATCTAGATTTAATACAACTGTGAGTTTTGATCTTTTATAGAGATTTATGACAAGAGAATTTTGAAATAAGTTCATATAGTAGTGGCCTCTCATAGCAATGGAAGACACCTGAGAAATCACAGAGCTCAATCACTGGGGCCCAGAGAGCAGATCTTAATGCTAGATTGTAATTAGAATTTAAATAGATGAAGGCCACTTTGTGTTGAGAACTGTAGGGAAACTTGATTTTCTTACCCAAAGGGTATTTTATCACTGGGAAATAAACAAGTATCAGATGCTTATAAAGTATAGGCTTTCAATTCCCCTGGAACTAGTGTTAAGCATATACAAGAAGTTATAAAGGCATGGATGATTGAAATAATTAAGGAAAGTGTATTTCCACTGTATATACTACCTAGCCATGCTTACAAAGTTCATTCATGCCCTTTGCCTAGTTAGCCTCACAATTAAGCCCCAGCATAGTTTATTTTGATGTAGCTGTCTACATGTATTGGAATACTATTTTATTGCACATAGCTTCTAAACTTGCCCATAAGTATATTGAACACCAGTTGTGTGGCACACTCAACCAAGTGAATGTAATCAATACGTAATTGCTGAAGGAGTCTGGATTTATCCAAATCAAATTATGCTCCATGTTGAGCTACCTCTTAACAGCTTTAGAAAATGATGTCATCCATTGCTCTGGAATGCAGTTCAGAAAGTCAGACTCAGTATGTCCATCAGAAATTAAATTTGTGTGTTTTCATAGAATGTATTGAGATTTATTGAAATGTTCTTGCTTTTCCTATATGTATAAAGGGGAAACTGAGTTCCTTTATTACTTCCTGAGATGGTAGAGCTGACTTTTATGCAGGATATCATCACTATTTTTGTCTGCATTGATAGCTACAAATTTTATTATTATTTTTTTGGTACAAATTTTAATTCTCTACCTTTCAGTGTCTGGATGACTTTTTAATTCCCTATTTCTTCTGGGCTTCCAATCATATACCATTGTTTGCTTCAAAAGGGATATATTATACTCTCTCTAGTAATCCAAAGGTATTCCTAATTTTGCCACTCCTCATTTTCGCTTCTCTTTAAGGGCCTTATAGTATGTTCTAATTTCTCATTTGGTAGTATGCAACATTCAATATTTCTAGCTCTAAAGTTCCATCATTAATTATTTCTTTTTTTCTTTTTTTTTTTCTTTTTTTGAGACGGAGTCTTGCTCTGTCGCCCAGGCTGGAGTGCGGTGGTGTGACCTCAGCTCACTGCAACCTCCGCCTCCCGAGTTCAAGTGATTCTCCTACCTCAGCTTCCCAAGTAGCTGGGATTACAGGTGCCCGCCAACACGCCCGGCTAATTTTTGTATTTTAGTAGAGACAGGATTTCACTATGTAGGTCAAGCTGGTCTCAAACTCCTGACCTCAAACGATCTGCCCGCCTCGGCCTCTCAAAGTGCTGGGATTACAGGCGTGAGCCACCGCACCCCGCCAATCACTTCTTTATCAGCTATACTTCTTTCCTACCTTTACTGTAATACTTATGATCTTGCTTGGGTCATAGGTTTTCTTTTAGTTTGTTCAGCTATAGATGACCTTTATGTTGGAGCAAAACTAGGTCCAAGGTAGGAATGTCATTATTAGATGTAAAACATGTTAGCTGATTTAACCCATTTATGTTTGAATGCAACTTTGAAAACCCTTGGTTAACAGTGTAAAGCTAGCTTTCCTAAAAATAGAAATTTTGTCCTTGGCAGCTGTTATGTAAGTCATGACCCTTGTCTTGTTCATGAGAAAGAAATTTTGCAGCTGTCAGATTTTCATTTTAGGAGAAACAATATTGGAAATTAATTTGGTTTCTTCTCCATTTGGCAAGGTATGAACCTTGACTAGAAACTCTACTTGTTATTTTTCTTTTTTCTCATTTTACTGAAGCTGCAATATCACTAAGCGCACTTTCATTCTTTTTACAGTGTTATTTTTCTTCTCATTTTCTTTAAATTAAAAATCTATTGCTTCCCCTTCTCTGTCCTGTCTGCATTCCTCTGATCCCCTACACAAATACACATGGTTCATTTAAAAAATAGCAACCATCCTGGTAAAGCTGTCTTTTCCATTGTGTCCTGCAAGTTCTTTTAGGTGTAACATCATAAGAAATCACAAACTTGTATTCAACTCTTTTCAGTTTTAGGCAAATTCCATTTTTAGGAATAATAGTTAAGCAGTCACAAGACCACAGGTTAATATTGAGTGCTCTCTCTCACTTTACCAATCCCAACAATGTTTAACTCTTATTTATTAGTGTTTGAGTGTTTTATTTGTGTACAAAGTTAAATATTCTAAGTTCTTCTGTATGGCTTTACTATTTCTAATGTAAATTTACTCCATTGGAATTCTTTGGTTTTTGGCAGTAATAGGAATTATTCTGTAATCTGTGTGAGAAATATTAGGAAATGAACTGAAAGTAATTGAAAGAGGAGGCACAAGTAAACCATCAGAAACGCTTTTGACCATAAGAAGGGGAAATTAAGGGACAGAACGGAAGAACTGTGCTCCTATCAGCAATCTGAGGGTTCGCTCTACCTGCTTAAAAGCAAGAAATATTTTTAATATTTCTTCTCTCTACTCTGTACTAATTTTATCTGAAAAATTGCTGCTGAAACTTAGGAGCCATTTTGAAAGCAACGGTAGTAATCAAAGGTATAATCCTCATGCTATATAATGTTTTAGATTACCAACTGCTTTACTATGTGGAGCGTTTTCTGCCCGTTACTGAGGGTTAGATGGAGAACACTGTTCCCATCTTAGAGGTGAGGAACCTACAGATGGCAAGAATAGCATATGGCTGGCTCCAAGTCACACAGCAAGTCAATCAATCGGAGACTAAAATATTTATTACCTGTAGACTGCTAAATTTCTGCATCATGAACAATGACTTGGAGAGAATGTTGCTGAGCAGAAATTTTGTCACACCTGATCTGAGAATATAAAATTTGTTCATTTGCAAAACATGCTTCTGAAATATTTTGTTTCCATTATTTATTTAGCCAGCTAGTTTCTTATGGGTACTAAAGAAGGTCTCCCAAATTACCTAAATTCCACAATAGGGCTTAGATTTATGAAGTTTTATATTTTTTCCTCCTTATAAAAAGCTCTTTTTATAAAGAATATCCATGTAATACTAAAACGGGGAAATCTCCTAAATAATATATTTTTTAATATTACTTTTTTAAAAAGCTAGGGTGAGCACCTCACAATCAAAATTTAATGTATTTGTCATATTGAAATGCAGGGTTTTTTGAAGGAAACATGGTAGGTAAACATTTTAGTTCCCAACTCCTGATCGTTAAAATGCAAAATTGGGCCTGGTGTGGTGGCTCACGCCTGTAATCCCAGCACTTTGGGAGACCAAGGCGGGTGGATCACGAGGTCAGGAGTTCAAGACCAGCCTGGCCTAGATGGTGAAATCCCCGTCTCTACTAAAAATACAAAAATTAGCCGGGCATGGTGGCAGACGCCTGTAACCCCAGCTACTTGGTAGGCTGAGGCAGAGAATTGCTTGAACCCAGGAGGCGGAGGTTGCATTGAGCCGAGATTGTGCCACTGGACTCCAGCCTGGGTGACAGAGTGAGACTCCATCTCAAAAAAAAAAAAAAAGCAAAATTGTTGGCATCTCTAAGACAGAGCAAGACTCCCTCTCTAAGAGATAGTAGTGTCTCCCACTTAATTGAATTCGTTTTGTTTTGTTTGCTTTGCTTTGATTCTTGCCACGTAAAATCTGTGGGTCTTGACCCAGAGATTTGCTCAGACAGTTAAGAAAAATAATAAGATGTATTTGTAAATTTTTACATAATGAAAAATGAGATGTATTTGTAAAATTTTAAAATAACCTCTTTATAAATACGTTTATAAATATAAAGAGGTAGGATGTTTTGGCTAATTAGCACATTCTGGGTCATACACACACACACACAAACAGGCCAAACACTCTAGATAGTCAAATAAATTCCCCTTTTGGTGATTCAGTTCAGTAATGGTGATTCAGTTCAGTAACTGCCTATCCTCATCAATGCTTGTTTGTGATGATGAAATAGTTGACAACCGGGACTTTACAAAAATAGCTCCTGAAAAAAATTAAATATTTTATTGCAATATATGTTCATATTTTTTTTAACTTTTATGAAATAACATTGTGATAGGTGCTTTAAGAAAAATATTTTTCCAGAAGTGGTTTATAGTATAAACTAAGGGCAGTTTTTACATTGTGATGTGTGGGTGGATGGTCATATTTAGTTAGGTTATTAAGAAATCATGAAGTGTTCCCTAACAAGAAACTTGCAAAGCTATTTGGCAGGAAGAAAATCATTAACTTCTAGTTTATTTATTTTTTTTCTCATGCTATACGCTTAATTACCAAGTAAATTCACTTGCATACCATTACCTTAATTCAAAGGAGAAGCCAGAATGTTTATCATTGGTGGGAGTAAAATATACACAGATTCTTTACCATGGTGAAATAGAATAATACTGAATTCCCAATACAGAAATACTAATTTCATAAGCTAATATTCCTATCTTTTAGCTGACTTCTTTCTCTCTTCAGGATATATTTACTATTTATTATTTACCTTTGAATTTTTGATTTGGGGGATTTTTACCTATTGCCATCCTACTATCTTAAGTATCCTGTACAATGAAATATCTTAGCAAGGAAACACTTTTAAAACTTCACAAATATCCAATTTCATTCTTAACATATGGGGGAAGCAGTAAAAGAAAAAGCACTTCACCACGTAGAAGAGAAAGTGATCATTTTAATTAAGATAATTTCAATTCATTATCAACATTTAATCCTCTGCAAACAAGGGAACACTTACTAGCAGTACTTGAAGACTTGTGAGTTGGAATTGCATGTTACTTGAAAGATCTAATTAAGCTAAATTTTGGTGCACAGCAGGTTGTACATGATTTCATGTTTATGTAGCAAAATGCATTGAAATGTATTAGTGTTGAAACATACATGTAAAGGTAGTTGTGGAAATTGTTATATTTTCCTTGTGTGTCATTTATTTAGAGCATAAAGGTTTTTTTTATTCAGCCTAACTGAATAAGGCTAAATGAATACTGTAATTGAAAATATATTTTAAATCTTTGTCATGAGTTTTTTTAAAAAAAACTATTGCAAATTGTATCATTCCTGATTACACAGAACTTTGTGGGTGGTTTTAAATAAATTTTATACTTCTATTTTGCACCTGATAGTCTAATTTTTCTTTCCTTCTAAAAATCACATTTAAAAGTTTTAATATTCAATAAAATTCACACATTTTAACTACAAAGGACTATAAGATTTAATATTTGGAGATGACTAAATGTATGCATGTGCTCACCATAAAACCAAAATGGCTAGCATTTGTGAAATCCTCATTATGTGCCAGAAACCTTACATTTTATGTAAATTATGTAATTCCCATGGTGATTCTATTAAGGACTCTTATCAGCCTCATTACATAGATCTATTCTGAGGCTTGAAGTTATTAAGTTCACAGCCCTAGTAATTGGCAGAGCTGTTACTCTACTCATGTCCTTACTTGGCTTTATAATTGTTTCAATAAACTTAATACTTTTCCTTAAGTCTGCTAAATTTAAATTTAATTCTGAATGCAGTTTGCCAATATATTTTACTTTTTTTACTTTTTTTTTGAGACAGTCTCACACTGTCGCCTGGGCTGGAGTACAGTGGCACGATCTCAGCTCTGCAACCTCTTCCTCCTGGTTCAAGCGATTCTCCTGCCTCAGTCTCCTGAGTAGCTGCGATTATAGGGGTGCACTACCATGCCTGGCTAATTTTTGTATTTTTAATAGAGACGGGGTTTCACCATGTTAGCCAAGCTGGTCTTAAACTCCTGACCTCAAGTGATCTGCCCACCACTGTCTCCCAAAGTGCTGGGATTACAGGCGTGAGCCATTGCTCCTGGACGCCAACAGTATTTTAAAGACTTCAATATTAAAGGTTTTTTTTACTTTTTTTTTTTTTTTCTGAGACAGAGTCTCACTCTGTCGCCCAGGCTGGAGTACAGCGGGGCGATCTCAGCTCACTGCAACCTCCGCCTCCCAGGTTCAAGCAATTTTCCTGCCTCAGCTTCCTGAGTAGCTGGGACTACAGGTGTGCACTACCATGCCCGGCTAACTTTTTTTTTTTGAGATGGAGTCTTGCTCTGTTGTCCAGGCTGGAGTGCAGTGGGTGATCTCGGCTCACTGCAAGCTCTTGTACCTCAGCCTCCCAAGTAGCTGGGACTGCAGGCATGTGCCACCATGCTTGGCTAATTTTTGTATTTTTTATAGAGATGGGGTTTTGCCGTGTTGGCCAGGCTGGGCTCAAACTCCTGGCCTCAAGTGATCCACCTGCCTTGGCCTCCCAAAGTGCTGAGATTATAGGCATAGCCACTGTGTCTGACCTGTATCAGTGTTTTTTAAACTGTAAGTTACAGTATATGATTGTGAATGAATGAGTTGTGACCAGCATTATAGAAAATGAAATAGAACAGAACGACATATTCAAATATTAGGAAAGTCCTATTTAAAATTAACTGGTTTTTTAACCTTTGAAATTGTGAAATATAATGCCAACAGAAAAATACAAATATACAGCTTAATGAATTATAACACAAATAACCTGTGTAACCTCCATCCAGGTCAAGAAGAGAATATTGCCCATCTTTTTATCATCTTTTCTGTTTGTCTTGAATGTTAATAAATTTCTTTTCCTTTTTTTTTTTTTTTTTTTTTTTTGAGACGGAGTCTCACTCTGTCGCCCAGGCTAGAGTGCAGTGGTGTGATCTCGGCTCACTGCAAGCTCTGCCTCCTGGCTTCACACCATTCTCCTGCCTCAGCCTCCCCAGTAGCTGGGACTACAGACGCCTGCCACCACACCCAGTTAATTTTTTTGTACTTTTTATTTATTTTATTTAATTTATTTATTTATTTATTTTTTGAGACGGAGTCTCGCTCTGTCGCCCAGGCAGGCTGGAGGGCAGTGGCGTGATCTCGGCTCACTGCAAGCTCCGCCTCCCGGGTTCATGCCATTCTCCTGCCTCAGCCTCCCGAGTAGCAGGGACTACAGGCGCCCGCCACCATGCCCGGCTAATTTTTTTTTTTTTTTTTTTTTTTGTATTTTTAGTAGAGACGGGGTTTCACCATGTTAGCCAGGATGGTCCGGATCTCCTGACCTCGTGATCTGCCCTCCTCGGCCTCCCAAAGTGCTGGGATTACCGGCGTGAGCCACCACGCCCGGCTTTTTGTATTTTTTAGTAGAGACGTGTTTCACCGTGTTAGCCAGGATGGTCTCCATCTCCTGACCTGGTGATCCGCCCGCCTCGGCCTCCCAAAGTGCTGGAATTACAGGTGTGAGCCACTGCGCCCAGCAATTTTTATATTTTTAGTAGAGATGGTATTTCACCATGTTAGCCAGGCTGTTCTCAAACTCCTGACCTCAGGTGAAGCACCTGCCTCGGCCTCCCGAAGTACTGGGATTACAAGCGCGTAATTTTTTTTTTTTTTTTTTTTTTTTGAGTCAGAGTCTCACTCTGTCACCCAAGCTGGATTGCAATGGCTGATCTCGTCTCACTGCAACCTCCGCCTCCTGTGTTCAAGTGATTCTCATGCCTCAGACTCCCAAGTAGCTGGGATTACAGGCGTGCACCACAAAGCCTGGCTAATTTTTTGCATTTTTAGTAGAGATGGGGTTTCACTACACTGGCCAGGCTGGTCTCGAACTCCTGACCTCATGATCCCCCCGTCTCGGCCTCCCAAAGTGCTAGGATTACAGGCACGATCCATCATGCCCGGCCTGGAAAAAAAAAAAGTTCTGTTTCATCTCACACATAAAAATAATAAAGTCGGCCAGGTGCAGTGGTTCATGCCTGTAATCTCAGCACTTTGGGAGGCCGAGGAGGGCAGATCACGAGGTCAGGAGATCCAGACCATCCTGGCTAACACGGTGAAACCCCGTCTCTACTAAAAATACAAAAAATTAGCCGGGCATGGTGGCGGGCACCTGTAGTCCCAGCTACCTGTGAGGCTGAGGCAGGAGAATGGCGTGAACCCGGGAGGCGGAGCTTGCAGTGAGCCGAAATCTCGCCACTTGCACTCCAGCCTGGGCGAAAGAGCAAGACTCCATCTCAAAAATAATAATAATAATAATACAATCTGTGTAAAATGTTATGTATTTTCTCTTTCCATGGTTATTACACATAAATTATTTCATAAGAATGAACTAGTTTAGGCCTTGCTAGTCCATGCTCACCTAGAGACAGGTTATTGATTCCATATGTTCCTCGGTGAAAAAAGCACAGTCATATGGCATCTGGCCAAGCCTTTCTACCTACTGAGGCTGGGCTATCCAAAGGTCCCATGGCATGCTGACAGAATCCCAACTCTCATAAGAAAAGACAGTCGGCTGGGCGTGGTGGCTCACGCCTGTATTCGAGCACTTTGGGAGGCCGAGTTGGGCAGATCACGAGGTCAGGAGTTCAAGGCTAGCCTGACCAACATGGTGAAACCCCGTCTCTACTAAAAATATAAAATTAGCCAGGCATGGTGGCATGGACCTGTAATCCCAGCTACTGAGGAGGCTGAGGCAGGACAATCACTTGAACCTGGGAGGCAGAGGTTGCAGTGAGCCAAGATCGTGCCACTGCACTCTAGCCTGGGTGACACAACAAGACTCCATCTCAAAAAAATAAATAAATAAATACATCTCAAAAAAAAATAAATAAATATTTATCTTCAATAAAGTATTTCTAAGGAAAGCTAAAAAATTATGTCAACATCTTTATTTGTTCTGTAGTTTACTTTTTTTTTTTTTTTTTTTTTGAGGATCCTTGCTCTGTCACTCAGGCTGGAGTGCAGTGGTGCAATCTCAGTTTACTGCAACCTCTGCCTCCCGAGTTCGAGCAATTCTCCCTGCCTCAGCTTCCAGAGTAGCTGGGATTACAGGTGCCCACCACTGAGCCTGGCTAATTTTTGTATTTTTTAGTAGAGATGGGGTTTCACCATATTGGCCAGGCTGGTTATGAACTCCTGACCTCAGGTGATCCACCCACCTAGGCCTCCCAAAGTGCTGGGATTACAGGTGTGAGCCACTGTGCCCGGCCTCTAGTTTACTTTTCTTCTTCTTCTTTTTTTTTTTTTGAAACAGAGTTTCGCTCTTGTTGCCCAGGCTGGAGTGCAATGGGTCAATCTCGGCTCACTGCAACCTCTGCCTCCTGGGTTCAAGCAATTCTCCTGCCTCAGCCTCCCGAGTAGCTGGGATTACAGTCTTGCGCCACCATGCCTGGCTGATTTTGTAATTTTAGTAGAGACAGGGTTTCTCCATGTTGATGAGGCTGGTCTCGAACTCCCACCCTCTGGTGATCTGCCTGCCTCGGCCTCCCAAAGTGCTGGGATTACAGGCGAGAGACACCACGCCCAGCCTGTAGTTTACTTTTCATAAAAATTCCATTACAGGCCAGGTGTGGTGGCTCATGCCTCTAATCCCACCAATTTGGGGGGCTGAGGCAGTGGATCACTTGAGCTCAAGAGTTTGAGACCAGCCTGGGCAAGGTAGGCAAACCCCGTCTCTCCAAAAAATACAACAAAATTAGCCAGGTGTGATGGCAAGCACATGTGGTCCAAACGACTTGGTATACTGAGGCGAGAGGCTCACTTGAACCCAGAAGGTTGAGGCTGCAGTGAACTGCGATGGAGCCACTGCACTCCAGCCTGGGTAACAAAGTGAGACCCTGCCTCAAAAACAAAAACAAAAAAATTGGCTAGGTGCGGTGGCTGACACCACACCTGTAATCTCAGCACTTTGGGAAGCCAAGGCAGGTGGATCACCTGAGATCAGGGGTTCAAGACCACCCTGGCCAACATGGTGAAACCCCATCTCTATCAAAAAAAATACAAAAAATTAGCTGGGCATGGTGGCGGGTGCCTATAATCCCAGGTACTCGGGAGGCTGAGGCAGGAGAATCACTTGAATCTGGGAGGCAGAGGTTGCAGTGAGCTGAGATTGCACCACTGCACTCCAGCTTGGGCAACAGAGCGAGAGTGCATCTCAAAAAAAAAAAATTATATGTTACTGGGCATGAGGGTGCATGCCTGTAGTCTCAGCTACCCAGGAGGCTGATGCAGAAGGACTGGTTTAGCCTAGTAGTTTAAGTCCAGCCAGCCTGGGCAACATAGCAAGATCCCATCTCTAAATAAAAACAAGCAACATAAAAATTGTATAAGAAACAATAGGATCATTTATTTTTTATAATTTCAGAGTGGGAAAAGCATGTTACAAAATTTGAGAGGCATAAAATAAAAAAATTACCAATTTAACTATATAAAAATAATAGGGCTGGGCATGGTGGCTTACACCTATAATCCCAGCACATTGTGAGGCAAGGGGGGAGGACTGCTTGAAGCCAGGAGTTCGAGACCATTTCAGGCAACATAGTGGGATCGCATCTCTACAAAAACTTAAGGCCTGGGGAAGTGGCTCACGCCTGTAATCCTAGCACTTCAGGAGGCCAAGGCGGGCGGATCACAAGGTCGGGAGTTCGAACCAGCCTGGCCAACATAGTGAAACTCCATCTCTACTAAAAATACAAAAAAATTAGCCAGTGTGGTGGTGGGTGCCTGTAATCCCAGCTACTTCAGAGGCTGAGGCAAGGAGAATTGCTTGATCCTGTGAGGTGGAGGTTGCAGTGAGCCAGGACTGTGCCACTGCACTCCAGCCCGGGCAACATTGTGAGACTCCATCTCAAAATAAAAAATAAAAAATAAAAATGGCTGGGCATGGTAGGCTGAGCTTGTAGTCCCAGCTATTTGGGAGGCTGAGATGGGAGGATCGCTTGAGCCGGAGATGTTGAGACTGCAGTGAGCTGTGATAGTGGCGCTGTACTTCAGCCTGGGTGACAGAGTGAAAATCTGTCTCAAAAAAAATTTTAATTTAAAAAATAAATAATAGGCCGGGCATGGTGGCTCATGCCTGCAATCCCAGCACATTGGGAGGCAGGGGGGAGCGGATCCCTTGAGGTCAGGAGTTCGAGACCAGCCTGGCAAACAATGGCGAAACCCCATCTCTGTTAAAATAATACAAAAATGCCTGGGCCTGGGCAAGGTGGCTCACGCCTGTAATCCCAGCACTTCGGGAGGCCGAGGCAGGCAGATCACCTGAGGTGAGGAGTTCGAGACCAGCCTGACCAACATGGAGAAACCCTGTCTCTACTAAAAATACAAAATTAGCCAGGTGTGTTGGCCTGTAATCCCAGCTGCTCGGGAGGCTGAGGCAGGAGAATCGCTTGAACCCAGGAGGTGGAGGTTGCGGTGAGCTGAGATCATGCCATTGCACTCCAGCCTAGGCAGCAAGAGTGAAACTCTGTCCAGTAAAAAAAAACAAAAAATAGTAAAAATGGAACCTTCTGTACAAAAAATTTTCCCAAAATCAAAGTTGAAAAAAAAAAACAAGACAAAAACTAACAAAATATTTGAAGCTCGGTCAGGCGCGATGGCTCATGGCTGTAATCCCAGCACATTGGGAAGCTGAGGTGGGCGGATCACCGGAGGCCAGGAGTTTGAGACCAGCCTGAGCAACATGGAGAAACCTCATCTCTACTAAAAATACAAAATTAGCCAGGCGTGGTGGCGGATGCCTCTAATCCCAGCTACTAGGGAGGCTGAGGCAGGAGAATCTCTTGAACCTGGGAGACGAAGATTGCAGTGAGCCAAGATTGCGCCATTGCACTCCAGGCTGGGCAACAACAGCCAAACTCCGTCTCAAAAAAAAAAAAAAAAAAAAAAAAAATATATATATATATATATATATATATATATATATATGTATATATTTGAAGCTCGTATAACAGAAGATTAAAATAATGAGCTCTCAATAATGAATAAGGATCAGTGGCCTAATGGAAATAGAACAAAGGATAGGAACAATTGGCTAATAGAAAAGGAAATACAAATGTCTCTTACAAGTATAAAAAGATATCTTCATGCATAGTAAGAAAAATACTATAGCTACATTAAGATGCCAACAATGGCCACCCTCTTTTCCTTTCTTCTCTTTTTGTGCATGACATATCCTTATGGAGTGGTGGCAACTGTTCTTCCACCTTCTGGAATCTCAGTTGACAGTGTTCCCTTCTTCACTTTGGAGCCCTGAGGTATTACGAGTGAAGGCCAGGTTGCTCTGGGGGAAAGAGAACCTGAGAGTAATGGAGTACTGAAGTGCTAGATTGTGACTTAAGAAACAACACTGGGCCAGGCACGGTGGCTCATGCCTGTAATCCCAGCACTTTGGGAAGCCGAGGTGGGCAGATCACCTGAGGTCAGGAGTTCGAGACCAGCCTGGCCAACAATGCAAAACCCTGTCTCTACTAAAAATACAAAAAAAAAAAAAAAAAAAGAAACAACATTGGGCATGCTAGAATCAGGTAACTCTAGCCCCAGTTGCCATGTGAATACAAGAATATGAGAGAACTTAAGCAATAGCCAGATAGCTGAGCCCAGTCATTCCACAGAGCCAGCAGATATTACTATTTTAAGCCACTAAATTTTGTGATGGTTTGTTATGCCATAAAGCATGGGATAACATAGGCACGTGCCACCACGCTCAGCTAATTTTTGTATTTTTAGTAGAGACGAGGTTTCATCATGTTGGCCAGGCTGGTCTCAAACTCTACCGACCTCTTGATCTGCCTGCCTTGGCCTCCCAAAGTGTTGGGATTATAGGCATGAACCACCACAGCCAGCCATAAATTGGTATAATTCTTATGGAAGTAGAATGGCAGTAACTATTAAAATCATAAATGCACGAAATCTGTGACCAAGCAATCCTTTTAAGAAGTTTGTTTTTTTTTTTTTTTTAGAGACAGTGGAGGGGTCTTGTTATGTTGGTAAGGTTGGTCTCGAACTCTTGGCCTCAAGCAATTCTCCCACCTCGTCCTCCCAAAGTGCTAGGATTACAGTCATGAGCCACTTCTCCCAGACTTAAGAAGGTATTCTATTGATATAATTATATACAAGTGAAATCACATAATCACGAAGTTGTTTATTGCAGCACTGCCTATGAAAGTAAAGAAGAATAAGTAGCTCATGCCTGTAATCCCAGCACTTTGGGAGGCCGAGGCAGGCAGATCACCTGAGGTCAGGAGTTTGAGACGAGCCTGGCCAACATGGTGAAACCCCATCTCTACTAAAAATACAAAAATTAGCCAGGCATAGTGGCATGGGCCTGTAATTCCAGCTATTTGGGAGGCTGAGACAGGAGAATTTCTTGAACCCCAGAGCTGGAGGTTGCAGTGAGCTGAGATCAAGATATCAAGATATCAAGATCCCAACACTGCACTAGACTCCATCTCCAAAAAAAAAAAAAAAAAAAAAAAAAAGAATAAAAAGGGGCCTAAATACCTATCTATTTTGGATTGAGTAAATATCACATGGTAAATTCACAAAAGAATAAGCACTTCAATGGTTAAAAAAAAAAAAGTGGGGGAGGGGAAGCAATTTATATTTGGATATGGAACAATTTCTTTTCTTTTCTTTTCTTTTTTTTTTTTTTTTTGAGACCAGGGTCTTGCTCTGTTGCCCAGGCTGGAGTTCAGTGGCGTTATCTCCACTCACTGCAGCAACCTCTGCCTACCAGGATTGAGTGATTCTTGTGCCTCAGCTTCCCGAGTAGCTGGGATTACAGACATGCACCACCACCCCTACTTTATTTTATTTTATTTTATTTTTTGAGACGGAGTTTCGCTTTGTCACCCAGGCTGGAGTGCAGTGGCCCAATCTTGGCTCACTGCAGCCTCCGCCTCCTGGGTTAAAGCGATTCTTCTGCCTTAGCCCCCTGAGTAGCTGGGACTACAGGTGCCCGCCACCATGCCTGGCTAAATTTTGTATTTTTAGTAGAGACGGGTTTTCACCATGTTGGACAGACTGTTCTTGAACCCCTGACCTCAGGTCATCTGTCTGCCTAGGCCTCCCAAAGTGCCAGGATTACAGACATGAGACAATGCACCCAGCCCTAGCTAATTTTTGTATGTTTAGTAGAGACAGGATTTTGCCATGTACCCCATGCTGGAACATGGAACATTTTCTAAGATATATTATTTAAAAAGCAAGATATAGTACTTGTGTAAAAACGGGGAGAAAAGGATATTTGCCATATTCACTTCATTCTAAGATGCATTTTATAAACCACAGTAAAAAATTGCTGTCACTTTTATCATGTTACAGACTGTGAGATGCATTTCATTTTAAGGAAGAAAGAAGATAAAAATAAACCCAAAATAGGATCAAGAGGTCAGAAAGGAAGCAAATAATGATCAGAGTGGAAATTCATAAAATAGAAGGTAGAAAAACAACAGAGAGAATCAGCAAATCAAAAAGTTGGCTCTTTGAAAAGATCAGACTGGGCATGGTGGCTCACGCCTGAAATTGCAGCACTTTGGGAGGCTAAGACGGGCAGATTGCTTGAGCTCAGGAGTTCAAGACCAGCCTGGGCAACATGACGAAATGTTAGAAATTTGATCTTTTCTAAGTTATCTCATTTATAGCATTACAACTGTTAATAGTATTTTTTTTCCCTTTTTATTTCTGTAAGGTCAGTAGTAATGTCCTCACTCATTTCTGATTCTAGTTATTTGGGCGACCTTCTTTTTTTTTTCCCCGATGGTCATTCTAGGTAAAGTTTGTGAAGTTCACTGATTTTTTGTTTTCTTCTTCTTTTTTTTCTCCTCCTCCTCCTTCTTCTTTCTTCTTCTTTTTTTTTTTTTTTTTGAGACGGAGTCTCGCTCTGTTGCCCAGGCTGGAGTGCAGTGGCGCAATCTCGGCTCACTGCACGCTCTGCCTCCCGGGTTCACGCCATTCGCCTGCCTCAGCCTCCCAAGTAGCTGGGACTACAGTCACCCGCTACTACGCCCGGCTATTTTTTTTTTTTTTTATTTTTAGTAGAGACGGGGTTTCACCGTGTTAGCCAGGATGGTCTTGATCTCCTGACCTCGTGATCTGCCCACCTCGGCCTCCCAAAGTGCTGGGATTACAGGCGTGAGCCACCGCACCTGGCCCTTTCTTCTTCTTCTTTTTTTTTTTTTTTTTTGGAATCAGGGTTTGACTGTGCCTCCCAGGCTGGAGTGCAGCAGCATGATCTCAGATCACAGCAACCTCTGCCTCCTGGGCTCAAGCCATGTCATGGCCTCAGCCTCCCAAGTAGCTGGGACTAAAGGCACCTGCCACTACATTTGGCTGATTTTTTTTTTTTTTTTTTTTGAGATGGTGTTTCACTCTTGTTGCCCAGGCTAGAGTGCAATGGTGTGATCTCAGCTCACCGCAACCTCACCTCTGACTTCCCCAGTTCAAGCGATTCTCCTGCTTCAGCCTCCTGAGCAGTTGGGATTACAGGCATGCGCCACCATGCCCGGCTAATTTTGTACTTTTTTTTTCTTTTTTTTTTTTGAGATAGAGTCTAGCTCTGTCGCCCAGGCTGGAGTGCAGTGGGCGATCTCGGCTCACTGCAAGCTCCGCCTCCCAGGTTCACACCATTCTCCTGCCTCAGCCTCCCGAGTAGCTGGGACTACAGGCGCCCACCACCACACCCGGCTAATTTTTTGTATTTTTAGTAGAGACGGGGTTTCACCATGTTAAGACAGGATGGTCTCAATCTCCTGACCTCGTGATCCGTCCGCCTCGGCCTCCCAAAGTGCTGGGATTACAGGCGTGAGCCACTGCACCCGGCCCTAATTTTGTATTTTTAGTAGAGATGGGGGTATCTCCATGTTGGTCAGGCTGGTCTCGAACTCCCAACCTCAGGTGATCTACCTGCCTCGGCTTCCCAAAGTGTTGGCACTACAGGCGTGAGCCACCGAGCCTGGCATTTTTGTAGAGACAGGTTTCTCCATGTCACTTACACTGGTCTCAAACTCCTGGATTCAAGGGATTCACCCACTGCAGCCTCCCAGAGTGCTGGGATTACAGGTGTGAGCCACCCCGCCTAGCTAATTTTCCGGTTTCTTAATTGCCTTTTTTTTTTTTTTTTTTTTTTGAGACGGAGTTTTGCTCTTGTTGCCCAGTTGCCCAGGCTGGAGTGCAATGGCACGATCTCGGCTCACCGCAACCTCCGCCTCCTGGGTTCAAACAATTCTCCTGCCTCAGCCTCCCGAGTAGCTGGGATTACAGACATGCACCACGCCTGGCTAATTTTGTATTCTTAATTGGCTTTTTTAAAAAAATTATTGCCGAGATGGTGGCTCATGCCTGTAATCCCAGCACTTTTGGAGGCTGAGGTGGGTGGATCACGAGGTCGGGAGTTTGAGACCAGCCTGGCCAACATGGTGAAACCGTCTCTAGTAAAAATACAAAAAATTAGCCGGGTGTCGTGGCGCGCGCCTGTAGTCTCAGCTATTCAGGAAGCTAAGGCAGAAGAATCACTTGAACCCGGGAGGTGGAGGTTGCAGTGAGCTGAGAGCTGAGATCGTACCACTGAACTCCAGCTTGGGCAACACAGCGAGAGTCCGTCCCAAAAAGAAAAAGAAAATTATTATTATTGGCCAGGCATGGCGGCTTACACCTGTAATCCCAGCACTGTGGGAGGCTGAAGCGGGTGGATAACCTGAGGACCAGAGTAGGAGACCAGCCTGGCCAACATGGTGAAACCCTGTCTCTACTACAAATACCAAAAATTAGCCGAGCGTGGTCGCACACACCTGTAACCCCAGCTACTTGGGATGCTGAGGCAAGAGAATTACCTGAACCCCGGGAGGTAAAGATTGCAGTGTTCTGAGATCACACCATTGCACTCCAGCCTGGGCAACAGGAGTGTAACTCCATCTCAAAATATATATATATATATTATTATTATTTTGGTAATTTTTTTAGTATTAACTTTTTTTTTTTTTGAGATGGAGTCTCATTCTGTTGCCCAGGCTGGAGTGCAGTGGCGTGATCTCAGCTCACTGCAACCTCCGCCTCCTGGGCTCAAGCCATTCTCCTGCCTCAGCCTCCTAAGTAGCTGGGATTACAGGTGTGCGTCACCAAGTCCAGCTAATTTTTGTATTTTTAGTAGAGATGGGTTTTCACCATGTTGGTCAGGCTGGTCTCAAACTCCTGACCTCATGATCCGCCTGCCTCAGCCTCCCAAAGTGCTGGGATTACAGGTGTGAGCCACAGCGCCTAGGCAGTATTATCTTTTCTACAAGCTATTAATTGCCTTCAGCTCAAAGTAATTGTTACGTCAAAGAGGCATGTTTTGTGATGACATATTCTGGTTTCCTTCAACTCACAGCAGCATTATTCATACTAGCCCCAAAGTAGAAAAACTTAATAGATGAACTAATGAGTGGATAAGCAAAATGTGGTATATCTATTGTGTTAAAGAAAAGTTTTTTTTTATCTGTTTGTAGTCATAATTGTGATGGTTGAGTTTTCATGTGTGAGATGTGTATCACTCAAGCCTTTTTACAATGTCGGTATATTGCCGGGTGCGGTGGCTCATGCCTGTAATCCCAGCACTTTGGGAGGCCGAGACGTGCGGAACACCTGAGGTTGGGAGTTCGAGACCAGGCTGACCAACATGGAGAACCCATATTTCTACTAAAAATACAAAATTAGCCGTGCGTGGTGGTGCATGCCTGTAATCCCAGCTACTCGTGAGGCTGAGGCAGAGAATCACTTGAACCCGGGAGGCGGAGGTTGCAATGAGCCAAGATTGCGCCATTGCACTCCAGCTTGGGCAACAAGAGCAAATACTCCATCTCAAAAAAAAAAAAAAAAAAAGTCTGTATATTACATAAAAAAAAAAAAAAAAAAGAGGCCGGGCGCAGTGGCTCATGCCTGTAATCCCAACACTTTGAGAGGCCAAGGTGGGCAGATCACGAGGTCAGGAGTTTGAGACCAGCCTGGCCAATATGGTGAAACCCCATCTCTACTAAAAATACAAAAATTAGCCGGGTGTGGTGGCGGGCGCCTGTAGTCCCAGCTACTCAGGAGCCTGAGGCAGGAGAATCGCTTGAACCCGGGACGTGGAGGTTGCAGTGAGCCGAGATCACACCACTGCACTCCAGCCTGGGTGACAGAGTGAGACACTATCTCAAAAAAAAAAAAAAAAAAATTAAAAGAAAAAGAAGAAAAATCAGTGACATTTGTTAAAGCATGATAAGGAAGACTTTACTTGGGACCATTATGATTATGTATAGGGACCACTACAGTGGGATTTTACAGTGGGGAACAGAGTTGGCCTAAACTCTGAATACAACATGGGCACGGGGGAATTTATAGCCAAGGAGCAGTTTAGGGTCAGTGGATAGAAAATTACTAAGGGCCAGGCTCACATCTGTAATCCTAGCACTTTGGGAGGGTGAGGCAGGAGGATTGCTTGAGGCTAGAGTTCGTGACCCGCCTAAGCAACAAAGTGAGATCCCCATCTCTACAAAAAAATTATTGCAAAAATCAGCCAGGCGTGGTGGCACACGCTTGCAGTCCTAGCCACTTGGGAGGCTGAGGTGGACAGATTTCTCGAATCTAGCAGATCAAGGCCGCAATGAGCCGTGATCTTGCCACTGCACTCGAGCACTGCTGCCTGGGTGACAGAGTGAAACTTTGTCTCAAAAAAGAAAAGAAAAGGGCCGGGCGCGGTGGCTCACGCTTGTAATCCCAGCACTTTGGGAGGCCGAGGCGGGCGGATCACGAGGTCAGAAGATCGAGACCATCCTGGCTAACACGGTGAAACCCCGTCTCTACTAAAAATACAAAAAAAATTAGCCGGGCGTGATGGCGGGTGCTTGTAGTCCCAGCTACTCGGGAGGCTGAGGCAGGAGAATGGCGTGAACCCGGGAGGCGGAGCTTGCAGTGAGCCGAGATTGCGCCACTGCACTCCCACCTGGGCCACAGAGCGAGACTCTGTCTCAAAAAAAAAAAAAAAAAAAAAAAAAAAAAGAAAAGAAAAGAAAAGAACATTACTAACAGGTAACATCAGAGTCCGGGGATTCTGACTAAACTCATTCAACAGGATTCTTGCTGAAGACAGGTGGAGGTGATGAGACATCACTCTAGTGGTTGGTGGAGGATGAGGAACTTGACCAGATATTGAGGGTGATTAGATATCAAATGTAGGGGGTTCTTGGGCTGGGCGCGGTGTCTCATGCCTGTAATCCCAGCACTTTGGGAGGCTGAGCCGGGCAGATCACTTGAGGTCAGGAGTTCGAGACCAGCCTGGCCAACATGGTGAAACCCTGTCTCTGCTAAAAATACAAAAATTAGCTGGGAATGGTGGTGTGTGCCTATAATTCCAGCTACTCGGGAAGCTGAGACATGAGAATTGCTTGAAACCAGGAGGCAGAGGTTGCAGTGAGCTGAGATCACGCCACTGCACTCCGGCCTGGGCTACAGAGTGACACTATGTCTCAAAAAAAAAAAAAAAAGGGTTGGGGGAGCTCTTGACAAACTTACTTAACAGGGTTCTTTGCTAAAACTAGATTTTAGCTGGGTACAGTGGTGCACACTTTTAGTCCCAGCTACTCAGGAGGCTAAGTCCAGAGGAATGCCTGAGGCCAGGAGTTTGAGACTACAGTGTGCTATGATTGCACCTGTGAATAGCCACTGCATACCAGCCTGGGCACCATGCGAAGACCCTATCTTTCAAAAAACGGTAAATACAAGTAAAAGTGGGTTTTAAGTGCACAGGTGGGCCTAGGTCAAGGTGAGGAGCCTGACTAAAGTTTGGTCAAGCAGAGAATGTCTGTCAGTCTCTTATCTTGCTTTTTTTTTTTTTTTTTTTTTTTTGAGACAGAGTCTCGCTCTGTCACCCAGGCTGGAGTGCAGTGGCACAATCTCAGCACACTGCAACCTCCACTTCCCGGGTTCAAAGGATTCTCCTGCCTCAGCCTCTGGAGCAGCTGGGACTACAGGTGCATGCCACCATGCCTGGCTTATTTTTGCATTTTTAGTAGAGACGGGATTTCACCATGTTGGCCAGGCTGGTCTCGAACTCCTGACCTCAGGTGATCCACCTGCCTTGGCCTCCCAATCAACTAACCTTCCTTCCTTCCCTACTCCCTCCCTCTCTCCCTTCCTTCCTTCTTTCCTCTCTCTTTCTTTCCCTCCCTCCCTTTCTTTTTTCTTTCCTTCCTTTTTCCTTTTTTTTTTTGAGACAGGGTGTCACTCTGTCACCCAGACCAGAGTGCAGTGACGCCATCTAGGCTCACTGCAACCTCCGTCTCTCAGGCTCAAGTGATCCTCCTACCTCAGCCTCCAGAATAGCTGGTACTACAGGGTGCATGCCACCACACCTGGCTAATTTTTGTTTTTGTTTTTTTTTTGTAGAGATGGGGTCTTGCCATGTTGCCCAGGCTAGTCTCTTCTCTTTTCTTTCCTTTGCACAATTTAAGTCTGTTTTTTCATTCAATCACCTTTTATTCTTTAAGGACCAGCTGAATCATCTGTTGGGCCTTGGTAGCAGAGAATATTCACCGGATTGTTAGCGGTCAAGAATTTAACAAGGGGGAATTTCTATGAAAATAAAGAAAAATAACGATTAATAGAAACCCAGTTTCTGAATCTAGAGGGCAGTGAGTCAATAAGATTTTTAGATGTTGGGCTTGAGGATAGCAACCCAATGGATTTCCTGGTTTATGGTTTGAATGTCTCTGGTAATGACATTTGGTGTTTCTGATGAAGTTTCTGATTGGTCCACCCAGTAGCATGCACAAAGTTGATTTCTTTTAAGTTTATATCACATTTTCCAGCTTCGGCTAGCAAGGCGCTGGGAAAATGAGCAGTTTTAATATTTTGTGACTCTAAGCCATAAGGGTGGAAAAAAAAATTGGAAATAATAGTTTGGAGAGTCATAGCCAGATACTGAAGGAAACTAGAAGAATTTAGGATCCAGGTCAGTCCGCAGATAGACCTCTAAGACGATGAACAAGACTAGAATTTTTTTTTTTTTTATGAGACGGAGTTTCGCTATTGTTGCCCAGGCTGGAGTGCAACAGCACGATCTCAGCTCACTGCAACCTCTGCCTCCTGGGTTCAAGCAATTCTCCTGCCTCAGCCTCCCGAGTAGCTGGGATTACAGGCACCTGCCACCACGCCCAGCTAATTTTGTATTTTTAGTACAGACAGGGTTTCACCATGTTGGTCAGGCTGGTCTTGAACTCCCGACCTCAGGTGATCCGCCCACCTCGGCTTCCCAAAGTGCTGCGATTACAGGCATGAGCCACTGTGCCTGGCCAAGACTAGAACTTGATAATCACGAGGATGTTCTATAGTTTTCCATTGAAACTATATTGTCTCTAAAATCACCGTTATTTTTATTAAAGATGATCAAAGGCTGACTTGTTTGCAAAGTAAGTCTAGTCATTAAACTTGACCTCATTATTTACATAAGTATAGCAAGAATAGTGATTGATTTTGATCTTAGGCTTTTTATTTTTATTATTATTTTTTTGAGAGTCTCACTCTGTTACCCAGGCTGAAGTGCAATGGTGTGATCTCGCTTCACTGCAACCTCTGCCTCCCAGGTTTAAGCGATTCCCTTGCCTCAGCCTCCCAAGTAGCTGGGATTACATGTGCCCACTACCACACCCGGCTAATTTTTTGTTTTTTTTTAGTAGAGACGGGGTTTTGCCACGTTGGCCAGGCTGGTCTCGAACTCCTGACTTTAGACGATATGCCCACCTTGGCTTTCCAAAGTGCTGGGGTTACAGGCGTGAGCCACCACCCCTGGCCAGAATCTTAAGAATCTGAGAATCTTAGGACAGCTTTCTTCGGCTCCACAATTCTTCCATCCTCCTTGTGTGACCTTGCATTCATGTTGTATCCACCGTCTTCACAGTGGCATACATGACAAACTGAAAGCCCCTGGACTGTTTGGTGTTTGGATCTCTCATTACTACACAATCTGAGTGCTCCCCATTGTTTAAAATGGCTCCTCAGGCTCTCTCACCAGTTCCCCCTCCCCTTCCCCCTCCCCTCCCCTCCTCTCCCCTCCCCTCCCCTTCTCTCCCCTCTCCTCCCCCTTTTCTTAGAAGGAGTCTTGCTCTGTCGCCCAGGCTGGAGTGCAAGGGTGCGATCTTGGCTCACTGCAACCTCCGCCTCTTGGGTTCAAGTGATTCTCCTGCCTCAGCCTCTGGAGTAGCTGGGATTACAGGTCATGCCATCACACCCAGCTAATTTTATCAGTTGTTTCAAAGCCCAGTCCTCTGCTGAAGAGCTTCCATAGGTGTTCAGGCTCACAATGACAATGAAAAGAGAGAGTTTAATTTTAATTTTTAAAAATAGAGACAAGGGTCTTGCTATGTTGCCTAGGCTGGTGTTGAACTTTCGGCTTCAAGCAATCCTCCCACGTCAGCCTCTCAAAGTGTTGGGATTACAGGTGTGAGCCACTGTGCTTGTCCAGAAGAGAGACTTTCAGGATTCTTCCTCAGTGGGTTCATAGGGAAAGGAATAAACGAAGGAACATATCTCTCAAATTGGACTTTTAAAAGCCCTTTGGCCAAGCGCGGTGGCTCACGCCTGTAATCCCAGCACTTTGGGAGGCCGAGGCGGGCGGATCACGAGGTTAGGAGATCGAGACCACTCTGGCTAACACTAAAAACACTGGTTTTTCTTTTAGTAGAGAAACTCTGTCTCTACTAAAAGTACAAAAACTAATTAGCCAGGCATGGTGGCGGGCGCAGTGGCGGGTGCCTGTAGTTCTAGCTACTTGAGAGGCTGAGGCCCGAGAATGGCGTGAACCCGGGGGGCGGAGCTTGCAGTGAGCCGAGGTCGCGCCACTGCACTCCAGCCTGGGAGACAGAGTGAGACTCCGTCTCAAAAAATAAATGAATAAATAAATAAAATAAAAAAGCCCTTTAAGGGTATGAAGCCCAGCCAAGGACCTGCCATCAGATTTTGCTTGCAATACCTATGGATTTGGGTGAATTCCTCTTAAGAGGCTAAAGTATCTTAAGCCCCAAAGCATCTTAAGGTTTCTGAGCCTGCCAGAAAGTGACATCCCTTACTCACTTAAAAGCCAGACCTTATTGGCTCCATAAAGTGAAGCTTATTTTTTTTAAGTTGTCTGATCATATTTGAAAATATGACATATGGGTTAAAGTCTTGGCAATAAAACCAATGTCTCTAATTGTGTAGTGCTACAAGGTTATCAAATTCATATTGAATTTATGCGTATTACTATACTGTCATGAAAATAAGAATACTAATAGTTTCTGAATTCTGGAGGGATCAGATAGGGAGAAAAAAATAAGTTTTATCTTTGTTCACAATGGTATATTTTACCAAATTGCTGTAAGCTATAGATAGCTTAAGAGAAAATAGAAAGATTCCTTAAATTTGGAAAAAATATTAAAGAATGCGCAATGTGGCCGGGCGCGGTGGCTCACGTCTTTAATCCCAATACTTTGGGAGGCCGAGGCGGGTGGATCACGAGGTCAGGAGATCGAGACCATCCTGGCTAACATGGTGAAACCCCGTCTCTACTAAAAGTACAAAAAATTAGCCGGGCGTGGCGGCGGGCGCCTGTAGCCACAGCTACTCCGGAGGCTGAGGCAGGAGAACGGCGTGAACCCGGGAGGCGGAGCTTGCAGTGAGCCGAGATTGCGCCACTGCACTCCAGCCTGGGGGACAGAGCGAGACTCCGCCTCAAAAAGAGAAAGAAGAAAGAAAGGAAAGAAAAAAAAAGAGAAGAAAGAAAGAAAGAGAAAGAAAGAAAGCGCAATGTTAGCCATAAAATGGAATGAGTTCTGATACATGCCACAACATGGATGAACCCTGAAATCAATGTGCTAAAACAAAGAAAACCAACACATAAAAGGCCACATATTGTATGATCCTATTTATAGGAAATGTCTAAGACACAGAAATGTTAGTGGTTGACTGAGACTGGGAAGAGCAGGGATTAGGGGGCTGTTGCTTAACAGGTATGGGTTTCTTTTTCTGGTGATATAAAGGTTCTTGAAGTAGTGGTAGGGATGGTTGCACAACCTTATGACTATACTAAAAGCCACTGAATTGTACTTTTTTTTTGAGATGGAATGTTGCTTTTGTTGCCCAGGCTGGAGTGCAATGGCGTTATCTCAGCTCACTGCAACCTCCGCCTCCTGGGTTCAAGCAATTCTCCTGCCTCAGCCCCCTGAGTAGCGGGATTATAGGCATGCGCCACCACGCCTGGCTAATTTTTGTATTTTTAGTAGAGGTGGGGTTTCACTTTGTTGGCCAGACTGGTCTTGAACTCCTGACCTCAGGTGATCCACCTGCCTCGGCCTCCCAAAGGGCTGGGATTACAGGCGTGAGCCACCGTGCCCAGCCTGAATTGTGCTTTAAGATATTTTAAATAGTGAATTGTATGTTAAGTAAATTTTATGTCAATTTTTAAGACGAGTTAAGAATGTTACAGGGTATAACTAGTTCAACTATTGTGGAAGACAGTGTGGCGATTCCTCAAGGATCTAGAACTAGAAATACCATTTGACCCAGCCATCCCATTACTGGGCATATACCCAAAGGATTATAAATCATGCTGCTATAAAGACACATGCACACGTATGTTTATAGTGGCACTATCCACAATAGCAAAGTCTTGGAACTAACCCAAATGTCCATCAGTGATAGACTGGATTAAGAAAATGTGGCACATATACACCATGGAATACCATGCAGCCATAAAAAAGGTTGAGTTCTTGTCCTTTGTAGGGAGGACATGGATGAAGCTAGAAACCATTTTTTTTTTTTTTTTTGAGTCGGAGTCTCACTCTATTGCCAGGGCTGGAGTGCAGTGGCGCGATCTCGGCTCACTGCAAGCTCCACTTCCCGGGTTCACGCCATTCTCCCGCCTCAGCCTCCTGAGTAGCTGGGACTACAGGCGCCTGCCACCACACCCGGCTAATTTTTTTGTATTTTTAGTAGAGATGGGGTTTCACCATGTTAGCCAGTATGGTCTCGATCTCCTGACCTCGTGATCCGCCCGCCTCGGCCTCCCAAAGTGCTGGGATTACAGGCGTGAGCCACCGCGCCCGGCGAAACCATCATTCTGAGTAAAGTATCGCAAGGACAGAAAACCAAACACCGCATGTTCTCTCATAGGTGGGAAGTGAACAATGAGAACACTTGGACACAGGGTGGGGAACATCACACACCGGGGCCTGTCGTGGGGTGGGGGGAGGGGGGAGGGATAGCATTAGGAGAGATACGTCATGTAAATGACGACTTAACGGGTGCAGCACACCAACATGGCACATGTATACATATGTAACAAACCTGCACGTTGTGCACATGTACCCTATAACTTAAAGTATAATAATAATTTAAAAAAAGAATGTTACGGGGCATATCCTTTCTCTCAAATAATGGAACGAGGTTAAAAAAAAAAGGTTAAACATAAAATGGCGGCGGGCTGGATCGGATCACGTGACCGCCATTTCTTTCCTTCCCACCCAAAGGAAAGCCCTTCCTTCAGAGCAAGCGCAAGACATATAGCCCCGCTCATTGTTAAGCGAGGCCAAGGCAACCCTTAGGCGCGCTCTATTTCCCCTTTCGTAGCGAAAGGGCCAGGCGTATTGAGCGGTCAGGGGAGCGCGCACGCAGAACGTCAGCCAGTAAGCGCCGTTCCTCCGGGAGATGTGGAGGAGGGGGGCGGCGTGGAGGAAGAGGGGGAAGTTGGCGCATGCGCCTAAAGCTGACGGGTTTGAAATGGCTTCGATGTTAGCCGGGACCCGACTCAGGTGAAGGTCTGGTCCCCGTAGTTGGAGCAGTGGGCGGCCAAGCCGGGTCTCTTAACATCTTGTCGAATCTGTGGAAGGGCCGGGAGCGATCTTTTGGGTAGCCCGGCGGCCCCGGGCGGCGACGGTGGGGCTCTTGTGGGACTGGGACGGGAGGGACGCGGTCCCTTTTGTGCGGGTCGGAGCAGGCCCGGCGCGGCCAGCCCCACCCCCACCGCTCGGCTCCTCAGGTGCCCCCAGCGCCCCTCAGCCTCGGCATGGCGACGCTGCAGTCCGCCGCCCCATTGCTCCCGAGCCGCTGCGGTTTTACCCTCCTGGCCCCCCGGCCCGGGACATCGTGGCGGCTCCCGGCGGCGTGGGTCTTGGGGAATAGAGGCTTTCTCCGTGCGTGGTAAACGAGCCCAGGGCTCTCGGGAGCCATCGAGTGTCGTGGGGCGGTGGGTTCCGCCTTCCGTCGCCGGCGGCCGGCACGGAGCTGGGACTGGAGGAAGATGGACGGCCGAGCTCTGGCCCTTGAGGGTCGTGGCGGCCGAGGAGGGGGTGCACGGGCGGAGAATCTTCGCCTTTTCTGGTTTATCTTGGGGGGAGGGGTTTTCCCAGTGGTTCTTTAAGGGACATCCATTATCTCAACGGCCTTTTCCTTCGAGGTCGGGGTTGGAAAAGAAGCCCCCTAGGTTCCTTTTCTACTTTGGAAAGTAGAGATGTTCGTTATTTAAATGATATCTTTAAATACCTGTGATGGGGGTCTTGTCCCAGTATCCGTTATTGGTTTTAACATTACCCTGGCCTCACTCCCCAACCCATTGCCAGAAGAAACACGCAGGCTGTATTTCCTGTGAATATAAAGTTGTGAACTTTTTGTTAACAATTGGGTGGATACAGCAGATGGTCTTCGTTTAAATGTGACAACTTGTAGTCCCAGAAAGGAGTGCTTTTTCTGAGTCTCCCTCTAATGTTATCTTGTAAAATAGGGCATTTTTGGTGATCTACTTGATGTAAAATGTTTTTGCTGCATTTTGGATGTTCATTTGCCCTTTTTCTACTTAACAGTTGTTATTTCTGCTGAAATCTGCGAAGACGTCCTCGACACATTAAACATTTCTTTCTATTGTAATATCCTTTTGTGATATCTGTAGCTTGGTTGGACTTTAAAATGTGGATCCTTTTCTTGATAGATCGATGCTATAGAAGACAAACAAGGGAAGGTTTTTTTTCCTTTTGCATCATGGCTCAATTTGGAGGACAGAAGAATCCGCCATGGGCTACTCAGTTTACAGCCACTGCAGTATCACAGCCAGGTCAGGCTTCTAAATACATGTACTGTAATTGTTTGTGGGGGACTTGTTAAAACTACGTGAATTAGGGCCGGGGGTGGTGGCTCACGCCTGTTATCCTAGCACTTTGGGAAGCGGAGGAGGTGGATCACGAGGTCAGGAGTTCGTAACCAGCCTGGCCAACATGGTGAAACCCCGTCTCTACTAAAAATACTAAAATTAGCCGGGCCTGGTGGCACGCGCCCATAATCCTAGCTACTCAGGAGGCTGAGGCAGGAGAATCCCTTGAACCCGGGAGGTGGAGGTTGCAGTTAGCTGAGATCGCGCCACTGCACTCCAGCCTGGGCGACAGAGAGATACTCCGTCTCAAAAAAACAAAACAAAACAACATGAATTAGGCTGTTCTGATATTCTGATATTGTAAAGTGTTTGCAAATTGTGAATTCATTAACTTTCTCTGTGAAGCTCCTTTAAAAATCCATAGATCAACTAACAAGCTGTTTTACATAGTAGTTTGGACAGTTTTGTAGTTTTTTTTTTCCCCAAACATTTATTTTTTTATTTATTTTTATTTTTATTTATTTATTTTTTTGAGTCTTGCTCTGTCGCCCAGGCTGGAGTGCAGTGACGCAATCTCAGCTCACTGCAAGCTCCGCCTCCCGGGTTCACGCCATTCTCCTGCCTCAGCCTCCTGAGTAGCTGGGACTACAGGCACCCGCCACCACGCCCGGCTAATTTTTTTTTTTTTTGTATTTTTAGTAGAGACGGGGTTTCACCGTCTTAGCCAGGATGGTCTCGATCTCCTGACCTTGCGATATGCCCGCCTCGGCCTCCCGAAGTGCTGGGATTACAGGCGTAAGCCACCGCACCCGGCAGTTTTGTAGTTTTTTAATACCTTAGATTAACTTTTAATTGATTTAATTCTGTTAGAGTTTAGCTACTCATTCATTACAATATACTGTATTTGGCATGTTAAGTTGTCAGTATTAATGAGTTATGTTTAAAAGTAAATGGGCCGGGCGCGGTGACTCATGCCTGTAATCCCAGCACTTTGGGAGGCCAAGGCGGGCAGATCACAAGGTCAGGAAATCGAGACCATCCTGGCTTACATGGTGTAACCCCGTCTCTACTAAAAATACAAAAAATTAGTCGGGCATGGTGGCAGGCACCTGTAGTCCCAGTTACTCGGGATGCTGAGGCAGGAGAATGGCGTGAACCCAGGAGGTGAAGCTTGCAGCGAGCTGAGATCGCGCCACTGCACTTCAGCCTGGGTGACAGAGCAGGACTCCATCTCAAAAAGAAAAAAAAAAAAAGGTAAATTTAGGCTGGGCGCGGTGGCTTGTGCCTGTAATCCCAGCACTTTGGGAGGCTGAGGTGGGTGGATCACCTGAAGTCAGGAGTTCAAGACCAGCCTGACCAACATGGAGAAACCCTGTCTCTACTAAAAATACAAAACTGGCTGGGCATGGTGGTGCATGCCTGTAATCCTAACTACTTGGGAGGCTGAAGCTGGAGAATCGCTTGAACGTGGGAGGCAGAGGTTACAGTGAGCCGAGATCACACCACCGCACTCCAGCCTGGGCAACAAGAGCAAAACTCTGTCTCAGAAAAAAAAAAAATGTATTTAGGCTAGGTGAGGTGTCTCATGCCTGTAATCCCAGCATTTTGGGAGGCCAAGGTGGGCAGATCACCTGAGGTCAGGAGTTCGGAGACCAGCCTGGCTGACATGGTGAAATCCTATGTCTACCTAAAAAATATAAAAGTTAGCTTGGCGTGTTTGTGCAAGCCTGTAATCCCAGCTACTCATGAGGCTGAGGCAGGAGAAGTACTTGAACCGGGGAGGCAGAGGTTGAGTGAGCTGATATCGCAACGCTACACTCCAGTCTGGGTGATAAAGGGAGACTCTCCCCAAAAAAATTGAGTCGGAGGTCTCACTTTGTTACCCAGGTGGATCTTGAACTTTTGGGCTCACGCGATCCTCCCATCTTGGCCTCCTAAAGTGCTGGGATTACAGGTGTGAACCACCAGGACTAGCCAGTTGTTTGAATTTAAAGTTGAAAAACTACATTCAAAAAAAAAAATCACCTGGACCTGGTGTTATGTACCTGTGGTTCTAGCTATTCAGGGAGGTTGAGGTAGAAGGATTGCTTGAGCCAGGGAGGTCAAGGTTGCAGTGAGCCATGATGGTGCCATTGCACTACAGTCTGAGTGAGACCTGGTCTCAAAAAAGGTAAAGAAAAAGAAAGAAAACCAACTCTAAAGAATTTAGTTACTAGACAAAGGAAAAAGATAGTTGTAAAAGCTGCTGGATGCAGTGGCTCACTCCTGTAATCCCAGCACTTTGGGAGGCCAAGGCGGGCAGATCACCTGAGGTTGGGAGTTCAAGACCAGCCTGACAAACATGGAGAAACCCCGTCTCTACTAAAAATACAAAGGTAGCCTGGCGTGGTGGCACGTGTCTGTAATCCCAACTACTTGGGATGCTGAAGCAGGAAAATCTCTTGAACCCGGCGGAGGTTGCGGTGAGCTCAGATGCTCAGATTGCGCCATTGCGCTCTAGCCTGGGCAACGAGAGAAACTCCGTCTCAAAAAAAAAAAATAGTTGTAAAAGCAGTAAAAGAACATTTACATTTTCAAAATAAAGTCAACAAGGCCCGGTGCAGCACTTTGGGAGGCGGAGGTGGGCATATCACTGAGGTCGGGAGTTCGAGACCAGCTTGACCAACACAGTGAAACCTCCTCTCTACTAAAAATACAAAAATTAGACGGGCGTGGCAGAGGTTGCAGTGAGCCGAGATGGCACCACTGTACTCCAGCCTGAGCAGCAGAGTGAGACTCCAGCTCAAAAAAAATAAATAAAAATAAAGTCAACAAAACGTCATTTTCAAAGTAAATAGAAAATGTTATTGAAGCTTTAAATTCTTCCCAATCTTTTTAGGAAGAATTTTTTTTTTTGGTCATTTTTTGACTTATTTGTTGAATCTCAAAAGCTTTAACTCCTGTAGATTCAGAATTTTTTACTTGAATGAAACCAGTTGTGTTTAGGGATTTCAAATAAGTTTCCCAAGAATTCTACAGAATGAGATTTTGATTGTCTTTTAATTTGAATATATTTTTATTTATTTTATATCTCTTACTCTTTGCTGCATTTTACTTGCTTAAAATATCTTTTTTAATTCGAGGTCAATTTCGGAGACACTGTGATCTTCTAACTTCAGTGTTCCAAAATTTGATGGAAATGATTAGTTATCTTGGTGACCTTTCTCTTTAAAGACGTGGAGACCTGGCACAGTGGCTCATGTATGTAATCCCAGCACTTTGGGAGGCTGAGGCAGGAGGATCAGTTGCATCCAGGAGTCCAAGACCAGCCTGGGCAATATAACGAAACCCCATCTGCAGAAACTCAAAAATTAGCCAGGTGTGGTAGAGCACGCCTGTAGTCCCAGCTATTGGGGAGGCTGAGGCGTGAAGATCGCTTAAACCTTGGGAGGTCTAGGCTACAGTGAGCTGTGATAGTTCCGCCATATTCCAGCCTGGGTGACAGAGTGAGACCCTGTCCTAAAAAAAAAAAAAAAAAAAAGAAATGGGTACTTCAGGGTTTTAATTTTTTTTTTTTGAGATTGAGTCTCGCTCTGTTGCCCAGGCTGGAGTGCAGTGGCATGATCTTGGCTCACTGCAAGCTCCACCTCCTGGGTTCAAGCGATTCTCGTGCCTCAGCCTCCCAAGTAGCTGGGACTATAGGCGTGTGGCAGCAAGCCCGGCTGATTTTTTATATTATTAGTAGAGACTGGGTTTCACCCTGTTAGCCAAGATGGTCTTGATCTCCTGACCTTGTGATCCGCCCACCTCGGCCTCCCAAAGTGCTGGGATTACAGGCGTGAGCCACTGCGCCTGGCTCTTGACATGCTTAAACCTTTGTATCCTAATCCACAGTGCTTACCATAGATCCTTACTTCCCTAAGGAAGCTTTTCTCCTCCCATCTCTGGCTTGGTGGTGATACTCTATCTTTAGTATTATTATTTTAAATTCTAACTGCTTACTTTTATTTGTTTTTCTCTCTTAGTTACTATGTGTGATAATCCTTATTTTTCCTCCAGCTCCAGTGCATCCATCAGATCTGATATTCCTAAAACATAGTTTCTGTCAAAATCACAGAATTTTGGCTGGGCGTGGTGACTCATGCCTGTAATCCCAGCACTTTGGGAGGCCAAGGCAGGCAGATCACGAGGTCAGGAGTCCGAGACCAGCTTGGCCAACATGGTGAAACCCCGTCTCTACTAAAAATACAAAAATTAGCCGGACATAGTGGTGTGCATCTGTAATCCCAGCTATTCGGGAGGCTGAGGCAGGAGAATCACTTGAACCTGGAGGCAGAGGTTGCAGTGAGCCCAGATCGTGCCACTGCACTCCAGCCTGGGTGATGAGCAAGACTTCCTCTCAAAAAAAAATAAAAATAAAAAAATAAATTCACAGAATTTTTTTCAAAGCTGGATCAGGCCTAAACTAGATTTTTTTTTTTGTTTTTTTTTTTTTGACAGAGTCTTGCTCTGTCACCCAGGCTGGAGTGCAGTGGCACGATCTGGGCTCACTGCAATCTCTGCCTCCCGGGTTCAAGTGATTCTTGTGCCTCAGCCTTTGGGACTGTAGCTGGGACTACAGGCGCGTGCCACCACTCCCGGCTAATTTTGTGGGTTTTATTTTTAGTAAACATGGGGTTTTGCCATCTTGCCCAGGCTGGTCTTGAATTCCTGAGCTCAGACAATCCGCCCATCGTGGCCTCCCAAAGCTAAGCTAGATTCTATCCCAACTTAATTCTCTAAGAGATGAGGAAATTGAGGCCAAGGACGGTGAAAAAAATTTGTTTACGTCTCACAGGAGGTCATAGCAGAGTCAGTGTTAGGACCTCAGAATTGTGGTTCATTTTATCTTCTATTTCTTCATTTTCTCATTCGTCTGCAAAAGTATCTTCAAAGAGTTTTAGAATACAGTTCAGATTCTAGGATGGTATTCAAGGTCTTATTTTTGTGGCCCTGTTTTTCATTTTTCTCACCCCTTGAAATATATTCTTAATATTTACCGTATTTTTCCATATCCTACCTGAAGTGCTTTGATACGTCTTCAGTGACAGCCATTCTAGGGACCAGAGCTTTTAGTTTTGAAAATTTCTGTTGTGTAAAGAGACGTTGAGAGAAATGGCCAATGACTCACCAGTCAGTGACCAGTCAATCAAATCTTTAAGTAGCCCTTATATCAATTATCTTATTTTATTTTTTTGAACATGGAGTCTCGCTCTGTCTGCTCAGGCTGGAGTCTGTCTCACTCTGCCTAGGCTGGAGTTCAGTGGCATGATCTCAGCTCACTGTAACTTCTGCCTCCAGGGTTCAAGCAATTCTCCTGCCTCAGCCTCCTGAATATCTGGGGCTATAGGCTTGCTACCATACCCGGCTAATTTTTGTATATTTAGTAGAGACACGGTTTCACCATGTTGTCCAGGCTGCTCTTGAACTTCTGACCTCAGGTAATCCATCCGCCTTGGCCTCCCAAAATGCTGGGATTACAGGTGTGAGCCACTGTGCCCGGCCTTAGATCAATTATTGATTATAGAGGTACCTTCAGTATATTTGATGAAAAATATTTACATGTGTATCTGTATTTAAACTATTAAAATATGGAGGTGGATTTACCAGATTCAGACCTATTGTCACCCATTTCATATATTTTTTTAAACATCCATTTCATTTTTTGATTTTTTTTTTTTAATCTTTTTAGCTAAGGGAAAAAGACATCCAAAAATAATCCTGGAGGTTTTTTTTTCCGTTGTTTTTGTTTGTTTGTTTTTTGAGACAGGGTCTCACTTTGTTGCCTAGGCTGGTCTCAAATTTCTGCCTTCAAGGGATCACTCAGCCTATGAATGGTGTCTTCAACTGCCTAAGGGGATTGGCCAACAGTTATTTGAATTGTAGTAAGAAGAGGCTATTGCCAGGAGCACTAGTCCTCACTTCCAAAGGACTTCTGTCTGAGAGCGGAAGAGCTGTCATCTGTTAGGACATTATAGAGAGTATAAGAACCTCATATAACAATAAGGCTTTTCCTTTTCCTTATAGAATAGCACTGTCCAGGCTGGGCGCGAGTGGCTCTCGCCTGTAATCCCAGCACTTTGAGAGACCAGACAGGTGGATCACCTGAGGTCAGGAGTTTGAGACCCACCCACCTAACCTGGTGAAACCCTGCCTCTACTAAAAATACAAAAATAAGCTGGGTGTGGTGGTGGGCGTCTGTAATCTCAGCTACTTGGGAGGCTGAGGCAGGAGAATCACTTGAACCCAGAGACAGGTTGCAGTGAGCCGAGATCGTGCCATTGCACTCCAACCTGGGCGATAGAGCTGGACTCCGTCCCAGAAAAAAAAAAAAAAGCCCTGTCCAATAAGTAGAACTTTCTATGGTAATAAGCATGTGCTACATCTGCTTTGTATAATATGATACCCACTATGTGTGACTATTAAGCCCCTGAAATATACTTAGTGTGACTGAGGAACTGAATTTGTAATTTTATGTTAATTGTTATTAATTTAAATGAAATAACCACATGTATTTGGTGGGTAGTGAATTGGACAATACAGTTATATAAGATCATAACACTTGTAATAGGTTATATTTAAAGTATTATTTTGTAGCCAGGCGTGGTGACTTACTCTTTTTTGTTTTTTTGGGTTTTTTTGGTTTTTTTTTTTTTGAGACAGAGTCTTGCTCTGTCGCCCATGCTGGAGTGCAGTGGCGCTATCTCGGCTCACTGCAAGCTCCGCCTCCTGGGTTCATGCCATTCTCCTGCCTCAGCCTCCCGAGTAGCTGGGACTACAGGCGCCTGCCACCACGCCCGGCTAATTTTTTGTATTTTTAGTAGAGTCAGGGTTTCACTGTGTTAGCCAGGATGGTCTTGATCTCCTGACCTTGTGATCCACCCGCCTCGGCCTCCCAAAGTGCTGGGATTACAGGTGTGAGCCACCGCGCCCGGCTCTTGGTGACTTACTCTTGTAATCCTAGCGCTTTGAGAGGGTCGCTTGATTCCAGGAGTTTGAGACCAATGTGGTGGCACATGCCAGTAGTCCCTCAGGAGGCTGAGTCAGGAGGATTGAGCAAAACTCCGTCTTAAAAAAAAAAAAAAAATACAAAAACATTTCTTGGGTCAGTTTGAAATTTTGAATTTTAAAGTCTTTAAAAATTTCTTTTTTATAGTGGGGTCTTGCTATGTTGCCTAGGCTGGATTTGAACTCTTGGATGGAAGCAGTCCTCCTGCCTTAGGCTCCTGTGTGCACCAACATGTTCTGCCAGGTTTTGAATTTTATTCATTATTTCAGAAAGATGACTCACTTTTTTTTTTTATTGAGATGGAGTTTCGCTCTTGTTGCCCAGGCTGGAGTGCAGTGGTACAATCTCAGCTCACTGTAACCTCCGCCTCCCGTGTTCAAGCGATTCTTCTGCCTCAGCCTCCTGAGTAGCTGGGATTATAGGCACACGTGCCACCACACCCAGCTAATTTTTGTATTTTTAGTAGAGATGGGGTTTTGCCATGTTGGTCAGGCTGGTCTCAAACTCCTAACCCCCTGATCCACCCGTGTCGTCTTCCCTAAGTGCTGGGATTACAGGCGTGAGCTGCTGCGCCCAGCCCCTCTTTTGTGTTTTAATGATAGCTTGTGGTCAATAAATTATGTTAATAGTATATTATAACATGACTGTTTTAGTCATATGAAACTGATTGTAGTTTTTAAAAAAGAATATATATATATATATATATTTATTTTTTGAGATGGAGTCTAGCTCTGTTGCCCAGGCTGGAGTGCAATGGCAGGGTCTCGGCTCACTGTAACCTCCACCTCTTGGGTTCAAGTGATTCTCCTGCCTCAGCCTGCTGAGTAGCTGGGACTACAGGCGCGTGCCACCATGCCCCACTAATTTTTGTATTTTTAGTAGAGACAGGGTTTCACCATTTTGGCCAGGATGGTTTCGATCTCTTCACCTTGTGATCTGCCCGCCTCAGTCTCCCAAAGTGCTGGGATTACAGGCGTGAGCCACCGCACCCAGCCAAAAAAGAACATATTTTTATCCTTAAAGGTGGTTTCAGAAAACTTAGCCCTTAATTTTTTTAATTTAATTTTTTGAGACAGGGCCTCACTTTGTCACACAGGCCGGAGTACAGTGGTGCAGTCACGCTCGCTGTAGCCTTGATATCCTGGGCTCAGGTGATCCACCCACTTCAGCCTCCTGGGTAGCTGGGACTACAGGTGTGCGTCACCATGTACTACCAAATTTTTTATATTTTTCATAGAAGCAGGGTTTTGTCTTGTTGCCCAGGCTGCCCTCAAATTGCTGGGCTCAAGCAGTCAGCTCACCGTGGCCTCCCAAATTGCTGGGATTACAAATATGAGCCACTGTGCCTGGCCTAAATTTTATTTAGTAGATAGCCTGTGGTCATTTTGGTTTCATTTCATTTAGTTATTTGTGATATAAATACATAGTGATAAGTATCTATTGTGATTGTGGTATGGGACCTTTGACAATCATATTGAATGAGGTAAAAGTGAAGGATAAAGTGCTTCAATATGTATAATTGGAAAAGATCTTCAAATGACACGTGTTTAGCTATTTATGTGTGTGAGGGAGATTAAATCAGAGATTAATACCTTTGTACTTTGCAGATTACAGAATTACTTGCAGAATGTTGATTCTAATAATTCACATTGAGTGCAGAATGCACATATAAAAATATTCAAGGATAGCTTCTCAAATGTCCACAAAGGGGAGCATTAATAAATATTTAATGAAATACACTTCATTGAAATTAAAGTCTCAAGTATAAGTGATTTAGAAAAGAACTGTTATATATTTATAAAAGATATAATCACATTCACAGTGATTCCACAAAATTTGAATAAGTACCTGGTAGTGTGAAGCAACTACTCTACTGCAATGTAAATTATCTTCCTATCAATTTTTCCTAGCAGTCAAAATCTTCATTACCTATTAAATTGTCTTGTTTCTGTTTTTTTTTTTTTTTTTTTTTTTTGGTAGAATCTTGCTCTGTCACCCAGGCTGGAGTGCAGTGACACAATCTCGGCTCACTGCAACCTCTACCTCCTGGGTTCAAACAAGTGCCTCAGCCTCAGAAGAAGCTGGGATTACAGGCATGGGCCATCACACCTGGCTAATTTTTGTATTTTGAGTAGAGATGGGGTTTCGCCATGTTTGCCAGGCTGGTCTCAAACTCCTGACCTCAAGCAATTCACCCACCTTGGCCTCCCAAAGTGCTGGGATTACAGGCATGAGCCGCAGTACCTAGCTGAAATTGTCTTGTTTCTAACTCATCACATGGACTGTCAGGTGTAGAAAAGAGAAGTGTGGGTATTGGATGTCATCTTACCTACTTGGTGCTGGACTGTTGTATGCTGCCAGAATACAGGACACCCAGAAAAATTATAAGAAAAAATGGACATTCTGCGATTTTGGCTCTCAGCACTTCTGCTGTGGCAACTGTCAATACTTCCCAGGGTTGTGGGAGTTGGTACCAGCAGAGTGAAACAGCAAATCTAAGGCCGTGGTTCAGGTGGATGAAAGTGATGTCATGATACTTATACTTGAATCACTGATTTAAAATGTCAAATGCAGAACATGCCGATCTTAATTTATTAACATGCCAATTCAGATTATTAGAATTTAAAGTACTAATACTTTTTCATAGCGTCTTGTTCCTATTTACATGATAATTTTTTTTCTATTACCAGAACAGTTTTGTTTGTTTGTTTGTTTGTTTGTTTGTTTGAGACAGAGTCTTGCTCTGTCACCCAGGCTGTAGTGCAGTGGCGCCATCTCAGCTCACCGCAACCTCTGCCTCCCTAGTTCAGGCTGTTCTCCTGCCTCAGCCTCCTGAGTAGCTGGTACTACAGGTGTGCACCACCATGCCCAGCTAACTTTTGTGTTTTAATAGAGATGGGGTTTCACCGTGTTGGCCAGGCTAGTCTCAAACTCCTGTCCTCAGGTGATCTGCCCGCCTCAACCTCCCAGAGTGCTGGGATTACAGGTGTGAGCCACCATGCCTGGCCAGAACAGTTGTTCTTAACCTTTCTAGGGCCTATATATAATCCTTTTGAAAATCGGATGACAGCTATGGATTTATCTTCCATTTTGCATACGGTTTCAGGAAATTATCCCACCTTTTAGAACCTATGCCCTATCCAGGCATGGTGGCATGCGACTGTAGTCCCAGTTGCCGGGGATGCTGAGGCGAGAGGATTGCTTGAACCAGGAGTTCAAGGCTGCAGTGAGCTAAGATTGCACCACCGCATTCCAGCCTGGGTAACAGTGTGACTGCATCTCTGAAAAAATAATAATAGAACCTGTGCCCTACATTTTGATGCACTATTTTTTCTGTATTCTCATTGCGGTTAACCTCATTTTGAATTAATACTGGTGTTAAGATATTCCCCACGTCTATTTAAATTCACTTTGTTGGTCCTTGTTTTATCCTTTCTCCCTACCTATGACATCTGACTTATCTTAAAAATAGTTAAAAGAGAAAATAGGCCAGGCACAGTGGCTCATACCTATAATCCCAGCACTTTGGGAGGCCGAGGTGGATGGATTGCTTGAGCCCAGGAATTCGACACCAGCCTGGGCAACATAGTGGGACCCTGTCTTTACAGAAACTATCAAAAATTAGTCAGGCATGGTGGAATGTGCCTGTAGTCCTAGCTACTCTGGAGGCTGAGGGAGGAGGATCACCTGAGTTCGGGAGGTTGAGGTTGCAGTGAGCCAAGATTCTGCCGCTGCACTTGAGCCTGTGTGACAGAGTGAGACCCTGTCTCAAAAAAAGTAAAAAGAGAAAATGAAAAACTTGGTGTTGTAATGATTAGCACTGTGTATTTAGGACATTTGTAAAGTTTTCTTTTCACTGTAGATTCTTCTCTTTCTTTAAATTTTAAAAATCTGGTTTTGGCCTGAAATCCCAGCACTTTGGGAGGCACAGGCAAAAGGATCACTTGAGTCCAGGACACTTGAGACCAGCCTGGGCAATATAGCAAGACCCCATCTCTATTATAATAAGAATTTTTAAAATTTATTTTATTTATTTTTTATTTTTGTTGAGATCAAGTCCTGCTTTGTCACTCAGGCTGGAGTGCAGTGGCGCGACCTTGGCTTACTATACCTCCCGGGTTCAAGTGATTCTCCTGCCTCAGCCTCCCGAATAGCTGGGATGACAGGCTCACGCCACCACACCTGGCTAATTTTTATATTTTTGGTAGAGACAAGGTTTCACCATGTTGGCCATGCTGGTCTCAAACTCCTGACCTCAGGTGATCTACCCTGCTCAGCCTCCCAAAGTGCTGGGATTACAGGCGTGAGCTACCATGCTGAGGTTTTTTAAAAAACATTTTTTAAAATTATTGTTTTTGCAGAGGATAATTTTGAATTTTTAAAAATTCTAAACATGATTTCTGGGATTTTGTTTCTTTCTTATTTTGTTATTTTTTTTTATTTTAAATGAAATTAGACTTTTTAAATAGTTGATGGTAAACCTCAAACTTTGAATGAATTTTTGTGATGTTCAAGAGTAGGGTACCTGCCTTTGGTCGGTTCATTAAAGCTCTTTATTCTGTTTTTATAAAGCACAAATTGTTCTTTCTATAGAGTTAATAACTAATAGTTATAAGGCAGCATTTTTTTTCAGATTGTTCCCAGATAAAAGCAAGATAGTTTGGGGAAGGGAGTGTTCCATGAGCAAATACTGGTTTTTACGGCCTCTTGGTTTTGTCCCCCTAGATACCATTGAGAAAATTGGGCTGATGCCTGTAATCCTAACACTTTGGGAGCCTAAGGAAGGAGGATTGCTTGAACCCAGGAGTTCAAGACCAGCCTGGGCAACATTAATGAGATTCCATTTCCTTTTTTTTTTCTTTTTTCTTTTTTTGGACACAGAGTCTGACTGTGTCACCCAGGCTAGAGTGCAGTGGTACAGTCTTGGCTCACTGCAACCTCTGCCCGCCCCCGGGTTGAAGTGATTCTCGTGCCTCAGCCTCCTGAGGTATAATTCAGTTTAATTCAACTGAATTACTTAACGCAGTTACGTAAAGCGTAAATGCATTTAATTCCTGCGTTTAATTCAGTTTCCTGAACTTAGCCTTAGATCCCATTTTTTTCAAAATTTATTGCCCCAGGGAGCTAGTGGTCATTTTTCTAGGAGATGCATTTTTGGGAAGTGCAGTGCTAGACCATAATTTTTACCTAAAGTTTCTGCATTTAATGGAATTGGGTAAAAGGATCAAGTAAAACCTTTATCATATTCTCCTCAGTGTGTAGCTATCTCTGAGCATACATTAAACATTTAAGTACCAAAGTCTATCATTTTGAGCCCCTCTCCCCAATTTTTTGGTCTTAGCAAATTATCATTTTAAGTCACTACATGGTGAATTGTTTTTTAATTTCTCAGTACAGTAGTGTACACTAACTAAAACCTCTTTGTGGCCAGTTGTGGTGGCTCACACCTGTAATCCCAGTACTTTGGGATCCCGAAGCAGGTGGATTGCTTGAGCCTAGGAGTTCGAGACCAGCCTGGGAAACATAAGGTGATCCCTTTTCTACCAAAAATTTAAAAATTAGCAGGATGTGGTGGCTTGCGCCTGTAGTCCCACCTACTCGGAAGGCTGAGGTGGGAGGATCACTTGAACCTGGGGAGGTCGAGGCGTCCATAAGCTGTGATTGCACAACTGCACTTCAGCCTTAGTGACAAAGTGAGACTCTGTCTCAAAAACACAAACCGTTTTTGTGCTTTTTTTTTTTTTTTTTTTTCCAATATTGAGAGGTAGAGTTTTACTCTGTGAAAATCCCTCATAGGATTATGGCTCACTGCAGCCTGGAATGTCTGGGCTCAAGTAATCCTCTCATCTCAGCATCCTGAGTAGAATGATCCTCCTATCTCAGCCCCCTGAGTAGGTGGGACTACAGGTACCTGCCTCCATGTGTGGCTCATTTTTTTAAATCTTTGTAGAGATGAGATCTCACTTTGTTGCCCAGGTTGGTCTCAAACTCCTGGGCCCAAGTGATCCTCCTACTTCAGCCTCCCAAAGGGTTGGAATTACAGACATGAGCTGCCTCGTCCAGCCTACATTTTTTTCTTCAAAGACTAGACAAGCATTGTAATCAGAAGGGGAAGAGTAGAACAAGGAGTTCAGTCAGTAACTGAATAACCGCTTTAGATAACTCATTACCTTTGGACCAGGCTTTTTGTGCTTAAGTGTTGTTTTTGTCCATTTTCCTTTTTTTATTTTTTGAGATGGAGTCTCACTCTGTTGCCGAGGCTGGAGTGCAGTGGTGATCTCAGCTCACTGCAACCTCCGGCTCCCAGGTTTAAATGATTCTCCTGCCTCAGCCTCCTGAGTTGCTGGTACTACAGGCGTGTGTCACCATGCCCAGTTAATTTTTGTATTTTTAGTAGAGATGGGGTTTCACTATGTTGGCCAGCCTGGTCTCGAACTCTTGACCTCAGGTGATCCTCCCGCCTCGGTTTCCCAGAGTTCTGGGATTGCAAGCATAAGCCACCACCCCCAGCCAGTTTTAGTCTTTTTCAAAATTAGAAATTTTTCTTGACATGTAAAAATCCTATGTATTTATGGTATACATACACAATTACTTAATACCAAAGTTTTATAGATAATATATATAAAGTCTTGATGTATATATATGTCATGGAATGGCTAAATCAAGCTATTTAACGTGCATTACTTCACCTACTTATCTTTTGTGGTGAGAAGACTTAAAAGTCTGCTCTCTTCTCAATGTTTACATATATAATGTATTGTTATTAACTGTAGTCAACGTGATGTACAATGGGTATCTTGAACATTCCTCCTAACTGAAACCTTTGACCAATGTCTGCCCAATCCTGCCCTGGGCCCCACAGCCTCTTGTAGCCACCATTTTACTCTGTTTCTCTTAGTTTGACTTTCTTATACTCCAAATTTGAGATCATGCAATACTCTTTTTTCTGTGCCTGGCTTATTTCACTTAACATAATGTCCTTCAAGGTTCATACGTGGTGCAAATTACCGGATATTCTTCTTAAGGCTGAATAGTATTCCCTTGTGCATATATACCACATTTTCTTTATCCAGTTGTTCATTGATGGACACTTAGGTTGATTCCATATCTTGACTATTGTGAATAGTGCTGGAGTGAACATGGGGGTGCGGGTATCTCTTCTATGTACTGTTTTCATATTTTTTATATTCTTCTTAATCTTGATTTTTATTTTTTCCTTTTTGATTTCATTTTAGCTGCACTGGGTGTTCAACAGCCATCACTCCTTGGAGCATCTCCTACCATTTATACACAGCAAACTGCATTGGCAGCAGCAGGCCTTACCACACAAACTCCAGCAAACTATCAGTTAACACAAACTGCTGCATTGCAGCAACAAGCCGCAGCTGCAGCAGCTGCATTACAACAGGTAAATCTTTAATATGTCTTATTATTTGATGTAGAAAACTTTATGAAATCTGAGTAGCTAGCATTGCTACCTTCATTTTACAGGTAGTGAAGAATTATGTGTTTTTATTATGCTGATTTCTTTTTCTGGTGATGAATATTATATCTGACCAGCATATATAGGGAAGAATAGTTGGGCCAGGCATGGTGGCTCATGCCTGTAATGCCAGCATTTTAGGAGGCTGAGGTGGGAGGATCGTCTGAGCCCGGGAATTTGAGACCAGCCTGTGCAACGTGGTGAGACAGCGTCTGCAGAAAACACGAGAATTAGCCAGCATAGTGAAGGATGCATGTGGTCCCAGCTGCTTGGGAGGTTGAGATGGGAGGATTGCTTGAGCATTGGGAGGTTGAGGCTGCAGTGAACTGAGATTACACCACTGCACTCTGGGAGGCAGAGCAAAACCCTGTGTCCAAAAAAAAAAAAAAAAAAAAGTAGTTGAATAGTCAAAATTTTTAAGTCCTTAAATTGGGCAGTTCTTATACCTTAATTACATGAATAAAATTTACTTCTTTTTGGATCCCGGAGTATAAGTAATCACAACTTGATTTACTTTAGATGAAGTTTCACTGTTCCAGAAAATTTATCTTTATTATTATTATTTTTATTTTTTTTGTTTTTTTCTTTGAATCAATGCCACACCAGAACAGAAAGTTTATGTTTAGTGTAATTGTATGTATTTCTATGTATATCACTTTTTGAGAATGAATAAATTTAGTGTCTGTATTTTTCTTTGAAAAATTTTTTTTTAATCTTTCAGCAATATTCACAACCTCAGCAGGCCCTGTATAGTGTGCAACAACAGGTTAGTTTATATTTTCCGTGTTAAAAACTGATTTTAAAATAGCCATTTGCTCCAAAGTTCAATTGATAGAGAGTTTTATTTCTATCAGCTACCTTAACATGTGATACAAATTTTTTGGGAGGGGCTAGAGTAAATAGGTAGGAAAAAAGGAACGTCTCCAAGGGTGAGGGAGATAGGAGGGTGGTCCTAACAACCCAGATCCTTAGCCAGTCTTTGTCGCATGTTTCTAAGAAAGTATGAGGAGGCTGGGCGCAGTGGCTCATGCCTGTAATCCCAGCATACTGGGAAGCCGAGGCGGGCGGATCACTTGAGGTCGGGAGTTTGAGACCAGCCTGACCAACATGGAGAAACCCCATCTCTACTAAAAATACAAAATTAGCCGGGTGTGGTGGCGCAGGCCTGTAATCCCAGCTACGTGGGAGGCTGAGACAGGGAGGCTGAGGCAGGAGAATCGCTTGAACTCAGGAGGCGGAGGTTATGGTGAGCCGAGATCACACCACTGTACTCCAGCCTGGGCAACAAGAGCGAAACTCTGTCTCAAAAAAAAATAAAAAAGTATGCAGAGAATAATCTAGAAAGAACCACCCTTTGGACTGTTATGCTCCTGTCTGGAACGTTTGGGCCAGGTCTGCTGAACTAGACCACATGTGAAAATGAAAGCTCCTTTTGCTGATTGAAGCCTAAACCTTATAGGCTTTCAGCTTTTATTTTTTTTTCTTTATTTTTTATTTTTAAAAATTTTTGTTACATTAACTAACACCTACTACAGCCTTTATTTCTTTCAAGGAGTAGGACTCCTAGTCCCCTTCTTACTAATCAAATTGTGTATGGAAATCAAAATATTAAAATAGAACTGTTCAAAATGGGAGAAAGTTGGTGAGGCACAGTGGTTCACGCCTGTAATCCAAGCACTTTGGGAGGCCAAGGCGGGCGGATCACTTGAGGTCAGGAGTTTGATACCAACTTGGCCAATATGGTAAAACCCTCTCTCTACTAAAAATAGAAAAATTAGCTGGGCCTGGTGGTGCACAGCTGTAAAAAATTAAAATAAATAAAATGTGGGAGAAAGTCACACTTTGTAGTTCACACTTCTATTCCCTAGGCATGTTTAAACAATATGGAAACTCCTGATTTAGACTAAAAGCAAGTTTCATTGGACCCTTTTCCTTAGACACATTCTCTAGGAACTGTCAAGGAAAGAGAGTTTGCCTTGCTGAAATACAGATATGCTTTAGTCTAAGCATGTCCCTGGAAAGGATCTGGTCTCATTCTTTTTTGAGACTGAGTTTCATTTTTGTTGCCCAGGCTAGAGTGCAATGGTGCGATCTTGGCTCGCTGCAACCTCTGCCTCCCAGATTCAAGCAATTCTTCTGCCTCAGCCTCCTGAGTAGCTAGGATTACAGGTGCATGCCACTAGGCCCGCCTAATTTTTTCTATTTTTAGTAGAGACAGGGTTTCACCATGTTGGCCAAGCTGGTCTCGAACTCCTGACTTTGTGATCCACCCACCTTGGCCTCCCAAAGTGCTGGGATTACAGGCGTGAGGCACTGCGCCCAGCCTCATTCTTTTTTTTATGGCTGCAGAGGCTTCTCAATTCATAACTTCTTTGTCCCTAGATCCATGGCCCAGTTTAATCCTCGACTTAAGCCCCTTGAGGCTTCAGAAGCATTGCATTTTCCCAGAAGACCTCAGTATTTCACTAGTAATTGCTTTAAACTTCTTAAAAACTGACAAGAGACTGGTCTCAAATCAGATGTCTTGTTTTCAGAGTACCTTCCAACTTATTTTAGTGCTCTTATGAAATACATTTTTAAAGATGATAATGGGTGAGGCTGAACCTTGCAAAAATTGCAATACTCATTCTGCCTTTAAAAAATGGCACTACTCAACTGTTCTTAACTTACAAAAAAATAGTATTTTGATATGATCTAATCTCTAATACATGGTGACTCCAGGTAAACTGAGTGTTTTGAATTACAACCTCATACAGATTATTTTACCTTAGCCTAAGTCAAATTTGTATTTCAGAATTTTAAAATTTCTCCTTTCATACTAATTCCTTTTACTTTCTGGTAATAGTACACTTTGCTATTACAGAAAAACCATACATCAGAGTATGTGGTCCTTCATGGTCTCTGTGCCTATGGTAAATTGTCCATCAACAGTGCTTCTCATTTTATTTAGGGATATATCTATGAATTGGATTGATGACCAGTGATATTTTTTGATACAAGTAGCATATTGATGATATTGAGTCATTTCTGTAGCATGGTAATCTTCGCTTTTAGAGATTTGTGGGGTTTTACTGTGGATGCTATTCCTGGGAAATAATAACAATAACAAAAAAATCAGGTTCTGTATTTTTATTAATAAAAGTAGTTAAGTGCCTATCATTGAATGAGTTACTTACATATGAGGTCTGCAGTTTTTAGAAACAGTTGTAGGAAACTTTATACCTAGTTATCTCTGTTACTTTTCACATTTTTCTTAAGATAACTGGGCTGGGTGCAGTGGCTCATGTCTGCAATACTGTCACTTTGGGAGGCCAAGGCAAGAGGATTGCTTGAGCTCAGGAGTTCAAGACTACCCTGGGCAACATAGTGAGACCTCGTTTCTGTTTAAATACATAAATAAAAATAAGTAGAATAACTTTTATAGGATTATTTCTTTTATGAAGCATCTATGAAGCAACAATTCTGATTGACCCTTTTCTGTGTGTGTTTATTTTTCTGTTTTCAGTTACAGCAACCCCAGCAAACCCTCTTAACACAGGTTAGTTGGTATTACTTTATTTGTTTTGGATGTCTGAATGAACAGTAGACTAAAGCTTTATTAGTATTCTACTTTTTCTTTCAGGGTTTAGTTACTTGTTAGATTCACCTAATAATTTAGGAATATAATGCTAAATAAAGGTAGTAGTATGCTAGTTTATTTTTGATGGTTTCTCCTTGTAGGTTCAGCTGTGATACAGTTTGAATAAATATGAGGTTTTATTTTATTTATTTATTTATTTATTTATTTATTTATTTATTTATTTATTTTGAGGCAGAATCTCCCTCTGTTACCCAGGCTGGAGTGCAATGGCGCAGTCTCGGCTCACTGCAATCTCTGCCTCCTGGGTTCAAGCGATTCTCCTCTCTCAGCCTCCTGAGTAGCTGGGATTACAGGCGCCTGCCACCACGCCTGGCTGATTTTTGTATTTTTAGTAGAGATAGGGTTTCACCATGCTAGCCAAGCTGGTCTCGCCTAAGGTCCAGACCTTAGGTGATCTACCTGCCTTGGCCTCCCAAAGTGCTGGGATTACAGGTGCGAGCCACCATGCCCGGCTGAGGTTTTATTTTAAACTTAATACTGATTTTTCATTGATACTGATTTTTGTAGTCTTTTTCTTTTGGAAGATTTCTGCACGTTTTTTCCACTTTAGCAGGGAAAGTTATTGTGTGACATTATCTGCTTAATTTTTCAGCAACATTAAAAAGTTTTGAACTTTTCATATGTAGTGCTACCTTAGGCTTTACAGACTATTTATTGTATCTTTCACATACTCTTTTTCTATTTTTACAACCTTTTGAAAGTGTAAAAAGTGTTCTTAGCTTATAAACTACGTAAAAAGAGCCTATAGGCTGTCTTTGGCCCATGGGTCATAGTTTGCTGATCACTGGTTAATACGTAGAGTGAAATACTATGCAGCTGTTAAAGCACAACCTCTTTGTATACTGATATGGAATGATATTCCAGATAATCTGAGGTAGAAGTAAAGGTACAGTCTAGTATGTATTATATGCTCCCATTTATCTATATGCATATTTGAATAAAACATCTCTAGGAGGCTTTACACTAATAATTAGGACAGTGATTGCTTCATGTTTAGGGAACTGCATAGCTGAGGAGCAGGGATAGGAGAGAGGCTTTTCACAGTATAACATTTTGTACTGTATTTTTAGTCTTGAATCTCTTCCTTGTCTTTTAAAAATATACTTGAATTGAGAAATCAACCTGTTTTTATTAAAGAACTACAGTTGGTTAACACGTAACTCATAACTCCTATTTTCAATAATCAACAAAGTAGAATTTCCAAATTAAGTAGAAAAACAATAGAAGTTCTTTTGTTCAAATGCTATTTCCCTAAGTGTACCCATAACACATTACTAGTATCTTAAGATATTAAAGAAATTTCATGAGAAAATAGTTTTGTGGTCAAAGTTTGAGGAATGCTGAGTTCCTTTACTATACTTAGGACTTTCCTAAGCCTTTATTATGCCAGTATGGATATTGTATTAGTAAGAACACTCATCTAAGGGATCTTGATGAAATAGGCTAAAAATAATTTATAGTTTAATTTTAGACCTGACTCTCAAGATGTACATGTATATCTTCTAACATAATATGAAATTTTTAACATTCTGGGTTAGTTTTAAGTAGTCATATTCAGTTTTTAGATGATTTCAAATCATTACCTTAATTTGATGTTGATTTTGTTTTATAGCCAGCTGTTGCACTGCCTACAAGCCTTAGCCTGTCTACTCCTCAGCCAACAGCACAAATAACTGTATCATATCCAACACCAAGGTCCAGTCAACAGCAAACCCAGCCTCAGAAGCAGCGTGTTTTCACAGGGGTGGTTACAAAACTACATGATACGTTTGGATTTGTGGATGAAGATGTATTCTTTCAGCTTAGGTAAACTTAATGAGGTCTTGTCACATGGCTTCTTGCATTTACCACAAAACACCTGTTTAGTTGTGGCAGAAATTGTATGTAGCCCAGGCTGGACACAGTTGTGCAATCTCAAGTCGACTCACTGCAGCCTCTGCCTCCTGGGTTCAAGCAATTCTCTTGCCTCAGCCTTCGGAGTAGCTGGGATGACAGGCGTGCACCACCACACTCGGCTAATTTTTGTATCTTTATTAGAGAATGGGATTTCACCATGTCGGCCAGATTGGTCTTTAAACTCCTGACCTCAAGTGAGCCACCCGCCTCAGCTTCCCAAGGTGCTGGGATTACAGGCGTGAGACACTGCGCCTGGCCAGTGTAGCTATGATTTTCTTTCCTTTTTTATTTGAGACAGAGCCTCACTCGGTTGCCAAGGCTGGAGTGCAGTGGCGTGATCTTGGCTCATCACAACCTCCGCCTCCTGGGTTCAAGTGATTCTCCTGCCTCAGCCTCCCGAGTAGCTGGGACAACAGGCATGCGCCAGCACGCCTGGCTCATTTTTGTATTTTTAGTATGAGACAGAGTGTCACCATGTTGGGCAGGCTGGTCTTGATAGGATAATCATTCCCTTACTCTTCTTTCTTTCTTTTTCTTTTTCTTTTTTTTTTTTTTGAGACAGCGCCTCACTCTGTAACTCAGGCTGGAGTGCAGTGGTTCGATCTCAGCTCACGGCAACCTCCACCTCCCAGGTTCAAGCAATTCTCATGCCTCAGCCACCATGCCTGGCTAATTTTTGTATTTTTAGTAGAGACGGCCTTTCACTATATTGGCCAGGCTGGTCTCGAACTCCCGACCTCACGATCCACCTGCCTCGGCCTCCCAGGAAGTGCTGGGATTACAGGTGTGAGCCACTGTGTCTGGCCTTAGCTGTAATATTGTATTTTTATTTTTTTCTGAAGAAACTCAAGTGTGGAATTTTGTTTCTTTTTCTTTCCTACTTTCTTTTCTTTTTTCTTTTTTCAGACAGTCTCATTCTGTCACCCAGGCTAGAGTGCAGTGGCGTGATCTCACCTCACTGCAACCTCCACCTCCCGGGTTTAAGTGATTCTCTTGCCTCAGCCTCCCAAGTAGCAGGGACAACAGACGTGTGCCACCACACCCGGCTAATTTTTGTATTATTTATTTGTTTGTTTATTTATTTATTTATTTATTTATTTATTTACTTTGAGACAGAGTCTCGCTCTGTCACCCAGGCTGGAGTGCAGTGGTGCGATCTCAGTTCACTGCAGCCTCCGCCTCCCAAGTTCAAGTAGTTCCCTGCCTCAGGCTCCTAAGTAGCTAGGATTATAGGTGCCTGCCACCACGCCTGGGTAATTTTTTGTATTTTTAGTAGAGATGGGGTTTTACCATCTTGGCTAGGCTGGTTTTAAACTCCTGACCTCGTCATCCACCTGCCTCGGCCTCCTAAAGTGCTGGGATTACAGGCGTAAGCCACTATACCTGGCCAGTTTTTGTATTTTTTAGTAGAGACAGGGTTTCACCATGTTGGCCAGGCTGGTCTCGAACTCCTGACCTCAGGTGATCTGCACACCTCAGCCCTGCAAAGTGCTGGGATTATAGGCGTGAACCACTGCGCCTAGCCAGTTTAGCTATAATTTTGTATTTTTTCCTGAAGAAAGGCGGTTCTAACAATATTTCTGGGTAAACATAACTGTGAGTGGGGTGTTGAAATCTAATTTTGAAATCTAATCTTTGTTTGACGTGTCTAATGACGTAGCATAGATTTTAAAATTGTTTTTTAGCTAAGCGCAGTGGCTTGTCCTTGTAATCTCAGTTTCTTGGGAGTCCAAAGTAGGTGGATGGCTTGAGGCTAGGAGTTCCAGACCAGCCTGGGCAACATAATGGCAAGACCCCATCTCTAAGACGCAAAAATATTAACATTGAAAAAGTCAATAGGATCAAGTGATTGATGGACTGACATTCAAAATAATAATTTTTAAAAGTTCCTTTTCCATATTTAAATTAGTACTTTTATAGCTTTGTAGTGTTTGTAGGAAATACTGTACAACATTTTTCTGTAAAAGAGATTCCTGTTTTTTATCTTTTTTGCATTCATCATTTGAAAGCCCAAAGCAAATCTTAGTCTTGGGTTATAAAAGTAAAAAATGGATCAGGAGAGATAATATCAGGGAAATATGGGGTGGTAAATTATTAATTTCACTTTAAACTCATGTTTATAAGGGTGAAACACCCATTTTAAAATGAGTCTAGGAGGTATATCTACTTAACTCTTTTTTTTTTTTTTCTTTTTCTTTGAGACAGGGTCTTGCTTTATCACCCAGGCTGGAGTGCAGTGTTGCGATCATAGTGAACTGCAAAGTTGAACACCTGGACCCAGCTACCTCGTGTAGCTGGGCCATCAGGCGTGTACCACCACTTCTGGCTATTTAATTAAATTAATTAATTAATTAATTTTTTTTGAGACAGAGTTTCTCTCTTGTTGCCCAGGCAAGAGTGCAGTGGTGCAATCTTGGCTCACTGTAACCTCCGCCTTCTGGTTTCAAGTGATTCTCCTGCCTCAGTCTCCCAAGTAGCTGGGATTACAGGCGCCTGCCACCACACCCGGCTAATTTTTTTGTGTTTTTAGTAGAGACAGGGTTTCACCGTGTTGGTCAGGCTGGTCTCGAACTGCTGACCTCGTGATCCACCCATCTCAGCCTCCCAAAGTCCTGGGATTACAGGCATGAGCCGCCACGCCCGGCCCTTTTTGTTTTATTTTTTGAGATGGGGTCTCTTTTGCCCAGGCTGGGGTCCAGAAGTGCAGTCATAGCTCACTGCAGCCTCAAATTCCCAGGTTCAAGGGATCTTCCTGCTTCAGCCTCTGAAGTAGCTGGGACTCTAGGCCCATGCTACCACGTCCAGCTTTTTTTTTTTTTTGGAGACCGAGTTTCGCTCTTGTTGCCCAGGTTGGAGTGCAATGGCATGATCTCGGCTCACTGCAGCCTCTGCCTCCCGGGTTCAAACAATTCTCCTGCCTCAGCCTCCTGAGTAGCTGGGATTACAGGTGCCTACCACCACGCCTGGCTAATTTTTGTATGTTTAGTAGAGACGGGGTTTCACCATGTTGACCAGTCTGGTCTTGAACCTCTGACCTCAGGTGATCCACCTGCCTCAGCCTCCCAAAGTGCTGGGATTACAGGCGTGAGCCACAACAACGCCCGGCAACTATTTTTTTTTTTCCAGTTTCTTCAGATCTAGACATAAAGACTAATTTTTAAATTTTTTGTAGAAATGTGATCTCACAATGTTGCCCAAGCTGGTCTTGAACTGACTGCAAGTGATCGTTTGATTTTTAAAGTTATGGCGTTAGAGGCATGAACCACTGTACCTGGCCATCTACTTTTTCTTATTTTTTTATTTTTAAATTTTTTATTTATTTATTTATTTTGAGATGGAGTCTCGCTCTGTCGCCCAGGCTGGAGTGCAGTGGTGCAATATTGGCTCATCACAACCTCTGCCTCCCGGGTTCAAGTGATTCTCCTGCCTCAGCCTCTCAAGTAGCTGGGATCACAGGCTCCTGCCACCACGCCTGGCTAATTTTTGTATTTTCAGTAGGGATGGGGTTTCGCCATCTTGACCAGACTGGTCTTGAACTCCTGACCTCATGATCCACCCACCTCGGCCTCCCAAAGGGTTGGGATTACAGGCGTGAGCCACCGCGCCCAGCCTCTTTTTTTATTATTACTTTTTTTGAGATGGAGTCTCACTCTATCGCCCAGGCTGGAGTGCGGTGGTGCGATCTTGGCTCACTGCAACCTCCGCCTCTCGGGTACAGGCGATTCGCACCCGGCTAATTTTTGTATTTTTAGTAGAGATGGGGTTTCACCGCATTGGTCAGGCTGGTCTTGAACTCCTGACCATGTTAGCCAGGCTGGTGTTGAACTCCTTAAGTGATCTGCCCACCTTAGTCACCCAAAGTGCTGAGATTACAGGCGTGAGCTACTGCTGCCATCACCCAACTACTTTTTATTGTTATTTTATTTTATTTATTTATTTTTGTTTGAGACCGAGTCTCGTCTGTCACTCAGGCCAGGGCACCATCTCAGCTCACTGGAACCTCCACCACCTGGGTTCAAGCAATTCTCCTGCCTCAGCCTCCTGAGTATTTGGGATTACAGGTGTGCGCCACCACGCTCGGCTAATTTTTGTATTATTACTAGAGACAGGGTTTCACCATGTTGACCAGGCTGGTCTTGAACTCCTGACCTCAAGTGATTCGCCTGTCTCGGCCTCCCAAAGTGCTAGGATTACAGGCATGAACCACCACACCCAGCCCCATCTACTTTTTTTATTATTATTATTATTATACTTTAAGTTTTAGGGTACATGTGCACAATGTGCAGGTTAGTTACATATGTATACATGTGCTATGCTGGTGTGCTGCACACCCATCTACTTTTTAAAGAGCTTTCCAGGCTTCCATTTCTGATATAGTTTACTGTTTATTTTTTTTTGAGATATGGTTTACTTTAAAGTACTAACTATGTAAATCATTTTGGGGAGAAATCTATTTTAATTGTATTTATATTTAACTTTTTTTTTCTTTTTTTTTTTACAGTGCTGTCAAAGGGAAAACCCCCCAAGTAGGTGACAGAGTATTGGTTGAAGCTACTTATAATCCTAATATGCCTTTTAAATGGAATGCACAGAGAATTCAAACACTACCAAATCAGGTACAGAAAGTATTGAGTTAGGTATTATAGAAGCTTGGTAAATGAGTCTTCTAATTCACAAAGATTTTTTTTCTTATTCTTTCATTTTTTAATTGAAGAATCAGTCGCAAACCCAGCCATTACTGAAGACTCCTCCTGCTGTACTTCAGCCAATTGCACCACAGACAACATTTGGTGTTCAGACTCAGCCCCAGCCCCAGTCACTGCTGCAGGCACAGATTTCAGCAGCTTCTATTACACCACTATTGCAGACTCAACCACAGCCCTTATTACAGCAGCCTCAGCAAAAAGGTATCTTTGCTTTTGTTTCAGGCAAATGTATAACTTTTTAGTTGTTGATAATGTAACTATGCTTTTAATTACAAAAAAAGGCAGGGATTTCAAGAAAACTTGAAGCCTAAAAATCCTGAATAGGACACATCTACTTCCATAGCTATGTGGAAGTATTTTTTTTTCTCTTAGTGATAAGAAATTAAAAGATACACCTTTGTGGACTTAAATATCAAAACTATTAAATTACTTATTAAACCATACCACATCAAATGAATTTGCTGGGTTTTAAGTTTTTTTGCAAATTGATTGTTTGAAACTCCAGATGTGTTCTTTTTCGCTCTGTCGCCCAGGCTGGAGTGCAGTGGTGCAATCTGGGCTCACTGCAACCTCAGCCTCCCCAGTTCAAGCTCTTCTCCTGCCTCAGCCTCCCAAGTAGCTGGGACTACAGTCATGTGCCACCATGCCCGGCAAATTTTTGTATTTTTAGTAGATACAGGGTTTCACCACGTTGGCCAGGCTGGTCTCGAACTCCTGACTTCAAGTTATCCGCCCACTTCGGCCTCCCAAAGTACTGGGATTACAGGCTTGAGCCGCTGCACCCGGTCCAGACGTGTTCTTATAAAAACACTGTTTAAAATGATGCATAGGGCCAGGCATGGTGGCTCACACCGTAATCCCAGCACTTTTGGAAAAATACAAAAAAAACTGGGTCGTGGTGGCAGGCGCCTGTAACCTCAGCTACTCTGGAGGCTGAGACAGGAGAATCGCTTGAACCCAGGAGGCGGAGGTTGCAGTTAGCCCAGATCACGCCATCGCACTTCAGTCTGGGCGATAAGAGCAAAACTCTGTCTCAAAAAAAAGAGAAAAAGATGACAGGTAGCCTTAGCTTACAGAAGCCTACTTAATTAGCATTAAAAAATGTAATTGTGACATGTTCTTTTTTTTTTTTTTTTTTTTTGAGGCAGGGTTTCTCTCTATCGCCAAGGCTAGAGTGCAGTGGTGTAATCTTGGCTCACTGCAACCTCCGCCTCCCCGGCTCAAGTGATCCTACTGCCTCAGCTCCCCTGAGTAGCTGGGACTACAGGTGCGCGCCACCCCGCCAGCCTAATTTTTGTATCTTTTGTAGAGACAGGGTTTCACCATGATGCCCAGGCTGCATTTTCTTTTTTTCTTTCTTTTTTTGGAGACAAGGTATTGGTCTGTCACTGAGGCATAGGTGCAGTGGTATGATCTCAGCTCACTGCAGCCTCGACCTCCTGGCCTTAAGGAATCCTCCCTTCTCAGCCCCCCTCTAATTTTTGCACCTTTTTTTAGAGATAGGGTTTTGCCATGTTGCCAGAGCTGGTGTTGAACTCCTGGACTCAAGTAATCTGCCTATTTCGGCCTCCCAAAGTGCCGAGATTACTGGTGTGAGCCACCGCAGCCGGCCAGTACCTATTCTTTAAAAATATATATAAATTAGGCCAACTTTGAAAAAACAATTTTAGTCACTCTCAGTTATTTAACTTTGTTCCTCTAATTTTATCAGGTAATGCCTTCGAACTTTGTTTAGACACGCTAAACGTTTTTTTCTTTTATCTTTTAAAGCTGGTTTATTGCAGCCTCCTGTTCGTATAGTTTCACAGCCACAACCGGCACGACGATTAGATCCCCCATCCCGATTTTCAGGAAGAAATGACAGAGGGGATCAAGTGCCTAACAGAAAAGATGATCGAAGGTATATTTTCTAAAGTGTACTGTGGATGGTGGCAATGGTTGTACAACAATGGAAACATAGTTAATGCCACTGAACTATGCTTATAATATAAAATTTTAAAATGGTAAATTTTATGTTATGTCTATTTTACTACAATTTTTAAAAAGTTAAACAAATATACTGTGGATTCTTGCTTATATTACCTACTCTATTTACTTCATTGAAGAGCTTTTCCATAATATTAGAAATATTAGTAATTTTAGAAAAATTTGCTTTCAGTCGTGAGAGAGAGAGAGAAAGACGTAGATCGAGAGAAAGATCACCTCAGAGGAAACGTTCCCGGGAAAGATCTCCACGAAGAGAGCGAGAGCGATCACCTCGGAGAGTTCGACGTGTTGTTCCACGTTACACAGTTCAGTTTTCAAAGTTTTCTTTAGATTGGTAGGTTATTCCCCACCCATTGTTTTCTTGAGTTACTAATTTCATATAATTTGATAGAATATGTCACAGAGGTATTTTTCTTGCAAGATTGATTTCCCGACAGTTAGTGTTCTTCATATAAGGGCAGAAATGCAATTTGAAATAACTTAATTATCTACAATGCTGCATTATTTTTATACCCCCATGAAGGATATCGACTGGTATTGAAAAAGGCAGCCCCTCAAGGAAATTCCTCTGTCATAACGTTATTCCCCTAAAGTTAGAATCAGTTAAGATCTAGACTTACTGATAACTTGAAGATCATGTATAGTCCATTGTGTATGATAAAGCAATAATAGAGTAGTAAACTGATTAATTTCAAGTTTAGCCCTGGCAGTGTAGTATAATAGAAACATTGATATGCGTATATACTCACATACATAATGTATTCACATGTATAGTGTATGTGTATGTATATACATAAATATATTATTCACCCTTTGAATCAGAAGCCATGACAAATTACCAGAAATTTCTTTTTTCTTTTTTCTTTTTTTTTTTTTTTTTTTGAGATAGGGTCTTACTCTTTCACCCAGGTTGGAGTGCAGTGGCATGATCTTAGCTCACTGCAGCCTCTGCCTCTGCCTCCTGGGTTCAAGCTATTCTCCTGCCTCAGCCTCCCTAGTAGCTGGGATTACAGGTGCTCAGCACCACACCCAGCTAATTTTTGTATTTTTAGTAGGGACGGGGTTTCACCATGTTGTTGGCCAGGTTTGTTTCGAACTCCTAACCTCAAGTGATCCACCTGCCTGGCCCTCCCAAAGTGCTGGGATTACAGGTGTGAGCTACTGCTCCTGGCCAAGTTGCCAGGAATTTCTGAGGTTCACCTGCAAAACAAAGGTAATATTAACTAGCAAAATTATTGTGAGGTTTAGTTCATGTATCCAAAGGACTTAACCCAGTGTGTGGCAGTTGTATAGTCTCAGTAATTAATGGTGGGTTATGGTCGCAACTTAGGTAATAGATTAATAGATGGAAAAATAACAAATTGACAGTAAAATAAGAAAATCATTAAAAGCAGTGTTCAGGGCTGTTTAGCCTAAAAGCAAATAGCTATATGCAATGCAGTGGCCTAAGAGGATATTATTATGTTTAAACAGAGTGATAATTACCGTTCATAATACTTGCCTATCAGAGGTCAAAATTTCCAGATATTCAGTTCTAGATTTAGTAACCCAGTGAATTTTAGTCAAGCTACTTAATGCCAAGAAAATTTTGCTTGGTGACTTTGCTTAATTATGTTACATAGTTGGCGTTCATTTACTCTTACTTATGGTCAAATCAGCACCTACTTTTTTTTTTGTTTTTGTTTTTTTTTTTGAGATGGAGTTTCGCTCTTGTTCCCCAGGCTGGAGAGCAATGGCGCGATCTTGGCTCCCTGCAACCTCTGCCTCCCAGGTTCAAGCAATTCTCCTCCCTCAGCCTCCCGAGTAGCTGGGATTACAGGAATGCGCCACCACACCTGGCTAATTTTGTATTTTTAGTAGAAACAGGGTTTCACCATGTTGGCCAGGCTAATCTCAAACTCCTTACCTCAGGTGATCCAGTCGCCTCAGCCTCCCAAAGTGCTGGGATTACAGGTGTGAGCCACCATGCCTGGCCCAGCAACTACTCTTAACTTTACACTAGTTTTCTTCTTATAGCTGCTTACTCTTATACTTAAAAATCTGTAGTCTGCATATTTCCGAGAAACCAGTCGAAACCAAAACCACTTTTCCCAGCCTCAAAGATATTAAATAGAGGAGCTCTGATTTTAACCCATCTGTTCTCAATATTGAATGCTCTTTTGGGAAGAGTTGATGCATAGGATATGAAATTGAACAGCTATTTAGCTTCTTCTCAATTAGACCTTCAGGGGCCAGGTGCAGTGGCTGACGCCTGTAATCCCAGCACTTCAGGAGGCTGAGGCGGACAGATCACTTGAGGTCAGGAGTTCAAGGCCAGCCTGGCCAACATGGTGAAACTCCATCTCTACTAAAAAATAAAAAAATTAGCTGGGCGTGGTAGTGTGCGCCTGTAATCCCAGTTTCTTGGGAGGCTGAGGCAGGAGAATCGCTTGAACCCGGGAGGCAGAGATTGCAGTGTGCCGAGATTGCACCACTGCACTCCAGCCTGGGAGACAGAGGGAGACTGTCTCAAAAAATAAAAAACTAATAATAATAAATTACACCTTCACAGTTTAGTTTTTTGTTTTTGTTTTTTTTTTTTTTGAGATGGAGTCTTGCTCTGTCGCCCAGGCTGGAGTGCAGTGGCTCAATCTCGGCCCACTGCAAGCTTTGCCTCCCGGGTTCACGCCATTCTCCTGCCTCAGCCTCCCGAGTAGCTGGGACTACAGGCGCCCGCTACCACGCCCAGCTAATTTTTTTTGTATTTTTAGTAGAGACAGGGTTTCGCCGTGTTAGCCAGGATGGTCTCCATCTCCTGACCTCATGATCCGCCCACCTCGGCCTCCCAAAGTGCTGGGACTACAGGCGTGAGCCACCGCACCCGGCCTCACAGTTTAGTTTTACCACTTTGAAGTAAATTCCGAGAACATTAAATGGATCTCTTGCAAGTAAAAATGATTTTAAAGTTTCCATACTTCTCATTTGTAGTTGTGTAAATCAAGATTTTCTTATACTAATATGATTATAAGAAACTTCGTGCCCATGAAATGATTTATTTGTACTTATATCTTTTGTTTTATTATAAATTTTACTCCTGTGGGGTAAAACATGACTTCATAAATTCTGGTGATACGGAATTGGGAAACAATTATACATACTTGCTTTTTGTAACACTTCCTTAAAAACAAAACTCAGATACTTGTTTCATGTTTTTATTATTTTGACAGCAGAATCATATCCAAATAAAGTATAATTATAGGCCTGGCACTGGTGGCTCATGCCTGTAATCCAGCACTTTAGGAGGCTGAGGTGGAAGGATCACTTGAGGCCAGGAGTTTGAGACCAGCCTAGGCATATAGTGAGACCTCACCTCTACAAAAAGTAGAAGTTAGCCACATGTGGTAGTGCACCCGTAGTCCTAGCTATAATACTTAGAAGCTGACATGGAAGGATTGCTTGAGCCTAGGAATTCAGGTTATAGCAAGCTGTGAGTATGCCACACTGCACTCTGGCCTGGGCGACAGAGCAAGATTCTGCCTGTAGATAGGATAGAATAGATAGATAGATAGATAGATAGATAGATAGATAGATAGATAGATAGATAGATAGATTCTGTCTGTAGATAGAATAGATAGATAAATAGATGAATAGGTAGGCAGGTAATAGTCTGTTAACTGACAGGTTTATTACTCTGTATTTATTTTTATACTTCAAATAAAGACATCTCTGCATGTAGATTACTTCATCTTTCATACTTCTGCTTTTAGTTGTCTTTTCATCTTACATTATACTTTTAACAGACATCTCTTAGCCTTTTGCCAGATTGACCTTTCAGTTCCTCTCTTTTAAAAGCTCTACTTCTTAGGAAAAAGGAAATGATCCTTTAAAAAATCAGTGTGAGATTTAAAAGGCAAGAAATTTATCCCCTCTATACATAATAATCAGGTATGGATCTTAATCATTCACAGAGAAAGGGTTGTGGAGGTGCAGATAATCCAAGGAACATATGAATTTTGCTTTTTGTGGATTTTTGTATTTAATTTTGAATGTAAGTATGCTTGATCTAGGAACTTACTATAGTAAAATAAAAGTTATAATTTTTCTACACTCAAAAACCTGATTGAGGGGCGTACAGAAATACTAATACTCTCATTGCTGTTTTGTATCTATTCAACATGAACCATAATTTTCAAGTAATCCACAGTTCCAACTGAGGAAAACCTGCTTTTGTACAGATCTTTTCTGGAGCTGAGATTCAAGTTATTTCAAAGCGTCTTCTGTAACAAAAAGTATCAAAATAAGGATAACACTGAGAATACTATTTATTCAAAGCTTTGCGTATATAAATTTGAACGTAATATTTTCATATGTCTCTATGCAAATCTATAGCTCATTAGTAACTGACTTTGTCTTTTTTCAGCTTACTTTTTACTATATCCAGTTATATTTGCTACAGAATTAAATGTTTGTGTAACCTTTTTTATTAAGGCTATTTATTCACTACTTATGTCTGTTTTTCAGTCCCAGTTGTGACATGATGGAACTAAGGCGCCGTTATCAAAATTTGTATATACCTAGTGACTTTTTTGATGCTCAATTTACATGGGTGGATGCTTTCCCTTTGTCAAGACCATTTCAGCTGGGAAATTACTGCAATTTTTATGTAATGCACAGAGAAGTAGAGTCCTTAGAAAAAAATATGGCCATTCTTGATCCACCAGATGCTGACCACTTATACAGTGCAAAGGTTTGTATTCAGCTGTGATATGCAGCTTAAATTTCTTAGCAGTTATTCATAATAAAAGGGTATGTAGAATTATCCTTCAGAAAGTGTTTGTTAGGTAGACCCGAATACCTGTTTTCTTCTTAACTGCTTGATCCTATTTTGGTTACATAATTTAATTTAAGCTCTCTTTGCCTCATCTCTTGAGCTGTAAAACTAGTTATTCTAACATTTTAAACCTTATTAAAAATGTGAAGATAAAGTTGATATTAATGAGATATTTGGAATGTTGTATGACTTCTGGTAGCCTCAGATAAAACTTAATGTTAGATGAATGCACTAAATGTCAATCTTAAGGGAAACATTCAGTATATTGTGTATAGTCTATAGTTTTGTTTAAAGCATTGTGTGACTGAAAAAGCATCCCTTCAAAAGTTAAAACTAAGTAATTATAAGGTATCTAGGCCTGGCGTGGTGGCTCACGCCTGTAATCCCAGCACTTTGGGAGGCTGAGGTATCTAATACTGTTTCTGCTATAGTATTACTTCCTATTTTTATTTAAATTTCAGACATCTTATATTTAAAGATAATTAGTAGTGCTTCTCATTTTTTCACATTACTTTAGACTTTTGACAGGATTGAATTATTTGACTATAATAGGTAATGCTGATGGCTAGCCCTAGTATGGAAGATTTATATCATAAGTCATGTGCTCTTGCTGAGGACCCACAAGAACTTCGAGATGGATTCCAACATCCTGCTAGACTTGTTAAGGTAAAAGGACACATTTGTTTTAACTTTAGATGTATTCACTTTGCTTAGCTGTAACTTTGTACACATAAAATCTAAAGCCCTACATTTTAATATTTGTTGATTAATGAGTAATTTTAGTATTAAGGCACCCAGAATTTAATGATGTAGATGTTTTTCTCATTGCAGATTACAACTATATCTTATTTGTACGCTACTAGTTCAACAGTCATTTTGATGTTTTATATTTGTAACATAGTAGAATATTAGTGGTAATAGGATTCAGAGTGTCTTTGGATGTTGTTGAAGTTTGAATTATAGCTTGTTTCTTTAAAAGAACTCTATCTGAAGAAATATTTTAAAAGGATGAGTTATGATGTGTGTAAATCCTATTCCATTGCTGAAATGCAGTGTGGAACACAATGAACTGAACTCTTCCTTGACTGACAGATACCAGAGGTAGTAAAAATGATATTGGAAAGGTTTGTACCTTTCCTTCTCAAGTATCTTATTGGTAATTTGACAGGGTGCGTAATATATGTAAATGATTCTTTGTTTTGAATTAGTTTTTAGTGGGCATGAAAGGCAAGGATGAAGCTATGGCCATTGGAGGCCACTGGTCTCCTTCGTTGGATGGACCAGACCCAGAAAAAGATCCCTCTGTGTTGATTAAGACTGCTATTCGTTGTTGTAAGGCTCTGACAGGCATTGATCTAAGTGTGTGCACACAATGGTAAGTACTAATTCATTTCTTGATTAGAAGTGTTTTACTGATAGTTTATGTAGTTGTTCTTATCGATCAGCCTTTTCCCCCCGGCTTATTTTAGCAACCCTGGTCAATGCAGGTAATCTCAAAGGAAAATCCCCATTTGTAGCTAAAGTTTATTTGGTGCCAAAATGTTTTGGGGGAAAAGGGATTAAGAACTAATCAAAATAAACTGAAAATTTAAATGTTTTGTTATGTTGTACTTTGGAAGTTGGATGTATGTTGAAAATACTTTTCATTTCATGCATAGCTGGAGAAGATCGTCAAGAGAGAACTTCATTTCATTATAATTCTTTTGTTATAAAATGATGTAGTTGCGATTATTTTTGTTCAGCCATATTTTCTCTTGAGGCTTATTTGTCCTGTGTATTTTAGTGTATCTCTTGTGACTTAATTTGAGAATATTCTTTTTTAGCACATGAAATCTGAACAGCTATCCAGCTTCTTCAGGTATTCTCTAAAATGCGGGTAGCTCTGTAATCAAACTTGAAAATGCCTTGGGGGAACATATTCTTCCTTTAACTTATTAAATATTGTACAAATGTACCAAAAGAGGAACTATGGCTTCTATAATTTTTTTTTCTTTAGACCAACCTCAAGTTCTTGCAGCAAAATTTCTTTACTTGATGTGCTACAAGTGAACTAGGGTCTTTAAAATGTATTTTAGAATTTTTTTTCCAACATGCTTCTTCCCTTGCAACAGGTACCGTTTTGCAGAGATTCGCTACCATCGCCCTGAGGAGACCCACAAGGGGCGTACAGTTCCAGCTCATGTGGAGACAGTGGTTTTATTTTTCCCGGATGTTTGGCATTGCCTTCCCACCCGCTCAGAGTGGGAAACCCTCTCCCGAGGATACAAGCAGCAGCTGGTCGAGAAGCTTCAGGGTGAACGCAAGGAGGCTGATGGAGAACAGGCACTGAACGCTAATCCCTTTTTCTATTTCCGCTTCTCACAGGCACAGGAACACAGGCACAAATGCACACCACACACTACATAATAAACACACATGGAGGAACATAACTGGTAACAGCGACTGGTAATCCAGCTTTCAGCAGTATAGTTGTATGTTCTTTTCTCTTAAAATTTCTGTCTTATTATCCTAACTTTAAGAGTGCTGAGACCTCAAAGGAAAATAAGTTGTGCTTAAATTGCACAGAATTTTGTTTTTATCATAGGTCTAGTTGCTGGAATCTGGGACCAGTTGTTGAACAAGATTCAGTATTAAGCCATTTTAAACATTTTGCCATTTTCTAAAATTTAAAAAATTTTCTTTTTCATGGTCATCAGTTCTAGTCATGGATATTTGAAATTGGACAACCACAAGTCTGAGAGATTTGAAATTTCAGGCTATGTGGCAACGTCTTTGGTACATTTCAAAGGTCTGACTAAATCAGTCTTTGGGTGGCTTGAAAATTGAGGCAAGATCACACACTGTGTGGTTTGTGGAGACCGGCAGTGTTTGTGCATCCCTGATATCCTTTGTGTTGTAATTTATCACCCTTTTGTGTTTCACAGATCTGGCTTTGATTGGCTGATGAGTGTCTTTGTGATCAGTTAAAAGTGGTAGAATGTATGTACGTGGACTTGCCTAAATAATAACTTTAGGAGAAGACAATCTGAAACATTTGTGACCTTGCACAGATCAGCAACAGACTTTTAAAAATAAATTATTTTTATTTTAAGGTTTCATAATAGTAATTACATTCTTAACTTTGTATGTCAGGATGAAGAAGAGAAGGATGATGGTGAAGCTAAAGAAATTTCTACACCTACCCATTGGTCTAAACTTGATCCAAAGACAATGAAGGTAACTTTGATAAGGATGGATTTTATTTATTTTTTTCAATTAAAAAGTTCTTTCTGAGATGGAGTCTCGCTCTGTCGCCCAGGCTGGAGTGTAGTGGCGCGATCTCGGCTCACTTCAGCCTCTGCCTCCTGGGTTCAGTAGATTCTCTTGCCTCAGCCTCCTGAGTAGCTGGGATTACAGGCACCCTGCCACCACGCCTGGCTAATTTTTCTAGTTTTAGTAGAGACAAGGTTTCAGAATGTTGGCCAGTTTGGTCTCGAACTCCTGACATCAGGTGATCCACCTGCCTCAGTCTCCCAAAGTGCTGGGATTACAGGCATGAGCTGCCGTGCCTGGCCAATTGTATTTATATACATATAAATTAAAAGGCAATTTTATAAATCAGTACAGCCAATATCTGTTGAATGCCTATAATATATGAGGGTCTATAGTGTAACTATAGTAACTTTGAGAACTAAGAAGGTAGGATTTCTGCACTAAGTAACTTCAAGGGGATGGGACTATAGGCGCCTGCCACCACGCCCGGCTAATTGTTTTGTATTTTTAGTAGAGATCGGGTTTCACCGTGTTAGCCATTATGGTCTCAATCTCCTGACCTCGTGATTCACCCGCCTTGGCATCCCAAAGTGCTGGGATTACAGGTGTGAGCCACCGTGCCTGGCCGTAATTTGGTTTTTAAAATAGAATATTTTTTTGAGACAGAGTCTTGCTGTGTTTCCCAGACTGGAGTGCAGTGGAATGATCTTGGCTCACTGCAGCTTTGGCCTCCTGGGTTCAAATGATTCTTGTGCCTCAGCCTCTCGAATAGCTTGGATTACAGGCACGTACAACCATGCCAGGCTAATTTCTGTATTTTTAGTAGAGATGGGATTTTGCCATATTGGTCAGGCCGGTCTCACACTCCTGGCCTCAAGCGATCTATCCACCCCCGCCTCCCAGAGTGTTAGGATTACAGGCGTGAGCTACTGCGCCCAGCCTAAAATATATTTAAAATTAAAACATAGATTGATACACATCTAAACTGGGAAGAGGCCAGAAGCGGTGGCTCACTCCTGTAGTCGCAGCACTTTGAGAGGCATAGATGGGCAGATCGCTTGAGTCCAGGAGTTTGAGACCATCCTGGGCAGTGTGTGTGTGTGTGTGTGTGTGTGTGTGTGTGTGTGTGTGTATACAGTGTATACATATATATATGTACACACGTTTGTATATATGTACACACACATATATATACGTGTGTGTATATATATATATATGTATATATACACACGTGTATATATATATATATGTATATATACACACGTGTATATATATATTTTTTTTTTTGAGACAGAGTCTTGCTTTGTTGCCCAGACTGGAGTGCAGTGGCACGATCTTAACCTATGCCTCCCGGGTTCAAGAGATTCTCGTGCCTCAGCCTCCCGAGTAGCTGGGACTACAGGCCTGTGCCACCATGCCTGACTAATTTTTGTATGTTTAGTAGAGATGGGGTTTCACCATATTGGCCAGGCTGGTCTGAACTCCTGACCTCAATTGATCCACCCACCTCAGCCTCCCAAAGTGCTGGGATTACAGATGTGATCCTCCTCCCCTGGCCCGCTGTCATTCATAACATTGTTAGGTGTTTTATTCCATTTGTATTTTTCTGGGTACAAGTTTTGTGATTGGCTGATTGCTTATTGTATATAAAAGTTACGATCACTTCAACCCAAGGATACTGAATAGAAAAAACAACAACCAACAACCATAAAGTAATAAGCCAGGCAAGGTAGCTCATGCCTGTGATCCCAGCACTTCTGGAGGCTGAAGCAGGAGGATTACTTCAGTCTAGGAGTTTGAGATCAGCTTCTGCAACATAGTGAGGCCCTGTCTCTACAAAAAGTTTAAAAAATTATTTGGGCATAGTGGCACACGCCTGTAGTCCCAGCTACTTGGGAAGCTGAGGTGGGAGGATTGCTTGAGCCTGGAAGCTGGAGCCTGCAGTGAACTATCATTGTGCCACTGTACTCCAGCCTAGGCAACAAAATGAAATCCTGTCTAAAAATAAATACATATGTGTGTGTAAGGTTGCAGCTGGGCACAATGCTTTATGCGTGTAATCCTAGCACTTTTGGAGGCCCAGATGGGCAGATTGCTATAGCCCAGTAGTTCAAGATCAGCCCTGGCAACATACTGAGACTCTCTACCAAAAAAAAAAAAATTAGCTGAGCATGGTGATGCATGCCTATAGTCCTAGCTACTCAGGAGCCTGAGGTGGGAGGATCACTTGAACTTGGAAGGTCAATGCTGCCGCGGTGAGCCGTGAGCTGTGAGCCATGAGCCATGGTTGTGCCACTCCAGCCTGGGTGACAGAGCAAGACCCTGCCTCAAAAAAAAAAGAAAAATGACTCATCCTGTTGCGTTAACATTAATTTTATCCATGTAATTATTTTTAAATATTTTATACTATTCAATTAAATTGATATACAGATATTTCTTAGGTGGTATTATTATTATTTTTAAAGGGACAGAGTGCAGTGGTGTGATGAGAGTTCACTGTAGCTTCAAACTCCTAGGCTCAAGTGGTCCTCTGACCTAAGCCTCTCAAGTAGCTTGGGCTAAAGACATGTTCCACCATGCCTGGCTAATTTTTTTTTCTAAAGAGATGGGGTTTTGCTATGTTCCCCATGCTGATTTTAAACTCCTGGCCTCAAGCGATCCTTCCACCTTGGACTCCAAAGGTGCTAGGATTACAGGCACGAGCCACCATTCCCTGCTGGTGTTACTCCTCTGTTGGACATTTGTTTATTTACTTAACTTTTAGAGACAAGGTCTCTGTCGCCGCGGCTGGAGTGCAGTGCATAGTTCACTGGAACCTTAAACTCCTGGGCTCAAGCAGTCTTCCCATCTCAGCCTCCCAAGTGGTTAGGACTACAGGCATTCACCACCACACCTGGCTAATTTATGAGACATTTAGACTCTTCCCTTTTTTGGAGGGAGGAAATAAGTAAATCTATAGTTTTGTGGGGTTTTTTCCCCCTTCTATTTAGGATGTTTCCTTAGGGTAGACAGCCAGAAATTAGAACTTCTGGGTCAAAGAACATTTAAAAAAATTTTTATGCATGTTAAAATGTTTTATTTTCTAAAAATATTCTATCATTTTGCATTTTCACAAGTGTTTTGTGAGCTGTACAAATGTTCTTTTCACCACATTTTTAAAAAGTCACACGAAAGGCTGGGCGTGGTGGCTCACGCCTGTAATCCCAGCACTTTGGGAGGCCAAGGCAGGCTGATCACGAGGTCTGGAGTTCGAGACCAGCCTGACCAACATGGTGAAACCCCGTCTCTACAAGTACAAAAATTAGTTGGATGTGATTGTGCGCATCTGTAATCCCAGCTACTTGGGGGGCTGAGACAGGAGAATTGCTTGAACCTGGGAGGCAGAGCTTGTGGTAAGCCGAGATCACGCCACTGCACTCCAGCCTGGGCGACAGAGTTTGGCTCTGTTTCAAAAAAAACAAAAAACAAAAAAAAAAAAAACACACAAAATATAATTGTTAATTGTAGCTAGTTTGTTTCCTATTTCAATATCCGCTGCCCCCCGCCCCCCGCCACCTTTTTTTTTTCCGTGTTTTTCTGCTCCATATATTCAGGTAAATGACCTCCGAAAAGAATTAGAAAGTCGAGCTCTTAGTTCCAAAGGATTAAAATCCCAGTTAATAGCCCGATTGACAAAACAGCTTAAAGTAGAGGAACAAAAAGAAGAACAGAAGGAGTTAGAGAAATCTGAAAAAGAAGAGGATGAGGATGATGATAGGAAATCTGAAGACGATAAAGAGGTATGTACTCAATCTATTATTATACTCTATGGTATTAATATTCATGTATAGGGTGTTCTTGGAATACGTGAGTTAAGATTATGTGTGTGTAAGCTTTTATTTATTTAATTTAATTAATTAATTTATTTATTTGAGACTGAGTCTCGTTCTGTTGCCCAGGCTGGAGTGCAGTGGAGTGATCTCAGCTCACTGCAACCTCCGCATCCCAGGTTCAAGCTATTCTCCTGCCTCAGCCTCCCGAGTAGCTGAGATTACAGGCGCCCGCCACTACGCCTGGCTAATTTTTTGTATTTTTAGTAGAGACGGGGTTTCACCATGTTGGCAGGCTAGTCTCGAACTCCTGACCTTGTGATTCGCCTGCCTCAGCCTCCCAAAGTGCTGGGATTACAGGCGTGAGCCACCGTGCCCAGCTATTTATTTATTTTTTGAGATGGAGTTTCGCTCTTGTTGCCTAGGAGGGAGTGCAATGGCACGATCTTGGCTCACCACAACCTCCACCTCCCAGGTTCAAGCAATTCTCCTGCCTTGGCCTCCCAAGTAGCTGGGATTACAGGCATGCACCACTACGCCTGGCTAATTTTGTGTTTTTAGTAGAGAAGGTGTTTTTCCATGTTGGTCAGGCTGGTCTCGAACTCCTGACCTCAGGTGATCCGCTTACCTCAGCCTCTCAAAGTGCTGAGGTTACAGGCGTGAGCCACTGTGCCCGGCCATGCATATGCGTTTATTAAGGTGCAATTTACTTATTATAAAATTCAACCTTTTTTGTGAACAGTTCTGTGAGTTTTTACAAATGCATATAGTTATATAACCACCACCAACACCACAATGAAGATACAAAACAGTTCTAGGTAAAAAGGCCGGGAGCGGTGGCTCATGCCTGTAATCCCAGCACTTTGGGAGGCCGAGGTGGGCGGATCACGAGGTCAGGAGATCGAGACCGTCCTGGCTAACATGGTAAAACCCCGTCTTTACTAAAATTACAAAAAATTAGCTGGGCGTGGTTGCAGGCGCCTGTAGTCCCAGCTACTGGGGAGGCTGAGGCAGGACAATGGCCTGAACCCGGGAGGCGGAGCTTGCAGTGAGCCCAGATTGCGCCACTGCACTCCAGCCTGGGCGACAGAGTGAGACTCTGTCTAAAAAAAAAAACAAAACAAAAAACAAACAAAAAAAAAACAGTTCTAGGTAAATGGCTCAGAAATTGAGTTCTAGTGAAGTGCTTATTCCAGAATCTGTCTACTTCTAAAACAGTATGTTTGATTGAGTCAAACCTTGAGACTCAGACTATTTATTCAAGCTGTTTTATGCTTCAGTTTTATGTCCAATAGAATAACTCCCGGATGCATAAGCCTGTTACTTGTTTTCTGAATTTGAAATATAGGGATATCAGAAGTGTGTTTTAGCACCAGTAATTGGATAAGCCACATAATCAGTTTCTAAATCTTATACATTGTAAAGTACACATCATTATTTATGAAGAATTACTTCCAGAAATGTTTGCTCTAAATCTGATTGTGAGAAAACAGATAAATCTAGAATGTGAAATTTTCTTTTTTAAATTTTTTATTTTTTTTAAATTTTTTTAGAATGTGAAAAATTCTCGAAGCTTTCCTAAGCTTTTCAAAAAATGGTCCATATAATGAAAGATAAAAGAAAGAAGTGGTTAAAGGGATCTCTTAGATTAAAGGAGGCTAGTGAGACATAACAACCAAATGAACTAAGTGAAACCTGACTAGATCCTGGATAGGCAAAAATAAAAGTCATAGAGAGTATTTTTGGGACAGTTGGAGAAATTTTATTATGGATATGGATGTGACATTAGATAATATTAAAGCAGTGTTAAATTTCTTGAATGTGATAATGGTTTTGTGATTGTGTAAGATAATTACCTTGTTCTTAGGTGATGCATGGACTTGTGATTTCTTTTTTTTTAATGTATTTTATTTTTTAACTTTATTTGTTTATTTATTTATTTATTTTGAGACGGAGTCTCGCCCTGTTGCCAGGTTGGAGTGCAGTGGTGCGATCTCGGCTCACTGCAGCCTCTGCCTCCTGGGTTCAAGCTATTCTTCTGCCTCAGCCTCCTGAGGAGCTGGGACTACAGGCATGCACCACCATGCCCAGCTAATTTTTGTATTTTTAGTAGAGACGGGGTTTTGTCATGTTGGCCAGGATGGTCTCAATCTCTTGACCTCGTGATCCACCCGCCTCAGCCTCCCAAAGTGCTGGTATTACAGGCTGGTATTACATTGCGCCCAGCCTTATTTTTATTTTTTGAGACGGAGTCTCTCTCTGTTGCCCAGGCTGCAGTGGAGTGGCACGATCTCGGCTCAGTGCAACTTCTGCCTCCTGGGTTCAAGCGATTCTTGTACCTCAGCCTCCCGAGTAGCTGGGATTACAGGCGCCTGCCACCATGCCTGGCTAATTTTTGTATTTTTAGTAGAGATGGGGTTTCGCCATGTTAGCCAGGCTGGTCTCAAACTCCTGATCTCAGGTGATCTACCCACCTTGGCCTCCCAAAGTGCTGGGATTACAGGTGTGAGCCACCGTGCTCAGCCCTCAATGAGTTATTTTCGTGATGAAATTGTCCCAGAGTTGGACGGTGGGAGTTCTTTCAAGTTATGTGCCCTTTTGACATACCTTCATCACTTTTTGAGGACTTCTTTACTTACTAGCATTTTAAAGCATTTCAGTTTTATTTTGTGCTATCCTTGTCCTAGTTCAGGAATCAGTCATTTCCCCAGGAAGCCCTGGTTCCTTTTTAGTGAAGAATGGTATTTAGAATCCAAGATATGCTCATTGCAATTAGGTTGCTGCTCCCAACCCCTTTCAGTGAACAGAGATATGGAAGATAGATATATAGATAAGTAGATAGCTAACACTTACAAATATTTAAATCTATATTTATTTCTATATCTTACACATATTGAAAGCTGTGAATTTACACAGGTGCCTCTAATTCTTCCAGTGATCTGACTCTACCCTATGCTATCTCTGCATGGATTATTGTCCTTGCTCCATCTGGGTTTCAATATTTAGTAATGAAGCAGCTCATCATCACTGGGCAGTTGTGGCTCCACCACCCTGCCAGCCTCCGTCTCCTGTGTAGACATTAACCTTCCTTGAAAAGAGTGCTTTAGAACTGAATTGTTCAGGATAGATGGAGACAACTTCGTGAGACCCCATCTCTACAAAAAAAAAAAAAAATTTAGCCGAGCATGGTCACATGTGGCTGTAGTCTCAGCTACTGGGGAGGATTGCTTGAACCCAGGAGGTCAACGCTATTTGTGAGCTATGATCACACCACTACTCTCTAGCCAGGGTGACAGAGTGAGACCCTGTCTCAAAACAAAAAAAAAAAAGTTGCATGTATTGAAATGCACAAACCCTTACCAAGTTGCAGATCTTTTCCATCTTCCATCCAGTCTCTTTTTGGATTGGCTTTTAGCAGGCCTGATTCTCCTTTCCCACGGCCACTTCTATTAGAGAAGCTGAAGAATTGCTACAGATAGGGTCAGATACATGATCTATCTACCAATCAGATACTCACTTTCTGAATTTTGAATGTTAAGATCATGATGCAGAATTCCTGTGTCTCTTGTAACATTTTCTTTTAGCACACTTTAAAAATAGTAATTTAAAATTTTCATCTGCCTTGTGGTGGTGTCTTTCTGGCCCACTTTCATCATCTACAGGGATGTAATTCTGCTGCTGCTTCTCACTCTCTTTTTTAAAACATACTAAATTTGTATGGGATTTGACCTCAATACTTGAATCATTTTTGTGTGAATTTAGATTGTCCGAATTTTATAAACGTAGTTTCTTTCAGATAGCTTTTCTAAATTCATAGAGTTCTGCTCTTACGTTTTGTTGTTTTCTTGTTTTGTCAGAAACACATGTTGGCTTGCTTTCTGAAGTTTGCTGTTCCTTTTGCCCTTCATCACTTTTTACCTGGGCGTTCTCCTATGTCTTTGTTGTCCCTCTCCTAGTCCCAGCAGTTTCTCCTCAGTATAGGGCCCTGGTAAATGAGCTTTGCAAGTTTGTAAGGCTAGAGTGGCCTAGGCCTCTTCAGATCTTAAAATAAATTCTCCACTCACTCTCTTGTAAGGGGTGAAATTTTGCCTAGTTTCAGCTGCTGCACTTTCCAGTAAATACCTACTGGCTGTTTTTTGGTTTTCTTGTTCTCCCATTGCTTCCTTATGCTTTCTTTGGACACATTCATCAGTAACACATGGGTCTTTTGGCCTTTTCCCACCCATTTGTATATTGGTTTGTGGGGATACCTTGTCACTTAGTTTTGTTATGAATGCTATCAGTTTTTGATTTTTATATCTATATTGCTTTGTCTTTTTAGTGTGAGGTTTCAGGAAGATCTAAAACCTATGCTACCACTACTATTTTCCGAGAATTTTCTAATTTATATAATCTCAATATAGATAATTTTTCCCCCTCTTTACAAGGCAGTTTCTTATGCTGGGAAATCCAAAAGAGAGTTAGGAGCCATCAAAGCTTACTACTCTTAGTGAATTTGAGCTTTCCTCCCTTCTCAACGCTTATGGTTTGTATAAGTACCATGAAGAGTCATGGGAATTTTGTTCCTTTTATTTATGAGATATATATTCAATATATATTCATCTTGCACATGTATATACATCCTACTTGCAGATTTAACCTTGACTTGAAATTTGAAATATTTAGGAAGAAGAAAGGAAACGTCAAGAGGAAATAGAACGCCAGCGTCGAGAAAGAAGATATATTTTGCCTGATGAACCGGCCATCATTGTACATCCAAATTGGGCTGCAAAAAGTGGCAAGTTTGATTGTAGCATCATGTCTTTGAGTGTCCTATTGGACTACAGATTAGAGGATAATAAAGAACATTCATTTGAGGTAATGTTTTAAGTTTGAAATAAGATCCATATAAGGTCCACACATTATGACTAGTTAATATATCTCTATCTCTGAAATCTTTTTTCTTTGTTTTTCGCTTTTCGTGGTTTTTTTTGTTTTGTTTTGTTTTTGTTTTTTTTTGAGACAGAGTTTCACTCTGTTACCCATGCTGGAGTGCATTGGCATGATGGTGGCTCACTGCAACCTCTGTCTCCCGGGTTCAAGCAATTCTCCTACCTCAGCCTCCTGAGTAGCTGGGATTACAGGCACCTGCCACCACACCCAGCTAATTTTTGCATTTTTAGTAGAGACGGGGTTTCACCATGTTGGCCAGCCTGGTCTCGAACTCCTGACCTCAGGTGATCTGCCCGCCTCAGCCTCCCAAAGTGTTGAGATTACAGGTGTGAGCCACCATGCCCGTATCTCTGAAATCTCTTTGAATGCCTCTTTCATTCTTTCTTTTTTGAGACGGAGTTCACTCTTATTGTCCAGGCTGGAGTGCAGTGATATGATATCTGCTCACTGCAACCTCCGCCTCCCGGGTTCAAGCAGTTCTCCTGCCTCAGCCTCCCGAGTAGCTGAGATTACAGGCATGAGCCACCATGCCCAGCTAATTTTGTATTTTTAGTAGAGACGGGGTTTCTCCATGTTGGTCACGCTGGTCTCGAACTCCAACCTCAGGTGATCTGCCCGCCTCAGCCTCCCAAAGTGCTGGGATTACAGGCCTGAGCCACCGTGTCTGGCCCTGAATGCCTTTTCATTGCTTGTTTTTTTGAGTTTCTGTTGTTTTTTTGTTGTAGTCTACTTCTTGGGAAAAAATAGATGATTTGTCCTCTAACTTTCCTTACAGACTCACTTTTGCTGATTGCATTTCTGTGGTATGGTTTATGTGTTCCTCTGTCCTCTGTATTTCATGTAAATTGATTGTTGGATCTAAATTTTTAATCAAGTCCAGTTCTGTTTTTTCCCTAAGACGCTTTCATAAGTAGTGTGGTATGTTCTTTCTTCAGGATATCCATAATGTCTAGTTGTCTCTTTTGGGGATGAGGTAATGCTTTATTATTTTCTCTAGAATTAAAATAGCATTTAATACCATTTAAAGAGATAAAAAATTTAACTTGCGTTTGAGTTGTAAGAGAAAATAATTGTTTAACTTTTCATTATTAATCTATTTTTTGTATCATTATTTTATGTATTTATTTATTTTTGAGACAGTCTCACTTTGTTGCCCAGAATGGAATACGATGGCACAATCTGAGCTCACTGCAACCTCTGCCTCCCAGGCTCAAGCGATTCTCCTGCCTCAGCCTCCCGGGTAGCTGAGATTACAGGCATCTGCCACAATGCCTGGCTAATTTTTTGTATTTTTAGTAGGGACAGGGTCTCAAACTCCTGACCTCAAGTGATCCAACTGCCTCAGCTTCTCAAATTGCTGAGATTACAGGCGTGAGCCAACTGCACCCGGCCTATTTATTTATTTATTGAGACAGAGTCTCCCTCTGTCACCCAGGCTGGAGTGCAGTGGCTCGATGTTGGCTCACTGCAACCTCCGCCTCCCAGGTTTGAGCAGTTCCCCTCCCTCAGCCTCCCAAGTAGCCGGAATTACAGTTGCGCACTGCCAGCCCCGGCTAATTTTTGCATGTTGGCCAGTCTGATCTTGAACTCTTGACCTCAGGTGATCCACTCTCCTTGGCTTCCCAAAGTGCTGGGATTATAGGCATGAGCCATTTCACCTAGCCTGTATCATTATTTAGAGCAGCTTTACATCATGTAGTTTAGTTTACTTTACAACATGTTTGTTTTCAAAACAATTGAAAACTTTTATCTTTAAGTGTAATTGCTTCACTCCTTAAAAATAGAATTTCCAACATATTAATTTTGTAGTGTCCTGTACAAAATCATATCTAAAATTATTACTGTGTTTAATTATTGTATCTTATCAACATATCTTATGTTCTTTTATTTTCTAAATTATATTGGAAAAATCAATCATGCTTCTTTGAACCAGAAGGTCATTGTTTACCAACTGGTAAGATGAAAATCAAGGATGACTAGAGACCTTTGAGGATTACTGAGGCAATTATGAAACATAAAGTCCATGCTTATTGGTGTTTAAAACATGTTATAAATATTAAATTATGTCCAAGTTGTTGGGATTTTTTTTTCCAATGTTAATTATTCCAATAAGCAGATGTCCTTAAAATCAGATGCTATATGATGTTATCTTTTTTTTTTTAAGCAGTTGCCTGGCTGGGTGCAGTGGCTCATGCCTGTAATCACAGCACTTTGGGAGGCTGAGGCAGGTGGATCACCTGAGGTCAGGAGTTTGAGACCAGCCTGGCCAACATCGTGAAACCCCATCTCTACTAAAAATACAAAAAATTAGCCAGGCTAGGTGATAGGCGCCTGTAATCCCAGCTACTCAGGACGCTGAGGCAGGAGGATCTCTTGAACGCAGCGGGCAGAGGTTGTCGTGAGCCAAGATTGTGCCACTGCACTGCAGCCTGGGCAACAGAGCGAGACTTTGTCTCAAAAAATAAAAAAAGTAAGCAGTTGCCATAAATTGAAGTAATTCCTAATAGTGCCATCCCTGTAATAATCACTTAATAAATAAATACATAGGCTGGGCACAGTCCCTACGGCACTTTGAGGGGCTGAGGTGGGAGGATTGTGTGAGCCCAGGAGTCTGAGGCCAGCCTGGGCCAACATAGTGAGACTCCCATCTCAATTTGAAATAAAAAAGATTGGGCAACTAATGAAAAATAGGCTAAAATAAATTATAGTTATAATAAATTGCATTATCCTTTATAATCAGAAAATGATCTGATTAACATATTTTAGCAAATATATCAGATTTGCAAAGATGACACATTTAAGGGCTGTGGTCAACCATTTCAAGTTTTAACCCTTTTTTTGAGACAGTCTCACCCTGTCGCCCAGGCTGTAGTGTAATGGCATGATCTTGGCTCACTGCAACGTCCACGTCCCAGATTGAAGCAATTCTCCTGCCTCGACGTCCCGAGTAGCCCTGGGATTACAGGCGTGTGCCTACACACCCAGCTAATTTTTGTATTTTTAGTAAAGACAAGTTTCACCATGTTGACCAGGCTGGTCTCGAAGTCCCGACCTCGTGATCCACCCATCTCAGCCTCCTGAAGTGCTGGGATTACAGGCACGAACCACCATGCGTGGCCCGTTTTAGCCCTTTTTAAGAGTCTGTTGAAAGCAATGGACTTTAGCCTTAGAAATTGGTACATAAGGCTGGGTGCAGTGGCTCACGCCTGTAATCCCAGCACTTCGGCAGTCTGAGGCAGGCGGATCGCCTGAGTTCAGGAGTTCAAGACCAGCCTGACCAACATGGAGAAACCCCATCTCTACTAAAAATACTAAATTAGCTGGGCGTGGTGGCGCGTACGTGTAATCCCAGCTACTCGGGAGGCTGAGGCAGGAGAATTGCTTGAACCTGGGAGGCGGAGGTTGCGGTGAGCCAAGATAGTGCCATTGCACTCCAGCCTGAGCAACAAGAGTGAAACTCCATCTCAAAGAAAAAATAAATAGGTACATAACAATTTATAATATAGGCCAGGCGTGGTGGCTCACGCCTTTAATCCTAGCACTTTGAGAGGCCGAGGCGGGGGGATCATGAGGCCAGGAGATCGAGACCATCCTGGCTAACACGGTGAAACCTCGTCTCTACTAAAAATAAAAAAAATTAGCCAGGCGTGGTGGCAGGCGCTTGTAGGCCCAGCTACTGGGGAGGCTGAGGCAGGAGAATGGTGTGAATTGGCGAGGCGGAGCTTGCAGTGAGCCGAAATTCCGCCACTGCACTCCAGCCTTGGTGACAGAGCAAGACTCTGTCTCAAAAAAAAAAAAAAAAAAAAAATTATATAGTTTTAGGTTTATGCGTATGCTATAGCCCATTATCTGTGGATGCTTGCATAGTAATAGATGCTCCCTATTCAGGGCTTAAAATTGTTTCCCTAATCCAGAATTTTCTTCTAGATACCAATATGGCTTATTTCCTTATTGCCTTCTGGTTACTTTTTAAATGTCACCTTATCAGAGAGGCCTTGTCTTACTATTCTCTCTTGTTATACTCTAGGTGTTTATCCTGCTTGTTTTTCATATAATTTGATGTTGATTTGGTTGTTCATTTTCTTAAAAACCAGGCAGCCCTAGAACCAGAATAGGTTAACAGAGACTTCATGATTTGGTTATTTATTCTCTCCACTAGCTGGATGATAGGAGGGGTTTTTATCAGCTTTCTTCAGTGCTGTATCCCTAATGCCTAAAACAGGCCCTGGTACATACCAGGCATTTGACTTAAAACTTATTGAGTAAATGAATAAGGTACACTTATCATGAAGATTAACGGTTGGTTGGCTTCGCGGGGTGGCTCACACCTGTAATCGCAGCACTTTGGGAGACCAAGGCAGGCGGATCACCTGAGGTCAGGAGTTCAAGACCAGCCTGGCCAACATGATGAAACTCCATCTCTACTGAAAATACAAAAATTAGCTGGGCTTGGTGGCACAAGCCTGTAATCTCAGCCACCCGGGAGACTGAGGCAGGTGAATGGCTTGAACTCGGGAAGCAGAGGTTGCAGTGAGCCCACATCATGCCACTGCACTCCAGTTTGGGTGACAGAGGAAGACTCTGTCTAGAAAAAAATAAAAATAAAAAAGATTAATGGTTGTGTTAAAATGTTTGATAAGTGGCTAGGCGCGGTGGCTTACGCCTGTAATCCCAGCACTTTGGGAGGCCGAGGCGGGCAGATCACAAGGTCAGGAGATCGAGACCATCCTGGCTGACATGGTGAAACCCTGTCTCTACTAAAAATACAAAAAAATTAGCCGGGCGTGGTGGCGGGCGCCTGTAGTCCCAGCTACTTAGCAGGCTGAGGCAGGAGAATGGCGTGAACCCGGGAGGTGGAGCTTGCTGTGAGCCAAGATCGTGCCGCTGCACTCCAGCCTGGGCGACAGAGCGAGACTCCATCTCAAAAAAAAAAAAGTTTGATAAGTTTACATAATCGTTGTATGTGGCAAGTTTTTATTTGCTAAATTACTCTGCTAGCTTTATTATTTCTGTTGAAATTTGGCTAGGTTCATGTTGATATCTTTTTATAGGTTTCATTGTTTGCGGAACTTTTCAACGAAATGCTTCAAAGAGATTTTGGTGTCCGTATATACAAATCATTACTGTCTCTTCCTGAGAAAGAGGACAAAAAAGAAAAGGATAAAAAAAGCAAAAAAGATGAGAGAAAAGATAAAAAAGAAGAAAGAGATGATGAAACTGATGAACCAAAACCCAAACGGAGAAAATCAGGCGATGATAAAGATAAAAAAGAAGATAGAGATGAAAGGAAGGTCTGTAATAACAACCTGCTTTAGAAGCTTTCAGTTACTCTTCTAGGTTATAAAGGTTGATGTTGATTTCCATCAGAATATTAGATGTAAAAGCCAAACTGAAAGATTTTACTATATTAGAAAATCAAGTCTTTGAGACCATCACAGCTAACACAGTGAAACCTCGTCTCCACTAAAGATCCAAAAAATTAGCCTGACATGATGGCACATGCCTATAGTCCTAGCTATTGGGGAGGCAGAGGCAGGAGAATTGCTTAAACCTGGGAGGTGGAGGTTGCAGTGAGCCAAGCTTGCACCACTGCACTCCAGCCTGGGTGACATAGCGAGACTCCATCTCAAAAAAAAAGATAAGAAATTCAGATCTTCAAATTAAGCCAATATGAGCATCTACAGCTAGTTTTCTAATACTTTATTCTTAAAATTTTTTTTTCCTTTTTCTGAGACGGAGTCTTGCTCTGTTGACCAGGCTTGCTGAAGTGCAGTGGCGTAATCTTGGCTCACTGCAACCTCTCCCTCCCAGGTTCAAGCAGTTCTCCTGCCTCAGTCTCCCAAGTAGCTGAGACTACAGGTGCACACCACCTTGCCCAGCTAATTTTTTTGTTTGTTTGTTTTTTGTTTTTTTGAGGCAGGTTTTCACCATGTTGGCCAGGCTTGAACTCCTGACCTCAAGCGCTCTGCCCACCTCAGCCTCCCAAAGTGCTGGTATTACAGATGTGAGCCACCGCACCCAGCCTAATTATTATTATACATTTATAGTATGGGCATAGTGGCTCGCTGCTATAATCCCAGCACATTGGGAGTCCAAGGTGGACAGATTGCTTGACTCCAGTAGTTCAAGACCATCCTGGACAACATGGTGAAACCCCCTCTCTACAAAAATTAGGAAAATTAGCTGGACATGGTGGCATGTGCCTGTGGTCCCAGCTACTTGGGAGGGTGAGGCAGGAGGATTGCCTGAACCCAGGAGTTGGAGGCTGCAGTAAGCCCAGATTGTGCCACTGCACTCCAGCCTGAGCAACAAAGTGAGACTGTGTCTCAAAAAAAACAAAAAAAAAAAAGTAATTTGCAATGTAAAACTTTTAAATAACTTCAGTGGATTTACTATTTTTCAGTTTTAGTAATTTAATGTGTGGTGGGATTTCTTGCTTAATTTAAAACCATTTTAAGCCAGGCACAGTGGCTCACACCTGTAATCCCAGCACTTTGGGAAGCTGAGGTGGGTGGATCACTTGAACCTGGGAGGTGGAGGTTGCAGTGAAGGGAAATTGTGCCACTGCACTCCAGTCTGGGCGACAGAGCCAGACTCCATCTCAAAAAAAAAAAAACCATATATATATGTAATAATATATAATAATTGTTATGATAATATAATAATAATATAACTACTGGCTGTGGTGGCTCACGCCTATAATCCTAGCCCTTCAGAAGGCCCAGGCCAGTGGATCGCTTGAGCCCACGGGTTGGAGACCAGCGTGGGCAATATGGCAAAACCCCGTCTTCTAAAAATAAGTAAATAAATAATAAAGGCATTTTAAATTATAGAAAGAAGATAAAAGAAAAGATGATTCTAAAGATGATGATGAAACTGAAGAAGATAACAATCAAGATGAATATGACCCTATGGAAGCAGAAGAAGCTGAGGATGAAGAAGATGGTATGATTGAAATTTATTTATTACTTCTTAGAGTTAAGAATACATTTTTTGTTTGCTGACATTGTATTCACTGAAATCTATACTTTTAACATTTTTTTCTTTAGAATAGAAAGAGTAATATACTCTTCAGTGAGAAAGTTTTTCTGATTTTTAGGTGAGAAGATTGTTTGAAGACATATTTATTACTAATTATCCTATGTCTCATATATAATTAATACTCAATTTGGCGGAACAAATTTCCCGGAACATGGTGCCTAAGCTGTGCCATAAAAGCTATAATAGGACAGGCATGGGGGCTCACACCTGTAATCCCAGCACTTTGGGAGGCCAAGGCAGGTGATCATTTGAGGTCAAGAGTTCCAAGTCCAGCCTTGCCAACATGGTGAAACCCCATTTCTACTAAAAATACAAAAATTAGCCAGGCGGTAGTGGCGCGTGCCTATAATCCCAGGTATACTCTGGAGGCTGAGGCAGGAGAATCACTTGAGCATGGGAGGCGGAGGTTGTGGTGAGCCAAGATCGTGCCATTGCACTCCAGTCTGGGCAATAGAGTGAGACCCTGTCTCAAAAAAAAAAAAATGTATAATAGTCCTTGATGTTTCATATACTAATTTTTTATTTTTTTAATTGAGACAGGGTTCTCACTGTATTACCCAGGCTGGAGTACTGTGGCATGCTCACAGCTCACTGCAGCCTCAGCCTGCCAGGCTCAGTATGATCCTCTCACCTCAGTCCCTGGAGTAACTGGGACTACAGGTGCTTGCCACCATTCCTGGCTAATTTTTAAATTTTTTTTTTGTTGTTTTTTTTTCAGACGGAGTCTTGCTCTGTTGCCCAGGCTGGAGTGCAATGGCATTATCTCAGCTCACCGCAACCTCCGCCTCCCGGGTTCAAGCGATTCTCCTGCCTCAGCCTCCCAAGTAGCTGGGATTACAGGCATGCACCACCACACCCGGCTAATTTTGTATTTTTAGTAGAGATGGAGTTTCTCCATGTTGGTCAGGCTGGTCTCGAACTCCCCACCTCAGGTGATCCACCTACCTCGGCCTCCCAATGTGCTGGGATTACAGGCCTGAGCCACTGTGCCCGGCCTAATTTTTAAATGTTTCATAGGCACGGGGTCTCATTCTGTTGCCCAGGCTGGTCTTGAACTACTGAGTTCAAGAAATCTGCCCACATCACCTTCCCAAAATGCAGGGATTATAGGCGTGAGCTACATACGTGTTCTAAATATATTCTTTAGAAAACTAATTTGGGGCTGGGTGTGCTGGCTCATGCCTGTAATCTCAGCACTTTGGGAGGTCAAGGCGGGTGGATCACCTGAGGTCAGGGGTTCAAGTCCAGCCTGGTCAACATGGTGAAACCCCATCTCTACTAAAAATACAAAAAATTAGCCGGGCACGCGCCTGTAATACCAGCTTCTGGGGAGGCTGAGGCGGGAGAATGGCTTGAACTCGGGAGGCAGAGGTTGCAGCGAGCCCAGATTGTGCCATTGCACTCTAGCCATGGCAACTGAGGGAAACTCCATCTCAAAAAAAAAAAAAACTAATTTGGGCATTTTGTTTAACAAAGACTATCATAATGCAAAAGAGTACATATAGAGTTTAAAGGCTAATAGTAATAAACACCCATATACCTTTCGCCTAAGTTTTATAAGACAGACTTTGTTAACCATGCGGTGACATTTAAAATACAGTAGATGCTCTGACCGTAGACATCAACGATCAAATACCTCAAAAGTGCCTCTGAATACCTTACCTGTTCTTTTCTAGGTAGATTTGTGGCTTTTTAAAAAATTATATTTTTCTGATATAGAAAATTATAAGAGTTCTTTTTGTTTTTTTTTTTACAGTTTGTGTCTCTGGCAATTACTTTTATTTACGGTATATTTTGTTTGCCTCTACATTTTCTTCTCTCTACCATATCAGTTTTTAATATTGTTTAATGAAAAAGTTGAAAAGATCAAAAAGTTGATAGTGCAGTGAACACCTGTGTATCCATCAACTTTGATTCAATAATTGTTAATATTTGTCTTGTTTTGTTTTTGTAACCCAGTTTAACATATGAATTCTTCAGTTTGCCTAAGGAAAAAACATGCTCTGAAATAACCACAATTCCATAATCACACCTAAGAAAATAAGGTCGTAATAGCATCTATTATTACTATGTAATATCTCCTCTTATTTGCTTTAATATAGTAACTCATTAGCAGTGACATAATATTCATACAGCAGTGTTTATCTTCATTACTTGCTTTACTTAATGAAGACTTAAGCCCTTTTTACAGCCCCATTTTCTCTCCCCTGTACGCCCAGTATTATTTTATTGCTGCTTTAGTTGAATCATTAAATAGTATTCTCATTATTTTGTTAGTGTTCCAGCTGTCAGCCTCATTTTCTTTTTTTTTTTTTTTTTGTTTTTTGTTTTTTGAGACAGAGTGTGGCTCTGTCACCAGGCGGGAGTGCAGTGGCACAGTCTCGGCTCACTGCAACCTCTGCCTCCCGGGTTCAAGCGATTTTCCTGCCTCAGCCTTCCGAGTAGCTGGGACTACAGACATTTGCCACCACGCCCAGCTAATTTTTCTTTTCTTTTTTTTTTTTTTTTTTTTTTTTTTTGAGATGGAGTCTCACTCTGTTGCCCAGGCTGGAGTGCAGTGGCGCAATCTCAGCTCACTGCAACCTCTGTCTCCCAGTTTCAAGCAATTCTCCTGCCTCAGCCTCCCAAGTAGCTGGGATTACAGGCATGTGGCACCACACCTTGCTAATTTTTGTATTTATGGTAGAGACGGAGTTTTACCATGTTGGCCAGACTGGTCTCGAACTCCTGACCAGGTGGTCCTCCCGTCTTGGCCTCCCAAAGTGCTGGAGTTATAGACATGGGCCACTGCGCCCAGCCTAATTTTTGTATTTTTAGTAGAGATGGGGTTTCACCATGTTGGCCAGGATGGTCTTGATCTCCTGACCTCGTGATTTACCCGCCTCAGCCTCCCAAAGTGCTGGGTTTATAGGCATGAGCCACTGACCCCAGCCCAGCCTTAGTTTATTTTTTCCTCTCACTCCTTTAATGTTGGTTTCATCCATTCTCCTAGCTTTAAATGCTGTCTATATACTGTTAATTCTCAAATTTCTAATTTTCTTTTTCTTTTCTTTTCTTTTCTTTTTTTTTTTTAAGAGATAGGGTTGGACTGGGCACAGTGGCTCACATCTGTAATCCCAGCACTTTGGGAGGCCAAGGTGGGTGGATCACCTGAGGTCAGGAGTTCGAGACCAGCCTAGCCAACATATTGAAAACCCCACCTCTAGTAAAAATACAAAAAATTAGCTGGGCGTGGTGGCGGATGCCTGTAATCCCAGCTACTTGGGAGGCTGAGGCAGGAGAATCACTTGAACCCAGGAGGCGGAGGTTGCGGTGAACCGAGATCACGCCATTGCACTCCAGCCTGGGCAGCAATAGCAAAACTCCGTCTGTAAAAAAGAAAAAGATAAGGTCTGTCACCCAGGCTGGAGTATAGTGGTATGGTCATAGCTCACTGCAGCCTGAAACTTCTAGGCTTAAGCAGTCCTCCTCCTCAGCTTCCTGAGTGGCTGGGACTACAGGTGCATGCCATTGCACCCAGCTGTTTAATTTTTTGTAGAGATGGGGTCTCAGTATGTTGCCCAGGCTGGTCTTGACCTCCTTGGCTTCAAGCAGTCCTCTGCCTTGGCCTCCCAAAAGTGCTGGGATTACAAGGATGTGCCAAGCCTCAAATTTCTATCTCATATCAGACTTCTCTCCCAGTCTCTCATATTGAACTGTCTACTTGACACCTCCACTTAGTTATCTGGCATTTCAAAATCAGTATATCTGAAACTAAATTCCTGCTAACCCCTTCACCAGAAAGAAAACATACACAAATCCTACAACCTTAGCCTTTGCCAACCATCTCATTTAATGACAATTCCATCTTTCCAGTTGTTGAGACTAAAACCCAGGAGTCATCCTTGATTCCTTTCTTTCTGCAGTACCCTACTTCCGATCTATCAGGAAGTTATATTTGCTCTGTTTTCATAACTTATCCAGAATCAGTCCACTTCTTACGAATTCCACTAATTTGACTATAATGCAAGCCACATTATCTCTTGCCTAGATTATATTAATAGACCCCTAACCTGTTTACGTGTTTCCTCCCCTCTACAATAAAGTTTCTCAATACAATTGCCAGAATGATCTTCGCAAAATTTAGAATTTATTTCATTCTTTTGTTCAAATTCTTCCAGTGTATCCCCATCATTTTTACTTCATAGAAGAAGCCACTGTTCAGGCTGGGCATGGTGGCTCACGCCTGTAATCTCAGCACTTTGTGGGAGGCCGAGGCGGGTGGATAATTTGAGGCCAGGAGTCCCAGACTAGGCTGGCCAATATGGTGAAACCCTGTCTTTACTAAAAATACAAAAAATTAGCTGGGCATGGTGGCGCGCACCTGTAATCCCAGCTGCTCAAGAGGCTGAGGCGTGAGAATCACTTGAACACAGAAGGTGGAGGTTGCAGTGAGCTGAGATTGCACTACTGCACTCCAGCCTGGGTGACAGAGCAAGACTCCGTCTCAAAAAAAAAAAAAGCCACTGTTCAGATCACTTGAGCTCAGGAGTTCAAGACCAGCCTGAGCAACATGACGACACCGTGTCTCTACAGAAAATAAAAAATGTATCCGGGCTTGGTGGTGCATGCCTGTAATCCCAGCTACTCAGGAGTCTGAGCTGGTAGGATCACTTGAGCCCGGGAGGCGGAGGTTGCAGTGAGCGATGATCACACCACTGCACTCCAGCCTCGACAATAAAGCAAGACCCTGTCTGAAAAGAAGGCCGGGTGCGGTGGCTCATGCCTGTAATCCCAGTACTTTGGGAGGCCAAGGCAGGCGGATCACAAGGTCAGGAGTTCGAGACTAGCCTGACCAACATGGTGAAACCCCTTCTGCTAAAAATACAAAATTAGCTGGGTGTGGTGGTACATGCCTGTTATCCCAGATACTCAGGAGGCTGAGGCAGGAGAATCACTTGAACCCGGGTGGCAGAGGTTGCAGTGAGCCGAGATTGTGCCACTACGTTCCAGCCTGGGTGACAAAGCAAGACTCCATCTCAAAAGAAAAGAAAAGAAAAAGCTAGTGCTCACAATGACTTACAAGACTCTACCACGTCATGTCTCCAGTTACATCTCTTAACCCCTCTTCTTGAGAAGAGTGGACCCCTCACATATGCTTCTATGTTAGGAGATTTACATTGGCAGTTCTTTCTGCTAGCAGGGTCTTTCCTGGAGATCCACCTTCCTTAGTTTCTCATATATGAAGTCTGTTCAAGTATCACTTTGTCAGTGAAGCCTGCTGTGCCCCCTACTTTATTTAAAATTGCAATCCCCCGCCCTCCCTTACTGCACATTTCTGGTCTCTTATCCTCTCCTTTTTTTTTTTCCATAGAATTTATGACCTATTTTATTACATACTCTTTATTTTGCTCATTGCCTGTCTCCCTCTACCCCTACACTTGAATAAAAGCTGTTATGTAAGAAAAAGAGATTTTTATCTGTGTTCTTTGTTAATATATATTCCAAGTTCCTGGAACAGTCTAAATAATTAAATAGGCTCCAAATATATGTTGATAGGATTATAGTTGTTTTTTGTTTGTTTCCCTGGAGTTTCCAATTGCTGCTTGCTTCTGTTTTACCACTTTTTTTCATATTTTATATCTCATGATCCTGTTAAGTTTCCTGGAGACTACTCTTTTTTTGTTTGTTTTTTGAGACGGAGTCTCGCTCTGTCACCAGGCTGGAGTGCACTGGTGCGATCTCAGCTCACTCCAACCTCCGCCTCCCGGATTCAAGCAATTCTTCTGTCTCAGCCTCCTGAGTAGCTGGGATCACAGGCCCACGCCTGGCTAATTTTTTTGTTTTTTTATTAGAGATGGGGTTTCATCATATTGGCCAGGCTGGTTTTGAACTTCTGACCTTGTGATCCGCCTGCCTCGGCCTCTCAGAGTGCTGGGATTACAGGCGTGAGCCACTGTGCCTGGCTGAGACTACACTTCTTAGAATACAAAAGCAGAATTATAACATGAAAATACAGTATCAGTAAATGTATTAAATGGTGTTGAATTTTGTTAGTAATTAGGAGAGCAGATAACAATAAGATACTTTTTTTTTTTTTTGAGACAGAGTTTTGCTCTGTCGCCCAGCCTGGAGTGTCGTCGCGTGATCTCGGCTCACTACAACCCCTGTCTCCCAGGTTCAAGCGATTCTCGTGCCCTCAGCTTCCTAAGTAGCTTAGATTACAGACATGCACCACCATGCCCGGTTAATTTTTGTATTTTTAGTAGAGACAGGGTTTCACCATGTTGGCCAGGCTGGTCTCGAACTCCCGACCTCAGGTGATCCGCCCACCTCAGCCTCCCAAAGTGCCGGGATTACAGGCGTGAGCCACCACGTCCGGCCTATCTTTTTCTTATCAAGTTAATGAAAATTAAATTTTTAAATGAAAGGTAACACAGTTTAACAAGGGTAAAAGGAGTTACACTTTCATCACTCTTCTTTGGGACTATACATTGTTATACCTTTTCTGAACAGAAATTTGGAAATGTGAATTAGCCATATCCTTTAAAATATCAACATGAGTGATCATTCCATAATTTATTATAAAACAAAACTATGGAATCAATCTGAATAGGAATAGAGAATTATTAAATTGTACTTTGGTAATATAGTCATGCAGTTAAAATTCTGTGCACCCATTGAAGAAAACTTGGAGAAGTGTAGTGACATGGAAAAAGATTTTTAAAGGGTTTTTGTAGATAGCATGTTCTATAAATAAATTTAGTGTTGATAAGTGTGTATATATGGGGAAAAAATAGGACATGATCACTACTCTCATTTTGTGTGGTGGGATTGATTTATTTTCTGTGATGAATAAATACTACTTGAATATTTCAAAAGTTATTTCAAAAATACAAGTTTCGGATGAGACAGTTTTGAAAGTGACACCTCTCAATATAAATACCCAAATAATGTGGATTATATTGTGAGTATTTTTCAATCATCAAAAATAAGTAAATGACTAGGTTCCAAGGAGAAGTTCCCTCTCATTCTTTCTTTTTCAAGACAGTCTTATTCTGTTGCCCAGGCTGGGCAGTAGCACGCTCGTGGCTCACTGCTGCATTGAACTCCTGGCTCATGTGATTCTCTCACTTTAGTTCCCTGAGTAGCTAGGACTACAGGTGTGCACCACCACACCTGGCTAATTTTTAAATTTTTTATAGAGATGTGGTCTCACTATGATGCCCAAGCTGATCTCAAACTCCTGGCCTTAAGCCATCTTCCTGCTTCCCTCCCAAAGCGATGTGATGACAGGTATGAACCACCACACCCAGCCATTAGAACATTTGCTTAATTTTTTATTTAATAACACCTTTATTGAAATGTAATTCACATACCATACAAGTAGACACTTTATAGGCATGCTTTGTTTTTTTTGCACTGCACTTTATTGTGCGCCAAAGATAGTGCCTTACGCCAAGCAAGCCTATCAGCACCACTTTTCCAACAGCATGTGCCACTTTGACTTTCTTTCACATTTTGGTAATTCTTACAGTATTTCCAGCTTTTTCATTATTACTATGTCTGTTTTGGTGATCTGTGATCAGTGATCTTTGATAATACTATTATACATGTTTTGGTGCACCTTGAATTGTGCCCATAGAAGATGACGAGCTTAATTATAAATATTGTTTGTGTTCTGATCACTCTATCAACCTGCCATTCCCCTATCTCTGTCCCTCTTATTGGGCCTCCCTATTCCCTGAGACAAAACATTGAAATTAGGCCAATTGTGCCAGGCACGGTGGCTCACGCTTGTAATCCCAGCACTTTGGGAGGCTGAGGCGGGTGGATCATTTGAGGTTAGGAGTTTGAAACCAGCCTGGCCAACATGGCGAAACCCTGTCTCTACTAAAAATACACAAAATAGCCAGGTGTGGTGGTGTACGCTTGTAATACCAGCTACTCGGGAGGCTGGGGGCATGAGAATTGTTTGAACCAGAGAGGCGGAGGTTGCAATGACCTGAGATCACGCCACTGCACTCCAGCGTGGGTGACAGAGTGAGACTCTGTCTCCAAAAAAAAAGAAAAGAAATTAGACCAATTACAGGTGCGGTGGCTCATACCTGTAATCCCGGCACTTTGGGAGGCTGAGGTGGGCAGATCACCTGAGATCAGGAGTTTGAGACCAGCATTGCCAACATGGTAAAACTCCGTCTCTACTAAAAATACAAAAATTAGCCGGGCGTGGTGGCGGGCACCTGTAATCCCAGCTACTCGGGAGGCTGAGGCAGGAGAATCACTTGAACCCAGGATGCAGGTTGCGGTGAGCTGAGATCATGCCATACGCTCCAGCCTGGGCAACAGAGCAAGACTCCGTCTCCAAAGAAAAAAGAAATTAGGCCAATTAATAATTAGGCTGGGCTCAGTGGTTCATGACTGTAATACCAGTACTTTGGGAGGATAACGAGGTGGGATCACTTGAGGCTAGGAGTAAAGACCAGCATCTGCAACATAGTGATACCCCATCTCTACAAAAAAAAATAAAATTGGTGTGGTTACATGCCCCTGTGGTCCCAGATACTTTTAGAGGCTGAGGTAGGAGGATCTGTTGAGCCCAAGAGGTTGAGGTTGCAGTGAGTCATGATTGTGCCACTGTACTCCAGCCTGGGCAACAGGGCAACACTCTGTCTCAAAAATAATAATCATAATAACAAAGAAAAAACCCAAAATGGCCTTGGAGTGTTCAAGTGAAACCTAAAAATCGTTAAAGTGAGTGAAGAAGGCATGTTGAAAGTTGAGATAGGCCAAAAGCTAGTTTTTTTGGCGTCAGTTAGCCATGTTGTGAATGCAAAGGAAAAGTTATTGAAGGAAACTCAAAGTGCTACTCCAGTGAACATGCAAATGGTGAGGAAATGAAACAGCTTTATTGCTATAAGGAGAGAGTTTTAGGGGTCAGAATAGAAGGTCACACCAGTCACAACATTCCCTTAAGGCAAAACCTAATTCTGAACAAGGCCCTAACTCTCTTCAATTCTATAAAGGCTAAGAAAGATGAAGAAGCTATAGAAAAAAGTTTGAGGCTACCAGTGGTGGATTCATGAGGTTTAAGGAAAGCAACCATCTCCTTAAGGTAAAAGTACAAGGTAGTTGCTGAGGTGGGAGGATTGCTTGAGCCCAGGCATTTAAGGCTGCAGTGAGCTATGATTACGCCACTGCACTCAAGCCTGGTTAACAGAGCAAGACCCTGCCTCTTGGGGGCGGGTAAAAAAAAAAAGGCACATTGAAACAGCAAGTGCTTATGTAGAAGCTAAGATCATTGATGAAAATGGCTATGCTAAGTAAATTTTCAATGGAGACAAAACAGCCTTCTTCCATCGGCTGAAGATGCCATCTTAAGACTTTCACAGCTAGAGAAGAGCATTCAGTGCCTGGCTTCAAAGGACAAGTTGACTTTCTTGTTAGGGCTAATGCAGCTTGTGACTTTAAGCTGAAGCCAGTACTCATTTACCATTCCAAAAATCTTAAGCCCCTTAAAAATTATGCTAAACCTACCGTACCTGTGCCCTAGAAATTGAACAAAGTGAGAATGACAATTGTTTACAGCAATGCTTTACTGAATTTTTTTTTACTCCTTTATCATGTAACCGACGTTTTTACTAAATATTTTAAGCCCGCTGTTGAGATCTGCTCAGAAAAAAAGATTCTTTTCAAAATATTACTTCTCACTGACACCACACCTAGTCACCCAGAGCTCTGATGGAGATGTACAAGGAGATTAATGTTTCATGGCTGCAACATCTATTCTGCAGCCCTTGGATCAGAGAGTAATTTCACTTTACTCTTTTTTTTTTTTTTTTTTTTGAGACAGGGTTTCACTCTGTCATGCAGGCTGGAATGCAGTGGCGTGATCATGGCTCAATCCAGCCTTGGACCTCCTGGCCTCAAATTATCTCCCACCTCATCCTCCCAAGTAGCTGGGATTACAGGCATGAGCCACCATGCCCAGCTAAATATTTATTTATTTATTTATTTTTATTTTTTATTTTTTGAGACGGAGTCTTGCTCTGTTGCCCAGGCTGGAATGCAGTGGCACGATCTTGGCTCACTGCAAGCTCCGCCTCCCAGGTTCATGCCATTCTCCTGTCTCAGCCTCCTGAGTAGCCACCACCACGCCTGGCTAATTTTTTGTGTTTTTAGTAGAGACAGGATTTCACCACGTTAGCCAGGATGGTCTCGATCTCCTGACCTCGTGATCTGTCTGCCTTGGCCTCCCAAAGTGCTGGGATTACAGGCGTGAGCCACCGTTCCTGGCCTCATCCATGTCTTTCTGAAGTTCTAGGATCTGGTCCAGCCCTGGGGATATCCCATACTCTTGAGTGCTGAGGAAGGCACGAGGTCAGGAGTTCGAGACCAGCCTGGCCAACATGGTGAAACCCCAACTCTACTAAAAATTCTCATGGATGACTTTGAAGGGTTCAATAATTCAGTAGAGGGAATAACTGCAGGTATGATAGAGCAAGAGAACTAAAATTAGAAATGCAGCCTGAAGATGGGATGGAACTGCTGCAATATCAGGATAAACTAAACTGATGATTGTTTGCTGCTTTTTTTTTTTGAAGATGGAGTCTTGCTCTGTCGCCCAGGCTAGAGTGCAGTGGCGCGATCTCAGCTCACTGCAAGCTCCGCCTCCTGGGTTCACGCCATTCTGCCTCAGCCTCCTGAGTAGTTGGGACTACAGGCGGCCGCCACCACGCCTGGCAAATTTTTTTTATGTATTTTTAGTAGAGACGGGGTTTCACCATGTTAGCGAGGATGGTCTCGATCTCCTGACCTCGTGATCCGCCCACCTCAGCCTCCCAAAGTGCTGGGATTACAGGCGTGAGCCACTGCGCCCGGCCAATTGTTTGCTTCTTATGGATGAGCAAAGACAGTGTTTTTTTGAGATGCAATCTGCTTCTGTGAAGATGCTGTTAACATTGTTGAAATAACAAAGGATTTAGAATATTATGTAAACTTAATTAAGCAGTGGCAGGATTGGAGGGGATTGACTCTATTTATATATTTATTTATTTATGAGATGGAGTCTTGCTCTGTCGCCCAGGATGGAGTGCAGTGCCGTGATCTCGGCTCACTGCAACCTCTGCCTCCCGGGTTCACACAATTCTCCAGCCTCAGCCTCCTGAGTATCTGGGACTACAGGCACACGCCACCACACCCCACTTATTTTTGTGTTTTTAGAGATGGGGTTTCACCATGTTGGCCAGGCTGGTCTCAAACTCCTGACCTTAAGTGATCCATCTGCCTCGGGCTGCCAAAGTGCTAGGATTACAGGCGTGACCCACCATGTTCGGCGATTGACTCTAATTTTAAAAGAGGTTATTCTGTGGGTCAGATGCTATCAAACAGCATCACATAGGGTCTCACTTTTCACCCAGGCTGAGTGCAGAGGTGCAGTCATGTCTCATTGCAGCCTCAAGCTCTGGGACCCAAGTGATCCTCCCACGTCTGCCTCCCAAGTAGCTGGAACCGCAGGCATGCGCTACTTAGTCTGACTCATTTTTTAAATTATTTTTGTAGAGACCGGGTCTCATTATGTTGCCCAGGCTGAGGCAAGATCCTTTACCAGCAAAAGGATTACTGCTTGCCAAAGGCTCAGGTGATTGTTAGTGTTTTTAGAAATAAAGTATCTTTTAATATATGTACTTTTTTAAGGCATAATGCTATTATTGCACACTTGATTATAGTGTGAACATAACTTTTTTTTTTTTTTTTTTTTGAGATGGAGTCTCGCTCTGTCACCCCGGCTGGAGTGCAGTGTCACAATCTCGGCTCACTACAAGCTCCGCCTCCTGGGTTCACGCCATTCTCCTGTCTCAGCCTCCCGAGTAGCTGGGACTACAGACGCCGGCCACCATGCCAGGCTAATTTTTTGTATTTTTAGTAGAGACGGGATTTCACCGTGTTAGCCAGGATGGTCTCGATCTCCTGACCTCGTGATCCGCCCACCTCGGCCTCCCAAAGTGCTGGGATTACAGGCGTGAGGCACCGCACCCGGCCCTATAACTTTTTTTTTTTTTTTGAGACAGGGTCTCGCTTTGTTTTCCAGGCCAGAGTGCAGTAGCATGAACATGGATCACTGAAGCTTCACCATCCCAGGCTCAAGTGATTCTCCCATCTCAGCCCTCTGCGCAACTGGGACTACAGGCGTGTGCTACCATGCCTGGCTAATTTTTGTATTTTTTTGTAGAGATGGAGTTTTGCCATGTTGCACTGGCTGGTTTAAAACTCCGGAGCTCAAGCGATCCACCTGCCTCAGCCTCCCAAAGTGCTGGGATTACAGGCATGAGCCACTGTACCTGGCTGTAAACATAATTTATCTACTGGAAAACCAAAAAATTTGTTTGACTAGCTTTATTGCAGTACTTGCTTTATTGGGGTGGTCTTGAACCAGAGCCTTCAGTAACTCCCAAGTTGTGCCTGTATGCAAGTCAGTGGTTTTTAATATATTCAGAGTTGTACAACCATCACCACAATTAACTATAGAACATTTTTATCACCCTCATACCAAGAACCCAAAAGAGATTGATTAGCAGCCATTCCCCATCTTCCCTGAACCTCTTCAGTCCTAGGCAACCATTAGTCTGCTTTTTGTTTCTGTAGATATTCTGGACATTTCTTATAAATGGAATAACACGATAAGTGATTTTTTTGTGACTGGCTTCTTTTACTTAGCCTGTTATCAAGGTTCATGTATGTTTTAGCATAAGGTTTTCTCTTTATGTTTTTGTTGTTGTTGTTTAAAAGACAGGGTCTTGATCTGTCACCCAGACTGGAGTGCAGTGGTATAGTCATAGCTCACTACACCCTCGAACGCCTGGCCCTCCTGAGTAGCTGGGATAACAGTCATGTGCCACTGTGCCCACTTGAAAGTATGTGTATTAATGACTTTTTTGCCACTGTTATATTTATTTTACAGATAGGGATGAGGAAGAAATGACCAAACGAGATGACAAAAGAGATATCAACAGATACTGCAAGGAGAGGCCCTCTAAAGATAAGGTGTTTATTGAATACTGTATTCTTTATAATATGGTGATATCTTACATCATCTAAACATAACACAGTTGTGAAGTTTATTAGTCCTTATACATCTTTATTACCACTAAGTAAAATTCTGTCAGTTGTTTTTTTGTGGCTATGTCAGATAACTAGTATGTCTGATTCTTTTCTCTCATATTCGTATACCAGATAAACTCATTTTAGCTAGGATGAGGCAAATATCTTATTAGATTATTGCTATCTTATGCACAGTCTCCGTTTCTCACTTTTTGGGGGTAAAAAATTTGAAATTTGAATACTATGTTTTCTACTTCTCCATTTTCTTAGGAAAAAGAAAAGACTCAAATGATCACAATTAACAGAGATCTGTTAATGGCTTTTGTTTATTTTGATCAAAGTCATTGTGGTTACCTTCTTGAAAAGGATTTGGAAGAAATACTTTATACTCTTGGACTACATCTTTCTCGGGCTCAGGTAATCTATCTTGTGAATATTTAAAAGGAAAACATTTTTTAAAAGTTACCTTTCCAGTGAAAAGTTAATAGAACCTCTGTTGACTTTTTGATATATTAAAGCAATATAAGGGCCAGGCGTGGTGGCTCACACCTATAATCCCAGCAGGTTGGGAGGCTGAGGCGGGCAGATCAGTTGAGGCCAGGAGTTTAAGACCAGCTTGGCCAACATGGCGTAGCTCCGTCTCTACTAAAAATGCAAAAATTAGCTGGGTGTGGTGGCACACGCCTGTAATCCCAGCTACTCGGGAAGCTGAGACAGGAGAATCTCTTGAACCCAGGAGGTGGAGGTTGCAATGAGCCAAGATCACGCCACTGCACTCCAGCCTGGGTGACAGAGTGAGACTCCATCTCAAAAAATAAAAATAAAGCAATATAACACAAGCCAGTTGTAAAACACTTCCCTTCTCCCTCTCCCTCTGTTTCTACTCCTTAGGACTACAATATATAAAATTCTAGATCTTTTTGTAAGCAGCTCAGTTCCATTTTTATAAACAAAACGTGGAATTATTCTGTACGTTTTGACTGGCTTTTTTTTTTTCATTCCACAGTATTCTATAGATACATTCACCATGAAAATAGAGACCTGCCTCATTCTTTTTATAGCTGCACAGTACCCATTATACAGATGTACCATAATTTACCTACCTAGTCTCCATTGCTGGTGGTTTTCATTTATTGGATTTACCAACTATGCTGTAATAAATCATCCCTGTGCATAAATTTTTATCAATGTTATACTTTTTAACAATGAAGTTTTTTTTTTCAAAAGTAACTTGGATCTTACTCAATTCCATGGATTTCCATCATAAGTGAAAATTACAGCTGGGCATAGTGGCTCACACCTGTAATCCCAGCACTTTGGGAGGCGGAGGAGGGTGGATCACCTGAGGTCAGGAGTTCAAGACCAGCCTGGCTAACATGGTGAAACCCTGTCTCTCCAAAAATACAAAAATTGGCCAGGCATGATGGCGGGTGCCTGTAATACCAGCTACTCTGGAGGCTGAGGTAGGAGAATCGCTTGAACCTGGGAAGTGGAGGTTGTAGTGAGTCGAGATCACACCACTGCACTCCAGTTTGGGCGACAAGAGCAAGACTCTTTCTCAAAAGAAAGTGAAAATTATATCATAGTTTTTCTAAGAGAATCAAGAAATGTATTTTCATCTCTGTATTTTGTTTACTTGCATGCATAACAGGTAAAGAAGCTTCTTAATAAAGTAGTGCTCCGTGAATCTTGCTTTTACCGGAAATTAACAGACACCTCAAAAGATGAAGAGAACCATGAAGAGTCTGAGTCATTGCAGGAAGATATGCTAGGTCTGAGTAATATTAAGATTTTGCTTTTTAATAAATATACTAGTAATTAAAGAAGAAAAATAACTTACTAAAATATGGTATATTTTATATTATAGGAAACAGATTATTACTTCCAACACCAACAGTAAAGCAGGAATCAAAGGATGTGGAAGAAAATGTTGGCCTCATTGTGTACAATGGTGCAATGGTAGATGTAGGAAGCCTCTTGCAAAAATTGGAAAAGAGCGAAAAAGTAAGAGCTGAGGTAGAACAGAAGCTGCAGTTACTAGAAGAAAAAACAGGTAAGGGTCAGCTTTGAATATGTTAATACTTTCAGCACCCTGCTGGGACACGTATATGTTTATGTGTGTACATACATATATACGTACCTGTGTACACATTTGCATATGCATACCAGATATTTTCATCGAAGTACATAAGGAACTTTTTAAAATTTTTTATTATTTATTTGTTTTTAAGACAGGGTCTCACTCCGTTACCCAAGTGGAGTGCAGTGGCACAATCTCAACTTACTGCAACCACTGCCTCCCGGATCCAAGTGATTCTCCCACCTCAGTCTCCCAAGTAGCTGGGATTACAGGCATGCGCCACCATGCCCAGCTATTTTTTGTATTTTTAGTAGAAATGGGGTTTCACCATGTTGGCCAGGATGGTCTCAAACTCCTGACCTCAAGGGATCACCCACTTTGGCCTCCTATAGTGTTGGGATTACAGGCAGGAGCCACCATGCTCTGCAGGGACCTTTACTTTTCACTATTTCTGGTTCAGGTTATAAAATTGCTTAGCTTTATCTGAATCTTAGGTCTTCCTGTGTATTCTCAGGTTCATTGTTACCTGTTGCATCCTTTTAATCATCTTCTGGTTCCACTTTTTTTTTTTTGAGACAGAGTTTTGCCCTGTCACCCAGGCTGGAGTGCAGTGGGGCTATCTTGGCCCATTGCAACCTCCACCTCCCAAGTTCAAGCGATTCTCCTGCCTCAGCCTCCCAAGTAGCTGGGACTACAGGTGCGTGTCACCACGCCTGGCTAATTTTTTGTATTTTTAGTAGAGACAGGGTTTCACCATGTTTGCTAGGATGGTCTCGATCTCCTGACCTCGTGATCCGCCCACCTCAGCCTCCCAAAGTGCTGGGTTTACAGGCATGAGCCACTGCGCCTGGCCTCCACTTAGTTTTTACCAGTCTGTGTTCTCTAATCTATACAGTCATCTAAAAATAGAACATAGGTTTTGAAATAATACAAGTTAAAAATTTAAATGAAACAGGCCAGGCATGGTGGCTCCCGCCTGTAATCCCAGCACTTTGGGAGGCCGAGGCAGGCAGATTGTTTGAGGTCAGGAGTTCGAGACCAGCCTGACCAACATGGTGAAACCCCGTCTCTAAAAATACAAAAATTAGCTGGGTGTGGTGGTACGCGCCTGTAATCCCAGCCAAGATCGTGCCACTTCGCTCAAGCTGGCGCAACAGAGTGAGACTCAGTCTCAAAAGTAAATACATAAATAAATGAATATTGCAGTGTGCTTTATGACTAATGAAATTGACAGACATTGCCATTTTATGGAATTCTATCAGCTTTTTATTTTCACAGCTTAAATATTTTAACCTCAAAGTTAAATTTGAAATTTTAGGAAGTAAAATGTTAATTTTTGGATTTTTTTAAACAGATGAAGATGAAAAAACCATATTAAATTTGGAGAATTCCAACAAAAGCCTCTCTGGTGAACTCAGAGAAGTTAAAAAGGACCTTAGTCAGTTACAAGAAAACTTAAAGATTTCGGAAAACATGAATTTACAATTTGAAAACCAAATGAATAAGACAATCAGAAACTTATCTACGGTAATGGATGAAATCCACACTGTTCTCAAGAAGGTGAGAAATTTTGTACTTTTAACATTTTCTTAGTTTTAAAAATCTAACTCTGGTGTTTTTAATGTATTTTAATGTTATTAAGCTCTTAGTGATTATTCTAAAAGCAAATAATGATAGCATTGTGACCTTCCTGAGATTAGTAAAAAGTGATTCACAGGCTGGGCACAGTGGCTCACACCTGTAATCCCAGCACTTTGGGAGGCCAACGCGGGCGGATCACCTGAGGTCAGGAGTTCAAGTCCAGCCTCGCCAACGTGGTGAAACCCCATGTCTACTAAAAATACAAAAAAAATTAGCCAGACATGGTGGCGGGCACCTGTAATCCTAGCTACCCGGAAGGCTGAGACGGGAATCACTTGAACCTGTGAAGCAGAGGTTTCAGTGAGTCTAGATTGCACCATTGCACTCTAGCCTGGGCAACAGAACTAGACCCCATCTTAAAAAAAAAAAAAAAAGTGATTCCCAAAAGATGTTGTTTTTCTAAATCTTAGTTGGAATGTCAACATGATTTAAGTATACAGACTTCTTGAAGCAAATTTCATTTTTATTTCTTTTTAATCCAGAGTATAAATTTGAATTAAACCATTCACTTCACTTCTCTGTGTTTTTTTTGTTTTGTTTTGTCTTTTTGAGACAGGGTCTTGCACTTTTGCCCAGGCTGGTTTGTTAGTGGCGCTATCTTGGCTCACTGCAGCCTCTGCCTCCTAGGCTCACGTGATCCTCCCACCTCAGCCTCCTGATGAGCTGGGACTACAGGTGTGCTCCAGCACACCCAGCTAATTTTTATATTTTTTTTAGAGACAGGGTTTCAGACCGGGCGCGGTGGCTCATGCCTGTAATCTCAGCACTTTCGGAGGCCAAGGTGGGCGGATCACGAAGTCAGGAGATTGAGACCACAGTAAAACCCCGTCTCTACTAAAAATATAAAAAAACTGCGAGACTCTGTCTCAAAAAAAAAAAAAAAATAGAGACGGGGTTTCACCATCTTTCCCAGGCTGGTCTCCAACTCCTGGGCTAAGCAGCCCACCTATCTTGGCCTCTCAGAGTGCTGAGATTACAGTCATGAGCCACCACACCTGCCCCATTCACTGCATTTTTAGACCCCATTTATTCTTGGGCAGAATTGAGGTAAATGCTTCGTCACCATTAATTTTAAGATACTAAAATTAATTTATTGTTCTTTATCACTAGAAAAAAGTATACCAAACTGAATACCATTGTACTCTAAAATCAAAGTAACATTTAAGATAATCTAATAAAATGTATTTTTTCCTTCTCTATTGTCTTATAGGATAATGTAAAGAATGAAGACAAAGATCAAAAATCCAAGGAGAATGGTGCCAGTGTATGATAAAATCCATGTAGTGATGAGGAATGGTGTTAAATAATGTAATATATAAAAATCATGATATAAGAATGTTTGAAGGTGATGCATGTTTGATTTTAGTAGTATAAATGTATTTTAGTTCAAATGATGTATAAAGTTTTATGAATGTGAGTTTCTGCTTTTGAAAATTGCTTGTAATTCCTAGCCTTCAAATTATTAAACACTCCTTGAGTGAAATAATTTTGCATTGCAAAGTGTTTTAGGATGAACTTTGTTATAGTTTTAACTCCAATAAAGTTCATCAGTTTAATTGACTGTAGTATTTAATTACCAAATTTCTTTTATTAAAATGCCTAGAAATTTTTAATTTATAGAATTATTAGGTTTTAAAATTTTTAGTTCATCTGTTAAAATTTCAGTCAAAATCATAAAATAGCATGATGCTTAATTTTTGCAAGTTTTTTGAAACTTTTTGTTTTTTTTACTCATCACCAAAAAATCCCCTCTTGATCAGTCTCTAAAAGCATTCATTAAAAATTCAGTTCAGGCCGGGCACGGTGGCTCACACCTGTAATCCCAACACTTTGGGAGGCCGAGGCAGGTGGATCACCTGAGGTTAGGAGTTCGAGACCAGCCTGGCCAACATGGTGAAACCCGGTCTCTACTAAAAATATAAAAATTAGCTGGGCATGGTGGTGGGTGCCTGTAATCCCAGCTACTTGGGAGGCTGAGGCAGGAGAATCGCTTGAACCCAGGAGGCGGAGGTTGCAGTCACTCAGGATCATGCAGCTACACTCCAGCCTGGGCGACAAGAGTGAAACTCCATCTCAAAAAGAAAAAAAAAAAAAATCAGTTTATTTGAAAGACAGTATATCAGAAAGAAAGAAGCAATAGAGAACTAGTATTGTTCTTTATGGGTTAGACTTTACATAATATTAGTTGTCCTGATGTCAATGTTACTGCTTTCAATTAATTTTTCTACTTTCCCAGAATAGCATCTATATTCCTTTTAATTTTGAGGGTTTAAAAAAAAATGCAGTGTATGTCAAATTTACAGTTTAGTACCAAGCCAGTAGATGTCAGTATGATGCCTTAAATTAAGTCTTCTTTAATTAAAGATATTTTTTTAAATTAACCTGTGTACTTCCTTCAGAATTTTAGTGGATACATGAGGTGACTTAACTGTAGAATAAAAACGGTAGTAAATATGAGTGGTTCTCAACAGAGGGTGAATTTATCCCTTAGAGGACATTTGGCAGTGTCTAATGAGGTTTTTTTGGTGTCACAACTGGGTGGGTGCTGCTGGCATCTAGTTGGTAGAGGCCAAAGATATCACTAAACATCCTTTGTTGCAGAGGATAGCCCTCTACAACAAGGAATTATCCAGCCAAAAATGTCAATAGTGTCCAGTTTCAGAAACCCTGCTCTAAAGGAATGTAAAGTTAAATGACATTTTGTCTTCCAAGTTTTACTAGTGAAAACTTAATGGAATCCATTACTGGAATGTTTCACTGTCATATAAATATATGGTGTATTAGAGTTTTGTTTTATTTTGTTTTGAAACGGAGTCTCGCTCTGTCACCCAGGCTGGAGTGCAGTGGCTTGATCTCGGCTTACTGCAACCTCTGCCTCCCAGGTTCTAGCGATTCCCCTGCCTTAGCCTCTCAAGTAGCTGGGATTACAGACGTCTGCCACCATGTTCAGCTAATTTTGTATTTTTAGTAGGGATGAGTTTTCACCACATTGGCCAGGCTGGTCTCGAACTCCTGACCTCAGGTGATCCACCCACCTTGGTCTCCCAAAGTGCTGGGATTACAGGCATGAGCCACTGCACCCGGCCTAGAGTTTATTTTATTTCATTTTGTTTTATTTTATTTTGTTAGAATAATGGCTAGGTGTTCCAAATAGATGAATATGAAAATGTAAAGTGCCATTTATATGTGACTTACGCTAAATGGAATTCACATGGCTATTACTAAAAAATGGATTATAATACCTCAAATTCTTTTAGACCAATTTTTGTCTTAAGTTACTGTTGGTGGTCATATGGCTTGTTAACCTTCTCCAAAACCAGATTAGAGATTGATCTATAATTATTACATAATTATGATATAAATATTTCCTTCATCTTTAAGGTGAGATGAAACAGTTGTTGAAAATGGTTTTTTTCCTTCTTTCTTTTTTTTTGAGATAAAGTGTTTGTTTCCCAGCCTGGAGTGCAGTGGTGCCATCTAGGCTCACTGCAATCTTTACCTCCCGAGTTCAAACAATTCTGGTGCCTCAGCGTCCTGAGTAGCTGGGATTACAGGCATGCACCACCACACCGGCCAAGTTTTTTGTATTTTTAGTAGAGATGGGGTTTTGCCATGTTGGCCAGGCTGGTCTTGAAACTCCTAGCCTCAAGTGGTCTACCCAGCATGGCCTCCCAAAATGTTGGGGTTACAGGCGTGAGCTACCGTGCCTGGCCCACAAAGTGTTTTTTTTTTTCAAGGGACAATCTTGAAGATAAACTTTTAACTAAAAGACAGTGATGATAGTAAAAGACAGTAATGATAGAGTTCCTTGAAAAGAGTATATTGTTAATAAGAAACATTATATAAAGTACATTTGTGAGACTTTTTTTCCTCCAGATAAATTTAAATCAGAATAAAATTGGGATGACAGAGAAAAAGACTGAACCTTTCAATCACATTGTTACTTAGGGGTAAATTTCTTATAAAATAATATCTTTGGAAGTACAAATTGAGATGACTAAGGAAAAAAGCAAGTTGCACACAGAAAAATTGATTTTGGCCGGGCACAGTGGCTCATGCTTGTAATCCCAGCACTTTGGGAGGCCAAGGCAGGCGGATCATTTGAGGTCAGGAGTTCAAGACCAGTCTGGCCAGCATGGTGAAGCCCCGTCTCTACTAAAAATACAAAAAAAAATTAGCCAGGTGTGGTGGTGCATTCCTGTAGTCTCAGCTACCTGGGAGTCTGAGGCAGAAGAATGGCTTGATCCCGGGAGGCAGAGGTTGCAGTGATCCAAGATCGAGCCATTGCACTCCAGCCTGGGCAACAGAGCAAGAAAACTTACTTTTTTTTTTTTTTTAAGGTACCTAAATAGGTATTGTTGGCAATTCCAGAGGAAAATAATTGTATATTCATTCAGTGGATGGCTGGGTCTAGGCCACATGAGTTTCTCTGATCTGGGTGATAAATGACCCTTGAGAGCCTTAGCTATAGATCTAAATACTGGCTAGAATTGTCAAAAAATATTACAGTGGTTACTGTATGTTTTGTTAGGGATTTACGTGATACTGAAGGGCTTTCAGAGCACTCTGACGTTAACATACATAGAGTAGAATGGACACTCCTTCCCTACTTCTTTTGATGAAGCCTCTTGATAGCACGGCATGCCCTTTATTTTTAATCAGTCATTTGCAGTCCACAAGTTAACACTGACGTGGCTTTGAATTTTTTTGTGGGTCTGAGATAATCTGAGGTTGTTTTCATTGTCAGAAATTATGTAAGTTTTCTCCTAGTGATGTGACATCCTATAGATTGTGAATCAAAGCAGGCATCATCACATACCAGAAGCATGTAGAGATTTTAGGCAAAGGACTGAAATGTACACAGTAGCCTAGGTGCGGTGGCTTACGCCTGTAATCCGAACACTTTAGGAGGCCAAGGCGGGCGGATCATGAGGTTAGGAGTTCGAGACCAGCTTGGCCAATATGATGAAACACCGTCTCTACTAATAATACAAAAATTAGCCGGGCATGGTGGTGCGCACCTGTAGTCCCAGCTACTCAGGAGGCTGAGGCAGGAGAATCGCTTGAACCTGGGAGGTGGAGGTTCCAGTGAGCCGAGATTGCACTACTGCACTCCAGCCTGGGCGACAGAAAAAGACTCCGTCTCAAGGAAAAAAAAAAAAGTGTACACAGTAATTAGAGGCACCATAAAAGGTGCTTTGTAAGGTACAGCACATTTCCTTGTTTGACTGCAATGCAGCTGCTGTGCTATGGGTTATGGAAGGAAATTTTGCCCACTTTAATTCTTCCCACTAATTTTTTTTTTTTTTTTTGGAGGCGGAGTTTTGCTATTGTCACCCAGGCTGGAGTGCAGTAGTGCAATCTCGGCTCACTGCACTCTCCGCCTCCCAGGTTCAAGCGATTCTCCTGCCTCAGCCTCCTGAGTAGCTGGGATTACAGGCGCTCACCACCACGCCCAGCTAATTTGGTATTTTTAGTAGAGATGGGGTTTCATCATGTTGGCCAGGCTGCTCGCGAGCTCCTGAACTCAGGTGATCCACTCACCTCTGCCTCCCAAAGTGCGGGAATTACAGGTATGAGCCACTGCGCCTGACCTCTTCCCACTAATTTTATGTTCAGATTATTTTGGAGTTAAAAATATTGTGTAAGAACACAAATTATTTTTGTTAAATGAGGCTTAGTGAAATGGTGAGAATTTTTCAGGATTCAATATTAATATAGTTTACTGCCGTATTTAATATTTTTGTTTTTTATAAAAGAGCTCCAAATTTGTGAGTGATTTACTCTTGTTTTAATTATTATTTTTTTTTTTTTGGGGGGGGAGACAGTATCTGGCTATGTTACCCAGGCTGGAGTGCAGTGGCACAATCTCAGTTCACTGCAACTGCCACCTCCCGGGCTCAAGTGATCCTTCCACCTCAGCCTCCTGAGTAGCTGGGATTACAGGTGCATGCCACCATGCCTAGCTAATTGTTTTTGTATTTTAGTAGAGACAGGGTTTCACCATGTTGCCCAGGCTGGTCTCAAACTCTCTGAGCTCAGGTGATTCACCCACCTAGGACTCCCCAACTGCTAGAATTATAGTCATGAGCCACTGCACCTGGCCCATGCCTAATTTTTCTATTTTTGGTAGAGACGGGGTTTCCCCTTATTGCCCAGGCTACTGGAACTCCTGAGCTCAAGCAGTCTGCCTGCCTCAGCCTCCCAAAGTGCACAGATTATAGGTGTGAGCCATTGCACCCAGCCTCTATTTTATCTTTTATTCATAGGATGGGTGGGCCAGGCACAGTGGCTGAGGCGCTACTCTGGATGCTGAGGCAGGAGGATCACTGCATCTCAGGAGGTGGAGGCTGCAGTGAGCTGTCAGGGTCTCGCTCTGTTGCCTGAGCTAGAGTGCAGTGGCACAATCATGGCTCATGGCAGGCTTGACCTAGATCTAGTGATCCTTCCACCTCTGTCTCCCAATATGTAGCCAATAACTTACTGTCTAAACTGGGAACCTTTAGAGAGAAAAGAAAGGTGCCAGGAATAACTACGTCATAACACGAGATATAACCAGGAGGCAAACTGGAACATAGAGTTACTGCCTATTTATCATTCATCTTGTGGATAATATTGACCTGCGTTTGGTGTTCACTAGTTAAAAAATGAGCCTCAGGCTTACACATGAATGAAGATTAAGTTTAGAGTCCCAGAGTACTTTTGACATAAATTATGCACTTGGTTTTTCTTGTGTGTATAGAGGGGTGGAGTACTACTTAAGTACTGAGTCAGCTCCTTATTAATGGTGGTCTGAATGTGATCATTATGCCTAATCTAATGCAGGTTCTCAAACAAGTATGTGTCTGAATCACCAGGTCTGGGTTAGGGCCTAAGAATTTGCATTCCTAACAAGTTCCCACGTGCTGCTGCTGCTATTGCTGGTCTAAGCAAACCCACTTGGAGAACCTCCTAACTAAGGTGTTCTAATTAGGGAAAACTTAGAGCAGTTTTCCCTAGTTAATACGTGATTTTTTTAAATAGAGAAGAGTAAATGGCCTTGGAGACACTACCTGAACCATTAGAGCTTTTTCTTCAGGGATAGATAATCCGGCATTGGGCTGGGCATGGTGGCTTACACCTGTAATCCCAGCACTTTGGGAGGCCAAGGAGCAGAATGCTTGAGTCCAGGAGTTCAAGCCCAGCCTGGGCAGCATGGTGAAACCCCGTCTTTACAAAAAATGCAAAAATTATCCAGGCGTGGTGGCAAGTGCCTGTAGTCCCAGCTACTCAGGAAGCTGAGCTGGCAAGATCGCTTGATGCTTGAGCCTGGGCAGCTGAGGCTGTGGTGAGCCATGATCATGCCACCATACTCCAGCCTGGGCAACAAGGACCCTGTTTCAAAAAAAAAAAAAAAACTACATTGGATAAGCCATAATTGACACTGAAATACTTATTAAATGAATGAATACAAGTCTATACCTGCAGGATAGTCACTTAAATTTTTTATTCTTTTTTTTTTTTTTTTTTTTTTTTTTTTTTTTTTTTTTTTTGAGATGGAGTTTCACTCCTGTTGCCCAAGGTGTAGTGCAGTGGCACGATCTTGGCTCACTGCAACCTCTGCCTCCTGGGTTCAAGCAGTTCTCCTGCCTCAGCCTCCCAAGTAGCTGGGATTACAGGCACCTGCCACCATGCCCAGCTAATTTTTGTATATTTAGTAGAGATGGGGTTTCACCATGTTAGCCAGGCTGGCCTCGAACTCCAGACCTCAAGTGATCCTCCTTGGCCTCCCAAAGTGCTAGGATTACAGGCAGGCAAGATCTGGTCATTTTAAAAAAAGATTTTAGCCCCGGTGCAGTGGCTCAAGCCTGTAATCCCAGCACTCTTGGTAGAGACGGGATTTCTCCCTGTTGCCCAGGCTGGTCTCGAACTCCTGAGTTCAAGTGATTGAGCCGCCTGTGCCTCCCAAAGTGCTAGAATTACAGGCATGAGCCACTGCGCCCAGCCAAATTTGTCATTTAATTTTACCTTCTTTAGGAATATGCAGGATGGGAAATTTTTTTGGGAGGGGGGATGAGAAATATTTATTAAAGTTGGTATGATCTTTTGAAACTGCATATCAGCTGGATGTTGTGGCACAACCAGATATTTCCATATGCTTTAGTTTCTCAGGCAAAAATTATGTCAAAGCTGCTTCTAGTCTCTCATTTTCATAAATACCTTTACTATGTACCAAAGAAGGGAGCCCTATTTTCCCACAAGTCCTTCTGGGATGGTAACTTACCAGAATGATGTATAGCTTTCCCTTGAGGCATATTGGAGTTATAAGGGATAGGAATGAAGGAATTGTAGAGTATGTTGGTAAATAGTTGGACTGATGATAAAGGGAATTATCTTAACTGTGCTGTCCCCCTCCCCAGGGGTGACTAACAGTCCAGAGACCTGCATACAGTCTAATTTTACTATCCAAGTGTCTAATCTGGTAGGTGCTGAGGAAATGGTAGTCCATCCAGTATCCGTATTACTACAAATCACACAGATTATCATCTTAGTTCCAGGGAAGTTTATCCGCTTGAATTACACCTCAGCCAGTGGCAGAGCCATGAAGACACAGTCCAGCCCCCTAAAGTAGAGAGGATTTTGCACTGTTGAGGCTCTAACCACAGAGGAGGCAGGATTCAAGCCTGGGTCCCAAATTCAGCAGACAACTTGGCAAGAGGCCAGGAACTAGCCGGGCGCTGTGGTTTACGCCTGTAATCCCAGCACTGTGGGAGGCCGAGGTGGGTGGATCACGAGGTCAGGAGTTCAAGATCAGCCTGGCCAAACAAGTGAAACCCCATCTCTACTAAAAATACAAAAATTAGCCTGGCATGGTGATGGGCACCTGTAATCCCAGCTACTTGGGAGAGGTAGAGAATTGGTTGAACCCGGGAGGCAGAGGTTGCAGTGAGCCAAGATCACACCACTGCACTCCAGCCTGGCGACAGAGTGAGACTCCATCTCACAAAAAAAAAAAAAAAGCCAAGAACCAAAGTAGAGGCTCATCCATACAGATTTTGAGTGAGGACTAGAGCTTGGTGATGGTGGCATTTCGGATCACACTATATTAAGTACAGTGAAACTAATTGTAAATCCATTGGTGTGGTAAACATTGTTAGGCACAGTTTTGGATTAGCTCAGAGCTTTTATTAATAAAATCTAAGTATTTTAATATATTCAATTAATGTTCGCTAGTGTGAGCCAACTTAATTTCAACTTGAGTGAAATCAAATTCAGAGTAAATCTGGATTTGGAATAAAATAAGAATCTTACTATTCTAGAGATAAACCTTCTGCTCCACAGTTAATTTATTGTTTTCAGACTTGGTCACATTTAGCTCTTGGTTGCCTAGGGCCTCCACTAGTCTGCAGATAAAGATCAACTCAGGAAACTGAGGCCCAGAGGTAAAACTTACGATCCATGAATTTCTTGCTTTCCTGGGCATTCGACATTGATCCAGCAGTACTCTTGCTTATAAGTGAGCTCAAGACCAGTAAACAAAACTAATACTTTTAAAGAGTTCGTGGCTGGGCAACAGTGGCTCACGCCTGCAATCCCAACACTTTGGGAGGCTGAGGTGGGAGGATCACTTGAGGTTAGGTGTTTGAGACCAGTCTGGTCAACATGGTGAAACCCCGTCCCTACTAAAAATACAAAAATAAGCCAGGCATGCTGGTGTGCACCTGTAGTCCCAGTTATTTGGGAGGCTGAGGCAGGAGAATCACTGGAACCAGGGAGGTGGAAGTTTCAGTGAGCCGAGATTGTGCCACTGCAACTCCAGCCTGGTTGACAGAGCGAGACCATGTCTCAAAAAAAAAAAAGAGGCCAGGCATGGTGGCTCACGCCTGTAGTCCCAGCACTTTGGGAGGCCAAGGCGGGCAGATCACGAGGTCAGGAGATCTAGACCATCCTGGCCAACATGATGAAACTGTCTCTACTAAAAAAATAAAAAAAATTAGCCAGGCGTGGTGGTGCACGCCTGTAATCCCAGCTACTTAGGAGGCTGAGGCAAGGGAATCACTCGACCCGGAAGGTGGAGGTTGCAGTGAGCCAAGATCGCACCACTGCACTCCAGCCTGGCAACAGAGCAAGACTCCGTGTTTAAAAAAAAAAAAAAAAAAAAAAGTGTGTTTTATTTAGGAGATCCTAAACTTGTGAATTGTGTGTTAAGAGAAAAAAAAATTGTTCATGCAAAGTGCATGAATATATCAGGAAAGCTTCCTTCCAAGGCTAAAATCTTTTTGTGGTGTAACTAGTTTCTGGCCTAAATCTCATGGGATTTTTTTTCACTCATACTTCTAAGTGGCTATTTTGAAACAGTTATTTTTAGGTATTTAAGCTTTAAAAATGTTTCCAAGCCTAGGTTTAGATATTCTAATTACCTTTTAAATATTTAGCTCTTGGCATTGTTTTACAATGTCGAGAGCAGATGCCTTTCCAATTCAGCAGTTTTAGAACCCATGTGTCCTAGACTCAACATCAAAGAATGCCATATTTTTCTCATCACTTTAATTTTTCTCCTTTATTGCACGACTGCAGTTTCATTATTAACATGTGGTTAAGAGGGTACCTCTTGGTATGAACTTTGTTCTAGGTTCTCAAATTTGGGGGATTAATTTAAATGTCAGAATTAGATTTTTTCAACACCCCCTTTTAAAAAAATTAATTAGCATGAATTTGTATTTTCATGGCCTTTGCCCTGAAAAGTTTTCTGAGCTCCAAAACCAAGTGCAAATTTTGCCTTTCATTACATATATACATACATGTATTTAGTTCCAACAATAATTGATATTGCAGTGTTGCTCTAGCAGTTCAGGCAAATTAAACTTAATATTAAGTTCAGGGAACAACTTTAAGCCATCAAATGCAGGTTATTAAAATACTGATCTAGGCCGGGTGCAGTAGCTTACACCTATAGTCCCAGCACATTAGGAGGCTGAGGCAGGCAGATCGCTTGAGCCCAAGAGTTGGAGACCAGCCTGAGCAACATAGTGAAACCTTATCTTTACAAAAAGTACCAAAATTAGCCAGGCATGGTGGTGTGCACCTGTAGTCCCAGCTACTCGGGAGGCTGAGGTGGGAGGATCACTTGAGCCCAGGAGGCGGAGGTCACAGTGAGCCATGATCATGCCACTCCACTCCAGCCTGGGCAAGATCACAAGACCCAATCTCTAAAAAAAGTAAATTTGTGTAATAAAATATAACAAAACTAAATAAGAGGAATTTGCATGCTCTGGTTCACGATCAGTTCTAAATTTTCAGATTGAAGAAAAACTAAAAACAAAATTATACTTGAGATTAGTTTGCTGCAACAGATTACCCTTTGCAAGGGTCATGTAAGAGTTTGGAAAATTGATATAGCAGTTAGTAATCTAAGCTTCATGAAAATTGGTCATCTCATGTTATTTTCCCCATTCTAAAGATGAGAAAATGCAACTAAAGTAAAAAAGTTCACCTTCGTGTCCCCCAGATAAATGGTAAAGGGCTTAATATTTTTCATCATCTGGCTTCACTAAAACCTCAGATCCACTTCCTAATTAAACCTGCCCTCCCAGTCTTTTTATTAAAGTGTGTTTCCAAATGCAGCTCATTGGTTATCTCTAGCCTTTTTGTTTGCCTTCAGGCAGAGAAAGAGCAGAATCTACTGTTAACACGTAAAGAATTAATATTTCATGGCCATTCATTTTCTTTCTTAAATAGATGGACATATTGTAAGCCAGTCCTGGCCACACAAAGACCACTTGCTGTTTCTGGCTATAACATAAATATTTAATTAAAGGAAAAACTACTCTGAGCCATTCTTTTATAAGGCATAAACTATACTAGCTTTGGGCTACACTTTTGCAATTTCCCAAATCCATCTGTTACTTATCCCAGAGTTTTTGCCAGCTTGGAAAACTTAGGAGGCGTATTCACCTGGGTTTTAGAAATGTTTCCAGGAGGCTGGGTGTGGTGGTGCGCGCCTGTAATCCCAGCACTTTGGGAGGCCAAGGCGGGTGGATCATGTGGTCAGGAGTTCGAGACCAGCCTGACCAACATGTTGAAACACCATCTCTACTAAAAACACAAAAATTAGCTGGGCATGGTGGCAAGTGCCTGCAGTCCCAGCTACTCAGGAGGCTGAGGCAGAAGAATCGCTTGAACCTGGGAGGTGGAGGTTGCAGTGAGCCAAGATCATGCCATTGCACTCCAACCTGGGCAACAGAGCGAGACTCCATTTCAAAAAAAAAATGTTTCCAGGAGATGAATGTGCAATCTTTGAGTTGTTATTTCTAGAAGAGAACCATCCAACCGTCACTATAAGATTCTGGATTTGCAGTTAGGCGTGGTGGCATGCACCTGTAGTCCCAGAACTTGGGAGGCTGAGGCAGGAAGATCACTTGAGTCTAGGAGTTCAAGGCTATAGCACACCATGACTGCACCTGCAAATAGCCACTGCACTCCAGCCTGGACAACATAATATGACCTAGTCTCTTAAAAAGAAATCAGAATTTGGAATAAAATGAGAAGTCTGATATTCCAAAGCTAAGCCTTCAGCTCCACAGTTTGTTTCTGTTACAAGGTTTGGTCATGTTTAGTAGCTGGGACCTCCAATAGTCTGCATAAAGATCACCTTGGGAAACGGAAGCCCAGAGGTAATAATCTATGATTCACAAACGTCTTGCTTTCCCAGGCTTTCAGTGTTGCTTCAGCAGTACTCTTATTTTAAATTATTAAGGATTTGTTGTAAATAAATTATTACTTAAAGATTTTTCTTTAGGCCGGGTGCGGTGGCTCACGCCTGTAATCCCAGCACTTTGGGAGGCCGAGGCAGGTGGATCACGAGGTCAGGAGATCGAGACCATCCTGGCTAACATGGTGAAACCCTGTCTCTACTAAAAATACAAAAAATTAGCCGGGCATGGTGGCACGCACCTGTAGTCCCAGCTACTCAGGAGGCTGAGGCAGGAGAATCACTTGAACCCGGGAGGTGGAGGTTGCAGTGAGCCAAGATCGTGCCATTGCACTCCAGCCTGGGTGACAGAGCAAGACTCTGTCTCAAAAAAAAAAAAAAAAAGATTTTTCTTTAATAGCAAACCAGCTCTTGTTTCCTGGGAGCCAATATTTATGTGCTTGGATAGCAAAGGTTTTAAAGTCTTTACTTCATTAGATTCAGTTGCCCAAGATTATGAAGTCACATATATACTTCTGTTTTGATTATAGAGAGAGATGGCAGTTACTTTGTTAATATACCTATATCCAAAATGACACCTGGAAAAAGTAAGAGGTTGAAGTGTCACAGCATAAGAATAAGAGGGGCTGGGTGCGGTGGCTCATGCCTGTAATCCCAGCACTTTGGGAGGCTGAGGCAGGCGGATTGCTGGAGCCCAGGAGTTCGAGAGTAGCCTGGGCAACATGGCAGAAACCCATCTCTATAATATAAAGTAAGAATAAGAGGTTTCCCATGTGGGGCCTGGTGTGGTGGCTTATGCCTGTAATCCCAGCACTTTGGGAGGCTGAGGCGGGTGGATCACTTCGGGTCAGGAGTTTGAGACCAGCCTGGCCAATATGGTGAAACCCCATCTCTACTAAAAAAAAAAAAAAAAAAAAATTGCCAGGAGTGGTGGCATGTGTCTGTAATCCCAGCTACTCAGGAAGCTGAGGCAGGAGAATCGTTTGAACCCAGGAGGTGGAGGTTGCAGTGAGCCAACATTGCACTACTGGACTATGGCCTGGGCAACAGAGTGATACTCTGTCTCAAAAAAAAAAAAAAAAAGGCCTGTCACAGTGGCTCACGCCTGTAATCCCAGCACTTTGGGAGGCCGAGGTGGGCGGATCACAAGGTCAGGAGATGGAGACCATCCTGGCCAACATGGTGAAACCCCGTCTCTACTAAGACTACAAAAATTAGCCGGGTGTGGTAGCACGCGTCTGTAGTCCCAGCTACTCAGGAGGCTGAGGCAGGAGAATCACTTGAACCAGGGAGGCAGAGATTGCAGTGAGCCAAGGTCGCGCCACTGCACTCCAGCTTGGTAACAGAGCAAGACTCCATCTCAAAAAAAAAAAAAAGAATAAGAGACAGGAACCTAATAAAGGTATAGCATATGGGGTTTAGTCAATGTAGATTAATTGATTGATCTGGCTTGCTAAAACAGATTTCATTCCAATAAAAAATTTAAGAAGAATCCAATTTCTCACTTCATTCTATGCTTAAAATAATAAAATAAAGTTGATTCAGGCCAGCTGTGATTTAATGGTGCTTATATTGATGGTAAAACTCTTCATTAAATGTCTTAAAATAGCAGAGTTGAAAGCCTAATAAGCTGCGGAGTTAGAGCCACTCCTGTCTTGTACTGTTCTTAGCCCTAGTCTTGTCCAGCTTAAAATGTCTTCCATACGTAAAGGGACTTTTTAATATTAACTTTTTAATGTAAATTGCTTTGAGCCAATGTATATTATCCCTACTTAATACATATAATTCCATAGATAAGCATATTCTTTCAGGTTAAGGCAAAGATTCTCATACCTTTGCTAACTACCTTCAAAACAATGCAGTCTCTCAAATGAAAATGGTGATATACCCAAATATTAATTGAGAGCATGACAGATGAAAGATAGAACTTTAATAAGTTTGGGATAAGAAAAAATTATTATGACATAACTTTGGAATTTTCTGTCAATAAGATATAATTACAAGATGGATATAAAAAGTTTTGAACTTATAAAACATGTTTCATAGTATAATGTATCATCTTTATTTAGTATTATTTTATCCCTGTCTTAAACCAACCCTCACCCTAAATTATGCTTCACTCAATCATCTTTGGATGTTGTATGATATGGCTTTTCCTCATCTGCCCACTTCATAGGTGAGAACACTGAGGCAATGAACCAGAACAGTGGTGACTTACCTCAGGTCACACATACACTTAGAAGAATGTTTCCTGGCTGAACCATGTAATACCAACTGAAGACCCTCCCCCGCCTCATAAACAATCTAAAATTTTAGATTGCTCTTCTTAGTTATCATGATAGGTGTCAAATAAAGACAAAATATTTTTGATCCTTTTCATAATGAAGTGGAATTCAGAGAATTTTACTAAAAATTATTCTTTGATAGGCTGTCCTATTTTTGGAAAAATAGTTTAGGATAGATCCAGTGTAAGAATGATGTAAGGCTGAGCACGGTGGCTCATACCTGTAATCCCAGCACTTTGGGAAGCCGAGGTGGGCAGATCACTTGAGGTCAGGAGTTCAAGACCAGCCTGGCCAACATGGCGAAACCCTGTCTCAACTGAAAATACTAAAAACAGCCGAGCATGGTGGTGCGTGCCTGTAATGCCAGCTACTTGGGAGGCTGAGACAGGAGAATCGTTTGAACCTGGGAAGTGGAGGTTGCAGTGAGCCGAGATCGTGCCATTGCTCTCCAGCCTGGGCGACAAAGTGAGACTCTGTATCAAAAAAAAAAAAAAAAAAAAAAAAAAAAGAATGATGTAGCTGGCCAAGTGTGGTGGCTCACGCCTGTAATCCCAGCACTTTGGAAGGCCAAGGCGGTAGGATCACTTAAGCCCGGAAGTTTGAGGCTGCAGTGAGTCATGATTGCACCACTGCACTCCAGTCCAGGTGACACAGTGAGACTCCGTCTTTAAAAAAAAAAAAAAGAAAAAAGATGGCCGGGCGTGGTGGTTTACGCCTGTAATCCCAGCACTTTGGGAGGCCGAGGCGAGTGGATCACGAGGTCAGGAGTTTGAGACCAGCCTGACCAACATGGTGAAACCCCGTCTCTACTAAAAATACAAAAATTAGCTGGGTGTGGTGGTGCACACCTGTAATCCCAGCTACTCAGGAGTCTGAGGCAGGAGAACTGCTTGAACTCAGGAGGCAGAGATTGCGGTGAGCCGAGATTGCGCCACGGCACTCCAGCCTGGGCGACAGAGCAAGACGCTGTCTCAAAAGAGAAAAAAAAGAAAGAAACTGATTTGTTGCCACTTCTGCAATAACTTCATCACTCCTTTCTTGCTCACACTGTATTTCTAGTGCCTTAACATGGTTACTATCAGAAACTTATTTTTGAGCATCTACACTGCTGTTTCACAACCAATTGAGGTTTTTTTTTTTTTTGCATTTTTTTGAGACGGAGTCTTGCTGTGTCACCTAGGCTGGAGTTCAGTGGTGTGATCTTGGCTCACTACAACCACCACTTCCTGGGTTCAAGTGATTCTTGTGCCTGAGCTTCCTGAGTAGCTGCAACTGACTACAGGTGGGCGCCACCATGCCCAGCTAATTTTTTGTATTTTTAGTAGAGACAGGGTTTCACCATGTTGGCCAGGCTGGTCTTGAACTCCTGACCTCAAGTGATCTGCCCACCTCACCCTCCCAAAGTGTTGGGATTACAGGCGTGAGCCACTGTGCTCAGCCACCAATTGAGTTAGGTAAAACATTTGAGGGTGAAGAGTGGATGAATGAAAGCTAAGAGGGCAGACATCTTCATTCTGGGCCTGGCAAGGGAATGTGCTAGACATTTGCGTTGGGAAATGGTATATCAATGTAAAAAATGTGAAATAGGGGCCAGAAGATCTCTTGAGGCCAGGAATGTGAGACCAGCCTGGGCACCATCGTGAGACCCCATCTCTACAATAATTTAAAAATTAGCTGGGCATGGTGGTGTGTGCCAGTAGTCTCAGATACTTGGGAGGCTGGGGTGGGAGAAACATTTGAACCTGGAGGTCAAGGCTGGAGTGAGCTGTGATCATGCCACTGCACTCCAGCCTGGGAGACAGAGCAAGACCCTGTATCAAAAAGAGAAAAATTGTGAAATAAAGTTCTTTTTGCTCACTATTCTCCATCCAAACCCACTAAAAATAAAAAAAATAACAAAATAGAGGGAAAACTCCCACCTCCATCAAAAGGGTAGCCACAGCTACTATGAAGTGAAGGTGCAGGCTGAGTTGACACCTCGCTTCTCATACCTTGAAACAATATGCATCTTTTCCACAAGTGCCAGAGTCTTTTTTTTTTTTTTGAGACAGAGTCTCTCTCTGTTGCCCAAACTGTAGTGCAGTGGCACAATCTCGGCTTACTGCAAGCTCTGTCTCCCGGGTTCACGCCATTCTCCTGCCTCAGCCTCCCGAGTAGCTGGGACTACAGGCGCCCGCCACCAGGCCCGGGTAATTTTTTGTATTTTTAGTAGAGACGGGGTTTCACTGTGTTAGCCAGGATGGTCTCGATCTCCTGACCTCGTGATCCGCCCGCCTCAGCCTCCCAAAGTGCTGGGATTACAGGCGTAAGCCACCGCGCCTGGCATGCCAGAGTCTTAAAACGAATATTCTTGGATTCTTGATTAGAGCAGTCTGATAAAACAGCAAGGTCAGGCCACAGGAGAAGCAAATAATATTCTTACAGAGACTCAGTTTCTGTCCGAGAGGTGGAGCTGGGGATAAACCAAACCATCCCCACTATTTGTATGATCTCTGACCTAGCTTCTTAGTTAAGGTGGAGCTTTAGAGGTGGAATGGGGTGAAGGAGATAGTATTATAGCAATAGATAGAAACCCTGTGACCTAAAGGGCTTTGTCTCAATTTTCTTGAATCCTGAGAGGTGAAGAGAGATGTATCCATAGAGCAAAAGAAATAATAGATTTTGGCCAGGCGCAGTGGCTCATGCCTGTAATCCCAGCACTTTGGGAGACCAAGGCAGGTGGATCACGAGGTCAGGAGTTCAAGACCAGCCTGGCCAAGATAGTGAAACCCCGTTTCTAGTAAAAACACAAAAATTAGCCAGGCATGGTGGCGTGTGCCTGTAATCCCAGCTACTCGGGAGGCTGAGGCAGGAGATGAACCCAGGAGATGGAGGTTGCAGTGATGCCAAGATCATGCCACTGTGCTCCAGCCTGGGTGACAGAGCAAGACTCTGTCTGAGGAAAAAAAAATAAGAGCACACTAGATAAATTCTAAAGATGAAATGTACTTCCCTCTAGGTTTTTTGTAATCCTTTGACTCAGTCTAGGTAGTTGTTTTTTTTTTTGTTTTTTGTTCCTTTGAGGAGGAATTAGTTGAGGATAGAGAGTTCCTTTTTTTAAAATTATTTATGAGACAGGGGTCTCGCTATGTTACCAAGACTGATCTCAGACTCCTGGGTACAGGGCATCCTCCCACCTCAGCCTCCAGAGTAGTTGGGACTACAGACATGACACACCACACCTGGCTATAGCTATGGACATTTCTGTGACAGGGTGAGGTTGCCAGTCAGTCCCCAAGAATAGCCAATCTCTGCCCACCTAGAAGCCCAGGCACCTCAGTAAGTCCTCTCAGGCCAGCTCCTCAGCTCCTCAGCGCTTCCTAAGCGCTTGGTGCTCAGCAATGTGAGGACAGTTTTGTTGTCATTTGCTTGCAATTTTTAAAATTGAAATAAAATTCAAATAGCATTAAAGTCACTATTGTTGGCTGGACGTGGTGTCTTATGCCTGTAATCCCAGCACTTTGGGAGGCCAAGGTGGGTAGACTGCCCGAGCCCAGGAGTTTGAGACCAGCCTGGCCAACACGGTGAAACCCTGTCTCTAAGAAAAATACAAAAAAACGAACCAGGCGGGGTGGCATGCGCCTGTAATCCCAGGTACTCGGTAGGCTGAGGTGGGAGAATCACTTGAACCAGGGAGGCAGAGGTTGCAGTGAGCTGAGATCTTGCCACTAGACTCAAGCCTGGGTAACAGAGCAAGACCCTGTCTCTAAATAAATAAATAACTAGAATCATGCAATGTGTGACCTTTTCCATCTGGCTGCTTTCACTTAGTGTGAGGTTTTCTCTCTCTTTTTTCATAAAACAATGGGTCAAAAGAAAGTAGGATGTTTTTGAGATTCATCCATATTATAGCATGTACTGCATTTATTTATTTATTTATTTATTTATTTATTTAAGACTGAGTCTCGCTCTTGTTGCCCAGGCTGGAGTGCAACGGCACAATCTCGGCTCACCACAACCTCCGCCTCCCAGGTTCAAGCAATTCTCCTGCCTTAGCCTCCCGAGTAGCTGGGATTATAGGCATGCACAACGACGCCTGGCTAATTTTGTATTTTTAGTAGAGACGGGATTTCTCCATGTTGAGGCTGGTCTCTAACCCCTGACCTCAGGTGATCCGCCTGCCTCGGCCTCCCAAAGTGCTGGGATTACAGGCGTGAGCCACTGCGCCCGGCTCTTCATTTGTTTTATTTTATTTTATTTGAGATGGAATTTAGCTCTTGTCGCCCAGGCTCGAGGGCAATGGCATGATCTCAGCTCACTGCAACCTCCACCTCCCGGGTACAAGCGATTCTCCTGCCTCAGCCTCCCAAGTAGCTGGCTATGATTATAGGCATGCGCCACCATGCCCGGCTAATTTTGTATTTTTAGTAGAGACGGGGTTTCTCCATGTTGATCAGGCTGGTCTCAAACTCCCGACCTCAGGTGACCTGCCCGCCTCGGCCTCCCAAAGTGCTGGGATTACAGGCATGAGCCACCGCGCCCGGCTCTTTATTTATTTTTTATGGATGAGTAATTGTGTGGACAAACCTCATTTATCCATTCTTCAATTGAGGGACATTTGCACTGTTTCCACTTGTGGACTATTATGAATAATGCTGCTATGAGGATTCATGCACACATTTTTGTGTGGACATATGTTTTCATTTCTCTTGGATATATAGCTAGGAATGGAATTGCTGGGTCATCCATTGAGTTTTTTAATGTCTTCTTTTTTTTAATTCAAATATTTTAATTTGGTTCTTTTTTGTATCTTCCATTGCTCAGGGTTTTTTGTTTGTTTGTTTTTGTTTTTGTTTAGACAGAGTTTCATTCTATTGCCCAGGCTGGAGTGCAGTGGGGCGATCTCCGCTCAACCTTCACCTCCCAGGTTCAAGTAATTCACCTGCCTCAGCCTTCCAAGTAGCTGGGACTACAGGTGCATGCCACCACACCTAGCTAGTTTTTTTTTTCATTTTTGGTAGAGAGAGGGGTTTCACCAAGTTGGCCAGGCTAGTCTCGAACTCCTGGCCTCAAGTGATCCACCCATTTCGGCCTCCCAAAGTGCTGGGATTAACAGGCGCCAGCCACCATGCCCGACCAAGGTTTTTTATTTCTTTGCTGAGACTTTTTTTAAGTGAAAGCAAGTTTGTTAGAGAAGCAAAGAAATAAAAGAATGGCTACTCCACAGATAGAGAAGCCCCAAGGGCTGCTGGTTGGCTATTTTTTTTTTTTTTTTTGAGATGGAGTCTCGCTCTGTCGCCCAGGCTGGAGTGCAGTGGCGTGATCTCGGCTCACTGCAAGTTCCGCCTCCCGGGTTCACGCCATTCTCCTGCCTCAGCCTCCCGAGTAGCTGGGACTACAGGCGCCCGCCACCGCGCCCGGCTAATTTTTTTGTATTTTTAGTAGAGATGGGGTTTCACCATGTTAGCCAGGATGGTCTCGATCTCCTGACCTCATGATCCGCCCGTCTTGGCCTCCCAAAGTGCTGGGGTTACAGCTGTGAGCCACCGCGCCTGGCCCGGCTATTTTTATGGTTATTTCTCTATCATATACTAAACAAGGGGTGAATTATTCACGAGTTTTCCAGGAAAGGGGCAAGAATTTCCAGGAACTGAGGTTTCCTCCCCCTTTTAGACCACATAGGTACATTGCCATGTCATTTGTAAGCTGTCATGGTGCTAGTGGGAGTGTCTTTTAGCATGCTAATATATTATAATTAGCGTATAATGAGCACGAGGACAATCAGAAGTTGCTTTCTTTGTCATCTTGGATTTTTTTTGTTCCCTGGGATTGAGTGCCACTCTGTCACCCAGGCTGGAGTGCAGTGGTGCGATTCTCATGCCTCAGCCTCCCGAGTAGCTGGGATTACAGGTGCCTGTTGCCACACCCAGCTAATTTTTGGTATTTTTAGTGGAGATGGGGTTTCATCATGTTGGCCAGGCTGGTCTCGATCTCCTGACCTCATGATTCGCCCACCTCAGCCTCCCAAACTGCTGGGATTACAGGCGTGAGCCACCACGCCCGGCCTCAAGTGTGTTTTCGTTGTTGTAGTTTAGAGACGGGGTCTCTCTGTGTTGCCCAGGCTGGTCTTGAACTCCAGGATTCAAGTGATCTCACTGCCTCAGCCTTCCCAGTAGCTGGGACTATAGGCAACTTGCCTGGCACAATCATGTTCTTAATTGCTCACTGAAGTATTTTTACGATGGCTGCTATAAGTGTTACTGGAATGGGGTCCTGATCCAGACCCCAAGAGAGGAAATAATTCGAGGCCAACCCATAGAGTGCAGTGAAAGCAAATTTATTAGGAAAGTAAAGGGAAAAGCAATGGCTACTCTACAGGCGGAGCAGTAACACGGCTGCTGGACTAAGGATACTTACAGTTATTTCTCAATTATGTGCTAAACAAGGGGTGGGTTATTCATGAATTTTCTGGGAAAGAGGTGGCAATTCCCAGAACTGAGGGCTCCTCCCTCTTTTATTTATTTATTTAATTAAAAAAATTTTTTTCCTCCACCTTTCAGACCATATAGGGTAACTTCCTGACGTTGCCATGGCATCTGTAAACTGTCATGGTGCTGGTGGGAGTGTCTTTCAGCATGCTAATGCATTATAATTAGCATATAATGAGGAGTGAGGATGACCAGAGGTCACTCTCATGGCCATCTTGGTTTTGGTAGGTTTTGGCCAGCTTCTTTACCCCAACCTGTTTTATCAGCAAGGTCTTCGTGACCTGTATCTTGCGCTGATCTCCTATCTCATCCTGTGACTTAGAATGCCCAGCCTCCTGGGAATGCTGCCCAGAAGATCTCAGTCTTATTTTACTCAGCCCCTATTCAAGATAGAGTTCCTCTGGTTCAGACGCCTCTCACATAAGTCCTTGTCAGATCATTCTAACATCTGTGTCATGCCTGCGTTTGTATCTGTCCTTTTTTCTTTCTTTCTTTTCTTTTTTTTTTCAAGACAGAGTCTTGTTCTATTGCCCAGGCTGGAGGCAGTGGCATGACCTCAGCTCACTGCCATCTCTACCTCCTGGGTTCAAGTGCTTCTCATGCCTCAGCCTCCCAAGTACCTGGGATTATAGGCACATGCTACCATGCTAATTTTTCCATTTTTTGGTAGTGACGGGGATTCGTCATGTTGGCCAGGCTGGTCTTGAATTCCTGGCCTCAAGTGATCCACTCGCCTCGGCCTCCCAAAGTGCTGGGATTATAGGCATGGGCCACTTCGCACAGCCAGAGTCTGTTCTTGTTCACTTCGAGATCTTCCTGGTTTTTGGTATGACAAGTGGTCTGTAATTGAAACCTGGACATTTTGATATTGTAAAACTCTGGGTTTTATTTAAATCTGGTATTTTAGCCAATACCACTCAAACCTCTGACACCACTCTAGTGGGAGAAAACGGTTGCCACCTTTTTACTGCCAGATCAGGGTGGAAGTCCAGGTTTTCCACTCAGGCACCCTTGACAGTGAAAGGAGAGACAAGTGGGAGGTTGTTGGTGCCTCTGGGTGGGGAGAGAAGTTCAGGCTGTCCACTAGGCCTCTGCTGGTACCACCTTGGCTAGGAAGTAGAAGGGCTCCTTGTTACTGCTTTCCACGTGGCCTCCACTGACACTGCAGAGGGTGGCCTTGTTATTGCAGAGCTGTGGTCAAAGTCCTCACTCCACTAGGCTGCCTCTGACACTACCTCAGTGGGGACGGGAAGGGGTTCTCCCCATGCGGAGCTTGAATTTCTATCCCTAGCTGGTACCAGTAGAAGTCCGAGCTCCCCATGTGGTCTCCTCTGACACTGTCTGGGATGGGGTGCTCCCCACTGTGCCTTCTCCATCACCACTGCACAAGTTGGGTGGGGCATGAGGACAACTGGGGATACATCTTTACAACCTGGCAAGGGTGGCAGTCTAGGCTCTCCAACTGGCCTTTACTTGTGAGATGTGGGTGGAGCCAGTTTTTTTCTATGAGGTTTAGCTAGAGTAGAGTGGGTATCATGTATAAGTTTTCAGTCTTGAGGCCAGGTGCTGTGGCTCACGCCTGTAATCCTAGCACTTTGGGAGGCCGAGGTGGGTGGATCTTGAGGTCAGGAGATCGAGAACATCCTGGCTAACACGGTGAAACCCTGTCTCTACTAAAAATACAAAAAATTAGCTGGGCGTAGTGGTGGGCACCTGTAGTCCCAGCTACTCGGGAGGCTGAAGCAGGAGAATCGCTTGAACCCAGGAGGTGGAGATTGGAGTGAGCTGAGATCGTGCCACTGCACTCCAGCCTGGGCAAAAGAGTGAGACTCCGTCTCAAAAAAAAAAAAAAAAAAAAAAAGTGGTAATAGGCCTGGGTGCAGTGGCTCACACCTGTAATCCCAGTACTTTGGGAGGCCAAGGCAGGTGGATCACCTGAGGTCAGGAGTTCAAGACCAGCCTGGTCAACATGGTGAAACCCCATCTCTACTAAAAATACAAAAAATTAGCCGGGTGTGGTTGCAGGCACCTGTATTCCCAGCTAATAGGGAGGTTGAGGCAGGAGAATCCCTTGAACCCAGGAGGCAGAGGTTGCAGTGAGCCAAGATTGTGCCATTGCACTCCAGCCTGGGCAACAAGAGGGAAACTCAGTCTCAAAAAAAAAAAAAAAAAAGTAATAGGTGGAATGTGAGAAGGGAGAAAGCAACAGTTTGTTTTTCAATTAATTTCAGGGTGAGAGGAAAGAGAGCCAAGGCATGCTTTCTCCCCTCCCATAAGAAAGCAGAAAAAAGAGAAAGTTGGGGCTAGAGGGCAGGGTCTTCACTGGAAACAGAGTTCCTTTGAGATCTGGGCACCTGGAGTGCAGCCAGCTCATTTTTGATGGGATTTGCATGTAAATAGTGGGATATGAGGCCCAGCTTTACACCCTCTGTTATAATAAAACCAAAGAGAAGTGGTTTCTCCTTTATAATCCTGAAACTAGGTTTGGCATCTTGCCTTAGGCTTTCATACTTTCTTCTTTTTTTTTTTTTGGTAGCCGGAAGGGTTAGTCTGATTTTCCATGTTTCAAATTATAAGAATTTTGCTAACTTGCTCCTGTGCCAGGGGGCTTGGTTGCAAGCTTTCTTGACAGACTGGGGCTCTAGCATTCTTTCAAGGAAGTAACATTTTTAGGCTTTGAGACCTGCCATTTGACCCCAAGTCTAATGGGGTGATAGAATGGTGGGGTCTCCTCATTTTGGTTAGAAAGCTTATTGGCTTTGATGGCCCCAAGTGCAGGAGAGCCAGCTGCCTTAACTTCCTTCAAACCAAAAATTATTGAGGCCTTTCTTTGTTGTAGAATTTTTGGAAAGTATAGAAAAGCTCAAAGAAAGAAAGAAAGAAAGAAAATTGCTGTAATCTCACCACCCAGAATAATTTCTGTTAACATAATGATCATTATTCCAATCCTCAATCAATCCTCCTCAAACATTATGGGATGTTTTCAATGCTTCGTGGGTGTTTGTTCTTTTAAGAAAGTGGGGAAAGGCAGAGTACTGGGAAGTGTGAACTGGCTCCTCACCTCAGAATCAAAGGATTTTCCTGTAATCCCAGCACTTTGTGAGGCTGAGGCGGGCAGATGACTTGAGCTCAGGAGTTCGTGACCAGCCTGGGAAACAAAGTGAGACTCCCCCTGTCTCTACAAAAAATACAAAAATTAGCCGGGCATGGTGGCGCATGCCTGTGGTCCCAGCTACTAGGAAGGCTGCAATGGGAGGATGGCTTGAGCCTGGGAGGCAGAGGTTGCAGTGAGCTGAGATTATACCACTGTACTCTAGCCTGGGCAACAGAGTGAGACCCTGTCTCCAAAAAAGAAAGAAAAGAAAGAAAAAAAAGATTTCTACAGACCCTGCTTCTACAAAAAAAAAAAAAAAAAAAAAACAACAACAAAAAACCCAAAAACAAAAATTAGCTGGTCATGCTGGTGGCATTCCTGTAGTCCCAGCTACTTGGGAGGCTGAGGTGGGAGGATCGCTTTAGCCTGGGAGGTCGAGACTGTAGTGAGCCAAGATTGCACCACTGCACTCCAGCCTGGGTGACAGAACTAGACCTTACCCCTGCTCACCCCAAAAAAGGATTTCTAGTAGTCAACTTTTCACTGTTCCAACTAAGAATCTTTTTTTCTCCAATAAATATATATATATATTTTTGGCCTCTTGCCACTGACCATTGCAAAGACAAAGCAAATGAATTATTTTTTTCTTTTCTTTTCTTTTTTTTTTTTTTTTTGAGACAGAGTCTTGCTCTGTCACCCAGGCTGGAGTGTAGTGGCATGACCTCAGCTCACTACATCCTCCACTTCCTGGGTTCAAGTGATTCTCCTGCCTCAGCCTCCTGAGTAGCTGGGATTACAGGTGCCTACCACCATGCCCATCTAATTTTTTTGTATTTTTAGTAGAGAAGAGGTTTCTCTATGTTGGCCAGGCTGGTCTCAAACTCCTGACTTCAGGTGATCCACCCACCTAGGCCTCCCAAAGTGCTGGGATTACAGTTGTGAGCCACTGCGCCGGGCCAAATGGAATAAATGTTTTAAAAAGGTATTAAATGTCCTTCCCTAACAAAGTCTCCTTTGATCAAAACTTTAGTTGAACTCTTCTGAGTCCCTTCTGACTAGGCCTCACACTGGACTTCCCTCTCTGTCCTTGTGGAATCCAGTTTGAGCGAGAATCGTCAATTTAGTGAAAATCGCCTACCCTCGATACCTGACCACCCTCACTATCTTATTACCCTGTCCTGCTTTCAGCAAGAATTTTGTTGAGTTGTTTTAACAAGGATCCCACTTAGAGGCTGGGCGGGGTGGCTTACACCTGTAATCCCAGCACTTTGGGAGGGCAAGGCAGGCAGATTACTTGAGGTGATGAGTTCGAGACCAGCCTGGCCAACATGGAGAAATACCTTCTCTATCAAAAAACACAAAAATTAGCCAAGCGTGATGGTGTCCGCCTGTAATCCCAACTACTCGGGAGGCTGAGGTAGGAGAATCACTTGAACCCATGAGGCGGAGGTTGCTGTGAGCCGAGATAGCCCCACCGCACTCCAGCCTGGGTGAGAGTGAGACCCCCTCTCAAAAAGAAAGAAAGGAAAAAGAATCCTACTTACCCTTGATGTTTCCTCTTAGTAACTTTCCTTGTTGGACAAGAGGGGAGTCGAGTCCCCTCCCTCCCCCACTGCAAGACCCCATTGCAGTAGTTCCTATACCTATCGCCATGGTCTCCCTAAATAAAGCCTTCCTGTTACTATCTTTAGCAAGGGTCACAAATGTCTTTTTCTTTAACATCCCCTGCCCCTCATCTCCTTTTCTCTCTCTTTTTTTTTTTTTTGAAATGGAGTCTTGCTCTGTCGCCAGGCTGGAGTGCAGTAGTGCCATCTCGGCTCACTGCCAGCTCCGCCTCCCAGGTTCAAGCGATTCTCCTGCCTCAGCCTCCCGAGTAGCTGGGACTACAGGCACATGGCACCAAGCCCGGCTAATTTTTATATTTTTTAGTAGAGACAGGGTTTCACCGTGTTGGCCAGGATGGTCTCGATCTCTTGACCTCGTGATCTGCCCACCTTGGCCTCCCAAAGTGCTGGGATTACAGGCGTGAGCCACCCTGCCCAGCCTTTTCTCTTTTTCTTTAACATCCCCTGCCCTTCAACTCCTTTGAGTCAACACAGTTGTTTAGCAAAGCCTCACATTTCCTTCTGAGAACTAGAAAGAAGCGTCTCCAGGTTTGTTTGTTTGTTTGCTTCCTGGGCAAGGGGAAGAAAGGTGCTGTAGAAGAGGAAATGGTTCTAATAAAGATAATCCAGATAGGAAATGCTTTCTAAATCAGCCTTAAGTGTCAAGGCTTGTCGGAGTTAAGGGAAGGGAACTTCAGCTTATGAATTTTGGTATGAAAAAAATCTGAGGTTGTGAATCCAAACATCATCCTGAGTACATATGTGCTATAAACAGACTCCAGAGAAACTACGGACATCCAAATGTCTGGGTATGTGAGGAGACCTGTTCCTTGAGGCTCTATCCTGGACATTGACTATTGGATAACCGAGTGATTCACCCTCTAAACCAGAAATGCTCCTGTGTATGGTAAACCAGGCTAGTGAGAAAGCAGCAAAAACAGTATTATTTTGTAACAAGTACTAATTAAATTTGATTTGATTCAGGTTGAAGAAATCCTTGTGCCTGACACTAGGCTCGGTGCCAGGGCCCTCAAGGAATCTCAGGTTGCCTGATGAGACAGGTAACTACATATTATAGCTCTTATCAGACAATCTAACAGGGCTAAAAGTTAAAAGGGTTAACAACATCTTGGAGAGCAGATGAAATTTTTCTGTATGTGTCACAGATTTTATGAGCTGGGTTTTGTAGGATAATACCTGGTGGAAAGGGGCAAAGGCCTTCTAGGCAGAAGAAATAATGTGAGCAAAGATGGTGGGAGCATGTGCTCTTGGAAGGTTTGTACTGTGTGGCGGGAGCATGAGGTCCTCGGTGTGGACTAGGAGAGCACTGATGGAAGTGGAAATGAAGCTAAAAGGGCAGGCTAGGGTCCAGAGTGTGAAAAACACTGATTGCCTTACTTAGGAGAGGTATAAGGCATACATGAATATCAACAGGTCAAACTTATCTTCTGTAGAGGTTATAATAAAGCAGGTATGAATTTGTTTCCCTTCAGGTTGAGTTTTCTTTTTCTTTACTTTCTTTTTTTTTTTGAGACAGGGTCTCACTGTGTGGCCCAGGCTGGAGTGCAGTGGTGAGATCACAGTTCACTGCTGCCTCGACCTCCCAGGTTCAAGAGATCCTCCCACCTCAGCCTCCGAGTAGCTGGGACTACAGACACACACCAGCATGCCTGGCTAATTTTTAAAAATAGTTTTGTAGAGATGGGGGTCTACTATGTTGTCTAGGCTGGTCTTGAACTTCTGGGCTCAAGTGATCCTCCTGCCTCAGCTTCTCAAAGTGTTGGGATTACAGGCATGAGTCACTGCACCTGGCCTCAAGTTGAGTTTTCTTTTTTTTTTTTTTTTTTGAGACAGAGTCTTGCTCTGTCGCCCAGGCTGGAGTGCAGTGGCGTAATCTTGGCTAACTGCAAGCTCTGCCTCCTGGGTTCACGCCATTCTCCTGCCTCAGCCTCCCAAGTAACTGGGACTACAGGCTCCTGCCACCATGCCCAGCTAATTTTTTACATATTTTAGTAGAGATGGAGTTTCACCATGTTAGCCAGGATGGTCTCGATCTCCTGACCTCGTGATCCACCCACCTCGGCCTCCCAAAGTGCTGGGATTACAGGCATGAGCCACCGTGCCTGGCCCTCAAGTTGAGTTTTCTAAACCAAATAAAATCTGACTCCCAGCCCCAGAAAATGGGGAAAGGCACCCTGATGCTTATGATGGTTACCTTAGTACCTGCGGCCATGGGGTACGGATGTGGAGGGCTACTCCTCCACCTCCACCAACCACCAAGCTCCAAAGCTCTATGTTGGCTCAAAAAGGCCCTACAATGGTCCTTACTGCATTGCCTCAGAGACATCTTGGAGTCTAGTCTCCATAAGCACAGGCAAGTTTCCCTCCATATGGCATACTCCTGGGGTCACTCTCTCAGTTCATTGTAAGGCACTGGCCACCTCTCATTCCCTCCTCTCTAGGATAAGCCATCTTAATCTTCCTCAATGATTCTTTTTTTTTTTTTTTTTTTTTTTTGAGATGGAGTTTTGCTCTTGTTGCCCAGGCTGGAGTGCAATAGTGCAATCTCGGCTCACTGCAACCTCCACCTCCCAGGTTCAAGTGATTCTGCTGCCTCAGCCTCTCAAGTAGCTGGGATTACAGGCACGAGCCACCATGCCTGGCTAATTTTGTGTTTTTAGTAGAGACAGGATTTCTACATGTTGGTCAGGCTGGTCTCAAACTCCCGACCTCAGGTGATATGCCCACCTCAGCCTCCCAAAGTGTTGGGATTACAGTTGTGAGCCACTGCTCCAGGCCCAACGGTTCTTTTTTTAGACAGGGTCTCACTCTGCCGCCCAGGCTGGAGTGCAGTGGCGTGATCTTGGCTCACTGCAGCCTCAACCTCCCGGGCTCAAGCAATTTTCCCACCTCAGCCTCCCAAGTAGCTGAGACTACAGGTGTGAGCCACTACGCCCAGCTAATTTTTTGTAGATATGGGGTTTTGCTATGTTGCCCAGCCTGGTCTTGAACTCCTGAGCTCAAGCAATCTTCTTGCCTGGGCCTCCCAAAGTGCTGGGATTATAGGCATGAACCACTGTACCCAGACCTTCAATGGTTCTGAAGCGGAAAACCCTTCTTTTTTTTTTTTTTTTTTTTTGAGACAGAGTCTTGCTCTGTCACCCAGGCTGGAGTGCAATGAATGGTGCAATCTCTGCTCACGGCAACCTCTGCCTCCTGGGGCCAAGCAATTCTCCTGCCTCAGCCTCCCAAGTAGCTGGGACTACAGGTGCGCAACACCATACCTAATTTTTTGTATTTTTAGTAGAGATGGGGTTTCACCATGTTGGCCAGGCTGGTCTCGAACTCTTGACCTTGTGATCCACCCACGTAGGCCCCCCAAAGTGTCGGGATTACAGGCGTAAGCCACCATGCCCGGCTCTTTGTTTTGTTTTTTGTTTTTGAGACAGGGTTTCACTCCCTTCACCTAGTCTGGAGTGCAGTGGTGCAATCTCAGCTCACTATAGCCTCGACCTCCTGGGCTCAGGTTTCTCCCACCTCAGCCTCCAGAGTAGTTGGGACTACAGGCGTGTGTCCCACCATGCTTGGCTAATTTTTGTATTTTCAGTAGAGATGGGATTTTGCCATGTTGGCCAGGCTGGTCTTGAACTCCCGGGATCAAGCAATCACTGCCTTACCCTCTTAGTGTTGGGATTACAGGTATGAGCCACCGCACCCGGCCTTGCTCTTTTTTTTTTTTTTTTTTTTTAAACAAAACAAAACAAAACAAACCTTTTATATTAGGTTCAAGGGTACATGTGCAGGTTTGTTATACAGGTAAATTGCATGTCACAGGGGTTTGGTGTGCAGATTATCTCATCACCCAGGTAATAAGCATAGTAGCTGATGGGTAGTTTTTCAATCCTCTCACTCCTCCTGCCCTCCAACCTAAAGTAAGCCTCTGTCTGTTGTTCCTTTCCTTGTATCCATGTGTACTCAATGTTTAGCGCTGACTCATTTTTATTTTATTTTTATTTTTATTTTTATTTTGAGACAGAGTCTCACTCTGTCACCCAGGCTGGAGTGAGTGGCACAATCTTGGCTCACTGCAACCTCCGCCTCCTGGGTTCAAGGGGTTCTCCTGTCTCAGCCTCCTGCGTAGCTGAAATTACAGGAGTGTGCTATTTGTGTGTGTGTGTGTTTTTAGTAGATATGGGGTTTCACCATGTTGGCCAGGCTGGTCTTGAACTCCTGCCCTCAAGTGATCCACCTGCCTCAGCCTCCCAAAGTGCTGGCATTACAGGTGTGACCCACCATGCCCGGCCTAGCTCCCACTTATAAGTCAGAACATGTAGTATTTGGTTTTCTGTTCCTGTGTTAGTTTGCATAGGATAATGGCCTCCAGCTCCATCCATGTTGCTGCAAATGATATGATCTTGTTCCTTTTTATGGCTATGTAGTATTCCATGGTGCATATGTACATTTTCTTTATCCAATCTGTTCATGGTCATTTAAGTTGACTCCATGTCTTTCTTATTGTCCCAAAACTCTTTATAGATCCTGTGTCCTGTCCCATGAAAGCCCACTGTACTTTTGGAGTCAATAGCAAATTGGATGAGCTAAATAAATCTTCACAAATAATGTGATAATGGGAGAGGCAATGTATGTACCCTTTTTTTTTGAGACGGAGTCTCACCGGCCCCCCCGCTGAAGTGCAGTGGCGTGATCTTGGCTCACTGCAACCTCTGCCTCCCAGGTTTAAGCAATTCTCTGCCTCAGCCTCCTGAGTAGCTGGGATTATAGGTGCCCACCACCACGTCCAGCTAATTTTTGTATTTTTTAGTAGAGACAGGGTTTCACCATCTTGGCCAGGCTGGTCTCGAACTCCTGACCTTGTGATCAGCCCACCTCGGCCTCCCAAAGTGTTGGGATTACAGGCATAAGCCACCGCGCCTGGCCATATGTACCCTTAAAAGTGGACTTTGGAGACATCTCCTTTCCTAGGCTGGAGCTGTCTGGGCAGGGATTTCAGGCCTGACAAGATGGGCAAGAGAGATCATGTGGAAACAGGAGAGAAGTAAATTTTTATAAAATTACTCTGGAGGGAATAAATTGGACAGTCAAACTCAACATGGACAGTCATTCTCAAAATGACCAAAGCTGATCTCTTAATGTCCTGATACATGTTTTTAAATAACTTTTTAAAAATTTGAACTTAAATTTTTTATTTTATAAATAGAGATGGAGTCTTGCTGTATTATCCAGGCTGGTCTTGAAGAACTCCTGACCTCAAATGCTCCTCCTGCCTCAGCCTCCCAAAGCGCTAGGATTATAGGCATGAGCCACTGCACCAGGCCTTACTTTTATTTCTTTTGAGAGGGAGTCTTGCCATGTTGCCCAGGCTGGAGTGCAGTGGCTATTCACAGATGCAATCATAGTTCACTTCACTTTGGAACTCCAGGGTTCAAGCCATCCTCCCGCCTCAGCCTCCTGAGTAGCTGGGACTACCACAGCATCCAGCTTTCAAACTTTTTTTTTTTTTTTTGAGACAGAGTCTCACTCTGTCGCCCAGGGTGGAGTAGAGTGGTACGATTTTGGCTCACTGCAACCTGTCTCCCAGGTTCAAGTGATTCTCCTGCCTCAGGCTCCCGGGTAGCTGGACTAGAGGTGCCCGCCACTACACCAGGGTAATTTTTGTGTTTTTAGTAGAGATGTAGTTTCACCGTGTTGGCCAGGCTGGTCTTGAACTCCTGGCCTCAGGTAATGCGTCTGCCTCGGCCTCCCAAAGTGCTGGGATTACAGGCATGAGCCACAGTGCCTGGCCTGAAACTTTTTAATGACTACATAGTAGAATCACTGGATTTTATATAGTGTTTAGAATCCTTGGCCGGGAGCAGTGGCTCATGCATGTAATCCCAGCACTTTTGGAGGCAGAGGCGGGCAGATTACCTGAGGTCAGGAGTTCAAGACCAGCCTGGGCAATGTGTCCAGAACTGGTTCCTTCCGGTGGGTTCCTGGTCTCGCTGACTTCAAGAATGAAGCCGTGGACCCTCACGGTGAGTGTTAAAGTTCTTTTTTTTTTTTTTTGAGACGGAGTCTCACTCTGTCGTCAGGCTGGCGTGCAGCAGCACAATCTCCGGCTCACTGCAACCTCTGCCTCCCGGGTTCAAGCGATTCTCCTGCCTCAGCCTCCTGAGTAGCTGGGATTACAAGCGCATGCCACCACACCCAGCTAATTTTTGTATTTTTAGTAGAGACGGGGTTTCCTCATGTTGGCTAGGATGGTCTCGATCTATTGACCTCGTGATCCTCCCGCCTCGGCTGCCCAAAGTGCTGGGATTACAGGCATGAGCCACCACGCCTGGCCCAAAGTTCTTAAAGATGGTGTGTCCGGAATTTGCTCCTTCAGATGTTCAGATGTGTCCAGAGTTTCTTCCTTCTGGTGGGTTTGTGGTCTCGCTGGCTTCAGGAGTGAAGCTGCAGACCTTCGCAGTGAGTGTTACAGCTCATAAAGGCAGTGCCTACCCAAAGAGTGAGCAGCAGCAACATTTATTGCAAAGAGCAAAAGAACAAAGCATCCACGGCATGGAAGGGGACCCAAGCCAGTTGCCACTACTGGCAGGGGTAGCCTGTGTTTATTCCCTTATTTGGCCCCACCCACATCCTGCTGATTGGTCCATTTTACAGAGAGCTGATTGTCCATTTTACAGAGTGCTGATTGGTCCATTTTTACAGAGTGCTGATTGGTGCATTTACAAACCTTTAGCTAGACACAGAGCGCTGACTGGTGCATTTACAATCCTTTAGCTAGACAGAAAAGTTCTCCAAGTCCCCACTTGATTAGCTAGACACAGAGCACTGACTGGTGCATTTACAAACCTTTAGCTAGACACAGAGTGCTGATTGGTGCATTTACAATCCTTTAGCTAGACATAAAAGTTCTCCAAGTGCCCACCCGACCTGGAAGCCCAGCCGGCTTCACCTCTCAGCAACATGGTGAAACCCAGTCTCTACTAAAAATACAAAAATTAGCCAGATGCAGTGGTGGGCTCCTGTAATCCCAGCTACTCTGGAGGCTGAGGTAGGAGAATTGCTTAAACCTGGGAGGTGGAGGTTGCAGTGAGCCAAGATCGTGCCACTACACTCCAGCCTGGGCAACAGAGTGAGACTCTGTCTCAAAAAACAACAACAAAAAAGAATACTCCATATTTCTCAGGCATACAGAGACCATTGCAAATATAAGATAAAAAATAATTCCATCTTGACATTTTTTAGTTCCAATGTGACTTGACTACTCATGTGCCACTTTAAGTGAAGAATGATACTAATTCTTTTTAAATGCTTCTTTGTCTGATCTGCAGAGATCACAAAGATGGAAAGCCCTTAAGCATTTCTGTTTCTTGGCCAGGCGTGGTGGCTCATGCCTGTAATCCCAGCACTTCTGGAGGCCAAGGCGGGCGAATCACCTGAGATCGGAAGTTCGGGACTATCCTGACCAACATGGTGAAACCCCATCTCTACTAAAAATACAAAAATTAGCTGGGTATAGTGGTGGGCGCCTGTAATCCCAGCTACTTGGGAGGCTGAGGCAGGAGAATCACTTGAACCTGGGAGGCGGAAGTTGTAGTGAGCCGAGATGGCACCATTGCACTCCAGTCTGGGCAACAGAGTGAGACTCCATCTCAAAAAAAAAAAAAAAAAGATTTTCTGTTTCTCTAGTTATGCCATGGAACACAAAACCATTCAGGTCAGAGGCCCACAGCTTCTCATTTAACTTTTAAGACATACTCCATTTTGTAGGAGCTTGGGGATATTCAGGAAGTAGCTGACCCTTTAGGGAAAAAATGGCTAAGTATTTGGCTGTAGTTTAAAATTTTTCTCCTTAAATTATCTTCCTCTTCTTTTGTTAATTGGACTGTTAATTGAACTAGCTTAAGTAAAATGATAAGAGAATTTCAGCTGGGCATAGTGGCTCATGCCTATAATCCCAGCACTTTGGGAGGCCGAGGCAGGCAGATTGCTTGAGCTCAGCAGTTTGAGACCAGCCTGGGCAACATGGCAAAACCCCATCCTACAAAAAGTGCAAAAAAATTAGCTAGGGGTCGTAGTGTGCACCTGTAGTCCCAGCTACTCGGGAGGCTGAGGTGGGAGGATTGCTTGAGCCCAGGAGGTTGAGGCTACAGTGGGCAGAGGTGGTGCCACTGCACTCCAGCCTAGGTGACAAAGTGAGACTTTGTCTCAAAAAAAAACCAAAAAAAAAAAAAAAAGGAATTTCATACATCTGAACAAAAGGTTCTAATGCTTAAGACAGTTCTACCTAATAATTTCAGGCCATGAAACCTCATAGCTAGATTCTGCCTTGCAGCATCCTTGCGGCTGTAGCCCCTGCTAACAAGGCTTTATTGTTTCTGTGTATTTCCAATTCAAATTCTTAGGAGAAAGAATCACACTTAGGACTTCTGACACCAGGCCACGGTCCAGTAAGTCAGGGTATGGCCTTGTCCTCATCAGGTGTGTGGGCAAGAAGACACTGGGATCACCTCCTCACCCTCCAGTAGTTTTGTCTTCACGGGCAAGTTGCCTAAACTCACTAAGCTTTCGTTTCTCCTGGGGAAGTCATGGCTTAATAATATTATCCCTTTTGGAGAACTAATTTTTGGATAAAATTAGTTCACATATGTAAAATTCCTTAGTACAGTTCTAGGCACAAACTGAGCTGAGAGTAAATGGAAATTATCACCGACCTTATTACAATGGGAAAGATGCTGTACTATATGCTACAGATATTGAGCCCAAAGTCATGGTTCTCCAGTATGGGGACACAGGAAGGCCACCCTTGATCCAGCAAGATGAGAGTGCCACGATAGAACCCAGAAGAAGAGAAGCTTTACCCCTCTTGAGAGTATACATGCATAGGAGTTCACTGTGTTTGTCCTATGGGCTGTATCCATCCATCCACCTCAGAATCAGAATTCAGATGTGAGATGGTAGTCTCAGGTTCACGTGATTATTTGCATTGAAAGTGAAGTCAGACTTATTTGTCATAGGGAAGCCTTACTTGGCAGTTGTCTGAGTACATTTCTTACTACCTGTGTGACTGGGAAACACTTCTTAATCCAACTAGCTGCAAGTCCCTCATCTGTAAAAACAAAACAAAACAACCAGGGATAATAATATTAATAGTAAACACAGAGTTGGCAGGCATGGTGGCTCATGCCTATAATCCCAACACTTTAGGAGGCCAAGGTGGGCAGATTGCTTGAGCCCAGGAGTTCAAGACCTGCCTGGGCAACATGGTGAAACCTCCTCTCTACCAAAAATACAAATATTAGCTGGGTGTGGTGGCATGCACCTGTGGTCCCAGGTACTCCGGAGGCTGAGGTGGGAGGACACTTGAGCCCGGAGGACCAGGCTGCAGTGAGCCTCGCCACTGCACTCCAGTATGGGTGGCACAGCATGGGTGACAGTCTCAAAAAAAAAAAGACAGTCTTGAAATTAATGGCCCCAGCATATAGTGTTCAATAAATGTTAGCTATTGTTATTATCTATCATTTATTGCGTGCTTACTGGGGGCAGGGTATAAATTATCTCCATGTTTATAGTTTTTATTGAGGACTGATGAGCTGAGGGAGTGGGAAGTCTGGAATGACTCCTAGATTTTGCCAAGCACCTCTGCTCCCTCACAGTACTGTGTTCTGGTACCAAGCATAATGCCCTTCCTCTTCTTCTTCTTTTTCTTTTTTTCCCGAGAGGGAGTCTTGCTCTGTCACCCAGGCTGGAGTGCGGTGGCACCATCTCAGCACACTGCAACCTCCGCCTCCGCGTTTAAGCAATTCTTCTGCCTCAGCCTCCCTGAGTAGCTGGGATTACAGGCGCGTGCCACCACATCCGGCTAATTTTTGTATTTTTAGTAGAGATGGAGTTTTACCTTGTAGGTCAGGCCGGTCTCGATCTCCTGACCTCGTGATCCGCCCACCTCGGCCTCCCAAAGTGCTGGGATTACAGGCATGAGCCACCGCGCCTGGCCCCTTCCTCTTCTTTTAACATGTTGTATTTTCAAATGGGTTTTTTTCTCAAGGAGCCCTCCCGCTGGGCCTCAGTCTGGGTCCTCAGTCTGAATCGGCCTTCACTGCTTTGAGGCACAGGTCACATTCTACCGCCACGCATCACAAGCTCTCCCTTTGCCTCTGGGGCAGGACGGTGTCCGTCTTTTCAGAATGTCCACATCTAACCCAGGGCAGAATCCTACGATATCACCACAGCGCCACACCAATCAGGGTGGCACCTCTCCACTCTGCTTTCCTCAGCACTCAAGAGTATGGGATATCCCCGGGGTAGGACCAGATCCTACAACTTCAGAAAGTCATGGATGAGGCCGGCCGGGCGCCGTGGCTCACGCCTGTAATCCCAGAACTTTGGGAGGCGGAGGCGGGCGGATCACGAGGTCAGGAGATCGAGACCATCCTGGCTAACACCATGAAACCCCGTCTCTACTAAAAATACAAAAAATTAGCCGGGCGTGGTGGCGGGCACCTGTAGTCCCAGCTGCTCGGGAGGCTGAGGCAGGAGAATGACGTGAACCAGGTAAGCGGACCGTGCAGTGAGCCGAGATCGCGCCACTGCACTCCAGCCTGGGCGACAGAGTGAGACTCCGCCTCAAAAAAAAAAAAAAAGAAAGTCATGGATGAAAGGGTCCTTAGTTTATTATCCTGTGAAATAGTAGCTGGGACATTTCTGAGGCCCAGAGAAGGGAAATAACTTGAATGAACAGGTTGGGAGCAGGCCAGGCGATGTGGCGGGCACCTGTAGTCCCAACTCGGGAGGCTGAGATCAGAGGATCGCTTGAGCCCAGAACTCAGTGAATAGCCACTGCACTCCAGCCTGGGCAACACAGCGAGACCTCGACTCAAAAAACAAAAATAGAAACAAACAACTAGCTTAGGCGCAGAACTGAGACTCAAACCTAGGTTTCCTGCTCAACCCCCACACCTCCCAGGCCCCCGCTGACACCCTCAGGCTGTTCCTCGTGGTTGCTAACTTGGAACGGCCCCAAAGCCAGGTCGAAGGCGAGTCTCCCCGCCCTGGGGACTCCTGGCGCTGCAGTTCGCACGGCGGATGGACGCAGTCAGGTTCTCCAGGGAGCTGCGAGGAGCCCCAGGACTTGGAAAAACCCCAGAGCGCGCCCCTGGGGGAAGGGGAGCTCGGGACCTCGAGGCGGCTGGAAGTCGAGGGCATCGCCAGGGGGCCGAGTTGGGCCCGGGTGTGGAGAACGAAGCCGAACGCTGGGCTCTGGATTCTCCTCCAGAGCGCTCCGCCGGCCTAAGCACGGCCGCCCCACCCCCGGCCCGCCAGGCGCAGTCGGCCCCGCCCCCTGGAGCTCCGTTCCCCCGGCAGCCAGCGCCGCGGACCCGCGCGCAGTCGGCCGATCCTCCCGCCGAGCGAGCGGCGTCGTAGCCGCCGCGCTCGCCGAGGCCCTGCGTTGCGGGCTCCCGGCCGCCGGCGAAAGCATGGCCCGGCCCGTGCAGCTGGCGCCGGGCTCGCTGGCGCTAGTGCTGTGCCGGCTGGAGGCGCAGAAGGCGGCGGGGGCCGCGGAGGAGCCTGGTGGGCGCGCGGTGTTCCGCGCTTTCCGTCGCGCCAACGCGCGCTGCTTCTGGAACGCGCGGCTGGCGCGCGCCGCCTCGCGGCTGGCCTTCCAGGGCTGGCTGCGGCGGGGGGTGCTGCTGGTGCGCGCGCCCCCCGCCTGCCTGCAGGTGCTGCGCGATGCCTGGCGGCGCCGGGCCCTGCGGCCGCCGCGCGGCTTCCGCATCAGGGCGGTGGGTGAGTGCGGGACCCGGAGGGGAGGGGCGTCCCGGCCCGTGCAGCTGGCGCCGGGCTCGCTGGCGCTAGTGCTGTGCCGGCTGGAGGCGCAGAAGGCGGCGGGGGCCGCGGAGGAGCCTGGTGGGCGCGCGGTGTTCCGCGCTTTCCGTCGCGCCAACGCGCGCTGCTTCTGGAACGCGCGGCTGGCGCGCGCCGCCTCGCGGCTGGCCTTCCAGGGCTGGCTGCGGCGGGGGGTGCTGCTGGTGCGCGCGCCCCCCGCCTGCCTGCAGGTGCTGCGCGATGCCTGGCGGCGCCGGGCCCTGCGGCCGCCGCGCGGCTTCCGCATCAGGGCGGTGGGTGAGTGCGGGACCCGGAGGGGAGGGGCGTCCCGCGCCAGCTGTGAGCGCGGAGCTCCGCGCTGCAGGGGCGAGCGCGGCCCCGTCTTCTGCCACAGAGGCTAGGCGCTGCTCTGAGGGCCCGGGGGCTGCGGTTGGGCGGCCGGTCCGGGGGGCCAAGACGCCCCGGAGACGTTCCCTCCCGCTAGGACACTGCAGCTATAGTCCCCAAGGTGTGCCTGGCCGCTGCTAGTACTGGCTCCGGGCTGAGTCCGTTCCTCAACTCTTAAAGCCCGTGGAGTGCACAGAAGGAACTTTCTGCTTAGAAAAGTGATGCTCTGGATAGAGAGGCTTTGGGCTAGGGGCCACTGTCTAGGCTCCACCGGGGCGGTTAGGAAGGGTACCCCAGGGGAATGGCCAGAGTTTACCATATCTGGCAGCTTTATTATTATTATTTTTTGAACTACAGATCTGCAGCGAACGGCATTCTGGTTTTCATGTTCTGCAGTGTGGTGGTCTTGGGTCGGGACCTAGCAGCTTTGGGGTCGTTAACTTCTTGGGGAAAACAAGTAGCGTCTCATCCCTTTAGCTGAATAGACAGGATTCCACCTTCCCAGTCTTTTCAAACTTAACTGTTTGTTAGACAACAGCAGCTTTTTGCCTTTTTTCATAAAATAGCTTCTCATTTGAGAAACTAAACCACCGCACCCGTGAGTGGTCTCTGACTCTGGGCACTAAACCCAGGCAGGTGTGTCAGCTCCCTGTAACAACCTTGTTCTTGTCTGCATTTATGTGAGGCTGCAAGGGCCATTTGATGGTGTGTTGACAAGTCACCAGTTGTTCCGCGCTTAATTTTCATTCTTACCAAGGAACCCCTCTGTATTAGTCCATAAATCATCCTCTTCCATCCGAGGAGAAGGAGTCGCAAATAAAAAACATTTGTTTGGCCAGGCGCGGTGGCGCTCGCCTGTAATCCCAGCACTTTGAGAGGCCGAGGCAAGTGGATCACCTGAGTTCAGGAGTTAGAGACCAGCCTGGCTAACATGCTGAAACCCCTCAGGAGTTCAAGACCAGTCTGGCTAATACGGTGAAACCCCGCTTCTACTAAAAATACAAAAATTAGCCGGGGCGTGGTGGCAGGTTCCTGTAATCCCAGATACTTGGGAGGCTGAGGCAGGAGAATCGCTTGAATCCAGGAGGTGGTGGTTGCAGTGAGCCGACATCAGGCCATTGCACTCCAGCCTGGGTGACAAGAGCGAAACTCCGTCTCAAAAGGAAAAAGAAGAAGAAAGAAAAGAAAAAAAGCACTTATTTAATTTCCAGGGATTTGAAAACAGGGCAGCAAGAAGCAAGCACCTGACCCACCGATAACTGTATCATCCATTCAGAGATGGTATTACCACATCCCAGCAGCCAGTGCTTTAAACCTTCACTTCTCACCTCCATGCTGTCTGTTCCCTCTCCTCCCCACCCCGCCCCCGTTTTTCTTAAGCTCAAAAAAGAGCTCTTTGCAAAACCACATATACACATTTCCTCTCCTTTTACTTGCAGGAGTGAAGAAAATAGGTTTCTGGCTCTGAGAGCAGTGAGCCAAGTAGCCAAGCCAAAATCCTCACGAGCGAAGAGGTCTTTCAGACAGGCTCGATGAAAAACTCTTTTCAGTTCTGCATCCTCAGTTTTTCTGGTTTGAATTAGTGGTTACATTCTCAGGTCCCCCCTTTCAAAGGGTGAGCACAGAGTATATTGCAGAGAGGGAGTGGGATGCAGGGTGGGGGGTCTAGACCTGGGGGCGAAATAAGAGAGGGCTTGTGCTAAGTCACGGGCTGCCACTAATGCCCCAGTGAGCAGTGGTAAATGCTGGTGTCTGTGTTGGTGCTGTTTGCTGCCATCTGAAATATGTATCACACGTCACCTGTTGCTCCCATTCTCTTCTGCCCAGTGGGTAATGCTGCCTCATAGCACAACTCAGGATGCAGTGGACACTATGACCCCATCTGTGGGGTGTGCAACGCAGTGGACTTCCGCCGGCTCATCACCCTTGACTTGGGTCTCCTGGCAGGAATGATTTTGAGGTTTTCAAATTTTGTTTTTAATTTAATTTAATTTTTTTTGTTTGACAGAGTCTCTCTCTGCTGCTCAGGCTGGAGTGCAATGGTACAATCTTGGCTCACTGCAACCTCCACCTCCTGGGTTCAAGTGCTTCTCCTGCCTCAGCCTGTGGAGTAGCTGGGATTATAGGCACCCGCCACCTTACCTGGCTAATTTTTGTATTTTTAGTAGAGACAGGGTTTCACCATGTTGGCCAGACTGGTCTCGAACTTCTGACCTCAAGTGAACTGCCTGCCTCAGCCTCCCAAAGTGCTGGGATTACAGACATGAGCTACCGCGCCTGACGATTTTTGTTCTTTATAATATTTTTATTCCTTTTTTTAAGCCTTGACCATGGCAAGGACAGATTTTGAAGCTTTTAACGAGTCCTGATACAAATTTGAACATTTAGCTGGGATTTGGACAAAGCCACCCATTAGGACATTTTGAGGAGCAAAATGGAGAAAGATCTTATTTGATGCTGAGTGATGGATACACATGGGGGACAAAGGGATGCTTTTGCTTTGAATAGCGTTGCTAATTGCTGATTTCTGGTCTAACTTGGGGTCCCTAGGTTCATATCAAAAGAGAAGAGGCAGCTCTTGGGCTACCTTAGAGTCCTGGAGGGTGGCGAAGGCAGGAGAAGCTGCTTTCCCCAAAAGGAATTGAAAGTTTGTGTCGGCTTGCTCTCTTGCCTCTTGCAGCACTGACTTCCAGGAGGGCGGGGAAAGAGCTGCTGTGGACTATTGCAGGTTGTTGCTCCATTCTCACTGTTATTTTGTAGGAAAGAGCAAAATGCTAGAAAAGGACAAAAAGAGTCAATCTGATCTCTTTGCCATAGATATTTATTTATCTATTTATTTATTTTTGAGACGATGTTTCACCCTTGTTGCCCAGGCTGGAGTGCAATGGCGCAATCTCAGCTCACCGCAACCTTCACCTTCTGGGTTCATGCAATTCTCCTGCCTCAGCATCCCGGTAGCTGGGATGACAGGTGCCCGCCACCATGCCCAGCTAATTTTTGTATTTTTAGTAGAGATGGGGTTTCACCATGTTGGGCATGCTAGTTTCGAACTCCTGACTCAGGTGATCCGCCCGCCTCGGCCTCCCATTTGCTGGGATTACAGGCATGAGCCACTGCGCCTGGCTAGATGTTTTTTTAAAGGCTAATTTACTGCTGCATAAAAGCATTAGGGTATAGGAAGTATTGCTGGCCAGCTCAGGCAGAAAATGCAGGGAGAGAGGGATGGCGGTCAGCTTTATAAGTCCAACTGTGCTGCCTTGGGTCTTATAAGACCTGGGACTTACAAGGTAAGAGGAGGGAGCACCCTAGCCAAGCCGACTGGAGTGACTGGAGCCCCAGTTGTAGACCTGAACTTAAGTCATGCAGAGGTTTATGTTTTCTCCAAGTTTTCTGCCTTAGTTCTCTCTGATTTCATTCTCTCTACCTTACCTTTCCTCTGGTAAGGAAAGTAGTTCCCAGGCAGAGAGTATTTCTCTAAAAAGAGAGACATTGGATCTTTAGCTTGATTAACAAGGGGCTAACTCTGTTTTTGTGCTCCAGTCCTCAAATGTTGTATTTTCTTTTCTTTTCTTTTTTTTTTTTTTAAGTGGAGACAGGGCCTTGCTCTGATTCCCAGGCTGGTCTCTAACTGCTGGGTCCAAGGGATCCTCCCCCCTCGGCCTCCCAAAGTGCTGTGATTACCAGTGTGAGCCACCGCACCTGGCTCAAATGTTTTGTTTTCTGTTTTTCATTAGCCAGTGGCTTTCACAAATGAAAGAGTGAGTTCTGGAAGCTGGAGGGAGACTGCTGCCTAACCAGCTGAGCCACTGGGGAAGGAGGTACTGCAGGGAGGTGGGGCACCTGTATTTGTTTGGAAGAATCTGTTGCTACTCTGAGAATACACCTAACGGGACAGGAAAGATTAACGGTGGGGGTGGGCGGCCACTTGGCCAAACAAGTTTGTTCCCTTCTGAAATTTATAGCTGGGGTGTCTCCACCCTGTCACCCCCAGCAGGGCCTTTCATCTTTTCTCACTGAATAAAAATGCCCCAGGCCATGCCTGGTGGCTCTTGCCTGTAATCCCAGCACTTTGGGTGGCTGAGGCAGGTGGATCACATGAGGTCAGGAGTTTGAGACCAGCCTGGCCAATGTGGTGAAACCCCATCTCTATTAAAAATAGAAAAATTAGCCCGGCATGGTGGCACGTGCCTGTAATCCCAGCTACTTGGGAGGCTAAGGCAGGAGAACCCGGGAGGCAGAGGTTGCAGTGAGTGGAGATTGTGCCACTGCATTCCAGCCTGGGCAACAGAGGGAAAATGTCTTAAAAAAAAAAAAAAAAGAAAGCACCAAGTGCTGGTGGCTCTTTTTAAATACTTGCTTCATGAATTCATTCATGAGCCAGGTACTGTTCTAGGTGTTTCTCTGTGTTTTGTTTTTTGTTTTGAGACAGAGTCTTGCTCTCTTACTCAGGCTGGAATGTAGTGGTACAATCATGGGTCACTGCAGCTTCGACCTCCTGGGTGCAAATGATCGTCCTACCTCAGCCTCTTGTGTAGCTGGGAACACAGTTGCGTGCCACTGTGCCTAGCTAATTAAAAAAAAATTTTCAGTAGAGGCAGGTCTTGCTCGCTATGTTATCCATTTTGGTCTCAGACTCCTGGGCTCAAACAATCCTCCTGCCTCTGCCTCTCAAAGTGCTGGGATTACAGGCATGAGCCACCTTGCCTAGCCACTTCTGTGGGTTTTTTTTTTTTTTTTTTTTTTTGAGACAGAGTCTCACTCTGTCGCCCAGGCTGGAGTGCAGTGGTGTGATCTCAGCTCACTGCAACCTCTGCTTCCCAGGTTCAAGGGATTCTCCTGCCTCAGCCTCCCGAGTAGCTGGGACTATAGGCGCGTGCCAGCACGCCCGGCTAAGTTTTTTTGTAATTTTAGTAGAGACAGGGTTTCTCCATGTCAGTCAGGCTGGTCTGGAACTCCCGACCTCAGTTGATTCATCCGCCTCAGCCTCCCAAAGTACTGGTGTAGCAGGACAAGCCGTAGACAAAACTCCTCAGACACCGAGTTAAAGAAGGAAGAGGTTTATTTGGCCGGGAGCATCAGCAGGACTCCTGTCTCAAGAGCTGAGCTCCCCGAGTGAGCAATTCCTGTCCCTTTTAAGGGCTCACAACTCTAAGAGGGTCCATGTGAGAGGGTCATGATCAATTGAACAAGCAGGGGGTACGTGACAGGGGCTGCATGCACTGGTGGTCAGAGTGAAACAGAACAGACCAGGAAGTTTTATAATGCCTTTCCATACAATGTCGGGAATCTGTAGATAACATAACCAGTTAGGTCGGGGTGGTCTTTAACTACCAGGCTTAGGTCAGGCAGGCCCAGGACTGGTTTCGGGTCTGATTCCTAGGCGCCGGGCTACCTGCCTTTAGTTTTGCTTTTCTTTCTTTTTCTGAGTATAAAACATTATAAAACAATATGAGAGGGTCTGTCTCTCTTCTCTTACTGGCGTGAGCCATTGCACCCGGCCCGCTTCTGTGTTTTAATGCATCTTTCATTCAGATTTGCCTCTGCTCAAGGGAAATAGAGTCAGGCTTATTTTCCACATCTAGTTCAAGAGGGGATAGCTGAGTGGGAGGCCATGTTCTGGAAACTGGCTGGTTCACACAATCTTCTCCATCCCACAGTGACTCTGGGTACTGCAGTTTCTGCCTTTAATTAGGCAGGAGTTCTTTGTGCTTTGGGAGGTACTGAAGATCAGGCACATCAGGTTGGCGAAAGGGAAGTGATGGGAGGATCTTCCACATCTCCTCGTGCTCCTCCTACCTGATCCCCCAAATCCCTCTGAGCATGGCCTTCCAATCACAGAGAAATATTCAGGCAAAATTGCAAGTACTCTAGGAGTGTAGAGTGTAGTATCTGCACTAACGCTAGATGTTGACTGGTTTCAGAATCTATCCTGGGATCTGGTTTGGGAGAGGAAGAACAGTGCTAGGGTACTCGGTGCCTGATGCTGCAAGAATTGGGCAAGTCTCTGGACCACTGTTCTTATTTGTTCTGTGACTTAGGGAATGGTGTGGGGGAGTGTGTACAAATGGTAAGGAAAGGGAGTGGTCTGATTCCTATTCTGTTTTATTTCTGAAGTCCTACCTTGAATGACAGTAGGACATCTTACAGCACTTCGTAGCTAATGGAATTTTGTAGGTGAAATTTATATTTAGGGAAATGCACACATCTTAAGTTTACTATTTGATAAATTTTTCAAATGCATACATGTGGTAACCCACATTCCTAGCAGGATTAGAACATTACCATTACCCCAGAAAGTTCCCTCCTGTCCTTTCCCAGTCAGCTCTGCCTCGATTCTCAGAGATAACCACTATTTGGAATTATTTTTTCTTTTTTTGTTTTTTGAGATGGAGTCTCACTCTGTCACCCAGGCTGGAGTGCAGTGGCGTGATCTCGGCTCACTGCAACCTATGCCTCCCGGGTTCAAGCGATTCTCCTGCCTTAGCGTCCCAAGTAGCTGTGATTACAGGCGTCTGCCTCCACACCCGGATAATTTTGTATTTTTAGTAGAGACGGGGTTTCTCCATGTTGGCCAGGCTGGTCTCAGACTCAAAACCTGAGGTTATCCATCTGCGTTGGCCTCCCAAAGTGCTGGGCTTATAGGCGTGAGCCACCATGCACGGCCAGGCTTTATTATTACTATTGTTTATTGATTTATTTTGAGATGGAGCCTTGCTCTTTTGCTCAGGCTGTAGTGCAGTGGCATAATCTCGGCTCACTGTAGCCTCCACCTCCTGGGTTTAAGCAATTCTCCTGCCTCAGCCTCCTGAGTAGCTGGGATTACAGGCGCCTGCCACCATGCGCGGCTAATTTTTGTATTTTTAATAGAGACGGGGTTTCACCATGTTGGCCAGGCTGGTCTCAAACTCCTGACCTCAAGTGATCTGCCCGCCTCGGCCTCCCAAAGTGCTGGGATTACAGGCATGAGCCACCGCACCCGGCTGGCTTTATTATTATTTTTTAGATAGAGGGTTTCACTCTGTCATCCAGGCTAGCTCACTGAAGCCTTGAACTCCTGGGCTAAAGTGATCCTCCCTTGTCAGTCTCCTGAGCAGCTGGGACTACAGGCACCCATCACCACATCTGGCTAATTTATTTTTATTTTTTGTAGAGATGGAGTCTCCCTGTGTTGTCCAGGCTGGTGTTGAACTCTTGGGCTCTCACTTCTCTGGGCCTCTAGTTCTTTAGGTATGAACGTCTTCCTGCCTCTGCTTCCCAAAGTGCTGGGATAACAGGCATGAGCCACCGTGCCTGGCCTGTTTTTAAACACATTAAGTTACTTACCTTCTCATCGTATTATGCATTGGGCCTTTTCGATATCCTTCCGCTTATGCGCATTCCTACTGAAAAACACCAGTGCAAAATTATTTTCAGTTACAGGCAGCAAAAGTGAGACTTGAGGAGTCACTGAAAACTGTAGTTTAAAGTTTCCAGATGACCCAGAACCACTGTGGTTAGTGAAGAAAATTTGAGCTCAATTGTTTTTTTCTTTGCATGGAGTCTCGCTCTGTCGCCCAGGCTGGAGTGCAGTGGTGTGATCTCGGCTCACTGAAACCTCCTCCTCCTGGGTTCAAGCAATTCTCCTGCCTCAGCCTCCTAAGTAGCTGGGATTACAGGCGCGTGCCACCACGCCAGGCTAATTTTTTGTATTTTTAGTAGAGACGGGGTTTCACTGTGTTAGCAGGATGGTCTCAGTCTCCTGACCTTGTGATCCACCTGCCTCGGCCTCCCAGAGTGCTGGGATTATGGGCGCGAGCCACCACGCCCCGCCCTTGAGTTCAATTTTTTGTGCTGCTATTTATTAGCTGTATGTCCTTGAGCTAGTTACTTAACCTCTCTCAGCTCCATTGTCTACATGGGTACAAATGAGGACACAGTAGCCCCTTTTCAGGTTGTTTTGAAGATAAGGTACCTGAGAGCCTTCAGCCTGTGCCTGGTTCAGAGTCAGCATCAGGAAAATAACAAATACAAGGCAATTTCCAGCATGGAGGAAGAAGAGAATGGGTCTGGATTCTTGTTCACTAGACAAACCTGTCTCTGTTAAGACTTGTGCTAATCATTGCTTGCCTGACATATACTTATGTTCAAGACCTCCGTCTGTCCTTCTGTCTCGTCCTTCTGTCCTGTCCTTTGTGCTTAGTGCTGGTCACGTCCACAGCCGTGTGTTGTCCTGTGCCTCAGCCCAGGTCCCAAGGGCTGCCTGGTGTCGGAGAAGGAGCCTGTACTGGGATTCTGATGCCTGAGTTTGCAACCAACCCTGCTGCTAAGTAGCTGGGAGCCCCCCAGCCTATCCTCTCACTTCTCTGGGCCTCTAGTTCTTTAGGTGTGAACGGCTTCCTGCTCACTTTGACTCTGTTGACTGGCTAAGCCTTCCCACCTAGCTTGGCCCTGGCCTCACCTGGGTCAGCCTCCCAGTCATCTGTGTCAGGAGGCCTCGGGAAGAACAGACAGAAGCTCACATCAAAGTTGCTTAAGATATTTTCCACAAACAGGGGAAGTATACCTTCCTCTTAGTACTGCCCAGACATCTTGGTTCTCTAATACCATTCCCCCTTCACCAAGCAACTGAAGCTACACAGTTGTTGAAGCACCCACACCATGCTGGGCTGCCCTTGCGCTTGCAGTCGTTTGTTAGGTATGCATTGAGCATTTACCCTCTGCCCAGCCTGACTGGTTGGTCCATACAGAGGGGCAAAAGGCTCATGCCCTGTCCTCAAGGAGCTCATAGTCTAGGGAGCAGATGGATGAATAAGTGATACACAGTTATAGGGAGCAATAAAAGGATAGCTGATCAAGAATCCCATGCATATGTGTATGTGTATTCAAGGAAGACTTCCTGGAGGAAGTGATGCCTAAACTAAGATACACAGAATAAGTAGATGTTAGCGTAGTGAGAAGCACATTTTAAGTTGAGAGTGGGGCATGTGTCCCGGTTGTATGACCCACATGTGGAACCACAAGCTTCTGGGTGCAGCTGGAGTATGGAGCGGGAGGTGGGCGTTGGCACAAAGGGCCTGCAGAGGGGCTGACGTGGAATGGGCCCTGAGTACTCTACTCATGCATCTGAGCCTGAGGTCACTGAAGAGTATTATGCAATAAAGTGCATGTATGTGATTATATTTATAATCCTGTTTACATGATATACATGGCAGATACTTCTCAGCCTGAAGTATGCATTATCTTTCATCAATGGTTGTCTGGAATGGTGGCGCCTTGGAAGGGTGATGTAAGCCCCCATGGGCCTACGGGAGTGCCCATGGTGCTTGTTCAGTGGCAGATCTGACATCTGAGAAAGACCTCAGGAGCCATGCAGGACACCTAGGATCTAATCCCTTGTCACTAAGCAGCTGAGTGACCAGCTTCTCATCCAGTCCTCTTGGGGCCTTGGTTGCCTCATGTGTTGGTAGGTATTCTGCCTGCCCTTTTTACTGCACAGATTTGGCATCGGACTCCAATAAGATACCATCTATGCAAACACTTTGAAAAGTGCACAGTACAAACACCAGCATGTCTTTACATCTATTTGTGCCTTCTTTAATTTCTTTCATAAGTGTTTATAGTTTTCAGTATGCCTGTCTTTCACCTCCTTAGTTAAGTTTATTCCTAAGTATTTTATTCCTTTTGGTGATGTTGTCAATGGGATTGTTTTCATTTCGTTTCTTTTTTTTTTTTCTTTTTTCCTTTTTGAGATAGGGTCTGGCTCTGTTGCCCAGGCTGGAGTGTCGTGGTGTGATCATGGCTCCCTGCAGCCTCGACCTCCCAGACTTAAGTGATCCTCCCATCTCAGCCTCTCCAGTAGCTGGGACTGCAGGCAGGTGCTACCACACCCAGCTAATTTTTGTGTTTTTAGTAGTGATGGTGTTTCACTGTGTTGCCTAGGCTAGTGTTGAACTCCTGGGCTCGAGTGATTCTTCCGTCTCGGCCTCCCAAAGTGATGCGATTACAGGCGTGAGCTAGGACTGTTTTCTTAATTTCCTTTTTGGATAGTTTATTGTTAATGTATAGAAATGCAACTGATTTTATGTTCAGTGTGGGTTCTGTAACTTTACAGAACTGATTAGTTCTAAGAATTTTTGTGTGTGGCATCTTTAGGGTTTCCTATGTAAGATCATGTCATCTGTAAACAGAGATGATTTTACTTCTTTTCTGATCTGGATGTCTTTTATTTGTTTTTCTTGGCTAATTCCTCTGGGTAGGACTTCCAGTAATATGTTGAAAAAAAGTGGCAAGAGCCGGGCGCGGTGGCTCATGCCTGTAATCCCAGCACTTTGGGAGGCTGAGGCAGGCAGATCATGAGGTCAGGAGATTGAGACCATCCTGGCTAACATGGTGAAACCCCATCTCTACTAAAAATACAAAAAATTAGCCAGGTGTGGTGGCAGGCACCTGTAGTCCTAGCTACTCGGGAGGCTGAGGCAGGAGAATGGTGTGAACCCAGGAGGCGGAGGTTGCAGTGAGCCGAGATTGCACCACTGCACTCCAGCCTGGGCAACAGAGCGAGACTCTGTCTCAAAAAAAAAAAAAAAGAAGTGGCAAGAGTGGGCATCTGTGTCTTCTTCCCAGTCTTAGAGGAAAAGCATTCAGTTTTTCACTGTTAAATAAGATGTTAGCTGTGGGCTTTTCACATATGACCTTTGTTGTGTTGAAGTAATTTCATCCCATATCCATGGATTGGGAGACTTAGTATTTTTTAAATGTTCATGCTACCCAAAGTGAGCTACAGATTCAATGCAATCCCTATCAAAATCCCAACAGCTTTTTTATGCAAATAGGAAAAACAATTCTAAAATTCGTATGGACTCACACAGGATCCCAAAATAGCCAAAACGATTATTATTATTTGAGGCAGGGTCTTGCTGTGTCACCTAGGCTGGAGTACAACAGTGCAATGACAGCTCACTGCAGCCTTGATCTCCTGGGCTCAAGCGATCCTCCCACCTCAGTCTCATGAGTAGCTGGGACCAGAAGTGCGTGCCACCACACCCGGCTAATTTTTAATTTTTTTGTAGAGACAGGGTCTCGCTCTTTTGCCAAAGCTGGTCTTGAACCCCTGGGCTCAAGCAATCCTCCCACTTTGGCCTCTGCCAAAAATGACTTTGGAAAGAAAAACACAGCTGGGAGTCTCTCTGGCTTGGGGGCTGCCTGAAAAAAAGAACAATAAAAAACAAAGCTTGAAGCATCACACTTCCTGATTTCAAAATACATTACAGGCCGGGCATGGTGGCTCACGCCTATAATCCCAGCACTTTGGGAGGCCAAGGCAGGTGGATTACCTGAGGTCAGGAGTTTGAGACCAGCCTGGCCAACATGGCAAAACCCCATCTCTACTAAAAATACAAAAATTAGCCAGGCGTGGTAGTGGGAGCCTGTAATCCCAGCTACTTTGGAGCCTGAGGCAGGAGATTCGCTTGAACCCAGGAGGCAGATGTTGCAGTGAGCCGAGATTGCGCCACTACACAGAGTGAGACTCCGTTTCAAACAAAACAAAACAAAACAAAACAAAAACCACACACACACAAACAAAACAAAAACCAAAAGGTATTACAAAGATATAGTAATTAAAACATGTGGTACCAGCATAAACACAGATATATACAGCAATGGAACAGGATAGAGAGCCCAGAAATAAACCCACACATATACAGTTAACTGATCTTCCTTGAGGGTGCCGAGAACACACAATGGGGACAAAAGGGTCTCTTCAACAAATGGTCCTGGGAAAACAATCTCCACATGCAAAGGAATGAAATTCTACCCCTTTCTTATACCATCCACAACAGCCAACTCAAAACGAGTTAAATCTAAGACCGGACACTAAGACTCCTAGAAGAGAACATGGGGAAAAGCTTAATGACATAGATTTTGACAATGATTTTTTGGATATGACACCAAAAGCACAGGCAACAAAAGCAAAAATAGAGAAGTGGGACTAAGTACAAGCATCAACTATTTATTTTATTTTACTTTATTTTTAAATTTTTATCTATTTATTTATTTCAAGACTGGGTTATGAGCCTGGCTAATTTTTGTGGGGTTTTTTTGGTAGAGATGAGGTTTCACCACATTGCCCAGGCTCGGCTCAAGTGCTGGGATTACAGGCGTGAGCCACTGCTCCCGGCCCAAGCACCAAATATTAACAGTGGTTATTTTGTTTTATTTATTTATTTTTGTTTCTTTTTTGAGACAGAGTCTCATTCTGTCACACAGGCTGGAGTGCACTGGTGTGATCTTGGCTCACTGCAACCTCCACCATCCTGCTTCAAGCGATTCTCATGCTTCAGCCTCCCAAGTAGCTGGGATTACAGGCATGAGCCACCACGCCTGGCTAATTTTTTGTATTTCTAGTAGAGATAGGGTTTTGCCATGTTGCCCAGGCTTGTCTTGAACTCCTGAGTTCAGGTAATCTGCCGCCTCGGCCTCCCAAAGTGCTGGGATTATAGGCATGAGCCATCGTGCCCGGCCAACAGTGGTTGTTTTATCTCTGGTATGGAATATGGCTGTGGGGTGTGTGTGTACGTGCACACATGCACTTGTAAATGTTCTTGCTTTTTGCTTTTTTTTTTTTTGGAGACAGTGTCTCGCTCTGTTGCCCAGGCTGGAGTGCAGTGGTGCGATCCTGGCTTACTGCAACTTCTGCCACCAGAGTTCAAGCGATTCTCCTGCTTCAGCCTCCTGAGTAGCTGGACTACAGGTGCCTACCACCAAGTCTGGCTCATTTTTGTATTTTTAGTAGAGACGCGGTTTCACCATGTTGGTCAGGCTGGTCTTGAACTCTTGACCTCGTGATCTGCCCGCCTTGGTCTCCCAAAGTGCTGGGCTTACAGGCATGAGCCACCATGCCCGGCCTGTTTTTGATTTTTAAATATATATTACTTTTAGTACCTTTTATTTTAATTTGAGTTTCACTTGGTGGGTTGCTCCTGTAACACATTCACATAGTATGAAAGGGTATGCAGGAAAAAGTCTCTCATTTCCCTATCCCAACCACTGATTGCCTTTCTCTGGAAATGGCTGCAGTGACCAGTTTTCTAATCCTTCTATAGATAGTTTATAAATCTACAAATAATATGGATAGACATATCTGCCTCCATTTTTACATAAATGTTAGCATATTACATGTATTATTTTTTCTTGGAAACAAATTTTCTTAAGTCATTAAAAAAATCCATGTATAAGTGCAAGGAAGTTAATAGCATTGTTCTAGGGTACAGAAACACTAGTTCTGTAGGATGTAAGTAGGGATTACATGAAAGAGAGTTTCCTAGTTCAGTGTGTTTGGATACCATGTTTAAACAGGTTTCATGAGTGCAGAGGCTTTGGGAGACCTTGGTATGCTGATGGTCTCCATCCAAGAGGCAGGGGAATAATCTGAATGCTCCAGTCTCATTCTACCAGCAAAGCCTGTTTTTGCTGAGCTCCTTGTGGGTAGATGTTGGAGGCGTTCCTGGGAAACTCTGGGTCCCTTTGGAGTATCTTCCTGTGGAAGGAGCTGATCATCTTGTCCCATGAGCCCAGGGCCCACCTTACAGAGAGCCATGTCTCAGAGCCCCATTGTGGAGTGGACAGAGATCACAGTAAAAACTACCCACGTCCCGCACCCAGGGAGGTGTGTGTGTTGGAGGATCATGGAAAGAACACTAGACATGAAGTCCGGGCCATCTGAAGAGTATTAACCATGTGACCTGGGGCAGAGCAGTCCTCCCCTTATAAATGGCAGCCACCATGCTTGCCTTGCTCCAAAGTTGTGGCATTGGGATGCAGAAATGCCCTATTTGAAGATGTTATTCCCCAGACCTTCAACCCCACAGTGGAGGTTTCAGGAAGGGGCAGAGTTTGGACATCCCATAGGTTCATAGGTTTCATAGATCAGAGGGCTTTCAGAGGCCATCCTGGAGGTTTAGCTACATTCTGTGCTAGTGGAAAGTCACATTAAGCTTTTACAATGTAGAGAAATTTCTAGAACAGCTGGCTTTTAATAGATGAGACAGAAACTGCTTGTCAAGATCATTTGCGATGTTAAGCTTATTCCATGATAATTGACTCTTTTTTCTCTTAATTTATCTTTTGAGGAAAAGGTATGCAAAGTGATCCTTTTTCTTGTTGATGCGAGGTGCCTCTCCATGGCTCTGTACCATTTCTTTTTTTTTTTTTTTTTTTTTTGAGATGGAGTCTTGCTCTGTCACCCAGGCTGGAGTCCAGTGGCACGATCTCGGTTCACTGCAACCTCCGCCTCCCGGGTTCAAGCAGTTCTCTGCCTCAGCCTCCCGAGTAGCGGGGATCATGGGTACCCGCCACCACACCTGGCTCATTTTTTGTATTTTTAGTAGAGATGGAATTTCACCATCTCGGCCAGGCTGATCTTGAACTCCTGACCTCGTGATTCACCTGCCTTGGCCTCCCAAAGTGCTGGGATTACAGGTGTGAGCCACTGCGCCTGGCCGGCTCTGTGCCATTTCTTTAGCAGTTCATTAAGGATTAGGAGGTCCCTTGTGAAATTCTTTGTAAACCAAACGAGCCTTTGACTCCCCGAGTCTAAAGCCATCAGCTGTGACTGTATTCATTTGATGGAAGGGAGATGTAGGGTCTGGCAACGCATGGCTGACTGGTACTACATAATGGTAATTACTTATAAATTATATTTTTATATTTTAATTTTTTGAAACAGAGTCTCACTCTGTCACCCATGCTGGAGTGCAGTGGTGCAATCACAGCTCACTACAACCTCAGACTCCTGGACTCAAGCCATCCTTCTGCCTCAGCCTCCTGAATAGCTGGGACTGTAGGCGTGGGCCACCACACCAGCTACTTTTTTTTGTAGTGATGGGGTCTCACTCTGTTCCCCAGACTGGTCCCGAACTCCTGGTCTCAAGCAATCCTCCCGTCTTGGCCTCCCAAAGTGCTGGGATTATAGCCGTGAGCCACTGTACCTAGGTGAGATTTTGGTGATTTTGAATAGAACTATAATAACATTCATCAACAGGTCTGTGGACATGTTTTCATTTCTTTTGGGTGAATAACCAGGTGTGAATTGGAGGGCTGCTTTTCAAAATGATTGTACCACTTTGCAATCGTGCCATCAATGTATGAGAATTCCAGTTCATTTGATATTATCAGTATGTTATTATTTTTGTTACCGGTTTTTTTGTTGTTGTTGTTGTTGTGATGGAATTTCACTCTTGTTGCCCTGGCTGGAGTGCAATGGAGCGACCTCGGCTCACTGCAACCTCTGCCTCCCTGCAACCTCTGCCTTCCGGGTTCAAGCGATTTTCCTACCTCAGCCTCCAAAGTAGTTGGGATTACAGGTGCCCATCATCACGCCCAGCTAATTTTTTGTATTTTAAGTAGAGACAGAGTTTCACCATGTTGGCCAAGCTTGTCTTGAACTCCTTGACCTCAGATGATCCAACCACCTCAGCATCCCAAAGTGCTGGGATTACAGGTGTGAGCCACTGTGCCCGGCCTATTTTATTATTTTTGGCTGGACTAATAGTTGGATAGTGGGCCGGGCGCCATGGCTCACGCCTGTAATCCCAGCACTTTGGGAGGCCGAGGCGGGTGGATCACAAGGTCAGGAGATCGAGACCATCCTGGCTAACACGGTGAAGCCCTGTCTCTACTAAAAATACAAAAAATTAGCCAGGCGTGGTGGTGGGCGCCTGTAGTCCCAGCTACTTGGGAGCCTGAGGCTGGAGAATGGCATGAGCCCGGGAGGCGGAGCTTGCAGTGAGTCGAGATCGCGCCACTGCACTCCAGCCTGGGAGACAGCAAGAATCTGTCTCAAAAAAAAAAAAATTGTTGGATAGTGGTAGTTCATTGTGACTTTAATTTGTATTTCCCTAATGACTAGTGAGTTGAGCATCTTTTCATGTGTGCTTGTTTGCTATGTCTGGATCTTCTTTTTTTTTTTTTTTTTTTTTGAGATAGAATGTCACCCTTGTCACCCACACTGGAGTGCAATGGCGTGATCTTGGCTCACTGCAACCTCTGTCTCCTGGGTTCAAGTGATCCTCCTGGCTCAGCCTCCTGAGTAGTTGGGATTACAGGTATCTGCCACTACACCCAGCACATTTTTGTATTTTTAGTAGAGATCGGGTTTCACCATGTTGGCCAGGTTGGTCTTGAACTCCTGACCTCAGGTGATCCACTGGCCTCAGCCTCCCAAAGCACTGCGATTATAGGCATGAGCCACCATGCCTCGCCTGTATCTTCTTTAATAAGTGTCTGTCGAAATGTTTTGCCCATGAAAAAAGTTTTTTTCCTTATTAAATTGTAGGATTTCTTCATATATTTTAGATACAAGTCCTTTGTCAGATGTGTGTTTTGCAAATGTTTTTTCCCAGACTGTGGCTTGTCTTTTTATTTTTTAATATTTATTTATTTTTGAGATGGAGTCTCACTTTGTCACCCAGGCTGGAGTGCAGTGGTGCGATCTCACCTCATTGTAACCTCCACCTCCCACTTTCAATTGATTCTCCGGCCTCAGCCTCCCAAGTAGCTGAGACTACAGGTGCACACCACCACGCCCAGCTAATTTTTGTATTTTTAGTAGAGACAGAGTTTTGACATGTTGGCCAGGCTGGTCTTGAACTCCTGACCTCCATTGATCCACCCTCCTCGGCCTCCCAGAGTGCTGGGATTATAGGTGTGAGCGACAGTGCCTGGCCAGCTTGTCTTTTTAATTTCTTACCAGTGTCTTTTGAATGTTTTAATTCTTTTTTCTTCAAGATGGAGTCTCGCTCTATCACCCGAGCTGAAGTGCAGTGGTGCGATCACAGCTCACTGCAGCCTCAACCTCCCAAGGCTCAGGTGATCCTCCTGCCTCAGCACCCCCAAGTAGCTGGGACTACAGTTGCGCACCACAACAGCTGGCTAATTTTTTTTTTTTTTTTTTTTGAGATGGAATCTTGCTCTGTCACCCAGGCTGGAGTGCAGTGGCGCCATCTTGGCTCACTGCAACCTCTGCCTCCCAGGTTCACGCCATTCTCCTGCCTCAGCCTCCTGAGTAGCTGGGACTACAGGCGCCTGCCACCATGCCCGGCTAATTTTTTTGTATTTTTAGTAGAGACAGGGTTTCACCATGTTAGCCAGGATGGTCTCGATCTCCTGACCTCGTGATCCACCTGCCTCGGCCTCCCAAAGTGCTGGAATTACAGGCATGAGCCACCGCGCCCGGCAACACCTGGCTAATTTTTTTATTTTTATTTTTATTTTTATTTTTTTTGGATGGATTTTCGCTCTTGTTGCCCAGGCTGGAGTGCAGTGGCAAGATCTTGGCTCAATGCAACCTCCACCTCCTGGGTTCAAGCGATTCTTCTGTCTCAGCCTCCCGAGTATCTGGGATTATAGGCGCATGCCACCACGCCTGGCTAATTTTTGTATTTTTAGTAGAGACGGGGCTTCACCATCTTGGCCAGGCTGGTCTTGAACTCCTAACTTCAGGTGATCTACCCGCCTCGGCCTGCCAAAGTGCTGGGATTATAGGTGTGACCCACCGCACCCAGCCCCAATTTTTGTATTTTTAGTAGAGATGGGATTTCGCCATATTGCCCAGGCTGGTCTCGAACTCCTGGGCTCAAGTGATCCTCCCACCTCAGCCTCCCTGAGTGCTGGGATTACAAGTGTGAGCCACTGTGCCCACCTCTATTTTGAGATTTAACATTTAAATCTATAATGCATTTCATGTTAATTTTTGTATGTGGTACAAGTTATGGCTTGAGGTTTTTATTATTATTATTATTATTATTATTATTATTATTATTATTATTTGAGACGGAGTCTCGCTCTGTCACCCAGGCTGGAGTGCAGTGGTGTGATCTCAGCTCACTGCAACCTCTGCCTCCTGGGTTCAAGCTATTCTCCTGCCTCAGCCTCCTGAATAGCTGGGAGTACAGGCATGCACCACCAGACCTGGCTAATGTTTTTTGTATTTTTAGTAGGGATGGGATTTCACCATGTTGGCCAGGCTGGTCTTGAACTCCTGACCTCAGTTGATCCACCTGCCCCGGCCCCCCAAAGTCCTGGGATTACAGGCATGAGCTACCACTCTTGGCCAGAGGTTGATTATTATTTTTTGCATATGGATGTCCAATTCTTCAGGAACTCCCTTGTTGAAAAGACTGTCCTTTCTCCATTGGATAACCCTGGCTTTTTGTCAAATAGCAATTGACCACATGTGTGTGTCTATTTCTAGACTGTTCTTTTTTCTTGATCGATACCCCTATGCTTTCTCCAATACTACAGTGTTTTCATTACTGTAGCTGTATAGAAGTCAGATATTCTGAGTCCTTCAAGTTTGTTTCTTTTTATTTGGTTATTATTGGTCCTTTGCTTTTTCCATGTAAACTTTAGAATCAACTTGTCTATTTCTAAAAAAAATTCTGCTTAGGTTTTTATTAGGATTGTGTTAGTGCTTGTTTTGGCAGCACATATACTAAAATTCAAACGATATAGAGAAGATTAGCATGGCCCCTGTGCAAGGGTGACATACAAATTAATGAAGGGTTCCAATTAAAAAGAAAAGGATTATGTTAAATCTATAGATTAATTTCGGGAGAATTCACATCTTAACAATCAATATTGGGTCTCCTGAGCTATGGAAGCAGTATATCTCTCTAGTAAATCTTGGTTTCTAATTCTGTTACAAATGTACCTTTTGACCTTGGAGTTCCTGAGTCTTTGAACACCTTCTGTGAAACAAAATGCCTTCCAGATACCAAGGAATAAGGAATTCAGGTGCTTGAAAAAGCCAGAAAATGGAAACCTCAGTAGACTCATTTAAATTCTCCAGAGGCACAGTGGCACTGAGGATCAAAAAGGAACAAAATCCCTTGAGGAGAATTAGAACATCTGTATCAACTGAGGGGAAAAAATATTTTGAACAGCAACAAAAGATGACCCCAGTATAAGTTTAAAGAGCATCAGCAGACACATGTTATTATGGTGGCTTGGGTTGTGGGGGAGTTTGTTTTGTTGGGTCACGGGTGGATTTGGGGATTGGAAGGTAGAAGGTTTTGTTTTGTTTTGTTTTGTTTTTCTCGAGATCACTGTGTTGCCCAGGCTGGAGTGCAATGGCACGCTCTCAGCTCGTTGCAACCTCCGCCTCCCAGGTTCAAGCGTTTCTCCTACCTCAGGCTCTCAAGTAGCTGGGATCACAGGCGTGCACCACCACGCCCGGCTAATTTTTGTATTTTTAGTAGAGATGGGATTTCACTATGTTGGCTGGGCTCATCTCGAATTCCTGACCTCAAGTGATCCACCTGCCTCGGCTTCCCAAAGTGCTGGGATTACAGGCATGAGCCACTGCACCGCTGGAAGGTAGAAGTTTTTTTTTTGTTTTGTTTTGTTTTTTGAGACGGAGTTTCGCTCTTGTTGCCCAGGCTGGAGTGCAATAATAGCATGATCTCAACTACCGAAACCTCCACCTCCTGGGTTTAAGCAGTTCTCCTGCCTCAGCCTCCCAAGTAGCTGGGATTACAGGCATGCACCACCAAGCCTGGCTAATTTTGTATTTTTAGTAGAGACGGGGTTTCTCCATGTTGGTCAGGCTGGTCTCAAACTCCCGACCTCAGGTGATCTGCCCGCCTCGGCCTCTCAGAGTCCTGGGATTACAGGCGTGAGCCACTGTGCCTGGCCAATAGAAGTATTTTTAAGTCTTCTCTTCTCCTGCCTCCATCTTGCTTGGAATAGATCAAGTCCTTTCCTTTAGTTGTTGATCAAGAACCATGCTGGGCCAGCCCTGACCTGGGTGCCAGGTGGGAGATAGTGAGGGACACTAGGTCCTGTTGCCCTGAGGACACACCTGGAAAACACATCTGGCATTTTCCTTCCCATGTCTCCTTCAGGGCAGAGGCAAGGAGCCTGGCCCTTAGTCCCTGCTAATGGATCATAACTGGAAGATGCTAATTCCACCCAGACCTCAGCCAGGTCAGGCACAACCCAGCTGTACTACTCCCTGCCACCTAAGCCCAGTGGCCTGCAAGACCTTTCACCTTTCCACCCAGCTTTTGTGTGGGCTTTCCATGCTACTGCTTGGAGCTGCAATGCCACTGGTCAGGTTAGATATTTAAGAAGGGGGAGGAGGGCCTTCAGATATGAGATGACGGGCAGTTTGCTTAACCTTTCATGCCTCTGCTTCCCGATCTGTGAAACAGATGATAATACTACCAATTTCATAGTGTGGTTGCAAGGATTAAATGAAACAATACATATAAAGCACTTAGGAGAGGGCCCAGCACACAGTGAGCTATCAGTGAATGTGAGCAGTTTGTTTGTTTTGTTTTGTTTTTTGAGACAGTCTCACTCTGTCTCCCAGGCTGGAGTATAGTGGCATGATCATAGCTCACTGTAACCTCAAGTTCCTAGGCACGTGTGATTCTCCTGCCTCAGCCATCCAAGTAGCTAGGACTACACACTCTTGCTACCATGCCTGGCTAATTTTTTAAAAAATTTTCCTGTAGAGTTGAGTTCTTGCTGTGTTTCCCAGGCTGGTCTCAAACTCCTGGGCTCAAGCAATCCTGTTGCCTTGGGCTCCCAAAGTGCTGGAATTACAGGCATGAGCCACCGTGCCTGACAACGTTAGCAGTTAATTATTATTGTGGAACTCATAGGGTGCCAAGCCAGGCATGGGACCCACGTCTGGCATCTCAGGCTGTCCTGGAGGCCTCATTCTGTCACTCTGGAGCATATCCTTCGGCCATCTTGATTTCATGTGCTGAAAAATCACCATGGTATTAACACACAGGAACAACTTTCTTCTGAATTAGGACTACATTCTTGTAGCTCAGGCTTTGCTTTTTCAGGTTCAACCAGGCATTATTGGCCCTGTGTGTCCATGAGACCTGGATTCCAGTCCTAACTTCTCCCCTAACTGGCCAGCTCCTTCCAGTCTCTGAACTTTAGCTACAGTCTGTGGCATAGATGTGTTCCATGCTGTGATGTACTGTTCTCAACCCATTGAATCACTGAGTGATTCTCTTAGGCCAGTAATTCCCGAACTCTTCCGATTATTTAATTTATAAATTACCATTTCTTAATAGTATGGAATGGCTCATATTATTTTTAATTTATACAGGATGAAAATTATGCTTTGAAAAATGGACAGTTGTGATTTCTGCCCATCTGAGAGAGGGAGTTTCAGTCTCAGGGAGCTGTGGAAGGAGCCCTCAACCAGGGGAGGTTCATCTGTGGATCATGCTGGGGAGGACCCAGGGAGCTCAGGGCACCTCCTGCCCGGCCTTGTGCACAAGGCCTCTCCCATCTGATTGGGCCAAGCGCTTGTACACAGAAAGCTAGTAAGGGTGGAAGCTTACAGGGTGAGATATGTTACTCAAATTCCTCTCATGATTGTTCTTTCATCCTTGTTCTAGATTTTGATTTCTGTTGCAATACAGGTTGAAAAATTACCTGCAAGGAGGAGTTTTTGTGTTTATTGATTTTTTATCACAGCATTTTTCCGAATCCTCTTCTCCTAAACTTACCATTCATCTGACTCTTCACAACCCTAAGAAAGATACGGCTTGCCCTTTAAATGGTAATTGTGGGTCATGTAAAATGGCCAGTACCTGGAAAGCAATAGCATTTGGGGATGGGGCTTTTCAGAAAGCCCAGAGCTGTGTTTTTTGTTTTTGTTTTTGTTTTGAGATGGAGTCTTGCTGTTGCCCAGGCTGGAGTCCAGTGGTGTGAGCTCGGCTCACTACAACCTCCACCTCCCGGGCTCAAGTGATTCTCTTGCCTCTGCCTCCTGAGTAGCTGGGACTACAGGCCACCACGCTTGGCTAATTTTTTGTATTTTTGGTAGAGATGGGGTTTCACCATGTTAGCCAGGATGATCTGGATCTCCTGACCTCATGATCTGCCTGCCTCGGCCTCCCAAAGTGCTGGGATTACAGGCATCAGCCACTGCACCCAGAATGTTTTTTGTTTTTAAACCGAAGCTTATTTCTCTAGCCCTGCAGTTGGCCATAGTTATATTTGCTGGTTGAAAGCCTTGGTAATAAAAAGAGCTCCCCTCCCTCCCACCTTAAACACTTTCCAACTTAAAGTGCTGTAGAGCTCATTGGTTACTTGATGGGCCTTCAGCACAAAGTGCATAAAATAGTTGAAGACATCCTTTTCAGAAGGAAGCCTGGTTATCAAACCAGGGCACTTTGCAAAGACAGTGCCTTCTATTTCCATTCACACACTTTCATCCCACACAATGGATTAGGGCAATATTTCCCAAAGTGTGGCATGTATATTATTGTGGTGGTCATTGTGGTGGTGCACAAGTTGATTTAGATACACTTTTAAACATTTGGCTGGGCACAGTGGCTCACGCCTGTAATCCCAGCACTGGGAGGCCAAGGCAGGTGGATTGCATGAGCTCAGGAGTTCAAGACCAGCCTGGGCAACTTGGTGAAATCCTGTCTCCACAAAAAATACAAAAATTAGCTGGGCATGGTGGCGTTCAGCTGTAGTCCCAGCTACTTGGGAGGCTGAGGTGGGAGGATTGCTTGAGCCCGTGAGATCAAGGCTGCAGTGAGCCGAGATCGAGCCACTGCACCCCAGCCTGGGTGACAGAGCGAGACCGTGTCTCAAGAAAAAAATTAAAAAACCAGCAAAAAGCAAACAAACACAAAAAAAGCAAGAGAGGCCAGGTGCGGTGGCTCACACCTGTAATTCCAACACTTTGGGAAGCTGAGGGGAGGATCACTTGAGCCCAGGAGTTAGAGACCAGCCTGGGCAACATAGGGAGGAGCCTATCTCCACAAACAATAAATTAGCAAGGTGTGTTGTGTACACCTTTGGTCCCAGCTACTCAGGAGGCTGAGGTGGGAGGGTTGCTTGAGCCTGGGAGGTCAAGGTTGCAGTGAGCTGTCATTGTATCACTGCACTCCAGCCTGGGCTACAGAGTGAGACTTTCTAAAAAAAAAAAAAAAAAGAAAAAAGAGTGGAGAAAGGGAGATTCTAGGAAGTTGAGTGTTCTAAGAGTAAACTTAATTGTGTTTTAATTCACTTTCTAATATAATTATGATCCAATTGTGGTAGTAAAAAAAATCATTAAACTTATAAATATTTAAGGTGATGGATATCCTAATTACCCTGATATGGTCTTTATGCACTATATGAATGTATGAATGTACCAGATTACCACATGTACCCCCCAAAATATGTACATCTATTTGCTGGGCACAGTGGCTCACACCTGTAATCCCAGCACTTTGGGAGGCTGAGGCAGGTGGATCATTTGAGGTCAGGAGTTCAAGACCAGCCTAGCCAACATGGTGAAACCCTGTCTCTATTAAAAATACAAAAGTTAGCTGGGTGTGGTGGTGTGCACCTGTAATCCCAGTTACTTGGGAGGCTCAGGCAGAAGAATTGCTTGAACCCAGGAGGTGGAGGTTGTAGTGAACTGAGATTGCACCACTGTACTCCAGCCTAGGCAACAGAGCGAGACTCTTGTCTTAAAAACAAACAGCCGGGCGTGTTGGCTCACGCCTGTAATCCCAGCACTTTGGAAGGCCGAGGCGGGCAGATCACCTGAGTTCAGGAGTTCGAGACCAACCTGGCCAACATGGTGAAACCCCATTTCTACTAAAAATACAAAAATTAGCCAGGCGTGGTGGTGAATGCCTGTAATGCCAGCTACTTGGGAGGCTGAGGTAGCAGAAACGCTTGAACCTGGGATGTGGAGGTTGCAGGGAGCCGAGATTGTGCCACCGCACTCCAGCCTGGGCGACAGAGTGAGACTCCCTCTCAAAAATAAATAAATATGTTATCTCACTGTCTTCTGACCTCTGTTGTTTCTGATGAGAAGTCAGCTGTTAATCTTATTGTGATTTGCCTGTATGAGTTTAAGTTTTTCTCTTACTGCTTTTTTTTTTTTTTTTTTTTGAGACGGAGTCTCGCTCTGTCGCCCAGGCCGGACTGTGGACTGCAGTGGCGCAATCTCGGCTCACTGCAAGCTCCGCTTCCCGGGTTCACGCCATTCTCCTGCCTCAGCCTCCCGAGTAGCTGGGACTACAGGCGCCCGCCACCGCACCCGGCTAATTTTTTGTATTTTTAGTAGAGACGGGGTTTCACCTTGTTAGCCAGGATGGTCTTGATCTCCTGACCTCATGATCCACCAGCCTCGGCCTCCCAAAGTGCTGGGATTACAGGCATGAGCCACCGCGCCTGGCCCTCTTACTGCTTTTAAGATTTTTTTGTCTTTTTTTTTTTTCTCCAAGACAGGGTCTCAATCTATTGCCCAGGCTGTAGCGCAGTCTCACGATCATAGCTCACTGCAGCCTCAGCTCCTGGGCTCAAGAGATATTCCTGCCTCAGCCTCCTGAGTAACTGGGACTACAGGCACATGCCACCATGCCTGGCTAATTTTTTTTTTGAGATGGAGTCTCGCTCTGTCACTCAGAATCAGAATTCATATGTGAGATGGTGGTGTTAGGTTCATTTTGTATTGAAAGTGAAGTCAGACTTACTTGTCATAGGGAAGCCTTACTTGGCAGTTGTCTGAGTATATTTCTTACTACCTGTGTGACTGGGAAACACTTCTTTTTTTTTTTTGGAGACAGAGTTCCGCTCTTGTCACCCAGGCTGGAGTTCAATGGTGCAATCTTGGCTCACTGCAACCTTCACCTCCTGGGTTCAAGCGATTCTCCTGCCTCAGCCTCCCGAGTAGCTGGGATTACAGGCATGCGCCACCATGCCCAGCTAATTTTTTGTTATTTTTAGTAGAAACGGGGTTTCACCATGTTAGCCAGGCTGGTCTCAAACTCCTGACCTCAGGTGATCCACCCGCCTCGGCCTCCCAAAGCTCTGGGATTACAGGCGTGAGCCACTGTGCCCGGCCGGTCATTTTGTTTTAATGTGATCAGCAGGTGCTAGGACCCAATCCGCTGGGTTCGCCTTAAGCAGCACTTATTCAGCTATTGCCTGCAGAACTCGCGAGGGCAGGATGAGATCAACCCCACTGTGTGGTCTTAGCTCACCCTCCAAGGCTTCTGGTTTTAGTCAGTTGAACAAATCTCATTTACCATAAAGGTTTACTTTAGAAAGGCTGGTGACTCTCAAGTTTCTGAATTAACCTGGCTCAAGACATATAGCTGGGTGTATTATTAATTTGGTAAGACTTTGTCATGGCCTGCAAGGGAGAAATCTGTAGCAAATTCTGTCTTCTGTATAATTGGCCAGTGATTTGAAACTGACCTGAATGGCAGGGCTTTTCAGGCTGAGTCAGGGTCATAAGTCACTTCAATTAAAGTATGGAACAAATTTCATACCACCTTTCTTACCTTTCATTTTTTTTTTGTTTTTTGTTTTTTGTTTTTTGAGACGGAGTTTCACTCTTGCTGCCAGGCTGGAGTGCAATGGCATGATCTCGGCTCACTGCAACCTCCGCCTCCTGGGTTCAAGTGATTCTCCTGCCTCAGCCTCCCAAGTATCTCGGATTACAGGCATCAGCCACCATGCGTGGCTAATTTTGTATTTTTAGTAGAGCCAGGGTTTTTCCATGTTGGTCAGGGTGGTCTCAAACTCCCGACCTCAGGTGATATGCCTGTCTTGGCCTCCCAAAGTGCTGGGATCACAAGTGTGAGCCACCGCGCCCAGCCTTTTTCTTTTTTTTTTTCTTTTTCTTTTTAGACAGAGTTTCACTCTTGTTGCCCAGGCTGGAGTGCTGTGGCACAATATCAGCTCACTGCAACCTTCGCCTCCCAGGTTCAAGTGATTCCCCTGTCTCATCCTCCCAAGTAGCTGGGATTACAGGCATGCGCCACCACGCTGGGCTAATTTCATATTTTTAGTAGAGAAGGAGTTTCACCATGTTGGTCAGGCTGATCTCGAACTCCTGACTTCAGGTGATCCACCCGCCTTAGCCTCCTAAAGTGCTGGGATTACAGGTGTGAGCCACTGTGCCCAGCCCGTTTTTTGTCTTTTGAGACAAGGTCTCTTTCTGTCACCCAGGCTGGAGTCTATTGGTGCAATCACGGCTCACTGCATGCAGCCTTGACCTCTCTGGGCTCAGGTGATCCTCCCACCTCAGCCTCCCGAGTAGCTGGGACTACAGGTGCATGCCACCACGCCTGGCTAATTTTTGTTATTTTTAGTAGAGATTGGGTTTCACCATGTTGTCCAGGCTGATCTTGAACTCCTGAACTCAAGGAATCTGCCCACCTTGGCCTCTTAAAGTGCTGGGGTTACAGGTGTGAGCCACTCCACCTGGCCCATACCACCTTTCCAATGGCATAACTCACTACAGGTATGCTGCCCACAGAGTGCATGTCTGAGGGCTACTTGATCTACCTGGGGTGTTTTCTCAAAGACTTGAACCACCTCTAGGTATAAGCCAGTGTTTTTTACCAGAGATAAATTAATGCCTACCTTTCATATGCATGACCCCAGAGGGCACACATGGCACCCCTGGTAACAAAGAGTTTACAGTTGTTAGGGCTACCAAGTAAGACATTACCTTCTAGGCATGCACAGTAGATAAGGCTCCTAATGCCTAGGGAGGAGGATTGCTTGAGTTGGAGACCAGCCTGGGCAACATAGCCAGACTATCTCTACAAAAAATTTTAAAATTAGCTAAGCATGGTGGTGCATGCCTGTGGTCCCAGGTACTGGAGATGCAGCTACTTGGGATGCTGAGGTGAGAGGATCCCTTGAACCTAGGAGTTTGAGGTTATAGTGAGCTGTGATCACACCACTGCACTCCAGCCTGGGTGACAGAAAGACTGTTTCTTAAAAAAAAATTTTTTTTTTTTTTTTGAGATAGTCTTGCTCTGTCACCCAGGCTGGAGTGCAGTGGCGTGATCTTGGCTCACTGCAACCTCCGTCTCCTGGGTTCAAGCAATTCTCCTGCCTCAGCCTCCCGAGTAGCTGGGACTACAGGCATGCACCACCACACCCAGCTAATTTTTGTATTTTTAGTACAGACGAGGTTTTGCCATGTTGGTCAGACTGGCCTTGAACTCCTGACCTCAGGTGATCCTCCCGCCTTGGCCTCCCAAAGTGCTGAGATTATAGGCATGAGCCACGGTGCCTGGCCAAAAAAATTTTTTTAACTCTTAAAGACTTGTTTTTTGAGACTGGGTCTCGCTGTATCACCCAGGCTGGAGTGCAGTGGCATGATCTCAGTTCACTGCGGCCTCGACCTCCCCAGCTTAAGCGATCCTCCCGCCTCAGCCTCACATAGCTGGGACCTCAGATGTACACCACCAAGCCAGGCTAATTTTTAAATTTTTAAATTTTTTGTAGTGATGGGATCTCATTATATTACCCAGGCTGGTCTCTAACTCCTGGGCTTAAGTGATCCTCCCACCTCAGCCTCCCAAAATGGCAGGATTATAGGCGTAAGTCACTGCACCTGGCTAAAAAAAGGAAAAAAAAAACAAAAAAAGACTCTTAATGTGTCCTCTCATCTCCCATCAGCTGATAAACTTGGGGGCCCCTCCCAATTCAGCCCAAATAATTCAGGTCAGTTCTTGTTTTCAGAGGGACTTCCTGGGGGCAGTTTTAAGCAGTCCTGCCCAATTCATCTGTCCTGCTGTGTTATGACATCTGGAGGTGTGCAAGATGTTATGTGTGGACCGTATGTGAGCTGGGACCATCCCCTACTGTCTGTGACCAGAGCTGTCAGTCAGAAATGGTGTACTCAGCAGTCAGTCTGAATTCAGAGTGCTCACTGCACCCAGAAGAGCAGTCAGGAAGAGGGCACAGGGTAGCAGGTTGGGAGAGCAGGGCAAAATGCTCTCCTCATGTTTTAGGACTTCCTCCTTAGTTCAGCTAAAGACGGGTCACGTGCTGGGATTAGAGGTGTGAGCCACTGCACCTGGACCAAAGCTGTTTTTAAACTCCTCTTTTTTTCCAAAGTTTTGCTCAAACCCTAACAGTTAAATTCAGCATTTACAGGGATAAAATTGCAGCTGCAGGGAGAAGCTATTTCCTCCCTGCTTGGAGGAAATGCAAAAAGGGAGGCAGAATGCAGGTGACAGCATGGCGTATGAGAGCTCTCCTTCTCCTTCTCCCCGTTTGGACCCTAGGAGAGAAGTCTCCAGGACTGTTTCTGCTGCTCACAGAGGTTTCTGTCTGCATTCCTCAGCATCCGTCTCCCACGTGGGCACGAGGGTGCTAGTACCTGACACAACTATCAACATTCAAATCTCTCCCCTACACTGTTGTTTCCCCTGTGTAGGGGACTAGTGCAGTACCTCCTGAGACAGGAAGATCAGCTGGGGTAGGAAGGGAACTAAGGATTAGAGGAGAACAGAAAAGTGTCTCCAAGTCAGTAGGCCAGACACCCTCCTCCTTGCTGCAGCGTGGCCCTGCAGCCCTCATAGACCCACTCTGGCTGAGGGAGCCTCAAGAACCCTCTCCCTCTCACTGCAAGGAGACAGCGACAGAAACTTCTCTCGTTCCACCTAAAGCTCATCTCTAAGAATTTCCAGGTCCCTTCCCCTCCCACCTGGGGAGGACAGCAAAATCCAAAGGTGCCATTCTGGCAGCATTTTCCAAGCCTACCTCCTGATCCCTGGCTAACACATTTTCCAGTCCTTTCAGTAGGTCTGTGCTGGTTCCCATAGATATTGCTCCAATCCTCCTAACCAACTACAGGCCCTTGTCTGTCTCTTCCAGTAAACCAGGTGACAAGTAGGACCCTATCATCTTTGTTGCCATAACTGTTGGGATTTTAATAGTCATCTTTATTAATTTTATTTTGAATGCAAACATGGTGTCTTCTGCATCAGAAGCATTTGTTATTTACAGAGTAAGAGAAAAAAATAATATGCAAATAATTATAACTACATAGGCACTCCCTACCCCAGGGCTTACCCCAGGGTGGTATGATGAAAGATGGAAAAATCTCCAGCCGTAGTGGTCAGACACTTCATAGGTGAGGGACAGAGAAAAATGGAATTTCTTTGTTTACATGAAGGAGAAAAAGGCAACTGCTTCCCTCCCCTCCTGAAAGGAGGGAGGAAGCATCTTTGCTGCCTGGAGACAAAATGGAAGGATCCCGGGTTCTCTATTTAACCTTCTGGAATATACATCTTTCTGGGAGCCAGGTCAGCTCTGGTGGCTCCAGTTTTTATGTCCTAGGCATGTCTCCAAGGTCCTGGGCCTCATTTTCCCTTCAGATGTAAACACACGCTCAGAGTTAGGTAAATCTTTCTGGAGTCTCTCACTATACAGTTGTAAAATAACTTAGCTAAGGATCCCAAGTTTGCAGTGACATTTATCCTAAACCCAATTCTTAAAAGACAAAGATTCTGTTTCTCTTGCTACTGACTGCTCCTTTGGGTCACATTAGAAGCAGGATGGGTGTGGAGTGGTGACCCAGCAGTCCATGCTGCTCCAGGCTCATGAGAATTGGCTTTGCCCCCTAAATTAGAGCTGAGGCACCATGCACTGGGCTGCCAGGCTGGAGCCTGAGGTGGTGGTGGGAAAGGGAGGAGGTGGCCTGGGCATGAGGGTTGGTGAAGGGAGCTTCAGGTGAGAAAGCCTGGTAGGAGCAGGAGAACTGGCTGTGGGGCACTTGGGAGAGGGGATGTCTCATAAGTGGAGAACATCAGTCTTAGGTGCCTAAAAAGGAAGAAGGGGCTAGAAAAGCAATAAGGCAGGAAGCAAGTGTATTTAAAAGAGATGTTGGAGCTCCTTTTCTAGACTGAAACCCAAGAGAATCTGAGTTCTTGTCTAGAATGGGGTTAGGTTGTTGTGTCAGTGTGCAAAGTCCCTGGAAAAGCCAGATAGCCTGTGCAGATGGACCTCGCTTGTTCTGCCTGGTCACACTGAGAAAACCTCCAGGATGCCATGGGTCAATGGTACAGTAATGGATGGCTTAGTGTGAAGAAGGTGGCCAGCTCCTAGAAGCAGAAGTCGGGTGACCCTCCCACGTAGAGATCAGAGCTGCTGACCTACAGCCTCAGTTGAGATTTCTTAAGAGTTGCAAACTTTACATTTGGTTTCTAAGGCAATGGCCTTGTGAACATATACTGCAGTCCTGCTGAGGAGCGGTCACCTCCACCCAGATATAACCTGAAACCTTCCTTCTGTGCTGAAGAAAAGGGAATTCACAGTCTTAAAGTTGAACAGTTTGTGTCTTTAAAATTTCTAACAGCCTAGAAATGCTTCTTAGTAAAACTACATTTATGTGAATTGTATCCCTGAAGTGGCTTTTATCTTTTAAAAGTTAATATTTCAGAGGCCACAGAGTCTGTAATCAACTTGAAAGCAGCTGGGAGACCTGAAAGACACTATTAATGCAGAAACTCAGTGATGCTTTCCAGATTGGGACACGAGCGGTTCAGAGGTTGGGAGAGAGGGTGGGCAATGGGGTAGAGTGGCTAAGCAGGGATGGGGAAGCACCTGAGGGTGTAGATAGGCCTTCCTGGATTCTTGTGCAGGTCCTGTTTATTATTCTGGGCCACTTGAGCCCCTCTTCCATCAGTAGGAGAGAAGCAGGCAAGGCTGCAGTTTCTGTGATGCTTTTGGTAACGTATATGTATATGTGTATAGTCTGGGCTAAATGGTAGCACTACACATGTTTTATCTCATGATGCAAAGTGGAGCCCTATCCCAGCTCCTGTCACCACAAAGCCTGGGAGTGGGAGGCCTCTGCTGGGCTTCGTCACCTCCACACCAACCCTGCCCACAGAGACCTGGGGCCTGGGTGGATCCAGGTTCTTTGGGGACTCACAGCAACTTTCTTCAGCAAATGGCAGGGATTGCCTGCTTCTGAAATATACATGATGTTAGTCATTATTTGCCCCTCTAAGTTCTGAGCTAATCCTGTATTGATGTTAACAGTGATAGTGGCTTATTGTCTCCATTTCACAAGACTTCCTTTCAGAAGTGATTGAAAGGCATCCCATTCTCAGGGCCATAACTGTAGATACCCATTTTGAGAGCAACCTATTCTTTGAACAGCTGTGACAGTTCTTATCTTCCCCTCTGTGATTTCTGCATGCTGTAAGGAAATACTTCCTCATCCAGGAAGAGTGCCTATCACTATCTTATCAGTATGAATTAAAAACTAGGCAATCCTAGTTGAAGCTTCTGCATCTCATCTCAAAGCTTCTGCATCCCAAACTTGACGTGATGCAGGTAAAGCAGCAGCAGTCCTGACACTTTTTCTGTAAATATCTATCGTGTAGCCAGCTCATGGGAGTTAATGTGTTGAAAATAAGTATTTAGTGTGTTGTCAAATCCAGAAGGTCTAATCAAGCCCTTAGCAAGACAAATGTTTTGCTCACAGCAGAAAAAATGAGGAGGCAATAAATGCCTAATGTCCTTGGCTAGGTATTTTGGTTAGAGCGGTGTTTTGTTGCAGATTGTAGAAAGTCTTCTAAAAATGACTTGAACAAATGAGGGACAGATTCCAACAAGAAGCTTGGAAGTAGGTAGCCTGGGTGAGCTTGGCTCAGCAAGGCTGTCTGAGACTTGGGCCTTTGATTTCTGCTTCATCTTCCTAGTAGATGATCTTTTGACATCATGCTTGTCTTTTGACATCATGGTCAGAAAATGAAAAACCATGATCTTTTGACATCATGGTCAGAAAATGGTTGCATCCTCTGCAAGATCCAAGCAGGAAGAAAGAATCGGAGATGAAGGAAGGGCCTTTAAAAAAGTTTCACTGGCGGCTATGCGTGGTGGCTCATGCCTGTAATCCCAGCACTATGGGAGGTCGAGATGGGCAGATCACGAGGTCCAGAGTTCGAGACCAGCCTGGCCAACATGGTGAAACCCCAAAAATTAGCATGGTGGCGGGTGCTTGTAATCCCAGCTACTCGGGAGGCTGAGGCAGAAGAATCACTTGGACCCAGGAGGCGGACGTTGCAGTGACTCAAGATCATGCCACTGCACCCCAGCCTCGGTGACAGAGCAAGACTCTGTCTCGGTGGGGGAAAGAGTCTCATTGGTCCAGGCATGGTGGCTCACACCTGTAATCTCAGCACTTTGGGAGGCTGAGGCAGGTGGATCACCTGAGGTCAGGAGTTTGAGACCAGCCTGAGCAACATGGTGAAACTCCATCTCTACTAAAAATACAAAAAATTAGCCAGGCATGGCAGGAGCCTGTAATCCCAGCTACTCTGAAGGCTGAGGCAGGAGAATTGCTTGAACCTGGGAGGCAGAGGTTGTAGTGAGCTGAGATGATGCCACTGCACTCCAGCCTGGGTAACAGAGTGAGACTCTGTCTCAAAAAAAAAAAAAAAAAAAAAAAGGTCTAATTGGCCACACTTATGTCATATGTCTGTTAAGTTATGAGGCTGGGAAATTGAGCATGATGCTTTCCTGCCTCCATACTAGAGGAAGGCGAGGGAAAATTTGATTGGGTGTGTGTGTTAAATGGGCCAACCAGTGTTATCTGCCACAAGGGATCACAATAAAATATCACTGAATAGGATGGGCCACTGAGGTATGCCTCTCAGAAATGAAGTAGGGCTAGTAGAAGGCTTTGGCAGTGTATGTTCCTTCTTCTTAGGTGAGGAGAAGGTCATGGGGACTGATGCCTGGTCAAATAGGCTATGGGAGTTGGGAAAAGAAAAGTCAGGATTGGCCGGGCGCGGTGGCTCACACCTGTAATCCCAGCTCTTTGGGAGCCCAAGGTGGGCAGATCACCTGAGTTCAGGAGTTCAAGACCAGCCTGACCAACATGGAGAAACCCTGTCTCTACTAAAAATACAAAATTAGCCGGGCATGATGGCACATGCCTATAATCCTGCTGAGACCAGCTCAGTCATGGAGACCCCAACCCAGCAGTGCTAGAGGAATAAAGACACAGACACAGAAGTAGAGTGCAAAGTGGTATTGGGGGGCTAACAGCCTTCAGAGCTGAGAGCCTCAAACAGAGTTTGACCCACCTATTTATTGACAGTAAGCCCATGATAAACATCGTTTCTGCAGTTTATAGATTAACTAAAAGTATTCTTCAGAAGAACAAAGGGACAGGGTCTGGCTTTTTATCTGCAGCAGGAACATGTCCTTAAGGCATAGATCGCTCATGCCATTGTTTGTGGTTTAGGAACACCTTGAGTGGTTTTCCACCCTGGGTGGGCCAGGTGTTCCTTGTCCTCATTCCGGTAAACCAGCAACCTCCAGCGTGAGCATCATAGCCATCATGAGCATGTCACAGTGCTGTGGAGATCTTGTTTATGACCAGTCTTGAGGACTGTTCCTTGCATGTCCCCCTTTTTGTTTTTGCACGGCAATAAAAACCAAGGCAGCTTTATAATGGTGAGCTACTTTACCCAGGAGTTGGGATTTGCATCTGCAGACTACACAAAGACAAACAACACAGATTAATAGCACAACCATCACAGAAATCACAGAGCCTCCAAGTGTTTTTATCCATTTGGAAGGATTTATGGCTGCCCATCTTTCTGCAGCTCCTTTAAGCACTCCAGTTCCTGGCATTAAGGTCAGGTGTTCCTGGGATGCTTTAAATATTTGTTCTGTTAATTTTGCAATATCCAAAGACAAAGTTTGTAGAGTGTCCTTCTAGATGCTTTTTTATTTTTTTCTATTCATGCTCTGATTCATTATAAGGGTGAGGAGTGATACAAAAGTCAGAAGTATTCCAGTTGCATTTTAGCTGCATTGTATATTCCAAACTAACTATCTCCTAGCCACATTACAGTTTGTGGGTGATCATTGATTTGATTAACTATCTTTTGGTCTATTTTAGTTTGAGAGTTCCACAGCATAGTAGAATTCTTTTGCCGTTTAGTTACAAAATCTGCTGTCTGCACTGATGAATGTAGCGCAACTCCAGCTGCTGCACCAGTAGGCTGTGACAGTGATCAGTCCCATAATAATTAAGATTAAAGTAGCAATGAAACACCGAGAGTGTCTCAGAATTTTCTGAAGAATTTCAGTAATAATATGTACAGAGGGAGAGGCTTCCCAAGGATGGGAAAACTTCACTGGTAACCATACTCCTTGAGCTCTCACTACTAGGATAGAATGATTAGTATTAGAGGTCACACAAGAGAACGATCTACATTCCTGGCAAGTTACATAATAATTAGGGATGTCAACCTTTAGATTGCCCATTACCAACAGAAAAGGAGGGTGAACACAACTTTGTATCCAAATTGTATTGTTTTCAACAAGTTCTAAAATGTAATTAGGATTATATTGTGATGGCATAGTATATTTTCCTTCCTTAATCTTGATCTTATTAAGAGCCATTAATAGTTTCCACAAATCCTTGTTTAGCTCCTACAGCAGGCCATATCATTTGAGGTTGAGGTGCCACTATACTGCCATGTTTCCAGATAATAGGAACTCTTGCCGTACTTCTTATCATTTCTGCTATCTGATCGTTCTGTTCAGACAAGCTGAACATAGTGTGGCCATGGCACACAGACTGAGAGGTGCAGTTTATGCTAAACATCTCCTTAGGGGACCAATCAATAATGATTCCATAGGAATCGTTGTGCAGCACCTCTGCCTATTCTGCAATGCAATCTTCCCAAACAAGTACATTCATTTTTTCTGACCAGGTCCAATCTTGTTTACAAATAGGTTTTTGAGGGCGGTATGCCTCAATTACAGGAGCAGATTCATTATGGTAAGTGTGGAGACCAGAAAGCATGAGTAACTGTGCCATAGAGTGATATGTCCAGGCATTATTGCCAGCCAAGATTGATAGCAAGGGGGTAGGCAACTAGTGTCCTTTCCCAAACAGATAGGCCGATGTTCAAATCCTAAAGAAATATTCATAACAGTTCCTTCTTCATGTGGGTGAGATGGGCCTTTATTATCTGTAGGACCGGGCAACCAAGAGCTATCGTTAGTGTATACCTCCAATGGGGGATCCAGCCAAGTTACAGGCTATAGAAGTGGTGGAAAAGGTAAATATGCCCCAATAGTAGAATTGTTCTCTGTGTCAGCCCTTGCTGAAGGAATACTCACGGCAATGCTGATCACCGCTATCATAGCTATCATTAAATTACTCATTGTGACTGGTTGTCCCGCCTTCCTCAGGTTCTTCGGGATCCTCCCAAAACCTCTTCCTGGGTATCTGGCTCATAATAGGGCCAGATACCCAAAAGGAAAAAAAAAACAGATGAGGAATGCACCATTTGGCAAGTTGGGCATCACTGGATAATAGCTTTAGCTTCTTTCCAGGTAATGCTGTATCTGTGTTTGACACCAGAGGCATTAACATGGGTTAAATTGTGAAAGTGTCTAGCATTAGATATTGCAGTACCAACTAGGCCATCAGCCATTTGATTCCCTGCATTCAAAGGTCCTGAAAGAGGTGTATGAGCCTTAATGTGAGTGATGTAAAAAAGGGTGCATTTTACTCCTAGCTGTTTGCAATTGGGTAAATAAAGTCACAAGTTGCTCATCTGTATGGAATCGTAACTGAGCATTTTCAACTGTGTAGGATGAACCACATATGAAGAATCAGAAATCACTTTAATAGGCATATTAAAAGCAGTCAATACCTCAATTACAGCTATAAGCTCTGCTTTTTGAGCTGAAGTAATAGGCATATTAAAAGCAGTCAATACCTCTATTACAGCTACAAGTTCTGCTTGTTTTTTTTTTTTTTTTTTCTCTGAGACAAAGTCTCGCTCTCTCACCCAGGCTGGAGTGCAGTGGCGCGATCTCGGCTCACTGCAAGCTCTGCCTGCCAGGTTCATGCCATTCTCCTGCCTCAGCCTCCCAATTAGCTGGGACTATAGGCACCCGCCACCGCACCAGCTAATTTTTTTGTATTTTTAGTAGAGGCGGGGTTTCACCTTGTTAGCCAGGATGATCTCGATCTCCTGACCTCGTGATCCGCCCGCCTCGGCCTCCCAAAGTGTTGGGATTACAGGCGTGAGCCACCGCACCCGGCCAAGTTCTGCTTTTTGAGCTGAAGTATAGGCCGTCCGAAAAACTTTACCTTTTGATCCAGAATAAGAGGCTTTACCATTACTAGACCTATCTGTGAAGACATTCTCAGCACCTTTAATTGAATTTAGTTATTTTAAGGAGAATCCAATTAGTTAATTTCAAAAATTGAAACAGTTTTGTGTTAGGAAAATGGTTATCTAGAATACCCACAAAGTCAGATAAATGGGTTTGCCAAGTAAGACTATTTATAAAAGCTTGCTGTATTTCTGCCTTCGTGAGAGGGACAATAATTTTTCCAGGATCATATCCATGTAATTTAACAATCTGAGTTCTCCCATTTCCTATCATAGTAGCGATTTGATCCAAATAAGGAGTCAAAGTCAGTGAATTAGTATGTGGAAGGAAAATCCACTTCATAAGATCTTGCTCTTGAACAGTAACACCAGTAGGTGAATGATAAGTTGGAAAAATTAGCAAATCTAGAGTCTTCTCTGGATCTGTTTATTTGGGCCTTATGGACTTGCTTTTCAATTAGCTGCAGCTCTGCCTCAGCTTCTTTTGCTAATTGCCAAGGGCTTGTGAGACTAGGATCTCCTCTAAGGATAGAAAACAGATTACTCATGGCATAAGTAGGAATGCCTAGAGCAGGCCGTATGCAATTAATGTCCCCTAGTAATTTTTGAAAGTCATTCAATGTTTTTAATTGATCCTTATGCATGGTTACTTTTGTGGCACTATTGTAGTGTCATTTACTAAGGTCCTCAAGTAGGAGTAAGGAGTAGTAGTCTGAATTTTGCCAGGAGCTATAATTAAACCGGCACAAGAAACCAAATTTTGCAAGTGATCATAATATTGGAGTAATATTTCCCGAGTGGGGGCAGCACAAAGAATATCATCCATATAATGAATAATGTAACACTGTGAAAATCTTTTACGAGTAGGTTCAATTGCTTGCCCTACATACGTCTGGCAAATTGTTGGACTGTTTAACATGCCTTGTGGCAACACTTTCCAATGAAAATGCTTAGCAGGCTGCAGGTTGTTTACCGCAGGAATCGTAAATGCAAACCGTTCACAGTCCTGCTCAGCTAAGGAGATAGTAAAGAAACAGTCTTTTAAATCTGTGACTATTAAAGGCCAGTTTTTGGCCGGGCGCAGTGGCTCACGCCTGTAATCCCAGCACTTTGGGAGGCCGAGGCGTGTGGATCACGAGGTCAGGAGATTGAGACCATCCTGGCTAACATGGTGAAACCCCGTCTCTACTAAAAATACAAAAAATTAGCCAGGCGTGGCAGTGGGCACCTGTAGTCCCAGCTACTCGGGAGGTTGAGGCAGGAGAATGGCATGAACCTGGGAGGTGGAGCTTGCAGTGAGCCGAGATCCTGCCACTGCACTCCAGCCTGGGCGACAGAGTGAGACTCCATCTCGAAACAAAAAAACAAACAAAAGGCCAATTTTTTGGAATCATAGCAGGAGAAGGCAGTCCTGGCTGTAATGCCCCCTAGGTTGTATAACTGAATTAATGGCCCTTAAGTCAGTTAACATTCTACATTTACCTGATTTTTTCTTAATTATGAAAACTGGGGAATTCCAAGGGGATTCCCTTTTGAAGCTGTTCTTTGAGTAATTCATTTAAAGCCTCCAGTTTCTCTTTACTCAGCAGCCACTGTTCTATCCATATTGGCTTGTCTGTCAGCCATTTTAACGGGATAGGATCTGGAGGCTTAACAATGGCCACCATCAAAATGGTATCCTAAACCTTGGTAAGAACTTTGTCTTTCTGCTTGAAGTGGTTCCTTCAAACCTTGCAAATTTTTTCCTAGTCCCATACCAGGGACATACCCCATTTCATGCATCATAGATTGACTTTGAGGGCTGTATAATTGCTCAGGAATTAAAACTTGTGCTCCCTATTGTTGTAATAAATCTCTCCCCCATAAATTTATAGGTTCAGAAGTTATAGTTGGTTGAATAGTCCCAGGTTGTCCATTGGGCCCTTCACAATGCAAAATATAACTACTTTGATATACTTCAGGGGCTTTACCAACTCCAACTATGTTAAATTGAGTGGGTTGAACTGGCCATGTGGATGGCCAGTGCTGTAGAGAAATGATTGAAATGTCTGCTCCTGTATCTACCAAACCTTTAAATTTCTTTCCCTGAATAGTTTTTTCACAGGTAGGATGTTTATCCGTAATTTGATTTACCCAGTAGGCGGTTTTCCCTTGTTTATTTGTACTGCAAAATCCCCCTGTTCTTTTAGTTTCACTTTTTCCTAGTCCCACATACAGTAAAATCAGAAGCTGTGCTATACACTCTCCCAGTTCTGCCTTCCAAGGAACAGAGGTAGATAAAATGATTTGAATTTCCCCATTACAATCCCAGTCAATCACTCCTGTATGAACCTGCACCCCTTTTAAATTTAAACTAGATCTTCCCAGAAGTAGTCCTACCGTTCCTTCTGGCAGGGGTCCGCAGGCTCCTGTTTCTACTTTCTGTGGCGGCTCTCCAGGCACACTCACAGCCCTGGTGCAACACAGTCTACTGCAGCATTACTGGCTGTGGCGGGGGACAAGCATTGTATAGGGGTGAGGGAGTGGCCTGAACTGGGAATGCCCTGGTTTGGAACGGGGCCCAGGACGGGCCTCTCATGGCATTTCCCGAAATCGGGTTTCCGTCTTTATCAAATTTAGAATGACACTGATTGGACCAATGCTTTCCTTGTTTTTTTTTTTTTTTTTCGAGGCAGCCTCTTGCTCTGTCACCCAGGCTGGAGTGCAGTGGCACGATCTCAGTCACTGCAAGCTCCGCCTCCCGGGTTCACGCCATTTTCCAGCCTCAGCCTCCCGAGTAGCTGGGACTACAGGCGCCCGCCACCACGCCCAGCTATTTTTTTTGTATTTTTAGTAGAGACAGGGTTTCACTGTGTTAGCCAGGATGGTCTCAATCTCCTGACCTCGTGATCCGCCCGCCTCAGCCTCCTAAAGTGCTGGGATTACAGGTGTGAGCCACCGTGCCTGGCCCAATGCTTTCCTTTTTTACACTTCAGGCATAGACCTGGTTCATACTGATTGACAGCCTGTTTAAACTCTTCGAGTAATTTAGAGGGAAAAGGCTCAAATGTAGCCATAACATTCCCCTGTTGATCTGGGGGGTATATCCTAACAGGGAACTGCCAAGCCTCTAAATCACCCTCTCTTCTAGCTTTCTGAATTCCTGCCTGAATAGAACTGAGGGTGGTTGCTCAGGGCGCTGTTCTAATAGCCACTGGGGTGACTACTTTTTGCCCAGTGTCCTCTGGAAAAGAAAGATCCAGAGGGTCAGGCCATTATCTTCAAGGTATTGAGGGGGTGCCAAGGGGCAGGGACAAGCTTCCCCTTCTTGGGTCTCTTTAAGTGGTTGACAGATCTGTTCTTTTATCTCTTCCGCAACATTATCACACTCCTCTCCTTCATCTCCTTCCTCCTCATTGTCAGTGTGAAAAGGTTCCAAGGTGGAATGAATCAGAGCCCACACTGACCAGACAGTTACAGGAATATCCTCAGCACTATCCTTATATGCCTTTTTGAGTGCACTGCCTACCTTCTTCCAGACCTCTACATCCATAGTTCCTCAGTTCGGAAACCAGGGACAATATTTCTCTACCGCACTAAAAAGCCGCATAAGGCGGCTAGTGCTAACCTTCACTCCTTTTCTGAGGAGCTGCTGAAGCAGACTCAAATAAGCCTCATGCCTGTTCGACCCTTGTCTTATTTTTACCCTGATGCTTCTAAGCTCCCCTTTTTATTCACCACGGGGATTGCTTAAGAGTACTCGGGTGTCCTCCAGTGTAGTTCCACGTTCTCCAACCGTCGCTCTGGCGACCCTTCGATCCGGGTTCGAGCCCCAAGTTTGGGTGCTGCTTGCTGAGACTAGCTTGGTTGTGGAGATCCCAATCCAGCGGTGCTAGAGGAATAAAGACACAGACAGAGAAATAGAGTGCAAAGTGGGATCGGGGGGCTAACAGCCTTCAGAGCTGAGAGCCTCGAACAGAGTTTGACCCACCTATTTAATGGCAGTAAGCCCGAGATAAACATCGTTTCTGCAGTTTATAGATTAACTAAAACTATTCTTCACAAGAACAAAGGGACAGGCTCTGACTAGTTATCTGCAGCAGGAACATGTCCTTAAGGCACAGATCGCTCATGCCATTGTTTGTGGTTTAGGAACACCTTGAGCGGTTTTCCACCCTGGGTGGGCCAGGTGTTCCTTGCCCTCATTCTGGTAAACCAGCAACCTCCAGCGTGAGCATCATAGCCATCACGAGCATGTCACAGTGCTGCAGAGATCTTGTTTATGGCCAGTCTTGGGGCCTGTTCCTAGCATAATCCCAGCTACTCAGGAGGCTGAGGCAGGAGAATCTCCTGAACCGAGGAGGCAGTTTGCATTCCAGCCTGGGCAACAAGAATGAAACTCCATCTCAAAAAAAGAAAAGTCAGAATTGGCCAAGAAATCCATCCATGTGCCTAACTGGTGCCCTACAGGAGAAACTTGAAGTACTAGTAATGACATGGAACAGGGTCTGATCAAGTTAATATCTTAATTTGGGAAGAAAAGTTAAAAAGCGCTGATATCAGTAGAAGAACTGACACGTGTCAAATCTATTCCAGGCATTTTCAGATTGTTTTCCCACAGTAACCTTTTAGCCAGATACTATTATTCATCTTGAAGAGCTGAGGTCACTAATTAATACTCAAAGAGGGTACACTGACAGTAAGTGGAAGTAGAGAATGTGAGCCCAGGTCTACCTGACCAACTCCACTATTCCTTTATTTATCCCGTGCTGCCTTAGTGGCCCAAGGCCCTATGAGGAACAGTCTGGCTCTTCTTCCTCGTGATGGTCCTGGCCCAGGCAGCCACAGACTTCCGGGAATAGCATTCAGGCTTGGGACCCAGGAATACTGAGTCCTAGTCCTACCAATTATGGCCTCATGATAGGTTAAGATTGTCTTAACCAACTGCTGCTCTTCCATGACAGTCAAAGCCCATTGAGTGTGAGGACTGTATCCTGTTTGCTCTTGTAACCTTTGTAACTGGTATATAGTAGATAATAAATATATGCTGGATAAGGAATGATTGAGGGACTGTGCTGTTATAATATCAATTTACTCTGAGTGTCTGATGCTAAACAATGGTAGCCATTCGTTAAATGTTTATTAAATAGTACATATGAAGAAGGAGAATATATTTCCAGCTGATGGGATCAGAAAACTATCCATGATAGAGTCACTGAGCATTTTAGTTAGTCTTAAATGACAGGATTTTGAAACGCTGAGGTATGGGGAAGAGTGCTGTAGGTGGGGGATACAGGGACAAAGGGACAGGATATGGACAGATACTGACTATTCAGGGAGAGGCCAATCTGAATGGAGGGAAGTCACAGCTGAAGGTACAGTACTTAGCTGAAGGGTAGTACAGTACTTAGGAAAAAGGAGTTTGCTGTCAAATATGATCAGGGAACATTGGGTTAAATAAACTAGGTAGTTGTTTGTTATAGAAGTTTTCAGAGCCTTTCACAATACCACTGTGGCTCCAAGCAGCATTTCTCAAACATTTGGCATGGGGACCCTTTTTCTTGTAGAGAGCATTTCATGGAATGAATGTTCCACAGAACTCTTTTTGCGAAATGCTGATCTAGTTCAGTTCCCTGTGTATGGGCAAGGGAACTGAGACCCAAAGAAGAGAGGCGACTTACTCAGGGTCACAGAGCAGAATCTGGATTAGAACCCCAATACCCTGATCAGATTGCTTGGCCCCCAGTATAGGACTTGTTTGTAATGTGAGGATCATGAAAATAGAAAGGACAGCTTTAAAAAAAAATCTAGGGAAACTTTAATTTTTTATTCAAACAACCACCTTTGTGCTGGACTTTTAAATTTTTATTTATTTTATTTTTTTCTTTCTCTCCTAACTTCCTAAACTTGTTAAGTTCTGGGCTTTTTACCCCCGTTTTGTACAGTGGTATTTTCTGTTAATCACCATGACTAGACCTGTTAGTCACTGTCATTGCCTTTGTGGCCTCCAGAATCTTGGGAAGAAGAGGCACCATAATCTGTTCCAGGTTTCCTGGAGGTCAAAAAAAGGATGTTCTCCTGCATGACTACTTTTAGGGACATATAGGTACTACAGCAGTTTACAACCTGTGCCTCTCTTGCTATTTATATAGCTATTCCTTGCCCCCAACGCTTGTAACTGGTGTGGTAGGTAGAATGGTTCACCAAAGATGCCCATGTCCTAATACCTGGAACCTGTGAATATGTTACCTTACATGGCTAAAGAGACTTTTCAGGTGTAATTAGGTTATGGACATTAAATTAGGGAGATTATTCTAGATTATCTGGGTGGATCCTGTCTAATCACAGGTACTCTTAAAAGCAGATAAATTTTCTCTGGCAAGAAGCAGAAGCAATGCAATGGAAGTGCACGTCAGAGAGTGTGGGCAGATTTAATTCTGTGTTTGAAGATGAAGGGGACAACATGACAGGAAATAGAGGTGACTGAGAGAGGCTCCCATCTGACAGTCATCAAGGAAATAGTGACTGCCGTCCTCAGTCCTACAACCATAAGGAACTGATATCTGCCAAAAACCTAAATGAGAGTGAAAACATTCTACCCCCAGAGTCTCCTGATAAAGCCTAGGCTGGCCAGCACTTTGGTTTTGGCTCTGACACCCAGAGCTTCTGACCTATAGACTGTGAGATAATAAATTTGTGTTGTTTTAAGCCACTAAGTTTGCTGTAATTGATTTTGACAGCCATTGAAAACTAACACGACTGAATAAAGTCATGAACATATCCAGGGTGGAAGCCTTGAAGGGAAAGAGTGTAGGAAAGGGCACTTCAGAGCCTAAGGGTTTTGGGCCAAATGTGGATTCGTTTTAGTATTATTCAAAAGCCAGCTGGTTTGAGTCATTCAGCTGGTTTGAGTCGGTCATTCCTGACTGAGGCTCCTTGTATCTCTATCCGCAGTGAGGGTGGTGGCCATGGGGGAAGGGAGCTAGAGGCTCAAAGGGCACCCCCGGGTGGGGCCACCTGTCTTCTTGGTGTATCAGTGTGCTGACAACCAAATTGTGGGGTCTGTTCCAGGCCCTCTGAGACCCAACTGATAGTCAATATTAGTGAATATATCACCCGAAAAGGAGGCCACTAACTAAATTCTGGCAGGTTGAAGTGTGATAAGTAAAGAAGACATTACTAAGGACTCCTGCTGTTGAACAGCTCATCTTCCCAAGGGAAGCCTTTAGCTTTCCAGCAGAGGGTATTTCCCAGAAGGGAGCCATTTGTCTAGGAGTTAAAAATAAACATTACCATGCTTGAGAAAGAATTCCAGCTTCCATGGCAGATAACCCGATTACCCTTAGATCTGCAGCCAGCTTCTGTCTTGGTACTCTTTTGTTTCTGAATGTGGAGGAAAGTTTTTGCATTCTTTTACTTTACTAAAATAAAAGGGAGATGTGGAGAGGGGCTTGGTTTACTGGCCTGGAACCTTTCTTCTTATTGTTTCCATTTCATTTGATTTTCTGAACCTATTTGAAGTTGTAACACAATAGATCTAATTGTTTAAAGCCATCAAAGATTTGCACAGCATCTTATCTTTAATGAGGGGCATGTTGTTACAAATGCTTCAATTTTTCAAAGTTCAGGATTAATTTTAATGTTAAAAACATTTGGTGGAAATTCTGTACTGGATAAAAGAGCAGTTTAAAATCACGAAAGCTTCTTGGATTACTTTGAACAAAACATCCTTTTTTTTTAAATTAAACTTGAGTGTACCTGCAGGCTGTTTTATTTGCACGCTGTTGTCATCCCTAATGCGCATAGAAGATACCTTTCCCACAGTGTGATTCAATACAGGCGCCCAGAAAGATGGTCTCAGATTTCATGTGTCTGGGTAATTAGTTGAGTTAGAGCAGCTCTGTTAAACCACTTGAAGGTCAATAATGCATGAATTTCTGGCAGACTTCCTAGCTCTGAGTCCATAAACACACTTGCATAGGGACTAAATGTTCTTATAGTAGAGAAAAACTCGTGTTCTAAATATAAAATAAGTAATGCTAGGGATTAGTTTTTTCTTTTTCTTTTCTTTTTTTTTTTTTTTTTTTTGAGACAGAGTTTCGCTTTTGTCATCCAGGCTGGAGTGCAATGGCACAGTCTCGGCTCACCGCAACCTCCACCTCCTGGGTTCAAGTGATTCTCCTGCTTCAGCCTCCAGTGTGGCTGGGATCACAGGCACCCACCACCACGCCCAGCTAATTTTTGTAATTTTTAGTAGAGACGAGGTTTCACCATGTTGGCCAGGCTGGTCTCGAACTCCTGACCTCAGGTGATTGGCCCACCTTGGCCTCCCAAAGTGTTGGGATTACAGGCGTGAGCCACTGCACCAGGTCTAGGATTCATTTTTTTCTAGAATTTAATTCTATGACAAATTCATGTTTTATTATGACACAAAAATGTTAGGATGTGGGTGCTTTTTGAATTCTGAAAGAAAATCTTTCCTCTGTCTTGCAGATTAGTAGCACAGTCTTTCATGGGCCTTAAAATCAGATTCAAGCATCCTGATTTAAAATGTTAGAATTTAAATTCCAAGAGCAGACCCTCTTGGAATTGGTTTTGGTCTTTTAAAAGCATAAGATTAATGTAAAATAAGCGTAATTGTTCTTTTTTTTTTTCCCCTTAACGGTACAGTTTTTATTAAAACTTTAATTTTGTCCCTGAGGTTTTACTGGAGTGCTCAGATATCAAAATAAACACTTTTTTTTTCTTTTTTAGAGACAAGGTCTTGCTCTGTCACCCAGGCTTCAGTGCAGTGCCATCATCATAGATCACTGCAGCCTTGAACTCCTAGGCTCAAGCAATCCTCCAAGCCTTGCCTGCCAAAATGTTGGGGTTGCAGGCATCAGCCACTGTGCCCAGCCACATTCAGATTTGATAAGGATTCTTTTACTTCTGAGACGGAGCAGGGACCCTCTTTTTAGGGGCCTGTGCCCAAACAAGAGCATTTTTTTTTTTTTTTTTTTTTGAGACGGAGTCTCGCTCTGTCACCCAGGCTGGAATGCAGTGGTGCCATCTTGGCTCACTGCAAGCTCCGCCTCCCGGGTTCACGCCATTCTCCTGCCTCAGCCTCCTGAGTAGCTGGGACTCCAGGCGGCCGCCACCACGCCCAGCTAATTTTTTTGTATTTTTAGTAGAGATGGGGTTTCACCGTGTTAGCCAGGATGATCTCGATCTCCTGACCTCGTGATCCACCCGCCTCAGCCTCCCAAAGTGTTGGGATTACAAGCGTGAGCCACCGCGCCTGGCCTTTTTTTTTTTTTTTTTTAATCCTGAGTTTTAGAAAAATTTCAGATAGCTAGCTAGTCCTTTTTTTTTCTTCTTCTTCTTCTTTTTTTTTCTTTTTTTTTTTTTTCTTTTTTTTGAGACGGAGTCTCGCTTTGTCGCCCAGGCTGGAGTGCAGTGGTGCGATCTCCTGCAAACTCCACCTCCCGGGTTCAAGCAATTCTCCTGCCTCAGCCTCTTTAGTAGCTGGGATTACAGGCGCCCGCCACCATGCCCAGCTAATTTTTGTATTTTTAGTAGAGACTGGGTTTCACCATGTTGGTCAGGCTGGTCTCGAACCCCTGACCTCGTGATCCACCCGCCTCGGCCTCTCAAAGTGCTGGGATTACAGGCGTGAGCCACTGCACCCAGCGTTTTTGTTTGTTTTTTGTTTTTTTTAATCCTGAGTTTAAGAAAAATTGCAGATAGCTAGGTAGCCTTTTTTTTTTTTTTTTTTTTTTTGCTTAAATCCACCTTGGGAAAGTTACCATCTTGTCTTTTTTCTTTTGCTACCTAGTCCTAAAAAGTAAGTAACTTATTAAAAAGGCAGTAACCTAAAACAATAGCCAAAAAAGTTAGAATCCAGAGGTGTTTGGTTTCCCTATAAAAACTAAAGATAACATCTTAACGTATGTCCCTGAGTTGTCTTTCAGAAACTTGGACCCCTACTCTGAAGACCCTCACCCAACAGATTCACTGGCACATAAACCTCAGATAAGAAAAAATTAAGTACAAAACCCTGACCTGCGTTCTTTGTTCTAAATTTCTTCCTAGTGGACTTGGAGGGAGTCATACCCCTGAGCCAGTTACTGACCCCAGACTTTTAAACAAAGCTTCTCTTCCTTAACCAATTAAAATAGAAAATCTTTAAATGTACCTACGATCTGTAAGCCCCTTCAAGATATCCTGCCCTTTTAAGCCAAAACCAATGTATAACCTCCATATATTAATTTATAATTTTGCTTGTAACTTCTACTCTCCTTCCCCTGCCTTTAAAAACCCTTGCTTCCCGGGAGGCGGAGCTTGCAGTGAGTCGAGATCCCGCCACTGCACTCCAGCCTGGGCGACAGAGCGAGACTCCGTCTCAAAAAAAAAAAAAAAAAAAAAAAAACCCTTGCTTACAAGACACTGGGAGGTCAGGATTTAAACAATGGCTGCCTGGTCCTCCTTCCTTGGCACCCTACAAATAAATGCCTTCTCTTCTATAGCTGTAAGAAGCCTTGATGTAGATACCTGGATTTACTGTGCCAGGCGAGCAGACCCCAGTTCAGTTAACCCTCCAAGGGTGTTGTGAGTGGACAAGGCAAACACAGAATTGGGCCAGGTGGATTGTAATGATTTTGTAATGATTCTCATTGTGGTGTGAGTATTCACACCTCCTGAAATGGCCGGGAAATGGATTTTTTTAGTCACTTGGTGACCCAGGGTCACAGGCTTTCTTTGTGTCTGGCTGGGTTTCCACTAAAATGCTTATGATACCAAAGCTCACCTTCAACTAATTTTTAGTTACCTTCAAGATGTGGAGTGAATGTACTATTTGAAGCCTGGCATTGTTGCCCTGTGTCAGACCTTCTCTCAGGGCGCAGGTCTTGTCAAGGTCCACATCCCTCGGCTTGTGATCCTCACGCCCCCCAACCTGGGGGAAAATCACTTCACTGGGTAGGCCCATGTGCTGACGCCAACTCTCCCTCTTACAAGAGTGCAAAGTTTAGGCTTATTTTCATTTTGCTAATGTTTCCCAGTGATCATCTGTAACTGGAAGATTTTAGGAGTCCACAGGGCCCCTGGTTGAAGATCTTTCCAGTACCACAGTTCTTGGGAGTGTTCACTGGCTCCACTACAGCTACCCTGCTGGGTCTGGCAGGAAGGCAATCTTGAGATGTTTCTATTTGTCATGGGTGCACCTCTTGATATTCTACATTGGGGTATGAGTATTCACACCTCCTGAATTGGCCAGGAAGTGGCTCTTTGAGCCCCTTGTTTTTCTGATAGAAAACAGCCAGGATAGGATATTCTAGAGGCCTTCTTCTTCAGGCTTATGGAAGGGGCCTTTGTGTCCTTACATAAAGAAACCACTTCTTTTTCCTCAGAACTTTGATGAGGTCTTGGGTTGCACTGGAACAATATTGTTGAGCTATTGTCACCAACTCCAAGAGCAAGTCACACTTTCCCAGGGGCCTGCTCCTATTGGCCAGGGGCTTTCTAGGCCACTGTCATTAGGCACCAGGGAGCAGAGACTGATTGCTTGGGGTTGTATGAATCCACGTCCATCCTACAGGAGGCTGATTCTAACATTGTCTGCTACAAGGGCCTGCTCTAGACTTCACTGGATGAAAAGCTTTTGATAGTGAAGAGCTCAGTATTTTCATTTGTGAATTGGGCATCCACATGCTACATTTAATTTGCTTTGCACTTTTTTTCCTCAAATGAGTGGACTTGTAAAAGAATAATTTTTAAACTCCTCATACTTTGCTTTTATCATTACTTTTGACTTTTTTTTTTTGTGGCGGTGAGGAGTGGGGGTTGCTTTCTGGTCTTTACCAGAATATATATATATATATATATATATATATATATATATATTCTGAATATGTATATTTGAAATAGAGTTTTACTCTTGTTGCCCAGGCTGTAGTGCAATGGCGCGATCTCGGCTCACCGCAACCTCTGCCTTCCGGGTTCAAATGATTCTCCTGCCTAAGCCTCCTGAGTAGCTGGGATTCAGACATGCGCCACCACACCCAGCTAATTTTGTATTTTTAGTAGAGACGGGGTTTCTCCACGTTGGTCAGGCTGGTCTCGAACTCCCGACCTCAGGTGATCCGCCCCCCTCAGCCTCTCAAAGTGCTGGGATTACAGGCATGAGCCACCACACCTGGCCAACAAAAAAATTTTATTCAGCAACTAAATCCTTTCGTAGTACAGCAAAGAATCAGTAAATTAACAACAACAAACCTTTTCAGAAAGTGTAGCAGGCACAAATAACCTCAGCTCTATGGTTCTACTTTGTTGTTATTTTTTGTGAAACCAGTCTTTCAGCCTAAACACTTTTTTCATTTCTGAGGCACCAAAGAGCACAAGACTGTGTAAACAGAGAACGCTGTTGTCAACTGTTTATGCTCTGGCTCAAAGTCTCTCCTTAGCCTTCTGAGCCCCGCTAAGCTCAAGGGTCAAAAGTCCACAGCTGGCCTCGACTGAAGAGTGCTCTTCAGTTTACTCCCTCATAGTTGAGGACAGACCCAAAGGTCTGGCCTTCTCTTATTGTGGAATCTGGTTACATCTATAAGTGGGATCTTCTGCATAGAAAGTTAATTTTTGGTGAAAAACTCTAAGAGATGCATTCCAAAAAGCAAAGGAGTGCAAAAGTCACTGAAACAGACCATAACTGAAGCTCGAAAATGATCCCCATGTCTGTCATAAGTGTTCCCGTGTCAGGGTGCACTCAGCTTTCCTGCACAAAGGAAACTCGATGATTTGTGCACCTGAAGGATGTATCTTAGCAACGACTGTGAAGGAACTGTACTGAGAAACTTTCTCTAGGCTTTGTCTAGAGGAGCTCCACAGCAGAGGCGAATAGCAATTAACGGTGTCCTCTAAAGTGAAGTTTACATTTAGTTGTATTAATTTTAAGGGGGGAAAAAAGGCAATTAGTCTTCCTAGTTGATAGTAGATTTGTTCACTCTTTTAAAATACCCATCCCCATGTCATAGTAGGAATTATGAATAAATTTTTTAAGAGTATCTTTGGATTTGGCAAACAGTGTTAGGGTTGTTTTAAAAAGGTGGGGTTTGAAAAATGTAAGAAAAAAGTTGTGTTTCATACATTTCTCCTTGGTAATTAAAAGTAGTGCTTTTTGAAAAATCAAGTTTTTGCTCTTATTTTGAAGTAATTATAGATTCACAGGAGGTTGCAAACAAAGATACAGGAAGCCCTTTGCACCTCTCTCCCAGCCCCATGAAAATCTATCTTGACTATTAGTTTTCTTATGAAAAGAGGAAACAAACCTAAGGATTGAACTAGAAAATGGGCTGCTTCAGTTCTAGCCCAAAGGCATAGTGGAGACAGCCCTACTATGTTTTCCAGTGCACAGAAATGGGCAGCCACCTGCAGGCGGACACAGCAGGGACACCAGATGACATGCTGATTTTCTCTCTTTCAGTGTTCTCCCCCACCCCACCTCCAAGTTCACAGTGCCTGGTTTTAAGAAAAGGTGAAGTGAGGCTCAAATGGGTATTATGTGGCTAAGGAAAGCCTTCAGGCTTTGCCCTCTATATCTAGCCCTTGTCTTTCAAGGAAGGGAAACTTTTCCCCCCTCTTTTAAAATTAAGGGCCTCTAATCCTCTAGGTTTTATGGCTGGATTTGGAGAAAGGGGGTTCTGGTTTCTATGACCTGCCTTGGGGAAGAAGGATTCTTGTTTCTATGGCTGTCCTTAGAAACAAGATAGGAGGATAGGAAAAGGCCAGAAAAAACCTCTTGCTTCTGAGGCCTTCATTATGGAGTATTACTTTCTGAGTTCCAAGTGCAGTGGGGATGGGTAATCAATTCAAGATCACAGGAAAAGATGTTTTTAGGGAGGTAGGGAAGAGAGATATAAAAGCTTAAAGCCACTTATTTTAACTAAGCACATACAGTTATATCAAAGAAGCATAAAAATATTTAAAATTGTACTTTAATTTCACATTTTGTCTGGTTGAGTGGGGAGATGAAAGCCAAGAAAGTAAAACTCAGATGAGGAAGGAAAAAAGAAAAGAGGGAGTGAGGATAGAGGCTTGTTACCCTCAGTTCAGAAGTTGAGTTTCAAGGAGGATTTTGAGTTTTAGGTAAATTAATGCCCCGCTTGGACAGATTTTCAGGACATCATCTATCGCCACTCTTTGAAATGCTAATTAATTGATTAGCCATTCATCCTAGCTTTTCAGAGTGGTATAGGCCTCTGAGAATCACCCAGTGGGATAGCCACAGCCACACCTAGAGGAGATCATTCCCAGGCTGCAGAAGCAGACAGCAATTCTACCTTGTGATGTGACCTTCCAAGGCCAGATAGAGAAGCTTAAGCAAACAAGGGAACAATGGAAAGTATAACAGCAAACTGCTTATGATTTCCTTGTTGAAGTCCTTTATCTTCATGCAGATACAATAAGAATACAGTACTGGCCACTTACCAGCTCTGGGCTTCAACCCTTCACACCTGGCCCCTCAACAACCAGTACAATGTACTGCTTTCTCTACTGTCACTGGGAGAGTTTAACTGCAGAGCATAATCAAGCTTTCTTAATTCTTTAGCTTCCTTCTGGCTATACTTGACTCCCCATTCAGCCCCAGGATCATGTTTGTTAAATGGTTAGCTACTTTAACATTGCTGTCATTAACACCCTAACCCTCTACCAGTCCAAAGAGTAGTACTCAGACCTGCAGTGTGAACATCTCTGGGAGGTTGTTAGAAGTGCAGGATCAGGGGCTCTGAATCAGAATCCACGTTAGCAAGATCTACTGGTGATCCTCATATGCACATTAAAGTTTTAGAGGCATGGGCTGGCCTCCCCCAGCTCTCACCCTTTTCCATTACAAAATGCCACCCCTCTGCCAAAAACTATGCATAAATCACCTGGACTTAGGGCTCCTTCACAATCTTCTTACTCATTTTTTATTTCCTAGTACTTTGAGAATAGCTCCTCAAACCCCCTTTCCACCCGCCATCCTCTCATTCCCATTTTTCCCTCCTCTCATTTCTATTTTCTTTCTAACTTGACAGAAGTCAGATGACTTTGCTGTGCTAATATTTTTTTTCCTTCTCTGCCTCAATATATTTGTGGTCTTCTGCCACCCTCTGTATTATTTTCTCAAGTCTCAGATAGAGTAGCATCTTCCTCATTTGTAAGCTAGCCTCTCTACTTACGCCCTTGATACACTTTCCCTTTCCCCTTCTTTGGGATCTTGCTATCTTACTGATCTCCCCTCTCCCAGAATCATGTCCACCATCTCCACTAAGCCCTTCCTTTTTGCATCCAAAGGGACACAGATCTTATTTTAAGAAAACCACAGCATCCAGTCATATTCACTGGATCCTACTCCTTTCTGGTTTATGATCTATTTCTCCTTATTCACCATCAGATTTTGCATACAAATGGTCTAGAGCAGTGGTTTCCAACTGGGATGACTTAGCCATCGAGAGGACATTTGGAAGTGTCTGGAGACATTTTTGGTTGCTGCAACTGTGGGAAATGCTACTGGCATCTAGTGGGTAGAGGCCATAATGCTATTAAATATCCTACAATGCACAGGGCAGCCTCCCACCGCAAAATTATCTGGCTAGGGTGGCTACTTATCCCAGTTTGCCAGTAACTTTCCTGGCTATAGGCTTATAGCACTGAATGTCCTGTGTCCCAGGAAGCACCTCAGTCCTGGGCATACTGGGACCATTGTTCATCCTATATATATCTCACCCCAAATGTCAAAAGTGCCAAAGTTGAGAAACGCTGCTCTACAAGGAACACCCATTAACTTTACATTTTTCTCACCAACTTCCTTTCCTTCAATTGGAACTTTAATTTCTGTCTTCTTTTCTACTGAAATAGTTTTCTTTCTTTCCTTTTTTTTTTTTTTTTTTGTTTTTGTTTTGTTTTCTTAGAGACAGGGTCTCACCCTCACCTACGCAGGAGTGCAATGGTGCAGTCATAGCTCATTTCAGCCTCTAACTCCTGGGCTCAAGTAATCCTCGCACCTTAGCCCCCTAGCAGCTACGACAGGCACACCACCATCCTGGCTAATTTTTAAAATTTTTATCTTTGTAGAGATTGGATCTCGCTATGTTGCTCAGGCTGATCTGGAATTCCTGGCCTCAAGTGATCTCCCTAAAGTGTTGGGATTATGGGTGTGAGCCACTGTGGCCAGGCTGAAATTGTTTTCTTAAAAGTCACCAGTGGCACCTTCCAATCAATAAATCCAATGGCTTTTCTCCTTCCTCAACCCTTTGGATTTCCTTCTAAGCATTTGATACTGTTGACCACTATTTTTTTGAAGCCCTTTTTTTTTTCATACTTTTGGTATGTGCCAAGAGGTATGTGCTCTTTTGTGGGTTCCTAATTCCTACTGTTTTTTGTTTTTTGTTTTTTTTGAGATGGAGTCTCAGTCTGTCTAGGCTTTGCCTAGGCTCACTCACTAGGCTGGAGTGCAGTGGCGCCATCTCGGCTCACTGCAACCTCCACCTCCTGGGTTTTAAGCAATTCTCCTGCCTCAGCCTCCTGAGTAGCTGGGATTACAGGAGCCCGCCACCGTGTCCGGCTAATTTTTGTATTTTTAGTAGAGATGGGGTTTTACCATGTTGGCCAGGCTGGTCTCAAACTCCTGACCTCGGGTGATCCGCCCACCTCGGCCTCCCAAAATACTGGGATTACAGTCCTGAGCCACCACATCTGGTCCCTACTCTGTCTTAAATGTAGATTGTTTCTTAGTTTGATGTTTCTTGGTGCTTTTCTTTATTCTCCTATTAAATAATTTATTCCACTCTAGCTTCAGATCTCATCTCTATTAGTTGATTCCCAGATCTCTTTCCTGAGTCTTAGTCTTTCATTTCCAATTGATTGAGGGGTTTCCATGGATATCCAGCAGAATCCAATACTCAACCTGAGTAATGGCAGGTTAAGAAGAACATTTAATAGACTGGCTAGGAGGAAAGACAATATAGTCTAGCTTACATTTCCAGCCTTGTCTTCCACTTTGGTCCTGTATTAAGCCTTAAGTTCTATTGAACCAGGATAACTCTATCCATGCCCTTAAATGTGCTTTCCATGGTTTTGCTTCATGTCTTCTTGCTCATTGGAAAACACTTCTGCCTTTCTTCAAATCTTCCTGATCATCCCAATCAGGAAAATGTGGAATGGTGAAAATACTGGATCAGGAGTCAGAAGACCTATTTCTGTCACTTTACTTGCTTTTAGACTTGGGACCATTACTTGAGTTTTCTATAACTTTATATATTTTAAGTAAAGAAATAATCCTGTGTCTGCCTTTCTCAAGATAGCTAATATGAAAAAATAGTTTGAAAGATGGTAAACTGCTGGTATATAGTATATTTAGTATTTAAGTATTGCATGACCTCCTGAACTCTGATAATACTTTGAGCCTTTCTAATGGAATCTTGCCATCTCTTACTTGTAGAGACAGTTAATACACATTTCTTAAAAGTAGAGACCACAATGTAAATCTTTTTCTTGCATAGTTTCTGTCATTGTACATGTCATGTTAACAGATTCTGAGTAAAGACTGATGAAAGAATTGCAATTCTACCTATTAGTCTTTATTTTTGTTTCACTAATTCCAAACATTTTATACTATATCAAATTTATCAACCCCCTCCCCCTTTTTTTTAAATCTCCAATTTAGGTGATGTCTTTCCAGTGCAAATGAATCCAATAACTCAATCTCAGTTCGTACCTTTGGGTGAAGTTCTTTGCTGTGCTATATCTGATATGAATACAGCTCAGATTGTAGTAACGCAGGAATCACTTTTGGAGCGTTTGATGAAACATTACCCAGGTAGAGTAATAAATTTTTGTCTATTTGTACTTCACTGTATGTGTTTGGTTTCTATTTATAATTAGTCTTAAGCACATAAACTGGGTGATATCCTTTTTTCCCCTCTTCTATAGAACTTTATATCAGAACCCTGCCAGAAGAAGTCCTGCATCAACAAATTTGATAAGGGTATTTCTTTTACTTTTCAGATAAACTTTTCCAAAAATAAATGCTTATGGCAATAAATAAATAAATAAATCACACTCTGTGGAAAGGAGTGCAAAATGAGAAAGTAAAGTTTATTTCCCCTCATCTCCTATTTTTTCATTCTCACTTCCCAGAGGTAATAACTGCTATTATCATTTCTTATATATGATAATATAATAAATTTTTCATAACATAAATTGGATCTTTTTTTTTTTTTTTGAGACAGAATCTTGCTCTGTCACCCAGGCTAGAGTGCAGTGGCACCATCTCGGCTCACTGCAACTTCCGCCTCCCCGGGTTCAAGCGATTCTTCTGCCTCAGCCTCCTCAGTAGCTGGGATTACAGGCGCCTGCCAGCATGCCCAGATAATTTTTGTATTTTTAGTAGAGATGGGGTTTCACCATGTTGGTTAGGCTGGTCTCGAACTCCTGACCTCATGATCCACCCGCCTTGGCCCCCCGAAGTGTTGGGATTACAGGCAAGGGCCACCATGCCCGGCATAAATTGGATCATTCTATACATTCCCTCAACACGTTTCTCTTATTAACTTAAAAACACATCTCGGAGATCTTTCCATGCTAACATATATTGATATGTCTCATTCTTTATTTTACTTGAGACAAGGCCTCACTCTGTTGCCCAGGTTAGAGTGCAGAGGCACCTTCTTAGATCACTGCAGCCTCAAACTCGTGGGTTGAAGCAATCCACCTGCCTCAGCCTCCCAAGTAGCTGGGACCACAGGTGCGCACCACTCATTCTTTTATTTATTTATTTTCTTCCTTTTCAAGAATGGCATCTGGGCCGGGTGTGGTGGCTCACGCCTGTAATCCCAGCACTTTGGGAGGCCAAGGTGGGCGGATCACGAGGTCAAGAGATTGACAACATCCTGGCCAATATGGTGAAACCCCATCTCTACTAAAAACTACAAAAAAAAAAAAAAAAAATTAGGCACGGTGGCAGGTGCCTGTAATCCTAGCTACTAAATAAACGAATGTTTTCCTCAGTCACAGTTTAAATTTATAATGGGTTTTTATTTGAGTGAATTCAGATTTTTTTTGTCTATTTACTCATTAACCTACCCATATGACTTTGTGTGGACCAAATTATTTTCCTGTTATTTTTATTTTTATTTTTGAGACAGGGTCTCACTCTGTTGCCCAAGTTGGAGTGCAGTGGTGCAATTACAGCTCATTGCAACCTCTGCCTCCAAGGGTTCAAGCAATCCTCCCACCTCAGCCTCCAAAGCATCTGGTACTACAGACACCCGCCACCATGCCCTGCTAATTTTTGTATTTCTAGTAGAGGAATGATTTCACCATGTTGCCCAGCCTGGTCTTGAACTCCTGAGTTAAAGCGATCTGCCTGTCTCAGCCTCCCAAAGTGCTGGGATTACAGGTGTGAGCCACCATGCCTGGCCTATTCCTATTATTTAAGTTATAAATATTATTTATGCTTCTTTGGCTTTTTTTTTTTTTTTTTTTTTTTGAGACAGGGTCTTGGTTTGTTGCCCAGGCTGGAGTACAGTGGCACAATCATAGCTCACTGCAGCCTTGAACTCCTGAGCTCAAATGATCCTTCCACACCTGGCTAATGTTTAAAAATTTTTTTGTAGAGATGAAGTCTTGCTATGTTGCCTAGCCTGGTCTTGAACTCCTGGGCTCAAATGATCCTTCCACACCTGGCTAATGTTTAAAAATTTTTCTGTAGAGACGAAGTCTTGCTATGTTGCCTAGCCTGGTCTTGAACTCCTGGGCTCAAGTGATCCTCCTGCCTCAGCCTCCCAAAACTCTGGGATTATAGGCATGAGCCATCACACCCATCCCTGGCATTTTAATCACATGTATTATGTTACAATCAGCTCTGGGTTTATCAAGCCAATGTGTAGTCATTTCAGAGTTACTGATTTCACTCATTAAAATTTTTCTTATTCAAAATCTATCTGTAAAATGCTTGTCTGTTTTAGGCATTGCAATTCCATCGGAAGATATTCTTTATACCACTCTGGGAACGCTGATTAAAGAAAGGAAGATTTATCACACTGGAGAAGGATACTTCATAGTTACTCCTCAGACTTACTTCATTACAAATACAACCACCCAGGAAAATAAGAGAATGCTGCCATCAGATGAAAGTCGCCTGATGCCAGCTTCCATGACATATCTGGTGAGCATGGAGAGCTGTGCAGAGTCAGCCCAAGAGAATGCTGCCCCCATATCCCACTGTCAGTCTTGCCAGTGTTTCCGGGACATGCACACTCAGGATGTTCAGGAAGCACCAGTTGCTGCAGAAGTGACTAGGAAGAGTCACAGAGGTCTTGGGGAATCCGTATCTTGGGTACAGAATGGGGCAGTTTCAGTGTCTGCGGAGCACCACATTTGTGAGAGCACCAAACCTTTACCATACACAAGAGATAAAGAAAAAGGCAAGAAGTTTGGTTTTAGTCTCTTATGGCGCAGCTTATCTAGAAAGGAGAAGCCCAAAACAGAACACAGCAGTTTCTCTGCTCAGTTCCCACCTGAAGAATGGCCCGTCCGAGATGAAGATGACTTGGACAATATCCCTCGAGATGTTGAACATGAGATAATCAAACGAATTAACCCCATTTTGACTGTTGACAATTTAATCAAACACACTGTCCTAATGCAAAAATACGAAGAACAGAAAAAATATAATAGCCAGGGCACTTCCACTGACATGCTGACAATCGGGCATAAGTATCCTTCAAAAGAGGGGGTTAAGAAAAGGCAGGGTCTGTCTGCAAAACCTCAAGGGCAGGGCCATTCTCGAAGGGATAGACACAAAGCCAGGAATCAGGGAAGTGAGTTTCAGCCAGGAAGCATTAGACTGGAGAAACACCCCAAGCTCCCTGCTACACAGCCCATCCCCAGAATTAAAAGCCCAAATGAAATGGTAGGTCAGAAACCACTTGGTGAGATTACAACAGTGCTAGGTTCCCATTTGATTTACAAAAAGCGAATCAGTAATCCTTTCCAGGGTTTGTCTCACCGAGGAAGCACAATATCCAAAGGGCACAAAATTCAGAAGACGAGTGATCTGAAACCCAGCCAGACTGGACCAAAGGAAAAGCCTTTCCAAAAGCCTAGGTCCTTGGATTCCTCAAGAATCTTTGATGGTAAAGCCAAAGAGCCATATGCTGAACAACCTAATGATAAAATGGAAGCAGAATCCATTTACATAAATGACCCTACTGTCAAACCCATCAATGATGACTTCAGAGGTCACCTCTTCAGTCACCCTCAACAGAGCATGTTGCAAAATGATGGTAAATGCTGTCCCTTTATGGAAAGCATGTTGAGATATGAAGTGTATGGTGGAGAAAATGAGGTAATTCCTGAAGTCTTGAGGAAAAGTCATTCCCACTTTGACAAATTAGGGGAGACCAAACAGACTCCGCATAGTCTGCCATCACGAGGTGCCTCCTTTTCAGACCGAACACCCTCTGCTTGTAGATTAGTGGATAACACAATACACCAGTTTCAAAATCTTGGCCTTTTGGATTACCCAGTTGGCGTGAACCCTTTAAGACAAGCTGCAAGACAAGACAAAGACTCAGAAGAATTATTGAGAAAAGGATTTGTCCAGGATGCAGAGACTACAAGCCTAGAAAATGAACAGCTTTCTAACGATGACCAGGCCTTGTATCAGAATGAAGTGGAAGATGATGATGGTGCCTGTAGTTCATTATATCTAGAGGAGGATGACATTTCTGAGAATGACGACTTACGTCAAATGCTGCCTGGCCACAGTCAGTATTCCTTCACAGGTGGAAGCCAGGGAAATCATTTAGGAAAACAAAAAGTGATTGAGAGATCTCTGACCGAGTACAACAGCACAATGGAGAGGGTTGAGTCTCAGGTGCTTAAAAGAAATGAATGCTACAAACCCACTGGGCTGCATGCTACCCCAGGTGAAAGCCAAGAACCTAACCTCTCTGCTGAAAGTTGTGGCCTAAATTCAGGGGCCCAGTTTGGTTTTAACTACGAAGAAGAACCCAGTGTTGCTAAATGTGTACAGGCCTCAGCACCTGCTGATGAAAGAATCTTTGATTACTATAGCGCAAGAAAAGCCAGTTTTGAAGCTGAAGTCATACAAGACACTATTGGTGACACAGGAAAGAAGCCAGCTAGCTGGAGTCAGAGTCCTCAGAATCAGGAAATGAGAAAACATTTCCCACAAAAGTTCCAACTTTTCAACACTTCACATATGCCAGTGTTGGCTCAGGATGTCCAATATGAACACAGTCACTTGGAAGGGACAGAAAATCACAGCATGGCAGGAGATAGTGGAATAGATTCTCCACGGTAGGTCCATACAAAAGTGTCTGATTTAGGCCGGGCGCAGTGGCTCATGCCTGTAATCCCAGCATTTTGGGAGGCCGAGGCGGGCAGATCACGAGGTCAAGAGATTGAGACCATCCTGGCCAACATGGTGAAACCCCATCTCTACTAAAAATACAACCAGGTGTGGTGGTGCGTCCCTGTAATCCCAGCTACTCGGGAGGCTGAGGCAGGAGAATCGCTTAAACCCGGGAGGTGGAGGTTGTAGTGAGCCGAGATCGTGCCACTGCACTCCAGCCTGGTGATGGAGCAAGACTCTGCCTCAAAAAAAAAAAGAAAAAAAAAGAAAATGGCTGATTAGCCACAGTTCTACAGGAATTATGAAAATCAAGGGTATTTTGTTAACTAGTCAGAGACTACTATCACACTTCTATAATGATACAATTCTGCCAGCTTTTATACCTTTACTGAATAAATTGTATAAAGTTACAATGAAATCTCTTATATAGTAGGATACAGTTTATTTTTAATGTGAACCAAATTTGACTGTCCCCACTACTCATAAATCTTCAATTATTTCTAAAAATAGAAATTTCTGTAAGCCAAGCACTTTCTGAACTGAGGGTTGGAAGTTTTCACTTCTATTCCTGGCTCTACACAGGTTGAGAAAGGGATGTGGCTACTATCCACTAATATTTTATTTTTGAGATGGAGTTTTGTTCTTGTCACCCAGGCTGGAGTGCAATGGCGTGATCTCGGCTCACCACAACCTCCGCCTCCTGGATTCAAGTGATTCTCCTATCTCATCCTCCCGAGTATCTGGGATTACAGGCATGCACCACCACACCCAGCTAATTTTTTATTTTTAGTAGAGACGAGTTTTCTCCATGTTGGTCAGGCTGGTCTTGAACTCCTGACCTCAGGTGATCCGCCCACCTTGGCCTCCCAAAGTGTTGGGATTACAGGCGTGAGCCACTGCGCCCAGCCTAATATTTTCTTTCTTTTTTTTTTTTTTTTTTGAGGCAGAGTTTTGCTGTCGTCCAGGCTGGAGTGCAGTGGTGCAATCTCTGCTCACTGCAACCTCCGCCTCCCGGGTTCAAGCAATTCTCCCACTTTAGCCTCCCAAGTAGCTGGGATCACAGCCATGCACCACAACACCCAGCTAATTTTTGTATTTTTTAGTAGAGACGGGGTTTTGCCATGTTGGCCAGGCTGGTCTTGAACTCCTGACCTCAAGTGATCCGCCCTCCTCAGCCTCCCAAAGTGCTGCAATTACAGGCGTGAGCTGCCATGCCCGGCCTCCACTAATGTTTTCCATGCCAATTTGTTTAAATGTTGTTTGGATTATAAAAATAGTATAGCCATGATAGAACACTTAAGTACTGAAAAGTATTTTTTTTTCTTTTAAAATAGCTAACAATCTTACTGGTTGAAAAATATTTTTTAAAACACCTATACTTATTCTAACACACACACACGCGCGCACACACGCACACACACGCGCACACACACATATATGTTTTGAGATGGAGTTTTGCTCTTGTTGCCCAGGCTGGAGTACAATGGTGTGGTCTCAGCTGACTGCAACCTCCGCCTCCTGGGTTCAAGCAATTCTCCTGGTTCAGTCCCCCAAGTAGCTGGGATTACAGGTGCCCGCCACCACGCCTGACTAATTTTTTGTATTTTCAATAGAGACAAGGTTCCACCATGTTGGCCAGACTGGTCTCGAACTCCTGACCTCAGGTGATCTGCCCGCCTCGGCCTCCCAAAGTGCTGGGATTACAGGTGTGAGCCACTGTGCCTGGCCTAACATCTAGATATTTTTTAAAAATCATTTTATATTTGGTTTGTTTCTGTATAACACTTCAGTCCAAATGTATAGATCTATAGATTTTGTCTACTGGGCTCGTACTGAGTTACTATTTTGCATGTTGCTTTTTAAAATTAATAGCCTATCATATGAACATTTTCCCTATGTTATTTAATAGTTTCTCAAAGGTCATTCTAAAATTTGGTTCATATCTTTGCCAGTATTTTTTTTTTTTTTTTTTTTGCTTTGAGACAGTGATTGACTCTGTCACCCAGGCTGGAGTGCAGTGGTACAATCACAGCTCACTGCAGCTTCAACCTCCCTGGGCTCAAGTGATCCTCCTACCTTAGTCTCCCATGTACCTGGGACTACAGGCATATGTCACTATGCCCAGCTAATTTTTTTTTTTTTTTTTTTTTTTTTTTTTTTTGGAGAGATGGGGTTTCACCATGTTGCTCAGGCTGGTTGGTCTCAAACTCCTGGGCTCAAGCAATTCAGCCTCCCAAACGGCTGGGATTGCAGGTGTGAGCCACTGAGCGTGCCTGGCCCTACACTTTTTTCTATGCATTTGTAAGTTGCTCTGTTGTTTTTTCTTTGAGACAGGGTTGCAGTCTGTCACCAGCTGGAGTGCAATGACACAATCATAGCTCACTGCAGCCTAGGCCTCCTCGGCTCAAGCCATCCCCCAACCTCAGCTTCTGGAGTAGCTTGGATTATAGGCACATGCTACTATACCCAGCTAATTTTTTGTAGAGATGAGGTTTTACAGTGTTACCAGTCTGGTCTCGAACTCCTGGGCTCAAGGGATTCTCCCGCTTCAGTCTCCCAAAGTGCTGGGATTACAGGCATGACCCACCGCACTGGCCATCAGGCTAATTAAAAAGTTTTTTTGATCACTTCTCGGCCTTTTGGCTAAGATCAAGTGTAAAACGTTTTTTTGTGGAGACAATATATTGCTATGTTGCCCAGGCTGGCCTTGAACTGGATTCAACCATCCTCTTGCCTTGGCCTCCCAGTTGTGGGATTGCAGGCATGAGCCCTGTACCAGGGCTTAATAAAAGTATTTTTAACAACAAATCATACAGAGCCATGGCTTTCTTTTTTCATGTAACTTATGTATATCCTGTTATTGATAAATGTAGCTTAAGCTTGGTGTTTGTTTGCTTATTTGTTTTTTGAGATGTAGTCTTGCTCTGTCGCCCAGGCTGGAGTGCAGTGGTGCGATCTCGGCTCACAGCAACCTCTGCTTCCTGGGTTCAAGCAATTCTCATGCCTCAGTCTCCCAAATAGCTGGGATTACAGGCACACACCACCAGGCCCAGCTAATTTTTGTGTTTTTATTAGAGACAGGGTTTCACCATGTTGTCCAGGCTGGTCTTGAACTCCTGCCTCAGGTGATCCACTCGTCTCAGCCTCCAAAGTGCTGGGATTACAGGCATGAGCCACTGCGCCTGGCCTCAAGCCTTTTTTTTTCCTTGCCTCAGCCTCCTGAGTGGCTGGGACTACATGCGTGAGCCACCATGCCCAGCTATTTTGTGTGTGTGTGTGTGTATTTTTTTTTTTTAACAGAGATGAGGTTTCACCATGTTGGCCAGGCTGGTCTCGAACTCCTGGCCTCAAGTGATCTGCCCACCTTGGCCTCCCTGGTCTCAAGTGATCCACCCACCTTGGCTGGGATTACAGGCGTGAGCCACAAGCTTGTTCTTTTTAATGGCTGTTTAGCATTCTGTTATGTGGACTATATATATATGTAACTATTATTTTCCTTTTTTTTTTTAAGAGACAAGGTCTCACACTGTTGCCCAGGATAGAGTACAGTGGTTCAGTCAGGGCTCACTATAGCCTTGGCCTCCTGGTCTCAAGCAAATCAGCCTCCTGTGTAGCTGGGACCACAGGCTTGCACCACCACACCCAGCTGCTGCTGCTTATTATTATTTTGTTAAGAATGAGGTCTCACTATGTTGTCCAGGCTGGTCTCAAACTCCTGGGCTCAAACAGTTCTCCCATCTTGGTCTCTCAAAGTGCTAGGGTTGTAGGCATGAGCCACTGTGCCCAGCCTATTTTCCTTTCTTTGACATTTAGATCATTCCCAATTTTTTGCTATTAACAAATCAATCTGCAGTGAGTTATTTTTACATAAAAATGTTTGTGGGCATTTCTGAGTTTTTTTCTTAGGATATATTCCTAGAAATCTACATTTTAAAAACGTATCATTACTTCTTTATTGGGGGTGCAAGACCTTTTCTTTTTTTTTTTTTTTTTTTGAGATGGAGTCTCGCTCTGTCACCCAGGCTGCAGTGCAGTAGCGCAATCTCAGCTCACTGCAACCTCTGCCTCCCGGGTTCAATTGATTCTCCTGCCTCAGCCTCCTGAGTAGCTGGGATTACAGGCACACGCCACCACGCCCAGCTAATTTTTGTATTTTTAGTAGAGGTGAGGTTTTCACCATGTTGGCCAGGCTGGTCTCAAACTCCTGACCTCAAGTGATCTACCTGCCTTAGCCTCCCAAAGTGCTGGGATTACAGGTGTGAGCCCCCATGCCCAGCTATTAAGTATTTAAGATAATCAAAACATGTCTTCAAATGTGAACAATGGTGGTGTAAACCAAAAAGCCATGGGTTCCTTTTCTTTCTCTGTGGCAAAAACAAAACAAAAACAGATGAGAGACATTACTCCTTGATAGGTGACTAGGAATTTTGATTTGCAAAATTTTGAGAAATTTAATTTCTTAAGGATTGCTTATTTTTAAGCAATATGCTTTCCTGAAAGGCTAGCTATAATTGACAGGCATTTAGAGGAAAGGGAAAGGAAAGTAACATTTGAACATCAACTGTGTGCCATGATGGTTATAAGGATTAGGGGGATAGAGATGAACAAGACATTGTTTCTACTTACAGGAAGTATACAATTTAGTTGGGGAGACAAACAATAAACATAGGCAAGTTGAACTTAAGAACAAAGCATGAGACTTTAACAGTCAAAGAGTGATGGAATTGAGTGATGGGCTGTTTAGAGAAAGACTTATTAGACGAAATATGTTTGAGATATATTTTAATGTAATGGACAGTTGATGGAGAGTAGCAAAGTGGGAAAAGGGAATGTCGAAAAGCAAAAATAGGCTGGACGCAGTGGCTCACGCCTGTAATCCTAGCACTTTGGGAGGCTGGAGCGGGTGGATCACGAGGTCAGCAGTTCAAGACCAGCCTGACCAACATGGTGAAACCCCGTCTGTACTAAAAATACAAAAATTAGCCAGGCGTGGTGGCACGCGCCTGTAATCCCAGCTACTCAGGAGGCTGAGGCAGGAGAATCACTTGAACCCGGAAGGCGGAGGTTGCAGTGGGCCAAGACTGCACCATTGCACTCCAGCCTGGGCAACAGAGTGAGACTCTGTTTCAAAAAAAAAAAAAGCAAAAATACTTTTTTTGTGTGTGTGACAGAGTCTCACTCTGTTGCTGAGGCTGGAGTGTAGTGGGTGCGATCTTGGCTCACTGCAACCTCTGCCTCATAGGTTCAAGAGATTCTCATGCCTCAGTCTCATGAGTAGCTGAGATTACAGGTGTGCACCAGCATGCCTGGCTAATTTTTGTATTTTTAGTAGAGACAGGGTTTCACCATGTTGTCCAGGCTAGTCTCAAACTCCTGGCCTCAAGTGATCTGCCTGTCTTGGCCTCCTGAAGTGCTGGGATTACAGAGCCTACCAAACAGTATTGTGAGTTAGCTGAAGCAAGGCATATGTGTTAGATAATGGGCTAATATAGCTTGTTCCTTCTAGAAAAGAACATTGTAATATTAAAAATATAATAATTTGCTTTTCTCTTCCATATGATTTCTCATAAAAGTAATAAATTTCACAGGAAGATATTGGCCACTTCAGATATATGGAAGTTTTTCGGGGAACTTACTGTTTCTGACTAGAACATACTTGATACTAGATCTGAGAAGAGATGTTTTTCAGAAAATATAAACTTCTGTGAAGGCAGCTGTCAAATAATTGAGATGCTATTGTGAAGCCTTTAAAATGTAAAGAGCACTTCGGATTTTTAAAGGTTAACTTATTTGATAAGTGTACCTTTGTATTAGTAAATGTACTACTTCAAAGTAGCAAATGGAAGTATAATGCCTTGGTTAGAAATTCAAGTTCCCTTCGAAGCCAATAATTCTGTTATTTTTAATATCTTTAGGACACAGAGTCTGGGATCTAATAATTCAGTCATTTTGGATGGACTAAAAAGAAGACAGAATTTTCTGCAAAATGTCGAAGGCACAAAGAGCAGTCAACCACTCACATCTAATTCCTTACTACCGCTAACTCCAGTCATAAACGTTTAATTTTCTTTTGGAAACCTACTTTTTTCTTTATAAAAAGGTAGAGCATTATTACAGAATCTTTCAATCATGTAAGAATTGAGTATATAAGAATTGTCTAAAGGCAAGCATATCTATACTATTAACCACATTACACATTTTGTTCTAATTACTGGCTTTTTTTCCTCTTTTGGTGTCTTAAGGCTTTTTGAAGCTTATTTTACTGTGAGTTTATTGGGAGTATATAGATTATTTTCGATTAAAAAGTGGAATTATTGGTCCCCTTCCAATTGTAATTATCTTGAATTTTTATACATTAGTTTCTCAAATATATAGAATGCCAATTTACTTCCTGTAGTGAATTTTTTTTTAACCTACACTAATATTGAGTTCTAAGTTAAGTGGATCTCACCAGATTTCAACACAAAATCAGAAAACAGTGTGTGTTGAAGCAGTGTCTGTTGCAAGAAAACAGTGTCTGCTGCAAGATATCTATGCAACCCTAGGTCTTTATCATTACCAAGAAAGAGTTTACATAAATGTGTTGGCTACTCTGCAACAAGAATTCCTTTAATCATTGCTGCCCAGGGGCTTCTCTTTGACCAGCTTGGACATGAACAAATGGTTCCCAATGTGACTGACAATGTCGAAAATTCCTGTGGCAAGAGGCATCTGGCTGTACTACTGTTCCTCTGGTTCCTCCCTACATTTCAGGCCTTCTTTGAGATGGAGTCTTGCTCTGTTGCCCAGGCTGGAGTGCAGTCGCACAATCTCGGCTCACTGCAACCTCTGCCTCCCAGGTTCATGCCATTCTCCTGCCCCAGCTTCCCGAGTAGCTGGGATTACAGGCGCCTGCCACCACACCCGGCAAATTTTTTGTATTTTTAGTAGAGACGGGGTTTCACCGTGTTAGCCAGGATGATCTCGATCTCCTGACCTCGTGATCCACCCGCCTCGGCCTCCCAAAGTGTTGGGATTACAGGCATGAGCCACCGCACCTGACCCAGGCCTTCTTTATAGATGGCAGTGAGAAGTCAGATGGTGGAGATAGAATGTGGAGATAGAAGGGAAGCAGAATGGTTACCGAATGGCTTGGGAGTAAAAGGGAGGTTCTGAATGAGAGGTTTAGAGAAAGGTGGAAGGAGTCTGGTAGACATTTAGCAATTCATCTGCATTTTGGTCCATTTCCACTCATGGTAAGACCTAGAATTTTTTCTGTTAAGCTTTTTCAGACCAAGTAGTAGAATGGTCAGTTCTCTTGGGTTTGGGGAATATGGAGCAATCAAGACTGGTTTCAGCATGTCGAGAAGATGATGGTGCTGATTTATGGTTGAGGGAATGTCTTTTCTTTTCTTTTTTTTTTTTGAGACAGCATCTCGCACTATTGCCAGGGCTGCAGTGCAATGGTGTAATCTCGGTTTACTGCAACCTCTGCCTCCCAGGTTCAAGCGATTCTCCTGCCTCAGCCTCCTGAGTAGCTGGGATTACAGGTGTGCACCACCACACCCAGCTAATTTTTTGTATTTTTAGTAGAGATGGGGTTTCACTATGTTGGCCAGGCTAGTCTCGAACTCCTGACCTCGTGATTCGCCTGCCTCGGCTTCCAAAGTGCTGGGATTACAGGTGTGAATGACTGAATAATTGGAGAGTGTCTCTTTCTGACTCTCACCATACTGACAACAGTGAAGTCCAGAGAGAAGCCCGGCACTGGAGAACTTTGTGCAGTCCCTGTGGAAGTGCAAATGACATTCACTGCTCTCTTTTGCAGTGGTCAGCTCACTCACTCTTGACTATTGGCTTTCAGTGGACCCCAACTGACTGACATACCACTGCATTCTTAGAAGATTAATTGTTGTCAAAACAACAGTGTAAACCCTGCTCTAAGTGCCAAGAGAGGTGGGTAATCTGGTATAGAAAAGACTTGTAGGGGAAGTAGAGGTGAGAGTATAGTTTTAGGGGGGTCTCACAGCATGGAATCAGCACCAGTGAATGGAAGTTAAGAGAAGTATTTTAACAACGAAAAAAAAATTTTTTTGAGACGGGGTCTCTGTCACTCAGGCTGGAGTACAGTGGCATGATCACAGCACACTGCAGCCTCGACCTGTTGGACTGAAGTGATCCTCCCACTTTAGCCCCCCGAGTAGCTGGGACTACAGGCGTAAGCCACCAGGCTTGTCTTAATTTTATTTTTTGTAGAGACAGGATCTCACTATGTTGGCCAGGCTGATCTTGAACTTCTGTCCTCAAGCAATCCTCCCACCTGGGCCTCCCAAAGTGCTGGAATTACAGATGTGAGCCACTGTGCCTGGCAGAATTTTATATTAGACAAAGCTATCTGAAGATGAAGTAGGTAGCTTTGGAAAAGAATGAATTTCCCATTGTTTAGGGCATTCAAGCAGAAGCTTGGTGATCCCTTTACTGATATGTTGGAGGGCAATTTCCAGAATTTAGTTTAACTGGCTGGCTGAACTACATGATTTTGAAGAATCCTTCCAACTGTAAGGTTTTTCATTTGTTCTGTTTTTTTAGGAGATGGGGTTTTGCCATGTTGCGCAACTAATGAAGTCCATCTAATTTTGCCACTGGATGCATTATGACACTCTCCCTGTTTTAAAGGAATGTATTAAATGAATCAAGCTCATTATGAAACCAGTAAAATTTTCTCCTATGAAACTCATCATATAACACAGACATTAAAGATGGGAATATGTGCGATTAAATTGTTTGGGAGATTCTACTCTAAAATAGGTGACCTGCATTTTTCTCCCTAGAAATAACTGCTTTTTGTGGCAACTTTAGTTCTTGATTTATCTTTCCTAATGCAGTCTATTCTCTAATGAGAAATCTGTTTTTTTGAGGCAGCTTAATGATCTGAGGTTAGGAGTCAGGCACAAGTTTGAATTCCAATTCCAAATCCTTCGTAGCTGTGTGATGGAGCAAGTCACCAAATTCCTCTGAATTGGTTTTCTCATCTGTCAAAGGGAGATAGTAATGATGTCTCCCTTACGGGATTGTTGTGAGGCTTGGGGATGATCTATCAAAAGTGCCCAATGTAGGCCTGAGCAACCCCACTGTGGGCGCGGCTGTGGAATGGCTTTGGGTCTTGAAAAGAAAAGTGCCCAATGCAGGAGGTACCTAATATTATTATACATATATATGTATGTATGTATTTTAATATATTTTATAGTAACAAAACTTGCTTGATAGGTAAATAAATACATGGCCCACTATACCGGTCCCCTGTTTTTGTCAGGTTGTCTGGAATTACTCCATTACAGATTTAGTCCTTTGGGAAGGTTATAGGATGTATCTGCCATCAAAATCCAGGTATGCCATGGGGAGGTATTATGCCTTTCACTAACAAGTTTTCAGTTGATAGCTTATTTTATAAGTAGGAATAAAATATGCAAAATATGGGCTTATTGTAGACATTCATACAACATACATCCTCTCTCATCTGAGATTTCAGACTCCTAGGGATCCCTGGCATAGCTAGGTTTTTTGCAAACCATTTTCATTATTTCAAAAATCCTAATAGAAATTGTACTCAATTCCTTTGCCTTACTCTAATTCCTTGCTAGCTAAAAGATCCTTTCTTTGCAAATAGTTGAAATTACACCAGCTCAGTAATGCAACACTATCCCATGCTGGTGTGGCAGTTAAACTGCATTTGTGTCTTATTCATAGATTAGAATAATGACCATGGATCAATCATCCCTAAATACAATTTATCAGACAAAATGTTACAAAATTTCAAATCTTTTTTTTTTTTTTTTTTGAGACAGTCTCACTGTGTTGCCCAGGCTGGAGTGCAATGGCATGATCTCAGCTCACTGCAACCTCTGGTTCAAGCAATTCTCCTGCCTCAGCCTCCTGAGTAGCTGGGACTACAGGCACATGCCACCATGCCCAGCTAATTTTTGTATTTTTAGTAGAGACAGGGTTTCACCATGTTGGCCAGGATGGTCCCGATCTCTTGACCTCATGATCCGCCACCTCGGCCCCCCAAGGTGTTGGGATTACAGGCATAAGCCACCACACCGGGCCTATTTTGTATTTTTAGTAGAGACGGGTTTCACCATGTTGGCCAGGCTGGTCTAGAACTCCTGCCCCTGTCCTCAGGTGATCTGCCTGCCTCGGCCTCCCAAAGTGCTGGGAATACAGGTGTGAGCCACCATGCTTGGCACAAATCTTTTTTCTTGTTTCCTTTTTTTTTTTTTTTTTTTTTAAGACGGAGTCTCGCTGTTGTCACGCCGGCTGGAGTGCAGTGGCGCAATCTTGGCTCACTGCAACCTCAGCCTCCCGGATTCAAGCGATTCTTCTGCCTCAGCCTCCTGAATAGCTGGGATTACAGGTGCCTGCCACTACGCCTGGCTAATTTTTGTACTTTTAGTAGAGACAAAGTTTTGCCATGTTGGCCAGGCTGGTCTCGAACCCCTGACCTCAGGTGATCTGCCCGCCTCAGTCTCCCAAAGTGCTGGAATTATAGGCGTGAGCCACCGCGCCCGGCCCCAGATCTTTTTTTATGTAGTGGCGCGCACATACACACACACACACCCCAAACCAAAATGTCAAGTCTATGAGGAAGAGCAATGGAAAGAGCCTGAAGGGAAAAGATTGGGAACCATGGCATTTTGAGAACCTATCTACAGCTACTAAGGCTTTTTGGGTGTTGGGAAAACAGGCTATTGCTTAACAAGGGTGGGGAAGAGCGACATGAATGTCATGAAACAAGAATGGGGGCATCAAAGACAAATTCATCATTACTTTGCTGGTGTCTTACAGGACTTTCTTCCCTTTGAAACCTTAGTAACATTTTTTCCCCTTTGGAAAAAATGTCAGAGGTCCTAAGAGCGGGCCTGAAAAAAGAAAGGAGTAGATGTCTGGAAGAAGCAGAAGCCGCTTCCAAACATTACTTGGATAATGGTGCCCTCTTCTGGGGTGACTGATGTGACAATGTGACTCTGAAACCCTGTCTCCTACTACTTGGTTCAAAACATCCAGAAAGTAATTGACTAAAGAAACAATGAGACTAAAGGTTAAGCACTTACAAAATCATTTAAAAGTTTGAATTTAGGAGCTAGATACATGCATAAATATACATATGATAAATGTATTCAAAGATGTCTCTTTTCCTTTTTTTTTTTTTTTTTTTTTTTTTTGAGACAGAGTCTCACTCTGTCACCCAGGCTGGAGTGCAGTGGCGTGATCTCGGCTCACTGCAAGCTCTGCCTACCGGGTTCACGCCATTCTCCTGCCTCAGCCTCCTGAGTAGCTGGGACTACAGGCGCCCGCCACCACGCCCGGCTAATTTTTTGTACTTTTTAGTAGAGACGGGGTTTCACCATGTTAGCCAGGATGGTCTCCATCTGCTGACCTCGTGATCCACCCGCCTCGGCCTCCCGAAGTGCTGGGATTACACGCATGAGCCACCGCGCCGGCCAAAGATGTCTCTTTTCCAATGCTGTCAAAACCTCAAGCTAATGTAAGCACCTCTGTACCTCATTTCCATAGTGCTGTTATATCAGCGGATCCAATTTCCTGTGCTATCAGCATTACTCTTCTCACTTTTCTAGCAAGATTTTAGAACTGACTTGGTTTAGGTTCCATGGCAATGGGAAAAATACCCTCCTCCTTCCCTCCCATTCTCTTTGCCTTTACGCTCTTTCTGCTTTTCCATACTCAACACTTATTTTGTGCCCCCAATATGTCTTAAATCAGTTTTTAACTGCCACTTAAACTATTTCCATGTCACAGCATTTAAAAATGATGGTTCATGACGAAGCTGCTGGGGATAAAACGTTCAATTCCTCTTGTCACATAAGATTGACGTGCAGACGCAAACAGGTTATTTGATGACTTTTACCTTCAACTCTCTAACTACAGAGTAAAACTAACCTAGTCCTGTAGTTCTAAAAAGATTAGAGAGAGGCAAGTTTGGAAATAGTCATCTTCTTTTTATATCTTTTTTTTTTCTTTTGAGATGGACTTTCACTCTTGTTGCACAGGCTGGAGTGCAATGGCTTGATCTCGGCTCACCGCAATCTCCTCCTCCCGGGTTCAAGCGATTCTCCTGCCTCAGCCTCCTGAGTAGCTGGGATCACAGGCATGTGCCACCACGCCCCGCGAATTTTCTATTTTTAGTAGAGATGGGTTTCCTCCATGTTGGTCAGGCTAGTCTTGAACTCCTGACCTCAGGTGATCCGCCCACCCTGGCTTCCCAAAGTGCTGGCGTGAGCCACCGCTCCCGGCCCTTTTCTTTTTATATCTTAATGGTCAGTTTAAACAAGCTGAGGCAAAGGGCAAGGGAAATCTTTATAGGACCTTGTAACAGGAGTAGCAACTGAAGCACCCAACTCTTAAGTGTTGTAAAAGAAAGTACATCAGTGACTCTGGTAAGATGTTTGGAAAATAAAGATGTTCTAATAAGATTGTATCTTGAATTATTGTGCATTTTAATTATTCATGCACAGTATGCCTCCCCCTAACCCCAAATCTCATCAGACACAATCTCTTGAGATTTACAGACAGAGCAAATATGAAGAAAACAAAGTTCTCCACTCCTGCATCCCGTTCCCACGTTTTCTAGTTGATTGAGGCAAAAATGATATCCCCGGAGAACACATGTGTAATGTGGTACATATTTTTTTCAGCTAAGCCACTCCTTGGTCAAATTACTGACACATCGGTTTATACTTGCCCTTTCCATCTGACACAGACAGCAGCCAGAGATTTGGTTCAGTGAATTTAGGGCTTAGAAAGGCAGAGTCTGTAGTGTTGCAAGTCACAGAAGGTCATTCTAAAACACTCGTATACTTGTTAATCACTTGAATAGGGAGATTTGAACAGTCTACTCCTTTCTTTTTTTTCAGGCCCGCTCTTAGGACCTCTGACATACAAATGAATGCCAAAGAGTGCTCAGGAGCTCAACTTTTACTTCAGCTGTTATTAACCTTCAACCACAAGACAATAACATCTGTTCCTTTTATCCCAATTTTACGTGCGGCATTCTTAGCCATATCTACACTGTGTTTTTATGCACATCATCATACCCTGTTGTAGGGCTATAAAGACCCTACTATGGTAGAATTGGGAGTGGACTGAGGGATTAGGACAAAAGGATGTGGAAAACCGCAGATCTAGAGATGCATAGCTATTCTCATAACCTAGGAAGAGAGGTGGATTTCTCCGTCATCAATAGCTGAACACTCCTTGTGTTTCTAAGTATTGAATCCATAAAGTTACATGCAAACATACAGCCCTTGCCTTCAGGCCAAGCCGTAGTTATGCAGAAGGCTTGAAGCAATCACAGATTTAACATTTGTGGTTCCAGCTATTCAGGACCAATTCCCAAACTCCACGACATGTAACAATTTGTAATTTTGCTAGGACACAGTTTGATGCTTAGGTTTTAAGGCTGGTGTGCTAGACGTTATCAAGTGGTTTGTGAGAGTAGCCCTGTGTCTCCATTGGGTAGAGTAGCTGGGTCGCAAGGATCATGAAGAGATGAAGAAATGGCTGTGAAAAGCCAACTAGCCTCGGTGATAGTAAGCAAAGGTATAGAAACACTAAGGAAGTTACCCTTTGTATTGTCAAAGGTTTCAGTTTTGTGTAAGGTGGTGATTCACGGGCAGTTAATCTCCATCACTAAAATTAAATCCTTTTTTATTCATTGCAAATAGATAATCTGTGGAAGACATTTTGGCTTTTCTCGCTAGCAGAAAATGTGAGGCTTCTTCAGGTTTTTCCTGTTCATTGTTTCACGGGAGCATCTTCCCCAAAACACTGCAAAACTCAAAGTTCTCAGGCTGATGTGGCAGAAAGAGCATTGATCTCGGCTTCAGGAGCTAAATTCTCTAGTCCTGACTGTGCCACTAACAGACTGTGGGACTTCAGACAAGTACATTCCTTTCTCGGGTTTCTTATGTCAAATGGACAGCGTGAGAAGGATCACAATGAACCAGGGATCAGCTTCACGATTAAAACCTAAGACTTAAGAGACGGACATCTGTCCGTTCCTGGCTACACCTCCGGCCCATCTGGCCCACCCCAAACTGCGCGAAGCCCCTCTCCACCGACGCCAGGCCTGTGGCCTCGCGCGAAGCTGTTGGTCGTTAACATCTCCCCCGCAATGGGCGGGATGGAGGGCTTCAGCTTCCGGCTGCAAATGGCGAGGCGGCGCGCGGCGTTGCCCACTGGCCTCGGCATGGGCCTGCCCACGCACCCGCCCAGCGCGCGCCGGACCCTGTCTACCGCCGTTGAAGGGCTTCCCAGCCCTAGCAGTGCGTACTGGGAAGCCCCCAAAAGGCTCTGCGAGGCCGAGGAGACCCGTTCGGAGTGGGGGAGGGGAAGATAAACCGAACTATTTATGTTAATCAGTGCATGCTTCCTTTATGGAGATTGGCCAGGGTTTTACTCTAGTAACCAATCACTTCAGAACAAGGGCGGGCCCGTTGATATCTCTCACACTCATTGGTTGAGAGGTTGCGGCGCAATGGAAGGTCTTAAACCGAGAGTATCCGGGATTATTTTTCCCCGCCGTGCGGTGCGTGTCCCGGAAGTGACGCATGGCCAAGGCCGGGCGGCCGCCTTGCCCCCGCTTCCTTTCACGCTGTCGCTGCCCGTAGGTGGTTGTGGCCACTGTGCCCGGAGGGAGGCGGCGGTGGCCAGTAATGCCTGGGAAACTCCTCTGGGGGGACATTATGGAGCTGGAAGCACCCTTGGAGGAGTCCGAGAGCCAGAAGAAGGAGAGGCAAAAGGTGCGCTGAGCATGGGCCGCGCCTCCTTTTGGGCTGCGCCGGCTTGGGCGGGGAGGGGAACTGTCTGTCCCTGATGATGGCCTGTCAGAACCGGGCCGGAGCATCCGAGGGCCTCCCTTCGCGCCGCCCTCGGCCCTCTGGGGTCGCTCAGGGACCGTTTCCACCTCCACCCTCCCGACCTGGAGAAAGATGGCCCTGGGCTTTGGGCCTCTCCTCCGCGTGGCCCCTCAGCCCTTCCCGTTGGCGCCTGAATCTCAGATGGGCAGACTCAAGCTCCCATCACCATGGAATCTGTTCTTTCTCTCCTGAAGCAGTGACGCTTGCCATTTCGTTTTCATTGGCCCTCTTAGAAGATGATTAAGAAAAAATGATTGCTTTGAATATGTGTTGCTTCTGTCACCCCGTCCCCTGTGCAAGAATCCTGGGGAAAGCGATCTTAGGTTTACAGACCTCAATAACTAGTCTGTAGAGGCTTAAGGAAAAGTGTCACTGAGACTTGCCAGGATTTGTCAGTGATGGAGATCGTGTGGGTTGCATTATTAATAGCCTTTACTGTCAGTATTTTCATTCAATCCGCAGGTGTTTATTGAACCTAATTTGTACCATACTCTTTGCTGAGTACCAAGGAGGTTAAACTAAATAAGTAAAGAAATGGTCTCTGCTCTCAAGGAGCCTGTAGAGGAGTTGTAGTCTTTCCTCCTCCCAGCCCCCTGCCCTCCAAAAAAAAAAAAAAAAAAAAAGGAAAAGAAAAAACATCCTGAAACACTCAGAGGATCACAAGGTGCTGAAAAAATGCCCAGGTAAAATTATTACTGGAGACATTTGACCTGGAAAAAAGAAATCAGCTGAAGAGGCTAAGGTGGCAGTATTCGAAGGCTGACATTCGACAAAAGAATGAGACTTATTTTGTATAGCCTTAGAAAGCAGAATCTACCTCTCTGACCTTATCACTAAGGTAAACTTGCCATTTCAGCTAACACTTTTATTGTGCTAAAATACACATAACGTTTATCATTTTAACCATTTTTAAGTATATAGCTCTGTGACATTAAGTATATTTACATCGTTTTGCAGCTGTCACCATCATCCATCTCCAGAACTTTTCATTGTCCCAGACTGAAACTCTGTGCCCATTAAACACTCACTTCTCATTCCTCTCTCCTTCCACTCCCGGCAACTACCATTCTACTTTCGCTCTGTGAATTTGACTACTGAAGTTACCTAGAGTGTAAGCAGAAAACCAAGCAGGTATTTTAAAAAAGGCTTCTTTTGAAATTCTTGTCTTTTGCATCCCAATCCTGTCCAGCGGTCAAGGCCTAGTTTATGTCTTTCCTGACAACCCGAATGTACCGTTATCTAGTTTCAGTGGCTATCTTCATCATTTGATTGACATTTGTTATGCATGTCTATATAAAATTAGTTCATTTTTCCTGTATGTATCCCACATATTTCCCAAAAGTTCTTGAGGAAAGTGACCAAATCTTTATCCATCCTTATGTTTCACTATGTTGTTTTAAATTGGTGGCTTTCACATTGTAAATTCTCCAGAAATACATATTGACTGCCCTTTAACTATGAAAGATAACCAGAGATTTGGAAACGAATTGGAATACCAACTAAAAGAAATAGAGCATTAGAATACAGGTCTGGTGGCTAGCTGCAGTGGCTCATGCCTGTAATCCTAGCACTTTGGGACGCTGAGATGGGAGGATTGCTTGAGCCCAGAAGTTTAGGTAGAGTTTTGTAGAGACCCTGTCTCTACAAAAAATAAAAAAATTAGCCGGGTGCGGTGGCTCATGCCTGTAATCCCAGCACTTTGGGAGGCTGAGGCAGGCAGATCACCTGAGGTCAGGAGTTCAAGACCAGCCTGGCCAACATGGTTAAATCCCATCTCTGCTAAAAATATAAAAATTGGGCCGGGCATGGTGACTCACTCCTGTAATCCCAGCACTTTGGGAGGCTGAGGCGGGTGGATCGTGAGGTCAGGAGATCGAGACCATCCCGGCCAACATGGTGAAACACCATCTCTACTAAAAATACCAAAAAAGGCCAGGTGCGGTGGCTCACGTCTGTAATGCCGGCATTTTTGGAGGCTGAGGCAGGTGGATCACCTAAGGTCAGGAGTTCGAGACCAGCCTGGCCAACATGGTGAAACTCCGTCTTTACTAAAAATACAAAAATTAGCTGGGCATGGTGGCACATGCCTGTAATCCCAGCTACTCAGGAGGCTGAGGTAAGAGAATCGTATGAACCCGGGAGGCTGAGGTTGCAGTGAGCTGAAATCGCACCACTGCACTGCAGCCTGGGTGACACAGCGAGACTCCATTTAAAAAAAAAACCCAAAAAACCCAAAAATTAGCTGGGTGTGGTGGCGCGTGCCTGTAATTCCAGCTACTCGGGAGGCTGAGATACAGGAATTGCTTGAACCTGGGAGGCAGAGGTTGCAGTGAGCCGAGATCGCACCATTGCACTCCAGCCTGGGTGACAGAGCAAGACTCCGTCTCAGAAAAAAAAAAAAAAAAATTAGCTGGGCGTGGTGGCAGACGCCTGTAATCCCAGCTACTCGGGATGCTAAGGCAGGAGAATTGCTTGAACCCAGGAGGCAGAGGTTGCAGTGAGCCAAGATCACGTCATTGCACACCAATCTGGGCAACAAGAGCGAAACTCCGTCTCAAAAAAAAAAAAAAAAATTAGCCAGCCGTTGTAGCTCGTGCCTGTAGACTTAGCTACTCAGGAGACTGAGGTGGGAGGATCACTTGAGCCAGGGAGGTTGAGGCCACAGTGAACCATGGTTGAGCTGCTGCACTCCAGCCTGGGAGACAGAGTAAGACCTGTCTCAAAAAAACAAAACTGAAGTGAATAGTGGTCTGGTATTGAGGTGAGGATAACTTTGGTTCGGACGTGTTGAGATATGGAGCTGGTGCTTAGATTCTTAGAGTTGGAATGTAGGTGAGGAAGGGAGTCTGGAAGTACGTATTGAGCCATGAAAATAGTACTAAAAGTGAACATAGAGAACAGATACTCAAGGAGCATCCACTGGAGGAGGAAGGAGAGGAACCATTGAAGAAGATATGTGGTAGAGGTAAGAAGATAGAGGTAAGAAGGGAATATAAAGTGTAACTGAAACCAAGTAGACGGAGAGTGCCAAGCATTGTGGGTCTAAAGTGGAATTATTTATTTAATCACCTTGAGATGTTACTGGGCTTAGACCGAGAGGTCTCCTTTTGCCTTGCTTCAACTTCTCTCTGTAGTGCAGGGCCCAGAAGCAATTCAAGCCCCAAGGCTGAATCGATAAATAATCTTATTTTTCTGTAGAACCTATTGGTTTGGAAAGATGTGGTCTAGTGTAGTTAACTGCAGATCATATGATGTAATGTGTAACTGCAAAGCATTTTCACACATATTGTTCAATTCTCACAGCAATTCCAATTTTATGGATGAGAAAATTATATGTGAAATAACTCTAAAAGTTGTGTAAGTTATGGTGAACATTTTGGTGGTAGTAGTTTTTACTATCACTAATTACTGCTATCTATTTTGAATATTTGACCAGGTAATTCATTTTTTTGAGAGTGGCCGAGATTACAGGCGTGTACCACAACATGCAGCTAACTTTTGTATTTTTGTAGAGACGGGGTTTCCCCATGTTGGCCAGGCTGGTCTTGAACTCCTGACCTCAGGTGATCCGCCCAACCTCGCCCCCCCAGAGTGCTGGGATTATAGGCGTGAACCACCACGGCTAGCCACCAGGCTAAAGTCCTAAATTCCCAAATCATTTATTGTGTTCTGTAAATATCACAACACTGGCCACTAGTTTGAGATTTTAAAATTGAAGTTGAAAAATAGTGTTTTTTAAAAAAATTAACTGAATTTAAAACGTAAAAAAAAAAAAAAAATCCAGGATTACTGTCCTTCCGTGGAAGTATAACAATTGGACTTCTATATGAATTATATAGTTTCTTTTTGTTTTCCTTTAGCCTGTGAATTGTCAAAGTGCAGGGAGGAAGCATAATGTGAAAAGAGAATGGGCTTTCAAGTCAGGCAGTGCTAGATTCAGTTTCTAGTACTTATAGCTGCAGGAAATCCCACATGTGGATCTTTGGCAAGTTGCTTAACCTCTTACAACTTCTGTTTCCTTGTCTATAAAATGGCAAAGGTGGCTGGGCACAGTGGCTCACGCCTGTAATCCCACCACTTTGGGAGGCCGAGGCTGGTGGATCACCTGAGGTCAGGAGTTTGAGACCAGTCTGGCCAACAGGGTGAAACCTCGTTTCTACTAAAAATACAAAAATTTAGCTGGGCATGGTGGCGTATGCCTGTAGTCCCAGCTACTTGGAAGACTGAGGCAGGAGAATCACTTGAACCCGGGAGGCGGAGGCTGTAGTGAGCCAAGATTGCGCCACTGCACTCCAGCCTGGGTGACAGAGCAAAACTCTATCTCAAAAATAAATAAATAATTAAATAAAATGGCAAAGGTAATACAGGTTCACTATCCCTTATCCAAAATCCTTGGAACTAGTTGTATTTTGGAATTCAGAATTCTGGGGATTTTTAGAAAGGTAGCACCCCGGTAGGGTTTGGGGCCTGAAACCTGTAATCAAACACCTTAATATTAAATATGAGTGGTCATACTAAGCAGGATAAATGAAGACTATAAAGAGCCTCACGTTAGTTCAAGTTAAATTTTGCCATCAAATGAGTTCAGGTAAGGTTTTGCCTCCAAATAAGTTACAAAAAAAACTTTCGGTTTTCAGAGCTTTATGGATATCGCAATTTCGGATAAGGGATTATGGACCTGTACTTCCCTTATAGGGTTGTTATGAAGATTTAAACAAGATAAGCTGAAAACACATTACACAGTGCTGGGTAGGTATTCAATAAGTATTAATTTTTTTTTCTCTTGGAAATGTTGGAAGTTTTTGCTTGTTTAGTAATTTATAATTCTGGGGTTGTCTTTCTTTCCCTGAGGAGAAACCGTTTTAATTTTCCTTAAATCTTATGATGGGATTAGAGAGGGGCTAGAGGCTGAGTCTTGAGAATGCTAGGAAGGGGATGAGAAAGATAGCAACAGTTGAGGCTTAGAGCTTGGCATTAGTAAGCAGTCTGGATTTCTACCAGGCAGGTTTTCAAAGTAACTGTAGATTGAGCTGAACTGGTGGGGGAGTCATGCTCTAACTTCTCTAGAGTCTTAAAAGAAAACCTCTGACCATCTTGTCATTGCTTCTTTGTTTGTTCACAGAGTGACAGAAGGAAGTCAAGGCACCATTATGACTCGGATGAGAAATCAGAAACAAGAGAAAATGGTGTTACAGATGACCTGGATGCTCCCAAGGCCAAAAAATCTAAAATGAAAGAGAAGCTAAATGGAGACACTGAAGAAGGATTTAATAGACTTTCAGATGAATTCTCCAAATCTCATAAGTCAAGAAGAAAAGATCTACCAAATGGAGATATAGATGAATATGAAAAAAAATCAAAGCGAGTATCATCTTTAGATACTTCTACTCATAAATCAAGTGATAATAAACTAGAGGAGGTATGGAAGCTTTTTATTTTGCATTTGACATTGTTGTTGAACTATAGGTTGATTTGAATTTTTTTAGGCTAATTAGAATTGATTCTATAACATTTCTTGATTAGTGTCTAGTATTCTTAGTTGCACTAGAGTCTGTACAGGTGAAGCCTGAGCCTTTTTTCCTTTGGCCCTTGTTTATTTCACTGTATGGCCTTTTTCTTGGGGCGAGGTGGGAGCAATAGTTAAATTTAAACCTTTTCTGTACATTTGGGTTCCTAAAGTTATTCGGAATTGCTTGATGGTTATCTACTTGAATTTCTTTTCTTTTTTCTTTTTTTTTTTTTTTTGAGTCAGAGTCTCTCTCTGTTTCTCAGGCTGGACTGGAATGGCACAATCTCAGCTCATGGCAACCTCTGCCTCCCGGGTTGAAGCGATTCTCCTGAGTCAGCCTCTCAAGTAGCTGGGATTACGGGCACGCACCACCATGCCTGGCAAATTTTTGTATTTTTAGTAGAGACGGTGTTTCTCCATGTTGATCAGGCTGGTCTTGAACTCCTGACCTCAAAGTGATCCACCTGTCTCGGCTTCCCAAATTGCTGGGATTACAGGCATGAGCCACCACACTGGGCTGATAATTAGTAATTCTTTATATTATATAAATACGATAATTGCTGATATTCATATACATTTGAGCTTAATGCATAATCTTTGGGGAAAAGTGTTGAATCCTTGTGTTATGGCCTTTTTTTTTTTAATTTGTGAATTTGCTGTTTGGCAGGAAGCACATGTGTTTGTTGATCTAAATAAGGTCCTTTAAATCTGTATTTCTAGCAGTGGAATGTATGGCTTGCTTCTCACTTTGGTGGGATTTTGCCTGGTAAAATCTGTATTATAATAGGTTTAACAGTTTATTATTTTGTTTAGATCACATGAGAGTTCAGGAATTCTACTTAAAGGAATTTATCCTAAGGAGATGATGAAGAGGTGTGCAGAGCTGTATGAATAAGTACTCTTATCATAGTAATATTGTTGATAATAGGAAAATATTTAAACATCCTAAATGTCTGATAGTAGACATTTGGTTTAAATAAAACATACTATAGCTGTATAATAGAATACAGCTATCCCAAAGGGTGTACAATAGAAAAGGTAGTCATTGTATCTTGTTAAAAGAAAAAAATAGGCTGGGCGCAGTGGCTCACGCCTGTAATCCCAGCACTTTGGGAGGCTGAGGCAGGTGGATCACCTGAGATCAGGAGTTCCAAGACCAGCCTGACCGACATGGTGAAACCTGTCTCTACTAAATACAAAAAAATTAGTTGGGTGTGGTGGCGCATGCCTGTAATCCCAGCTACTTGGGAGGCTGAGGCAGGAGAATCGCTTGAACCTGGGAAGTGGAGGTTGCAGTGAGCCGAGATTGCACCATTGCACTCCAGCCTGGTCAACAAGAGCGAAACTCCATCTCAAAAAAAAAAAAAAAAAAAAAAAGATTATAAAATGGTATATACAGTGTGATTTTATTTCTATTTAAAAAATTTTATGTGCATAGAGTGAAGACTGGAGGAGTATGTTTCAAATATGGCTTTAGCTGAGTGGATTATAAATAATTTTTAAATTTGTTTCTGTTTCCTCTGTAGTTTTTAAAATTTCCTTTTTTTTTTTTTTTTTTTTTGAGATGGGGTCTCACTCTGTCACCTAGGATGGAGTGCAGTGGTGTGATCATGGCTCACTGCAGCCTCATCCTCCCTGGGCTCAGGTGATCCTCCCACCTCAGCCTCCTGAGTAGCTGGGACTATAGGCGTGTAGCACCATGCCTGGCTAATTTGTGTATTTTTGGGAGAAATGGTGTTTCATTCACTATGTTGCCCAGACTGGTCTTGAACTCCTGGGCTCAAGTAATCCACCCACCTTGGCCTCCCAAAGTGCTGGGATTACAGACATAAACCACTGGGCTCTGCCAGTTTCAAAAGTTTCTACAATGACAGTGTATTGTTTATTTTTGTTTGTTTGTTTGTTTTTTATAGAGACAAGGTCTCACTGTATTGCTCAGGCTAGTCTTGAACTCCTGGGCTTAAGTGATCCTACCACCTTGGCCTCCCAAAATGCTGGAATTACAGGCATGAGCCACCACGCCTGGCCGACAGTGTATTATTTTTATAATTTTTTTTATCATAAAAAGGTAACAGCAGCATTGAAGTTTGTTTAAATGGCATGCCATTTGAATTTGAAATTATTTTTTATCTAATTCCAAGTTTGAAAATTGTTAGTGTGTGTTTCTTTAAACACATGAACAATAAAGCTTACTGGGTAGACACACTGTTTTTGTTCTATGTGCACATTAGTATACAAAGTTTTCAATAAATGTTAAATGATAATCTCATGGTAACTTGTATATATGTTAAAGAAATCTTCAAGCTTACGGTAACTTTCTCTTGTATTAGCAACCTAAATAAGCTTTCAAACGCTGTAGAATAAATTTTTAACTTATTTTCAGAAAAACTTTACATTCCTCATTATATACTTTCTTTTAGCTTAGTTTATAGGCTTGTGTTAATCTTTATAATTTTGTCTACATCTGTATGATTTAGATGAATAAATAACCTTTTTGGCTGGGCATAATGGCTTATGCTTGTAATCCCAGCAGTTTGGAGGCCAAGGTAGGAGGATCTTTTTTTTTTTCTTGTTCTTCTTTTGAGACAGAGTTTCGCTCTTGTTGCCCCGGCTGGAGTGCCATGGTGCAATCTCGGCTCACTACAACCTCTGCCTCCTGGGTTCAAGCAATTATCCTGCCTCAGCCTCCCGAGTAGCTGGGATTACAGGCATGCGCCACCATGCCTGGCTAATTTTGTATTGTTAGTAGAGACAGGGTTTCTCCATGTTGGTCAGGCTGGTCTTGAACTCCTGACCTCACATGATCCACCTGCCTTGGCCTCCCAAAGTGCTGGGATTACGGGCATGAGCCACCGCACCTGGCCAGGAGGATCTCTTGAGGCCAGGAGTTTAAGATCTGCCTGGATAACATGGTGAGACCCTGTCTCTACAAAAAATAAAAAACTAAGTGAGCATGGTGGCATGCGCCTGTGGTCCTAGCTGCTTGGGAGGCTGAGGTTGGTAGGATTTGAGCCCGGAGGTTGAGGCCACAGTGAGCTGTGATGGTGCCACTGCACTCCAACCTGGGCAACAGAGTGGGACCCTGTTTCAAAAAAAAAAAAAAAGTGTTCCACTAATTTTCCTTGTAAGTTAATCTGTAAAAAATTAAAAACAGTAAATGAGGAAGAGTTGAGTATAAATTATTTAGGCCATTGATTTCATTTTTACAGACCTTAACACGTGAACAGAAAGAAGGAGCCTTCTCCAATTTTCCTATTTCTGAAGAGACTATAAAGCTTCTGAAAGGTATGCAGTTTGGTTGTTGTTGTTATTGTTGTTGTTTTGAGACAGAGCCTCGCTCTGTTGCCCAGGCTGGAGTGCAGTGGGGCAGTCTTGGCTCACTGCAACCTCCGCCTCCTGGGTTCAAGCGATTCTCCTACCTCAGCCTGCTGAGTAGTTGGGATTATAGGCGTGTGCCACCATGCCCGGCTAAGTTTCATATTTTTAGTAGAGACGCAGTTTCACTGTGTTGGTCAGGCTGGTCTCAAACTCCTGACCTCCTGATCTGTTCCAGTTGGGTTACCAAAGTGCTGGGATTACAGGCGTGAGCCACCACGGCTGGCCCAAAGGTTTGCAGTTTTAATGGATATGCAATTAAAAATCTATCACTAGATTTTGTAAAACTCCTGTGCCTTTTCTGACCAAAAGGAGAACATAAAAAGCATAGAGAAGTAGCTCTTCTTTAATTGCACTTACTTTTACATCATCCTTTTCAATATTCTGCCTTGTTTTTAGCTTTAAGATTTATATGCATTCGTCAAAAGTTTAGACTAATTTTTTAGTAATGCTTGTTTGTGGTAGGAATAACTGTGTCACCAGGTGGCATGTCTTTAGGCAGACATAGAAGAATTATGATTGTCATTTTCAAATGAATATATTTTTTCCTAATGCTAGTCGTAAAGAAGTATTTTAATTAAATCTCATTTTACAGGTCGAGGGGTAACATATCTCTTTCCTATTCAAGTTAAGACCTTTGGTCCTGTATATGAAGGAAAAGATTTAATAGCTCAAGCACGGACAGGAACAGGAAAGACATTCTCTTTTGCCATCCCCTTAATTGAAAGACTCCAAAGAAATCAAGAAACAATTAAAAAAAGCCGCTCACCAAAGGTAATCGTTATAGGGGGTAAAAGCTTTAAATGTTACTCTAACAGAAAGGGAAAGAAAGTTACACGAGTCCTAAGTTCTAGTACCCCCAAAATAGAAAAGTTAGCGCTGTGGCATAAAACAAAAATATGTTGTTTTTCACAAAAAGAAATTTCAAGCAAAGTTAAAGTGAAGTAGTTTTTGCATATGAATGTGATGTGTATGGATCCATAGATGTCTTTGATAATTTCATGAATTATAAAGCCGGTATATCTTATTTACAGTTTTTATATTTAGTTGACCCTTTTCTTCTCTTTTCTTCAGTCCTGACCTTTGCTTTTAAATAAATGAATTTTCTAAAGAGGTGTTCATTTATTTGTCATTCAGTAAATGTTCAGCATCATTTATTTCAGTGTTACCTTTTTTTCCCTTTAGTATGGAATACGTCATGAATTTTCATGTCATCCTTGTGCAGGGGTCATGCTAATCTTCCCTGTGTCATTCCAATTTTAGCGTATGTGCTGCTGAAGTGAGCACACACAGATGGACTTTTTAAGAAGAGTATTATAGAAATGATACTGCTAGTTTATATATTATTGGGGTACTAGACATCTTATTTTATAAATGTAAAATCAACCAACAGAGAGGACTAGTAAAATGTAAGCCTAAAATTTGACCTAAAAAGCTGTGTGCACTTAAGGTTTGTAAAAGTGAAGAAAAAAATCAGCATCATAATATGAACAACTGTATGACTAAAAGTAATTTGTTCTTTGTAAGACTCCTGAGTGGTATTATAAGAGCAAATTAACATACATACATAAATATAATTAAATCATAATAGTCTTGGATCAGCTATCCCAAATCAGGTTGGCTGTGTTGACTTACAGGATAAATATTTTTGGAGAGTTATGTTTTTCGGGTGAAATTAGGAAAAGACTGAAATAGGACATAGGATATAATCTCAACACTGCTTTTTTTTTGTTTTGTTTTGTTTTTTGTTTTTTTTAAAGACAGGGTCTCTCTCTGTTGCCCAGGATGGAGTACAGTGGGGTGATCATGGCTCATTGTAGCCATGAACTCCTGGGCTCAAGCAATTCTCTCTTCCTCTCAGTCTCTCCAGTAGGTAGGACTGCAGGCAGGTGCCACCACACTTGGCTAATTTTTTATTTTTTGTAGAGTTGGGGTCTCATTCTGTAGTCCAGGCTGGTTTTGAACTCCTGGCCTCAAGTGATCCTTCCACCTTGGCCTCCCAAGGTGTTGGGATTACAGGTGTGAGCCTCCACGCCTGGCCCCAAAGCTGCCTTAAAAAGCTTTTGTATTAGAAAGATGTTACTGGAGATTCCAGCTCCGCCATTTCTAGGTGTTTGATTTTGGGCAAGACTTTAATTCTCTGAGACACAAGTCTCTCATTTACGAAAATGGTGGCATAATGCCACTCATGGGTTTTTATGAGAATCAAATTAGATAATTCCTGTAAAGCATTAGTTCCTAGCACATGGTGAACATTCATTCGTTTAACATTTTTGAGTTTCCTGTACTGTACCAGGCACTGTTTGAAGTGTAAGGAATACAGTAACCCAACCTGACATAAATTCCTGCCTTCATGGAGCTTACATTTTATTGGGTGAGATAGACAATCAGCAAATAAGTAAAATATCAGTATCTTAGGTGGTTTAAGTGCTGAGGAGAAATGATAAAGAGGGGCAGGGGGATATGAAAATGGGCTTGGGAACCTCACTGAAGAGACCTGAAGGAAGTAAGGGGGGAATGTAATAAATACATGCTGCTGTTCCTTTTGCTATTTGTGATGTGTCTTTAAATACTTCGACATTAATGTTGAGATTCCTGGTTTTAAATGCACCTAAAAAAAGTCTTCTTGGTTTTAATTTAGATATGTCTTTAGAAAAGTATCTTTTTGTTTTTTAAACCTCTTGCTCAGGTACTTGTTTTGGCTCCAACAAGGGAACTGGCAAACCAAGTAGCCAAAGACTTCAAAGATATAACTAGGAAACTCAGCGTGGCGTGTTTTTATGGTGGAACATCATATCAAAGCCAAAGTGAGTAAATATGTTTGATAGACGTGCAAAGGCATATTTGATACTCATATTTAAATAAATAATGTGAAAGTTTGAATTTTACATATTGGTGGCATTTCTCTCTTCTCACAGTTAATCATATTCGAAATGGTATTGACATCTTGGTTGGAACACCTGGTCGTATCAAAGACCATCTGCAGAGTGGCCGATTGGATCTTTCTAAACTGCGACATGTTGTGCTTGATGAAGTGGATCAGATGTTAGATTTAGGTTTCGCTGAACAAGTTGAAGATATTATTCATGAATCCTACAAAACTGGTATATCCTAATTCAAAATAAGCACATTAGCAATTATTGTTCGATCTTAAATGCAAACGAGTTTTTATTTAATAATTTTTATTGCAGTGTCCCCTGCGTTCTAACAAAACTAAAATAATTTGGTATCTGTTCTGTCCTTGAAAAAGAAAGTATGATAGCATCATTTTAACTATTTTCTTAGCTTTCTGTGCTTTATTCTATTTTTTTATAGTCAGTAGTTAGATTTACTAACTCATTTTATTGATTTCTTTGTTCATTGTTCCTGCTTAAATTCTCACTTTCCTTTTGGGTTCAGTTCTCTTCATATTGTCCCCCAGTTTTGCAAGTTGAAAGTTTTAATAATTGCAATGAAGTCTGTGTGTTAAAAATTCACCCCAAGTTTTACATTTTTCATTATTTTTTTGAAGCTTGGGAGGATTTTTAAGAGCGGGCTACATCGTGGGAAATTAAGAAAACATTTGAATTCTTTTTGTTTATTTAAGATTCTGAAGACAATCCTCAGACTTTACTTTTTTCTGCAACTTGCCCACAGTGGGTATACAAAGTTGCAAAAAAATACATGAAATCCAGATATGAACAGGTTGACCTTGTTGGAAAAATGACTCAAAAGGCTGCAACTACTGTGGAAGTAAGTAGCTTTCTAGCATGATAGATTTTAGCTTTTAGTTGGTATTTACTTTTGACATTTGTTGAAGCTAAATTTAAGTTTTGGGTACCTCTTCATGCCTAATCTTCCTTTTCTGCTCTTAGTAAGACACCTATATATTTTTATAGTCTGAGACTGAGTAGCAGAATAGAATAAATAGGGGGAAAAAAAGCACGTGAATAGGCAAGTCCTAATAGGAAACACACAAGCAGCCATAGAGACAGATTTGAAGTGTTTCTTTCTTTCTCTCTTTAAAGCCGCTCAAAAACAAAAACAAAAAACAAAATATTTACAACGTGACAAAGAAGGCGATTTATATTGACTAGAAAAGAATAGTGCGGAGATAATTTGTTAAAGCTGAGGTGAAAAAAAGATAGATCCTCATCCCATTCCCCCAAACCAAAAAAATTTCTCAAAGATTTAAAAAATTAAGCTGTAAAATAACTTAAAGCAGACGTAGGTGAATAAAGAGTTTTTTGATTTCAGGAAAGGGAATGCTTTTCTAACATAGAAGTTGGGCTGAGCATGGTGGCTCACGCCTGTAATCCCAGCACTTTGGGAGGCCAAGGCGGGCAGATCACTTGAGGTCAGGAGTGTGAGACCAGCCTGGCCAATATGGTGAAACTCTGTCTCTACTAAAAATAGAAAAATTAGCCGGCCTGGTGGCGGGCCCCTGTAGTCCCAGCTATTTGGGAGGCTGAGGCATGAGAATCACTTGAACCCAGGAGGTGGAGGTTGCAGTAAGCTGAGATTGCGCCACCGTACTCCAGCCTGGGTGACAGAGGGAGACCCTGTCTCAAAAAAAAAAAAAAAAACCACAGAAGTCAGAAGAAGAATCCATAAAGGAAAAGGTTTATAATTTTGACTCCATGAAAGTTAAACCAATGGTATGTTTAAAAAAAGAATTAGGGCCGGGCGTGGTGGCTTACGCCTGTAATCCCAGCATTTTGGGAGGCTGAGGCAGGCGGATAATGAGGTCAGGAGATCGAGACCATCCTGGCTAACACGGTGAAACTCCATTTTTACTAAAAATACAAAAAATTAGCCGGTCATGGTGGCGGGCGCCTGTAGTTCCAGCTACTCGGGAGGCTGAGGCAGGAGAATGGCGTGAATCCGGGAGGTGAAGCTTGCAGTGAGCCAAGATCGCGCCACTGCACTCCAGCTTGGGTGACAGAGCGAGACTCTGTCTCAAAAAAAAATAAAAGAAAAAAAAGGCTGGGTGCGGTGGCTCACGCCTGTATTCTGAACACTTTGGGAGGCTGAGGCGGGCAGATCACGAGGTCAGGAGATCGAGACCATCCTGGCCAACATGGCGATACCTCGTCTCTATTAAAAATACAAAAACTAGCTGGGTGTGGTGACCCGCACCTGTAATCCCAGCTACTTAGGAGGCTAAGGCAGGAGAATTGCTTGAACCCGGGAGGCGGAGGTTGCAGTGAGCCAAGATCGTGCCACTGCACTCCAGTCTGGAGACAGAGTGAGACAACATCTCAAAAAAAAAAAAAAGAAAAAAGAACTAAAGGTAATATTTACCGTATTTATGACAGGCAACTAGGTAACATGTCATCTTTCTATTTAATAGATGCATATATATGTGTATGTAGGAAAGACTAGGTGACTAAGTGAATAGTAGTATCTGCAGAATGTAATGCAGTGGTTAAAAACAATCAGTGATAAAAACCAAATTATACAATGATGTATACAAAAATTACACTATTTTAAAAAATAAATAGTGCTAAATGGATTCCTTAGGCATTTATGTAAATATACAAACACAGGTTGAAAGAATAAACATCAGATAATGATTACTTCTGGGAAGGGGCATGCTGGATGGTAAAAAGAAGCTTTGTGGGCCGGGCGTGGTAGCTCATGCCTGTAATCCCAGCACTCTGGGAGGCCGAGGCGGGTGAATCACGAGGTCAGGAGTTCGAGACCAGCCTGGCCAACATAATGAAACCCTTTCTCTACTAAAAATACAAAAATTGGCTGGGCATAGTTGCGCACGCCTGTAGTCCCAACTACTCGGCAGGCTGAGGCAGGAGAATTGCTTGAACCCAGGAGGTGATAGTTGCGGTGAGCTGAGATTGCGCCACTGCACTCCAGCCTGGACAACAGATTGAGACTCTGTCTCAAAAAAAAAAAAAAAAGAATAAGAAAAAAGAAGCTTTTTTATTTTGTAATGGTTGAAAGTTTTGCAGTAAGAATGTAAAATGTATAGTAAAAAACAGTTGATAAGAACATTTTCAAACATATAAAATTGAATAGTAAATTGAATAGAAAGATTGAATAGTATAAAGAACATGATATACCCATTACCTATTACCAGTCTTTAACAATGATCTTTTCTTCACCCCTGCATTTGAAACAATCCCAGTCATCATTTTATCTTCAAGTAATTGTATGTATTTCCAAAATGATAACTAAGGGCTCTTTAAAACCACAGTCATTATCAGTAGAAGAAAAACAGTAATTTTTTTTGAGATGGAATTTCACTCTTGTTGCCTAGTCTGCAGTGCAATGGTGTGATCTCAGCACGCTGCAACCTCCACCTCCCTGGTTCAAGTGATTCCTCCTGCCTCAGCCTCCTGAGTAGCTGGGATTACAGGCGCCCACCACCACACCTGGCTAATTTTTTGTATTTTTAGTAGAGACTGGGTTTTGCCATGTTGGCCAGGCTGGTTTCGAAATCATGACCTCAAGTGATCCGCCTGCCTTGGTCTCTCGAAGTGCTGGGGTTACAGGCGTGAGCCACTGCGCCTGGCATAGTAATTCTTTAATATCATTAAATACCTAGTGTGCACATTGCCCTTGCTGTCTTTTTTAAATAGTTTGTTTGAATCTGGATCCAAATACAATTCTTGACGTTGCTACTGATTGATATGCGTCTTAAACATTTTATAATCTATAGTTCCTTTTTTTTTCTTTGCAATTTTCTGTTGAAAAAACTCATTTGTTGGCCAGGCGCAGTGGCTCACACCTATAATCCCAGCACTTTGGGAGGACGAGGATGGTAGATCACCTGAGGTCAGGAGTTCGAGACCAGCCTGACCAACATAGTGAAACCCTGTCTCTACTAAAAATACAAAAATTAGCAAGGCATGGTGGCACGTGCCTGTAGTCCCAGCTACTTGGGAGGCTGAGAAAGAAGAATCGCTTGAACCAGGAGGCGGAGGTTGCAGTGAGCTGAGATCGTGCCACTGAACTCTAGCCTGGGCAACAGTGTGAGACTCCGTCTCAAAAAACAACAAAAAAACTCATTTGCCTTATGAGTTTCCCACAGTCTGTTTTGCTGATTTGCATCCCTGTGGTTTTTATTTTTCCTTATTTTTTTACTGTTAACACCACTCAAAGATGTGGTGGGTTTTCTTGTTTGTTCGTGTTGTGTTTTTGTTTTTGTTTTGAGAGTCTTGCTCTGTCGCCCCGGCTGCAGTGCAGTGTGGCATGATCTCAGCTCATTGCAGCCTCCACCTTCCAGGTTCAAGAGATTCTCCTGTCTTAGCCACCTGAGTGGCTGGGACTACAGGCATGCGCCACCATGTCCGGCTAATTTTTGTGTTTTTAGTAGAGATGTAGTTTTGCCATGTTGGCCAGGCTAGTCTGGAAGTCCTCACCTCACGTGATCCACCTGCCTCCGGCTCCCAAAGTGCTGGGATTACAGGTGTGAGCCACTGTACCTGGCCTCCCCGTAAGTATTTTAACATACATATCTTTTTTTTTTTGAGATGGAATTTCACTCTTGTCGCCCAGGCTGGAGTGCAGTGGCGCAGTCTCAGCTCACTGCAACCTCTGCCTCCGGGGTTCAAGCGATTCTCCTGCCTCAGCCTCCTGAGTAGCTGGGATTACAGGCGTCTGCCACCATGCCCAGCTAATTTTTGTATTTTTAGTAGAGATGGCGTTTCACCACGTTGGCCAGGCTGGTTCAAACTCCTGACCTCAGGTGATCCACCCGTCTCGGCCTCCCAAAGTGGTGGGATTACAGGCATGAGCCACTGCGCCCTGCCTATATATATCTTTAACTAGAGTGCCATATTTACAGTTTTTTAAATTGAGGTAAAATTCACATAACTAAAACTAACCATTTTAAAGTATACAGTGTCATATAGTACATTTACAGTATACAGCCATCATTTCTATCTAGTTCCAAACATTTTCATCACCCCAGAAGGAAACCCAACAACCGTTAAACAGTTACTCTCCATTCCCTCCTTTTTTTTTTTTTTTTTTTTTTTTTGAGACAGAGTTTAGCTCTGTTGCCCAGGCTGGAGTGCAGTGGCCTAATTTTGGCTCACTGCAACCTTCACCTCCCGGGTTCAAGCAATTCTCCTTACTCAGTCTCCCGAGTAGCTGGGACTACAGGTGCCCATGACTAAGTTTTTGTATTTTTAGTAGAGATGGGGTTTCACCATGTTCCCCAGGCTGGTCTCGAACTCCTGACCTCAGGTGATCCGCTGGCCTTGGCCTCCCAAAGTGCTGGGATTACAGGCGTGAGCCACTATTCCCAGCCTCCATTCCCTCCTTTCTTTATCCGCTGTCAACCACTAGTCTGTTTTTTGTCTGTATGGATATACCTGTTTTGGATATTTCATGTACAGTCATGTGCTGCATAACGATGTTTTGGTCAGTGATGGACCATATATATGATGGCATATGCTCGATGGTGGTCCCATAAGATTAAAATGAATCTGTCCTATACAGGTGTATCAGTTTTTATCTTTTATGCCATATTCTTACTGTGCCTTTTCTATGTTTAGATATGTTTAGAGACGCACATACTTACCATTGCCTACAGTGTTCAGTACAGTAACATGCTGTTTAGGTTTGTAGCCTAGGAGCAATAGGACATACCATATAGCCTAGGTGCGTGTAGTAGGCTATACCCTAGGTTTGTGTAAGTACACTCTTTGATGTTTGCGTAATGATGAAGCTGCCTAACAATACATTTCTCAGAACATATCCCTGTCATGAAGCAACGCATGACTGTAAATGTAATCATACAATATGTGACTTTTTATGTCTTGTTTCATTCACTTAGCATAATGTTTTTGAGGTTCATTCATATAATTTTTATTATGTACAATGAAATGTAAAATCTTGTGTACATTTGCCTATTTTTGAAAAATTCATATGTGTGTAACCCAAACCTTTATCATCATATCGAATATTGCCATCATCCTGGAAAGTTCCCTCATGCCCCGTCCCAGTCAGTATCCCCAGTTCAGAGACAACCACTGTTTGATTTTTCTTCCACAATTGATTGGTTTTGCCTATTCTAGAACTTCATATAAATGGAATGATACTGTATGTGCTCATTTTCTGTAAGATGTTATTCGGCATTTTTTTTAAGGTTCATATTGTTCCATGTATATCAGTAGTTGGTTTCTTTTAATTGTTGAATGGTATTCTGTTTGAATATACTGCAGTTTGTTTATTCTTTCGTCAGTTTATTGATGACCATTTGTCTATATTGTTTTTAAGTGCTGTTGAGGAGAGTCTTTGTCTTACAGTCTCCCAGGAAGGCTAATTCTTGACCAGATAGAAAAAATACACAAGAGAAATATTTTAAAATAATTTTAATGAAACAAATAATGTGGTATTTTCTTTCTTCAAAGCATTTGGCCATCCAGTGTCATTGGTCTCAGAGGCCAGCAGTTATTGGAGATGTCCTTCAAGTCTACAGTGGGTCTGAAGGGAGGGCTATTATTTTCTGTGAGACCAAGAAGAATGTAACTGAAATGGCCATGAATCCACACATAAAACAGGTAAGTCTTTTTTTCATGCTTTCTCTAATTGAAATTATGGGGATGAATCACTGAACGAAAATTATATTGTCCTTTGTGGACCAGATTTGATAGTCATTCTCAAAACTGAGTTGTAAGGCTGGGCATGGTGGCCCACACCTGTAATCCTGTGACCTGATAAGTCAGGATAGAATTTTATCAGTTTTGTTTGTTTGTCTTGAGACAGGGTCTCCCTCTTATGCCCAGGCTGGAGTGCAGTGGGACAATCATGGCTCACTGCATTCTTGACTTCCTGGGCTCAGGTGATTCTCCCACCCCAGCCTCTTGAGTAGCTGGGACTACAGGTGCGTGCCACAATGCCCAGCTCATTTTTTGCGTATTTTGTAGAGATAAGATTTCACCATGTAGCCCAGGCTGGTCTTGAACTCCTGGGCTCAAGCAATTCCGCCCTCCCCTTGGCCTGCCGAAATGCTGGGATTACAGGTGTGAGCCATCACACCTGACCTCTATCAGATTTTATCAGTTTTTTTTTAAGACTTTGAAAATGTGATCTGGAAAATATAAAAGTTGAAACAAAATGAATTTCTATGGGTAAGAGAGGGTAATATTTTAGAGTTGTGTTACAAAACTACAAATTTTTATTAAATTAATAAATCAGAATACTAAATCCATGTGTTTTTTTCTTTCTTAAAAAATATCTTTTGGCTGGGCACGGTAGCTCATGGCTGTAATCCCAGCACTTTGGGAGGCTGAGGTGGGTGGATCGCCTGATGTCAGGAGTTCAAGACCAGCCTGGTCAACATGTTGAAACCCCATCTCTACTAAAAATATAAAAATTAGCCGGTGTGGTGGTGGGCGCCTGTAATCCCAGCTACTCAGGAGGCTAAGGCAGGAGAATTGCGTGAACCCAGGAGTTCAGTGATGTAGCGGGGAGCTGAGATTGTGCCACTACACTCCAGCCTGGATGACAGAGTGAGACTCCATCTCAAAAAAAAAAAAAAAAAGAAAGGGAAAAAAAAAACCTTTTAAAGAAAATGTCAAACATGGACAAAAGTTGGTAGAATCATGTAAGGAACCCCTATGTATTCATCCACCAGCTTCAGTAATTATTTTATCTATATGCTAACCTACCTACTCTTTCAGAAGTATTTTGATGCAAACCCTGGATATCATATTATTATATCCATAAATGTTTGGTTATGTATCTCTAAAAAGGATTTTCAAAAAAAAAAATAACAATACTGTTATCACATCTAAAAAATTAATATTTAGAAATATTAATTCATTTCACATTATCAATTGTCTTACAAATGGTTATTTTCTTTTATTGTTTGTTTTCTTGAATCTGAGTCCAAATAAGGTTTTTACATTGTGTGATTATTAAGTTGCTTTTAATATATGGATTACTCCTTTATGCATTTTTTGTAGCTTTTTTTGTTTGAGAAACTACATTGCCATAAATCTAGAGTATTGCTTCCCCATGATGTCATTTAGCATGTTCCTCTGTCTTCCATATTTTCTGAATATTCAGGTTTGTTTGTTTGTTTGTTTAGGGCAGAACTACTTCATAGGTGGTGTACTTCCGGCAGGAGGTATATATGTCTAGTTCTTTTTGTGATGCTAACATCCACCAATAATCAGTGCCATCAGTCCTTATGTCACTGTCTCTCCAGTCATTTTTGTTGTTTGTGACTTGTTATTAAGTAGATTCCTGAGAAAGGGCTTATGGAAACAGTATCGCCTATTGATAATATCTTGTTTGTGTCTTTATACCTCAAAATTATTTTGGCTCTATATAAAATTCTTGGTTCACATTTTCTTTCCTTCATTGTCTTAAATATGTTACTTTACTGTTTTTGGAATAAAGCATCGGTATAAAAAGTGAGATGCCAGTCTAATCTTTTTTCCTTATATGTGATTTTCTTAAAATCTTTTTTCTAAGTGATTTCCTTTAAAAATCGGTAGTTTTACTAGAATATATTTTGGTGGTGTTCTTTGTCAGTTTTTCTGGGTACGCAGTGTACACTTTCAATTTGTAGTTTCATATGTATTTTTTAAAAGTTTCAACAAAATTTTCTTGAATTACAATTTTTAGCATTTGGTTTTACAGTTGCTTTGGTTTTCTTCTTTAAGGACTCTTGTTGTGCATATATTGACTGTTTGTTTTGAATCTCCCTTGTCACATCAAATCTTTTTCCTCTTTTTCCTTATTCAGTTTTCAAAATTTCTCTCTTTTTTTTTAAGAGACAGGATCTTGCTGTGTTGCCCACATGGGAGTGCAGTGGCTATTCACAGATGTAATCATGGCACTTGATAGCTTTGAGCTCCTGTAGCTGGGACTGTAGGCATGCACCACTACACATGCCTCAAAATTTCGCATTTTTAAAAAATCTGTTGTGTTTATTCAGTCTTTTACTCTTTCTAGTATAGTCTTAATTTGTGAAAAGTTATCTTTTATTTCTACTTCTTTCTTGAGTTATTTTATCTCATTGAAAAACTGAAAAGTTTTTCTTGATTTTTGTTCTTTATTACAGCATTAAAATTTTTTCTTTTAGCAGGCATGGTGGCTCACACCTGTAATCTCAGCACTCTGGGATTCTAAGTTGAGGATTGCTTGAGCCCAGGAGTTCAAGAAAAGCCTGGGCAATATAGCAAGACCCTGTCTCTACAAAAAATAAAAAAATTAGCCAGAGGTGGTGGTGTGTGCCTGTACTCCCAGCTGCTCAGGAGGCTGAGGTGGGAGAACTTCATGAGGCCAGGAGCTAGAGGTTACAATGAGCTGTGATCGTGATGCTGTACTCTATCTTGGGTGACAGAGTATGACCCTTTCTCTCTCTTTTTTTTTTTTTTTTGAGAGTCTCCTATTGCCCAGGCTGGAGTGTAGTGGTACAATCTCGGCTCACTGCAACCTCTGTCTGCCTCCTGGGTTCAAGCGACTCTCCTGCCTCAGCCTCCTGAGTAGCTGGGACTACAGGCGCATGCCACCACACCCAGCTAGTTTTTGTATTTTTAGCAGAGACGGGTTTCACCATATTGGCCAGGCTGGTCTCAAACTCTTGACCTCGTGATCTGCCCGCCTTGGCCTCCCAAAGTGCTGGAATTAATTACAGGTGTGAGCCACCGCACCTGGCTGAGTATGACCCTTTCTCTTAAAAAAAAAAAAAAAAAAAAATTCTGTTTGTGTGTGTGTATATATACATATAAAACTTTAAAAACTTTTATATATTATTTATATATTTAATATATATAATATATATTTTATTTTTTTTTCGGAGATGGGGTCTCTGTCACCCAGGCTCAAGTGCAGTGGCATGATCTTGGCTCACTGCAGCCTTCACCTCCCAGGTTCAAGTGATCCTCCCACCTCAGCCTCCTGAGTACCTGAAACCACAGGTGCATGCTACCATGCCTGGCTAAGTTTCATTTTTGTAGAGATGGGATTTCTCTAAGTTGCCCAGGCTGCTCTCAGTCCTGAGCTCAAGTGATCCACTTGCCTCTGCCTCCCAAAGTGCTGGGATTACAGTCGAAAGCCACTGTGCCCAGCCAATATATGATATATATGTATATTTTATTTTATTTATTATCTTTTAATTTTTTGTTGAGACACAGTTTCACTCTATCAGCCAGGCTGGAGTGCAGTGGCAAGATCCCGGCTCACTGCAACCCTCCGCCTCTTAGGTTCAAGCGATTCTTATGGGTCAGCCTCCAGAGTAGCTGGGATTACAGGTACACACCACCACACCCGGCTAATTTTTGTATATTTAGTAGAGATGGGGTTTCACCATGTTGGGCAGGCTGGTCTCGAACTGCTGACCTCAAGTGATCGTTTTGCCTCGGCTTCCCAAAGTGCTGGGATTATAGACGTGAGCCACCATACCCGGCCATATATGTTTGTTTGAGTTCATTCACAATGGTATGCTTTTATTTGTTTTGTGGATAAGCTTTTCTAGATCACTTTATTTGAGGAGATAGTCTGCTTTTTTTTTTTTTTTTTTTTTTTTTTTTTTGAGACAGAGTCAAGCTCTGTGGCCCAGGCTGGAGTGCAGTAGTGTGATGTCAGCTCACTGTGACCTCTGCCTCCCAGGTTCAAGCGATTTTCCTGCCTCAGCATCCACAGTACTACAGTAGCTGGGATTAGAGTTGCTGGGATTATAGTCGGTGGCACCACGCCCAGCTAATTTTTGTATTTTTTGTAGAGATGGGGTTTCACCATGTTGGGCAGGCTGGTCTAGAACTCCTGACCTCAAATGATCCACCTGCCTAGGCCTCCCAAAGTGCTGGGATTACAGGCATGAGCCACCGTGTCTGCCAAAATTTTTTTTTTTTAAGAGACAGGGTCCCACCATGTTGCCAGCGTTGGAGTGCCTTGGCTATTCACAGACACAATAATAGCACACTGCAGCCTCTAACTCCTGGCCTTAAGGGATCTTCTCTCATCAGCCTCCTGAGTAACTGGGACTACAGGCATGTGCCACTGTTCCCAGCTTATTCTGCCTCTTATTGTTTTTTTCCTTCCTAATTACTTTCTGTGAGATTTGACTGTGATCTCTTCTGTTGCTCATTTTTAAATTAAGTTAAACTTTGAACCTTAGATGGGAAGGCATTGGTGAGAATACTTCTGGCGTCACAGCTCTAGAGCTGCTGCTTTTGTTATTTTTGTTAGTGCTTAAAAATATAGTCTGTAAATTATATCTGAGTAAAGCTGTTAAAAAAAAAAGGTCTACTTTCTAGTTCTAGCTGTGTCTTTCCTCATTTTTCTCTGTATCTTTTTTTTTCTTTGATCCTGTTATTCTTGGCATCCTTAGTTTAGATCCTCTGTCCAGCAGTTTCTCCTCAGTATGGGGCTTTGTCCTGGAAAGTGAGCATTGGCTGTTAATTTAGAAAGTTTTTATAGGGCCCAGCTTGCTCCAATCCCTGCAGACCTTAACTCTGGCTCCTCACAATCACCCTCAAGTATATAAAAATCCTCCCAGGTTCAGCTGCTGTTGTCAACAATTTGAGAATATGCCTTCCAGGTAGCTTTTCAGTATGCTTTCAAGATGTCAGACCTGAAAGACTGGGTCCCTGAATCACCTGTTCTTAGGACTAGCAAATTCCCCCACGTAGATACAAGAATTATCCTTCCCTGCTCATGGTTTTTTTTTTTTTTTTTTTTTTTTTGAGAAGGAGTTCTGCTCTTGTTGCCCAGATTGGAGTGCAATGGTGCGATCTTGGCTCACCACAACCTCTGCCTCCCGGGTTCAAGTGATTCTCCTGCCTGAGTCTCCCAAGTAGCTGGGATGGCAGGCATGCGCCACCATGCCCAACTAATTTTTTTTTTTTTATTTTTAGTAGAGACAGGGTTTCTTCATATTTGTCAGGCTGGTCTCGAACTCTCGATCTCAGATGATCCACCCGCCTCGGCCTCCCAAAGTGCTGGGATTACAGGCATGAGCCACCGCGCCCAGCCTCTGCTTATGTTTTAGAAATCATGAGACCATTTTGTCAGTTATTTGTTACATGTGTCATCTGTGGATTTTTAGTTTTGTTATCCTAGTTGATGTGTGTTATGTGGGAACTAGAGACTCAAAGTCACTGTCTTCCCCAGTGTCATTTTAACTAATTGTGTAGCATTAGCTTTGATGTTTAAATGTCCAGTATAGGCCAGGCATGCCTGTAATTCTAGCACTTTGGGAGGCTGATGTGGGAGGATCATTTGAGGTCAGGAGTTTGAGACCAGCCTGGGCAGCATAATGAGACACTGTCTCTATAAAAAGTTAAAAATTAGCCAGGGCCAGCTGCAATGGCTCACGCCTGTAATCCTAGCATTTTGGGAGGCCGAGGTAGGCAGATTGCCTGAGCTCAGAAGTTCGAGACCACCCTGTGCAACATGGTGAAACCCGGTCTCCACTAAAATACAAAAAATTAGCCAGGTGTGGTGATGCACACCTGTAGTCCCAGCTGCGTGGGAGGCCGAGGCACGAGAATCACTTGAGCTAGGGAGGCAGAGGTTGCAGTGAGCCGAGATCGCGCCATTGCACTCCATCCTGGGCAACAGAGCAAGACTCTGTCTCCAAAAAAAAAAAAGATTAGCCAGTTGTGGTGGCACGTTCCTGTATTCCTGTCTACTTGGGAGGCTGAGGCAAGAGGATTGCCTGAGCCCAAGAGTTAGAGGTTGCAGTGAGCTATGAACATGACACCGCATTCCAGCCTGGGCGACAGAGCGAAACTCCGTCTCAAAAAACATAAATAAAATAAAATAAAATAAATAAAGTCCTTTATAAACAGATAGATGGTAAATAGTGAAAGAGTGGTAGAGGGTAATTGATTTACCTTTCTTTTCGTTGCTTTAAAATATTCAGTAGCGGTTGTCTTGCAGAAGCTGTTTTTTAATCTTGAAGAAATTGTCTTGCTACAAAGGCTGGGGGAGAATTCCCCTTTCAGTGGACAGTAATCTGTTTCTGTGATTTGGAGAATGGAATTCTCCATCCTCCATTCTGCTGGGTGACTTTGCTATTTAGATAGAAAGTACTAGTAGTATCTCATTATGAGTTATATGGGATTTTATGGATTAACTACAGAATCTGAATAGTTTTTTGTTTTTATTTTTAAATTGTAATTTACTTGTAAAAAGTCAAGTTTTACTTGGTTTCCCCCAGAAACAAATGCCTTCTAAATTCTAAACAGCTGGGTTTGGTGGTGCACCTGTAATCCCAGCTACTCAGGAGGTTGGGGCGGGAGAATCGATTAAGCCCCAGGCAACACAGCAAGAACCCACTCTCTAAATGAATGAATGAATGAATCATTAAACAGTCTCTGTGTCTCACACAGAGATACACACACACACACACACACACACACACACACACTTTTGGAAAAAAAAATTATTCAAAAGTTGGAGACCTGGAAACCATCACTGATACCATGAATGTAGTATGTTCCTCTTAGGACAAATTATCAAGTAAAAAAAACCCCTGTGTTCTTTTTTTTTGAGAGAGGGTCTTACTCCGTCGCCCAGGCTGAAGTGCAGTGGTGTGATCACGGCTCACTGCAGCCTCAGTCTCCCAGGCTCCAGTGGTTCTCCCACCTCAGCCTCCCAACCAGCTGGGACTACAGGCATGCGCCACCACACCTGGCTAATTTTTTATTTTTTGTAGAGACAGGGTCTCCTTGTGTTACCCAGGCTGGTCTCGAACTCTTAGCCTCAAGCAGTCCTCCCACCTCGGCCTCCCAAAGTGCTGGGATTACAGGCATGAGAAAAAAACCTGTGTTGCAATTGAAAAATTCACTATGAAAAACTGTCCAACTTATTTATAGTATATTTGTTTATAACTTTTTTTCAAAAATTAGATGTTTCTTCTCTTGAAATATTTTTCTTAACTTGGGTTATATGATAACCACACAGGTTTATTTTCTTCTTTGGCTAACCTTTCCCAGTTTCTGTTGAGGTCTTTTTATATTCTTGTCTATACTTTAAATATTGGTATTCCTTACAGATCTGATTCTTACTCTACATATTTTTCATGGAGGAAAAAAGAATAGTGATTAATAGCACAGACTTGGGAGTCAGATTGGGGTTTAAATCTCAGTTATGCTACTTACTAGCATAATTTTGTACATACGTACATATGCACACATACTTACGTACATATATTGTCCTGCTTTTAAGAAGTGGTATTTCAAGTATCTGCTTTTGGTGAAGAAAAAGTAAATTAAAAAAATATATATTTGCCAAGCATGGTGGCCCATGCCTATTAGCCCAGCACTTTGGGAGGCCAAGGCAGAAAGATTGCTTGAGCCCAGGAATTTGAGACTAGCGTGGGCATTTCATTTATATAGTAGATATATTTTTAAAGGGAGTCTTATGCATGAATTAAACATCTTAAAATGTATTATGGAAATTGTATAAGCTTCCTATTTAAAGGGATACTTTTGAGCTGGCCGCCATGGTTCATGCCTGTAATTCTAGCTACTCAGGAGACTGAGGTGGGAGGATCTCTTAGCCCAGTATTTTGAGGTTGTAATGAGCTATGATTTTGCCATTGCAATGTAGGTTGGGCGACAGAGCAAGATTCCATCTCTTTAAAATAAATGAATAATAAAAGGATGTTTTTGAAATTAAAAGAATTTCCCTGGGAAGCCAAGACAGGAAAATTTCTTGAGGCCAGGCATTCAAAAGCAGCATGGAAACATAGCAAGAATCTGTCTCTACAAAAAATAAAAAAATTGCCTAGGTGTGGTGGGACACACCTGTGGTCCAAGCTACTGAGGAGGCTGAGGTGGGAAGCATTTCTTGAGTCTAGGAGGTCGAGGCTACAGTGAGCAATGATCATGCCACTGCACTCCACCCTGGGCGACCGAGTGAGACCCTGTCTCCATAATAAATAAATAAAATTTAAAAGGTGGTATTAAAAATTACTTTCTTTTTTACCATTTTAAGATTTAGGTGGGCCAGGCACGATGGCTTACATCTGTAATCCCAGCACTTTGGGAGGCCAAGGCAGGAGGATCACTTGAGCTCAGGAGTTTAAAACCAGCCTGGGCAACATAGTGAGACTTCATCTCTATATTATTTTTTAAAAAATTGTTTATTTAAAGCATTTTGCGTAGTGCATTTCTTTTCTTGAAGCAAGGAGTCAATTAGTATAGGAATATAGAAGTATAGATATGTATAGATAGGTCTAATCACTCCTGTGGCTCCAGTCATTGAGTATATGGTAATGATACCCAAATCTTTTTCTCACTGGGATCTGCCTCAAGAATACTAGACCTACTAGCCACAGACACACCAACCTTTATGTTCCTAAACCTAAATTAATTAACTTTCTACACTCCTATACCCACTCTGTCTCCAGCATTCCCTAGGGCTAAATCATACATCTACCCATTGCTTAAACCAGAAATTTATGTATTATTCTTGAATTTATTCCTTACCCTTGGCCATCCAGCCAACTACATAGTATTTTTGGATTATATCTCCTATGGTTTAAAGTGTCCCATTTATTTCTTTTTTCTTTTCTTTTTTTTTGAGACGGAGTCTTGCTCTTTCACCAGGCTGGAGTGCAGTGGCGCGATCTCGGCTCACTGCAACCACCACCTCCTGGGTTCAAGCGATTCTCCTGCGTCAGCCTCCCGAAGCTTGTATTACAGGCGTGTGCCACCACGCCTCGCTAATTTTTGTATTTTTAGTGGAGAGGGGGTTTTGCCATGTTGGCCAGGCTGGTCTGGAACTCCTGACCTCAAGCGGTCCACCCACCTCCGTCTCCCACAGTACTGGGATTACAGGTATGAGCCACTATGCCCAGCCTGGTCCCTTCCTTCCTTCCTTCCTTCCTTCCTTCCTTCCTTCCTTCCTCTCTCTCTCTCTCTCTCTCTTTCTTTCTCTTTCTTTCTTTCCTTCCTTCCTTCCTTCTTTCCTTCTTTCCTTCCTTTCCTTTCTTTCCTTCCTTTCCTTTCTTTCCTTTCTTCCTTCCTTTCTTTCCTTCTTTTCTTTCTTTTCTTTCCAGATGGAGTTTCACTCTTGTTGCCCAGGCTGGAGTGCAATGTTGTGATCTTGGCTCACTGCAACCTCCACCTCCTGGGTTCAAGTGATTCTGCTGCCTCAGCCTCCTGAGAAGCTGGGACTACAGGCGTGCACCACCACACCCAGCTAATTTTTGTATTTTTAGTAGAGACGAGGTTTCACCATTTTGGCCAGGATAGTCTCAATCCCTTGACCTCATGATCCGCCCACCTTGCTCTCCCAAAGTGCTGGGATTACAGGCATGAGCCACTGCGCCTGGCCTCTTTTTTTTTTTTTTTTTTTGAGATGGAGTCTCACTGTGTCGCCCAGACTGGAGTGCAGTGGTGCGATGTCGACTCACTGAAACCTCCGTCCTCTGCCCCCGGGTTCAAGTGATTCTCCTGCCTCAGCCTCCCTAGTAGCTGGGATTACAGGTGTGCAACACCATACCCGGCTAATTTTTGTATTTTTAGTGGAGACGGGGTTTTGCCATGTTGGCCAGGCTGGTCTGGAACTCCTGACCTCAAGTGATCCGCCCACTTTGGCTTCCCAAAGTACTGGGATTACAGGTGTGAGCCACTGTGCCCAGCCTGGTCCCTTTCTTCCTTCCTTCCTTCCTTTCTTTTCCTTCCTTTCCTTTCCCTTCCTTCCTTCCTTCCTTTCTTTCCTTTCCTTTTTTTTTTTTTTTTTTTTTTGATGGAGTTTCGCTCTTGTCGCCCAAGCTGGAGTACGATGATGTGATCCCAGCTCACTGCAACTTCTGCCTCCCGGGTTCAAGCGATTCTCCTACCTCAGCCTCCTGAGTAGCTGGGATTACAGGTGCCTGCCATCATGCCTGGCTAATTTTTGTATTTTTAGTAGAGACGGGGTTTCACCACATTGGCCAGTCTGGTCTCAAACTCCTGACCTCAGGTAATCCACCCGCCTTGCCCTTCCAAAGTGCTGGGATTATAGGCGTGAGCCACCGTGCTCAGCCTTCATTTATTTCTTACACCAGTTGCAGAAGCTAAACATCTGAGAATCATGTATAATGTATCTCTTTCCTTTATACATCATTTCTACTCCCTTGAGTATGTCCTTCCAATTTCATCAACTAATAGTTCTTGAATTCAGTTATGGTGTAGCCTCTAGCCTCTACTTACCTTTCCAGCCTCATCTTACACTTCCCTCTCATTTTTTCATTTTGTGCACACACTCCATACATGCCATGGTTTTGTTTTTTTTGGGGGTGGGGAGACAGGGTCTCACTCTGTCCCCCAGCCTGGAGTACAGTGGCACAATGGCTTATTGGAGCCTCAACTGCGTGGGCCAAAGTGATCCTCCCACCTCAGCCTCCCAAGTAGCTGGGACGACACGTATGTGCCCCTACAGCTGGCTAACTTTTTATTTTTTATAGAGATGGAATATCCTTACATAGCCCAGGCTGGTATTGAACTACTGGGCTCCAGCCATCTCCCGCTTTGGCCTCCCAAAGTGCTGGGATTACAGGCATGAGCCACCATGCTGGTCAGCTCTTGAATTTGTAGTCTACCTTGCCTAGCAACTCCTACTCATCCTTCAGATCTCAGTCCAAAGCATCACTTTTTAGGGAATCCTTTCTTGCCCCAAGCTAGGTCAGATTGTCCTCTTATAAAGCCTCATTGCCTCTTAGACCCGTGCATCATCCATTACATTCATTGTCTAAATTTATTTGTGGTCCTAATTATTTGATTAATGTCCATCTTTCTGACCAGGATATAAAGACTATGAGGACAGAAGCAGTCTTATTTTTGTTCACCTTTTTATCCCTAGTGCCCAACATGTTGTAGGTCATTATTATATTTGTGGAGTAAATAGGTGGTCATTGCCACCATCTTAGGCCACCGATAACCTCTTTATTTCCTTTTTCAGAAACAGGGTCTTGCTCTGTCACCCAGGCTGGTGGGTGGGTGACGGATCATTAAAAAAAAAAATATATATATATATATATGTATATATATATATATACACAAACACACACACACACAATTTTTTTTTTGAGATGGAATTTTGCTCTGTTGCCCAGGCTGGAGTGCAGTGGCACAGTCTCGGGTCACTGCAACCTCTGCCTCCCGGTTTCCAGTGATTCTCCTGCCTCAGCCTCCCAAGTAGCTAGGATTACAGGCGCCCGCCACCACACCCGGCTACTTTTTTAGTAGAGACGGGGTCTCACCATGTTGGTCTCGAACTCCTGACCTCAGGTGATCCACCTACCTCGGCCTCCCAAAGTGCTAGGATTACAGGCATGAGCCACTGTGCCTGGTCGTATAATTTAATATGTTCATGATATTTTTCTGCTTATAATCATTCAGTTGTTTCATATTGTCCTCAGGATAAAGTTCATATTCTATTCCAATCTCATCTCTCACTCCCTAACCCCTCATCCCCGCTCCCTTTTCAGTCTGTTCCAGCAGTGCTCAAATATTTGTAGGTTCCACTCCCCATTCTTTATGTATGATATTTCTTCTACCAGGAACTCCCTAGCCTTCTGCTCCTTCTTTTACCTAGTAGTTCCTTATGATGTTAGGTCTCAGCTTCAGTGCTGCTTTCCCCTCAAACAAGACTGAGTTAGATTTCCCTCTTAAGTATTCCTGTAACACTCTGAACCTATACCTGTGATAGCACACATCATACTGTATTGAAGATGCCTGTCAGCTGGTTGTCCCAGAGCCATTTCTTTATGAATGTTCTGGAACCAGGTATAATCCAGGCAGATAGCAAGTGCTCACTGAATTCATTCATGTATATGTTAAGCTATTTAGATACCAAGGCTGAAATACTGTTGGGGTTAAATTACTGTTATGAACTTCTGTTTTTTGAGACAGAGTCTCACTCTGCCACCCAGGCTAGAGTGCAGTGGAGCGATTACGGCTCACTGCAACTTTTACCTCCTGGGTTCAAATGATTCTCCTGCCTTAACCTCTCGAGTAGCTGGGATTACAGGCATGCACCACCATACCTGGCTAATCTTTGTATTTTTAGTAGAGATGAGGTTTCACCATGTTGGCCAGGCTGGTCTTGAACTCCTGACTTCAAGTGATCCACCCACGTCAGCCTCCCAAAGTGCTGGGATTACAGGCATGAGCCACTGAGCCTGGCCTGATCATTGTTATGAACTTTTTGACTTTAATATAGTGGCCAGGAATACTAGGAAGTGTATTTATAATACCAGGAAATTTGCAGCAGAGATGAAGATCTACCTAATATAAATAGGTTCAGTGTCACTAATGCAGCAGAGATGAAGATCTACCTAATATAAATAGGTTCAGTGTCACTAAAAATTACAGACATGTAAATTAAAACAACATTGGGAAATTATTTTTGCCTATTAAATTCACAAAGATTACAATGATTTATAATATACACAAGCTGGGTAGGGTATGTTGAAATAAATACTCATAGAGTATTGAAGAATAAAAGGTACACAACTTTTTTTATAATACAGTTTTTTAAATAATACAGTTTCTGTTAAAATGCTACATGTTCATAATTTTTGACCCAGAAATTCAACTTCTAGATATGTATCCTACTGAAATATACAGATACTGAGGCATCCAGAGATACAAGTACAAAGTTACAAAGTTGTTCATTGCAACATTGTTTGTTTGTTTGTTTTTTTTTTTTTTGAGATGAAGCTTCACTCTTGTCCCCCAGGCTGGAGTGCAATGGCACGATCTCAGCTCACTGCAACCTCCACCTCCCGGGTTCAAGCTATTCTCCTGTCTCAGCCTCCCAAGTAGCTGGAATTACAGGTGCCTGTCACTGCGCCTAGCTAATTTTTTGTATTTTTAGTAGAGACAGAGTTTCACCATGTTGGCCAGGCTGGTCTCAAACTCCTGACCTCGGGTGATCTGCCTGTCTCGGCCTCCCAGAGTGCTGGGATTACAGGTGTGAGCCACCATGCCCGGCCCATTGCAGCATTGTTTCTAAAGGTGAAAATGTGAATACAGCCCAAAAGTTCATCAGTAGGATATTGCTAAAATAGATGCTGGTGCATCCATATGAATAAATTATATACAGTTTAAAAAAATTAAGTAGCATTTTATCTATAGATGTGGATAGCTAAGATACACTAAATTTATCAAGTAGGTTACAAAACCCTACCTATGTAATATCCACGTTATAAATAAATACATAAAGTCATAGTATATGCTAGTGTAATGTGAGTATGTGTGTATTAAAAAAAAAAAGTGGCCGGGTGTGGTGGCTCACGCCTGTAATCCCAGCACTTTGGGAGGCAGAGGCTGGCGGATCACCTGAGGTCAGCGAGTTCAAGACCAGCCTGATCAACATGGTGAAACCCTGTTTCTACTAAAAATACAAAAATTAGCTGGGCATAGTGGCAGGCACCTGTAATCCCAGCTACTCGGGAGGCTGAGGTAGGAGAATCGCTTGAACCTGGGAGGTAGAGGTTGCAGTGAGCCAAGATCGCTCCATTGCACTCCAGCCTGGGCAATAAGAGCAAAACTCTGTCTAAAAAAAAAAAAAAATCTGACAGAATATTTACCAAACTCTTAGCAGTGAATTATTTCTAAGTCACTAGTATTAGGGAAGCTTTTACATTTTATGTTAAATATTTTCTGTCATGTTTGACTTTTTTTTTTTACAGTAAGCATGCATTGTTAAAATCATCAAAGTAAGATTTAAAAACATGCAAAAGGAGCACAGACTAGATGTTGTTGTGCTATCAGTTGCAAGTATGAGCTGTACACTTAATTTTCTCCCCCTTTCTCAAATAGAATGCCCAGTGTTTACATGGGGACATTGCACAGTCACAAAGAGAAATTACACTAAAAGGCTTCAGAGAAGGTAGTTTTAAAGTTTTGGTGGCAACCAATGTGGCTGCCCGTGGTTTGGACATTCCTGAAGTTGACCTGGTGATTCAAAGTTCTCCTCCTCAGGTAGGAAATGGGATTTGATTTGGGAAAAATAAGAGCAATTTTATAAATTCCCATTTAATTTACAACATATTGCTTGGGATGTGAAAAATATGTCATCTCTTCTTGCTCTTAGCCATTTTTTGTTAGTGTGCTATTAAATTTATCAGATTCTGATACTTTTGCAGATGATTAACTCTATTGTTTGTATTTGAAGCATGGAGCAACAAAATCAGGCAGAGAATTACAAAAAGTTGCCATAAAGAAACCTGGGATGAGGTGGATTAAAAGGTTTTAAATCATATTGCCTTTACCCCAAAATCCACACATATAAATTGTTTGGAATGTTGAAAAGGGCAACAGGATTGAAATAAATATATTATTATTAACATTATTATTTGGATTCCGGAATGACTGCAACTTGCTAGATTTTTAAAAAATATTACCTTTTATAATCTTTAGGATGTTGAGTCCTATATCCATCGCTCTGGACGCACAGGTAGAGCTGGACGGACAGGGATTTGTATATGTTTTTATCAACCAAGAGAAAGAGGTCAACTAAGATATGTGGAACAAAAAGCAGTAAGTAGAGTTAAATTATTTCAGGCTTATTGTCTAAATGGTGCCTTAAAAGAGAGCTCTTCTTATATTTATTCTTACAAGTAGGTCTTCATAACTTTTCTCAGTTTAAGCTGCATTTGGCTGTGAAGCCTGTGGAGATCTAAATTTATATTAGCTTCAAGACTTTAATACAGCTTTTATTGTGAAGACAGTGGAGCTGACTTTCTCATCTTTTCCTTGAATTTCTCTCTTCATACTAAAATCAGAAGTGCATTGTGATTTCAGTACTTCTTAGTGTAAATGGGTGACTAAAAGATTGTCTTGGTATAATAGTTAAGATTCTTTTAAGTATGGTACAATAGACAGTTTCTAAAGAAACTGTACATTTTCTGTGGTCTGGATTTTTTGTGGTATTTCACATTTTTTCCTATTTTTATATGTGTTTTTATATGCAATTTCATATACTTTGTAAAATGAGATAGTGTAATAAGGAAAAAAGCTGATAGATTTAAACATCTGTTTTGTTTTGTTTTTTTTTCAAATCAGGCTTGTTTTACAAGTGAAATTCCATGATTGTAACTAAGGGGCAATTCAAAAAATTATTTTTCTCTTTCTGAAATTTGTAATTGATGATTTATGAGAAAAAAAAGATCTTGGCTGGGTGCAGTCACTCACGCCTGTAATCCCAGCACTTTGGGAGGCGGAGATGGGCAGATCACTTGAGGTCAGGAGTTTGAGACCAGCCTGCCCAACATGGTGAAACCCCATCTCTACTAAAAATACCAAAATTAGCTGGGCATGGTGGTAGACACCTGTAATCCCAGCTACTATGGAGGCTGAGGCAGGAGAATTGCTTGAGCCCAGGAGGTGGAGGTTGCAGTGAGCCAAGATCACGCCACTGCACTCCAGCCTGGGCAACAGAGCAAGACTCTGTGTCAAAACAAAAACAAAAACAAAAACAAAAAAGATAAAACTGATCTTTTAATCTGCTAGGGCTATGAAATCTTTAAATGCAAGAAATAGAAATTCAACGAACTATTAAAATATTAATTTAGGAATTAATTGTAAAGACTTCCATTTTTCTTTAATGTAACTCTTTCATTTTCAGGGAATTACTTTTAAACGTGTAGGTGTTCCTTCTACAATGGATTTAGTTAAATCTAAAAGCATGGATGCCATCAGGTATGCTTTCTGAACTTGCTGAATAATTGTTTCTTTTGTATTAGGCTATTCATCTGTAAGCTCTCCCAGTTCAAATAGCAGAAAATTTTACCACCAGTTTTACCAGCAGACATTTAGTTATATTAAAATATAAAACAGTGGCTCATGCCTGTAATTCCAGCACTTTGGGAGGCTGAGGCGGGCAGCTCATGAGGTCAGGAGATTGAGACCATCCTGGCTAACACGGTGAAACCCTATCTCTACTAAAAAAATACAAAAAATTAGCCAGGCGTGGTGGTGGGCGCCTGTAGTCCCAGCTACTTGGGAGGCTGGAGCAGGAGAATGGTGTGAACCTGGGGGGCGGAGCTTGCAGGGAATCGAGAGTGCACCACTGCATTCCAGCCTGGGCGACAGAGCAAGACTCTGTCTCAAAAAAAAAAAAAAAAAAAAAAAAAAAATATATATATATATATATATATATATATATATATAAAATGTGGCTGGGCACTGTGGTGCACGCCTGTAATTCCAGCACTTCGGGAGGCTGAGGTGGGCAGATTGCTTGAGCTTAGGAGTTTGAGACTAGCTTGGCCAACATGGCGAAACCTTGTCTCTACAAAAAATACAAAGATTAGCCAGGAGTGGTGGCGCGTGCACCTGTAGTCCCAGCTACTTGGAAGGCTGAGGTGGGAGGATTGCTTGAGCCCGGGAGGTTGAGGCTGCAGTGAGCCAAGATCGTGCCAGTGCGCTCCAGACTGGGTGACAGAGCAAGGCTCTATCTCAAAAAAAAAAAATTACTCCTTCTTTTTCCCATTTTTCTTCTTATCTTTTATTTTTTCCCTATGTCTTGACCAAGAATACTATTTTTAAACCATAGGTCTCTGGCTTCCGTTTCTTACGCTGCTGTTGATTTTTTCCGACCATCAGCTCAGAGACTGATAGAAGAGAAAGGTGCAGTGGATGCATTGGCTGCAGCTTTAGCCCACATTTCTGGTGCATCAAGCTTTGAACCACGATCTTTGATCACCTCTGATAAGGTAGAAATCTGTGAGAAAATTGTACATGAGTGGGAAAAGGTTAAAATTGAACATAGGAAATATTGTAGTGAATTATTGTGCTTTTTGTGCAGAAAAAAACTGTTTTGCTCTATGAGAAACTGGTCTCCTTATTTTCCTCTACTCCCTAATAAATCCTTTTTTGACAATCACCTCTTCCAAATTTTTCAAACCCACAGAAAAACTGAAAGAATAATGCAGTAACCACATACGATCCACCTAGATTCAACTGTTAAAAGTCTGTATCATGTGCTTTATATCCTTTTTTAGCTCTAATTTGTAATTAAAAAAAAAATGACATGTAATAATTGTACATATTTATAGGGTATGTGGTGATGTTTCAGTACATCCGTACATACCATGTATAGGTATCAGATCAGGATCATTAGCGTATCCATCGTCTAAACATTTATCATTTCTTTGTTTTAGGAACCATTCAATATCTTCCTTCTTGCTTTATAACTTTATAAGTTTTTTTTTTTTTTTTTTTGAGATTGAGTCTTGTTCTGTTACCCAGGCTGGAGTGCAATTACGTGATCTTGGTTCACTGCAACCTCTCCCTCCCGGGTTCAAGCAATTCTCCTGTCTCACCCTCCTGAGTAGCTGGGACTACAGGCGCACGCCACCATGCCTGGCTAATTTTTGTATTTTTAGTAGAGACAGGGTTTCACCATATTGGTCAGGCTGGTCTCAAACTCCTGACCTCAGGTGATCTGCCCTCCTCAGCCTCCCAAAGTGCTGGGATTACAGGCGTGAGCCACCTCACCCGGCCTGTATTTTTTTTCTAAATCATTTGAAAGTAAGTCGAAACACCGTGATATCATCCCTAAATATTTCAACATGCATCCTCTGAGAATAAGGATATTCTGCTACATAACCACAATATAATAAGCTCATCTGTGAAAATTAATGATAGTTCTGTATCATCATCTAATATTTAGTTTATATCCATTTTTTTCTCATTATCCTGAAAATGTCTGTCTGTCTGGGTATTTGGAGAGAAATATAGGAAATGCTCACTTTGCACAGACCTTTGTTAACTGAAACTTGTATCCCAGAACCTACATTTCATTTTGTAAGTTTCCATGGAATCCTGCAAAGTAAGAAATAGACTCTGCACAATTAACACAGTAGCATGCAAAGTAAGTAAGAAATGCCTGTGTGTGTGTGGAGGGGTTGTGTAAGTGTAACACCATCTGAACTGGCCTGCTGCCAGATTCGTATCACATGTCAAAACATACCACACCAGAACCATTGGTGCAGGTAGCTCAGAGATTTTTTACTTATTCAAGTATAAGTGAGGGGAGTTTCTTGGTGAAGAGAATTTTAAATAAGAGTTCTGTTATGTCTGAGTGGAGAGAGTGAGTGAGCGAACCTGGTCCTGGAGACATCTATAAGACTAGAGCCTGCTGGTGGGATTTTCAAATAATAACAAAACAGACTAATTTGGGCAGCACATCCCTGTGATGGGGAGGAGGAAACAAAAAGGGCAGGGCAGGTTCACTTGGATGTGACTTATTTGGTGTAGCACAAATGAATGCTGCTGGGGTATCTGATGGTTTCTACCTGGTAGGTGTTAATAGTTTAGCTAAATGTCATTTTGCTTTGAGTGACTTATTGGGCTCCATTCCGTTTATCCATATGTGTACATATACCTATTTGTATGTATGTTTTTAAAAATTCAGGACCTAGTTAAGTTTTACATGTTACATTTGGTATTATGTCTCTTTAGTCTCTTTTAGTCTGGAACTGTTTTCTCATCTTTTTAATTTTTTTCTGATATTGATTTGGTGAAGAGTCTTGGTCGGTTGTTTGGTAGAATATCTCACTGTCTGGATTTGTCCGAATCTCTTCAAGCATCATTTAACTTTTGCCTTTATCCTCTTTTAAACTGAAAGTAATATCAAAGCTTGACTTTTATATTTAGGTGAAATGTTTTTGGCAAGGGTACTTTATAGTTAATATGTACCTCATATTGCATCACATCAAGAGGCATAAAATGTTAGGTTGTTCCAGTACTAGTAATGCTTAATTTGCATTTGTTTAAGATGGAAACTGCCATATTGTAAAGGTGTATTTTACTCTCTGTAATTAGTAACTTGTGGGGTGATACTTTAGCATTGAGCAGATATCCTATCCCTAGTAACCCACCAAATGCTTAAGACAGTATTTAAAACATATTTCTTTAGAAAATATTGAGATTTGAGCTAAGAAGTACCTAAGAAGTTATTTAGTCTCAACTCTCATCCAATGAAGAATCCCTCTTTGGCAGATGGGTCATTTAATCTCTGATTAAATATCTTAGAAACAGGGTGTTAGTGGCTTTAAATTTCTTTCATGGGTTAAACCAAAATCCAGTCTTTATCAGGAATGTCCTATAGGCTTTTCCTCTTGCTATCTTCTTGACGTCATGTCTTATCACTCTCCCCTTTCTTATTTCAGCCACCCTAACCTATTTGGTTTTCCTCAGACATAAACTTAACTATTACACAAGGCCTTTGTACATACTTTCATTGTCTTGAATGTTCTTCCCCTCTAATAACCATGTTGCTTCCTCCTTTACTTCATTCTGGTCTCTGCTCAAATATCATACCAGAGAGGTCTTTCTTGATCACTCTAAAATAGCTTACTCCTCCCTATACTCTTTGTTCCCTAAGCCCTGCTTTATTCCTGTTCGTGACGCTTATTACTATATGATATTCCATATATTTGCTTTTTTGTTTACTGTGTACCCCCCCACCCAACCCCACATACAGGTGTAGGTACATGCACATGCACTAGAATTTACTGTCCATGAGAGAAAGGACTACTTACTGCTGAATCTCTAGCACCTAGTACAGTCTGTGGCACATACGTAGGGCGCACTCAATAAATATTTGTTTGCTGAATGCATCCCCATATCTTCTTAATGTTGATTCTTTTGCTGTTAGTGAAGCTTTACAGAACAAATAATTTTTGCTTATGTAACACTCCTTCAAAAGTTTAAAGAAATTGTTCAGGCATGGTGGCTTATGCCTGTAATCCTAGCACTTTGGGAGGCTGAAGCAGGCAGATCACTTGAGTCCAGGGGTTCAAGACCAACCTGGGCAACCCCGTCTCTACTAAAAATACAAAAATTAGCACGGCATGGTGGCACGCACCTGTAGTTCCAGATGCTTGTGGGGCTGAGGTGAGAAGACTGCTTGAGCCCAGAAGGTTGAGGGTGCAGTGAGCTGAGATCGTGCCACTGCATTCCAACCTGGGTGACAGAGCGAGACCCTGTCTTAAAAAAAAAAAAAAAAGGTTAAAGAAATTTATGTTGTATTTACTTTTTATTTTTTTTTTGAGACAGGGTCTAGTTCTGTCACCCAGGCTGGAGTGCAGTGGTGCAATCTCGGCTCACTGCAACCTCTGCCTCCTGGGCTCCTGGGCTCAAGCCTCCCAAGTAGCTGGGACTGTAGGAGTAGGCCACCATGCCTGGCTAATTATTATTATTATTATTTTTGTAGCAATGGTTATTTCACCATGTTGCCCAGGCTGGTCTCAAACTCCTGGGCTCAAGTGACCCTCCCGCCTCGGTTTCCTAAAGTGCTGAGATTACAGGTGTGAGCCACCACACCCAGCCAAGGTTTTCGTTCCAAGCTGACTTTGACTCCTTCAACATTTCCTTAATTCTTCACTACCTTGTTGTCTTTCTTGGCTCTGGTTTGCTTAATTCTTAATTCTCTCTTAAAGCATAATGGTTAGAATTAAATAGAGTCTTACAGCAATACATAGGATAGTACTTTCAATTATCTATAAACACTATTCTTCTAATAATGTAGTTTCAAAAAAATTTTTTAGCTGCAATGTTATACTTTTGGCTCATAAGAAATGCACAGTTAAGTCTTGAAGGATTATAGAGTTAGAATTTCATTGTACTGCTGCTGATTTATTTCCAAACATAATGTGGTTTTTATTCCTTAAGGGGTTTGTGACCATGACTCTGGAAAGCCTAGAGGAAATACAGGATGTCAGCTGTGCTTGGAAAGAACTTAACAGAAAGCTGAGTAGTAATGCAGTGTCTCAGATTACCAGAATGTGCCTCCTGAAAGGAAATATGGTAGGCTTTTCCAGACAATTAAAAAGCTTTTTAATCAACTACCCCAAATGTTTACAAACACTAGCAAATTTTGTTCTTTCTCTTTGAAGCCTAATGGCATGAATAATGCTGTTTTTTCTCTGTTAGTTTGTTTCCAGTTATAAATTTGGGGCATTATATATGTAACCCATTCCTCCAGAGCTGTAAGTCATTCTGTTCAGTTTGACTATCTAATACCCAAATTATCTAAGTTTCTGCCACATACTGTATGTGGTTGTGTACATGTGTTTATTCTCTTTTTATTTTTTAAATTTTATTTATTTACGACTTTATAGTGATGAGGTCTCACTATTTGCCCAGGCTGGTCTTGAACTCTGGGGCTCAAGTGATCCTCCTACCTTGGACTCCCAAAGTACTGGGATTATAGGTGTGAGCCACTGCACCTGGCCTTTTTGTATTATTATTATTATTATTTTTATTTTTGAGACAGAGTTTCACTCTTGTCGCCCAGGCTAGAGTGCAATGGCACAATCTCGGCTCACTGCAACCTATGCCTCCTGGGTTCAAGCAGTTCTCCTGCCTCAGCCTCCTGAGTAGCTGAGATTACAGGTGCCCGCCACTATGCCCAGCTAATTTTTGTATTTTTAGTAGAGATGGGGTTTCAGCATGTTGGCCAGGCTGGTCTCGCACTCCTGACCTCAGGTGATCCTCCCGCTTCTGCCTCCCAAAGTGCTGGGATTACAGGCGTGAGCCACCATACCCTGTCCATGTTATTATTATTGTGATTATTATTTGGTAAAGATGGGATTTTGCCATGTTGCCCAGGCTGGTCTTGAACTCCTGAGCTCAAGGGATTCACCTGCCTCAGCCTCCCAAAGTGCTGGGATTACAGGCTTGAGCCACTGCACCTGGCATGTGTGTTTATTTTGTAAGACTAAGTAGCTTATGATTGCAGTAGTTAAACAGCTCTATAATTTTGAGGACATGCAGTTTGGTTTTTAAATGGCCTGCTCTTTGTTGTTAATGAATTAATGATATGAATTAAATAAATACTTTAATACATTTATATAGCAAAATTAAAACTGTAATCTTGTGACTGATTTCTTCTAATGGTTTTGAAAAATGATGTTATGTTATTAATTTAACTTTACTGCATAGGTTCATTCTAGCTTGGAATTTATTAACTAGATTGTTTATTGCAAATAATCATCTCTCTCAAAGTTTAATATTACTTGCCTTGTAAAAGGATGTGGGGCAAGTATGAGACAAATATATACTTTCAGGAAAAAAATGTAGAGGGGAGGGAAAAAATAGCAAGATCCATAGGCCAAACTAGTTGCTATACTTGAGTATTAAATTAACTTTCAGCTTATTGACAACTAAGACCATAGAAGAAACATCTTGGGTTATATAATTCTTATTATCTAACAAACATTGCAGCTTTTTTCTTTTTTTTTTGAGACAGGGTCTCACCCTGTCACCCAGGCTGGAGTGCAGTGGCGTGATCTTAGCTCACTGCCACCTCCGCCTCCCAGGCCCAAGCGATCCTCCCACCTCAGCCTCCTGAGTAGCTGGGACTACAGTCATGCATCACCACACCTGGATAATTTTTGCATTTTTTTTGTAGAGATGGAGTTTTCCCTATGTTGCCCAGGCTGGTCTTGATCGAATTCCTGGACTCAAACAATCTGTCCACCTTGGCCTCCCAAAGTGCTGGGATTACAGGCATGAACTACCACGCCTGGCCCATTGTAGCTCTTTGTAAATGAGACTTTCTATCATTAAATTTTAAAAGAAATTTATTAGAAGGATCATTTTACAAGGGACATGGAACAACATATAGGGTCTACACAAACTCTTCTAGAGAATACTGTAGATTCTTAGCAGTAGTTGTAAATTCTTATTGGATACTGTGTTTAGTTACTTTTTAAATTTAGAAAATACATTAAGCAGCCACTGAGTCATGCATTATTAGTAAAACAAAAAAAATCTACACATATGCATCTAATTTAAAATGTTTTGCTTTGTTTTGCTTTTAGGGTGTTTGCTTTGATGTTCCTACAACTGAGTCAGAAAGGTTACAGGTATTTTTAAAATTTTATCTTTTAAATGGTTGAGTACATTCTCTAACATTTAGATTGGGATATTTTGGGAAACATAGTCACAATGTCATTATCATGCCTAAATCAATGAGGAATTCCTTAATATAAAATAACCAGTCTGTCTCAAACTTAAATTTATTTTTAAAGAGATGGAGTCTCTCTCAGGCTGGAGTGCAGTGGCACAATCATAGCTCATTTGCAACCTTGAATTCCTGGGCTCAAGTGATCCTCCCACCTCAGACTCCCAAGTAGCTAGAACTACAAGGCGTGTGCCACTATGTCTGGCTAACATGAGCCACCATGCCCGGATAATTTTTTTTTTCTTTTTGTATTTTTAGTAAAGATGGGGTTTCTCCATGTTGGTCAGGCTGGGCTGAAACTCCCGACCTCAGGTGATCCACCCACCTTGGCCTCCCAAAGTGCTGGGATTACAGGCGTGAGCCACCGCTCCTGGCCCCCTGCCTGGCTAATTTTTTTAAAAAATTTTTGTAGAAACAGAGTCTGTAGCACAGGTTGGTCTTGAACTCCTGGCCTCAAGTGATCCTCCCACTTTGACCTTCCAAAGTGTTGGGAATATTGGTGTGAGCCACCATACCCAGTAAAAAATTTGTTATTATAAATCATTTCAAACATATTTTTTAGATGAGGGACTTGTATAATGAATCTCCATGTACCCAACACTCAGCTTCAACAATTATCAGTTCATAGCCAGTTTTGTTTCATTTCTGTGTCCATCTACTTACCCACTTTTCTGCATTCTTTTGAAATAAATTCTAGGTATTCTATCATTTCAACCATAAATATTTGCATATTTCTAAATATTAATGACTTTAAAAAAGACCTTATCATAATACCATAATTAAACTCCCCCAAAATAATTCCTTAATATCATCCAATTTTATTTAAATTTTTCCATTTGTTTCCTAAACTTTTTAAATACAGGGTCCATAAAGCTCATAGATTGTAATTTGATGTTTCTTAAGTCTCTTTTAATCTATAGGTTCTTCCTCCTCCCTCTCTCTCTTTTAAAAAAGTATTCCTGTGTATACTTTACTGTGTAAAGTATCTTTATCTGTTGAAGAAGGAAGTTGTCTACTGGATTCCCATAATGAAGAATTTGTCTATTGTATCTCAGTACATACTTATATACCTACTTTGAAACAAAAATGAGTATTTTGCTTTCGAAGTCTTTTTAAAAATTCAGAATATGTTAAAGACACATTTTTGTGTCAATAACACAGTTCTTTTTTTCTTTTCTTTTTATATTTTAATTTTTTGTTTGTTTATTTTGAGACAGAATCTCGCTCTGCTGCCAGGCTGCAGTGCAGTGGTGTGATCTCAGCTCACTGCAACCTCCGCCTCCCGGGTTCAAGCGATTCTCCTCCCTCAGCCTCCCGAGTAGCTGGGACTACAGGCAAATGCCACCACGCCCAGCTAATTTTTGTATTTTTAGTAGAGACGGGGTTTCACCATGTTGGCCAGGATGGTCTTGATCTCTTGACCTCATGATCCGCCCGCCTCGGCCTCCCAAAGTGCTGGGATTATAGTCTTGAGCCACTGTGCCTGGCCTTTCTTTTTATATTTTTAAATAGAGATGGGGTCTTGCTATGTTGCCCAGGCTGGTCTCAAACTCTTGGTCCCAAGTGATCCTCCCAAAGTATTGGGTTCACAGGTGTGAGCCATTGCACCCAGCCACAGTTACTTATTTTTAATGACTCCCAGGCATTTGGCCATTTGGGTGGCTGGTTTTCTTAACCAGTGTCCTATTTTCTGAAATTTAGATTATTTCTAATAATTTACTATTATTAGGACTGCCCTAAACATTGGTATAGCGAATTCTTTATGCATTGCCATGTTTATCTCTTTAAGATGAGTTTTTAAATGTGATTGCTTGGCCAAAAGGTTTGTGCCTTTTTTTTTACTTTGGTTATATATTGCCAAACCCACCAGTGGAATGTTCGTTTGTCTTTTCCCAAAAAGTACCAGTATTGGAAAGAAAGATAGCCTTAGCAACAGGGTGTCTTAATAACAACATTTTTTTTTTTTCTTTGAGACAAGAGTCACTCTGTCGCCCAGGCTGGAGTGTAGTGGCACGATCTCGGCTCACTGCAACCTCTGCCTCCCAGGTTCAAGCAATTCTCCTGCGTCAGCTTCCCGAGTAACTGGGATTACAGGCGCCCACCACCATGCCCGGCTAATTTTTGTATTTCTAGTAGAGTTGGAGTTTTACCACGTTGGCCAGGCTGGTCTCGAACTTCTGACCTCAAGTGATCTGCCCGCCTCGGCCTCCCAAAGTGCTGGGATTACAGACATGAGCTACTGTGCCCGGCCAATAACAACTTTCCTTGCCAACTCATGATCACAATAAGGAACAGTTAGTGTAGCAAGATATAAAATAGTGATGCTCTTATGGGTTACTGATTTGTATATCTTCACTTGTTTACTCCAATATCAAAGTGTTTCCAGTGGCTACATTTTTTAGTCCTTGGCTGGTGTTGACTTGTATTTAATCTCCATCATGGGCTCTTTTACTTTTTGCTTGTCAGTATACCTGCTGAAAACAACGCACTACTTATTAATGGCCTGTCTGCTTTGTGCTGAGATACCAAATAGTGCTGTTTTAGAATGTAGAAACTGAGTATAATGTATATTTTTGTACATTTATTTAATTAGTATATTTATTTAATTAGTAATACATAGTATAGTTTTAGAATGTATATTTATTAGAATAGAATATATTTAGAATGTTAGTATTAGAATAGAATGTATATTTAGAATGTTAGAATTTATTTAGAATGTATATTTAGAATGTATATTTATAGAATGTATTTAATTAGTACATGTAATTAGTAATACATAGTTTAATTTTAGAATGTATAAACTGAGTATGAATTTATGATCTCGAAAATTGAAAATATTTTTGCTTATTTTCTGGTTTTCATTTTTGTTCCAGATACGTTAACAGAATAGATGGCCTTTAGCTAATAGATATGAAAAAGGTGTCTTCTTGTACTTAACATGTTTGCTTATGGTTTCTATTTTGCATTTATATTAATCCTGTAAATTCCCCTAACAGGCAGAGTGGCATGATTCCGACTGGATACTCTCAGTGCCAGCCAAATTACCTGAAATTGAAGAATATTATGATGGAAACACATCTTCTAATTCCAGACAGAGGAGTGGCTGGTCAAGTGGTCGATCAGGCCGGTCAGGCCGGTCAGGTGGTCGATCTGGCGGCCGGTCAGGTAGACAGAGTCGACAAGGAAGTCGCTCAGGAAGTCGACAAGATGGTAGAAGACGAAGTGGGAATAGAAATCGATCAAGAAGTGGGGGCCACAAACGGAGTTTTGACTGAGTATTTGATAGTTAATCTACCAGTGTGAGCTTGCCTATTTCTGCCTAATCATGTACATTATCCACCAAAAATTAGGTCATCATAGTTGAGGTATGTGTCTGCTATTTGCAAAGAAGTTGGTCGTATTTTTTTAAAAAGTATTTCACAAGAATGGAACAAATCTACTTATCCAGTTATACCTTTGAATAAAAAAACCTCCTTTTATTGTCTCTTTTCACTTATGTGTTAAGAATTTTCTCAATGTAATCTCAAAAATTTCTTTAAAAACTTGGCAATCAGGCCAGGTGCGGTGGCTCATGGCTGTAATCCCAGCACTTTGGGAGGCTGTGTTGGGCGGATCACTTGAGGTCAGGAGTTTGAAACCAGCCTGACCAACATGGTGAAACCCCAACTCTATTAAAAATACAAAAATTAGCTGGACATGGTGGTACATGCCTGTAATCCCAGCTACTCGGGAGGCCGAGGCAGGAGAATCACTTGAACCCAGGAGGTAGAGGTTGCAGTGAGCCGAGATCATGTCACTGCACTCCAGCCTGGGCAATAGAGTGAGACTCTGTCTCAAAACAAACAAACAAAACTTGGTAGTCAAGCTAATCATAACATAAGATTACTTGCATTTTACAAAATGTGATGTATTTGTATTCATATAATTCCTCCCATAGGTTATGTGATAAAAATAAGAAATTCCCTTCTACATTAAAGGGCTGTGTAAACTGTTGACATGGTTAGTTAGGTGTATCATTTTAGTCTAGACACAGTTAATTAAAAGAGTGTGCCAACAGTGCATACTCATTAATTTATTCCACAGATATTTATTGAATTTCTACTATGTTTCCATCACTATGCTAACCACTGGGGAGTATAGTTGTGAATAAGGCATAATCACTATCCTTAAGGAACTTAGAGTCAATTATTACAGACTAACAAATAAAAGCTAAGACAGTGGTAGGTATGGTATGCTAAGGACCTACTTGGGGTACACCTGACCAGTTTTAGCAGTCAGGAAGGCCTTTTAAAAGTGATACCCAACAGAGAAATAAAGAAGTATCCATTTAGCCACATGTATGTACAGGTGGGAAGAGGAGTTTAGAAGGGAGAGGGCTTGCAGGCAGAGAGAACAACATATGCGGACACCAGAGGCAAAGAATAGCATGGTAAGTCTGAGGTTTCCATATGATAGAGAACAGGAATAAGAGACTGGTTCAGTATTTAACAGGGACAGATTTTAAAGGCCTTATGTACATTGTTAAGGAGTTTAAAGCTTTTCTTGAAGACAGTGGGTAATCATTTAAGGGCTTAAAGTAAGGAGTAACATGATTTGATTTACATTTTAGAAAGAATGCTGGCCACACTGAAGAGACTGGATTGGAGAAAAGCCAGACTGGAGGCCTGGAGACCTCTTAAGATGCCATAGGAGTAATCTATGGTAGAGATGCTGGTGATCTGAACTAATGCTAAGTAACATATTTTGAGGGATGAGAACTGAGGCACTTGAGAGGTTGTTACTTGTCCAGAATCATGCAGCTGGATGATGTGAGGTAAATGAGGATTTGAACCCAGAAAAATGTCTAGCTTCTGAACCAGCACTCTTAACCACTGCACTAAATAGTGGCAGTGGACACTGAGAAACATGGATAGGTTTCAGAGGTTTTTTTTTCTTTTTTTAGACGGAGTCTCGCTGTGTCACACAGGCTGGAGTGCAGTGGCGCGATCTTGGCTCACTGCAACCTCCGCTTCCTGGGTTCAAGTGATTCTTCTGCCCCAGCCTCCCGAGTAGCTGGGACTACAGGCACGTGCCACTATGCCCAGCTGATTTTTTGTATTTTTAGTAGAGACGGGGTTTCACCGTGTTAGCCAGGATGGTCTCAATCTTCTGACCTCGTGATTTACTGCCTGCCTTGGCCTCCCAAAGTGCTGCGATTACAGGTGTGACCCACTGCGCCCGGCCGGTTTCAAAGGTTTTTAGGAGACAGAATTCTTAGGACTCAGATAGTGGATTGAAAGATGAGAGGGAAACAGAATAAAACCTAGTTTTTTTTGTTTTTTTTTTTTAAGATGAGGTCTCACGCTGTTGCCCTAGCTAGAGTGCAGTGGCTCAATCCAGGCTCACAGCAACCTCAACCTCCTAGGCTCAAGTGACTCTCCCACCTCAGCCACTCTAGTAGCTGGGACTACAGGTGCATGCCACCAAGTCCAGCAAAAAACCTAGATTTTGTCCCTGAGATAGGGTACAAGGAGGAAGAGCAAGAAAAGTTAAGAGGGGTTGGGAATATGATTAGTTCAGGATTAGATATATTTTAATATTAAGTAGCCCATGAAATATGTAAAAGGAAATAAACAGTAGACAATTAGATTTGTAAGTCTGAAGCTCAGGAGAGATATTTGTTCTAGAGATAAAAGTTTGGGAATGATAGACCAAAAAATGATAATTGTAGTTAAGCTAGTAGATGAGATTATCCAAGTATGGTAAGAGCAGAGGACTGAGGAGGGAAGCCAGAGGGCTACCAATGTACTTAATTCATAGTAGAAGAAAGAGGACTCCATTGAGAAGAGATGAGGAGGATAGAAAGCCCAGGAGTGTGTGGCTTTTAGAGGAAACAGGACGAGCTGGAAATGGTCATTGGTTGTGGCAAAAGAAACTTCATAGGGAGCACATAGTAATAAGAGTATTGAGAATAGAAGCTAGTTAGCAGTGGGTTCAGTAGGAAATGGTAGATGAAGTGGTGAGAACAAACATGAAGATCTCATTCTGAAATCTGATTGTGAATAGGGAAGAATAAGCAAAAGCTTATTCTTTTGCTTACAAGGACATGAAATTCTGGCAAGGATTTTCTGTGTATGTGTGGGAGGTGGGGTATTTGAGCATGTTGAAATATGGTAGGAAGAAGCCCTAAAGGAGGGAGGGCAACATGAAGTTTCAGGAGAAGGAATATATGGGATCAAGCACACAACTAGAGATTTTAGCTTTATTTATTCATTGTTTATTTTTTAAAAGTTTACTTATTAGGCCAGGCGTGGTGGCTTATGCCTATAATCCCAGCACTTTGGGAGGCTAAGGCTATAATCCCAGCACTTTGGGAGGCTAAGATCACCTGAGCTCAGGAGTTCGAGACCAGCCTGGCTAACATGGGGAAACCCTGTCTCTACTAAAAATACAAAAATTAGCCAGGCGTGGTGGCAGGTGCCTGTAATCCCAGCTACTCAGGAGGCTGAGGCAGGTGAATCGCTTGAACCTGGGAGGTGGAGGCTGAAGTGAGTTGGGATTGCACCAATGCACTTGCAGCCTGGGTGACAGAGCGAGACTCTGTCTCAAAAAAAAGAAAAAATATATTTATTGATTGATAGGGTCTTGCACTGTTGCCCGGGCTGGTGTGCAGTGGTGCATTCATGGCTCACTGCAGCCTCGATCTCCCAGGCCCAACTGATCCTCTCACTTCAGCCTCCTGAGTAGCTGGGACTACAGGTGTGTGCTACCATACCCAGCTAGTTTTTGTGGGTTTTTTTTGTAGGGATCAAGTCCCACTATGTTGCCCAGGCTGGTCTGAAACTCCAAGGCTCAAGCAGTCCTTCCATCTCGGCCTCCCAAAATGCTCAGTTAACAGGTGTGAGCCATGTGAGCCACTGTGCCTAGGCATTTTTTTTTTTTTATTGGCTGTGTTGCCCAGGCTGGTCTTGAACTGGACTCAAGTGATCCTCTTAACCTCCTGAGTAGCTAGGATTACAGGTGCATACCACTGTTCCTGGCTAGAGATTTTAGCCTTAGATAGCATAACATTTTGTCAGGGAGAAAGTATGATTATCTTGCAGATATTAAGGTAACTACAGGTGGAACAATTAAGTGATTTCCTATATTAACACAGCATTCTGTTGTAGGAATGGAGATGAGGGATAGTTGATTGACCCAGGATTGGAGTTTTACTTTGTGAGTGAAAGGATGACGAGGTAAAGATGCCGAAGACTCTGGCAAAAGTGATTGGAGTAATGGTCCATGGAGTCTAGACTGCCTAGGGATTGAAGTGGAGATGGGGTTGATAACGGAGAATGTAGAGGAGGCAAGGGACTGAAGGTCCATGAAGGCTGTCTGAACTTGAGATTTCAAGAATGGAGCAACTGGGGAGAAGCAAGTGCAGGGTATGACCTTTGTCTGTTGGGACAAAGGTCACCTCAGTTGTAGTGGTCAAAGCAGTGGGTATGTGGGTGGTACTCAAGGACAGTGAGGTCTCCTATGATGAAAACAAGCCAACACTGCAGTAAGGAAGACTAACCCGATTCGAAAATATCAGTGAATGGTGGAGGCTAGGAAATAACCTGAATGAGGAGGGGTAGGGTGACATTATGCCTTATCTTCAAAGGGATGAGAGCTTTTACATGAAAGTGGAGTAATGGTTTGGAAATGGATTTGAGGAAAAGAGGACTCTGACATCAACTGGGATATGGGGAATTTCAGGGAATGGGCAACATCTTGTGTGTGAAACCTGCAGAGGGTGGGTTTTCAGAAAGAGCCAGATTTCAGTTAAGCCAAGGAGGCAGGGAAGGACTTTCAGTGCTGGATTGTGGAAGGTGGAAGTTTTGATTTGGGGGGCTAGTGTTACAGACAGACACAACTGGGGGGAAAATCTCAGTCTGCTTTGCATTTGAGCAACTGAGTTGTAGTATAACCAAGATGAAACAGGGGCTCCATTCATATTAAGTTGCATGAGTACTACTATGTTCAGTCAGAATATGTTGTGTGACTACAGTGTCCCAGGCAATATGTTTTGGGTTAATAAGCAGTGCCTAGTCTCTACTCTGGAGCTCAGAATCTAGTGAAATAAGTGGACAAATAAACCTATGTCCATGGGAATGACTAACTACAATGATTTGTGAACACTGAGCAAGGGCACCTGGCCCTGGAATGGGAGTGGGGGTTCAGGGAAGGCTTTTTAGACGTGATGGCTGAGCGTTAAGTAGGTAAAAGAAACAGGAAACCTTGCATCCAAGCAAAGGCACAGAAAAGCTGATGAAACAACATGGTCTTAAGTATGGGGAACTATGAGTAGCTCTTGTTGCTGGGATCGTGACTGTGAGGAAGGCAATGGTGAGAACAAGGCAAGATGTGTTATATCTTGGAGGGCTTTGTAGGTCTTGTTTTGGATAGCTGTTGGAGGGTTTCAGGGAAGAGTGAAAAAGATAAGTATATAGGTAAATGCCAACAGGGTGGATGGGTTTAAGAGAGTCTACCTGCTAAAGGTCAGATGCCCTATTAGCAAGGGTCCTAACAAAATTAAATAATAGCTTTCCACATGTTTTGAAAGTAGGATGGGGCCAGGCAAATTTCTCATCAAATTCTCAGCTTTGGGCTGCACTCGGCCACTGGTATCTTTACTCTTCTTCCTTTTAGAAGCCAGTACCTTCATGGCTCCCTTTTTTTGGCTTTTGGCCTCCTGTTTGGTACTCTGTGCTCTAGTCATTTAACAGCTATTTGAACTAGAATCAGTTACTCTGATCTTCAGTTTTTGAATTTATAAATGAAATAACATCTGCTTTATTCTCTCCAGCTTTAGAATTATGAATTCACTTTTAGGTTTAAATATCTTGAGAGTCTTCTCTCACATTGTTTTTGTTTCCTGTATTTTGGGGATAGTGCTTAACAGTAGTTTTTAAAAACCATATTCCTTTTTTTTTTCCTTATAAGTATACATGTCAGGCAGGGCGCAGTGACTCACGCCTGTAATCCCAACACTTGGGAGGCTGAGACAGGTGGATCACTGAAGGTCGGGAGTTTGAGACCAGCCTGGGCAACATGGTGAAACCCCATCTCTACTAAAAAGACAAAAATTAGCTGGGCATGGTGGCAGGCGCCTGTAATCTCAGCAACTTGGGAGGCTGAGGCAGGAGAATTGCTTGAACTCAGCAGGTGGAGGTTACAGTGAGCCAAGATCGCGCCACTGTACTCCAGCCTGGACGACAGAGTGAGACTTCGCCTCAAAAAAAAAAAAGATACATGTCCATTGTTGGGAATCTAAAAAAGTAGAGAAGCAAATGGAAGACTATAAAAACCACCCACAGTCACATTACTCAGAAAGAATGACTGCTAACATTTTATTTTGTAGACTTTTGAATTCGTTGTGTGTGTGTGTATACATGCTTTTAAAAATACAAATTCTCCCTCTAATTTTGTGAAAACATTACATCATCCAGATCAGAGGAAATAGGCCTGGCAAAATATTGATATTTAAGCATTCAAGGATATTCAACATTTCCTATCAAATTTTTCCTCTTTTTTTTTTTTTTTTTTTGGAGATAGGGTCTTGCTCTGTCACCCAGGCTGGAGTGCAGTGGTGCAATCTTGGCTCACTGCAACCTCCGCCTCCCAGGTTCAAGCAATTCTTGTGCTTCAGCCTCCCAAGTAGCTGGGACTACAGGTGTGCACCACCATATCCAGCTCCTATCAAATTTATGTAAGCTATTCTTCGTCTTGTTATTGAATTTTATACTGATGACAAGATAATTAATTGGCTACCTTTTGTCAAATGGGCCTTTTGCATGTTTCCTGGTGGAAATTTGGGTTTGTCCCTATATGCAGGTTACAAAGGAACTTATTTTAGAAGCTTTGAAAAGTTTTCCATTTAGTACCATTCTGGGGCTTACTCTCTTGTTGAATATCTCTTGATAATAAACATGTCCCTGTACTGTATGCAGTAGTATCATGTATATAGCAGGATCATGTAGTGTTGTGGTTTGTCAACCAGACTGCAGGTTCTTTGAGGTGGGGACTGGGCCTCCACTTAGTATCTAAACTACATGATACAATGGTGAAACCAGAGATGTTAAGCATTTTGTTGGCCAATTAGTTGACTGCATTCATGCTTGCTCTCCTTTCTTCCACATCTAACACCAGGATGACTCAGGTACTTTCGTACCTGGGCATATAGCTAAAATTTATTTCAAGGGGTTCCCCTCCACCACTGCCATGTTAACATTCATTAAACACTTAATTACAGATTACTATGTACCAGGCACTGTCTGAAATTTTGAGGACACAAAGATGAATAAATCAAGGCTCCTGGCTCAGGGATATCAGAATATAAGTTAAAGCACTGTTGCACATTTTCACAAATTGTTAAAAAAATTTGAGACCATGGCTGGGCGTGGTGGCTCACACCTGTAATCCCAGCCCTTTGGGAGGCCAAGGCAGGTGGACCACCTGAGGTCAGGAGTTCGAGACCAGCCTGGCTAAGATGGTGAAACCTTGTCTCTACTAAAAATAGAAAAATTAGCCGGGTGTGGGGGCAGGCGCCTGTAATCCCAGCTACTGAGGAGGCTGAGGCAGGAGAATTGCTTGAACCTGGGAGGCGGAGGTTGCAGTGAGCTGAGATCGCGCCACTGCACTCCAGCCTGGGCAACAGAGTGAGACTCTGTCTCAAAAAAAAAAAAAAAAAAATTGAGACCACGAAACATCAAATAATAGTTTAGGTGAAACAAAATTTTTCCTTGAAACTCTCAGATTAAAAAATGTGCAGTAGACCAGGCACAGTGGCTCGAGCCTATAATCCCAGCACTTTGGGAGGCCGAGGCGGGAGGATCGTGAGGTCAGGAGATCGAGACCATCCTGGCTAACACGGTGAAACCCCGTCTCTACTAAAAATACAAAAAATTAGCCGGGTGTGGTGGTGGGCGCCTGTAGTCCCAGCTACTTGGGAGGCTGAGGCAGGAGAATGGCGTGAACCCGGGAGGCAGAGCTTGCAGTGAGCTGAGATCACGCCACTGCACTCCAGCCTGGGCCACAGAGTGAGACTGTCTCCAAAAAAAAAAAAAGTGCAGTAATCAGAAATACAGAAATACTTTTCCAGCATTTTCCTTTATCATAAAATGTAATATTTTAAATTGTGTTTTCAAATCCTTGTGACACACTAAGTTTTAATAGTTTTCATTGATTGTGCTCTGTGTGTCAGGCACTGCCAGACCATTTTCTGCCATTATCTTATTTAATTTTCTCAATTGATGAAGTAGGTTTTGTTATCCTCATTTCATACAAGGGAAACTTGGGTTCAGATAAGGTAATGTTTCCAAAAATAACAGAGCAGACTGGGTATGGTGGCTCCTGCCTGTAATCCCAGTACTTTGGGAGGCGGAGGTGGGAAGATCACTTGAGCTCAGGAGTTCAAAACCAGCCTGGGCAACATGGCAAAACTCCGTCTCTACAAAAAAAAAAAAAATTAAAAAATTAGCCAGGCAGGGTGGCACATGCCTGTAGTCCCAGCTACTCGGGAGACTGAGGTGGGAGGATCGTTTGACTCTGGGAGGTCGAGGCTGCAATGAGCCATGATCACGCCATTACACTCCACTCCAGCCTGGGCAACAGAGGGAGAACCTGTCTCAAAAAAATGAAATAGATAAAGACTGGGCGCTGTGGCTCATGCCTATAGTCCCAGCACTTTGGAACGCTGAGGCGGATGGGTGGATAACCTGAAGTCAGGAGTTCGAGACCAGCCTGGTGAAGATGGTGAAGCCCCATCTCTACTAAAAATACAAAAATTAGCTGGGTGTCGTGGTGCAGGCCTGTAATCCCAGCTACTCGGGAGGCTGAAGGATGAGAATCGCTGGAGGCAGAGGTTGCAATGAGCTGAGATAGCGCCACTTCATCCAGCTTGGGCAACAGAGCGAGACTCCGTCTCAAAAAAACAAAAAGGCCGATTTTCAATGTCAGATATTATTCTATCCCATTTTTGAAATTTATTTTTTCTTTTATATATATGAAATATTTTATTTATATATTATATATGTGTGTGTATATATAGATATATAGACATAGGGGTTTTGCTGTGTCGCCAGGGCTAGTCTTTAAGTCCTGGCTTCTTTGGAGGCTGAGGCAGGAGATTCGCTTGAGCTCGGGAGGCAGAGGTTGCAGTGAGCCCAGGTCACGCCATGGCACTCTCCAGTCTGGATGACAGAGCGAGACTCTGTCTCAAACCCACAAGACCTCTCTCTCCCGCTAGTCTATAAAGCTTCTTGACGATAAGGCTTTTGTGCTTGTTAGTGAATACTAGTCCTGTTTCTCCTACCTGACACAGTGAACGCTCATAAGATGTTTGAGTGCTCGCATGAATGAACGACCAGACCCGACTGAATTATTTTTTTTCTTCAGGCTCCTGAGTCTGGTCGACACTTTCAGAGTAGACGTTTCCAAGAGATGATTAAGGACACACATCCGCGCGTCTGTACGTGCAAACTCGAGCAATACAACATAAAGCACTGAAGATGGCGCCACTCAAAAGCAACTAGAAGCCTTCATTTATCAGGCTGGGGCTAGGGAAAATCTGGCCAGTGTTGAAGAATACAAAGCTAACCTTTGCAATTCCTTGCGGTTCTACCGTTCCGTAGGTGCCTTCTAGACCAAGGGCCGCAAGTGGTCAATTCACTAAATCCAACCACAGTCACAGGCCGCTGCTTTGAATTTACCACGCGGAAAGCAGCTTTTCCTGTGCTTCCTGCTTCCCCCGGAAGTGCCTTGCTACGGGAAGTGACGAGAGCCGGGTGGACCCAGGGTGGGGAACTACCTCTTCCTCTCCACGCGGTTGAGAAGACCGGTCGGCCTGGGCAACCTGCGCTGAAGATGCCGGGAAAACTCCGTAGTGACGCTGGTTTGGAATCAGACACCGCAATGAAAAAAGGGGAGACACTGCGAAAGCAAACCGAGGAGGTGAAACGGAGGGACCTGGGGCCAGGAGGGACGCTGAATGGAGCGGAACCCCGGGGTGCGGGAGAAGTGCCCGGGCTGGGATCGTGGGAGCGCGCGGCGGATAACAGCGCGTCCAGACACCGGGCGTGGGTCTTGGCGGGCGGTCGCCCAGGAGTGGTGCGCTCCCCGGGCAGTGGACGCGTCGTTTGCCCGACCGAGCCAGGTCCGCCGTGCGCTGACCTCTTCCTCTGAGCTTATAGGCATCCACAGGTCGGAACTCTGGTAGAGAGGCCCTGTTGGAGCTCGGGAGAGGGCCGGGTGTCCCACGTGGTCCCCGGCGACTTGGGCGCGCCTCACACAGTGCGCAGAGTTGGACCTTCAGTCAGGCTCCACGTTGTTGGCTAAGACAGAACTCCCGGCATGAGCGTGCGCGAAGGAAGTTACACGTCAAGTCAAAGTGGGTACTGGAGGCCGGGTGCGGTGGCTCACGCCTGTAATCCCAACACTTTGGGAGGCCGAGGCGGGCGGATCATGAGGTCAGGAGTTCGAGACCAGCCTGGCCAACATAGTGAAATCCCGTCTCGACTAAAAAATACAAAAATTAGCCGGGCATGGTGGCGCGCGCCTGTAGTCCCAGCTACTCGGGAGGCTGAGGCAGGAGAATTGCTTGAACCCGGGAGGCGGAGGTTGTGGTGAGCCGAGATCGCGCCACTGCACGTCAGCCTGGGCAACAGAGCGAAACTCCATCTCAAAAAAAAAAAAAATGTGGGCACTGGAGCTTTAGAGTAGACTGGAGAGGTCTTAACTTCATCTGCGCACGTGGGCCGCGTCTTTAGTGACTTTTTAAACTCTCGTAAGGGAAGTAGAGTTTGTTTTCCGGTAAGCCGCCCTGAGAAGATGACGTAATTCAGTTATTACGAAAATCTGTTTTACAACTGTTTGACCCACATGAGTTGACTGGATTTCCCATGGAAATGTAAAGGCATGTGTTGCGGTGCTGAGTGTACACCATATTTTTTATATAGGCCAGCAGTGTGCAGTAGTTTTAACCTTGATAGCTGACCGGTGCTTTGCTGTTGCTTCCTAGTGATTTAACTTGTGACTGAGTCTCTGTTCTGAGATCAAGTCAGTGGGAACAAAGATTGTCCTTGAACTTAGGTTGTACGCTACTTAGAATTAACTTTCCTTGTTGGTTTCTCTGTCTTTTGATATGGAGTTCTTACAATAGCAATATTTTAGAATTGTAGGAAGCCGCGGCAGATTTGTACTCAGGTGCAAGAAGGTCGTGGTCCTGGTTTACATTGCATCAGTCAATTGCGTTCAATTTGGCATGCTCAAATCCAGAGGTACATGACCAAACTCTGTTATATTCCAAAAGAGACCACCAGGATGGGAAACTCAGTCTTATTTGGTGGAACCAAGGGATGAAAACGAATAAAATTTTGGAAGGAGACTAGCTTGTTTTTTGTTGGCTAGGAGATTATTCTTAATCTATGATTTGAGAACAGAGACCAGGCCTGAAATTTCCGGGAGGCAGAATTCAGCGTAATATGTACTTCCAACATTGTTCTGGGGCTCTGCCAGAACAGGCTTCTAAGGAGGCTACAACACATGTCTAATTGTTTTCAGTAGTATGAAAAGTTGTAGAGGGTCAGAAAGTTCAAATAGGAGCCACAGTCATCTGTCTTACTTGGTTCTAAGGTGTCACTCCTTCCATATTCTTGTAACTTATTTATTTTATTTTAAATTAAGTACATCTTTTTTACACATGAGTGATAGACTGTGAGTTTTTATAACTTTTTGTTTCATAAAGTGTCTCTTTATTTTATTATTATTATTTTTTGAGATGGAGTTTTGCTGTCGTTGCCCAGGCTTGTTCTCCATGTTGGTCAGGTTGGTTTCAAACTCCCAGCCTCAGGTGATCCGCCCACCTCGGCCTCCCAAAGTGCTGGGATTACAGGTGTGAGCCACTGCATCCTGCCCTTTTATTTTTTGTAGAGACAGAGTCTTACTGTCACCCAAGCTAGAGTGCAGTGGCATGATTATAGCTGACTGCAGTCTTGAATTCCTGGGCTCAAGCAATCCTCCCACCTCAGCCTCCTAAGTAGCTAGGAGTATAGGTGTGCTGCTACACCTGGCTAATTAAAAAAAAAATTTTTTTTTTTGAGACAGTCTTGCTGTGTCGCCCAGGCTGGAGTGCAGTGGCATGATCTCAGCTCACTGCAACCCCCGCCTCCCGGGTTCAAGCAGTTCTCCTGCCTCAGCCTCCCGAGTAGCTGGGACTACAGGTGCGTGCCACCATGCCTGGCTAATTTTTTTGTACTTTTAGTAGAGATGAGATTTCACTGTGTTAGCCAGGATGGTCTCCTTCTCCTGACCTCGTGATTCGCCCTCCTTGGCCTCCCAAAGTCCTGAGATTATAGGCATGAGCCACCGCGCCCAGCCTAAATTTTAAACTTTTTCAATAGAGACGGGGTCTCGCTATATTGTCCATGCTTGCCTGGAACTGCTGGCCTCAAACAATCCTCCTGCCTTGGCCTCCCAGAGTGCTGAGATTACAGGCATGAACCACTGCACCTGGCCCTAAACTGTCTTTGTATAAATTCATTTGCTCTTGTAAGATAGGCAAAGTGCAGAATTCCTGTTTTGGAGTTAGAGGCTGCAGTGAGCTATGATCATGCCTCTGTACCACAACCTGGGTGAAAAAGTGAAATTGTCTCTTAAAAAAACAAAAAAAATCCCTGTTGTTTTACCTGGGATTTTAGCAGGAAGAAAGAAAAGAAACCTGCTTAACATCATCAATCTGTAGATACATTTGCCTTATTCTATTGGAATTGAATTTGGACTTTTTATAGTATTGAGTTTGGAGCCTGTTGGAGTATCCCATGAGCTTATCCAAATCCCTTATGAAAATCTGGTTTATAGGCCAAGCACGGTGGCTCATGTAATCCTAGCAGTTTGGGAGGCCGGAGTGGGTGGGTTGCCTGAGCTCAGGAGTTTGAGACCAGCCTGGGCAACATGGGAAAACCCCACCTCTACTAAAAATACAAAAATTCGCTGGGTGTGGTGGTGGGCGCCTGTAGTCCCAGGTACTCGGGAGGCTGAGGCATGAGAATAACTTGAACTCAGGAGTGGAGGTTTCAGTGAGCTGAGATTGTGCCACTTCACTACAGCCTGGGCGACAGAGCGAGACTCTGTCTCAAAAAAGAAAATCTGTTTTACAACTGTTTGACCCACATGAGTTGAATAGTTACTAAGGGGCACTCTTCATTTTCCAAGATAGTGAAACTATTGATATATACCCGTCTATATATATAGCTAAGAAGCGATTTTAGAAAAAGCTTACTATTTTGATTTTTACCTTATCACAGCATGAAAGTACAAATGTCGAAATGCCCCAAAATTGTATTTTTTAAAGTTGAAAATGATCTTGAAATAATCCAGAATTGATGAATGTTGCAAATGTATAAATGCCTTATTCAGTGTTTGTATTTTCCTTATGAATTTTTTTTAGAAAGAGAAAAAAGAGAAGCCAAAATCTGATAAGACTGAAGAGATAGCAGAAGAGGAAGAAACTGTTTTCCCCAAAGCTAAACAAGTTAAAAAGAAAGCAGAGCCTTCTGAAGTTGACATGAATTCTCCTAAATCCAAAAAGGCAAAAAAGAAAGAGGAGCCATCTCAAAATGACATTTCTCCTAAAACCAAAAGTTTGAGAAAGAAAAAGGAGCCCATTGAAAAGAAAGTGGTTTCTTCTAAAACCAAAAAAGTGACAAAAAATGAGGAGCCTTCTGAGGAAGAAATAGATGCTCCTAAGCCCAAGAAGATGAAGAAAGAAAAGGAAATGAATGGAGAAACTAGAGAGAAAAGCCCCAAACTGAAGAATGGATTTCCTCATCCTGAACCGGACTGTAACCCCAGTGAAGCTGCCAGTGAAGAAAGTAACAGTGAGATAGAGCAGGTACATTTGCACTTCATTGGGTAGAAGATATCTTTCATTGTTGTTTCAGATAAATAAGTAGGTAACTGCTATATGTACTCTTTAATAGTAGGAGAAAATGTGATGTGTCAGCACCTTGTGGGTTGGGGGATACCTTAGGCTGACTGGGACTTCATCTTAAAAATTAGCATACGACAGGGCATGGTGGCTCAGCTAAGAGTACTCTGTCTTTTTTATTTTTTTATTTTTTTGAGACAGAGTCTCGCTCTGTCACCTAGGCTGGAGTACAGTGGCACGATCTCAGCTCACTGCAACCTCTGCCTCCTGGGTTCAAGTGATTCTCCTACCTTAGCCTCCTCAGTAGGTGGGATTACGGGTGTGTGCTATCACGCCTGGCTAATTTTTTGTATTTTTAGTAGAGGCGGGCTTTCACCATGTTGGCCAGGCTGGTCTCGAACTCCCAACCCCAGGTGATCTGCCCGCCTGGGCCTCCCAAAGTGTTGGGATTACAGGCATGAGCTACTGTTCCCAGCGGACTCTGTCTTTAAAAAAAAAAAAAAAAAAATTAGCATAGTGTCACAATGCCTCCTTTACAAATAAGCAGATACTGCTTAAGCTTAGGGAGAGTCTTGGTCTGCTTATTTGCAAGTCAGTCAACAGAAGAGATACAGTTTTGTAAATGGGCCCTAGTTTCCCTCTGAGGGGTTTAACCAAATAAATTATTGGAATTACTGAAAAGGTTGATTGCATAAGTCCTTTTGGTTAGGCCATTAAGTAATCATCCTGGAGTTGAACAGGATGATAAAATGTCTGTCCAGAACCTAATTCTGTTATCTTTCAGAAACTCAGTTATGAAAGAAATACGAATTGTATTAAAAAAATTTGTTTTAGACATGGGATCTCGCTGTGTGGCCCAGGCTGGTCTAGAACTTGTGGCTTCAAGCGATAATCCCGCCTAAGCCTCCCGAGTAGCTGGGATTACAGGCACAAGCCACCACACCCAGCTGAAAAATACTAATTCTAATAGATTTTCTTTTTGCTATAGATCATGGTCAACATTTGTAACTTTTTTCCTGATTATAAAAAATATGTGATCCAGAGAAAATAGAAAATGCAGACATTTTGCAAAAAGAAAGAAATGCTTCCTGGAATTTCACCATTCATTTAGTAAATATTAATACCTGTACTTTTCAAGTACAGAAGTCATCTTGTTAATTTTTGGTGTTTCCTTGTAGTACTTTTAGTATATGCATCTATTATTTTTAATCAGATTAGGATTGTACTGTGCAATCTTGTATCTTTTTTGTTTCTAGCTAAGCATTTTCCTCGTTAAGTACGCTTAATGGTTACATAATCCTTCATATAAATGTCTTGAAATCTACTTACTACTTGTATTGAGCATTCAGATATCTTACTATCAAATAATGCCACAGTGACTGCTACCTCATAAAATGTTTGTTCATTTTCTATGGATGTGTGTATACAAGAGATGCTGCTTTGGAAGAGGGCTAATGACATTTCCATCAGTATATTGTTGATTATGGTTATGGAGTAGATCTTAGTTGAGATCTAGTCACACATAATCTTAGTTGAGATCTTAGTTGAGATCTAGTTACCCAGTATATATTTGCCTCAGATTTTTCTTTTGTTAAAGTTTTATAGATTTATGACAATGTTTCCTTTTCAGATCTCGAGTTACCTATCAAGGTTTTTGTATCTTTTTGGTTGATTTTTAAAGTGATGTGTTTAGAAGAATTGCTTTAGGATAGCTTGTTTTGTCTCTTTCTCAGAAGGTTCTCTATTAATTTGTGTAGGTGATTATTGATTTCTTTCTATGGCCCTTTACTTGATAGGAAATACCTGTGGAACAAAAAGAAGGCGCTTTCTCTAATTTTCCCATATCTGAAGAAACTATTAAACTTCTCAAAGGTAATGTTCTTGGAAATATCGTATGATGTTAGAACGTATTATTTTAACAGAAGCACTCCACTATTTTTGTTAAGATGAACCAGGATGTATTCTTATTGTAGGCTGATATATGCAGTCATATAATGAAGTAGGCCTGTGTATTCAATTTAGTACTATAGTAGTGATGGTTCTTCATGCTTCTTAAACAAGTGGTTAAAGCTTTTTCAGGCCCTCTGTGGTGGCTCACACCTGTAATTGATTGAGGCCAGGAGTTTGAGATCTTCCTGGGTAACATAGTGAGAACCTGTCCCGACAAAAAGTTTAAAAATTAGCTGGGCACGTGGTAACACACATCTATAGTCCTAACTACTCCAGAGGCTGAGGAAGGAAGATCGCTTGAGCCCAGGAGTTCAAGGCTTCAGTGAACTGTGGTCACACCACTGCACGCCAGCCTGGGTGACAGAATGAAACCCTGTCTCAAAAAAAATTGTATTTAATACAGTGTGTATTCAGAAGTGTATTGACTAATGGTGCTGGTGAAATTAAGCAATTAGGTGATGCCATATTAATGTTTTATCTCTTTCACTTCTGAGGCATCTCTAGATTAATGAGCCTAATTTATAGGCATAAACCCAGAATTCATTTAATAATCTGCTTCTGAAGTAGCTGGAGTCACAGTTACTCAAGTAGGTGCTTCCTAAATCAGGAGCAGCACAGTTGGATTGCAAAGCACCAGATTTTCAGGCTTATGGATGAGACTTCAAATATTTACTATAATTGGATGCTTTAAAGTTTGTTGATATTTTTCAGTCAAGCAGATTCTTTACTATCAGAATATTTCTGAGCCAGGTATGATGGCTTGCACCTGTAATCCCAGCTGTCCATCAGGCTGAGGCAGGAGGATCACTTGAGCCCAGGAGTTCAAGGCTGCAAGTGAGTTATGATCACACCACTGTACTCCAGCATGGGCGACAAAGCAAGACCTTGTCTCTTAAAAAATATACGTATTTGAGCCTAACTTTGTAGATGTTGACCAGAAGGTAGAATTCCTTAATTCTGCAGGACCAGAAGCATGAGTAGTATACTTCAGTATGTCAGTATGGCTAATGTTTTAAGAATTGCAGTGTGAGATAACACAGTTAATTTGTTCATAGGCCGAGGAGTGACCTTCCTATTTCCTATACAAGCAAAGACATTCCATCATGTTTACAGCGGGAAGGACTTAATTGCACAGGCACGGACAGGAACTGGGAAGACATTCTCCTTTGCCATCCCTTTGATTGAGAAACTTCATGGGGAACTGCAAGACAGGAAGAGAGGCCGTGCCCCTCAGGTAACTGTCTTAAATACAAGGGCTCTCAGTCAGCATAGGAAAAACCACCACTTGGGCATTGTGTACATACCCTACTATTTTTTATTGAGTTCTTATAGTCACCCATTCTATTTACTGTGGATCTTTATGTGAAAGTAATCCAGGACAATTCTTTTATATTTAATAATTAATATATACAGATCATTCTCTGTATATTTCAATATTTTAATCTTTCCCACAGTTTTGATCATCTATATAATTAATGCTATCATATTTCCTTCAAACCATTAGATGTCCCTGGGGCTCATAGCTTTCGTCAAGTGTCTGACCATTTTTGCCTAGATGGAGAAAGCATTTTTGGTAGAAAAGCATGAATGGGCGGTGGCTCACACCTGTAATCCCAGCACTTTGGGAGCCCGAGGTGGGCGGATCACGAGGTCAGGAGATCGAGACCATCCTGGCTAACAACATGAAAGCCCATCTCTAATAAAAATACAAAAAATTAGCCGGGCGTGGTGGCGGGCGCGTGTAGTCCCAACTACTTGGGAGGCTGAGGCAGGAGAATGGCGTGAATCCAGGAGGCGGAGCTTGCAGTGAGCCGAGATGCACCACTGCACTCCAGCCTGGGCGATAGAGCAAGACTCCGTCTCAAGAAAAAAAAAAAAAAAAAAAGAAAAGCATGAATGGAAAGAAGGGCAAGTCAGAGGTGAAAACGCCAAGCCCCCATATTAGGGTGAGTCCATTGGGTTCATTTCTAGAGAACTTGACATTTAACAAACATTAACCTCATTGAAATGACTGCGAATGCCCATGTAGTCACTTTGGCTGTGGGTTCTTGCAGTTGTCTTTCTGGCCTAACCTCACTTGCTCACTGGCCTTCCAGTGTCCATGCTCCCCCTTTGTTAATTTGTTTACTGCTATATCCCTAGCACATTTTAGATGAATGTATTAGGTGTTCTTGAATCATATTAGTTTCATACCATTACCCTATTTTTGAGGACCTGTAGCAGTTCAAGCAATTCTCCTGCCTTAGCCTCCCAAGTAGCTGGGATTACAGGCGTGTACCACCATGCCTGGCTAATTTTGTATTTTTAGTAGAGATGGGGTTTCACCATGTTGGCCAGGCTGGTCTGGAACTCCTGACGTCAAGTGATCCACCCACCTCAGCCTCCCAAAGTGCTGGAATTATAGGCTTGAGCCACTGCACCTGGACTTTTTTTTTTTTTTTTTTTTGAGACAAAGTCTCGCTTTGTCGCCCAGGTTGGAGTGCGGTGGTGCAATCTTAACCTCTGCCTCGCAGGTTTAAGTGATCCTCCCGCCTCAACATCCCAAGTAGTTGGGATTACAAGTGTGAGCCACCACGCCTGGCTCATTTGTATTTTTAGTAGAGATAGACTTTCACCATGTTGGCCAGGCTGGTCTTGAACTCCTGACCACCCACCTTGGCCTCCCAAAGTGCTAGGATTATAGGCATGAGCCATTGCGCCTGGCCAGCAGTTTCATGTTTTATATATATATAGATCAAATTCATATTGCTCTAGGATTCAAAGCCCCTTACATTGTTGGCTCTACCTTACTTCTCTGATTTTGTTCTGCTTCAAATTTTCTCTACTGTAGAGGTTAAGACTATAGGTTTTGGATCCCAATTGCTTGAAGGCTCTGCTCCTTCTTAGCCTTTGGGGTTTAGTCAAGTTATTTATCCTCTAATACCTAGCTCAAAAGGTTGCAAGAATTGAATCAGAATAATATATATAAAGAATTTAGTAGAGTCTCAGATCTATTAGACAAAAATATTAGATAATGTTATCGTCATCATCAGCGTTAGACCTTGTTCAAGTCGTTCTTTTCCTGGAATGCTGTTCTTTAAGGACTAGATTAAGAAACAAATACTACACAGTAATTTGAATTCAATTATTTTTCTTTATCAGGTACTGGTTCTTGCACCTACAAGAGAGTTGGCAAATCAAGTAAGCAAAGACTTCAGTGACATCACAAAAAAGCTGTCAGTGGCTTGTTTTTATGGTGGAACTCCCTATGGAGGTCAATGTGAGTACATTCAAAAAGTGAGGGAGGTATAATGCCACCCATTGTTGACTGCTCTGATTGGATTTCTTTTCACCTTGACATCTGGCTTCTCTATATAGGATAGTCGTTTATGGGGATTTTCTTTTGCCATTGTTTAAACATGGTCAAGAACATGGTCCTGCTTGATGATAGGCAAATCCTGTATATCGTTCTTAGGACTTTTATCTATTTATATTTATCTAGGGGCTACAAAAGTAATTTATTATTGAACCCAAAAAGACAGTCCATTTGGGCTCTAGGAAATAGGAAGTCAGAATTCAAGGTTCCTCTTGTCTGTCAGGACCTTGGGTCTGTCCCTCTTTCTGCATGGTTGCTTCTTTCTTGATGTAGGCAGGCTTTCTTTCCTTGGGGCTCAAGGGCCAAATGTTAGTCTCTACTCTTATATTCCATTACTTCCCAGTTCAAGGCCTTGGAGCTTTATTATTAGAGCAGATGTATAAATTAGGAAGGGATTTAAGGAATTTAAAAAAATCATAGTTTTGGCCAGGCGCAGTGGCTCACGCCTGTAATCCCAGCACTTTGGGAGGCTGAGGCGGGCAGATCACAAGGGCAGGAGATCGAGACCATCCTGGCTAACACGGTAAAACCCCGTCTCTACTAAAAATACAAAAAATTAGCCGGGCGTGGTGGCAGGCACCTGTAGTCCCAGCTACTCGGGAGGCTGAGGCAGGAGAGTGGCGTGAACCTGGGAGGCTCCCACGCCCGGCTAATTTTTGTATTTTTAGTAGAGACAGGGTTTCACCATATCGGCCAGGCTGATCTCGAACTCCTGACCTCATGATCTGCCAGCCTCAGTCTCCCAAAGTGCTGGGATTACAGGCGTGAGCCACCGTGCCCAGCCGGAAGTAATTTCTTTCCTGATGCTATTGTCCTCCAGTAGTGCATATTTCTTTCTTTCTTTTTCATTTATTTATTTATTTATTTGGTGAGACAGAGTCTCACTCTGTGGCCCAGGCTGGAGTGCAGTGGCGTGATCTTGGCTCACTGCAACCTCTGTTGCCCAGGTTCAAGCGATTCTCCTGCCTCAGCCTCCCGAGTAGCTGGGATTACAGGCGCCCACCACTGCGCCTGGTTAATTTTTGTAGTTTTAGTAAAGATGGTGTTTCACCATGTTGGCCAGGCTGGTCTTAAACTCCTGATCTCATGATCCACCCACCTTGGCCTCCCAAAGTGCTGGGATTACAGGCGTGACCCACCACGCCCGGCTGCATATTTCTTTTATGTCACTTTGTACACTAGACTGTCACTTCAAATATTTACTATAATTGGGTGCTTTAAATTTTGTTGATATTTTTCACTTCTAATGTTTTTCCCACTAGATTAGGAGTGCCATGAGTATCTTTATCATTATTACTTAGCATATTACTTTGTACTTGTAGGTATTTAACAAATATTTTAGAGTAACAATACAGTTAACTGTGGTACCCCACACAGATAAAAGTACTTACTAAAAACCCAGCAAATCTTGTCATTGTTTTTTATAGTTGAACGCATGAGGAATGGGATTGATATCCTGGTTGGAACACCAGGTCGTATCAAAGACCACATACAGAATGGCAAACTAGATCTCACCAAACTTAAGCATGTTGTCCTGGATGAAGTGGACCAGATGTTGGATATGGGATTTGCTGATCAAGTGGAAGAGATTTTAAGTGTGGCATACAAGAAAGGTAATCCACAAATTCAAGAAGCTGATAAAAAAGACCAAAGGAAGGGTGGTAACTCTGTCTCCTGGGTTCAAGTGACTCTCATGCCTCAGCCACCCTAGTAACTGGGATTACAGGCACCCACCACCACGCCTGGCCTCGTATTTTTAGTAGAGATGGGGTTTTGCCATATTGCCCAGGCTGGTCTCAAACTCCCAGCCCCAGGTGATCCGACTGCCTCACCCTCCCAAAGTGCTGGGATTAGAGGCATGAGCCACTGCGCCTGGCCTGGTGACTAAGTAGTTTTCTAAGAGATTAATAAAGCCTTGGGAAATTGGAATGGGGCTCATTTTATCTAGAAACTTGGATTAAAAAAAAAAAGTCATTACTCTGGGATTAAAGCTGGTGAGGAAAAAAAAAGTCATGATTTATCATATTACCACAATGGGGAAAACTTGGAAAAGTAAAGAAAAATACCATCTTCTGTCATCTTGATGTGGTCTGCTTTTGGTGTATTCCTGATGTTTTGCATTTTATTGTATATATGTGTTGATTATACTCTGACTATACATATAAAAATTCAGCAAAAATACTGTATGAAGTGGTTGGCCATGACTTAATTCTACCATCTGCCTAGTTTGATTTTTATTCAATATAAATAGTTCTGTTTAGCCACTTTTATACAGATAGCTTCTCACCTCAATATCTGGAATTGTTTTTTGTTTTTTTTTTTGAGACAGGGTCTAAATCTGTCACCCAGGCTGGAGTGCAGTGGTGGGATCTTGGCTCATTGCAGCCTCCACCTTCCAGGTTGAAGCAATCCTCCGAGTAGCTGGGACTATAGATGTGCGCCACCATGCCCAGCTAATTTTTCTGTTTTTTGTAGAGCTGGGTTTCACCATGCTGGTCTTGAACTCTTGGACTCAAGTGATCTTCCCTCCCACTTTGGCCTCCCAGAATGCTGGGATTACAGATGTGCTCTACCGCGGCCGCCCTTTTTTTATTTTTAAGATAGGCCCTCACCCTGTCACTCAGGCTATAGTACAGTGGCACCATCATAGCTCACTGCATCCCTAAACTCCTGGGCCTCAGCTTCCTGAGTAGCTTAGGGCTACAGGCGTGCGCCACCATGCCTGGCTAATGTTTTTATTATTGATAGAGACAGGGTCTCACTGTGTTGCCCAGGCTTGTCTTGATTCCTGGCCTCAAGTGATCCTCCTGCCTCCACCTCTGAAAGCATTGGAATTACAGGCATGAGCCACTGTGCCTGGCCTGGAATTGGTTCTTTAGGATAGATTTCCAGAAGTGGAATTACTGAGCTTAAAAGTGTAAAAAATTCATGCTCCTCAATATACATTGTCAAATTCTCTCCAGAAGGGTTCTATCACACTTCTATTTGGAATGTTTGAGAATGTGATGTCACTCTTAAGTAGAATTGAACAAACAAAAATAGTAGCTGGACTCAATGATTGGACAAGAATTCTAAATTCATAAAATATTGAGAATAGAAATCTTAGAATAGATTTCGTTTGTAATTCAAAAGCCTAATGGTCAGAAAGCAAAATAACTTTAAAGTACTTTCACTATTTTAAGGATCTTTTAGATAAATTACCTAGCGGTATTTCTTTGCCCATTGGGAAACCTCTGTCTTCCAGTTTTGTGTCCTCAGTGCCCGACTTGGCCTCAGGTGGTTGCTGGTGAACATTGATGGACTGTGGAAGTATTAGGTTAGGTGGAATACTATGTAGGCTTGTTTGGATTATTCATACTGACTTTTTTTTTCCCCCTCCTCAAAGATTCTGAAGACAATCCCCAAACATTGCTTTTTTCTGCAACTTGCCCTCATTGGGTATTTAATGTTGCCAAGAAATACATGAAATCTACATATGAACAGGTGGACCTGATTGGTAAAAAGACTCAGAAAACGGCAATAACTGTGGAGGTAAATTATTTACTTAGTTGCCAGAATATAAAATTGTATATATTTTTTTCTTGTCTGTTAGTATTAAGACTGGCAAATGCTCTTTTTCCAGATAAATACTAAATCCATGTGAAAAGCCAAGGAAAAATATTTCTATTTGAGCTGTATATGATATCTGTGTTTTTATTTTTATTTTTTGAGATGGAGTCTCGCTCTGTCACCAGGCTGGAGTGCAGTGGCGCAATCTCCGTTCACTGCAACCTCCACCTCCCAGGTTCAAGTGATTCTCCTGCCTCAGCCTCCTGAGTGGCTGGGACTACAGGCATGCGCTACCACGCCCAGCTAATTTTTGTATTTTTAGTAGAGACAGGGTTTCACCATGTTGGCCAGGATAGTCTCAATCTCTTGACCTCGTGATCTGCCCATCTCGGCCTCCCAAAGTGCTGGGATTACAGGTGTGAGCCACCACGCCCGGCCCGATATCTGTGTTTTTAAAATTTCATCATCTATGGCCTCATTTCATTTCAGAATGATTTGGAACTTAAATCTATCTGAGTTATGTAAACATAAATCACACTTAAAATTTAAACATTAGAGGGCAGCAGAGAAATCTAGTGCTTTGTGTTTAAGCTTAAAAGTGTTGAAGTTTAAAATTTCACCTTTGATTCTGATAATCTAGATGAATTAATTTCACTGAGGAACAGACCTGTATATTAATCTACTACAGATTGGGTTTTTAAGTAAATGAAAAGGCAAAACATACAGAAATTTGTTGGTTATTTGGTTTCCTGTAGAAAGCTAGGGAGTGGCATTTCCTTTCCTGCATTTTCCTGGTTGTCAGAAAATAAAGAAGTTAGATGCTCTTTAGAGAAAGGGGAGAGGCATGGGGAGATGGGCAGATCATGTTGCTTTCTGCTTTACTGGCTTATTTAGGTTTTTTTCTGTCAGTGGTGGCTGCAGACAGCTCTTATCAGGCTTGAGTAGTTGTTTCCAGGAGCAAGACATTAGAACATTAGTGTTGTGCTCACTGATCATTGTGTTGTGATTTTAGTTTCCAGCAAAGCTTTACTAAATAGATGTTTTTTTTCTTCTTACATAAGCATCTGGCTATTAAGTGCCACTGGACTCAGAGGGCAGCAGTTATTGGGGATGTCATCCGAGTATATAGTGGTCATCAAGGACGCACTATCATCTTTTGTGAAACCAAGAAAGAAGCCCAGGAGCTGTCCCAGAATTCAGCTATAAAGCAGGTTGGTCCTTCCCCTTATGCCAGCAAAACTGGGGATATCAACAAATCTTCACCTTGGGCATATCTGCTCTTGGTCTGATTTTCATTCATTCAGTGAATACCAGTTTAGTTTAGTTTAGAAATGAGAGGAAGCTACTTTTTTTTTTTTTTTTTTAATTGAGGCAGAGTCTCATTCTGTTACCCAGGCTGGAGTGCAGTGGTGTGATCTGGGCTCTCTGCCTCCTGAGTTCAAGTGATTCTCCCACCTCAGTCTCCCGAGTAGCTGGGATTACAAGTGAGCACCACCATTCCTGGTTAATTTTGTTTTTTCTTTATTTTTTTGAGAGGGGGTCTCGCTTCTTCGCCCAGGCTGGACTGCAATGGTGTGATCTTGGCTCACTGAAACCTCCGCTTCTTGGGTTCAAGCAGTTCTCCTGCCTCAGCCTCCCAAGTAGCTGCGATTACAGGCACGTGCCAGCATGCCCAGCTAATTTTTGTATTTTTAGTAGAGATGGGGTTTCACCGTGTTGGCCGGGTTGGTCTCGAACTCCTGACCTCAAGTGATCCACCTGCCTCGGCCACTCAGAATGCTGGGATTATAGGCATGAGCCACTGCGCCCAGCCTAATTTTTTTTTTTTTTTTTTTTTTTTTTTTGGAGACAGGGTCTCACTCCCTTTGCCCAGGCTGAAGTGAAGTGCATTGGCGTGGTCTCGGATCACTGTAGCCTCAACCTCCAGGTAGCATGCACCACCATACCTGGCTTTTTTTTTCTGGATGGTGTTTTATTATTGATATAATTCATGTGCCACATATTATCATTTTAAAGTGTACAGTTCAGTGGCTTTTAGCATAATCATGAGGTTGTGCCACAGTCACCACTATCTAATTGGGAAGACTTTTTTTATCTTCAACTTTTAGGTTCAGGGGTACATGTGAGGATGTACAGGTTTGTTACATAGCTAAATGTATGCCAAGGTGGTTTGCTGCACAGATCATCCCATAACCTAGGTATTAAGCCCAGCATTTATTAGCAGGATTAGCTATTCTCCTACCCACCCCCAACTAATTTTATTTTTTTAAATTTTTTTTCTATTTTTAGTAGAGACCGAGTCTTGCCATATTGCCCAGGCTGGTCTCAAACCCCAGCCTCAAGCAGTCTGCCTGTCTGGGCCTCCCAAAGTGCATGAGCTACTGCACCTGGCCTCACTTCTTTCTAATGATCAGAGGGTACATGTTAGAACTCACTTAATCTGTCATGGCATCTCATCACACAAATGAGGAAAGGGTGGCTCAGACCTAAGGTTACACTGATAAAATAGGTTTGATCACTCTTGTCTCATTCTCAACTTCAATAAGTAAAGTTGGATACAGTTGGAATTGATAACTGAGGATTTGGAAATAATATTGAGGCTTATCCATTCAAGACACATTTTCCCCTTTGTAATGTTTTCAACAGGCATGTCACCAAAATATGAATGTCTTTTACAGGCCTAACTGATGAAGAGAAAAAGTACTTGTATTGTTGGAACTGGTGTTCTTACATCCGTTTATTTATTGGCAGGATGCTCAGTCCTTGCATGGAGACATTCCACAGAAGCAAAGGGAAATCACCCTGAAAGGTTTTAGAAATGGTAGTTTTGGAGTTTTGGTGGCAACCAATGTTGCTGCACGTGGGTTAGACATCCCTGAGGTTGATTTGGTTATACAAAGCTCTCCACCAAAGGTATGTGCTTTATGCTTAGATTTTATTTTGTTTTGTTTTTTTTGGGTATTAAAACAAATTGGAAATTGTATTATTTACTTTCATGTCATTAGTATATAGCTATCTTTTGAGTGCTGGGATGCTAAGGGTGATTTTGAGAATGAACCTGTTATCAGACACCCCCCTCAGAACTGACACTTGAGTAGAAGTGCAGTCAGCAGACAGAGGTTCAAAAGGTGACTTGGGGATATAGTGTGATTTTTGAGCCAAACCTTGAAGATGGGTGGAAGGACTGAGATGGGATAGGGGTAAGTAAGGTAGATAAATGCATGAGCCTAGAGGACAGGGGAGAGAAAGGGCCTGTAATTAACCTCTGTGGTTAGAGATGCTTAGGTTTGTGAGTTATAGGAACCTCTCAAGGAGGACCCTGAATCATAGTTTACTTGATGTGGATAGTTCTTCACGTAAATAAAGGTTGTTCCAAAGGTATTCCAATCACTTCCAACATGAGGACCCCAAAATCTCACCCAAATTGGCAAATCCCCCATGGTTAAAGGCTGCTTACAACAATGGGGAAAAATAACTGAAGACTATGAATTCACCAATTCTTAAAAAGGAAGTCCCATGAGTGTGTGGTATAAACATTGTTTCACGAGCCTTTAGACTTTTTGATATGGTAGCCACTAGCTGTGTTGAGCACTTGAAATGTAGGTGGTCTGAATTGATCTGTGTACTGCAAGTGTAAAATACATACTGCCTAACTTTTTATTATGCGGTCTGGATTTTGAAGACTTACGAAAAAATACAAAATATTGCATTGGTACCCTGGTTTGTATAGATAGTATATTGAAATGATAAGACTTGGATATTCTGACAGGCGTGGTGGCTCATGTCTGTAATCCCAGCACCTTGGGCGGCTGAGGCAAACGAATCACTTAAGGTCAGGAGTTCGAGACCAGCCTGGCCAATATGGTGAAACTCTGTGAAACCCTGTCTATACTAAAAATACAAAAATTAGCCAGGCCTGGTGTCAGGTGCCTGTTGTCCCAGCTACTTGGGAGGCTGAGACAGCAAGATCACTTGAACCCGGTAGGCGGAGGTTGCAGTGAGCTGAGATCATGCCACTGCACTCCAGCCTGAGTGACAGAGTGAGACTCTGTCTCAAAAGAAAAAAAAAAGACTAGATATATTGAGTTAAAATACATTAAGCTTCTTAAAGAAATCTTTTCAGTCTGTCTACTGGAAGACTGAAAATTGGAATTACATATATGCCTCTAATGGACAAGCACTATTTAGACAATGCTCTTTGTAAATTTGCCTGCAGGACAGGGACCATTGTTCTAGAAGCTTTAAAAATTGCCAGAGGTCTTTAAATTGAAGTGCTAAGGGACCTTCTCCCTCATGTCCCCAGGTTTATAACCACAATTGCTAGTGTTCACTGACCTGCATAGGCTACTCAGGTGTTTGTCTCTCTTTTTTGGTTTAGTGTTACTCATGTATTTTACTTCAATAGGATGTAGAGTCCTACATTCATCGATCCGGGCGGACAGGCAGAGCTGGAAGGACGGGGGTGTGCATCTGCTTTTATCAGCACAAGGAAGAATATCAGTTAGTACAAGTGGAGCAAAAAGCGGTAAAACTATTCTTACCTTTCATTAAGCAAATGTTGAGTTCTAAAGTCAGTCTTTGGTTTCTTCAATTTTTATCCACTTTAAAATATTTTTATTTCTAGTGTGTGGCAATGACTGAAAGCTTATTGTTAGGTACATATGTTGTCCTGTGATAAAAGGCCCATTCTGAAGTAACTTTGCATTTGAAAACAGTGATTTTGTTTTCATATGTTTGAAAGGAAGTTTTCAGACAATGATAAATATGAACCAGAGATAATTAAGATTGAGGGGCTGTAGGAATTGCTTGAAAATCAAATGAATGAGGGTATGTCAAAAGGATAAAGGGGAGAAGAGACTAATTTTTCCTCCAGGAGAATTGGAATAGTGTATGTAGATTCTTGCCCCTTCAGGAGCTTCACTCGTCTCCTTCCTCTTGAGTGGACTGCACTTAGGGACTTGCTTTCAAAGAATAGAGTAAGGTGGGGAGTGAGGACTTTACCGAGGAGAGATGAACAAACACTACCTGGGCCAGTTGATCGTGGGTCACATCATTAGTGATAGGCACATAGCCATGTGCCCCTGATAAGAGGTGGTAAGGCGAGCATTCACTTCGGGTATTCCTCCCCCAAATATGTAACCCTGAGCATGAGGAAAACACAAGACAACCTCAAACTGAGGGACATTCTACAAAACTGTTGACCAGCACTCCTTAAAACTGTCAAAGTCATGAAAAACAAGGAAAGAAGGAAAGACAGACATGGAATAAAGTCTGGGGTTTGATTAATAGTTTAGCCATGTTGGTTTCTTAGTTGAAACAAATATACATTAACAGTGTAAGATGTTAATAATAGCAGAAACCTGGAGCTCTCTGTACTGTCTTTGTAGCTTTTCTGTAAGTCTAAAATTAAAAGTTCATTTTTTAATGTAATACATACATTTGGCCTATATTAAAAAATTAGGGGACTGCTTATCTTATTGGAAACAATTGATGGCCACTGTACATTAAACTGTGGTTCATTTTCCTGTAGGGAATTAAGTTCAAACGAATAGGTGTTCCTTCTGCAACAGAAATAATAAAAGCTTCCAGCAAAGATGCCATCAGGTATGTTCCCTACCACTGCTATGGTCTGTTTTAGTGTTGGTTCAAATACTGCATGTCTTTGTACAGTAATAAGATTTGACTTAAAAAAATTTTTTTTTTAAAATTTTTGAGACAGGGTCTCACTATGTTGCCCAGGCTGGTCTCAACTCCTGGTCTCAAGCAGTCCTCCCAGCTCAGCCTCCCAAAGTGCTAAGATTACAGGTGTGAGCCAGCATGCACAGCCTATTCTTTTTAACTGATAACCTGTTTATCAAAAAAAAACCAGACCGTGCTGAAGTAGAATTTCACAAAGTGGATACCCTCGTTTCTACTCATTCCTGTCCTATCCTGTTTACCAGAGGAAACCACTATTAAAATAGTTTGCTTTGTCTAGGATATTTTAAGGGATAATATCTTAGGTATAGTATAGGTGCTTCTCACCCACTGGCTGATTAGACCACAGATTACATTCCAAATCTACATTAATCCAGTTCCTTCCCTGGTAGGATGAAAGTTGATTGCTTCGTTAATAGTAAATGTCTAGATGGTGAGGATTAGGTTAATTAACAGTTTGTCAAATGGAGGTGCTGCTGGCATTGGAGGCAAGAGAATTATTTTTTATGGGATTGTCCTGCAAATGGAAGGATATTTAGCTGCTTAGGATCCGTGGCTGATTCCCCTGTGCCACATACTCAGGGTAAGTAGGGTTGGCATTATAAAAACCAGAAACCATTTTCCAGATGCCTCCTGATGGTGACCTATGTTCTCTGTTAAAGAACCACTGAGTTTGGGCATCATTTTTATAGTAGTTTTCACAATTACTGTAAATGCTTATTTAAAAAACAGACACAGGGAGTCCATGATCAAAGGAAATCCTGGATGTCAATCAGCATATTAATAGTTCAGGAAAGTTTTGTTAATGAAAGAGTTTTGGGCCAGGCATGGTGGCTCATGCCTGTAATCCCAGCACTTTGGGAGGCTGGGGTAGGCGGATTGCCTGGGCAACACGGTGAAACTCCATCTCTATAAAAAATACAAAAATTAGGCCGGGTGCGGTGGCTCACACCTGTAATCCCAGCACTTTGGGAGGCCAAGGCGGGTGGATTACCTGAGGTCAGGAGTTCAAGACCAGCTGGCTAACATGGAAAAAACCCATTTCTACTAAAAATACAAAAAAATAGCCAGGCGTGGTTGCGCACGCCTATAATCCCAGGTACTTGGGAGGCTGAGGCAGGAGAATCACTTGAACCCGAGAGGTGGAGGTTGCAGTGGGCCGAGATCACACCATTGCACCCCAGCTAGGACAACAAGAGCAAAACTCTGTCTCAAAAAAAAAAAAAAAATACAAAAATACAAAAATTAGATGTGGTAGCAAGTGCCTGTAGTCCCAGCTACTCTGGAGGCTGAGATGGGAGGATTGCATGAGCCCAGGAGGTTGAGGCTGCAGTGAGCTGTGGTTGTGCTAATGTACTCCACCCTGGGTGGCAGAGTGAGACTATCTCAAAAAAAAGAAAGAGGGAAGGAAGGAAGAAAGAAGACAGGGAAGGGAGGAAAGGAAGGATGAGTGTATTTTTTTTTTTTTTGAGACAGAGTCTTGCTCTGTTGCCCAGGCTGGAGTGGAGTGGTGCAATCTCATCTCACTGCAAGCTCTGCCTCCCTGGTTCACGCCATTCTCCTGCCTCAGCCTTCCGAGTAGCTGGGACTACAGGCACCTGCCACCACGCCCAGCTAATTTTTTGTATTTTTAGTAGAGACGGGGTTTCACCGTGTTAGCCAGGATGGTCTCAATCTCCTGACCTCATGATCCGCCCGCCTTGGCCTCCCAAAGTGCTGGGATTATAGGCGTGAGCCACCACACCCAGCCTGGAAGAGTGTATTTTAACTGCATTTTTCAAATTTATTTTAGCATGGCATGTTTTTTTAAGTGTCCTACAGACAGGGTTCCCTTGGGTGCCAGTTAAGGAGAGTTGGGGTTAGATGGCCAAGAAGGGGAATGGGACAAAGATGCTGGTGGTATACAACAAACAGCCTCCAGCGTGCCAGCCCTGACACGGCTGCATGTCACTTTCTCCCCTTTTTACTGGATGATCTTTTTCAACTTTGAATGGGACATTTATTATTGCCAAGATAATAGTGACCCCCTTAAGAATGTACAAATAGTCCCATAAAGGTCCTTATCATTTTTTAAACTGACTTTGGAGGTCTTTTTCTTATTTCTTTTATTTTCTTTTTTTTTTAAAGAGACGGAGTTTCTTAAAATGATTGTGTGTGGCACAGTCATAGCTCACTGCAATCCTCCCACCTCAGCCTCCCAAGTAGCTGGGACTACAGGCATGTGCCACCACACCCAGCTTTTTTTTTTAAACTTCAGAATGGAAATAGGTTTTTTCTGATCCTAAAAGTAACACATGCTTCTTGTATAAAAACTCTTGACATAATTCATCATCACATCTAATGGTAGTATGACATTTTATTATGTCTGTTTTGTGGCTTATATAAGCAGCCCAAATGATGCACATTTTAAAATTGTTTGTACTTTTTGTGTATTATAAGTAACACCGTGGTGAACTTCTTGTTTTATTATTTCCTTAGGATAAAATGGTGGGGTAGGTGATAAATTAGAATTACATACAGTCAAAGGAATGGATTTATTACTATAGAAATATGATTATTATATACTGCATCAAAAATAAATATGTTACACATGTGAAAGATTTGGAAAGTTACTCATTTATCTTGAGATGTCTTAGAAATGAAATGTGTCCACTTCTAGTATCCTTTCTCCTAACACACTCTCAAACAACAGGCTTTTGGATTCCGTGCCTCCCACTGCCATTAGTCACTTCAAACAATCAGCTGAGAAGCTGATAGAGGAGAAGGGAGCTGTGGAAGCTCTGGCAGCAGCACTGGCCCATATTTCAGGTGCCACGTCCGTAGACCAGCGCTCCTTGATCAACTCAAATGTGGTAAGGTTCTGCAGCACATTCCTGACACTTCATAATTTGGGGTATGAGCAGGATATGAAAGGGTTTCATTTAAGCTTCCCAGTTGTTTTCATTTTCTCATGAAGTTAGTAAAGTATTAATTGTATTTTACAATTTCTGGCCAGACACAGTGGCTCATGCCTGTAATCCCAGCCCTTTGGGAGGCACAGGCAGGAGGATGGCTTGAGCCTACAAGTTTGAGATCAGCCTGGGCAACCTAGTGATACTCTGTCTCTACAAAAAAATAAAAAAAAAAAAAATTAGCTGGGCGTGGTGACATGCTGTGGTCCCAGCTACCTGGGAGGCTGGGATGGGAGGAGGGAGGATTACCTGAGCTCAGGAGGTTGAGGCTGCAGAGATCCATGATGGTGCCACTGCACTCCAGCCTGGGTGACAGAGTGAGACTCTGTCTCAGAAAAGAAAAGAACCAATAATTCCCATGTTTAAACACACACACACATACATGCAAATCCATAGAGGCAGAAAATATGAGTGGTCCTGACTGGCTGTGTGGAGGGAGGAATGGCAGTGGCTAGTAATGGATGCAGGATTCTTTTGGGTGGATTATGCCATGTTCTGAAATTTTAGATAGTGCTGAATGGTTGCAGATCTTACAAATATACTAAAACAAACAAAAAAAACACTGGATTATATACTTTCAAATGGTGAATTTTGTGGTATGTGATTTTTAATTGTTTTAATCCTAAAGTAGCCCAAACATATATATGCGCATAAATGCATATAATACATTTAGCCAGCATACCTAGAAACTTTAGAAGGTGTATGCTTTTCTTTTCCTGTAAATTCAAATTTTTATTGAGATAATTGTAGATTTACATGTAGCTGTAAGAAATAATACAGAGAGATCCTTTGTATACTCTGCTCAGCTTCCCTAAATGGCAATATTTTGGAAAACTATAATACCACAACCAAGATATTGACATTGGTACAATCAACCAGTCTTACTCAGAGTTCCCCAAGTAAAACGAGGGACTGTTCGTACTAATTGTTTGTGTGAGATGTATGTTTTTAGGAATAACTTTTCAAGAAATATTTTAGAATCACAAAAGCAGGTATTTATCAATTAGGTTTATTTTCAGCACTTTAATTTTATTCTCCTTTCTTGTGTTGTAAGGGTTTTGTGACCATGATCTTGCAGTGCTCAATTGAAATGCCAAATATTAGTTATGCTTGGAAAGAACTTAAAGAGCAGCTGGGCGAGGAGATTGATTCCAAAGTGAAGGGAATGGTTTTTCTCAAAGGAAAGCTGGTAAGGCTGGGGTCTCTGTTGTAACCTTGATGGGGCTTTATGTGGGCAGGAAAACAGTGTGGTGTGGGTTCTTCCTGTTCTGTGGGGATGCTGCATCTCTTCACTCTCTCATCTTCCCTGGGTAATCTCATCCGTGATCCTCAGATGCCACTCTGCCACTGACAACTACTGTACCTCTATCTCCAGCCTGAACCGTTCTCACAATGCCAGACTTGATCCAGCTGCTTCCCTGACATCTCTACCTAAATAGCTTATTTAAAGTAACTTTTTCAGAATCTTTTTTTTTCTTAGCAATGCTATTCTAGCACTGGACTTATTCAGAATCTTGAATTCAAATTAAAAATGAAAAAATTTGCCTCCCAAACCTGGTGTTCTTTCTTCTGAGGCCTTCTCTTTGTTTATGCCATAGACTATCACAAGGATTCTCAAACATTTTGGTTTCACAATCCCTTTAGCAAATGTTAGGGACCCCCAAAAGCTTTTGTTTACATGGGTTATATCTATTGATACTTACTGTATTAGAAATTAAAACTGGAACTCTAAAACACAATATCATGTTCCATTAGTCATCAGAGCAATGATTTTATCACGTCATATATGTCTAGGAAACTCCACTGTACCCTTGAGGGAATGAGTGTGGAAAGGGCAACATTATTATGAAAATAATTTTGACTTGGCGAAGCCCCTAAAAGATCTCAGGTTTCCAGGTTTCCATTGGCCTAGTGAACTAATCGGATTTATCTTCAACTTATTGCATGTCTAGCCATGTTGTTATCTCCTTAAGCAACTCCACAAAACTTGTGGGATAAAGTCTCAACCCTTTCATAGGAGGATAAGATCCTTCATGTCCTGGCCTCTGCTAACCTTACAGCTTAATTTCTACCTCATTGCTACCAACACCATTTACTCCAGCAGTGCCCAGTACACCATGCTTTATCTCATCCTCAGTGCATGCTGAACCTACTATTTATAGTAATCTTTCGGCTGGGCCCCGTGGCTCATGCCTGTAATCTCAGCACTTTGGGAGGCTGAGGTGGACGGATCACCTGAGGTCGGGAGTTTGAGACCAGCCTGACCAACATGGAGAAAACCTGTCTGTACTAAAAATACAAAATTAGCCGAGGATAATGGCGCATGCCTGTAATCCCAGCTACTCAGGAGGCTGAGGCAGGAGAATCACTTGAACCCGGGTGGCAGAGGTTGCGGTGAGCCGAGATCGCGCCATTACACTCCAGCTTGGGCAACAAGAGTGAAACTCCGTCTTAAAAAAAAAATTTTATATATATATAAATCTTTTCCTCCAAAGTAGCTTTTATGACTTTGCTTAGCCTTAAATCTTACCAGGCAATGTTAGGGGCGTCTTTATCTGTACTTCAGAGTCTTTAGGACACATGTTTATGCAGGTAAACTTTTACCTTGCTGTGTTTGCTAATGGAGAGCCTCAAGAACACTCAAAGGCAAAAACTGTTTTCTAATTACCTCTATACCCAGTGAATGCCTGGGATTATACTCTACTTCGTAAATATGTAAGCGAAGATTCCCATGAATGGCAAAATCCACCAGTAGGTGATGATACCTATGTTATGATTGGGTAAATTTTGGGGTGAAAGGGGTGTTCCTTATAAAATATTGCAGTTGAAGACAGCAGGGAGAGGAGTGCCTGTATTAGTTAACACATAGTTTGACTATATTTTTAGACGATTTCCTTGATTGGAGAGGATGGCACTTAATATTAAAGATGGTGTCCTGGCTAGGTGCCATGGCTCACACCTGTAATCTCAGTATTTTGGGAGGCTGAGCTGGGAAGATAATTCTTGAGACCAGCCTGGGTAATGTAGTGAGACCCTGTCTCTACCAAAAAAAAAAAAAAAAAAAAGCCAGATGTAGTGGCATGCACCTGTAGGAATTCAAAGTTACAGTGAGTTGTTAATTGCACCACTGCACTCCAGCCTAGGCAGTAGAGCAAGACCCTATCTTAAGAGGGAAAAAAAAAAGATGGTGTCCTGTATTATTTTTTTCATACTCTTACAGAAGGCTGAATTAAGAAAAACCAGAAAATCAACAATAGAAGATCACTTGTTTTTCTGCTTTTAATTAGGTCATTCTGAATAGCTGGCATTGCTTTTCTGATGGAAGGCAGTATATAGTTTAGACTATAGGTTTTAGAGCCATACAGACTAGATTTTAAATACTTGTGCCATTTAATAGCTGTGGGGCCTTAGACAAGTCAGCTAACCTTTCCAAGCCTGTTTGCTCAGCAATAAAATGTAGCTAATAGCCACTAGGGGGTTAGCACAGTGTAATAGCTAAGACTCTGTCTATAGTTAGAAAGTTCTAAATCATTTGGGGTTCTTTTTTTCAATGTTCCTTGTCTTTCTGCAGTGTACTTTTGGCAGCTATAATGTATTAGCTTTGGTCTAAAGTTCATCTAAAATTATACCTGGTGGTTTTTTTGCTTTATGTTTTTTGTTTTCTTTTTTTTAAAGAATACGTGGTCTTTTAAAGGGAGTATTTTTCATGTGCGTTGGTTGGATTAACTTCCATTTGCTTTGATTTCTAGGGTGTTTGCTTTGATGTACCTACCGCATCAGTAACAGAAATACAGGTATTCTTTTCCCTTAGATTTTAAAGTTAACATACCTAAATTGTAGAATGTTAATTATGAAAATAGAGAATAATAGATTGGGAAACAATAGTTCTGGTTCCTTTAGTAAGAGATAATCGATAATTAAATTTTGGAATATTCCCCCCTAACTTTTTAATTCTGATATTTTTGTAGTTGAACCCACCTGGTTTCTATATTTCCTTTATACAAAGTTGTGAACGATATCCAGCTCTCCCCACCCTTTAACACTTATATATGGTATATAGATTTTGTGTGTGTGTGTGTGTGTGTGCATGTGTGTGTGTGTTTTCAGACAGAGTCTCGCTCTGTCGCCCAGGCTGGAGTGCAGTGGTGCAATCTCGGTTCACTGCTACCTCCGCCTCCCGGGTTCAAGCGATTCTCTTGCCTCAGCTTCCCAAGTAGCTGGGATTATAGGCCCATCACTACCCCCAGCTAATTTTTTGTATTTTTAGTAGAGACGGGGGTTTCGCCATGTTGGCCAGGCTGGTCTCGAACTCCTGACCGCGGGTGATCCACCCACCTCCCAAAGTGCTGGAATTACAGGCATGAGCCACCACGTCCAGCCTACAGGTTTTCATAGACATTTAAAATTGTTACATCTTTATTCAATACTGTGAGAAATGTGTGCTTAATATATTTGTTTTATTACCTTTGGCTGTAGATACCCTGTAGCAATTGAGTTGAATAAATGGTTTAATAACTTAATAAATGAAGTAGTGATGAGGGCTATTTCTCATAATGAAACTGTGTTTTCCCACACTTCAGGGACACTGGCTTTTGGACCATGATGGGTGGCCAGTGTTATTTTTGACCAGTGACTTGTTAAGCACTTATGTTATCACCTTTTCTTTGAAGAAGTGGCAAATATTTTGTTTTTCTCATGCTTTTTAAAAATTGAATACTAATTAAAGCACACAAAAACAAAACATTCTCTCAACAGGAGAAATGGCATGATTCACGACGCTGGCAGCTCTCTGTGGCCACAGAGCAACCAGAACTGGAAGGACCACGGGAAGGATATGGAGGCTTCAGGGGACAGCGGGAAGGCAGTCGAGGCTTCAGGGGACAGCGGGACGGAAACAGAAGATTCAGAGGACAGCGGGAAGGCAGTAGAGGCCCGAGAGGACAGCGATCAGGAGGTGGCAACAAAAGTAACAGATCCCAAAACAAAGGCCAGAAGCGGAGTTTCAGTAAAGCATTTGGTCAATAATTAGAAATAGAAGATTTATATAGCAAAAAGAGAATGATGTTTGGCAATATAGAACTGAACATTATTTTTCATGCAAAGTTAAAAGCACATTGTGCCTCCTTTTGACCACTTGCCAAGTCCCTGTCTCTTTCAGACACAGACAAGCTTCATTTAAATTATTTCATCTGATCATTATCATTTATAACTTTATTGTTACTTCTTCATCAGTTTTTCCTTTTGAAAGGTGTATGAATTCATTACATTTTTATTCTAATGTATTATCTGTAGATTAGAAGATAAAATCAAGCATGTATCTGCCTATACTTTGTGAGTTCACCTGTCTTTATACTCAAAAGTGTCCCTTAATAGTGTCCTTCCCTGAAATAAATACCTAAGGGAGTGTAACAGTCTCTGGAGGACCACTTTGAGCCTTTGGAAGTTAAGGTTTCCTCAGCCACCTGCCGAACAGTTTCTCATGTGGTCCTATTATTTGTCTACTGAGACTTAATACTGAGCAATGTTTTGAAACAAGATTTCAAACTAATCTGGGTTGTAATACAGTTTATACCAGTGTATGCTCTAGACTTGGAAGATGTAGTATGTTTGATGTGGATTACCTATACTTATGTTCGTTTTGATACATTTTTAGCTTCTCATTATAAGGTGATTCATGCTTTAGTGAATTCTTCATAGATAGTATATATAAAAGTACATTTTAATAGAAAGCCAGGGTTTTAAGGAATTTCACATGTATAAGGTGGCTCCATAGCTTTATTTGTAAGTAGGCTGGATAAATGGTGCTTAAATGGTAATGTACTCCACTTCTTCCTATTGGAAGATTAACATTATTTACCAAGAAGGACTTAAGGGAGTAGGGGGCGCAGATTAGCATTGCTCAAGAGTATGTAAAAAAAAAAAAAAAAAAAAAGAACCAAACCACTGGAAATAATCAAATGCAAAAAGGTAACAAATTCATAACTGGAAAGCAAAGAGAAGAACAAGTATGATTTGGATGATAAAGCATTGTTTTAATGGTGAAAACTTCACAGATCACTAATGTTTCTAGAGGTTAACTTCAAGTGGGCAAGCTGGGGTTTTTAGGTAGTCAGTGGCCTAGTTCCTAAAGCCACAGTATAGGATCTGTTAAACTGAATGTCTGTTGAAAGTTTGTTTTAGCTGCTTGGAGGCTTCCTTTTAAGACAAACTGTATGTGATTAAGTTGTTTTGAGGGAACTGAAGAACCTGATGTAGCCCCTGGCCAGATAACTGCCTGATTTCTCAGATATTATTTCTCTGGGAAACATTCTACATAGCACAGGAGCTTAAGAGTGGCATTATCTTCTCGCCTTAATTTCCAGAGATTATTTCTGTACTGAGAATCCTGGAACTACTATGCTAGGAAATTTAAAGCTGCATGGTCTGTCTTGTTTTCATTTAATTATTGTGAATACCTAGAATCTTTCTTGGTCCTGATTTCTCTTGCTTAATCCAGTCTTTATCTCTAACTGCCCCTTATTTGATCACCATGTACTAGGAGCTCTGATAGCCAGCTCAGCTCCTAATCCTTGAGGCAACATTCTTTTTCTATTTGAACTTCAGTTCTGTCCTTGAATCCCGACTAGATATTTCTTGCCCTCTGGTCTCAGAATTCTCTTGGCTTTTATTCCTTGATCCACTTGCCAGTTTTATCACTTTACCCTTGTTCCTCATGGCTTCCCATCAAGCCATGGGTATTAGGTGACAGTGTAATTTATTAGATTCTGGTTTTGCCCAAATACTGGGCATGCTTTAATAATAACTGAACCATTTCATTATTTGGATAGGCATGGGTACCTTATCAAGCAGATTAAAAGGATATGGTACCCGTCCTTTAGAAAAGAACAGCTAAAACCTTGTTGTGGATTATGGATTTAGCCTAAAGAAAAATAATCTGGCATAAATTAAGAGTAAGAGAGAAGATTAATAGAAATTTCACTTCACATAACTTAAAACATGGCTATTTCAATAAAGGACTAAAGTTTCTCCTGGATCCCAGAATTCAACCTGTATTTATAAATGTATAATGTATTTAGCTACTTTTTGGTTTAAATGAACTTGTTGGGTTAGCTTGGTAAATGTTATAATTTTTACTATTTTCTACAAAGAAAATATTTTCTAATTTAAGTTGGAGCTATCTGTGCAGCAGTTTCTCTACAGTTGTGCATAAATGTTTTTACTATAAAATGAGCTAATGTATAAAATACTGCTGTATACCATAATAAAGATAGTAATACTTGATTTTAGTGGCTTTTGTTTTCTAAAATGAAAATAGCTTGAAATATTTATTATAAAAATAATAAAAGCTAGATATAAAAATCTAAAGAGAAAAAAAACCAGTCACCCTTATCTAATATTTTAGTGAGCAGTCTTCCACATGTTCATTTATAAAATTGGAATTATTTGATTTTGTGTATTGCTTTTCCCCCCTCAACATGTTGTGCACAATTTTGTACAGGCTTACATGGACATTTTTGATGACATGTTTTCTTGTATGGATATGCCACTACACATTTAACCAGTACTCGATGTCCATGTTGGTTATTTCTAATTTTTCACCATTATAAACAACCCTAAAGTTAATATCCTCACATATGTGTTTGCATACTCGTCTGTCACCTTAGGATACGTTTTCTAAAGGTAGAACTACAGCTTTGAACTCCTAGGCTCAAGTGATCTTCCCTCTCAGCCTCCCAAGTAGCTGAGACTACAGGGGGGTACCACCAAACCTGGCTAATATTTAAATTTTTTATAGAGATGGAGTCTCATTCTGTTGATCAAGCTGTTTGTGAACCCCTGGCCTCAAGCAATCGTCCTGCCTTGGCCTCCCAAAGTGCTGGGATTATAGGTGTGAGCCACCATGCCCGCCCTCTTCTAATTATCTGTCATGAGATGGATCTCCAGTCATTGCATTGAGGTTTATGTATTTAATATATTTAGTGTTTTCCCTATACCGGGGCATGGATTTTTGTCTTTCTTTGAGACAGGGTCTCTATCTGTTACCCAGGATGGAGTTCAGTGGCATGATCATAGCTCACTGCAGCCTTGAACTCCTGGGCTCTAATGACCCTCTTACTTCAGTCTCCCACTTAGCTAAGACTATAGGCATGTGCCGCCACACCTGGCCAATATTTCTTTAAAAATGTTTTTTGTAGAAAAATTAGCTGGGCATGGTGGCGGGCGCCTGTAGTCCCAGCTACTTGGGAGGCTGAGGCAGGTGAATGGCGTGAACCCGGGAGGCAGAATTTGCAGTGAGCTGAGATCATGCCACTGCACTCCAGCCTGGGTGACAGAGCAAGACTCTGTCTCAAAAAAAAAGATGTTTTTTGTAGAGCCAGGGATCTCACTATATTGTCCAGGCTGGTGAATTTTTATCCATTTTTTACTGCTGAATTCCCAGCACCTACAACAGTGCTGGCAAATAATAGATAACTAAATATTGAACAGGTGAACAAATTTTTTTTTTTTTTTTTTTTTTTTGAGACAGGGTCTCACTCTGCTACCCAGGCTGGTGTGCAGCGGCTTGATCACAGCTCACCGCAGCCTCCAACTGCCAGGTTCAGGTGATCTCCCATGTCAGCCTCCTGAGTAGCTGGGACTACAGGCATCCACCACCATGCCTGTCAAATTTTTGTATTTATTTATTTATTTTTTTGTAGATACGGGGTTTTGCCATGTTGCCCGGGCTGGTCTTGAACTCCTGGGCTCAATCGATCCCGCGACCTTGGCCTCCCAAAGTGCTAGGATTACAGGTGTGAGCCATTGCGCCTGGCCCAAATCATTTTAAATGTACTGGGAGATGCACTGATAGGAGGCCAAACTGGCAGCAGGACTGCCTGTTAGAAGTAATCAGATGATGGTGGCCTAAACTAATGGAGATAAAAAGATGTACACAGAGCTCTTTAGGAGGTGGACTAAGCAGTACTATCTGGTTTTAGGTTTAATGACAGAAGAGGCCTGGTGCAGTGGCTCACGCCTGTAATCACAGTACTTTGGGAGGCCAAGGCGGGCACATTACTTCAGGTCAGGAGTTCGAGACCAGTATGGCCAACATGGTGAACCGCCCCCCCAACCCCGTCTCTACCAAAAATACAAAAATTAGCTAGGTGTGGTGGTGCACACCTGTAATCCCAACTACTCAGGAGGTTGAGGTTGCAGTGAGCTGAGACCACGCCAGTGCACTCCAGCCTGGGCAACAAAGCAAGACTCCGTCTCAAAAAAAAAAAAAAAAAAAAAAAAGAATGACAGAACAGGCTGGGCTTGGTAATCCCAGCACTTTAGGGGGCTGAGGTGGGAGGATTGCTTGATAAGCCTGGGCAACATGGCAAGACTCCATCTCTACCAAAAAAAAAAAAAAAAGTGCAGGAAATCAGCCTGGTGGATGGTGGTGCCATTCACTGACATGTAGAACTGCAAATGTGGCAAATTTGGTATGGGAAGGAAGGGGCATGTGAAGAGGAAGATCATTTAGACTTGAACATACTGACACACAGCAGCTATTGAAACATTCAGGTGTGATTGTTGTAGCTGGATGTTGGATATTCCAGTCTGGAGCTCTGGAGAGCCATCTGGCCTGGAGACAAAGTGGGAGTGAGCAGCGTGTTTAATGATAGACCTGGAAATGGATGAGATCTCCCAGGGATAAGGTTTAGGAAGGACTTTTTAGGAGCATTAACACTTAAAGGATAGACGTTTAATTTTATTTATTCTTCAGAATAATTCTGTCGAGGTAAGTAGTATCATTCAGATTTTACTGTGGGAAACCTGAAGCTTAAAAAAGTTAACTTGTCAATAAGAAAGCTGGTTGGTCTGAGGTTCAAACCATATGTCTATGAGCTCCCAAAATCAATGCTCCTTTGTATGTCTCAAAGCACTGTACACAGCTGGTGCTTAATAGTTAAAATCTTCTATCACCCCTCCCCATTTGACTTGATAACTTAGGAAGGTAAAAGGCATGAGGCGGCTTTCACAGCTGTGGGACTTAGCTCTTGTTACCTTGGGCAGTTGTACAGATTCCTACAACCTGTATTTCAGGGTCGAAGTGAAAATATTTGTCTATCACTGAGTGTTTTGTATATTTATGGCTCTCGATCAAGAGATTATGTGTCAATGATAATAATCAGCTCTTGGCTACATTTCAATTTTTTTTCTTTTATTTTACTTTTAAGTTCTGGGATACATGTGCAGAACATGCAGGTTTGTTACATAGGTATACATGTGCCATGGTGGTTTGCTGCACCTATCAACCTGTCAGCTAAGTTTTATGCCCCGCATACATTAGGTATTTGTTCTAATGCTCGTGTTTTCTTTTTTTCTGAGGCAGTCTCGCTCACTGTAACCTCCACCTCTTGGGCTCAAGCCATCCTTCCGCCTCAGCCTCCATGGTAGCTGGGACTACAGTCGCGCGCCACCACGCCCGGCTAATTTTTTAAAAAAAATTATGTAGAGATGGGTCTTGCTATGTTGCCCACTCCAGTGGGCATCCCAAAATGTTACTGGCATCCCAAAATGTTAGGATTGCAGATATGAGCCACTGCGCCTGGCCTTTTTTAAAAAAAGTTTTATCCAGTGACAGGCTGGGCTATACACTTAATGTCTAAAGGTTTTTGCCTTTCAGTTCATATCAACGCGAGTAGAGTTAGCTAGCTATGTTTGTAAACAATATTCCGATATGCTTCGTTAAAGTAAGCCGATATTAAACATTTATATAAATCCATCCTCACAGGGTCAATCTGGAGATAAACTCACCGCTGCAGGGGGCGGGGAAGGAGGTGGGAACACGCTCATTGACAACTTCATTTCCATGAGAATGGTTGCTGTGGTGATTGCTGCGTCTTCCCATTGGTCATTGCCGAGCGTATTGCGGTTCTCCGGGAGGGTTATATTGGTTCCCATTCCACAGCGGCCGCAACGTGTCGAGAGCCGTAAGTAAAGTGTCGCAAAGCAGAAGGAAGGCGGGAGTCCCGACTGCAAACATTGAGGAAAGCCAGGCAGTAGAGGCCGCTATGGCGAACGTTCCGTGGGCAGAGGTCTGCGAGAAATTCCAGGCGGCGCTCGCTCTGTCGCGGGTGGAACTGCATAAAAATCCGGAGAAGGAACCATACAAGTCCAAATACAGCGCCCGGGCGCTACTGGAAGAGGTCAAGGCGCTGCTCGGCCCTGCGCCTGAGGACGAGGATGAGCGGCCTGAGGCCGAGGACGGCCCGGGTGCCGGTGACCACGCCCTGGGGCTGCCGGCTGAGGTGGTGGAGCCCGAGGGGCCCGTCGCCCAGCGAGCGGTGAGGCTGGCAGTCATCGAGTTCCACCTCGGGGTGAACCACATCGACACGGAGGAGCTGTCGGCGGGGGAGGAGCACCTGGTGAAATGCCTGCGGCTGCTGCGCAGGTACCGGCTCTCGCACGACTGCATCTCTCTCTGCATCCAGGCGCAGGTGAGAGCGAGCCCGGCCAGGCCGGCCCCTGTTGGCAAATGGCGAGGGATGGGGAGGAGCCCCTGCCAAGGCCAAGGGCAGACGTTGTAAGGCGCAATTCGTCCCCACGTTTTTGTAGCTCTGGACTGAGTCCCAAAGAGCGTCTGTGGTCTTCAAAAAAGCCAGTCTTATGGACTTATTGCCTTGTAACTAGATCTCCCACAGTCGGCCGTCCCCAGACTCCGTGTCCACCCTCGTCGCCCACACCAATATCGCTTGCTGCTGCTTCACTTAGACGTGGCGATGCATTGGTGTCCGAGACCCTCCTACATCGTCATGCGCTTTCCTCTCCACCAGTCCAACTCCTGTTCATTCTGTTAAGAAAATCCAAAGTAATTTAAATCTTAACGTCTCAAGGAAATGACAATGACCGGAGTACATTCTTTTTTGGTTTTGTCTTGTTTTTGTTTTTTTCTTAGAGATGGGGTCTCACTGTGTCGCCCAGGTTCGAGTTAAGTGGCACCATCATAGCTCATTGCAGCTTCCACCTCTTGGGCTCAAGCAGTCCTCCTGCCTCAGCCTTCATAGTAGCTGGAACCACAGGCGCATGCCACCATTCTTGGTAATTTTTTTAATTTTCTGTAGAGATGGGGGTCTCACTATATTGCCCAGGCTGGTCTTGAACTCCTGGACTCAAGTGATCCTTCTGGCTCACCTTCTCAAAGTGCTGGGATTACAGGCCTGAGCCGCTGTGCCTGGCTCGGAATACATTCTTAATTCAAAATAAAATGTCCAAAATCTGCAGCTTCCTTTCTTACCAAATTCATTTGTTTGCATCTTAGGGAATTCTTCCCCATTCTTGAAAACCTATCTCAAGAATCACTTCCTTTAGTATTAATAACTTTCTTGGGACCATTTTGGGCCAAACTGATCTCTCCCTCCTACCTTTGAATTCTTATAATACTTTTTGTTTCCCATTTATATGGTACTTGGTTTCTTAAATAAATCTGGGCAGGGCACAGTGGCTCCCATCTGTAATCCCAGCATTTTGGGAGGCCGAAGTGGGAGGATGGCGTGAGGTCAGTAGTTCAAGACCAGCCTGGGCAACAAAGTGAGACTCTGTCTCTTAAACAAAACAAAACAAAACAAAAAACCCACAAAACTAGCCAGGCATGGTGGTACACGCCTGTAGTCTTAGCTACTGGGGAGGCTAGGTTGAGCTGGGAGGATCACTTGAGCCCCTGGAGGAGCCATGATCATGCCACTGCAACTGCAGTCTGGGTGACAGAGCAAGACCTTTTCTCAACAACAACAAAATCCACATCAATATTCTAAAGTAATATTGGTCAACACCTGTGAAAAGAAGGGGTGAAAAAAAGAAAAATACTTTAAAAAGTTAAAATAATATTGGGACAGGTGAACATGGATGTTTATCACAGCAGTGTTGATTATTAAAGAAGGAAAATCGCAGGGCTGAGGCAGGAGGATCGCTTGAGCCCAGGAGGTCAAGGCTGCAGTGAGCCAAGATTGTATCACTGCACTCCAGCCTGTGCAACAGAGTGAGACCCTGTCTCAAAAAGCAAAGAAAAGGAAAACAATATAAATGTCAGTAGGAATATGATTAAATTCCGTTACATCCAAACAGAAGAACAGTACACAATTATTAAAAATAATAATTTATATTAACAAAAATTGGCAATATGAAGAGGGAGGAAGAAGACTATAAGCCATATTTAGAATTATGTAGAAAAGGCCGGATGTGGTGGCTCACACTTGTAATCCTAGCACTTTGGGAGGCTGGGATGAGATGATCACTCGAGCTTAGGAGTTCAAGACCAACCTGGGCACATAGTGACACCTCATCGCTACTAAAAATAAGAAAAAAAAATTATTCCAGGCATGGCTGCTTTGCTAGGCAGTATGTTCTTTGGGCAGCCATCGGGGCCCCAACCACCACCGGGGCTCTGGGGCCAGGCTTCCTTTACTTACCAGCAGCTCCAGGGCCTCTGAGACCTTCTAACAGTACTTTGGTGGATGACATGGAGTCATCTTTCCAGACTTGCTTTGCCTCTCCGTTAAGTCAGGACTATGTCAATGGCAGCAATCAGGAAGAAATTGGAACTGGTGTTGATCGGTGTATACACAAGTTTCTGGATATTGCAAGACAGAATATTTCTTTCCTACAAAAAAGATTGCAATTATCTGTCCAGAAACCAGAGCAAGTTATCAATGAGGATGTCGATGTCTCCGAACTAAGAAATGAATAACATTGGAGACATGCACTGGTCCAGAAGCACTTGACAAAGCTAAGGCATTGGCAGCAAGTGCTGGAGGTCATCACGTGCAGTACAAAAAGCTAGCTGACATCCATCAAGGCTCCTTGGTCTACCTTGAGCAGGCATTCAATATCCCTGCACTTCTGAAGTGCACCTGAGCAAAAGGGTAAAGGCTGTGGGCCTGAGAGTGGGCTGGTGTGGGAGAGCCCCATGCAGATGGTTTGCCACACATCCCTTCTTGTAGACTTGGCATTTTGGAAGAACTCTTTGACAGAGAATGAGTTGATTTTAGTTTTATGCTCCCACCTAAAATTTTTTCACTATTTTTATAAGATGTTAATTTCTTGAGTACTTTATTTATAACATGCCTGTACCTTGGGTAAACCAAGTAAACTTTTTTTTGTCTTAGGCAAAGTTTAGACTGTTCGTATGATGATACACTTTCTTTTTTATGTGGGTTTTTTTTTTTGCTTGTTTTTTATTTTTATTTTTATTTTTGAGACAGAATCTTCCTCTGTTGCCCAGGCTACATAGCAGTGGCACCTTCACAGCTCATTGCAACTTCCACCCTCCTGGCTTAAGCGATCCTTCCACCTCAGCCTCCCAAATAGCTGGGACCACAGGTGCCTGCCACCATGCCCAGCTAATTTTTGTATTTTTAGAGAGACGGTGTTTCACCATGTTGCTCGGGCTGGTCTCGAACTACTGAGCTCAGGCAATTCTACCCACCCCAGCCTCCCAAAGTGTTGGGATTACCAGTATAAGCCACTGTGTCTGGCCTTTTAAAAATTTTTGCATGACTTTTCATCTTTTTATGTGTGTTTCCCATTTGTTTGATATGAGGGAAAAATTTCTAATAGCTTGAGAATCAAGGGGATGGGGATTTTGGTTGTAGGCATTTTATAATAATTAACCCCTTAGCAGTGGTGTAGAAAAATAGGTAAATTTTTTGTTTCAAGACTTAAAACTACCTCAAGAAGAACAATCTAATGTAACAGTATTTGTAACGCTTCCAGAGGTCTCAGATGAGGAATTTTTTTGTAAATGGTTTGGAAGAAGATTAAAATATCCTGGGTTAGCGTAGTAACATTACGGTAGGATCCTTAGGTTGATGCTGACTTTTGTTTGGGGTAAGTTTATATTTTGTGTGGTGTTTATTTACTTTTTTTGAAGAGGAGGATGTAGTAGGAGCAGTGTTACAAATCAGTTTAAGTAATGGAGTAGACCCTGTTGTCAGTGGGGCATAGATGAGTTATGAGGGCTAAAGCTTGCTCTGATGGTCTCTTTTTGTTTTGTTTTCTTTGCTTTTATCTTTTGTTTTACATTTGGGGAGGGGAGAGATTTTCCATTAAGGAAGGTTATTGCTAGTGGATTTGATTCCAAGGGTCTGGGGTGTCACAGTAGGGTTGGGGAGGGGCTGCAGGGTGATCCTTGGCTACTGAACCTCCACAGAGAGCATGTGGTGCCCCTGCCCTTTCAAGATAATTTACTCTCTTGTTAGTTTTGCAGGCCACCTCAGATTCTCTGTTGAATTGCTGTTAAGAAATACAGACCAGTGTTGTTTCTGGGCTCTCGTTGGGTGAGGTTTTCCTGAGTTTTATGTCTCTTCTTAGTTCACATCGTGTTACCCAGAACACATGCTTCACTGTCTTCTGAACAGGCAGTACTCCTGTGGCTCTGTGTCTTGGCTTGTTTAGTTTTTTTCAGCCTTGAAGGCTCCTTCCCACACTTACTGACATCCACTCATGTTCCTGGTATGACCTGGATTGCTGCCTGGTCCCTGCAACCTCCCAATGCCCTTTCTGCTGCATTCCCAGAGCACAGGACTTTTCTCTTTTCTACTGACCTTGCTTGGTTCTCCCTTGTGGGTTAGTAATTTCTGTCTGTCTCTTTGCCCCTCACTAATTGTTCACCCATGAGAATTAGGTATTATTCCTTTTAAATATACAGGGACCATATAGTCTTTATCTTTTATACATGATACTTATTACTCAATTTTGTGTGTGCAAGGTATCTGGCACATGGACCTGTGATTAGTAGCCTGAGGTCAACAAATCTCAGTTAGAATGCGTAGGTTAAACAAAGCTTTTTTTTTTTTAAATTTAATTTAATTTTATCTTTATAGAGATGGGGTCTCACTATATTGACCAGGCTGGTCTCAAACTCCTGGCCTCAAGTGATCCTCACATCTCGGCTTCCCAAAGTGCAAGGATTATGGGCATGAGCCACTGAGCCCAGCCTAAACAAAGCTTTTAAAAGCTCCTGCAACCTCAAGGTTGTTAACCTGGTCATCTCATGGTAATTAGAAACTCTGATTGGCTGCTTTAGATTTCTTGATTAAAAACCTAAGTAAACTGATTAAGTTTTAGGCATTCTTTCAAAGGTTTCTCAGTGAAAAGATTGGGAACTATTCTATTTGGTGCTTTGTGAAAATATTTTGAATTAGTATATGTGCCAGTTATTGCCATTTCTTAAGTCCAAAATGTTTTTCTGGTCAAATAAATAGCAGTTTTTCAAAAACAAAAATTAGCTGTGTGTGGTGGCATGCATGTGTAGTCCCAGCTACTCAGGAGGCTGTGGGAGGACTGCTTAAGCCTGGGAGATCAAGGCTGCAGTAAGCTAAGATGGTGTCACTGCACTCCAGCCTGGGTGACAGAGTAAGACCCTGTCTCAGAAAAAAAAAAAATTTATAGAATGATCCTATTTTTGTATAAGACTAAGTATACACACACACACACATACTTACATTATATATACACATATAGTAAAAAGTTTATATACATGTGAATATATACAAATACGTATGTATGTGTGTGTATATGGAAGAGTTTTGCAAGTATCAGTTAATGGGAATTCATGATATTCTAACTGCTTTGTCTTAATCTGGTGTATTCTCCTTGGGGAACTACAGAACTTGGCTCTATATTATTTATCAAAAGAGATTGATATTACATTAGATTATCAAGAGATTTCTGTCTTCTCTGGGTTCCAGTGCCTTAGGAATAATTTTTATCTGGTATTCCTTCTGATCCTTGTTATCACCAGTACACACTGGCACTACCATCTTGATTACTTCACTTTAGTAAAATTTCCTAGGAAATTAGTAGATTGCTGTCCCCACTCCAGGTTATATATGTATAGGAGTACTTTTTGTTGTTATTGTTCACAGATTCATTGAGTTGCAATTGGCATATAATAAACTGCACATATTTTTAAGGGTACAGTTTGATGAGTTTTGACATATATATTTATACCTGTGAAACAATCACTGCAATCAAGATATGAACATATCTGTCACCACCAAAAGTTTTCTTGTGCTCCTTTGTAGTCCCTCCCTCTCTCCTATATTCTTTTCCTCCCTTCTGCTTGCCCCCAACCCTGCATTTTGTAGAATTTTATTTTATTTTAGAGACAGGGTCTTACTATGTTGCCTAGGCTGGCCTCAAACTCCTGGGATCATGTGAACCTTTCACCTCAGCCTCCTGAATAGCTGGGACTATGTAGAAATTTTATTTTATTTTTGAAGACGGGGTCTGGCTCTGTCACCCAGGCTGGAGTGCAGTGGTGGGATTTCGGCTCACTGCAACCTCTGCTTTCTGGGCTCAAGCCATCCTCCCACCTCAGCCTCCTAAGTAGCTGAGACTACAGGGTCACACCACCACGCCCAGCTAATTTTTGTATTTTTTGTAGAGGCAGGGTTTCACCATGTTGCCCAGGCCTCAAGTGATTCGCCTGCGTTGGCCTCCCAAAGTGCTGGGATTACAGGTATGTGCCACTGTACCCAGCCTATGTAGAATTTTATATAAATGAAATCATATTGTATATACTCTTGTTTTGGTATACCTTTTTTCCACTCAACATCGTTATTTCATTCTGTATCTACTGAGCTGATCGTGTCTTTTCATTTTCAGTCTGTTAATAGGGTGGATTACATTGATTTTTGTAAATGTTAAACTAATCTTGCATTCCTGGGATAAACTCCATTTGGTCGTAGCGTATTCTTTTTATATATTGTTGAACTGAATTCACTAAATTTTTGTTTAAAATCTTTGCATCTGTGTTCATGAAGGATTTCAGTCTGTAGTTTTCTTGTTATATCTTTGTTTAATATGAGATGGGAAGTGTACTGTCCTTTTCTCTTTTCTGGAAGTGTTTGTGTAGTGTTGGTGTTAAACTTCATTACATGTTTGGCAGAATTTACCAGTAATACTTTTTTAGCTGTTTTTATTTTATATTTTACTTTTCTCCTTACCTAGTTTGATAGTGGCAAGGATATGATATGTGAAAGATGCAAGACCTTCCATTGTAGCTTTTCTACCCTTAGTAGGATTTATATTGTATTTAAAGAATAATTCACATAAAGGCTGGGCACGGTACCTCATGGCTGTAATCCCAGCACTTTGGGAGGCCAAGGCGGGTGGATCACTTGAGGTCAGGAGTTTGAGATCAGCCTGGCCAACATGATGAAACCCCATCTCTACTAAAAATACAAAAATTAGCCAGGTGTGGTGGCAGGTGCCTGTAATCCCAATTGCTCAGGAGGCTGAGGCACAAGAATCGCTAGAACCCGGGAGGCGGAGGTTGCAGTGAGCCAAGATCATGTCACAGCACTCCAGACTGGGCAACAGAGCAAGACTCTATCTCAAAAAAAAAAAATGGTAATAATAATTCAAATAAAATGTCAATAGTGATTATCTCTGTGGAGTCAAGCTTTAAAAAAAAAATCCAAAACACCAAACCTAATTTAATTTTAAAAATAAAGGTGGGCCGGGTGTGGTGGCTGACGCCTGTAATCCCAGCATTTTGGGAGGCTGAGGTGGGTGGATCACCTAAGGTCAGGAGTTCAAGACAAGCCTGGCCAACATGGCAAAACCCCGTCTCTACTAAAAATACAAAAATTAGCTGGGCGTGATGTTGGGCGCTTGCAATCCCAGCTACTCTGGAAGCTGAGGCAGGAGAATAGCTTGAACCTGGGAGGTAGAGGTTGCAGTGAGTTGAGATTGTGCCACTGCACTCCAGCCTGGGCGACAAGAGGGAAACTCTCAAAAAAATAAATAGGCTGGGCATGGTGGCTAACACCTGTAATCCCAGCACTTTGGGAGGCTGAGGTAGGTGGATTGCCTGAGGTCAGCAGTTCGAGACCAGCCTGGCCAACATGGTGAAACCCCGTCTCTATTAAAAATACAAAAATTAGCCGGGCATGGTGGCGCATGTCTGTAATCCCAGTTACCCAGGAGGCTGAGGCAGGAGAATCGCTTGAACCCAGGAGGTGGAGGTTGCAGTGAGCCAAGATCGTGCCACTGCACTCCAGCCTGGGCAACAGAGTGAGAGACTGTCTCAAAAAATAAAATAAAATAAAAAATATTTTGGCCAGGCGCAGTGGCTCATGCCTGTAATCCCAAGACTTTGGGAGGCTGAGACTTGAGTCCAGGAGTTTGAGACCAGCCTGGACAACATAGTGAGACTTTGTCTCTATTTGAAGAAAAATAAAATAAAAGTGATTTGATCATTCCACTGGAACATAGCACTTTGGTCTTCCGGCTTTACAAAATATATCCATTGTATATATATTTTTTTAAGTGACTTGATCAGTCCTCAGTATCCAGGACTATAGGTCATACTGATAATGTTTTGAGATTGGATAGTTCTCTCCTCTATGTTACTTATGAGGTCCTTTCCAGGACCTCATTAAACTACATAAGTAATAGAGGCTTGACATAATAGAGGACCTTATTAAACCTCATAAGTAATAGAGACTTGAAGGGTGATATGGTTTGGCTCTGTGTCCCCACCCAAATCTCATGTTGAATTGTGATCTTCAGTCTTGGAGGAGAAGCCTGGTGGGAGGTGACTGGATCATGGGGGTGGATTTCGTCTTGCTGTTCTCATGAGATCTGGTTGTTTGAAAGTGTATAGCACTTCCTTCTTTGCTCTCTCCCCTTCCTACTCCAGCCATGTAGAATGTTTGGGCTTCCCCTTCACCTTTTGCCGTGATTGTAAGTTTCCCGAGGCCTCCCCAGCCATACCTCCTGTACAGCCTGTGGAACTGTGACCCAATTAAACCTCTTTTCTTTATAAAGTATCTAGTCTCAGGTAGTTCTTTATAGCAATATGAGAATGAACTAATAGAAAGGGCTCTGCCTTCCTAATAACTTACTGATTGTAATTTCCTGATCTTAGACCTACAGGCCACCTTTTCCTTACTCTTTAGTTCAACTTATTTCTCCTTTGATGATAGACAGTGCTTGGGAAACTCCTTTGACCATGACACCAGTAAGCCCCACTGCAGCACACTGCAACTAACCTAGGTAGTCTAGAGACTCACCTAGTACCAGAAACTGGTTAGTCACACTCTATTTTTGGGACAGGGTTGTGTTTGGCCTGCTATATTCAGGGTAGACTGTGCCACAGAAAGCAACAATTCTTGGTATGTGACAAATCTGAAACCATGAAACCATGATTGTAAGTTTCCCGAGGCCTCCCCAGCCATACCTCCTGTACAGCCTGTGGAACTGTGAGCCAATTAAACTTCTTTTCTTTATAAAGTATCTAGTCTCAGGTAGTTCTTTATAGCAATATGAGAATGGACTAATACAAAGGGCTCTGCCTTCCTAATAACTTACTGATTGGTCATGTTACATGTTAGTCAGGCTGGTCTTGAACTCCTGACCCCGTGACCTGCCCGCTTCAGCCTCCCAAAGTGCTGGGATTACAGGCGTGAGCCATTGCACCCAGCCCAAAAGATTTTTAAAACAAAATGTGTGATATAGTAATATATATGCTTCTTTATTAACACATTATATAATGTGTCTAATATCTATGATGATTGTAAAGTAATGATGAGCATAAATGATATTTTGAGATATCTGCAAACTAGCATAATAGAAAGGTTTTTTTTTTTCATTTCTATTGTTCACAAAGTCCCAGGTCCTATAATACTGCTACAATTTATTTCCTGTGTTCATAATGAAAAGAAATGCTGTATTTTAATAGGAGATTGGTGAAAAGAAATTTGTATTTTTTTCCCTGTCCAAATTCATGGACTCTGAATTCTCTTTATGGATGCCTTGGGGATCCTTAGACTTGAGGTTAAGAATTTCTGCATTAAAAACTTCCTTCCCTAGTGGCAAAAGATGGTAGAAGGCCAGCCTCAGAAGTATCCTTGTGCCTGAAGGACTGACTATTCCAAGGGAAGTGAGGTAGACTAACCCCACTACATACATACATACATACATACATATATGTATATATATATATATTTTTTTTTTTTTTTTTTTTTTGAGACAGAGTCTCAATCTGTAGCCCAGGCTGGAGTGCAGTGGCACGATCTCGGCTCACTGTAACCTCCACCTCCTGGGTTCAAGCAATTCTTCTGCCTCAGCCTCCCAAGTAGTTGGGATTACAGGCATCTGCCACCACACTCGGCTAAATTTTTTTTGTATTTTTCAGTAGAGATGGGGTTTCACCACGTTGGCCAGGCTGGTCTCGAACTCCTGACCTCAAGTGATCTGCCTACTTCGGCCTCCCAAAGTGCTGGGATTACAGGTGTGAGCCACTGTGCCGGGCCCATATATATAATTTTTTGGTTTTGGTTTTGTTTTTGAGACAGAGTCTTGCTCCATCACCCAGGTAGGAGTGCAATGGCACGATCTCGGCTCACTGCAACCTCTGCCTCCCAGGTTCAGGCAGTTCTCGTGCCTCAGCCCCCCAAGCAGCTGGGATTACAGGTGCACGCCACCACTCCTGGCTAATTTTTATGTTTTTAGTAGAGATGGGGTTTCACCATTTTGGCCAGGCCGGTCTTGAACTTCTCGCCTCAAGTGATCTGCCTGCCTCGGCCTCCCAAAGTGCTAGAATTACAGGCGTGAGCCACCATGCCTGGCCTATTTCTTTTTTTTTTAAAAAAAAAGTTCTCTGGAAGAGCATAGTATTTTGAAAGTATTATATGTTTCTGATCCATCTTTGTCTATTATCTCAGAATCTCACCATGGCTTAGCTGATTGTTCCTTACTCAAAGGCCCACATCATATTGTTGACCTGCTGGGGCTCGCAGTAATACTTGAAGACTGGGACGCCGGGAGGATCCATTTCCAACTTACTCACATGGTTGTTGGCAGGATTCAGTTCCTCACAGGCTTTTTGACTGAGGGCCTCAGACTGTTGACCTCTCTCATTTCCTTTCCATATGGGCTTCTCCATAGGGTGGCTCACAACATGGCAGTTGGCTTCCTTAAGAAGGAGCAGGCAATTGACCGGGCGCGGTGGCTGACGCCTGTAATCCCAGCACTTTGGGAGGCTGAGGTGGGTGGATCATGAGGTCAGGAGATTGAGACCATCCTGGCTAAAACGGTGAAACCCCGTCTCTACTAAAAATACAAAAAATTAGCCGGGCGTGATTGCGGGCGCCTGTAGTCCCAGCTACTTGGGAGGCTGAGGCAGAAGAATGGTATGAACCTGGGAGGCAGAGCTTGCAGTGAGCTGAGACCATGCCACTGCACTCCATCCTGGGCGACAGAGCGAGACTCCGTCTCAAAAAAAAAAAAAAAAAAAAAGCAGGCAATAGATAGCATCCAAAATGGAAATCAAGGGTTTTGTTAACTAATCTTGGAAATGACTTTCCATCACTTCTGTGATAGTCTAGTCGTGAGAAGCACATCACTAAAACCAGCCTGTACTCAAGGGGAAGAGGTTACCTAAGAGCATGAATACCCCGAAGCAGGGATCATTGGGGGTTAATTTTAGCAGCTACCTGCTGCACTACATAAGGTCAATATCATTGTGAATAATTAATTCATTGGTAATCCAACTCTACTATTTGGTTGGTTATAAGTATTGACTTCAAAACTATGAAAGTTACTTTAATTGGAAGTCTTATATCATTGTTTGTTTCTCTTTTTCTTTATTTTCCAGAATAACCTGGGTATCTTGTGGTCTGAAAGAGAAGAAATTGAAACTGCACAGGCTTACCTAGAGTCATCAGAAGCACTATATAATCAGTATATGAAAGAGGTATGTTACATGTCAGATGAGTTTTAAGTTTTGATTGAAACTAGTTAAGAATTGATAGTAAGAATCCCTCATTCGTAATATTGGTGTGACTCTTCACTGTGCCCTAGAACTTCTCTATAGAGCCATCTGGGAAGTCACCTCATAGCTGAAATTATTGCATATTAAAGACTTCAGGGTTTTAAAAAAATAATCCTTGTATAGGACATAATGGCCACCTAGTCTAAATACAATTATAAAGGAAATATTATTCTAGTGTTATCCTAAAATACTATTTGCATGTTTTTGTATTTATAATCTAAACATTCTATTTTAGTTTTCCATGAAAATAGCACTACTTGAAGGAAACAAGAACTACTTTAACAAAACATCTGAAATCTTTGAAGCAATGGTTCTCAAATGTTAGCACCCATCAAAATCTGGAGAGCTCATGAAAGCACAGCAGACTGGGCATCCAGGCTCTGATTTAGTAGTTCTGGGGTGGGGCCTAGGAATTTGCATTTTTAATAAGATCCTGCCTGGGTGATGCTTAAATGCTGCTGGTCTAAGTACTATACTGTACTTTGAGAACCACTGCTTCAGGGCAATGGTTTTTCAATGATTTTTTTTTTTTTTAACCCGTGAAACCCTTCTGAAAATGCAGCATATAAAAATTGATTGAGTTACTCTGGTTAAGCAGGTTAGAAGGACCCAGAGCCCACTCCACTACAGATTCTTCCTCCTCCCCACTGCAGTAGCACAAAAGAGATGCTGTAGAACTTTTAGGGGTCTGGGGAGCCAACATTGAAAACTCTCACTTTAGGGGTCACAGCCTGCAAAGGTGACAAGCCACTGTGTTACCATCTGTTTCCTTAATAAACTTTTTTTTAATATGAAAGGGAAATAATCAGGCACAATATTTTCTTGTGGATTACTATTTGTCACAGCTATCTGCTTTAAAAATCCATTAATACGGCTGAGCATGGTGGCTCATGCCTGTAATCCCAGCATTTTGGGAGGCCGAGGCAGGTGGATCACTTGAGATCAGGAATTCGAGACCAGCTTGGGCAACATGGTGAAATCCCATCTCTACTAAAAATACAAAACAGCAGGCATGGTGGCGCACGCCTGTAGTCCCAGCTACTCAGGAGACTGAGGCAGGAGAATCGTTTGAACCTGGGAGGCAGAGGCTGCAGTGAACTGAGATCACGCCACTGCACTCCGGCCTGGGCGACAGTGAGACCCTGTCTCAAAAAAAAAAAAAATCCATTAATAAAGTGCTTTTATAACATTAAAAAAGTTGAAATAACATTAGATATCACATAAAAGAGACTAAACATACAAAATTATGTTTGCTAAATTCATGCGTCAGAATGCTTGACTGCAAAAGGATATAAGAAGCTTGGTATGCCTGTAATCCCAGCACTTTGGGAGGCTGAGGCTGGAGGATCACTTGAGCCCAGGAGTTTGAGACCAGCCTGCGCAACACAGGAAGACCTCATCACTACAAAAAATTAAAAAATTTGCCAGATGTGGCACACACTGTAGTTTTAGCTACTTGGGAGATTGAGGCAGGAGGGTCGCTTGAGCCCAGGAGTTTGAGGTTGCAGTGAGCTATCATCGAACCACTGTACTCCAGCCTGGGTGACAGAGCAAGATTCTGTCTTTTTTTTTTTTTTGAGATGGAGTCTCGCTCTGTTGTCCAGGCTGGAGTGCAGTGGCGTGATCTCGGCTCACTGCAACCTCCACCTCTTGAGTTCAAGTAATTCTCCTGCCTCAGCCTCCCAAGTGGCTGAGATTATAGGTGCCCGCCACCATTCCCAGCTAATTTTTGTATTTTTATAGAGACCGGGTTTCACCATGTTGCCAGGCTGGTCTCAAACTCCTGACCTCAAGTGATCCGCCCACCTCAGCCTCCCAAAGTGCTGGGATTACAGGCATAAGCCACCATGCCCAGCCTCGTACCTTGGCATTTTAACTTTCTTCCTGAAGTACTAACAAGAGCAGAGTGCCACAAAACCAAATAGAGATATTAGTCTACCCTTTCTTGCTTTTAGGCTCACAGTCTTATATGTGAAATTGTTAATTTAAAATGTAAGGTCTGAGGCCAGGCACAGTGGCTCACGCCTTTAATCCCAGCACTTTGGGAGGCTGAGGTGGGTGGATTGCCTGACTTAGAGGTTCAAAGATCAGCCTGGGCCACATAGTGATACGCTGTCTCTACAAAAACTAAAAAAAAATTAGCTGGGTGTGGTGGCGTGTGCTTGTGGTCCCAGCTACTTCGGGGGCTGAGGTGGGAGGATGGCTTGAGTCCGGGAGGGCAGTCCAGGAGGTCAAAGCAGCAGTGAGCGAGGATCCTGCCACTGCACGCCAGCCTAGGTAACCAAATAAGACCCTGTCTCAAAAATAAGTAAAATAAAATGTAAAAGCTGAACACGGTGACTTACACTTATAATCCCAGCACTTTGGGAGGCCGAGGTGGGAAGATTGCTTGATGCCAGGAGTTCAAGACCAACATGAGCAACAAAGCAAGAACCCGTCTTTACAAAAAAAAAAAAAAAAAAAGTTACTAAGCATCAATAGTATTTCATTAAAAATAGTATTTGTATGGAAACATAACACATATAGTGAAATTCCTTGTGTTTAGTTGTACCTCTGTTTCAGTTAAGAGACTGATTTGACTGTATTAATATTACGTATGATGTGTGAAAGCCATAACAGTGAAGTATGTACATAAAATAATATATTGATTAATTCCCCTCATCTAGACAGGGGTAAGCATGGTAAGCAGCCCTCGGAATTGTTGAAGAGTTCTCTGAAGAATTACTTATCTATTGTGTTTGCCTTGGGCCTTGCTTCCTGTCTTAGTTGTTTTTACTTTATGTGAATCCTGGGAGCCCACGTTGTGATGCTTTTAGTGTTTACATCCAGAATGTAAAATCATATTTTTATGAAAGACGTTGTTCCTTTTTGAGTTTAATGAATTCAGTTAAAAGCAAGAGTGTGTTTCTAGATGGGACTATCCTCATAGAAGTAGAATGAGGCAGAGGTTAGGTAGTTCTGTTTTGGAAGACGTAAGAGGGGGTTGTAAGTGATTTATAAATATTACTTAATCCTCATGAGATAGATACTGTTATTACCCTTATTTTATAGATGACTAAACAGAAGCACAAGAGATCAAGTGACTTGCCCAAGGCAATAAATAATGGAATCTGGTTTTAATGTCCCTGTATTGAAAGGGGGTAATACACTTTTGTTATTTCCTTGAGAAAAAAATATTAGAATAAATATTAAAATCTCTCATTTGATTTTTATTAGTGGTCAGTTTAGAATACTACTACTGTAGAAATATATACATTTTTCCTATTTGTTTTGCTTATGCATGTTTTTAAAAGAGCCCTTTTACCAGACAAAATTGCCATTTGAAATACTTAAAGAGGGGTCGGGCACGGTGGCTTACACCTGTAATCCCAGCACTTTGCGGGGGCCGAGGCAGGCGGATCATGAGATCAAGAGATTGAGACCATCCTGGCCAACATGGAGAAACCCCGTCTCTACTAAAAATACAAAAATTAGCTGGGGGTGGTGGCACGTGTCTGTAATCCTAGCTACCCAGGAGGTTAAGGCAGGTGAATCGCTTGAACCCGGGAGGCGGAGGTTGCAGTGAGCCGAGATCGCACCACTGCACTCCAGCCTGGCAAAAGAGCGAGACTCCATCTCCAAAAAAAAAAAAAAAAAAAAAAACTTAAAGAGGCTGGGCACCTTAGCTCATGCCTGTAGTTTCAGCACTTTGGGAGGCTGAGGCAGGAGGATCACTGGAGGCTAGGAGTTCAAGACCAGCCTGGGCAACAGAGCAAGACCCCCATCTCTAAATAAATAAATAAGAATTAAAAAAAGAAAAAATACTTCAAGAATTATATATGTCTAAAAGCAGATTGGTGGATTTTTTGCATATTTGCAGTTTAACTGCAACAACAGTAAAATTTTGTCAAATGTGAACTTTTGACATTTGGTTAAAACAAATAAAAGGGTATCTTTTATTTGTTTGACTCAGATTTTATGGTTAAGAAAATTACTTGTTGAGGCGGGTGCAGTGGCTCACGCCTATAATCCTAGCACTTTGGGAGGCCAAGGCAGGTGGATTGCTTGAGCCCAGGAGTTTTAAGACCAGTCTGGGCAACATAGCGAAACCCTGTCTCTACAAAAAATATAAAAATTAGCCAGGACTGGTGGTGCACACCTGTGGTTCCAGCTACTCAGGAGGCTGAGGTAGGAGGATTGCTTGAGGTGGGAGGATCGGGAGACGGAGGTTACAGTAAGCCGAGATTGTGCCACTCCACTCCAGCCTGGGTGACAGAGACCCTGTCTCAATAAATAAATAAAAATTTAAAAAACAGAAAATTACTTCTTGAGTAACATAAAAATGAACTAGGAAAAAATGAAATGTATTTGGCTTGTAGAAGTTGATTTCTCCAGGTCCTCCAGAAGAGGGCACTTGGTGTTTACAGTTTAAAACTTTAAAGAGCTTTTGTTTTTCTTAATTGTAGGTTGGGAGTCCTCCTCTTGATCCTACTGAGCGTTTTCTTCCTGAAGAAGAGAAACTTACTGAACAAGAGAGATCAAAAAGGTGAGTAGGTATAGAAATCAGCCCTTGCAAATATTTCCACATATCATAGATTAGTGATTGTTCAAAAAGTCACTTATAAAGGTTATAGAATGTGGATTCTGACAGGAGTAAAACCTCCATTTACCACTTACTTGTTATTTGACCTTGTTCAAACCTGAGACTCAGTTTCCTTATCTGTCAAATAGATACAATAAACAAATCCAACTCAAAGGGTTGGTGGGATAATCAAAATAAATATATATGAAATTTACTTATAAAACGTAAACCATGGTCCGGACACGGTGGCTTACACCTGTAATCCCAGCACTTTGGGAGGCTGAGGCGGGTGGATCACAAGGTCAGGAGTTCAAGACTGGCCTGACTATTATGGTGAAACCCCGTCTCTACCAAAAATACAAAAATTAGCCAGGCATGGTGGCAGGCGCCTGTAATCCCAGCTACTCGGGAGGCTGAGGCAGGAGAATTGCTTGAACCCAGGAGGCGGAGGCAGTGAGCCAAGATCGTGCCACTGTACTCCAGCCTGGGCAACAGAGCGAGACTCTGTCTCAGGAAAAAAAAAAAACAAGTAAACCATTACACAAATATTGGTTTATTTTTTCTTTACAGATTTGAAAAGGTTTATACTCATAACCTATATTACCTAGCTCAAGTCTACCAGCATCTGGAAATGTTTGAGAAGGCTGCTCACTATTGCCATAGTACACTAAAACGCCAGCTTGAGCACAATGCCTACCATCCTATAGAGTGGGCTATCAATGCTGCTACCTTGTCACAGTTTTACATCAATAAGGTAAGCTTCTTGAAGTAGTTATCTAACAGAGTACCAATAGTGAGTATAAAAATAGAACCAGTAGTACCTTGAAAATACTATCTTTTAAAAACAGGTAGCTTGTATTTTATGATGTACAACTGAAGCCGAAAATGCAGCCCAGTTTGCCCGTGTACTAAAATTTTGTAGCTTTTTGTTGTATGAATTATTTTGAGTTTTAAAATACCGAGTTTTATCATTGTTTTACATGTTACCTAAGACCAATTCTTTTTTTAACATAGGCACGCTATCTCAACTCATTTTAGTGAGATATTACCTTAAATTGCAGATTTTACCTTGTAGATATAGCTTTATCTTTACGTAATGGTAATCTCATAACTCTGAGAATTTGACTGAGGAAGTTGACTGTTAAATGTGGGCTTTGATAAAAGCATGTGATGCATTTCAGTTATTTTTCAGAATTAACTCTGTAATAATTTTTTAATGTTGGAAATATGTCTGCTGAGTTCCAAAGTTCTAGGTCTTTATACCATACTTCTTTTGGATTGTTACACAGGGACAATGTTTTTGAGCTTCTTAGTTGTTTATCAGAATTTCTCATAAAAATTTAAAAAAGCATTGCTCACATCATGTTGGTGTACTCTTAATTGACCCATTTATTCCTTTAATCCTTGAGAGTTTTTAATGCTAAAATAATTTTACACCACCTTTTCTAACCAGATTTTCCTATTAATCCTTAATAAGACATCTCAGCAATATAAATTACTTTTATTTATATTTCGAATTCGCAAGCCTCTCTGAAATTTTGGTAGTTCTCTGCTTATCAGAGTTCCTTCTTTCATCTCTCTGGTAACCCGCTGCCTTATCCTTGGGCCTTTATCCTTTTTGAGCATTTCGTTAGCGTTGGTTCTGTAAATGCGCCCGATGATTAAAGTATTGTCCCACAGAATTTCATTCAGAAAAGCTATTAGCAGGAGAGAAAGGGCTGTGGTGACTGCAGCATCGCTTCTAGGACTTTGGTCTAAGATCAAGTGTGTAAGTAACGCTACTGCATATATCAGAGCATTCAGTTAACTAATTCTCATGAATCCATTTCATTGTCCTCATCCAAAGTGTTATCCAGTGCCTCCGCTTGTGACATCTTTTTTACAGCTGTTGGAGGCCCCTTATTCATTCTGTTTAGCAACTTTAAAATTACATATTCACTGTGACTTTAATTTATACTTAAAACTCCATGGAAATTGGCAGTACTAAGATATCTAGATATTAAAGTGTGATTAAAATTTAAAGTTGTTAAGCATTACTTATGTGGAGCATGCAGTAATTTTCATGAGACCTCCCACACCCTGCACTTTTATTTTTTTACCAAAATCTTTTTTAAGTTTTTGTTAAAACCAACTAAGTCGTATTGCAAAAAGAGGGATTTGAACCATGTTTTTAAAAATGCAATTGTCATTTATATCATTGTCATCTTCATCTGATTCCAGTGATGAGGTTTTGCTACTTGGTGAATCCCTACCTGGCAGCTGCTAAAGTCCCACATTTACCAGCCACCTAGAGGGCATAAGACACTCACTGTTCTAGCAGTGGTTGCTCACAGGGAGCCAATCTGGACAAAGCTGAAATGACGATAAATGTTAAGGGATTGGATTATAGAGAGATAATTAAAGTTTCATTATATAAACTCTAACTTTCTTTTGGCTTTTAAGATTTAACACATTTTTATCTATAGATGTTGCTGGGCTAATACTACACGTGTCCAGCTATTCTCAAGATGGCTTCTGAATTTGCCATAATGGAAAGATACATTTAATGCTGCAATTTTAAAGTTATAGCCAACCATTTAAAGCCTTTCAGGTATTACTAATATTAAGTAGACATTCTATTTAATGAGGGTGGCTTCCAACTAAAAGTTGGACTTTAACTTTGAACTTCTGCTGGGTGGTCCTTTGACTTACATGACAAATACAAAATGTTTCTATTAACAAGGAGATCTTCTCTAATTGTTTGAGAAGTTTGCCATGCCCGGAATTGAATTATGAAGTCTTCAAGAGTGTTGGTAAAGCAGTTCCATAAGGTTCATCTGTAGAAGTCTGTTGACTTTAAAACTTGGTGGGAAGCCTTATTGTATGTAAAGTTTAAAGATTTTAGAACACAGGAATATCTTCTTACCTGAGTTTATCCTATTTGCCTTTGTATAGTAGGATGTAAAGGGGCTCTCTAAACCTAATAAAAATTAAATCCTCAGGCTGGGCAAGGTGGCTTACATCTATAACCCCAGCACCCTGGGAGGCCAAGGTGGGAGCATTGCTTCAGGCCAGGAGTTGGAGACCTGTTTAGGCAACATAGAGAAACCCCAGAATTAGTCAGGCTTGGAGGCTAAAGGTGGGAGGATCCCTTAAGACCAGGAGGTTGAGGCTGCAGTGAACTATGATTGTGCCACTGCACTCCAGCCTTGGGCCAGAGTGAGACCCCTGTCTCGTAAAAAAAAAAAAAAATATATATATATATATATATATATATATTCAGTCTTCTGACACAATGTAAATAGTCTAAGAATTTATTGTGCATGGGATTTTGGCTACTTAGACTGAACCTAAAGGAGTTTTTGAGACAGTTTAAGTCTAGGATGACAGCCATTCCTGTATATCTATTGATTGTATAAGGAGAGCTAACTTTCAGTTGGCAGTTGTCTTTCAATCCGAGTGGATTATTATTAAGAGTTTGGGGGCATTAATATTTTAACCTTTGAGGTTACATTTTAACCAGATAATATGATAATATATCTTTTGTACCTTCTGAATGATCTGCAACTCTACAGGGCCTCCTTTGTAGTATTTTTATCTGATTTTATACCTTTTCCCATATTAAAAGAAATTATGCAAGTATCAGTTGCAAATAAAGCTGTGTGATAGTTGCATTCACTGTTGTTTATTTCCCCAATAGCTATGCTTTATGGAGGCCAGGCACTGTTTATCAGCTGCTAATGTCATTTTTGGTCAAACTGGAAAGATCTCAGCCACAGAAGACAGTAAGTTTACCTTTGCATGTTTTACATAGCTTTTAAAAAAAGTTTTATTTTGAAATTATTTTAAACTTTTGAAAAGTTGCAAGAACAGAAGAGCTATCATATGCCCTTCTAAATGCACCAATTTTTAGTATTTTCCTCGCTTGGAATCAAATTTTATTTTTCTCTCTGAACCATTGGAGAGAAGGTTACATACATTAGGCTCTTTTACCCTTTCATACTTTAGTATATATTTCCTAAGAAGAATATTTTCTTACATAATCATAGATCATTTATCAAATTCAAGAAATGTAACATTGGCCAGGCATGGTGGCCCACGCCTGTAATGCTAGATTTTGGGAGGCCAAGATGGGAGGGGCCAGGAGTTCAAGACAAGCCTGATCAACATAGTGAGACCCCATCTCTATGTTTTTAAAGAAATTAAAAAAAAAAAAGTAACATTGATACAATTCTTTTATCTACACTGCATATTTCTATTTCATCAGTTGTTGCCATAATATTCCTTCTAGCATTTGTTTGCCAGTACTGGATTATACAGTTCAAGATTGCATAATGCATTCAGTTGTCACATCTCTTCAGGCATTTTTCGTCTGGAATTGTTCCTCAGCCTTTCTTTCCCTTTCATCACTTAATATTAAGAATATAGGCCAGTTATTTCATAGAATTACTGCCAGCTGGGGTTTGTGTGATGTTTCCTTATGCCATGATTCAGATGATATATTTTTGGTTGGAATACTACATGCATAAGCGATGTTGCCAAATACCCATCTTTTTAAGTATAGTGTTTCCTTTAGTCTTAGAAAATCACAGTTAACATGTGTCTTTGAGTCATTTAACAGGTTTTTTAATAAGTTCATCATTTTCTTTAAAAATAGTTTATTTTTAAAAATAGTTTGATTCTATTGCTCACTGTTGAACAGTTTCCAACCTTCTTACGATGTTTTAGATTTTGAAACATCATGTCTTCCTTACAAATGGACATTCTAATTGTGGATCTGAAAAATGCAGAGACTCTTAAGAGCTAAAGGAATGTACATTATCAAAGTAAATAGTTGCTTTCTCCCCTAATATATTAACTACATTAATTATAGATTAGTTGAAGTCTAAGAGGCACTTGTCTCAAAAAATGAATAAAAACTAAATTGCTGAGATATTATTTAATAATTCACTTTATTTAAAGTAATATCGTGAGATATTATTTTGTTTTTACTCTTCATAATAGCTGAAAAAATGACAGTGACCAGTGTTTTCAAAATGTTCTTATTGAGCATTCTCATATATTGTTGGTTGGCATATTTGTTGAAAATAATTTGGCTGTATGTTGTGAATTATTTAAAATTGTGTAAACTCTTTTACTCAGTAAATTCCACTTCTAGGAATCTGCCCTAAGGAAGAAATCCAAAATCCAGACAGATTTTTGCACAATTATACTCATGTTTCAAGTTTAAAAAAAATGTGTGTATGTGTATAAACTTTACAAAGCTTTGTGTTGACAGCTGACTTTGTAGATTACAGCAAGAAAGCTGCTCTGCTATGTATGACACTCTGACCCAGAAGCAGGTCATCTGAATAGTTTAGCACCAGGTTCTCCACAACCATCTGTTGTGTGACATAGACGTTTTTGTGATAGTAAAGAATTGGAAACAACAAATTCCAGGTTAGAATTAGAAGAATGGTTAAATAATAGAATATCTATTTAATTGTATATAATGGTGTACTTAAAAATGAAGCTAAGAGTTGATAATGATATGAGTAAAGTGTTTGTGGTGCGAGAAAGAAATATGCAAAAATAATAGTGAGTGCTTCTGGGTAGTAGGATTTGGGGGGGGATCTTTCTTCCCTTTTCCCCAAGCCCCCTGCTTCAGTAAAGATCTGTTACTTTTATAGTCAGGAAAAAGTGATATTAAAAAAATTACAGTACCCAATGAAAATTACAGTTGTGACCATTAACTTAAACAAATCACATGTATATTTTAGCTCCTGAAGCTGAAGGAGAAGTGCCAGAGCTTTATCATCAAAGAAAGGGGGAAATAGCAAGGTGCTGGATCAAATACTGTTTGACTCTCATGCAGAATGCCCAACTCTCCATGCAGGTAATGCAGTCAGAAGCTGCCTTTTTCTTTCTTAAATGAGGAAATTGTAAGTAAAAACTCATAGTGGGGATTGTGCTCATTGGGGTCACATTGTGTTTAATATGAAAGGTGTGTAGAATGTTTTCGTAAATATTTCTTTCTTGGTTTTAAATCGTATTCTTCGAATTGCTTGAATCCGGGAGGCAGAGGCTGCGTGAGCCGAGATTGGACCACTGCACTCCAGCCTGGGCAACAGAGCGAGACTCCATCTCTAAATAAATAAATAAATAAAATAAATCTTACTCATCATTCAAGGCCTATCTTAAATACTACCTCTTCCTTGAAGACTTTTCTTTGGTTAGAATATAAGCTTCTTGAGAGCTGGGAACGATATCATATTCTTTTTTTTTTTTTTTTTAGACAGGCTCTCGCTCTGTTTCCCAGGCTGGAGTGTGGTGGCGTGATCATGGGTCACTGCAACCTTGGTCTCCCCGGCTCATGCAGTCCTCCCACCTCATCCTTGGAGTACAGGCGTGTGCCACCATATCCAGTTAATTTTTAAATTATTTTGTAGAGACTGGCTCTCACTGTGTTGCCAAGGCTGGTCTTGAACTCCTGGGCTCAAGTGATCTTCCTGCCTTGGCCTCCCAAAGTGCTGGGATTACAGGTGTGAGCCACTGTGCCTAATCTTTTTTTTTTTTTTTTTTTTTTTTTTTTTGAGACGGAGTTTTGCTCTGTCGCCCGTGCTGGAGTGCAGTGGTGTGATCGCAGCTGCAACCTCTGCTTCCTGGGTTCAAAGGATTCTCCTGCCTCAGCCTCCTGAGTAGCTGGGATTACAGGTGCCTGCCACCATGCCTGGCTAATTTTTGTCTTTTTAGTGTAGATGGGGTTTCACCATTTTGGCCAAGCTGGTCTCGAACTCCTGACCTCAAGTGATCCATCCATCTCGGCCTCCCAAAGTGCTGGGATTACAGGTGTGAGCAACCACACCTGGCCAAGCCCTTACTAATCTTTATATACTTCCCAGTGTTATCTTACACACAGCATGGACTTGATAAAATCTAAAAGGGTAGACTTTTAAGAAATAGCTCATGTAATAGTTCAAAAATAGAAGCAGAACTGATGGCAGTGAAGAGCATGGACTTGAAATACACTAGGTAGGTATGAACTCCAGCTCTGCCGCTTCGTAGCTATGTCTTTGTGGCAATTTACTTAATATATTTTTGCCTCTATTTCCTCACAAGTAAGTTGGAGATAATAGTACTTAATACTGTTGTTATGGGAGTTAAGTCAGTATATATTAAGGCCTCGGAAAAGTGCCTGAGACATACTAAGTCCTTAATAAATGTTAACTACCATCATCATTATTAATTTATGCCCAATCCTAGTTTCTAAGCACTAGGGAGGATAATAAAATTAATCATTTAGATGCAATATACTAAGTGTAGATACATAGGAAGATTTCCTGGGGGATTCATTGTGCTTTTATTTTTTTATATTGTGTATTAAAGTATGATAATTTTTTTTTTTTACATGGGACTCTGCTTGATAAAAGTATAATAATCTTTAGTGGTTGTATTAGTCTGTTCTCACACTGCTATAAAGAACTACTTGAGGCCAGGTACAGCGCCTCATGCCTATAATCCCAGCACTTTGGGAGGCCAAGGTGGGTGGATCACTTGAGCCCATGAGTTTGAGACCAGCCTAGACAACATGTTGAAACCCTGTCTCTACCAAAAATACAAAAAATTAGCCAGGCATGGTGGTGTGCACCTATAGTCCCAGCTACTGGGGAGGCTGAGGCAGGAGAATCACTTGAGCCCAGGAGGCAGAAGTTGCAGTGAGCCAAGACTGCACCACTGCACTCCAGCCTGGGTAACAAAACAAAAGAACTACCTGAGACTGGGTAATTTATGAAGAAAAGAGGTTAATTGACTCACAGTTCCTCAGGCTTAACAGGAAGCATGACTAGGAGCCCTCAGGAAACTTAGAATCATGGCGGAAGGCGAAAGAGAAGCAAGCATGTCTTACCATGGCAAGCAGGAGAGAGAGAGAGGGCAAAGGGGGAAATGCCACACACTTCAAAACCATCAGATCTCATGAGAGAGCTCACTCATTACCACAAGAACAGCAAGGAGGAAATCTGCCCCCAGTGATCCAGTCACCTCCCACCAGGTCCCTCCTCCAATTTAATGTGAGATTTGGCCAGGGACACAAATCCAAACCATATCAGTGGTAAATAATATAGAACCTTGTGAAACTACTAAACGAAAGAAAACCAAACAAACAAACCTCAACACATCAGAAGCATAGGTCTTGAAAAGATGAAGATAATTTTAGAGGTCAGAGGGTAAAGAGGAGGCATATTAAGGAAAGACAGGAAGTAGGGAGAATAACTGTGGGGCTTTATGTGTAGAGAATTTGGAGCCAGGAAGAGCTGTCAAGTTTATTCTGGTCAGGTAAAGAAAGCTGGAAAAGGAGGGTTGCAGGGACTATTGGAGCAAAACAGTAGGCTAATTTAAATAAGCATCCTAGAGAGAACATGTAAGTAAACAAGCAGCCCAAGAAGGAAGGAAGTATACAAGATTTAGAGACTTATGATCTACATTTGAAGTAATTGTGTCAAGCAAATCGCACTATGATTTGACCCTTACCTTTCATTTAGTTGATGTTTCTAGTCTGGGAACTTAAAACTTCATCACTTGGTTAGTTTAAACTCACATATTTGCCATGCTACTAAACTACTCAGATTTTCCTTAAACCCAGTTTTGTTTTTTGAGATGGGGTTTCTGTCACCCGGGCTGGAGTGCAGTGGCATGATCTCCACTCACTGCATCCTCCACCTCCCTGGCTCAAGCAGTCCTCCTACATCAGCCTGCCAAGTAACTGGGACAACAGGTGTGTGCCACTGTGCCCGGCTAATTCTTTGTATTTTTGTTAGAGACGATGTTTTACCATGTTGCCCAGGCTGGTCTTGAACTCTTGAGCTCAAGCGATCCACCCACGTCGGCCTCCCAAAGTGCTGGGATTACAGGTGTGAGCCACTGCGCTCACCCCTGACTTTATTTTTTAACCTTAACTTCATCCTTTATCATCTGTATATTTATCTGAAAGACCTTCTTCAGTTCAAGCTTTAAGACATACATAAATTTATTCAATTAAGTATTTATTTATGCCAACCCTGTGCTAGTCATTGGCCAAGGATACTATGATGAACAAAAATGAACCTAGCCTTTAACTTCATGTAAAAGTACAATTTTGCTAAGTTCCACAAAGGAGAGACACATGATATGAGAAGGCACAATAGGAGGAAATAACAAGCAAGCTCTGGGGATGAGTAAGTAGGAGTTACCTAGACTGAAGAAAAGAAGGCACACCATGTCAAGGAGCTGAAGCAACATGTTTAGAAGTTCTGTGGCGTAAGGGAGGATGATATCAGAAGGGATGGAGCAAAGGCTGTGAGGTTGGAGCTGAGGGAGAGGGAGTGTGATATAAGCTAAAGTTAGAGTTAGAAAGGGGCTGGAGCAATCAAGGCTTTGAAGCATTGTTGTCTTCATCTTCTGAGCATTTGGAAACCTTGAAGGGTTTGTGGAAAGATCATTGGTGAGACAGTGTCAAGTGAAAAGAAGAAAAGGCCTTGGGATCTATTATTTATTTTTATTGGCCAAGAAGAGCTTACCCTATTTCTTAACCACCTTAGTTATTCTTTCTTTTTTTATTTGCCCCCCCCCACCCCCAAGAGGTAGAGGAGATAAAACTTTAACTAGGAAGGTAGATTTAACTCTTTGTTCACTTTGATGTCTTTAAGAGACCTAGAGCATTTCTGTCTGATATATTTCACTAAATAACTAATAGCATAAACATGGTAGCATTAATCTTAATGGCATCCTTGTGAAACATTTTTATGATGTAGATTACAGTCTTTTTGTTTGTTTGTTTGTTTCTTGAGATGGAGTCTTGCACTGTCACCCAGGCTGGAGTGCTGTGGCGCAATCTCCACTTACTGCAACCTCTGCCTCCTGGGTTCAAGCGATTCTCCTGCCTCAGCCTCTCAAGTAGCTGGGATTACAGGCGCCTGCCACCATGCCTGGCTAATTTTTTATATTTTTAGTAGAGACAGAGTTTCACTATGTTGGCCAGGCTGGTCTTCAACTCCTGACCTCGTGATCTGTCCGCCTTGGCCTCCCAAAGTGCTGGGAGTAATGTATCACATATATATAATGTTTCACAATTCTCAAAGTACTTTTACATGTAGCATTTATCTTATTGGAAGGAGTAACTGTAAATAAATTTCAGTTCCTCAGAATAAATGATATGTAAGCAGCTTGTCTATTTAAATACTTTTTTTTCCACATTTCTTGAGTTTTTAATATAATCGGAAGAAAGAAAGAAGTTTTCAAAGGTGTTTAAGATTATGATACCCTTCTAAACCAGGCTGGAAAGTAAGAGACTTCTCTTCTAAAAAACTCTGAAGTTTGCTTTAATATTATTTAACAGCAGGAGGTGAGTGTCCTACTTAACCATAATTTATTTTTTTTTCCTTCAGGACAACATAGGAGAGCTTGATCTTGATAAACAGTCTGAACTTAGAGCTTTAAGGAAAAAAGAACTAGATGAGGAGGAAAGCATTCGGAAAAAAGCTGTGCAGTTTGGAACCGGTGAACTGTGTGATGCCATCTCTGCAGTAGAAGAGAAAGTGAGCTACTTGAGACCTTTAGATTTTGAAGAAGCCAGAGAACTTTTCTTATTGGGTCAGCACTATGTCTTTGAGGCAAAAGAGTTCTTTCAGATTGATGGTTATGTCACTGACCATATTGAAGTTGTCCAAGACCACAGTGCTCTGTTTAAGGTGCTTGCATTCTTTGAAACTGACATGGAGAGACGGTGCAAGATGCATAAACGCAGAATAGCCATGCTAGAGCCCCTAACTGTAGACCTGAATCCACAGTATTATCTGTTGGTCAACAGACAGATCCAGTTTGAAATTGCACATGCTTACTATGATATGATGGATTTGAAGGTTGCCATTGCTGACAGGCTAAGGGATCCTGATTCACACATTGTAAAAAAAATAAATAATCTTAATAAGTCAGCACTGAAGTACTACCAGCTCTTCTTAGACTCCCTGAGAGACCCAAATAAAGTATTCCCTGAGCATATAGGGGAAGATGTTCTTCGCCCTGCCATGTTAGCTAAGTTTCGAGTTGCCCGTCTCTATGGCAAAATCATTACTGCAGATCCCAAGAAAGAGCTGGAAAATTTGGCAACATCATTGGAACATTACAAATTTATTGTTGATTACTGTGAAAAGCATCCTGAGGCCGCCCAGGAAATAGAAGTTGAGCTAGAACTTAGTAAAGAGATGGTTAGTCTTCTCCCAACAAAAATGGAGAGATTCAGAACCAAGATGGCCCTGACTTAATCCTTGTTTTTAAAGAAAGGAAATGTGCAATATTGAAGTGATCTTTTTCCCTAGTCAGACAGGCCCAATTCCATTGTGATGTTTACCTTTATAGCCAGGTGAGTGCAGTTTGAACTTGAGATACAGTCAACTGAGTGTTTGCTAGGATCCTAAGGAACATAAAGTTAATTAAAAACTTACACCTAATTATGTAAATTGCCTTGTTAAAGACATGTGATTTGTATTTTAGATGCTTGTTTCCTATTAAAATACAGACATTTCTACCCTCAGTTTCTAAATGTAGACTATTTGTTGGCTAGTACTTGATAGATTCCTTGTAAGAAAAAATGCTGGGTAATGTACCTGGTAACAAGCCTGTTAATATATTAAGATTGAAAAAGTAACTTCTATAGTTACTCCTTCTAAAATATTTGACTTCCTAAATTCCCCCCACCCAAAATCTTTCCCTTTTGAAAATACTAAAAACTAAGTTATGTTATTATAAAGTGTAAAATGGTTTGTCTTAATTATAGGAGAAAAAGGCCTTGTTAGAAATAAAATAAACTGACTTATTTCACTAATGAAAACTTCTGTTTCCTTTTTGTTTTCTTGTGAGCACTGATACCTCAATACATTGATACCTCAATACCTTTGAGGTATTTTTTGATACCTCAAAGATACTAGCTTATTTGAAGCTAGAGAAGAATATTTCTTCAATAACATTGCACAGTTAGAAAACATTAAAATATCATTCATGGGCCAGGCACCGTGTCTCATGCCTGTAATCCCGGCACTTTGGGAGGCTGAGGCAGGCGGATCACAAGGTCAGGAGATCGAGACCATCCTGGCTAACACGGTGAAACCCCGTCTCTACTAAAAATACAAAAAATTAGCCGGGCGTGGCCGCGTGCGCCTGTAGTCCCAGCTACTTGGGAGGCTGAGGCAGGAGAATGGCGTGAACCCAGGAGGCAGAGCTTGCAGTGAGCCGAGATTGTGGCACTGCACTCCAGCCTGGGTGACAGAGCGAGACTCTGTCTCAAAAAAAAAATATCATTCATGGCTGAGTGTGGTGGCTTATGCCTGTAATCCCAGCACTTTGGGAGGCTGAGGTAGGAGGATCACTTGAGGCCAGGAGTTCGAGACCAGCCTGGGCAACATAGTGAGACCCCCATCTCTACAAAACATACAAAAATTAGCTGGGGCATGGTGCCACCTGTCTGTAATCCCAGCTACTTGGGAGGCTAAGGTGGGACGATTGCTTAAGCCCAGGAGGCCAAGGCTGTAGTGAACCATAATTGCCACTACAGCCTGGGTGACAGTGAGACCCTGTCTCAAAATAAAATAAAATATTCACTTAGTGAATATTTATTGAGCTACTACTGTGTCCCAGGAAACCTCACTGACTGATTTCTCATCAGAGGATCCTGGCATGTTTATAAACTTTTAAGCACTGTTGAGAAAGGATATATACGTCATAATTAAACCTCGTTAATATGTGTTAGTCATGTTAAGAAATGCAGGAATGGAGTTCCTATCCGGTGTATTGTCAAGATCAGTCGTAACATTTAATATAGAGAATAGCTCTGTGCTTTAGCCTGCCTGTTACTTTGCTTCTCAAAGCCTAGGTCTGGTCAACACTAAGATCCTGTAACATTTATGTAAAAACACACACACACACATGTGAAAATCACCTTGCTTTCCCTTTGAGATCAATTTTCCAGGAAGAAAAATCTTTGAGTATAACAGTCAGAAATGTGTAATTCACTCAATATTTAACTGATGTTTATTCAAGTCTTTACTAAGGTCAGGCCCTGCTCTCACTCTTCTAATCATAGAGGATATGGTGATAAACAGGATAAACAAGGACCTGTTCTCACAGAGTGAATAAACAACTAAGAAAGATAATTTCGGGCCATAAATGCTGTTAAGAAAGGAAAACTGAAATGGTAAGCTTTTTTTTTTTTTTTTTGAGACGGAGTCTCACTCTCTCGCCCAGACTGGAGTGCAGTGCCGTGATCTCAGCTCGCTGCAACTTCTGCCTCCCGGATTCAAGCGATTCTCCTGCCTCAGCCCCCTGAGTAGCTGGGATTACAGGCGCACAACACCACACCTGGCTGATTTTTTGTATCTTTAGTAGAGGCGGGGTTTCACCATGTTGGCCAGGCTGGTCTTGAACTTCTGACCTCAAGTGATCCACCTGCCTCGGCTTCCCAAAGTGCTGGGATTACAGGTGTGAGCCACCACACCCAGCCTGAAATGGTAAACTTTTAATGGAAGGGGTGCTGTCTTAGCTGTGGTGATCTGGAAAGGTCTTTGAGAAGGTGGGAGGTGACACCGAGCTGAGAATGAAATGGGGGAAGAAAGCAGCCAAGTCATCTTTAGGTAGGGTGTTCCCGGGAAGCCAGGCTGGAACAAGCTCAGGAAGGAGTTTGGCATGAGAAAGACCAGTGTGGCTGGAGCAGATAAGGGTGAGGAGTGGGGGCAGCAGTGGGGAGTCCAGATGGAGAGGGCTTTGTAGATCAGGGTAAGGAGTTTGGATTTTATTCGAGGTGCAGTGGGAAACTTCATGGAATTTTAAAAAGGGAAGCAGCATGATCTGATTGGAATTTCTTTTTTATTTTATTTTATTTTATTTTATTTTATTTTTTGAGACAGAGTTTCGCTCTGTGGCCCAGGCTGGAGAGCAGTGGCACGATCTCGGCTCACTGCAAGCGCCACCTCCTGGGTTCACGCCATTCTCCTGCCTCAGCCTCCCGAGTAGCTGGGACTACAGGTGCCTGCCGCCACACCAGGCTAATTTTTTCCATGTTAGCCAGGATGGTCTTGATCTCCTGACCTTGTGATCCGGCCGCCTTGGCCTCCCAAAGTGCTGGGATTACAGGCGTGAGCCACCGTGCCCAGCCAATCTGATTGGAATTTTTAAGAAACTACTCTGGCTCTTAGGGCAAGGAAGGGGGAAGGGACAGTCAAGAACCAGAGGAAGAAGAGAGACAAGTGAGATCCTGTTAAGATTAATCCAAGTGAGAGATGAAAGTGGTTTGGAATAGGATGAGGGAGTAGAGATAGAGAAAAGTGGATAAATTCTGGATGTGTTTTGAACACGCTAGAAGGTAAAGTGTAGAGCATGAGGGGAAAAGAAGAACCATGTTAAGTTGAGGAAGTATGGATGCAAAGCATGTTTTTATGGGGGATACGTGGATTTAGAATTAAGAATTTTGTTTAGGTCATGTTGAGTTTAGGATGTTAAGCTTGAGATGAAATGATTGCTATTTAATAATATCTGCCCATCAGACTTTAAAAGGAAAGCGAGGAGGATCAAGAGGAGGCAAAGAAGGGAGGGAAGTTTCTTGAGGATAGTGATATATGGCACTTCAGCTCTCTTGAGAACTGATTCTAAGACAAATCCCCCTGTTAAAAGCCTTCCTTCATGTAGCCATTTTCCTCTCAACCTTAATCAACTTCATAACTTCATTTATATATCCATTCATTTATTTAAGAAGTACTTAGCTCTTTTTTTCCCCACAAGTATATCCAATGTGTATCTTTATTTGTAATGGAAGATAAAAAATATTGGGGAGTAAAAAACAGGTCTGGGCCGGGCACGGTGGCTCATGCCCATAATCCCAGCACTTTGGGAGGCTGAGGTGGGTGGGTCACCTGAGGTCAGGAGTTTGAGACCAGCCTGACCAACATGGTGAAACCTCACCTCTACTAAAAATACAAAAAAAAATTGGCCAGGCCTGATGGCAAGCACCCGTAGTCCCAGCTACTCAGGAGGCTGAGGCAGGAGAATCGCTTGAACCAGGGAGGCGGAGGTTGCAGTGAGCCGAGATTGCATCAGTGCACTCCAGCCTGGTGACAGAGTGAGACCCTGTCTCAAAACAAAACAACAACAACAACAACAAAAAAACAGGTCTTATATTAAGGGGGATAAAGATAGCTATATCAATACAATGGAATATTATATAGATTTGTACATATTACAGCATACAAGTACAAGTAATTATAAAATGTAAAAGCATGGAAAATGCATGGCTAAATGTCAAGAGGATAGCAACATATTAATTTATAGATATACATTTAACATCTAATTTCAACAATTAAAAATGTATATTTAGCAGGGGGTGGTCATGTGCATCTGTAGCCCCAGCTACTCAGGAAGCTGAGGTGGGAGGATCACCTGAGCCTGGGAGGTTGAAGCTGCAGTGAGCCGGCCGGGCACGGTGTCTCACGCCTGTAATCCCAGCACTTTGGGAGGCCGAGGCGGGCAGAGGTCAGGAGATCAAGACCATCCTGGTCAACATGGTGAAACCCCGTCTCTACTAAAAATACAAAAATTAGCTGGGCGTGGTGGTGCACACTTGTAATCCCAGCTACTTGGGAGGCTGAAGCAGGAAAATCACTTGAACCTGGGAGGCGAAGGTTGCAGGGAGGCGAAGGTTGCAGTGAGCCGAGATCGCGCCACTGCACTCCAGCCTGAGCAACAGAGTGAGTCTCCATCTCAAAAAAAAAAAAAAAAAAAAAAGCTGCAGTGAGCCATGATTGCACCACTGTACGCTAGCCTGGGTGATAAAGTGAGACCATGTCTCTCAATAAATAAATAAATATTTAAAAATATAAAAATGTAAGGCCGGGCGTGGTGGCTCAAACCTATAATCCCAGCACTTTGGGAGACCGAGTCAGGCGGATCATCGAGGTCAGGAGTTCGAGACCAGTCTGGCCAACATGGTGAAACCTCGTCTCTACTAAAAGTACAAAAATTAGTCAGGCATGGCCGGGCGCGGTGGCTCACGCCTATAATCCCAGCACTTTGGGAGGCCGAGGCAGGTAGATCACCAGGGCAGGAGATCGAGACCATCCTGGCTAATACGGTGAAACCCCGTCTCTACTAAAAATACAAAAAATTAGCCGGGCGTGGTGGCCGGCGCCTGTAGTCCCAGCTACTCGGGAGGCTGAGGCAGGAGAATGGTGTGAACCCAGGAGGCGGAGTTTGCAGTGAGCCGAGATCGCGCCACTGCATTCCAGCCTGGGTGATAGAGCGAGACTCTGTCTCAAAAAAAAAAAAAAATTAGTCAGACATGGTGGTGCATGCCTGTTGTTCCAGCTACTTAGGAGGCTGAGGCAGGAGACTCGCTTGAACCTGGGAGATGGAGACTGCAGTGAGCCAAGATCGTGCCACTGCACTCCAGCCTGGGCGACAGCAAAACACTGTCTCAAAAATAAATAAATAAAATAAAATAAAAATAAATAAAAATGTATACTTAGTCAGAGGTGGTGTCATGTGCCTGTGGTCCCAGCTACTCAGGAGGCCGAGACAGGAGGATTGCTTGAGCCCAGGATTTGAGGTCAGCCTGGGCAACACAGTGAGATCCTATCTCTTTAAAAAAAAAAAAGATATACCTGTTAGTGGAAATGTAAAAAAAATGGAAATAGTCATATTGTAATGGAATTATAAACTTTGTTTTTAAGATGGAATTTTGCTCTGTCGCCCAGGCTGGAGGGCAGTGGCATGATCTGGGCTCACTGCAACCTCCGCCTCCTGGGTTCAAGTGATTCTTGTGCCTCAGCCTCCCAAGTAGCTGGGACTACAGGCATGTGCCACCGTGCCTGGCTAATTTTTGTATTTTTAGTAGAGACAAGGTTTCACCATATTGGCCAGGCTGATCTCGAACTCATGACCTCAGGCAATCTGCCTGCCTTGGCCTCCCAAAGTGCTGGGATTACAGGTGTGAGCCATTGCGCCCGGCCACAATTAAAAGCATTTTGTTATTATTTCCTTAATATTGTGATCTTTATCTTTCCAATGAACATTTGAAAATTCTCAGACAACACACTAGGTTTTCATTAGAGGTTTTTTTACCGAGCACTTTTTGTGTGCTAGGTACCTTGAGGACATGATCTCTAAGCCACTGTCTCTTAAACCTTAGCTTTTATTCTTCTTGACTGTGTTATTCAACTTGAATTCAAAAGATAACATTCAATCGGCTGGGCGCAGTGGCTTACGTCTAATCCTGGCACTTTGGGAGGCCGAGGCGGGTGGATTGCCTGAGCTCAGGAGTTTGAGACCAGCCTGGGCAACACAGTGAAACCCTGTCTCTACTAAAATACAAAAAATTAGCTGGGCATGGTGGCACGCGCCTGTAATCCCATCTACTCGGGAGGCTGAGGCAGAAGAATTGCTAGAACCCGGGAGGCAGAGGTTGCAGTGAGCCGAGATCGCGCCACTGCACTCCAGCCAGGGCGACGGAGTGAGACTCCATCTCTTAAAGAAAGAAACAAAAAAGATAAAATTCAGACCGCCAAGACTACATCTGCCCCACCTGCACAGAGCCTCGCCCTCGCCACTCCACAGCCGGTCCGCATGTGCCGCCAGCTCACCAGGGTGATATCACTGGGCTCCAGCAAGGGCAAGGCCAGCTTCGCAGGTGACGATGCCCCGTAGGCCGCCTTCCCCTCCATCTTGGGGCGCCCGCGACACCAGGGCATGATGGTGGGCATGGGCCAGAAGGACTCCAATGTGGGCGATGAGGCCCAGAGCAAGAGAGGCATCCTGACCCTGAAGTACCCCATCTAGCACGGCATGGTCATCTACTGGGATGACATGGAGAAGATCTGGCACCACACCTTCTACAATGAGCTGCATGTGGCTTTCGAGGAGTACCCTGTGCTGCTGACCAAAGGCCCCCTGAATCCCAAGGCCAACCATGAGAAGATGGCCCAGATTATGTTGGAGACCTTCAACACCCCACCCATGCACGTGGCCATCCAGGTCGTGCTGTACCTGTACTCCTCTGGCCATACCACTGGCATCGTGATGGACTCTGGCGACAGGTCACCCACATTGTGTGCATATATGAGGGGCACGCCCTCCCCCACACCATCCTGCGTCTGGATCTCGCTGGCCAGGACCTGACCGACCGCCTTATGAAGATCCTCACATTGTGCGGCTACAGCTTTACCACCCGCAGAGGGAGAGCTCCTGTGTGACATCATCAAGGAGAAGCTGTGCTAAGTCGCCCTGGACTTTGAGCAGGAGATGGCCCCACGGGTCCTCCTGGGAGAAGAGCTATGAGCTGTCAGATGGCCAGGTCATCACCAGCAGCAACAAGCGGTTCCACTGCCCCGAGGCGCTCTTCCAGCCTTCTTTCCTGGGCATGGAATCCTGTGGCATCTACAAAACTACCTTCAAATCCATCGTGAAGTGTGACGTGGACATCCACAAAGACCTGTACGCCAACACAGTGCTATCTGGCAGCACCACCATGTACCCTGGCATCGCTCTGCAGGATGCAGAGGGGGATCACTGCCCTGGCTCCCAGCATGAGGAGGATCAAGATCATTGCTCCTTCTGAGTGCACATACTCTGTGGATGCGTGGCTCCATCCTGACCTCGTTGTCCACCTTCCAGCAGTTATGGATGAGCAAGCAAGAATATGATGACTCCAGTCCTTCCATTGTCCACTGAAAATGCTCCTAGGCGGACTGTTCCTTAGTTGCGTTACACCCTTTCTTGACAAAAACCTAATGCGCAGAAAATAAGATGAGATTGGCATGGCTTTGTTTGTGTGTGTGTGTGTGTTTGTGTTTGTGTTTGTTTTTGGCTTGACTCTGGGTTTAAAAACTGAAACTGTGAAGGTGACAGCAGTCGGTTGGAGTGAGCATCCTCCAAAGTTCTACAGTGTGGCCAAGGACTTTGACTGTACATTGTTCTTTTTTTTCTTTTTTTAATATTTATTTTATTTATTTATTTATTTTGGGACAGAGTATCACTCTGTTGCCCAGGCTGGAGTGCAGTGATGTGATCTTGGCTCGCTGCAACCTCCACCTCCCAGGTTCAAGTGATTCTCCTGCCTCAGCCTCTTGGTAGCTGGGACTACAGGCATGTGCCACCACGCCCAGCTAATTTTGTTTTTTTTTTTTGTATTTTTTTAGTAGATACGGGGTTTCACCATGTTGGTCAGGTTTTTAATTTTTTTTGTATTTTTTTAGTAGAGATGGGGTTTCACCATGTTGGTCAGGTTTTTTTTGTCTTTTTTTAGTAGAGACGGGGTTTCACCATGTTGGTCAGGCTGGTCTCAAACTCTTGACCTCAAATGATCTGCTTGCCTCATCCCCCAAAGTGCTGGGATTACAGGCGTGGGCCACCGTGTCAGGCCACATTATTCTTTTTTAAATAGTCATTCTAAATATTGTGAGGTGCATTGTTACAGGAAGTCCCTTGCCCTCCCAAAATCCAGCCCACTTCTGTCTAAGGAGAATGGCCGAGTCCACTCTCAAGTCCACACAGGGGAGGTGATAGCATTGCTTTCATGTAAATTATGTAATGCAAAATTTTTAAAATCTCCCCCTTATACTTTTTTGTTTTATTTTGAATGATCAGCCATCGTGGCCCGCCTTTTTTGTCCCCCAGCTTCAGACGTATGAAGGCTTTTGGTCTCCCTGGGAGTGGGTGGAGGTGTGGAGGCATTCAGGGCTTACCTGTAGAGACCAGTTGAATAAAAGTGCACACCTTAAAAAAAAAAAAAAAGATAAAATTCAAGTATAACAGACAGTGGTCTTAAAACCAGTCTTTATCCCAATAGCCATCAACATACTCTGTTGTTTGTCATTTGTTCTCTGTAGTGACTTGTTACATTTTAAGACTGTATTTTTAGTTATCAGAAGAAAATCTCATTGGCTGCTTTGCAGTCCTGCCCTCTGTTCACATAGCCTATGCCACAAACACTGCTTTCCCTGAGCCTGGCTTCCCAGAGACAGCTGTCTTCCAAGACCTCAAGGCCCCTTTGCACTTAAAATTATTGAGGACACCAAAGATCTTTTGTTTATGTACATTATATATTTCTATATTTACCCCATTTGAAATTTAAGTGGATACATTTTAATAATTTATGTTAAAATGACAATAATAAACCCATTGCATTTAAAGATAACTTTTTTTTTTTTGAGATGGAGTCTCTCTCTGTTGCCCAGGCTGCAGTGTAGTGGCACAATCTTGACTCACTGCAACCTCTGCCTCCCGAGTTTAAGTGATTCTCCTGCCTCAGCCTCTGGAGTAGCTGGAATTACAGGCATTTGCCACCATGCCCGGCTAATTTTTGTATTTTGACTAGAGATGGTGGTTTCACTGTGTTGGCCAGGCTAGTCTTGAACCGCTGACCTCAGGTGATCTGCCTGCCTGGGCCTCCCAAAGTGCTGGGGTTACAGGCGTGAACCTGTAATCACCTTACAATGTGTTTATACAGGCTGACATTATTGAGTGCTAACTAATCTATTCCAGGCACTCTGCTAAGCAGTTTATATACATTATCTCAAGTAATTGTCTCAAAACTCCATGACACTGATACTATTACCCTCCCACAGAATGTGTAACTTTGGCTTAGGGAGAGCTTCAATGACTTGCCCAAGGTCAGATAGCTAGTAAATGGCAGAGCTGTTTGAACCAATGTCAACATGAATATCTTTTATAAAGTTAACAAGAAGTTAGTTCTATCAATTTTAGTTTGAATGGACTGTAAGAAGGGACAACTACACCTCACGTAAAATTGCTGATAAGCCAGACAGAAGCGACAAAAGAAATCAACCTCAAATCACACAATGTCCAAATCAGAATTATAGCTGTATCTATACAGATAGAGAGTTTTAAAAATTATCCATTTTGTTTCTAAGTAGTTGTAGCAATGTTTCTTCTTTTTAATTTAAAAAAAAAATACTGGCTGGGTGCAGTGGCTCGCGCCTATAATCCGAGCACTTTGGGGGGTCAAGGTGGGTGGATCACTGAGGCCAGGAGTTTGAGACCAGCCTGACTAACATGGCAAGACCCTGTCTTTACTAAAAATACAAAAATTAGCCAGGCATGGTGGCACACACCTGTAATCCCAGTCACTCAGGAGGCTGGGGCAGGAGAATCGCTTGAACCCGGGAGGTGGAGGTTGGAGTGAGCCAAGATTGCACCACTGTACTCCAGCCTGGGTGACAGAGTGAGATGCTTCTCAAAAAATAAATAAATAAATATATTTATTTATATAAAAAAGAAAGGGAAAAATATATATTTATATAAAAATATATTTATATAATATATTATATGTGTATGTATTTTTCCTCTTCTTTTTTATAGAGATGGGGGTCTTGCCATGTTGTCCAGACTGGTCTCAAACTCCTGGGCTCAAGCAATCCTCCCACCTCAGCCTCCCAAAATGCTGGGATTACAGGCCTGAGCCTGTAACTAAACTTGAGGCATGAGTCTGTTTCTAAGCTTGCCATAGACACCTTCAGTGCATGTCTGCTTTTTGATTACCACAGTTGCTAATCGTGGGTTATAAAAATATAGAATTCAAATATGTTAGGGCAATAATAAATTATATATAGATGCATTGATGTTGCAGTACATAAATGAGCCTTTCAGTCATTTTGCATTCTAGATAGATGTAATCTTTTTTAAAAAAATTAATTGCTTTCATCTTGAGCCTGGGATGTCAAGGCTGCAGTGAGCCATGATTGCATTACTGCACTGCAGCCTGGGTGACAGAGAGAGACCCTGTGTCATAAACATAAATAAATATTTTTAAAAAGATTCTAAGGCTGAGCATGGTGGCTCACACCTATAATCCCAGCACTTTGGGAGGCTGAGGCAGGAGGATTGCTTGAGACTAGGAGTTCGAGACCAACCTGGGCAACATAGGGAGACTCCTGTCTCTACAAATAAAAATTAAGAAAAATTTATTAGAGGCTGCAATGTCTATTACTATTTTTAAGTTATTTATTATTATTAGGGTTTGAAAAAAATCTAGGATGGGAAAACAAAATTCAAGAATGCAACCAGGAACTATGTGTCAAGGAGAAATCCCAGAGAAAGTATAGCTTTCGTTAAGCCTCGCCCATATAACTCATAATGCAACCAGAGTCTTTTTTTTCTTTTTTTTTTTTTTTTTTTGAGATGGAGTCTCGCTCTGTTGCCCAGGCTGGAGTGCAGGGGCATGATCTCGGCTCACTGCAACCTCTGCCTCCCACGTTCAAACGATTCTCCTGCCTCAGCCTCCCGAGTAGCTGGGATTACAGGTGCCCGTGACCATACCTGGCTAATTTTTGTATTTTTGGTACAGACGGGAATTTCACTGCGTTGGCCAGGCTAGTTGAGAACTCCTGACCTCAGGTGATCCTCCAGCCTCAGCCTCCCAAAGTGCTGGGATTACAGGCATAAGCCACCTTGCCTGGCCCCAACCACACTCTTTAAGCCAGTAACCTCTTTCTCAGGAAGGTCATGACCCAATATTAATTTTTCATCTACAGGAAGTGACAAGAAGGCTTTATACATGTGCTGTGTAAAAATGGAGTTCAAAATGTAGTTAATAGAAACAGACCTGAGAATGTGCTAGATGATTATGAATTGCTGAATCTGACATGACCTACAGCAGCCACACACCAACTCTACCAGTACACAGCTCTTTCTCCCCACTTCCTTCTGAATTATCTCACCCACTTTTTCTCCACTGGTTATCTTAATCATTTTGCCTTTCCTGTTACCACTCTAAGTCAGGTTTTGTTATAAGAACTCATCACCCTTTAGTTATCTATACTTTTGTGTGGATGATTTTTATGCTTTAAATTTACCCAAAACCTATTGCTTAGACACTAAGAAAATGGAACAAACATGCAAGAAATGTTAACAATGAAAACAGAATAATTTCCAATCTGCTCCACTGATTGATTGTGCAAAACTGTAGGATGGCTTTATGTTCAGAATCATTGCCCTTTTAGACTCAAGAGTTTTGAACTCTGCTTCCAAAGAGTTAATCCTTCATCCGTGTTTTCTGTGCATGGAGCCCATAAAATCTAATTACATTCCGCTTCTAAATAAAGAGAAATGACTCCCAAATTCGTCTGGAAAAGTAGCTTTTTTTTTTTGAGACAGAGTCTCGCTCTGCTGCCCAGGCTAGAGAGCAGTGGTGTGATCTTGGCTCACTGCAACCTCCACCTCCCAGGTTCAAGTGATTCTCCTGCCTCGGCTGAGTAGCTGGGACTACAGGTGTGCACCACTGCATCTATCTAATTTTTAAATTTTTAGTAGAGATGAGGTTTCACCATGTTGGCCAGGCTGGTCTCAAACCCCTGACCTCAAGTGATCTACCTGCCTCAGCCTCCCAAAGTGCTGGGATTACAGGTGTGAGCCACTGAGCCCGGCCAGGTTTTGTTCACTGAGGATGTGCCAGTGTCCCAAGTTGTAAAAAGTTAATTCCATAGGCTTGCTTCTTACCTTCTTAGTTCGAAAATCATATATATCTCATCGTAGGAATACACTAAGGCGTGGATACTAAATATAGAAAGTATGTTTGGGATGATCTGACTTGAAATATGGTTGTGTTATGAATGGAAATCACTTTGTGTTACATTGGGGTGCATAGAGAACTAGGCAGAACTCTCAGAGCAGCTGATAAGGTGCTAGAGAAGTGGGGTGCCGTGGCTCACACCTGTAATCCCAGCACTCTGGGAGGCAGAGGCAGGTGGATCACCTGAGGTCAGGAGTTCGAGACCAGCCTGGCCAACATGGTGAAACTCCATCTCTACTAAAAATACAAAAATTAGCCAAGCGTGGTTGTGGGCACCTGTAATCCCAGCTACTCGGGAGGCTAAGGCAGGAGAATTGCTTGAACCCGGGAGGCAGAGGTTGCAGTGAGCCAAGATTGCACCACTGAACTCCAGCCTGGGTGACGGAGTGAGACTCCGTCTCAAAAAAAAAAAAAAAAGAAAAGAAGGTGCAAGAGGCCGAGATGCTACTAAGCCGACACAGAAAACAAATAGGTCTCAGCTATGAGCTCCAAATTTCAGTATTGATTGCTAATTAATCTGCTTCTCACATGAGCAACTCTGTGTTCCTGGGTCAGCAGCAGGGATTTGTTTGTATCATTCAATTATTTAATGATAGTTACAAATTTAACTTAATAATAATATACAATGATATGCTGAATAATGGAGGTAATTATACTTAACATCATAATTTTAATATAGATTGTATCTGCATTCAATGTAAGGCATTGTTTCCTAGAGTCAAGTCCCAGGACTATGTGCATCAGAAACATTTAGTGATACTTATTAAAATGCAGATTCCTAGGCTCTGGCTCAGACCTGATGAGAAACTCTGGGAGGTGAGGTCCAGGAATCTACGTTTTAGCAGAACCCCATGTGATATTTATGTACATTAAGGTGCTAGAACCCCATGCTTCTGTAATTAAGGAAGCTCAAACTACAGAGTATTGGAAAAGCTTTTACAGGGAGAAGCATCTGAATCAGAAAGTTATTCCCAAGGGGAACCCAGCCTGGGGACAGAGGGACACAATAAGTGTTCCCAGCTGCCTTAGGAGCCTAGGAGCTGCAACCCTCTCCTTCCCTGGAGCTCCCTGTGCTGGGAGGAGAATTCTGCTGTGTGGACCCCAACTGGGGGCTAAGCCTGGTAACCACAGCAGTGGGTCTCTCAGGGATCTAAGGGGAGATCTCCGAGATGAAAGGTAGGCACTCTCTAATGACCTTTGAAGAATATTCTAGATTGCTTCAAGGAAGATGAGAAAAAGAAAAGAGAGATTGTTTGACTAGGAACACAGACTGGGCAGGAGTCATTCCTGGGGCATTTGAATGGAATTACCCAAATGGTTGTCCCAGGGCTGTGGTAATTAACTATTTCCTCGGCAATCTAGAGCCAGGACCATCTCTCAGGAACTCTGCAAGTTTGGAGTAGAGCAAATACTCCAGAATTCCCCCACTTTTGTTCCTGGACTAAACTGAGGATCGGGCTGCTATTTCTCGTGGCCCAATAATGAGACCCAGATGAAACTGGGGAGGAAGAGAGTTTTTATTTCTGCAACCAGCGACAGGGAGAAGGCCTAGAAATTATCGCCAGACCAACTCAAAACTACAAAGTTTTCCAGAGCTTATATACCTTTTAAGCTATATGTCTACGTGTAAGTGTGCATTCGTCTAAAGACATAAGTGATTAATATCTTTTAATCCGTAACTAAGGTGTGAGTCCTGAAGACCTTCCTCTGGAGCCTCAGTAGGTTTACTTAATCTAAATGAGTCCAGGTGCTGGGGTGATTACCTTTATCTTGTCTCCTGCTAAATCATAGAGGTTTGGGGAGTTCCTTTAGACCCCCAGTAAACTTGTTTGTGGACACCTGCGGAATTTCTTCAGATCCACAATAAAACTTGTTTAATCTTAAATGGGTCCTGTTAAGAATTCCTTCCTTATTTTGTGATGCTTCAAGGCCCAGGAAAGGCATATAGGCAAAACTCTTGATGGGCTTTTGTTACATCCCAGCCTTTGTATAAGAAAACTGGCTTCTAATATTCAACTTAACCACTAATTCAGTACTCAAACAGTTGTTATGGAGGCGTGCATTAGTGAGACCTGGCCTGCCACACTTTAACACCCCAAGAAGGGTTATATTCTGGTGATGTCTGGTTAAAATAAAAACTGAATGCCTGCTTATAGAGAAGCAATCTTTCCTCCTATAGCAGACAGAGCATGCCTTCCCCGGGGAAATCCACATCTGCAGGATGGAGACATTTTGTATCTAAAACCTACATTTAGTGCTATCTTCCTTTGTTTTTTGTTGTTTGTTTGGTTTTCTTTTGAGACAGAGTTTCACTCCACCACCCAGGCTGGAGTACAGTGCCTGGATCTTGCCTCACTGCAACCTCACCTCCTGGGTTCAAGTGATTCTCATGCCTCAGCCTCCAAGTAGCTGGAATTACAGATGTGTGCCATCATGCCTGGCTAATTTTTGTAGTTTTAGGAGAGATAGGGTGTCGCCATATTGGCCAAGCTGGTCTCAAACTCTTGACCTCAAGTGATCTGCCTGCCTCGGCATCCCAAAGTTCTGGGATTGCAGGCGTGAGCCACTGTGCCCGATCAGTACTATCTTCCTTTGAAGGGGATAAAAGTCACATGCCAGGTGGATGAGAGCTTGGAACTTGGTGAATGAGAAAAATGCAGTTCTCCCCTCATATTTCTGCAGCCAGGCAGCCCAATTTATTAATATATGCACATACAGTGCATACAGCACAGAGTGGACTTAGCCATTGACTGGAGGTCCAGGGACCTCCTTGCTGCTGTCCTAATGCTAACTTTTCAGTCCTCACGATTCCTGGCATTTAATTGACTGACTGCTTCCTCCTTTTTTTTTTTCTTCCTTTTGAGACAGAGTTTCACTCTTGTTGCCCAGGCTGGAGTGCAGTGGCGTGATCTCGGCTTACTGCAATCTCCACCTCCCGGGTTCAAGCAATTCTCCTGCCTCAGTCTCCTAAGTAGCTGGAATTATAGGCACCTGCCACTATGCTCGGCTAATTTTTTTGCATTTTTAGTAGAGACAGGGTTTCACCATGTTGGCCAGGCTGGTTTTGAACTCCTGACCTCAAGTGATCCGCTTGCTTTGGCCTCCCAAAGTGCAAGGATTACAGGTGTGAGCCACTGCACCTGGCTGACTGTTTCCTCCTTGAAGCTCCTTCCTCCTTTTCCGTCTACAACACTGCACTTTTCTATTCTTCTATCTTACCAGCCTTTCCTTATGTTTCCTCTAGGGCCTTTTCAATCTATCACTTGACTGTAATGATCCTTAGGATTGTGATGTAGGCTTCTAGCCTCTCCAGGCACCCCAGGGCAATGCTGTTCATTCCTTTTTTTCTTCTTTTCCTTTTTCTTTTGAGACAGGGTCTCACTCTGTCATCTAGGCTAGAGTGCAGTGGCGTGAACTTGGCTCACTGTAGCTTTGACCTTCCAGGCTTAAGCGATCTTCCCACCTCAGCCTCCAGAATAGCTGAGACTACAGGTGCATGCCACAATGCCTGGCTAATTCTGTTCACTTTTTGTAGAGAGGGGGTCTCACTATATTGCCCAGGCTGGTCTTGAACTCCTGGGTTTAAGGGATCCTTCTGCCTCAGCCTCCCAAATGCTGGGATTACAGACATGTGCCACCTCGCCTGGCCTCATACTTAAGACATATTACTTACCATCTATATCTAATTCTTCATCTTAAAAAAAATTGTTTTAGAGATGAGGGTCTCACTATATTCATATTGCCCTGGATTCCTGGGTTCAAGCAATCCTCCCTCCCCAGGCTCCCAAGTAGCTGGGATTATATTTTCAAGTCACTGTGACTGGCTTTTATTTTTATTTTTTTCATTAGTTCTTCATCTGTTTGGCTTACTTATCCTTAAATTAGAATTTATTGAATGCTACTGTCTCTTTCTCTCTCTCTCACATGTGCACACATACATATACTTTTATTCATTTCCTTTTTAGTTATTTTATTATAAATAAGTACATATATACTTAATTTTTAAATTTATTATTATTATTTTGAGTTGGAGTCTCGCTCTGTTGCCCAGGCTGGAGTGCAGTGGCACGATCTCCACTCACTGCAACCTCTGCCTCCCAGGTTCAAGCGATTCTCCTGCCTTAGCCTCCTGAGTAGCTGGGACTACAAGTGCATGCCACCACGCCTGGCTAATTTTTTGTATTTTTAGTAGAGACAGGGTTTCACCATGTTAGCCAGGATGGTCTTGATCTGCTGATTTCATGATCCACCCACCTCGGCCTCCCAAAGTGCTGGGATTATAGGTGGGAGCCACCACGCCTGGCCAAGATCCATCTCCTAAAAAAAAATAAATTTAAGAAACACCCGAAATTTGGCCAGGCATGGTGGCTCATGCCTGTAATCCCAGCATTTTGGGAGGCTGAGGCGGGTGGATCACCTGAGGTCAGGAGTTCGAGACCAGCCTGGCCAACATGGTGAAACCCTGTCTCTACTAAAAATACAACAATTAGCTGGGCATGGTGGCACGCGCCTGTAATCCCAGCTACTCAGGAGGCTGAGGGAGGAGAATCACTTGAACTCGGGAAGGGGAGGTTGCAGTGAGCCGAGATCACGACATCACACTCCAGCCTGGGGGACAAGAGCAAGACTGTCTCAAAAAAAAAAAGAAACACCCCAATTTGAAAATAATAGTTGCAAGCAGTTTAAAATGAAAGTGCCAGTCCCAGTCTCTAGTACTATTGTTCCCTACTCATTCCCCTCCACCACTCCCAGGAGAAAATCTGTTTAACCGTCTTTTGGTGGTTACCTGGACATGTTGTAATAACATGTTCATATCACTATTTCTTGATTTAGCAATTTAAAACATTATCTGTTGATTTCTCCAATGATGGCAAATGATTTAATTCACTTACAACACCCCACTTCCCCTCCTCACTTCTTTCAATGTATCTCCCAATATAACACTTTTTTGTTAAACCATATATGTAATATATATACATATATCTACTTGCATATGTATAATACATATAGTAAATTTGTAGATATAGGTGTGTGTTGTTCTATTTCTTGACCACCCACTAAGATAAGAATATTAGTGCCCCTACCCTTCAAACTTCCCTTTCTTCATCAACCTCACAAATCCTCTGTATTCTCATTTATACATTGTCAGGGGTTATGCATACATTCTATTATGTGGTCATAATTATTAGTATGTCTCTTAGCCGGGCATTGTGGTGGGCACCTGTAATCACAGCTACTTGGGAGGCTGAGGCAGGAGAATTGTGTGAACCTGGGAGGTGGAGGTGGCAGTGAGCCGAGATCGTGCCACTGCCCTCCAGCCTGGGCAACAGAGTGAGACTCCTTCTCAAGAAAAAAAAAATTATTACTGTATCTCTGTCTGTAGGGAGATCCTGAAGGTTAGTAATCAATCAACAAATATTGTCTACATTATGACTGTGTATATATATATTGCCCACTGCAGAATCAAGTAAAATATACGTCACCATTATTGTTGTTGATTTGAGACAGGGTCCGTCTCTGTTACCCAGGCTGGAGTGCAGTGAGGTGATCATGGCTCACTGCAACATCAACCTCCCAGGCTCAAGTGATCTTCCCACCTCAGTCTCCCATATAGCTGAGACTATAGGCATGCACCACCACACCCGGCTAATTTATTTTTATTCTTTGTAGAGATAAAGGTCTCCCTATGTTGCACAGGCTGGTCTCCAACTCCTGGGCTCAGGCAATCCTTGCACCTTGGCCTCCCAAAGTGCTGGGATTACAGGCATGAGCCACTGTGCCCAGCCTGAAATATACTTTGATTATGTTCCTTTCCTGCACAGATTTGTGTTCTTCCTGGAGTTCCTAACTTTGCTCTTTTTCCTTTCAGTATTTGCCCTTAATATCTTCAGATTGTCAAACTCACCATCATCATAACCAATTCTATAGAGTTATTTTCTCCCCCAAAGACCTCCCTCCAGGAGCTCCCCTTCCTACTCCAGTCCGGGCTGATTGTTCTCTGACTGCTGCTCAGCTACCACCCTGGAATGTGGAGGTGGAGGTGAGATGCCTCTCTAAGAAGATGAGCTGGGGCTGGGTGAGGTGGCTCATGCCTGTAATCCCAGAACTTTGGGAGGCCAAGGTGGGCAGATCACTTGAGGTCAGGAGTTCGAGACCAGCCTGGCCAACGTGGTGAAACCCCCGTATCTATAAAAATACAAAAATTAGTAGGGCATGGTGGCAGGCACCTGTAGTCCCTGTTACTTGGGAGGCTGAGGCATGAGAATTGCTTGAACCCGGGAGGTGGAGGTTGCAGCGAGGTGAGATCACACCTGCCTGGGTGACAGAACGAGACTCTGTCTCGAAAAAAAAAAAAAGATGAGCTGGGAGGTGAGGTGCACAGTTTGGGAAGGAGGCGAGCCCTCTTGGATCTGCAAGTCAGCAGGCTCACCCAAAATGAGTCTTGTGTGTCGACACCGAGGAAAGAAGTTCACCTGGCCGAGCTGGGATGAAGGAAGAGACACATGCAGTTACGATAGGCAGAGGAAGCATGGCATGTTTTGCAGGGGAAGAGATGGAAAGACTTGGGTTAGTTTTAGCACCAAAGGCTCAGAGAGAAAAATAAGGAGATCAATCCTGGCTGAAGACACTGAAAGAAGTACTGATCAAGACAGAAGGCCCGGCTTGGTGCGGTGGCTGACACCTGTCATCCCAGCATTTTGAGAGGTTGAGGCAGGAGGATCATTTGAGCATAGAAGTTCAAGACCAGCCTGGGCAACATAGGGAGACCCCCATCTTGGAAAAAAATAATTAATTAATTAGCCAGACATGTTGGCACAGGCCTGTAGACCCAGCTACTTGGGAGGCTGAGGTGGGAGGATTACTTGAGCCTGGGAGATCGCACTATGAGGCCAGAGGGTAGATTGGGGCCAGACAGAGCAGCCCATGAAGGACCTGAATTCCGGGTGAGGAGTGTGGGCTTGTCCTGCAGGCAGGCAGGTGGAGTCACTGGCTATGCTTTAACAGAGGTGTGTTATGAACCAACTGCTGAAATACTGGATGTTTTAGTTTTCCATTTGCTGTAACAAATTACCACAAACTTGGTGGTTAAAACTACATGAATTTACTATTTTACAGTTCCGTAGTTCTGTGTAAGTCTGACATGAGTCTTAGTGGCATAAAACTTAGGTGTTGACAAGGCTGCAGGCCTCTCTGGAGGTTCTAGAGAGAGTTTTCTTACCTTCTCCAGCCTCCAGAGGCTGCCCACATTGCTTGGCTTGTGGCCCCTTCTGTCGTCTTCAAGCTGGCGAAGGCAAGTCTAGCCCCTCTCACATCACATCATTAGGACCTATCTTTTGTCTTTTGTCTTCCTCTTCCACTTCTGTGAGAAAGGACCTCTGTGATGATGTTGGGCCCACCCGGATGATCCAGGAGAATCTCTCTTTTTTAAGAGCATATGATTGGCCAGGCGCGGTGGCTAACACTTGTAATCCCAGCACTTTGGGAGGCTGAGGTAGGCGGATCATGAGGTCAGGAGATCAAGACCACGGTGAAACCCCAGCTCTACTAAAAATATAAAAAATTAGCCAGGCCTGATGGCGGGTACCTGTAGTCCCAGCTACCTGGGAGGCTGAGGCAGGAGAATGGCGTGAACCCGGGAGGCAGAGCTTGCAGTGAGCTGAGATCGTGCCACTGCACTCCAGCCTGGGCGACAGAGCTAGATTCCGTCTCAAAAAAAAAAAGGGGGGGGGGCATATGATTAGCAGCCTTAATCCATCTGCATCCCCAATTTCCCTTTGCTGTGTAAGGCAACAGTCACCATTTCTAGGAATTAGGACAATTAAGACATGGACATCTTTGGGGAGGTGGTGGTGCTATTATTCTCCCTACTACATTGTATTAGTCGGGTCTCTTTGCAAGTACAAAAGAAAGAAAGAAAAAAGAAAAGAAAAGAACCATGTATTGACTTAGATAACCGAGTGCTCAGCATCTTTCTCGCTTTACCTCTTGGATCTGCTTTCCTTGCTGTTGATTTTGGGCAGTCTCTTTCCATGAGTGGCCCTGGAGCCCCAGGCTTACATCCTACCAGCTTAGCAATGTTAACGAAGGGTCCTCTCTCCTGGTAATTTTAGCATAACCCAGGATGATGAGTATTGACTCTCACTAACCCATCTTCTGTCCAGGGCTGTCCCTGGACCAAACCCTGTGGCCTAGGAGAAATTCTCATGGGTCAGGCATGAATTTCATATGCATCCCTGAAGCTGAAACTTCAGAAGCCCCCCTAAAGCACAGGGAATGAGACCTGGGGGCTGGTGATTCCTTAGAGGAAAACTGGCAGATTGCTATCCCCAAAACAACAATGGCGGTGATAATTGCACAACAGTGTGAATATACTTAATGCCACAGAACGGTACACTTACAGATGAGTAAGGCTGGGCATGGTGGCTCATGCCTGTAATCCCAGCACTTTGGGAGGCCGAGGGGGATGGATCACTTGAGCCCAGGAGTTCAAGAACAGCCTGGTCAACATGGTGAAACCCCGACTCTACTATAAATATAAAAATTAGCTGGGTGTGGCAGTGCGTGCCTATAGTCCCAGCTACTCAGGAGGCTGAGGCAGGAGAATCGCTTGAACCTGGGAGGCAGAGATTGCAGTAAGCCATGATCACATCACTGCACTCCAGCCTGGGTGACAGAGCGAGACCCTGTCTCAAATAAATAAAAAATTGATTAAAATGTTAAACTTTATGTTACGTATATTTTGCCACACACAAAAACACAGAATCAGTCTAGGCTATAGCATCAACCCATGGACTTTTGATGAACCTGCTAAAAAAGAGGATCTTTCTCTTTCTACTGAGGATGCTAGGCTGGTCTGAGCCTAGGATGGAGCTGTTGGGGCCATCATGTCCCCAGGTGAGGAAAGAACCTGCCTGAGAGCAAAGACAACATGAGGAAAGCAGAGCCCGGAGATGCAGGCAGGCAGGTTCCTGATGATGACTGGGACACCTGGACCCAGCTGTGCCTGAAGCCCTCATCTATCCAATAAAGTCCTTATGCTTAGATCAATTCAATTTGAGCTTGAACTGGCCATTAAAAGAGTCCAGACTTATAAAAACAAAAAGTACAAGGGATGGTGGGTAGGAAGCAGCAAGATAAATCTACAAACAGCAATTCCTGGACAAGGGTGAAGCAAGGACAGTCTAAAGGCCAGAAAACAGCAGAATGTTCTTAAACAAATGTAGATGTAAGATGTCGAGAAAATGGAAAGGAAGGATGGTAAGAGAAGCTTTAAATCAGCAATCCTCAAACTTTCTGGTCTTAGGATCCCCTTATACTTTTAAAAATTATCAAATTTTGGGCCGGGCATGTTGGCTTATGCCTGTAATCCCAACACTTTGGGAGGCTGAGGCAGGAAGATCACTTGCATCCAGGAATTCCAGACCAGCCTGGAAAACATAGAGAGACCTCATCTCTACAAAATCAATCAATACATACATAAAAATTATTGAATTTTCTTTATGTGGGATATATCTACTGATGTTTGCCATGTTAGAAATTAAAACAATAATTTTATTTTATTTTTCTTGTTATTTATTTATTTTGAGACAGGGTCTGGCTCTGTCGCACAGGCTGGAGTGCAGCTGTGCTATCACAGCTCACTGCAGCCTCCAACTTCTGGGCTCAGGCAATCTTCCCGACTCAGCCTCCTGAGTAGCTGGGACTACAGGCATGCATCACCATGCCCAGCTAATTTTTTTGTATTTTTTTGTGGAGATGGAGTCTTGCCATGTTGTCCAGGATGGACTTGAACCTCTGGACTCAAGTGATCTGCCTGCCTTTGCCTCTCAAAGTGCTGAGATTACAGGCATGAGCCACTGTGCCTGGCTGAGAATAATTTTAAATGGCAATAATAAACCAATTACATGTTAACACGATTAATATATTTTATGACAAATAGCTATATAGTCTTTCTTTTCTTTTTTTTTTTTTGAGACAGAGTCTCACTCTATCACACAGGCTGTAGTGCAGTGGCGTGATCTCGGCTCACTGCAACCTCCATTTTCTGGGTCCAAGCGATTCTTAGGCCTCAGCCTTCCAAGTAGCTGGGATTACAGGCGCATGCCACGATGCCTGGCTAATTTTTCTATTTTTAGTAGAGACGGGGTTTCGCAATGTTGGCCAGGCTGGTCTTGAACTCCTGACCTCAAGTGATCTGCCTGCCTCGGCCTCCCATGCACAGGCATGAGCCACTGTGCCCAGCCCATATACATTCTAAAATTTTTAAAAATTACTGAGAAAAGTGGCATTATATTTTATAATCTTTTTCTTTCTTTCTTTCTTTCTTTCTTTCTTTCTTTCTTTCTTTCTTTCTTTCTTTCTTTCTTTCTTCCTTCCTTTCCTTCTTTCTTTCTTTCTTTCCTTCTTTCTTTCTTTTTTTGAGACAGTGTCTAGCTCTGTCGCCCAGGCTGGAGTGCAGTGGCGCAATCTTGGCTCACTGCAACCTCCACCTCCTGGGTTCAAGCAATTCTCCTGCCTCAGCCTCCCAAGTAGCTGAAATTACAGGCGCCTGCCACCACACCCAGCTAATTTTTGTATTTTTAGTAGAGAAGGGGTTTCACTGTGTTGGCCAGGCTGGTCTCGAACTCCTGACCTTGTGATCCACCCGCCTCAGCCTCCCAAAGTGCTGGGATTACAAGCGTGAGCCACTGCACCCGGCCTGTTTTATATTTTTTCAAGTCTCTTTGATGTCCGACTTAAGAGACAAGACAGCTTGCTGGATTTTCTTATCTGTCTCTTCATTCAAGCTATTTTGACACCACCGATCACAAAGCTTCTGAAACTCTACTGTACCCTTTTGAGAGAAAAAGACTAAAATAACATCTTAGTATTATTGTGAAAATAGTTTTGGCCTTATGAACACCCTGAGAAGGTCTTGGGGATCCCAAGGGTCCCCAGACTCACTGGAAAAACCCAGCTGTTCATTGGAAAGAGACCTGGATTTGAGTTCTGGCTATGTGGCTTTCTAGCTGTGTGACCTTGGGCAAATTATTTAACCATTCTGAGCTTCTTTTTTCTCCTCTGTAATGAAGCCCGTCTCATAGATTTGTGTTGAGGGTTAAATTAGACAATATTCGTGCCAGGTTCATGTTCAGCACTCAGTAGATGGGATTTGATCCTATTGTTATTGAGGTCTGGGGCTGGGGTGGGGGGGTGAATGGCAGTGTCATTGACAGTAATAGGGACATAAAGGGCCGGAGCTGGTGAGGGGGTAAGAAAAGTTCAGTTGGGTCGTGGTGAGCTAGAGCTGATGATGTGCCATCCAGGTGGAGCAGCTGGGCTAGAGCTCTGGGATTGGGTCTCAACTGGAGATCAAGATTTGTGAGTGGTAGGTTTTGAGGTAGAAATGAAGGATGTGAGGGCCAAGAATGTTAGCGCTGTGAGGGCAGGAAGGGTCTTGGAGCCCCGGGTCTAAGAACAGTGCCTGGCACAAAGTAGGTTCTTACTTATTTGCCTATATTTTTTAAGAGATAGAGGTCTTGTTCTGTTGCCCAGGCTGGAGTGCAGTGGTGCGATCAGATCACAGCTCACTGCAGCCTCCAATTCCTGGGCTTGATCAAACGATCCTCCCACCTCAGCCTAGTAGCTGGGACTACAGGCACGGGCCTCCAGCCTGGCTTATTTATTTATTTATTTTTGAGATGGGGTCTCGCTCTGTCACCCAGGCTGGAGTGCAGTGGCGCAATCTCGGCTCACTGTAAGCTCCCCCTCCCAGGTTCAAGGGATTCTCCTGCCTCAGCCTCCCGAGTAGCTGGGCTTACAGGTGCCCGCCACCATACCTGGCTAATTTTTGTATTTTTAGTAGAGACAGGGTTTCACCGTGTTGGCCGAGTTGGTCTCGAACTCCTAACCTCAGGTGATCCACCCTCCTCAGCCTCCCAAAGTGCTGGGATTACAGGTGTGAGCCACCGTGCCTGGCCTAATTTTTATTTTTATTTTGTTTTTAAAGACAGGGACTCACTATGTTGCCCAGGCTGGTCTTAAACTCCTGGCCTTAAGCAATCCCCCGCTGCCTCCATGTGTATCTGGGGTTACAGGCGTGAGCTAGGCCCTCAGTAACTGTTGAAGTGTAAATGAAATCAGGGAAAGAGAAAGACAACTAGTCCTGAGGCCATGGGTAGGAAGGGCGGGGTCTGAGACAAAGCTGTTCTGAGACTCACAGCGATGCCAATTTCCTCTGGAAACATTTGCTTTTAACCACCAGGGAATCCTTCCTGAAGCGTTTGCTTGAGACATCATCTTTTTTTTTTTTTTTTTTGAGGTAGGGTCTTGCTGTGTTGCCCAGGTTGGAGTGCAGTGGTATGATCATGGCTCACTGCAGCCTCAACCTCCTGAACTCAAGCAATCCCCCCACCTCAGCCTCCCAAGTAGCTGGAACTACAGGTGCGCACCACCGTGCCCAGCTAATTAATTTTTTTGGTAGAGATGAGGTCTTGCTATGTTGCCCAGGCTGGTCTGAAACTCCTGAACTCAAGCAATCCTCCTGCCTCAGCCTCCCAAATTGCTGGGATTACAGATGTGAGCCACTGTGCCCGGTCAAGACAGACACCCATCTTTTAAACTGGGACCACTTAACCAGCTCAACCATTTGATTTGGCTCAAGAGCTGGAGTTCAGAGAGAGGTGCCTGCTGTCCGCTGGTCCTTCAGGCACCGTTTCACATTTAGTCGTCCTTTTACACAGGTTACCTTGACCTTGAGTTGTCTTGTTTCACCTTGTGGAAGGGAGAGAAGGTGTGTGATTCTTGTGACTGGGACTTGTGGTAGACGTTCATCAATATTCAAGTCCTTCTTTACTGTCTCACAGAAGAATGAAGAGGAGCTGCAGGACAAGTTCCAACATCTCTTTTCCATCTTCATCCACTCCTGCCATGGGTGTGCAGAGGATGCACAGAGCGGCAGACCCTCTGCTCACCCTCCCCGTGGCCCAGTGCACTCCTGTTCTGGATACGCATGAAGCCCACTGTCTTGGAAGCAGCAGTGCACATGTCCCCATCATTCTTCCATCAAGCCTGGAATGGACTTTTTTTTTCGTTTTTTTGAGAAGGAGCCTTGCTTTGTCGCCCAGGCTGAAGTGCAGTGGCGTGATCTCGGCTCACTGCAACCTCCACCTCCCCATTTCAAGCAGTTCTCCTGCCTCAGCCTCCTGAGTAGCTGGGATTACAGGCGTCCGCCACCATGCCCAGCTAATTTTTGTGTTTTTAGTAGAGATGAGGTTTTACCAGGCTGGTCTTGAACTCCTGACCTAAGGTAATCCACCCACCTCAGCCTCCCAAAGTGCTGGGATTACAGGTGTGAGTCACCTCGCCCAGCTGGAATGGACATTTTTAAGGTGAGTATGATTTCAACAAAGTCATCCTTTCTCAATTTTAAATTTTGTTTCAGGTGTTTTAAGTCAATGTCAATGGTTGAAAACTATTGGATAGAGGAGATCTGGGAACTTACACAGACTGCACATGAATGCTTAGGGAAAGAATTCTCCTTTGTCCATGCTTTTGCTGTAAGCTGTGCTCTTTTGTGTTTAACCTCGTCATATACAACATGGACTGTCTGCCAAGGGCCTCTTGGTGATCTGCAAGGCGTTCTCAGATGGCTGTCTCTGAGGGCCTGGTCCCTCCTTTAGCTTGTCAAAGGACACAGAGATGGGTCACTGGAGCTGGCTCTCCTTGGGATACAATCCAGTCCCCTCAGCTAGGGCATTTGTATCACTGCCCTCGGGTGGAGCTCAACAGTGACCCCATGGTTAGGCCATCTGGAAACAGGCTGCTGACACCCGGGACTTCTGTGCTGCCAGGAAGAACAAGGCAGGAGGATGCGTCCCTGCACCCAGGCTGCCCTCCAAACCTGTGGAATGCAGCCCCTGGTCATAGAGGAGGCCCAACTGTTGCTGACACGTATGGGAATCCAGAGGCTGGGCTCCCCTTCATACAGCCAGGGCCCCACTCAGACCTGAGCCAACCCATCATATGCCAGATGGGACAGAGTGCTCACATGGGCCACTTGCCGGACCCTCTGACACTTTTAGGAAGCAGGTATTTTCACCATGGCCACACCCAATGCTAGTAAGTGCCTGTGATGGTTAATTTTATGTGTCAGCGTGGCTAGGCTCTGGTGCCCAGTTGTTGGTCAAACATTGTTCTAGATGTTGCTATGAGGGTATTTTTTTGAATGAGAGTAACATTTAAATAAGTAGACTCTGAGTAAAGCAGATTACCTCCCACAGTGTGGGTGGGCCTCACCCAATCAGTTGAAGGCCTTAAGAGAAAAGACTGAGGTCCCCCGAGGAGAAAAGAATTCGTCTCTAGACCACCTTAGGATTTAAGGCCACAACATAAACTTCTGCTAGAATTTCCAGCCTCCTGGCCTGCCCTGAAGATTTCAGACTTGCCTGACCAGATCATCGCATGAGCCGATTCCTTAAAGTCTCTCCTGCTGTTTTTCTGGAAAACCTGACTACTACAGTGCCTGAGGTGGGACCCGATTACCCCATTCTGCCTTCCAGCTGCTGGCGGTGCGTGTGTTTGCCCGGAAGGGTGATCCAGGGCTTCATCAGGCAAAGCATTGGGGATGGAAGTTCCGGCGACTCTCATGGCCTCGCCTGGTGAGGGGCACCCCTGGGGCAAACCCCGTTTCCTACTGATTCCATGTCAGCACTGCTTTTCCTGCTGGCAGAAATCAAATCAAGCCAGTTACCATGGCTCACACCTGTAATCCCAGCACTTTCAGAGGCCGAGGCGGGTGGACCACCTGAGGTCAGGAGTTCAAGACTAGCCTGGCCATCGTGACGAAACCCTGTCTCTACTAAAAATTAAAAAAAAAAAAAATAGCTTGGTGTGGTGGTGGACGCCTATAATTCCAGCTACTCGGGAGGCTGAGGCAGGAGAGTCATTTGAACCCGGAAGGCGGAGGCTGCAGTGAGCCGAGATCGTGCCACTGCACTCCAGCCCGGGCAACAGACAGAGACTGTCTCAAAGAAAAAAAAATGTTCCCGCCATCTAGGCATGAACTGTCTGCTGAAGCCCCTCAAATCTCCTGCCTTGCCCTGGATGGAGACCTGTTTTTATTTTGTTATTTCTGTCTATAAAAGCAGCTAGATTACTATGTCTTTCCTTTTTATTGAAATTTGAAAAACTGCACACCACTTATGTGAGCCACGTTATAATGGAAAAGGCAGGTGCCTCCAGAGGAGACACACAGGGCAGCATGTGTCTGCGTAATGTGTGTCATCAGAATACACGTGTGTGGGTTTTTGTCTAGCTCCCTTCATCTGCATGGCGCCAACAATGATTGTGAAGTATCTGTGAGCCATGAGTTCCTTTACTAATGCAGCACATGCTACTCAGGGCCTCCTCTGTGCCAGGCACCACACTGGGTTCCGGGGACCCAACAGGGAACAAGACACAGTCCCTGCCCACAGGGAATGTGCAGCCTAAGTGTCATCTCTGAGGCTGGGTTCGAAGGGAAGTGAGGAGCGTTAGAATTGGGGCCTGCAGCCTCTTAACTATTTGGCTATTTATCATTACAACGGGGCTCTATGAACCTAGTAATATTTTCTGTTTGAGTCAAAGACATTAGCATTTTTTAGAGCCAGCCAGCCGGAAGTGGGCTCTCCAACCTTCCCTCCACAGCTTCTCTGTGCATCTCACCGTGGCACCTTCACTTTCTGCCCCTACCATGTGATTTTGTAGATGTGGTGTCCACAGGCTGAGCTTTGGCCTCACCCAGACCTGGGATTGGGTCCCAGCCACACCATTTCTAGCCGTGTGATCTTGGCCTCACGACTTAGCCTCTCTCAGCTTCCCTTTCCTCATCTATAATACTAATTTGGGGGAAAATAATAGCTCTGTACTTTTATTGGTGGGGCTGTTAGGGAGATTAGTGAGATGATACATACCATAGTCCCTTGCATAAGTTTCAAATAATGTTACCTGCCACAGTCCCTTGCAAAAGTGCTAAAGGCAAGTCCCTTGCAAAAGTGCTAAATAAATGTTAACTTCCTTTTTTTAAGTTTTTTTTTTTTTTGAGACCAAGTCTCTCTGTCACCCAAGCTGGAGTGCAGTGGCATGATATCGGCTCACTGCAATCTTCACCTTCCTGGTTTGAATGATCTTCCTGCCTCAGCCTCCTGAGTAGCTGGGATTACAGGCACCTGCCACCACACCCAGCTAATTTTTGTATTTTTAGTAGAGACAGGGTTTCACCATGTTGGCCAGGCTGGTCTCAAATGTCTGACCTCAGGTGATCGGCCTGCCTCAGCCTCCCAAAGTGCTGGAATTACAGGGGTGAGCCACTGTGCCCAGCCATAAATGTTAACTTCTATAATATTATTTTTGTTATTGTTACTTATCTCCTTACTTATGTATTTTTCATTATTCAAGGGCAAGGACCATTTTTCCCCTTCTCCTCTTACCCTCCTCCTTGTTCTAAATAGGACTTATGGCAAATTTCAGCAAGTTGATGAGAAAAATAGAGGGAAAATGAAGATATAAACATAAAATGGAGCCAGCAGAGACTAATACAGAAAGTACATCCTTACTTTAGTGGGTCACAGGATTGGCTCTAAGCTTCCTAGCACCCAATGAGATGAAAGAAACTGAATTAGTTACATAATGTAACACTGTTGTCCATGAAATAAAACAAGCGAATAGCTCAGGAGAAACACACCTGGGCGACATTCTTTTTTTCCTTCTCACTTCCTTCTTGACCTTGTGATTCATTTTGCTGAAGGGAAGACCATTTGTTGGAAAGTGTTTCTGAATGCGATGGGAGTCCTGGCCCTTGGTAGAGGCCCACCCCTCGCTGTCTTCAGCTGATCTGTTAGTAATAGAGAAGATCTAGTTCCTGGCCCAGAGAACTGATCCTGCAATAGGGCTGTGTTTTTGAAACCAAAAGCGTCATACAGATAACAAAGGAGATGTGTCTCACTGTGGTTAGGCTATTTTGTAGCAACACTTGTTTCCACTCTTTTGCAATTTCAGGTTCTGTCAGACTTGATCTAAACATGAATGTGCAAGTCCAGTGCTCAGGCTGATATAACCACTGTCTGGGCCCTGAGTTGATTTGAATTTCCACTTCCAATCTGTGGTGCAACGTATGTAACACAGCAAATCAGTAAGGCTTTATCAAGCACTTTCTTTGTGCAAGGCCCCTGTCCCAGGCCCTGCCTGGGAACCTTGCTTCCAGCTTGAGGTAATGGGGGTCAAGAAGGAGGGGCAGGTAACCCTGGTTTTGAGAACTCAGGAGGGAGCTTGTAAACTCAGGAAGCTAGAGAGGCCTGGAAACTTCATGGTGGAGGTAGGACTTGAAGGATGAGGGGGGTAGGAAGGAGAAGAGGCTGTGCATGATGAGAAGGACTCCAGCTGCCACGGTCCAGTGGTGTTCAGACTCCAGGAAGAGCCTGACCTACTTGGAGTGGAGGGGAGGAGAGAGGGAGGGTGTGGACGTCAGGATGTCCTGGAGCCCAAGGCTGCTACAGCTGCTCCCTGCTCCCCACATCAGCTACCTGACATGGGAGTCAGGGAAATCCTTGCTCCTCCTGTTGCCCACCTCAGGGGATCCTAGAGAAGAATCCAATATGAGACTTTTTTTTTTTGGTGAGACAGAGTTTCGCTCTGTTACCCAGGCTGGAGTGCAATGGCACGATCTTGGTTCACTGCAACCTCTGCCTCCCGAGTTCAAGTGATTCTCCTGCCTCAGCCTCCTGAGTAGCTGGGATTACAGGCATGTGCCACCATGTCTGCTTAATTTTTGTATTTTTAGTAGAGATGGGATTTCACCATTATGGCCAGGCTGGTCTTGAACTCCTGACCTCAAGTGTTCCACCCACCTCGGCCTCCCAAAGTGCTGGGATTCCAAGTGTGAGCCAATGTGCCCAGTCCAATATGAGACTTTTTGAAACAATTTGCTACTTAGGGATTTATGAACATTAAAATATATATCATCTGGCCAGGTGTGGTGGCTCACATGTGTAATCCTAGCACTTTTGGAGCCAAGATGGGAGGATCACTTGAGCCCAGGAGTTCGAGCTCAGCCTGGGCAATAGCTGCTAAGTGTGGTGAAACGCCATCTCTACAAAAAATACAAAAATTAGACAGGTGTGACGGTGCATGCCTGTAGACTCAGCTACTCTGAAGGCTAAGATAGGAAGATCGCTTGAGTTTGGGAGGCGGAGGTTGCAGTGAGCCGCGATTGTACCACTGCACTCCAACCTGAGTGACAGAGAGAGACTCTGCCTCAAAAAAAAAATCATCTCTAAGTGAGTGTGGCTAGTGGTCAACATTCACATTTCTGTCCAATGGAAATTGCTAGATCCCAGCTGCTAGCTTTGTAGAAAACCTGCAGGTCAGCATTGCATTCCAGGTTTGCAGGTAGAACTAGACCATGACCTTCACTTGGGATCATGTCAAGATCCTAAAATTGGTTGCAGAAATATTTCTTTTTCCATCCGTTGAAGAAAATAACTCTACTGTGGTTATCTTTATTTTGGCATCTTGGGAGAAACTTAAGGAAGAATGTTGACCCCAAATGTGCTGGTATCTGAAACATTTGGTTACTCTTCAAACCACTAGATCACATGTCCCTGATAGATGGTGGGGCCACTGAGGAGGAGTCTGGGGGCATGGGGAGCAGGCAGAAGGGGGGCCCAGTGGGCTGGCATCTGTGAGGACAAGAGCAGGGCTCTTGCGTCTGTGAGTTGTTTAACCTCATCTCTCTATTCTGCATATAAGGGGATGGAGACTCAAGAAGTTAAAGAAAATTTACCCAAGGTCACAGAGCTAGAAAGTGGCAGGAGTCCGGCTTCAAAATTCAGATGACTACACACCCCAGTTCCCTCTCAGCCAGGCCACCTTCCTTAGAGAACAACCAAACCCACACCAAAAGGTGAACACAAGCTGAATCACCAGGACTCATCAGCAGCGAGGCTTCCTTGGTCCTTTCCCTAGAAATTCAGGTTAGTGGCTCTGGGGCCTGGGCACCTGGGTTTCCACCCTCTCCCCTCTCCCCAGGTGATTCTCAGGACCAGCCAGATCCTGGGACCACCTTGTAAAGAGCCTTCACTCTAGGTCCCTAGAGACCTAGATGGAGTTTCACTCTTGTTGCCCAGGCTGGAGTGCAATGGCGTGATCTCGGCTCACTGCAACCTCTGTGTCCCGGGTTCAAGTGTTTCCGTGTCCCGTGCCTCAGCCTCTCAAGCAACTGGGATTACAGGCGCCTGCCACCACACCCGGCTAATTTTGTATTTTTAGTAGAGATGAGGTTTCTCCATGTTGGTCAGACTGGTCTCAAACTCCTGACCTCAGGTGATCCGCCTGCCTCAGCCTCCCAAAGTGCTGGGATTACAGGCATGAGCCACTGCGCTCGGCCTGGGATGAAGGATTTCTACTGGGAGCCTCTCTCTGAGTGGCAGGGTGGAAGCTCTGGCCAATGGTAGAGTCAGATGGGGAAGAGCAAGCAAGAGGAAGTTGTGTCCTTTCTGTGGAAACTTGAGAACTGAGTAGATGGCAGCATGTGTCACTCTCATAGGCGCAAGAAGCTGTGGAAACTGCTGCTTGCTGACTTCAGCTCCCCCACACCCTCCACCCTCCAGCTGCTGATGTCAACAAAGAATCTTAAGGCCGGGCACGGTGGTTCATGCCTGTAATCCCAGCACTTTGGGAGGCCGCGGTGGGTGGATCACTTGAGGTCAGGAGTTTGAGACCAGCCTAGCCAACATGGCTAAACCCCGTCTCTAGTAAAAACACAAAAATTAGCCAGACATGATGGCACATGCCTATAATTCCAGCTACTTGGGAGGCTGAGGCAGGAGAATCGCTTGAACCTGGGAGGCGGAGGTTGCAGTGAGCCAACATCGTGCCACTGCACTCAGCCTGGCGACAGAGCGAGACCCTGTCTCAAAAAAGAAAAAAAAAAAAAGAATCTTAGCTGCCCTCCAGGGCTGGGGGCAGTGAAGGGAACTGATTGAGTCCTGAGCAGGGGGCTTCAAGTGCAAGCTGTGCCTCAAAGCAACTGTGATCCCCTGAGTAAGACACCCTGCCCCTCCTCTGTCCACAGGCTCCTGTACTGAAAAAAATGAAGCAGCTGGAAGCAGTCTTGAGCCCATAAATCTGTACCCACTGCAGGGGTCCCGAACTTTTTGTGGGGGGCACACCCCTTTGAAAATCTAATAAAATGATCAACCCTCTCTTGGGGAAAAAAAGCAGACATCCAAATTTTGGCTGACAATTTCAGGGAAATGAATGGACTTCCCCAAGCTCATTCAGGAAGCTCTGGGGGTCACTGGCCTATGTTAAGCACTGCTGGTCTGTCCAGAAGCCTCTATGACTGCACCGTTCAGTGCTGCAGCCTCTCATCACATGAGGCCCTGAGCTTGTGCAGGGTGGCAAGTGTGAACTGAAAGGTGCTATAGACATGGAGTGCACACTGGATTTTGAAGACTTAATAGGAAAGAAGAACGTAAAATATCTCATGACTAATTTTTATACTAATTATATATTAAAAGATAAGTTGGGACTGGGCGCAGTGGCTCATGCTGGTAATCTCAGCACTTTGGGAGGCGGAGTGGGCGGATCACGAGGTCAAGAGCTCAACACCAGCCTGACCAACATGGTGAAACCCCGTCTCTACTAAAAATACAAAAAGTAGCCGTGCATGGTGGCACGTGCCTGTAATCCCAGCTACTCAGGAGGCTGAGGCAGGAGAATCGCTTGAACCTGGGAGGTGGAGGATGCAGTGAGCCGAGATCGCACCACTGCTCTCCAGCCTGGGTGACAGAGCGAGACTTGGTCTCGAAAAAAAAAGAGAAAAAGATAAGTTGGATATTTGGGGTCAAATAAAATATGTTATTAAAATTAATTTCACCTGTTTCTCTTTACTTTTTAAAAGTGTGGCTAGAACATTTGAAATGCAGTATGTGACCGGCATTATGTATGGACTGGTCCCCGCTGCTCTGTGATGACACCCTGGAGGCATGGCCTCATGGCCGGACCTCTAAAGTCAGTGTAGGCCCTTCACGGAAAGCCCAGCACTTCCTCTTTCTGGAAGTTGTAGTTAAGAGAATGGGCAGGGAAATCTTCACCAGAACAAGCTGTAAGTTGTGTTTTCCTGACAAGATCGCAAGCTCTAGCCAGGCACAGTGGCACGTGCCTAAAGTCTCAGCTACTGGGAAGGTTGAGGCAGGAGGATTATTTGAGCCCAGCAATCTGAGTCAGCAGTGAGCCACGACTGTGCCACTATAATCATGCATCTCAACTGAGCGAGACCCTTCATTTAAAAAAACAAAAATAAGCCCGGGCGCAGAGGCTCATGCCTGTAACCCCAGCATTTCGGGAGGCTGAGGTGGGTGGATCACAAGGTCAAGATATTGAGACCTTCCTGGCCAACATGGTGAAACCCTGTCTCTACTAAAAATACAAAAAATAGCTGGGCGTGGTGGTGTGTGCCTGTAGTCTCAGCTACTTGGGAGGCTGAGGCCGGAGAATCACTTGAACCCGGGAGGTGGAGGTTGCAGTGAGCTGAGATTGTGCCACTGCACTCCAGTCTGGTGACAGAGCAAGACTCCGTTTCAAAACAAAACAAACAAACAAACAAACAAACAAAAAGGCCTGGTGCGGTGGCTCACGCCTGTAATCCCAGCACTCTGGGAGGCCGAGGCAGGCGGATCACGAGGTCAGGAGATCGAGACCATCCTGGCTAACACGGTGAAACCCCGTCTCTACTAAAAATACAAAAAATTAGCCGGGCGTGGTGGCAGGCGCCTGTAGTCCCAGCTACTTAGGAGGCTGAGGCAGGAGAATGGCGTGAACCCGGGAGGCGGAGCTTGCAGTGAGCCGAGATAGCGCCACTGCACTGCAGCCTGGGCGACAGAGTGAGACTCCATCTCAAAAAAAAAAAAAAAAAAAAAAGTTGAAAGCTCCTAGCTGGATTTAGTGGTGCACACCTATAATCCCAGCTACTTGGGAGGCTGAGGCAGGAAGATCGCTTGAGTCTAGGAGTTGGAGTCTAGCCTGGGGAACATAGCAGGACCCCCATCTCTTAAAAAAAACTGGGGGTGGGGGCGCGAGGCGCGGTGGCTCATGCCTGTAATCCCAGCACTTTGGGAGGCTAAGGCTGGTGGATCATGAGATCAGGAGATCGAGACCATCCTGGCTAACACAGTGAAACCCCGTCTCTACTAAAAATACAAAAAAATAAAAATTAGCTGGGTGTGGTGGCACGCACCTGTAGTCCCAGCTACTTGGGAGGCTGAGGCAGGGGAATCACTTGAACCTGGGAGGGGAGGTTGCAGTGAGCCGAGATCGCACCACTGCACTCCCGCCTGGGCTACAGAGTGAGACGCCATCTCAAAAAAAAAAAAAAGGCACTTTTCTTGCAAAGACATGTCTAATGTGTAAGGCTTCTGGGTCCTCTCCAGGGATGGGCACCTGGCAGATGGAGTGACCGATCTTTGGCCACCTGTGGGACTGGAGCTCCAGGTAACATTGCTGTATTATATTCCTAGGGCTGATCCAACAAAGTGCCACAAACTGGATGGCTTACAGTGACATCCCTCACTGTTCTAGAGGCGAGAAGTCTGAAATCAAATTGCTGGCAGGGTCATGCTGCTGCTGAAGGCTCTGGGGGAGGCATGTCCTTTTCTCTTCCTGGCTTCTGGTGTTGCTGGCAATCTTCAGTGCTTCTCAGCTTGCAGATGCACTGCCCTCATCGTGGCCCCCGTGGTCACTTGATGTCATCTCTCTGTCTCACATCCTCTTCCTTCTGTGTTCAAATTTCCCTCTTGCTAACAAGTCATCAGCTATTGGATTAGGGCCCATCCTCATCCATTATTACCTCATTTTAACTTGATGACATCTGCAAATAGCCTATTTCCAAATAAGGTCACATTCTGAGGTTCCAGTACACATGAATTTTGGGGGGACACTGTTCAATCCAGTATGATTGATGAGTACATTTTGTGAGAAAGATACTTCCAAAGAGTTTGGGTAGAGCTTAGGTAATTTCTCCAGCATCTTCTAACCCCAAATAGGGACAGAACAGAGTGCTTATGTGTGCCAGGCAATGGTCTCGATGCCAGGGACACGATGATGGACATGACACAGTCTTTGCCCCCGCAGAGCTCAGATCCTAGTGATGGAGGCGGACAATCAATACGTGGATATCTGTCAGTATGTAATATGATATTGGGTTGTGTCAGCAGAGTAGAGGCATGGAGAGGAACAGGCCGGTAGAGGTGGTAGGCTATTTTCGATAGGAAAGAATGGCAGGGAAGACCACTGTCACCTGTGAGGTGACATTGAGTTGCAGAAGTAGTGATTTAGTGAGGAGAAAAAGCACCAAGCCCCTGAGGCAGGAATATGATTGGTAAGTTCAAAGCACACGGAAGGGGACAGATGATGTGTCTCACCCACCATGACCTGGGCTGGGAGCTGGGTATCAGGCCTCTTGGCCCAGAGCTGCTGGTCTGGAGTGGGGAAGGTGGTGGGGAGGAGATTTCTCCCGCTTCTGGTCAAGGGTTTCACTTCCTTCAGCCTTGCTTCCCCCATTGTTCAGCTGGGGTGGAGGCTGGTTACCCCTGGCTCTGGCTGGAGCAGTCCAGTGCCATTGTCATTGTCTTTTCCATACAATAAGAACAGAATTCCGTCCTTTCTTTGCTGCTGGCTTTAAACCTCCAGGTCCTAAAGCCCCTTCTCTCACTTCTTTGTTAATCTCAGGGTGTGCCTGAGGCTTTTCACTCTGCCTCCGCTTTCACCACTGCCTGGTGGCTGGTGCGTGGGCTTCTTACCTGGCTCCCTCCTTCACCTCCTGCGAGTCTTCCTTCTTGGATGAGCGCCCCGACCACCTTACTGAAGGAACATGCACTCCTCTCCCAGCTGCCTTTGTACCTTGCTCCTTTCCCCCACGGCATGCTGTAGAATTTCCTTAGGCATTATGTGTTGTTCTGGGTCTCTGTCACCCTCACTGCTATCTACTAGATTGTAAGCTCCACGAGGGCAAAGATGGGTACTTTTTGTTCATGGATATAGCCCAAGCACCTAGAGCAATGCCTGCCACACAGTAGGTACTCAAAAAGTATTTGCGGACTGAAATGAATAAACAAGTGAATGGGTTGTAGGGTAGAATCCTAAATGGCTGAACTGGAAGACTCGCACAGGAATTCCCCTGTGCTGCCCCTACGAGGGAACTGAGATGCAGAGAACAGAAAGGAATTCTTTAGAGAATCGGATGGGAGGCTGGACACAGAGCTTGCCCTCAGGAAATTTACACGAATTGGGGGTGGGGTGGGCAGTGCCACCTCCTTGCACAACTCCAGGGGGTGTCATTTTCATTGAACACAGTATAGGTGGTGCTCCTGGAGTGGTGCCTGGCCTGGGGGTGAGGTAGTTGAGGAGAGACTGTGGCCGGACCATGGTGTGGGGCTCAGAAGAGAGAGTGCAGGTGTGACAGCTCAAAGGGCCCAACCCAAGAAAGAACATCACCAGCCCAGGGCCAGGAAGGGTGTGGTGGAGGATGGGCACCACGGTCAACACACAGAGATCCAACACACACACTCCCAACACCATCTCTGGTGTTTTCTATGCCCAGCACAAGGCCTGGCCAACCCAGTAGGTGAAGTCGCCCAAGGTGCCCAGTAGGTGAAGTCTTTTATTCTTGTTGTTGTTTTGAGACAGGGTCTTGCTCTACCGCCCAGGGTGGAGTGTAGCAATGCTGTTTGCATTGGGCTGACTGAAGCCTCAATAGGGCTCACTGAATCCTCGATCTCCCAGGCTCAAGTGATCCTCCCACCTCAGCCTCCAGAATTTCTGGAACAACAGCTGCAGGCCACTACGCCTAGCTAATTTAAAAAATTTTTTTTTATAGAGACGAGATTTCACCATCTTGCCCAGGCTGGTCTTGAACTCCTGGACTCAAGCAATTCTCCCACCTCAGCCTCCCAAAGTGCTGGGATAACAGGCATGAGCCACCGTGCTGGGCCTAGGAGGTGAAGTCTTGATGAGGGGCTGTGATGGTCTGGCTTGGGAGCAGAGCTGAGGTTTGCTCTAGCACCTGGCCCTCTTGTCCAGTGGGGCTCACTCCTCTTGACTCTGTTCCCCTTGCTGCTGGCTCTTCACTTTGCTGCCTGATAGAATCTAAAATCCCCTGGGGAATTTTAGAAAACATGGGATGCGAGGGGAGTCAGGGGGCACATCCTCGGGGATTTCCATTCAGGTGGTGAGGAGCGGGACTGGACATCCCCTCACCACGTGATACTTGTGTTAGCCAGGCTTGAGAACCCCTGCTCTAGAAGCTGTCCCGGTGACATGGAAGGACCCGGGTAAAAGATTCATAACCCTGTAGTGTTATCCACACAACTGGTGGGTTCGGCCACTTGGTGGGTATCAGTTCAATGACCGCCACCAGAGAGGATGTAGCAAGGGGATTTTATGACTTGTAACAAGTCCCAAAGCAGTGTCCCCCTGAGCCGGGGACTGGGTCACGTTTTATAAGCATAGGGTAGTGATCCGACTGGATCCTGCCATGCAGTGCCTGCTTCTTCTTTTTTTTTTTTTTTTGAGATGGAGTCTCACTGTGTCACCCAGGTTGGAGTGCAGTGGCGCAATCTCAGCTCACTGCAACCTCCACCCACCAAGCTCAAGCAATTCTTTTTTTTTTTTTTTTTTTTGAGATGGAGTCTGGCTCCGTTGCCCAGTCTGGAGTGCAGTGGCGCAATCGCGGCTCACTGCAAGCTTCGCCTCCTGGGTTCACATCATTCTCCTGCCTCAGCCTCCTGAGTAGCTGGGACTACAGGTGCCCGCCACCACGCCCGGCTAACTTTTTATACTTTTAGTAGAGATGGGGTTTCACTGTGTTAGTCAGAATGGTCTCGATCTCCTGACTTCATGATTCCCCCGCCTCGGCCTTCCAGAGTGCTGGGATTACAGGCGTGAGCCACCAAGCCCAGCCTCAAGCGATTCTTGTGCTTCAGCTAGCTGGGATTACAGACAAGCACCACCACACCTGGCTACTTTTTGTATTTTTAGTAGAGACAGGGTTTTGCCATGTGAGCCAAGCTGGTCTCGAACTCCTGGCCTCCTGTGATCCACCCACCTCAGCCTCCCGAAGTGCTGGGATTACAGGCATGAGCCACCACGCCTGGCCCAGTGTCTGATTCTTCATTCAGCCCCCACTTGGGTTCCCCTGTGGTTGCAGGCTTGGTTCATCTGCGCATGCTCAGGTTTTGTGACCCGAGGGTCTGAGGCAACTGGGAAACAACTCACATCTTTGTTACATAAAAGCTCATTCTCAGTAAACTATCGCAAGAACAAAAAACCAAACACCGTATATTCTCACTCATAGGTGGGAATTGAACAATGAGATCACATGGACACAGGAAGGGGAATATCACACTCTGGGGACTGTGGTGGGGTGGGGGGAGGGGGGAGGGATAGCATTGGGAGATATACCTAATGCTAGATGACGAGTTAGTGGGTGCAGCGCACCAGCATGGCACATGTATACATATGTAACTAACCTGCACATTGTGCACATGTACCCTAAAACTTAAAGTATAAAAAAAAAAAAAAAAAAAAAAGCTGAACCAGATTGGTCTGATGCAGTTACAGTGGCTCCGCAGAGAGCATTCAAAAGAATTGATGAACTTGAATGGGAATAAATGACACCTTAATTTTCATGAACCTCCAACTGAAATTGAGTGTTTTCTTCCGTTATGAATGTAAATGTCAAACCACAGCAGTGTCAACAGTACCTGTGACTTTGTCACCCTAGAAATCAGATCTTCTCATATCATTTTATGGTTGTTGTGGGTATCTTGAAATATGATTTAAGCTCATCTGCACTTAAAAAGTAAGATGATTATTAGATTCCTCCTAGATTTTGTTATTTAATGCATTAATGAAGATGCACATATATCACCATATCACAAATTTTACAATATTTTTGGCTACTGGCATTCAACATAATTGTTTCAATAGAAATCCTATGTATCTTAGATTTTTTTCTTTTCTTTTTTTTTTGAGACGGAGTCTCGCTCTGTCGCCCAGGCTGGAGTGCAGTGGCATGATTTTGGCTCACTGCAACCTCTGCCTCCTGGGTTCATGCCATTCTCCTGCTTCAGCTTCCCAAGTAGCTGAGACTACAGTTGCCCGCCACCACACCTGGCTAATTTTTTGTATTTTTAGTAGAGATGGGGTTTCACCGTGTTAGCCAGGATGGTCTCAATCTCCTGACCTCGTGATCCACCCACCTCGGCCTCTCAAAGTGCTGGGATTACAGGCGTGAGCCACTGCACCCGGCTATGTTAGATGTATTTTAAGACAGCATTCTGAGAAGGGGGTCTGTAGGCTGGCCAGATGGCCAAAAGGGCCCCTGATCAAAGCAAAGATCTTCGGAAGGTAAAGAACATTCAGAGGAGGCTCCTTGTCCCCAGAGAAGGCAGAGTGGTATGTAGTGGACACAGTAACTCCCTCTCTCTTCCTGTGTGGCCTGCAGGCAAAGGTCACACCGCTCACGGTCAGGGCTGTCTCACTTCCGTTTGGGGTGAGAGCACCCCCTCACTTACTCGTTTCTCATTTTTTGGCAGAAGTGCCCCTTGGCCTCCCATGGCAGCCCTGGGGGAGGGCAATAGGGCTTTTTTCCAGCCTTGTTAACCCAAGGGGGAGGGGGCAACCCAAACAGTGAGGGAATGAGAAGAGCTTGGACTGGAGGAGAGCAGTTGTTCCTTGAGCCTCGACAGGTAGATGCTGACCGCCAGCTCCTTGCTGCCCCTCACAATTCCTTCCTGCCCTGATTGCTAGTGTTCCCGCCAGAGGAGGGACCTGGGAGACCCACTGATGCCTGCTGGCGCTCCTTTAGAGCCCTTCTGCAGCTCGGCAGACGCTTGGCCCCTGTGATCCAAGCCTGCCCCAGGCACAGTCCCCCACCCTCAGGGAGCTCACAGTCTGGCCAGGGGATCTGAGCCAAGAACTCAGAGTAGGAAGAGGTTTGCAGCTGGGGCCTGGTACAGGTGTGTAGAGCAAACCAGAAACAAATGGGTTAACTTCAGATGATGTTTCTACTCTCTCACACCCACCCTGGGTTGTCTGGTGCGTGGCTGAGCTGAGTCTTAAAGGCTAGATAGAGTCTTAGCTGCCCAACTCACAGCAGTACCCTTTGGATCCACCTGCCCCTGTGGGTGGGCACACATGCTGTGTGGGGCGTGCACAACAGTGACCAGTTGGCGAGAGGTGGTGGTGTCACCACAGGGGAACTTGACCTCCTGGCCCAGCAGCCTAAAACAGAGGTTGATTAAAGCAAAAAGAATCATAGTTGTGGATGGCTGGAGACCTGGGTGTCTGAGGAGATGTCTGAGGTGCGAGTGAGAGGTGCCTGAAGTAAACGACAGACCCAGGAAGTGTCTGCCGTGCTGCTCGGAGCCACGGAACAGGGCCCTTAGACTGGATCTTTTTTCCCTTGGAGTCCGGGAACTCTTTCAGCCCTCTGGCGAAAGCTGCAGAACCATCTCCTCAGGAAAATACACATGTATCATCCAAATTCTGTACCCCATTGTAGAGGTTCTCTTCCCCATGTTTGGAGGAGGAAGAGGCAAAGTTAGAGAGGTGGATGAATTTCCCACGATCGACGGCTCGGCAGCAGGGGGGCAGCAGAGCCAGGACCTCAGGTCCCTGGCAGGTTTAGTGTGCCACGCTTTCCCTTCCCCTTATTGTCTCCCTGGAGAGGAGGAAGTGGGCTGGGGCCGGCGGGAGCCCACATGCACTTCCAGTTCCACACCATGCTGGGGGAAACTAACTGGTAGATAAATAAACACGGGACAGCGCAGGTACAAAAGGCGGCAGAGGCCTTGGGTCCACCCCAGTTCTCACCCTCTCCCTGACTTCTTGATTCCAGTGCAAAAGATCAGCAGCTCTTCTCCCTGAGGCCTAACCTGTGACTTCCTCCTCCTGGGGAAGGTAGAAAGACTTGTCTTCTGGCCTGTTCTCTAAGACCTCCCTTTTCAAGCAATGGAAGCATTCAGAACTTTAACAAGAACCAACCACAGTGACCCCACAGTGTCTGTCCTCGCTGAAATCTGAAAGCAAAGTGGTCAGAGTCGTTTGTGCCCAGGCTTCCTGGAAGTGGTGTCTTCTCAGCACGAGTCGAGCAGCCCAGGACAGACTCTTCTCCCTGACTCCTCTTGGCTTTAGAGGAGAGACTGCTGGTGACAAAAGGAACCTACTGGAAATAAGTGGAGGATCACCCACAGTCTCCCAGCTGCCTCCACCTACAGATAAGGAGGAAAGGGTGGGGAATGTGCTTCTAGTGAGCTGAATCCCAGCCTGGACTCAGGGCTGATCCCCATCCCCAAAGGGCTCAGAAGTGATTCAGGCTGCAGGCATCCCAAGTTGAGGTTCAAGAGAGTTATGCCCAGGAGCCCTGGATTTTCTGAGTTGGTATTCATTTCATATATGTGGTTACCCTTTTGTTGTTGGGTCTCGGTTACTGATTTGAAAAAATTTGTCATTATTAAGGGTCTAGGGCACAGTCCTGGGGTGCCTGGTATGGGCAGGAGTTAGTGGTTTCCTTGCGAGTATATGGCTTTGAGAGTTCTGTCCCCAGCCTTCCCTGTTGCGGCTACACTGGTTTCTGTTAATATCACTTCACTGTGGACTTCACTATCATTCTTCTCTGTTTTCTGTTTTCCTTCTTGCCCAACTTTAGCAACCACCAAAGGGATGCCAACTCCTCGTACCTGCCTCCAATTTTTATTTCATGGTCAAATTTTACTAATTTGGAGCAAACACACGGACCAAATAGTGAAGAGTTTGTTCTTTTAAGTTTTCTTAAGTCATTAAGAGATACTCCCCAGCCAGGCATGGTGGCTCATACCTGTAATCCTAACACTTTGGGAGGCTGAGGCAGGAGGATCGCTTGAGCCCAGGAGTTTGAGACCAGCCTGGGCAACATGTCAAAAACCCATCTCTAAAAAAAAAAAAAAGAAATTAGCTGGGTGTGGTGGTGCATACCCGTAGTCTCAGCTATTTGGGAGGCTGAGGTGGGAGGATCACTTGAGTCCTGGGGCTGTGATCATGCCCCTGCACTCCAGCCTGGGGAACAGAATGAGACCCTGTCTCAAAAAAATAAAAAAAAAATAATAAATAAAATAAAGAAACTCCACCTTGGCCGGGCGCACTGGCTCACACCTGTAATCCCAGCACTTTGGGAGGCTGAGGCAGGCGGATCACCTGAGGTCAGGAGTTCAAGACCAGCCTGGCCAACATGGCGAAACGCCATCTCTACTAAAACATACAAAAATTAGCTGGGCACGGTGGTAGAACCTGTAATCCCAGCTACTCAGGAGGCTGAGGCAGGAGAATCACTTGAAGCTGGGAGGCAGAGATTACAGTGAGCTGAGATCGTGCCACTGCACTCCAGCCTGGGTGACAGAGCGAGACATCTCAAAAAAAAAAAAAAAAAAAGCCCCATTTTGATCTTTGCACAATTCATTTGCCCTATCTGAGGAGTATGCTAACTAAAGGTAAATTTCAGCTGCATCCCTGCCAAGAGGAGCAAGAATTTCCTGAGTCTTGGGTTATATCGGGGGACTCCTTTTCCACATAATTCTCCTGGTTTATAAGTGCCTCTGAAATAAAAAATAAAGATGAAGTGGGAGCTGCCACCACCTATTTTCATTTTATTATTACTATTATTATTATTATTATGTTTGAGACAAGGTCTCACTCTGTCACCCATGTTGGAGTACAATGGCATGACCATAGCTCACTGCAGCCTGGAACTCCTAGGCTCAAGTGATCCTCCCACCCTGGCCTTCCAAAGTGTTGGCATTACAGGTGTGAGCCACTGCGCCCAGCCCCATGGCCTCTTTTTTTTTTTTTTTTTATGTGAGACAGAGTCTCTTGTTGCCCAGGCTGAAGTGCAATGGCGCAATCTTGGCTCACTGCAACCTCTGCCTCCTGGTTTCAAGCAATTCTCCCGCCTCAGCCTCCCAAGTAGCTGAGACTACAGGCACCTGTCACTACGCGCGGCTAATTTTTTTGTATTTTAGTAGAGATAGGGTTTCACCATGTTGGTCAAACTGGTCTTGAACTCCTGACCTCAGGTGGTCCGCCCACCTCAGCCTCCCAAAGTGCTGGGATTACAGGCGTGAGCCACCGCGCCCAGTCCCATGGCCTTTTTTTAATACCCAAGAAAGCTCAGGGATAATAACACACCATGCCTCTTGAAATTGCCACAGAAAGAAAATGGAAAGCCACTTTTAAAAATAAAAAGGCTCAGGCCGGGCACGGTGGCTCACGCCTGTAATCCCAGCATTTTGGGAGTCCGAGGCGGGCAGATCACGAGGTCAGGAGATTGAGACCATCTTGGCTAACACGGTGAAACCCCGTCTCTACAAAAAAATACAAAAAATTAGCCGGGTGTGGTGGCACGCACCTGTAGTCCCAGCTGCTGAGGAGGCTGAGGCAGGAGAATCGCTTGAACCCGAGAGGTGGAGGTTGCAGTTAGCCAAGGTCGCGCCATTGTACTCCACCCTGGGCAACAAAGAGCAAGACTCCATCTCAAAATAAATAAATAAATAAATAAATAAATAAATAAATAAATAATAAAAAGGCTCAAGCCTGTAATTGCAACATTTTGGGAGGCTGAGGTGGGCAAACTGCTTGATCCAGGAGTTCGAGACCAGTCTGGGCAACATTGTGAGACCCTGTCTCTAGAAAAAATTAAATTAAAATATTAGCCAGGTGTATTGCTGGCATGTGTCTGCAGTCCCAGCTTCTTAAGAGGCTGAGGTGGGAGGCTCACTTGAGCTCAGGAGGTCCAGGCTGCAATGAAGTGCGATTGCACCACTGCACTCCAGCCTGGGCAACACAGCAAGATCCTGCCTCAAAAAAAAAAAAGAAAGGAAAATGAAAAAGAAAAGGCTGTGTGGGTTGGCATGCACTTGAAATCCCAGCTAATTGGGAGGATGAGGCAGGAAGACAGTTTGAGCCCAGGAGTAAAACCAGCCTGGGCAACATCATGAGACCCTGTCTCAAATAAAATAAAACAAAATGAAAAAAAAAAAAACAAGACACATTTTAAATCTTCAATAATCTTTAAAAATATGACTTTTAAGATTCTTGGTTAATGCAATAGAAAATTCAGTGATCCCCACCTTTTCTTTCTTTTTTTTTTTTTTTTGAGAATGGGGTCTCACTATATTGCCCAGGCAGGTTTTGAACTCCTGGGCTCAAGCTATCCTCCAGCCCTCTTTTTAATACAAATAAGCAACTCATCCTTAATAATAGTTTGCTTGAAGACAAGGCATCTTTTTTTTTTTTTTTGAGATGGAGTCTTGCTCTGTTGCCCAGGCTGGAGTGCAGTGGCATGATCTCAGCTCACTGCAGCCTCTGCCTCCCAGGTTCAAGCAATTCTTCTACCTCAGCCTCCTTAGTAGCTGGGATTACAGGTGCCCGCCACAACGCCTGGCTAAGTTTTGTATTTTTAATAGAGATGGCGTTTCACCATGTTGACCAGGCTGGTTTCAAACTCCTGACCTCAGGTGATCCGCTCTCCTCAGCCTCCCAAAGTGCTGGGATTACAGGCATGAGCCACTGCGCACAGTCTACAAGGCATCTTTCAAAAGCAAACATGTTATTCCTCACACACCTTCTGAAGATTAAACATGGGATGGACACTACTGATGTGTGGTGGGCTTTGTATGGCTCACTAAGTGGGAGGAATTTTTTTAATATCCTATGTCATAACTCTCAAAGAATGTGTTAAAGCCAACCCAGGAAATTTCTTAGGAACAGAGGTCAACTTGACGGTTGCAGTATTTCTCGGACTTGCGGCTGATGACAAGGCACAGCAGCCTGGGAATTACACAATCTCCGCTCTTACGCATTTCTTAATCATTCACTGGATACAGTTGCATGAATACTTTCTGTTCCTGTTCGAGTTTAGTAAAAATAGCAAAATAGAAGCGTCTATGGGGTTAGGAGAGGAAAAACACTCTAGCAGCAAATTCTGTTCCATTCGACCCAACGTACACGATAGTGATCAGAGGACGTCTCTGGAGAGCGTGTTTTCCTTTTGACCTTGTGTACTTCCTGTACTTCGCTGCCTCTGTGAGCGTGCTGCTCAGGCAGGGCTCTGGGTCCTCAGCAGCACCGAGGCAGCAGAAACACCAGGTATCCGGTGCCCACCACACCAGCAACTTCTGCAGGTCACTGCTGATCCCCACCAGGTCTGACGGGCGGCTGCTCCTCCTGCATTTCACAGATGATTGAAGGAGGCTCCCCAAGGAAGCTGTCCTGGTCAGGTGGTTACAGGTGGCAGAGCAGGTGTGATAGCCCCAGGGCTGTCTGGCTCCAGAGCCTGTCCTTTCTCAACCCTACCACCCTACTTTACGACTTTACCTCCACTTGTTTTTCTTGCCAAAAACTTTTAGCACTACAGGAGAAAGAAGGCCTAGCTTCAGGGCGCTCACAGTCTAGTGAAGGAGAAAAGATGAATATTTAAAAAGCATTTTCTTCTCTGTGCAATGAGGAGCCTGGCACTCTGTGCAATGAGGAGCCTGGCATTCAATTAGAATTAGGGATTCTAACTGAAGCATCAAACCAGATTAGCTCAATGCAGGATGTTGGAACAGAGCACTGTGGGAATTCTGCTTACTGTCAGAGTTTGTATATGGGTAGCCAGGCATGGGGAGGAGGTGGGAAACAGTGAAAGCTGGAGGGACCAGGATTCATACCCCAGAGTGATGGATAAGGTGTAGACAGTATAACAGCAACCTCGATAGCTTGTATTGATTTTGGACTTGCCAAAGCCAGGTTTGAAGTGCTTTCTAGGTTTTGATGCTTTGAATCCACCCTGTAAACCTTAAAGTAGGTACTATTACTCTGTCCATTTCCACGTGAATAGTGGAGACATAGGGAGGTTAGGGAAATTGTCCAGGCCCCCCAGCTAGTAAGTGGCCAGTACTCGAACATAGGCGGGCTGACTCCAAGCCCAAGTTCTTGATCACTGTACAAAGTAGAGGATAAGTTGGCAAATACTCTAATAGATTTTGCCATTATGCTTGTCAAATTTGTAATTATTTGCCTACTGTCTGTTTTCTCCTCTAACCTATGTCTCCAAGAGGGCAGGAACTATGTCTGTCTGGCTCTCAGAGGTAATTTCAGCACCTAGACTAGTGACTGGCACATAGAAGGGTCTCAAAAGTTTCGAAGAATGGATGAAATGCATTGAGGGAAACAGAGGATTCCTTTCCACGAGCAGTCCCCACCCTCTGAGTCCGCCATTCAAGAGCTGACGAATATGAGCAAACTCACTTCTCTCCCTCCCTTGTCATCAGCAAAATGGGGTTGATAACAGAAGTGAAGCTCCAGAAAATGGTCTGGAAGTTCCTAAAAAGTTAAAAAATAGAGTCACCATAGGACTCAGCAATTCCACTCCTGGGTGTTTACCCAGGAGAATTGAGAATACAGTTATGTCCACACAAAAACTTATGCAAGGATGTTCATAGCAGCATTATCCGTGATAGCCAAAAAGTGGAAACAACTCAAATGCCCATCCACAGGTGAGTGCATAAACAAAACCAAGGAGATCCATGCAAGCACATATTTGGTCACAAAAAGAGCGAAGTGCTGAGACATGCAACAATATGAGTAAACCTCAAAAACATTATGCTAAGTAAAGAAGCTGGTCACAAAAGGCCACAAAATGTATGGTTCCATTTACATGAAATGCTCAGAACAGACATGTCCATGGAGGCAAAAAGTAGATTCGTGGTGGACAGGAGCTGGGTGGAGGGAGGAATGGGGAATGAAGAGTATCTTTTTGGAGTGATGAGAATGTTCTGGAATTAGATAGTGATGATGGTTATGAATATACTAAAAACCACTTAGTTGGAGACAGAACTGGGTTCAATCCTGGCTGCCCCCCGGCTTGGTGTATGAGCTGGGGCAAGTTACTCCATTTTGGGATCCTCAGTTTCCTTATCTGTAGGAAGAGACCCTGATCCATTTTGATCCTCATCACCCTATTCACTCCTTCTCCTATGTCCTTGGTGACAAGCCTGGGAGGAAAGAATGTCCTCTGTTGCACTGGATTGCCCTGAGGGCAGTGGATGCCCCTGACTGCTCTGGATTAGACAGGGCACTTTTCCTTTATGTTGCAGCCGCCTACCTTGCAGACCTAATTCAAGGGGTATGAGGCTTATCCTGGAATATTGTCTATTTTGTCCCCAAAATTCCTCAAGCGATTCCAGCATGCACCCAAGTTTGTGAACCACTAACTTCAGCTAACATGCACCAGAATCACAGGAAGGCATTTGTTAAAACACCAATCATTGGTTCCACCTCCAGAGTTTCTGGCTCTGCACACTTGGGCAGGGTGGAGCCTGGACATCTGCATTTCTAACAAGTTCCCAGGTGACACTTATGATGCTGTTCTGGCCCACAGTGAGCCCAAACTACAGCCATGGAGATCAGCCTCAGCTAGACAATAGACTCACCTGGACAGTAGACTCACCTGGGAGCTCTTGCAAACACACAGGCTGCACCAATTAAATCAGAATCTTTGAGGCAAGTCCAGGCCTCAGGACTTCCCCCTCAACATTGCATTATGAAAATGTTCAGCCCGGCACGGTGGCTCACGCCTGTAATCCCAGCACTTTGGGAGGCTGAGACAGGCAGTTCATCTGAGGTCGGGATTTCGAGACCAGCCTGGGCAACAAGTTGAAACCCCATCTGTACTAAAAATACAAAAATTAGCCAGGTGTGGTGGAACGTGCCTGTAATCCCAGCTACTCGGGAGGCTGAGGCAGGAGAATCGCTTGAACCTGGGAGGTAGAGGTTGCAGTGAGCCGACATTGCGCCACTGCACTCCATCCTAGGTGACAGAGTGAGATCCTGTCTCAGAAATAAATAAATAAACAAAAATAAAATAAAATGTTTAAACACACAGCAAAATGGAAAGAATCCTACAGTGAGCAGCTGTGTATCTACCACCTAGATTCTATCTTGGACATGTGACTATGCTTTGTCACACATCAATCCCAACACTCATTCCTCTAACATCAGGATTTCTTAAAGCCTCAATTCCCCAATATTCAGCCACGTTTGAGAACCAAGAGCTAGAGTTTCTGGGCTCCTGCTCTGTAAAGCTCTTTCTGGCTATGATCTGGGGTTCTCTGTGATGCCCTCCCCATCCCTAAGGGTTTGTTGAACAAGAATACATGCATTTATTGAGCACCTACTGAGTACCATTGAGGCTCCCCTTTCCTTGAGCTGACTCTAGTGGTAGATTTCTTCTTCCGAAATGTTTTAAAGCCAGGAAAATTCAGACTAAGGAGCCCCGTGTACTCAGTGTGAGGTCCTCTACTGGTGGGGAGGGTCTTGCTGTGCCACCACCACCAAGACCTGACGATCTGGAGGTGACTTGTCCCAGACCTCCTATCTAACAAAAGACTGGGAAGAAATGAAGCTTCTGGAGAGGGATCCCTATTCGCTCATTCCAGGGTACTCTCCAAGCTGTCATTGTGGGTTCTGTATCCTGCCCTCAGAGCTCAAGGCTTTATAGGGTCAAGCAAACTGCTCTTCGGAGTACAGTGTGATTCTATGTGATAAATGCTCTGCCAAATCAACCAAGGTTTGCAAAGCACTGGACGTACACTTTGGAGGGGAAAATAATACAGGGCTCTGCTGTGTGGAAGCTTCCAGAAGAGCGAACCTGACCAAGAACCATCCCTCCCTCCCCACACCATGGGTGTACAGCTGGCCCTCTGGGGCCTTGGAGTATAGAGGAAGAGGGAGAACCCACAGACATGCATAAGCTTGCTCTAGGCTGCCCGGGTTTCCAGCTGGGCACCTTTGGTTTTTCTTCCACTTCAGCTTCTGGCAGCTGGGGTTGGGGTAAGGGACCAGAGAGCTGCATTTATGTAGGAGACAGTCTTGGTGGGGTGGAGTAAATGAATGTGTGCTCTTGTTTTTGTTTCTAGGGAAACAGTGGAAAAGTTGCTAAATGTGGAAACCCAAGCTGTGGGTCTCTTTCTGGGGTTTCTTTCTCATCCTCTGTGTGGAGTGGCAAGTGGAGAGGAGAAAGTTTCAGAGGGAAGCCAACCCACGCAGTAATTCCCCCAGGGACACAGGCTGAACTTGCAATCCCAGCGGGCAGGAGGCGGGTTCGGGATTTCCTGGCTGGTCAGTAGGGTTAGAGGGTTCATTCTGAAATAAAGGGGGTTTTCCCTCCATCACCAATGAGATCAGAAGAGCTACCGTTTGGAAATACAACCCTGTGTGGAGGTAGTTTCAGCTCTGCTGGTGACTAAAGCTTGGGAGTGGGGACTTCCTCAAACACTTTTCTTCAGTCACTTTGAAAATGTCTGACTCTTCTGGCTCCCTCAGACTGGAGTCTGTTTTGCTGGGGCTTTTAGTGTGACTCATTTTGTATGTCTTCCAAGGTGTCTTCACATTTAACAAAAATGGTTTGCTGGTTTCTTGTGTCTTTAAGGCCCAAGGACCTTAAGCTCTGTGAGGACCATGGCTGCCTGGTGACTCGCTGGGCCTCCAGTGACCTCAGCACAGGACCTGGACAGACTGTGTTCTCCACATACATGGCTTGTTCCACAAACACTGCAGTTTTCCACAACACCAACCAACCCACCAAACAAACAACCCAAATCACGCCAGTCCTGTCATGGGGAATGGTTTTGTCATTTTAGCACATGAACCAGAATGGCAGGAGCCAGGAGAGAAAAGCATGTAGCTCTTCCAAAAAAGCTAATAAGGAAGATTAGGCAGGAAGATACAAAAATATAAATGGTAGAAAAATACAATCTGGTAAGCATGTTGTGATTGCTACTACTCTAAAACATGATGTAGTTAAAAACTGGGCCAGGCATGGTGGCTCACACCTGTAATCTTAGTGCTTTGGGAGGCTGAGACAGGAGGATTGCTTGAGCTCAGGAGTTGGAGGTTACAGTGAGCTATGATTGAGCCACTGCACTCCAGCCTGGGTGACAGAGTGAGACCCTATCTCTAAAAATCCAAAACAAACAAACAAAACTGGCCGGGCTCAGTGGCTCATGCCTGTAATGCCAGCACTTTGGGAGGCCGAGGCAGACAAATCACCTGAGGTCAGGAGTTCGAGACCAGCCTGGCCAACACGGTGAAACCCTGTCTTTATTAAAAAAGTATAAAAATTAGCCGGGCATGGTGGCACGTGCCTGTAATCCCAGCTACTCAGGAGGCTGAGGCAGGAGAATCACTTGAACCTCCCGGGAGGCAGAGGTTGCAGTAAGCTGAGACTGCGCGCCATTGCACTCCAGACTGAGTGACAAGATCAAAACTCTGTCTCAAAAAAAAAAAAAAAAAAAAAAAAAAAAAAAAGAAAAGAAGAAAACCTGGAAGGCAAAGGCAAATGGAAATGATTGTGTTAGTGAGATTACGGGCAGCGACCGTTAAAGGTTTTTCTTAAATTCTAAATGTTACACCATTATTGCAATATAAAAACCAAACCTTTGTGGCTATACTTCATGATGGACACAGCCAGGGCTTGCATGGCAGAAGTCCTTTGGTGTCCTGGCTAGATGAAACTACTTGAGGAATGGGTCCACTTTTTTCATGCATCTCCCCATGGCCTCACACCTAGTAGGACCACACCTAGCACATAATAGGTGCTCAGTAAATACTCATTGAATTAGTGGTTCAGTGTGCAGATTATGCCAAAGGGTGACATCTTTTTGGAGGTACCCAGGGGCATTCTTTTCGGTGAGGGGACACAACAAACGATTATTACTGTACTTGAGAGGTGCTTAGGGGACAAGTTTTCTCTCGTTGCTCAGGCTGGAGTGCAGTGGTGTGAACATGACTCACTGCAGTCTCAACCTCCTGGGCTCAAGCGATCCTTCCACCTCATCCTCCCAAGAAGCTGGGACTACAGGTGTGCACCACCATACCCAGCTAATTTTTAAAGATTTTTGTAGTGACGGGGTCTCTCCATGTTGCCCAGGCTGATCTTGAACTCCTGGGCTTAAGCAATCTTCCCAGCTTGGTCTCCTAAAGTACTGGGATTATAGGCATGAGCCACCTTGCCAGGCCTCCAGAGGCATTTTGATTGGAAGAGAAGACTTGGGAAAAGAAATTGTATCTGACCTGAAAACCACCATCCAAAGGAAAATAAGTCTTGTCAACTCTCATCTTGATTGCATATAAGTTGGTTCTCTTCAATTAATGTGATTTAGTAAATGTATTATCAAATTACTTATCTGTTTATTTGAACTCCTAAGCTTTTCCGCATGTAAATAAAATCACAAAAGAGGAGGAAATACCCCTTGTTAGATGTGGGACCTCATTCTGAGTCCAGAGTCCAAGGAAGGTGATGAAGCCTTGCTCTCAGGGAGGAGCGGCTGCCTAACTCATGTCTCCTTGTGGCTCAGGACCCAGAATCGGTCACCACAGGATGGCCTCCCTCTTGCTTCCAATGCAGGCATCTGTGGAGCTGAGCAGCAAGGTGTTTGCTGCCAGCTCTCCCTTCCTGGGGTCTTGGTGCCTGGGTCCACAACTAGGCCAGCCTCACCAGCACCTTTGTCAGGACATGGGTGGACTTGGCTTGGCGGGGAGGAGCAAGTGGGATGTTTTTGGCATGGTTTGATATTTGCTAACTGGTAAAGGTCTTGCTCCAAATATTCCCTCACCAACCACTTCTGTGTCTGAAATCCCTGTCAGTCTTTGAGAGCAGGGTTTTGAAGATCCCTGCTCAGGTACAGATCTGGAAAGGGGGCCTTTCTGAGCCATTTCTTTAAGGGAAAAAGGGCTGCAAGGTGACTCCACTCTGGGGAAAATGAACCACCAAGTCAGGTTGGAAGGAATTGTGTCTGGGAGCTATTCATGATGTGTCCCTAGCCAGGGAGGCTCAGACCAAATTCTGTCTTTCCTAGTGAGTCTGCCTGGACTACTGATATTAATTCATACACACCGCTAGTTGGTTGCTCAACTTGCAAGACCCTGAGAGAATGGAATGCAATACAGACAACCGTTGGCTTCTTACCCATTGTTTCCCAAGCAGTGCACGAAGCCCTCTACATGTGATATTCTCTTTCTTTTTCCTTCCTTTTTTTTTTTTGAGACAGAGTCTCATTGTCACCCAGGTTGCAGTGCAGTGGCACAATCTTGGCTCACTGCAACCTCCGCTACCCAGGTTCAAGCGATTCTCCAGTCTCAGCCTCCCACGTAGCTGAGACTACAGGCGTGTGCCACCATGCCCAGCTAATTTTTGTATTTTTAGTAGAGATGGGATTTCGCCACGTTGACCAGGCTGGCCTCGAACTCTTGACCTCAGGTGATCCACCCACCTCGGCCTTTCAAAGTGCTGGGATGAGCCACCACGCACGACCCACGTGATATTCTCTTTCAATTTTCCCAACAACCATGTGAGGTAGAAATATCCCTACTTTATAGGAACAAAAATGGAGGCTCAGAGATAAGCCACTTGCCCAGTGTCATGCGGCTAAACATAGTTATGCTGATTAACAGCTAGTACCATTGAGTGCTGCGGGCCAAGGCACTACAAAGGATTCCTGTTTCAACTCACTTGATCCTCATTACATGCTTGTGGAACCCCCTTTTAACAGATGTGGAAACTGGAGTACAGGGAGGTTAAACAGGCTCTCCGAGGCATTCAGCTGGCAGACGTCAGATGTCAGCCTGCTCTTCGCCGCCCTGCTGCATGCAGTGTTGGAGCCATCTGTGTATGAGCCACAAAAATGTGCCGAGAGCCTGCTGTGTGCCAGGCGCATACAGTTACCCTGGAGATCCGACAGCCCTGGCCTACTGGAGGTTACATGCTGGCATCCTCGCACCAGAACTGGTCGTAGATGGCCCAGGGTAGCAAAAGGGTTGGGACATCCAGGGGACATTGGGCCCAGGCAGTGAGTGGCCTTGATTCCTGTCTCCCCTGCCTGGGAAGGGCAGTCAGGGGTGACCCTGACCTCGTCCTGTGTGGCTAACCTGAGGCAATGATTATCCTCTCTAGGGGACTGAGGCAAGCGGCCAGGTGTCTTGAGGGCCCGCTTATCTCAGGACTTGGACCTCTATGGGGTCTTGTCTCACACACCCACTGTGGGGCTTTCCCTATCTCTGCTTTACATGCACATTGCAGAATAAGAGATGCCGTTGAAGGACTCTATCCAAGAAGCCCTTCCCAATGAGATTTGAGGCCAGGATTAAGAGGCCTTAAATGGACATTTCTGTGAGGAAGAAATTGTGCGTGCTTAGATGTCTGTGTCTTTGGAGGGTTTGGAGGGTCAAGACACCATCAAATTTGTGTTTCACAAGCTTGAACTTGAACAAATTTGTGTTTCACAACAGGTTTGATGGGATCTGGACTCTCTCTGCTATGGGGTCAGCCCTCCTGGAGTCCACCCCAGCTTGAGCACTGGAAGCCTGCCCTGGATTGGACAGGAACCCTGCATTTCTCCCACTGGCACTCACCCTCCGCCGATCAAATTATATCCTCGGCTTCCTCAGCAGTACAATCTTCAGAGGACTGTGGAGAGGATTAAACTGTTATTACTGTACATGAGAAGTGCTTACATCAGTGCCTGCTCACAATTTACATGTGATTATTATCATTATAATCCCACCTGGCCTGGTCAACATAAAGAAACCTGGGGCCTGTTCTGACTCCCTACCCCACTTTATTTTTAAAATAGAGACAGGGTCTCCCTCCCTATGTTACCCAGGCTGGTCTTGAACTCCTGACCTCAAGCGATCCTCTGTTCTCGGCCTCCCAAAGTTCTGGGATAACAGGCGTGAGCCACTGTGCTCAGCCTGCTCCTTCCCTTTATCTGCCAGGCTTGAACCCTTCTCCCTGGTGGGACCCAGAAGGCCAGCCTGGCAGAGCTGTGTGAGGACCAGGTAAGCTCTCACACCCACCCTGCCTGGCATGTAGTAAGCCCTTCCTCGCCTCTTTAAAGAAGACCAAGGCAAATGGGTTTATGATTTCTCAGGAAGGTTTTGATTCTGTTGTTTTTCCTTCCCAGCTTCCCAATTGTCTACTGTACCTGCAAACTCCCTATCCTTCAGGTCCAGATCTAGTGTGTCTCCTGCAGCTTCTGTCTAAACTAAGGATTGCCCTTTTGGTCCCTATTCCAGCCCTTCCCCTCTGGGAAATGACGTATGCCTTCCAGAACTTCTAACTTTACCACACTCTGATGGTGAGCTGGGCACTGACTGTGTGGCTGGCATTGTTCTTAATTACCACGTTCCAGGTCTTCACACAGATGGGCTTATTTGATCCTCACTGTGTTCCTATGAGGATGGTGTAATTTTGATCTCTATTTCTTTAAAAAATAGAGATGGGGTCTAGCTATGTTGCCCAGGCTGGTCTCCAACTCCTGAGCTCAAGCAATTCTCCCCACCTCAGCCTCCCAAAGTGTTGAGATTACAGGCATGAGCCATCGTGCCTGGCCTATCATCCCCATTTAAAAGACAGAAAATCTGAGGCACAAGGAGGTTAAACAACTTGCCTGAGATCCCAGTTAGAAAGCGGTAAGTTTGAACCCAAGTAGTGTGACTCTAAGCCCCAGCTCCCAACCACACCATTTTGTTGCCATCGTAACTCTAATGTTTAGAATCTATTGGATACTCAAAGGTCTTGGCGTGTCCTAAATTTAAATAAATAAGTAAACAAATAAATAAATAAATAAGAATCCATAGGAATTGGGAAAAGGAGCATGGTCTTTGTTCTATGAATGTTGTTTGTTTTTTTTTTTTTTTTTCAGTCGAAAGATATTTTACTGCAAAATTGGAGATTTCAAATTCCCCCTGGTTATATTCTGCTGGTGTTTAACCTCCTTCTAAATAAGGCATTCTTTCTGAATCTCACTGAATTCTCTTGTACTAAAAAATAGAACTATTTTTTCTTGCTCCATCACCTGTGGAGATGGAAAAGTACTGATCAGCACGTTCTCTCGCATGCTTGAAAATACCTTCCCGGTATCTCACATCTCTCTGAGCCCATTCTTCTCCAAAGCCAGAGGACCTGGCTCCTTTCCACTAGGCGGGTTTCCTGTTCGTAGCCCTGACAAAAGTGTCCAGAGTTTTCCAGCCTCTCTCCTTCCACTGGGTATGCATTGGGCCATGAGGGTGGCGCTGAGGGTGCACACAGGGTCCAAAGCAAGCCATGTGGCTTGGGGTCCTCCATCTCTGCTCAGAATTTTATTTTAGCTTACTTTGTTATTTTTTATACTCCAGAACATTTAAAAAAGAAATGAAGGTGTAAAGAAGTGGGGTGGGGGGGGGGGCAGGTGGAAAACGTTAGCCTTAATCTCTCCTCCCCTGACATTTTAATACAGGTTGGAGTTGACTTTGAACCTGAGGGCCTAAGTGCCCGGCACTGCGAGGGTATGGCAGGGACCCCATTCTTGATCCTGGCCTTGAGGTTCTCACAATCTGAGCTTGTGAGTATCAAGAACAGCTCTGGGCTGGGCACATTGGCTCACACCTGTAATTCCAGCACTTTGGGAGGCTGAGGTGGGTGGATCACCTGAGGTTAGGAGTTCGAGACTAGCCTGGCCAACATGGCGAAACCCCATCTCTTTTAAAAAATACAAAATCTAGCCGGGTGTGGTGGCAGGCACCTGTAGTCCCAGCTACTTGGGAGGCTGAGGCAGAAGAATCACTTGAACCCGGGAGGCGGAGATTGCAGTGAGCTGAGATCGCGCCACTGCAGTTCGGCCTAGGCAGCAAAGCAAGACTCCATCTCAGGGAAAAAAAAAAAAAAGGAAAGGAAACCAGGCATGGTTGCTCACCTATGTAATCCCAACACTTTGGGAGGCTGAGGCAGGAGGATCAATTGAGGCTAGGAGTTCGAGACCAGCCTGGGCAACATAGTGAGACCCCATCTCTACAAAAGATTAAAAAAAATTAGCTGGGTTTGGTGGCACATGCCTCTAGTCACAGCTACTTGGGAGGCTGAGGTGAGAAAATCACTTGAGTCTGGGAGGTCAAGGCTGCAGTGAGCTGAGATTGCGCCACTGCACTCCAGACTGGATGACAGAGTAAGACCCTGTCTCTAAATAAATAAATAAATAAATAAATAAATGAATGAAGGAAAGGAAGGGGGCTATGGCATGCTGCAGGGTGTGGGGGAGGTTGCAGGATTAGGTGGGACGCCAGGGTTGGCCTCCTTAAGAGGGTGAGAAGGTGAGATTCAGCTTCTCGAAGCTGAGGGGTTTAACCATGTGAGTATGTGGGAGTGGAGCATTTCAGTCAGAGGGAATAGCCAGAGCCTAAAAGAAACAAAATCCAACACAAAATCAGGAAGGGGCCACCTAAGAGATAAGGAGTCTGAGAAAGCGCCAAGGGAAGGGAAGAAGGAGGGTTTCATGCCTATGCTAATTGCATTGTGGCTGCTCTGAGGGTGGGGTCATTTACCCAACCTCGGGACCACCCTCTGCCCAAACCCTTAGGCTAACGGAAATCTGACCAATGTGGTGGTGGAAATAGCTCTGATCCAGGCTCTTTCATAACTAGGACACGGCCTTGAGTAAGCCACATGCTCCTTGGGTCTCAATGGCCTCGTCTGGAAAAGGAAACAGCTGAAAACTGGGTGCTTGCAGGCCCGAGTGTGCTTTGTAATAATAGCAATGTTATAAATAAGATGGCAATTGTAGCATCTTGCCAGGGTGAAGAAGTTAATTATTCTTATGATTGAGACTTTTAAAAATCAAAAGCAAAACCATCTGATTTCTGTGGTTTCTGAGGAAAAGAAAAGCAGGAAAGAAAGATGAAGTGAGGCCGGGCGGGGTGCTGACACCTGTAATCCCAGCACTTTGGGAAGCGGAGGAGGGCGGATCACTTGAGCTCAGGAGTTCAAGACCAGCCTTGGGCCTGGGAGGTTGAGGCTGCAGTGAGCTGTGATCATTCCACTGCATTCCAGCCTAGGCAACAGAGTGAGATCCTATCTCTGAAAAAAAAAAAAAAAAAAAAAGACACAAGTTTTCCTTTCGCCACCATTTAACCATCTTCACTTTGTGGGAACTGTGCTGGGGTGGTGGGTGGGGGGTTGGGGGGACCCTCTCAGCTGCTTGTGCTGGGGTGGTGGGTGGGGGATGGGGGGACCCTCTCAGCTGCTCCCTGGCAGTAGTTCCTTAGCTGAGGTTCAGAACATTCGCAAGCAACCAACCGTCTGTCTGTTGGGAAGGTTTGGAAAGTATTATGCAAATGGTGAAAAAAACGGTCTTTGACAACTTAGCAAAGAATAAAACCTGTCAGAGTGTCCTAGCCTTTAGGCTGTTGGGACCAGAAATACAAAGTCATGTTCTCATAATCTATTAAGTTGCTAAAAGGAGGGATTTGAGAGCATCATCTTGGCAGACACGGGGTTCTGCCCAAACTCTGAGACTTAGGGCCCCGTGATTCTAGGAAGGGCTTTCCCTGCTCACGACAGACAGGAGTGTTTGTTTTTTAAATGCCAGGGCAGAGGTGGGATGGGCTTGCTGGGGAAACTGGACTGATAAAGAAAGTCCTCAGCGTGGTACCTGGAATATCCTAGTGAAACCCCCCAGTGGTGCTTTATTTTTGGGTTACATGGGTTCTTCCAAATGATGTCTGAGTGTTTTTCATTGAGGACTCTCTATTTATGGGATACTTTTTGGTGCAGATACACTTTCAGGTCATGAATCTCTCTTCTTTCTAATCAAGGTTTTCTTTAATTTTGGCTGGGTATGGTGGCTCACACCTGTAATCCCGGCACTTTGGGAGGCTGAGGCAGGAGGATCGCTTGAGCACAGGAGTTCAAGACCAGCCTGGGCAACATGGCGAGACCTCGTCTTTGCAAAAAAAAGAAAAATTAGCTGGGTGTAGTGATGTGTGCCTGTAGTCCCGACTATTCAGGAGGCTGAGGTAGGAGGATTGCTTAAGGCCAGGACTGAGGCTGGAGACTGAGGATGGAGGATCACTTGAGCCCAGGAGTTCAAGGCTGCATGAGCTATGACTGGCGTCACTGCATTTCAGTCTGGGTGACAAAGCAAGATCCTATCTCAAAAAAAAAATTTCCTTAATTTCAAAAAAGTTACCATTTTCTAAGCCAGCACTAACAGAATATAATGCAAACCACAAACATAATTTCAAATTTTTAGTAACTATATTTTAAAAAGTAAAAGAAGACATGTGAAATTAATTTTAATAATATGTCTTAATCCAGTATATCCAAAATATTATTTTTTCAATGTATAATCAATATAAAAAATTATTAATGAGACTTTACATTCTTTTTTCCTTACTATGTCAAATCCAATGTATATTTCACAAATACAGTGCATCTCAATTTGGACCAGCTGCATGTCAAGTTTTTAACAGCCACATGGGGCTACCATGTAGGACAGTGCAGTTCTAAGGACCAAGAGGATGGCTCTTGGCAGTGAGCTTGAGTGGGCTAATCAGGCTGAGCACAGACCCCCTAATCACACTATGATGATGGGCCTCTGAGATGGGGGGTGTCTTCTAGTCACACAGAACAAGGAGGATCCCTGGCCAGGTGCCATGGCTCACACCTATAATCCCAGCACTTTGGGAGGCCGAGGGAGGCAAATCACTTGAGGTCAGGAGTTCAAGACCAGCCTGGGTAACATGGATAAACCCTGTCTCTACCAAAAATACAAAAAATCAGCTGGGCGTTGTGGCACTCGCCTGTGGTCTCAGTTACTCCGGAGAGATGGGAGGATTGCTTGAGCCCAGGAAGCAGAGGCTGCAGCGAGCCAAGATCATGCCACTGCACTATAACCTGGATGACAGATTGAGACTCCATCTCAAAAAAAAAAGAACAAGGAGGATCCCAATGCAAGCCCCATATTCCAAGAGTGTGGTTTTGAACTGAGGTATATTGAGCAAGCTCTTGCTTGCCCCCAACGGTCTTTTCCTCCCTCTCTACTAACCGCACCCCTTACTTCATCCTGGCTTGAGGATTAAATACTAAGATGATCACCAGTCCTTCAATGATTATCATCCTCTATTAAGATGCAAATGTTGGACAAGATTTCAGTTAAGAGGAATAAGTTCAAAAGATCTATTGTACAACATGATGGCTATAGTTAATTTTGTTTTTTTTCAGACAGTGGCTAGAGTACAATGGCACGATCACAGCTTACTGCAGTCTCAAACTCCTGGGCTCAATCAATCCTCTAGCCTCAGCCTCCCCAGTAGCTGAGACTACAGACATGCACCACCATGCCCAGCCTTGACTATACTTAATAACACTGTATTGTATTCTTTTTTGTTGTTGTTGTTGAGATGGAGTCTCACTCTGTCTCCCAGACTGGAGTGCAGTGACACAATCTCAGCTCACTGCAATCTCTGTCTCCGGGGTTCAAGTGATTCTCCCGCCTCAGCCCCCTGAGTAGCTGGGATTACAGGTATGCACCACCACACCCAGCTAATTTTTATATTTTTAGTAGAGACGGGGTTTCACCATGTTGGCCAGGCTTGTCTCGAACTCCTGACCTCAGGTGATCCACCCGCCTTGGCCTCCCAAAGTGCTGGGATTACAGGTGTGAGCCAATGCACCCAGACCAATGTATTGTATTCTTGAGAATCACTGAGAGTAGATTTTAAGTGTTCTCACCACAGAAAACACTAAGTATGTGAAGTAATGCATGCTAATTAGTTCAATTTAGGGATTCCACAATGTGTACATATTCCAGAACATTATGTTGTACACAATAAATATATACAATTTTTATTTGTCTATTAACATAACAAATAAGATGCGAATATTGGGGAGAATATCTTCATTGAGTATCAGCTGAGACTAACGTAGTTGAGGTAGAGATTAGGACGGGATGCAGAACATGTTTTTGGGTTCTGTCTGGAAACTCTGAGGAGTGGCCTTGCTTAAAAACCAGCATTGGTAGGATGGCCCTCAATGGAGTCTTTAGGGTCCCGGCCTTTAAAGAGTCCTTTCGGTACACAACACTTTATCCTAATGGGAACCTTATCAACCATGGCAGCAGCTATGTGAGCAAGAGCAGACTTCAAAATGCTGGGCACCTTGGGTCCATATATATATATATATATATATATATATATATATATATATTTTTTTTTTTTTTTTTTTTTTTTTTTTTGACAGAGTCTCACTCTGATACCCAGGCTGGAGTGCAGTGGCACAATCTCGGCTCACTGCAACCTCTGCCTTCCCAGTTCAAGCAATTCTCCTGTCTCAGCCTCCTGAGTAGCTGGGATTACAGGCATCTGCCACCATGCCCATCTAATTTTTGTATTTTCAGTAGTGACAGGGTTTCACCAGGTTGGTCAGGCTGGTCTTGAACTCCTGACCTCAAGCAATCCACCTGCCTTGGCCTCCCAAATTGCTTGGATTACAGGCTTGCGCCACTGTGACTGGCCAGGTCCATATTTTTCTAAATGAATGAGTCTGTATCTGAAAACTACATTAGGAGTCCTGTGAAGGAGAAAATTTGCAAATTTGTCCTGCCCATCCATTCCTACCCATCCAGAAGGAGAGACTACCCCCTTCTCCCTAGGGAAGCGCCCTTTGACCCTGTTCAAGGAGACAGCTGGTCTTCGAGGTAGGATGTACCTTGGGGAAGGCTGGCTTGACTTTGAGGACGAATCTCTTCTCTTCACCTCTCCCTCCCTCCATTCAGTCATGTTCCAGTGAATGTGCACACCTTTCCTCCAGAGTTTTCTTGAAGGAGGTCTCATATCCCTATTTCCAAGTTCTTGGGAAAAGTGAAAGGGACCTCACTTTCACCTCCGTAAGCTAAGACTATTATTACCACCATGGATGCTCTAAAATCTGAAAAGAAACAGTATTGTTTTGTTTGTTTGTTTCTGAGACAGTCTCTGTCACCTAGGCTGGAGTGCAGTGGCACAATCACACCTCACTGCAGCCTCGACCTCTCGGGCTCAAGTAATCCTCCCACTTCAGCCTCCCAAGTAGCTGGGATTGTAAGCACACACCACCACACATGGCTAATTTATTTCTATTTCATTATTTATTTATTTTTATTTTTACTTTTTTTGAGATGAAGTCTCACTCTATAGCCCAGGCTACAGTGCAGTGGTGCGATCTTGGCTCACTGAAACCTCCACCTCCCAGGTTCAAGCGATTCTCCCGCCTCAGCCTCCTGAGTAGCTGGAATTACAGGCGTGTGCCACTGCACCTGGCTAATTTTTTGTATATTTTAATAGAGATGGGGTTTCACCATGTTGGCCAGGCTGGTCTTGAACTCCCGACCTCAGGTGATCTGCCTGCCTTGGCCTCCCAAACTGCTAGGATTACAGGCGTGACCCACTGTGCCTGGCCTATTTTTATTATTTATTTCTGATTAAAGACAGGGTCTTGCCATGATGCCCAGGCTGGTCTCGAATTCCTGAGCTCAAGCGATCCGCTGCCCTCGGCCTCCCAAAGTGCTGGGATTACAGGTGTGAGCCACCATGCCCGGCCAGAAATACTGTTTTTTGAGACAAGGTCTTGCTCTGTCACCCAGGCTGGAGTAAGGTGGCGTGATCATGGCTCACTGCAGCCTAGACTTCCCTGGCTCAGGTGATCCTCCCACCTCAGCCTCCTGTGTAGCTGGGACTACAGGAACACACCACCATGCCTGGCTAATTTATGTATTTTTTTTAAAGTTGGTGGTATGTTTCACCATGTTGTCCAGGCTGGTCTCAAACTCCTGGACTCAAGCAATCTTCCCACCTTGACCTCCCAAACTGCTGGGTTACAGACATAAGCCACTGCACCTGGTGTGGAAATAATCGTTTGTGGTGACACTTGGATTATCTACTTAACCCACAAATGTTCTTGCCATTCAACCTTCATGATTACTGTATTACTCTCATCCAACTTGTAATATTCCTAACTATATTGTCTTGAGTTTTCAGGCAGTCCCGAGTGCTAATCTTCAACCCAATTTCTTTAGACTCATTGTACTCCAAAGGAGGTTATCTAAAGTATATCCTCCTTTAACAGATTTTTAAAGTTAAACTTTTGTTTGTTTTTTGAGAAGGAGTCTTCCTCTGTTGCCCAGGCTGGAGTGCAGTGGCACAATCTAGGCTCACTGCAACCTCCGCCTCCCAGGTTCAAGTGATTCTCCTGCCTCAGCCTCCCAAGTAGCTGGGATTACAGGCTTGCACCACCATGCCTGGCTTTTTTTTTTTTTTTTTTTTTTTTTTTTTTTTTTTTGTATTTTCAGTAGAGACAAGGTTTCACCATGTTGGTCAGGCTGATCTTGAACTCCTGACCTCAGGTGATCCACCCACCTTGGCCTCCCAAAGTGCTGGGATAATAGGCATGAGCCATCACACCTGGCCTAAAGTAAAACTTTTGTAAACAACCAAAATATTTTTATTGAGCCTTTTTCTTGATTATTAATATACATAATTTTTTTCTACAAAATTTAGAGTAGTCTGGAAAAGATGAAGAAGAAACATTTGTGATCCTACTGTCCAGAAAACACCACTGTTAATTTTTTGGTCAATGGGTAGCTGAACCGATTAAGTTCTAGAGCAGCGGCCGGGAGTGGTGGCTCACGCCTGTAATCCCAGCACTTTGGGACGCTGAGGGGGTCAGATCACGAGGTCAGGAGATCGAGACCATCCTGGCTAACACGGTGAAATCCTGTCTCTGCTAAAAATACAAAAAATTAGCCAGGTGTGGTGGCGGGCGCCTATAGGCCCAGCTACTCGTGAGGCTGAGGCAGGAGAATGGCGTGAACCTGGGAGGCGGAGCTTGCAGTGAGCCGAGATCGCATCTCTGCACTCCATCTGTCTGGGCGATAAAGCGGGACTCCATCTCAAAAAAAAAAAAAAAAAAAATACATCTCTAGTATAATCTTGGTGTGAAGCCAAGACAAGAACATGCAAAAAAAAAAAAAAAAAAAAAAAAAAAAGATGGAGTATGGAGTATTCAATACATATTTATTCATCTATTCATTCATTCAGTGCCTTGAGCGGAGGTGCAGAAGCACGTCAAGCTAATCGGGAAGTTTAGTCCAGTTGAGGATATAATCAACTAAAGGTCATCAAGGTGTAGAGCATTTCACTGAAGTTGGAAGAGGAGCAACCTATTTCAGTAGTAGATACTATTTTTTTGGATGGAGGGTGGCTGTATCCTTTCATTCTTTAGTGAGAATTAAAAGTTAAAATTTAGCTGGGTGCGGTGGCTTACACCTGTAATCCCAGCACTTTGGGAAGCCAAGGCCGGCAGATCACTTGAGGTCAGGTGTTTGAGACCAGCCTGGACAATACAGCGAAACCCTGTCTCTACAAAAAATACAAAAATTAGCTGGATGTGGTGGTGAGTGCCTGTAATCCCAGCTACTTGGTAGGGCGAGATAGGAGAATTGCTTGAGCCCAGGAGGTTGAGGCTGCAGTGAGCTGTGATCCAGCCACTGCACTCCAACCTGGGTGACAGAGCCAGACCTCGTCTCAAAAAAAAAAAAAAAAAAGTTAAAATTCATCATGGGAAAAAATTTTTACCATCTCAATGAAGCTGCTAAATCGCATTTCACTAAGTGATGCTGTTTATATTTTAAATTTTTAACCAAAGCAAAAAAAAAAAAAAAAAAAAAAGCCTAGAGTCTGGCAAAAAATAAGAACCAACTAAAGTGTAGTAACTTAATTGGTAAATGTGGTCAGCCTCTGGGAACTGAAATGAAGAGGCCGTTGAAGATCCGGTTGATGTTCTGTGATTACAGATTAAGGGGCAAGAACTTCCTTCTTCCTTAGTGACCCATAACCTTAAGTATAATTGCAGGTATGGAGTATAACGGTGTGTGTCTGGAGGAGAAGGAAGTAGGGGTGAGGTAGGAAACATTGTCACTGAATTTGGGAATTTGGATAGGTTGCTTATCTTTGGAGGGAGCTCAGCATCTTATGGTGGTAGAATGGATGGATGGGTTATAGGATTGGCAGGAATGAACCAGGTGAGTTCTGGGGACATTGGTGGGGCTATGTACTGCTGCAGGATAGGGTATAAAATAAGAGCAATGAAGGAAGCTGAGGGGGATCCAGTGTACCAGCGAGTGGTGTGTGCTACTTTGAGTTGCACACTCAAGTCATCATGATGGAAGACATGATAGTCATAATCTCTGTGTGGTAGGTGACAAAGGATTTGTCCTTTCATTTTTTAATTTTTTTGAGACAGAGTCTTGCTCTGTTGCCCAGGCTGGAGTGCAATGGCACAATCTCAGCTCACTGCAGCCTCCGCCTCCTGGGTTTAAGTGATTCTCCTGCCTCAGCCTCCTGAGTAGCTGGAATTATAGGCGCCTGCCACCACACCCAGCTAATTTTTGTATTTTTAGTAGAGATAGGGTTTCACCATGTTGGCCAGACTGGTCATGAACTCCTGATCTCGTGATCTGCCCACCTCTGCCTTCCAAAGTGTCAGGATCACAGGCGTGAGCCACTGAGCCCGGACTTGTCCTTTCTTTTAAGTCCCTCCTTGCAATTCTTCACCTGCTGACTTTTCCATAGTAAGCATTAATTAATTAGTTAATTATTTTTGAGACAGGGTCTCACTGTGATGTCCAGGCTGGAGTGCAGTGTCACAATCGTGGCTCACTGCAGACTTGAATTCCTTGACTAAAGTGGTCCTCCCACCTTGGCATCAGCCACTGTGCCTGGCCTATTAATTGTTTTGTTGTCGTTGTTGTTTTTGAGAGTCTCATTCTGTCGCCCAGGCTGTAGTGCAGTGGCACAATCTCGGTTCACTGCAACCTCCGTCTCCCGGGTTCAAGTGATTCTCCTGCTTCAGACTCCTGAGTAGCTGGGACTGCAGGTGCGCACCACCACACCCGGCTTTTTTTTTGTATTTTTAGTAGAGACAGGGTTTCACCATGTTGATCAGCCTGGTTTTGAACTCCTGACCTCGTGATCTGCCCGCCTCAGCCTCCCCAAGTGCTGGGATTACAGGTGTGAACCACCGCGACCAGCCCTAATTTTTTAATTAGAAAAGATAGCTAACTAAAGATAGACAAAAATAATTTTAGAATAGCATCGATAGATAGTGTGTCTTGGGAGAAAGGTAAGACTTAAGAAGTCAAATAAAGACCTCTTTTCTTGATTCATATTCAAAGGGTCCTGCTCTCTCTAACCCACATATCCACTCCTGTGCCCTTTCTGAAATTTCCCGAGAGATGTGTTTCCACTATTTGTAATATCCTATAGTTTTTTGTAAGTCCTATAGTTTTGGAATTGAAATTCTGTGTCCTATTAGACTCAGGGTAGCATTTTGAGAAGTTATTCAATGCCTTTCTTTTTTTAAAATAGGATTTTTTGGCTGGACAAAGTGGCCTACACCTGTAATCCCAGCACTTTGAGAGGCCAAGACCCAAGTTCAAGACCAGTCTGGGCAACATAGTGAGACCCCGTCTCTACAAAACAATTAAAAATTAGCTGGGTGTGGTGGTGCATGCCTGTAGTTTCAGCTACTCAGGAGGCTGAGGAGGGAGGATTACTTGAGCCCAGGAGGTCAAGGCTGCAGTGAGCCATGACTGTATTGCTGCATTCCAGCCTGACAACAAAGTTGAGACGGAGTCTTGCTCTGTCGCCCAGGCTGGGGCTGGAGTGCAGTGGTGCGATCTCAGCTCACTGCAAGCTCCGCCTCCCGGGTTCACGTCATTCTCCTGCCTCGGCCTCCCAAAGTGCTGGGATTACAGGCGTGAGCCACCGCGCCCGGCCTAAAAAAAAAAACAACTTTTTTAAAGAACAGTTTTAGGATGGGCACAGTGGCTCACGCCTGTAATCCCAGCACTTTGGGAGGCTGAGGCAGGGAGATCACTTGAGGCCAGGAGTTCAAGACCAGCCTGGCCAACATGGCGAAACCCTGTCTCTACTAAAAATAGAAAAATTAGCTGGGCATGGTGGCACATGACTATAATCCCAGCTACTCAGGAGGCTGAGGCAGGAGGATCACTTGAACCTGGAAGGTGGAGGTTGCAGTGAGCCACTGCACTCCAGCCTGGGTGACAGAGCGAGACTCTGTCTCCAAAACAAAACAAGCAGACAAAAAAACAAAACCAAGCCAATAACCCCAAGTTCCTCAACTTTTAGGTACCTAGGGAGGTTTCTGGACTAGGACTCTGGAGACAAAATTTTAAGAAGGGGAGCAATCATGCTCTTGGGAAAATACATATATATGTATTTTTAGACAGAGTCTCCCTCTGTCGCCCAGGCTGGAATACAGCGGCACAGTCTCGGCTCACTGCAACCTCCACCTGGCGGGTTCAAGGGGTTCTCCTGCCTCAGCCTCCCAAGTAGCTGGGATTACAGGTGCATGCCACCACACCTGTCTAATTTTTTATATTTTTGGTAGAGAAGGGGTTTCACCATGTTGGCCAGTCTGGTCTCAAACTCCTGACCGCAAGTCATCTGTCTGCTTCAGCTTCCCAAAGTGCTGGGATTACAGGCATGAGCCACCGCACGCGGCCATGGGAAACTAATATTAATAGATGTGTGGCTATGGTGATGAGAAGGGAGGAGCTGGAGAAGGAGCTACACGGCCCTGCCAGGGATGCCCTTGAAACTATGCCCTCTTCCAGGGCATCCCTACGTTGTTCCTCGGTAAGGAGACCAAGGACACAATGAGAGCTGCTCCCTTGGGATCAGAAGCATCAAGATAATTTCCTGACCAGGTGCGTGGCATGTGCCTGTAGTCCCAGCTACCTGGGAGGCTGAGGCAGGAGAATTGCTTGAGCCTCGGCATTTGAGTCCAGCCTGAGCAACATAGCAAGACTTTGTCGTAAGAAAAACAAAAGGTGATTTTTTTGTCTTGGCCACAGTCTCCCTGTCCACTAAATGATTGAGGGTGGGAATGGAAGTAGAACCAAAATAATAGGAAACTCAAAGTTGTCTGAGATCCGTGAAAAAATAAGCCACTTTTTAAAAAAACATGCCTTTTTTTTTCTGTAACACCTTTTTTAAATCAGATGTTTTCTCATTTATATGGACTCTAAATAAAATGAAGATCTCTTTTTAAAAGGATAATTTTTTAGAAGTTTTATGGAAAAAAATTTTTTTTTTAGACAGGTCTGGCTCTGTCACTCAGGATGCAGTGCAGTGGCATGATCTGGCTCACTGCGACCTCCACCTCTCTGGCTCAAGCTAGCCTCCCAACTCAGCCTCCCAAGTGGCTGGGACTACAGGCATGAGCCACCATGCCCAGCTGATTTTGGTATTTTTCACAGAGTCGGGGTCTTGCCATGTTGCCCAGGCTGGTTTCAAACTCCTGAGCTCAAGTGATCCGCAAACCTTGGCCTCCCAAAGTGCTGGGATTACGAGTGTGGGCCACTGTGCTGGCTTATTATGTAAATTCTCAAAAATATATTAAAGTAGGGAGGATAGTATAATGAACCTTCTTTTACTCATTGCTCAACTTCAGCAGTTGTCAAACCACCAGTATACCCTCCCCATCTACCCTCAAACCAGATTATTTAGAAGCAAATCCTAGTCATTTTATCATGCTAAACAGAAATGCTTAGCATGTACCTCTACAAGAAAATAACAAAAAGGACTTCTGATTATTTACAAATCTTAATCTTGCTTCCCCTTCATTCCTCATCTATCCCAGGGCATGGATTAGGAAGCGTGAGTTCTAACCCTGGTTTGCCCCTTGCTAACCGTGTGAGCAGAGGCAAATCATTTAACCTTTCTGGACTTGCATTTTTCTCACCTGAGTGAGGGAACTAGATGATTTCTAAGATCCCTTCTAGTTCTAGAAATCAAAAATTCATGCAAGGGCCGTCCTTCAAGCCTCTAGAGACATACAGATTTGGTGCAGTATCTATTTACTGGTTTTTGTTTGTTTGTTTGTTTGTTTTGTTTTTTTGGTGCAGTGCCCAGTTCAGAGTCAAGACCCTCTCAATGAAGAGCCAAGCAAAAGTCCTAGAGGCTGCTGGTGGCGGAATCTTTAACCTGGAGCTTTAGGAAAGAAATAGGCCTTGGAGCTTCCCCTTTGTGCAGTTTCATGGTGCCCTCTGTATCTCTTCTCATAACCTCAATTTATCATTTTTTTTTTCTTTTTTTGAGATGGAGTCTTGCTCTGTCACCCAAGCTGGAGTGCAATGGCATGATCTCTGCTCACTGCAACCTCTGCCTCCCAGGTTCAAGCAATTCTCCTGCCTCAGCCTCCTGAGTAGCTGGTATTAGAGGTGCCCGCCATCATGTCCAGATAATTTTTTTGTATTTTTAGTAGAGACAGGGTTTCACCATGTTATCCAGGCTAGTCTCAAACTCCTGACCTTAGGTGAGTGATCCGCCCACCTTGGCCTCCCAAAGTGCTGGTGTGAGCCACCCTGCCCTGCCGGCGACCCGTCACTTTATTAAACAACAGGAACTGATTTCTGTCATGTTCCAGGTGACTGTTAAGGAATAAGAATACTCATTTTATGGGCAAATAAACTGAATGTGAAGTAAAGTAGGTGCATCTCAGGTTGCCTGGTGAAAGAAGGATTAAGTCTGGTATAGGGTTTGTCTTTTAAAATTGTGGAAAACATGCATATCGTAGATTGACTTTTAGGGAAAGATGTGGGTCCTATTGGGTTAATGGCGGAATCTTTTGGTAAGATCATGCCCAGCCCTGAGGACTGTTGCCAATGCCTCCCTCACCACGTGTGCCATGTGCTCTTGAGGACATCCTGTCATTGGCTTCCCACACCATCATTACATCTGGAACAAAGGACGCATAAAAAGTGAGTGGCCCAGCGTGGCTCAGCTGGTAAGTGAAGGGCATGGGCTTGGACCCAGGACTTCCAGCTGCTGCAGCATGTGTCCTGCTCCCCTACAGCTTGAAGAGGGCTAAATGAGACTGGAGGACTTCTTAGAAAAAGAGACTTGATTATCAGCGTAGTGGGAGAAGAGCAAATGCTTATGAATACTGCACCTGTGCTTTAAAAGTCACCATGAGCTGGGCGTTGTGGCTTACGTCTGTAATCCCAGCACTTTGGGAGGCCGAGACAGGTGGATCACTTGAGGTCAGGAGTTCGAGGGCAGCTTGGCCAACATGACAAAAACCCCATCTGTACTAAAAAAAAGAAAAGAAAAGAAAAGAAAAGAAAGAAAGAAAAAAAATTAGTCAAATGCGTTTGCTTGAACCCAGGAGGTGGAGGTACACCCTGGGCGACAGAGAGAGAGAGGTAAAAAACAACAACAACACCATGACCCAGAGAAAGAAAGAAAAAAAATGAAGTTCCCAAATGGAAAAAGCCCCTAAAATTACCATTTTAAAACACAGCCCTAATCAGCTCTGGGGATTTGCAGGAAACTCATCGAAGCTATTGATAGGAACTATTGTTTTGGTGCCAGGGTTTTCAATTGGGAGTTAGATTTAAAAGGACCAAAGATGACATCTGATATTTCAAACAGAAACCGACATTTCTCAGTGGAAAACTTTCCGGGCCAGTGCATTTTGGGGTTGGTTACTGTGCTTGGAGACGCCCCTGAGTTGGAGGACACACTTCTGGCTGATGTGAGGGGCTTCTGAGGAGGGCCAAAATGTACACTCTTTGTGTTCTTGCACCACGGCTATTAGACTGTGAGACTCTGTCCTTAGCAGGAAATGGTAAAGGAATCAGCAGGAAGCCTAAAACAAGGGAAGGGAAACTCCTCCCTCCTATCAAAGGCCAGGCAAGGGCGAGGATGAGAATGGAAAGTGGGGCACGTGCATTAAGCCGTCTGGGGGAGCGGTAGGGATAGACATGTTGAAATGGAGAGTGGTTGAATCTTGAAAGGAAGTAAGGAAAATGTATATGCCACAAGGGCAAGGATGTATGATAGGCTTGTATTTATTGTATAACTTTATTTTATTTTATTTTATTATTTTTAGTTTTTTGAAATAGAGTCTCTCTCTGTCACCCAGGCTGGAGTGCAATGGCACGATCTTGGCTCACTGCAACCTCTGCCTCCCGGGTTCAAGCGATTCTCCTACCCCAGCCTCCCGAGTAGCTGGGACTACAGGCACTCGCCACCACGCCCGGCTAATTTTTTGTATTTTTAGTGGAGACGGGGTTTCACGGTGTTAGCCAGGATGGTCTCGATCTCCTGACCTTGTGATCCACCCACCTCAGCCTCCCAAAGTGCTGGGATTACAGGTGTGGACCACAGCACCTGGCCTTTATTGTATAACTTTAATATGGAGCCTTAGTCCTCCAGAAATCTGCACCATGCCCAGGGAAAATGCTGTTCCTTTATTTACATGAGGCAGAGGTTTGTGTTGTTTGCTGAGGTCCAGCAGCTCACTGTGAGGACAACCTCTCCCTCGTTCCTGATTTCTGGCTTATTCAAGGCCAGAGGACCCAAAACTCGAGTTGAAAATTTTGACTAGGAGAACAGATAAAAATAGAAATGGAATCCATCTTAAGAAATGCTCAATGTGAAGGAGAGGGGAATGCAAAATAGTTTTTCTGTTTTACCACAGTCTTTGTAACTGAAAATCCTATGTTCTTGAGATAGAGAGAGAGCCAATGATCCAATGCAAGAAACTGAGTTTAAGAAGAAACTGTTTGCTGGGCACGGTGGCTCACGCCTGTAATCCCAGCACTTTGGGAGGCTGAGGCAGGCGGATGGCCTGAGGTTGGGAGTTTGAGGCCAGCCTGGCCAACATGGTGACACGTCGTCTCTACTAAAAATACAAAATTAGTCCAGCGCAGTGGTGTACGCCTGTAATCCCAGCTACTCAGGAGGCTGAGGCAGGAGAATTGCTTGAACCCTGGAGATGGAGGTTGCAGTGAGCTGAGATCGCGCCACTGCTCTCCAGCCTGGGTGACAGAGTGAGACTCCATCTCAAAAAAAAAAAAAAAAAAAAAAAAAAGAAGAAAAAGAAGAAGAAGAAACTGTTCATCTGAAATCCGACAACTCATTCTTGAAGGTTAGAGCTCAGCTTTGAAGTTTCACTTCACGAGCTTGGCTCAGTGAGGTATGTTACTCCCCGGTGAAAAAGAAAATGAAGAGAATGTTTTATGTTGAAAGTGCTTGGTGACGAAAAGGCAGCACCTAGATCCCTTATCTCATAAAAAATGCAGCAGATTCTTAATATTAGCAATCTAGTGTTTAGATTGTTACCTGAAGAAAGGAAAAACAAACTGTCCCAAATGCTGATTCTACTGTTTCGGTGGGAAAAAAAAATGTCTTGCAGGCAAGTGGCAAACAACAAAACTTTTGAAAAAGCAGGCCTGGGGGGAGTCCAGTACAGTTTCATAATGGGTATGAATAGTTATTTTACTGTGTTCCCCCCACCCCCTTTCTTTCTGGGTTTTGATGTGGATGTCTTTCTATTTGTTCAGGAAATTGTGACGTGTGTTCTGGGCAGGGTTTGAGGTTTTGGAACATTTTCTAAAAGGGACAGAGAGCACCCTGCTACATTTCCTAATCAAGAAGTTGGCGTGCAGCTGGGAGAGCTAGACTAAGTTGGTCATGATGCAGAAGCTACTCAAATGCAGTCGGCTTGTCCTGGCTCTTGCCCTCATCCTGGTTCTGGAATCCTCAGTTCAAGGTAAGACTCAGGAGTCTTGTTCCCCAGCCATCTTCTCTGTAAGCCCTGTGGTCCATGCAAGTCATTATATTCATTTTAAGGCATAGAATGTATAATATTGTGAGAAAGGAGGCAAAGAAGAAGGATTTGGGGTCGCTGAACCCTTTAATATGAGTTCTGTTAAGTTTGGTACCAAGAAAAATTAAACTCTGTGGCGTGTGCAGTCTTGTAAACTCTTACAATGATTGAAATGTGCTATTTTGGGATGAAAATGTGAGGTTTATAAATTTTAAAAGCTCAAAAAAGGAATCTAGAAAATGACTCCTGTGCCTGTTGCATGGAGGAGATGGCACCTTTGACTGTTGGGGGGTGTCTGCCTACCCCTAAGTGTCTACATCAGCCCCAAGTTTTAGTGCGCTGTGACGGTGTCATTGTTATTTTAACACTGGGAGACGTTATATTCCAATTGGGGTGAATCTGACTGTGTGTATTTTCTTTTCTTTTTTTTTTTTTTAAAGATAAACTTGGTTCTTACTGAAAACTCAATTATGGTTAGACATAGTTCATGTAAAACCTCTCAGATTTTAAAGAGAAGGCCAAATAATTTGGTATTTGTGCTCTTGCTCAGAGAAGCATCATATTCGGAAATATCTTCCTAGGTTTATCTACCATTTAGTGTTGTTTAGTCAGACTGAAACAACTTAAAACCTGTAATGACTAAGACAATGAAAATGATAGGCTTGTAAGAAAAATACAATTTGTTATTCTTTGGCAAATAAGGAATCATGTCTAAATAAGACGGAGGTCATGGCTTGATAGAGAGATGGCTGAACCTATAGTAGAAAAACACTAGGTTCCGCCAAATGGTAAGGGAAATGTTGAGTCACAATGACACACATGTCCTAGATTTGTTTCGTCAAAGCGACTTTTGGTTGTCATGATCTTACTTCCGGTGGAGATGAAATCTTACAGATGATCGCAGAGACATTCATTTTATGTTGGAAATTTATAAAATCATTTTCTTCTAGTTATGCTAATGCTGAAAAAAGAGCAAGTAATGTTTCTGGAACGTTATTAATTTATGTATTTTTAAAATATAAAACATTGTCAATTGTAGGGAACAGGCTTCACTGGGATCTTTTAGGGAATATCTTCAGCTTGATGAAATAATTCCCGAATAGCCAAGTGGTCTGACAAGATCGAGAGTAATGAGGCCCATACTTTAGTACAGTCTTGAATGGCCAGATGGTGCTGGGCATACCCCAACCAGAGATATGTAAGTCTTTATGTTGTCAAAATTTCCCAGAAACATGAATTTCCCACTAAGATTCATTAAGGAAAACTAGAATGAAAACAAAAACGTTCCTTGTATAATATTCATTAGAAAGAAATGAAGAAGGCCGGGCATGGTGGCTCACGCCTGTAATCCCAGCACTTTGAGAGGCCAAGGTAGGCAGATCATGAGGTCAGGAGTTTGAGACCAGCCTGGCCAACATAGTGAAATCCCGTCTCTACCAAAAATACAAAAAAATTAGCCGGGCATGGTGGCACACACCTGTCATCCCAGCTACTCAGGAGGCTGAGGCAGGAGAATTGCTTGAACCTGGGAGGTGGAGGTTGCAGTGAGCTGAGATTGCACCACTGTACTACAGCCTAGGTGACAGTGCAAGACTCTGTCAGAAAGAAAGAAAGAGAGAGAGAGAGAAAGAAAGGAAAGAAAGAAAGAGAAGGAAAGAAAATAATTCATCATGAAATTGTATAGAATACTAGCATTTATGTCATGACCTCGTAGGTTTAGCTCTTTGTTAGAAAAGGAAACCATAGAAAGAGACAAGGGAGAAACTGACAAACTAGGGTGTTTCCGAAAAAAGGCTCTCAGTATCGGGCTCAAGGGCTTGTGCCCACATCTGAGCATGCAGGGAAATAGATGTCCCCCACTGGCTGCACATGTGAGTGACTGCGGCACAAGGCTGTGATGTGAAGAGTCGTGACACCATTTCCTCACACCTCCACGCAATGCCAGATATGATTCGACAACATTCTTCCTGTCTTATAAAAAGTGTTTATCTAGCCCGTTGGTTTGGCAGATGAAATCAACTAGGCTTTTGGCTTGCTTTTACTGAGCATATTCAAAACCATTTCAGGTCACTATAGTGGTTTGCTCGGGTTGCCATAACAAAGTACCACGGACTGAGTGGCTTAAATAACAGAAATGTATTTCCTCACAGTTCTGGAGATGGGAGTCCAAGATCAAGGTGCTGGCAGGGTCGATCGCATTCTGAGGCCTCTCTCCTTGGCTTATAGATGGCGCCTTCTCCCTTGTCTGCACATGGCCTTTCCTCCATGCATCCGTGTCTTAATACCATCTTCTTAGAGGGTCACCAGGCATTGGATCAGGGCCACCCTAATGGCCTCATCTTAACTACCTATATCTGCAATGACCCTATTTCTGAACAATTTCACATTGTGAGATTCTGTGGGTTAGAACTGGAACATATGAATTTGGTGGTGGTATATTTTTATTATAAGTCAAACCCAAGTAAAGATGTGGGGTAAGATTGTGTTTACCAAGCACAAAGAAATGGAAATTTGGGGATGTGTAACTCTGGAGAGCACAGATGACTAATCTATTTAATGTAGGGCTCCAGGGGATTTGATGAGGCCTGTGAATCTTCCACTTTTATTGCCTCTCTTTTCCAATGACACCCATAAAGAAAAAAAATGGAATATCCATGAACAGGTGCAGCCAAGGAGGCCAGGCCCGCCATGTGTCCACTGTATACTGTCTCCTAGCTCACAGGAATGATACTGATCCACTCCTTGTGCTGCTCTTTGTAAAGTGATTTCACATCCATTCTCTGGTAATCATCATCACATTCCCTGTGATGAGGAATTAGCACCAATTATAGAGGAGAAAACTGGATCTGACATTTCTCATCTCATTTGCTCTATACATTAACCTCTTGCAAAAAATTTGTGAGTCTTGCCCAAGACCCATTACAACTAATTAACGGCTGAACTGGTCGTCTGATTTCAAGGCCAGAATTAACTTTCTACTGCAGCTCATGGATCAGAGGTTTTCTTTATTTAAACAAACAAACAAAAAATCCTTTGACCGTAGCCCTTGCTATAACGTTTCCCACTGAGTTGAGGGAGAAATTGAAAGTAAACTTAGGAGCTTTTTATAGCTTGTCAAACCATGCAAGAGTGGGGGAAGCTTATCCATCTTGTGGAATTGATAGACCAGGAGGAAGTAACTCCGGCTTAGATAATGCTACCATTTTGAATAAATCAAATGGTCTTCTTTTCCCCTTCATGGTAGTTGCTGCTTAAGTTTCTCTAACATGCCTGCAGTAAGTTTCCATTAAGAATAGGAAATTAGGCTCGGTACAGTGGCTCACGTCTGTAGTCTTAGCACTTTGGGAGACCGAGGAGTGTGGATCACTTGAGGTCAGGAGTTCAAGACCAGCCTGGCCAACATGGTGAAACCCCCATCTCTACTAAAAATACAAAAATTAGCCAGGCATAGTGGCATGCACCTGTAATCCCAGCTACTCGAGAGGCTGAGGCAGGAGAATCACTTGAACCAGGGAGATGGAGGTTGCAGTGAGCCAAGATCATGCCACTGCACTCCAGCCTGGGCGATAGACTGAGACTCTGTCTCAAAAAAAAAAAAAAAAAAAAAAAAAAAAAGAAAAAGAAAAGAAAAGAAAAAAAAAAGAAATTAGTATATTGTGATTATGTTGAGGGAAAAGTTAGTACCATAATATAAAAAGGTATGGACTATTGGAGAAAGTTGTTTGCTTTGGTAACATTTACTCATAGAAAGTATTTTGGTAAAGCAGGACTCAGGGTGGTGGGGGAGGTGGGCAGTGAGGGATAGGATTCAAATAAAAACCATTCTTTCCCTTGGAATCCACTACACAATTAACCAACAAATCCCATAAGTGGACCTTTTAGGAAGATAACATTTCTATCCATGAGCATAGCCACTATAATCACAAGACATTTATCTCAAGCAAGATAGAGTCAAGATACTCTCACAACCTCAGGGGCTGGAACTGTAAATTTTCACATCCTGCCAACACCCTTGAATAGCTATGTCAAGAATTTAGTGTCTGTAACTTGTTCTTTATTTTAAAGTACATTTAACATCATCGGCCCCAAATTAGATAGGCTTTTGGAGTGGGATCCCTTCTACTTTTGATTTCTTTATAAAATTTTAAAATAGCTTTGTTGAGATAGTGTTCACATACCATACAGTTCACCCATTAAAAGTGTTCAATTCAGTGATTAGGCCAGGTGTGGTGGCTCATGCCTGTAATCCCAGCATTTTGGGAGGCCAAGGCAAGTGGATCACTTGAGGTCAAGAGTTTGAGACTAGCCTGGCCAACATGGTGAGAACTTGTCTCTACTAAAAATACAAAAATTAACTGGGCATGGTGGTGTGCACCTGTAATTCCAGCTACTTGGGAGGCTGAGGCAGGAGAATCACTTGAACCTGGGAGGTGGAGGTTGCAGTGAGCTGAGATTGCACCACTGCACTCCAGCCTGGATGACGGAGCAAGACTCTGTCTCCAAAAAAAAAAAAAAAAAAGTGTTCAATGTTTTTTAGTATATTCACAGAGTCATGCAACCATCACTATAATTGCTTCTAGAACATTTTCATCATCCCCCAAAAGAAAGCCTTCGTTACGAATTTTAATTAGCTGAGATTCTGAACTCTGGGGGAATTTTGTATTCTAGAAATATTTTTTACTAATATGCTACAGTTGTATTTGTCATGCTGGTGAAAAGATGTGGTCTTTCACCTGGATGCTTTCTCATTAAGCATTATTTTTCTGTTTAGCTTCCTGTGTGAGCAAACATTTTCTCAGCTTGATACTCAGTGCATCAGCGGCTTGCAGAAGAGACTGCCTAGGCCTGCTCTGTCCAGTACGGTAGCCACAAGTCACTTGTGGCTACTGAACACTTGAAATGTGGCAAGGCCAAATTGGGACAGGCTGTGAATGCAAAATATACAAGATTTGGAACCCTTAGTATGAAGAAAAGAATGCAAAATATCCCAGTAATAACTTTTACATTGATGATATGTTAAAGGACAATATTTGAATATGTTAGGTTAAATAAAATTAATTTCACCTGTTTCTTTTTACTTTTAAAAATATGGCCGCTGGAACATTTAAAACTCCCTATGTGGTTTGCTTTGTGTTTCTATTGGACAAAGTTGGTCTAGACAGTACAAGGTGTGAAGACACCGCCCTCTGCTGGAGAAGATGCTGGATTTTTATTTCACCTACAGGAAGAGACGTCTAAGTAGCAATTAGATGCTAAACTAATGCTGCCTCAGGAAAGAATCAAAAGAGAAAGAGTGAAACCAGGCCGGGCGCGGTGGCTCACGCCTATAATCTCAGCACTTTGGGAGGCCAAGGCGAGGGGATCACGAGGTCAGGAGATCGAGACCTTCCTGGCTAACCCCGTCTCTATTAAAACTACAAAAAATTAGCCGGGCATGGTGGCACGTGCCTGTAATTCCAGCTAGTCGGGAGGCTGAGGCAGGAGAATAGCTTAAACCCAGGTGGCGGAGGGTGCAGTGAGCTGAGATGTGCCACAGCACTCCAGCCTGGGCAACAGAGCCAGACTCTATCTCAAAATAAGGAAAAATAAAAAAGAAAAGAAAGAAAGTCCATAAATTGAGACTCCTAGAGATACTAAATGGTAGAATGGGAATTTGAATTTAAATTTATAAGATGTTCACTCTCGGAGATCATAGGTCATTGTTGTCCTCCTCCTTTTCATGACAGGAACTAGCAATGAAGAGCTCTGACTATGTGCTAGGTACTACTCTGAGAACCTAACATTTGTATCTCCTTATTAACTCTATTACTGCCCCATCCTACAGATGAGAAAATTGAGGCACAGGAAGTTTAAGTTGGCCAAGATCACACAGCCAGTAAGGGGCAGACATTGAAAGGTCATTTTGCCTGCCTTATCCCCAGCCTCCAGGCAGTGGCAGAGTTAGCTCATTTTGGACAAACAGCTCTCCCAGACCAGACATTGTAAGCTATACTCAGGAATCATAGGAAAGATTATGATAGAATAATATATAGTTACAAAGAAAAGAAAGAAAATCCAATGGGAGAATATTTACTGTTTTCTATATTAAAGTGTTTAATGTTTATGTTTTTAGAGGAATATTGTTTATTATAGCAATTTAGAAAACAAAATGAGAAAAAAAATCACCAAAGATTCTACCTCCAGTTATTTTTGTGTATTTCCTTCCATTTTTCCCCCCATGTCTGTTTATATAATTGAAACTATTATTCATGCAAAGAGGTATTCTGATTTTCTCAGTTATTTTTATTTATTTTTAATTTTGTAAATAAACTTTTTTCTTCTGAGACAGTCTCGCTGTGTCACCCAGGCTGAAGTGCAGCCGTGCAATCTTGGCTCACTGTGACCTCCCAGTCTCAAGCAATCTTCCTGCCTCAGCCTCCTAAGTAGCTGGGACTGCAGATGTGTGCTACCACATCCAGCTAATTTTTAAAATCTTTTTTCTCTTTTTTGGTAGAAATGGGAGTCTCTCTATGTTGCCCAGCCTGTATTGAACTCCTGGGCTCAAGTGATCCTCCCACCTCAGTCTCCCAAAGTGCTGGGATTTCAGGCATGAGCTACCACACCCAACCTAATTTTTATTTTTATTTTATTAAAAAAAAAAGTTTTTGCCTACCCGCCTCTCACCCTCTCACTCATTTTTAAGTATAGGTTTTTCTACAATGCCACATTGTCTTTTCCATAAAAAGTACTTTCGGCCGGGTGTGGTGGCTCACACCTGTAATCCCAGCACTTTGGGAGACTGAGGCGGGTGGATCACCTGAGGTCAGGAGTTCGAGACCAGCCTGGCCAACATGGTGAAACCCCATCCCTACTAAAAATACAAAAATTAGCTGGATATGATTGTGGGCACCTGTCATCCCAGCTACTCGGGAGGCTGAGGCAGGAGAATCGCTTGAACCTGGGAGGCAGAGGTTGCAGTGAGCCGAGATTGTGCCACTGCATCCCAGCCAGGGCAACAGAGCGAGACTTCATCTCAAAAAAAAAAAAAAAAAAGTACTTTTCTTCATTTGGTTAGTATTCTCTTATGAGTTGATGCCTTGTAATTTATCTGAATGTTTTCCATTATTTTGTGGTGAGCTTTAAAACTACCCTTCCTGACTTTCAAGAATCCTAGACATGCTCCTTCTTGCTAGGTAATTATTAGTTGCACTCATTAGAATAAAGTATATGCTTGGAGTGGGGAGGAGATGAACTTTTTGAAGGGCGGTGAAGTATTTCTCACCACCAGGCCTTTGTCTTTGCTAAACTGAGGAAGGAAGATTTTATTTCATTAGCTAACAAAGAACCTCCTATATAGGCCGGGCATGGTGGCTCACGCCTGTAATCCTCACATTTTCAGAGGCCAAGGTGGGTGGATTGCCTGAGCTCAGGAGTTTGAGACCAGCTTGGGCAACATGGCAAAACCCCATCTCTACTAAAAATACTAAAAATTAGCTGGGCGTGGTGGTGAGTGCCTGTAATCCCAGTTACTCCAGAGGGTGAGGCAGAAAAATTGCTTGAACCCGGGAGGTGGAGGTTGCCATGAGCCGAGATCGTGACAGTGCACTCCAGCCTGGGCGACACAGCAAGACTCTCTCTCAATAAAATAAAATAAAATAAATACATAAATAAATCTCCTATATAACCTCATAATATCAGATTTGGAGCCTTTTCCATAGAAATGAAATTCAGAAGAAGCTGAGACTCAGATATTCCAAGCTGCCTGGTGCTCTGTGAATAGAGGAGACTTGTTCTTGTGAAATCTGAGTGCAAAGACACAGGACAAATTGTTATCTACTTTTCATTCCTAAGGATACTGTATGGCCCTAAAACACAAGAACTAGAATTCTGTGATACCACGGGTACTCCACAGTGTGTTCCTTCCCCTTTCTGAACCTGATTTGACTCATCTCTATGAAAAGATGTGGGCTTTGGGGTCAGATGTGGGTTGGAATCCTAGCGCCTGTGTGGCTGCAATTTTCTTTTGTGTAAAATTGAGATAATAGTACAAAAGTAACAACAGTTAATATTATCAAGTGCTTACTGTGTGCCTGGCACTGTGTTAAATTCTCTAAGTGTATTTTCTCATTTAATTTTTGTGATAGGCTTATGACACTATTAGTATCTTCATATTACAGTGAGGGTTCAGAGAAGTTAAGGTTCCATAACTAGTCAGCAGACCTGGGACTTCACTCCAGGCAGCTGATTCCAAAGCCTATTCTAACTTTAAACTGCTACTTTTTGGAGTGTTGTAAGAAGGACAATTTATATAAAATGTTGGCACATAGTGGGTGCTGCTGTTATATGAATGGGCACAAAATCTGTCTACATTTTGCCTTTTACCAAATTTAGAATCTATTTAGTTAAAACCTTCTTAGGGCGGGTGGGGTGCAGTTGCTCATTCCTGTAATCTCAGCACACTGGGAGGCCAAGGCAGGAGGACTGCTTGAGCCCAGGTGTTTGAGACCAGCCTGGGCACATAGTGAGACCCCCATCTCTCCAAAAAACAAACAAACAAACAAAAACAAAACAAAACTAGCTGGGCGTTGTGGTGCCCCTGTATTCCCAGCTACTCAAGAGGCTGGGGTGGGAGAATGGCTTGAGCCCAGGAGTTCAAGGTTGCAGTGAGCTATGATCACAGTACTGCACTCCAGCTTGGGCAGCCGACTGAGACCCTGTCTCGAAAAAAAAATAAAAATAAAAACTTCTTAGGACAGAGTGATTAGAAGCTGTGTAGTAGATACTTAGTAACAATGTGGGTTCCTCGGGCAGGTTATCCTACGCGGAGAGCCAGGTACCAATGGGTGCGCTGCAATCCAGACAGTAATTCTGCAAACTGCCTTGAAGAAAAAGGACCAATGTTCGAACTACTTCCAGGTGAATCCAACAAGATCCCCCGTCTGAGGACTGACCTTTTTCCGTAAGTGGACTTTTCTCTAATTAATTAATTAATTACTTATTTATTTGAGACGGAGTTTCACTTTTCTTGCCCAGGCTGGAGTGCAATGGCGCAATCTTAGCTCACTGCAACCTCCGCCTCCTGGGTTCAAGCGATTCTCCTGCTTCAGCCTCTGGAGCAGCTGGGATTTCAGGCGCCTGCCACCATGCCCAGCTAATTTTTTTTTTTTTTTTTGAGACGGAGTCTCAGTCTGTCGCTCAGGCTGGAGTGCAGTGGCGCAATCTCGGCTCACTGCAAGCTCCACCTCCTGGGTTCACGCCATTCTCCCGCCTCAGCCTCCCGAGTAGCTGGGACTACAGGCACCCGCCACCACGCCCGGCTAATTTTTTTGTATTTTTAGTAGAGACGGGGTTTCACCTTATTAGCCAGGATGGTCTCGATCTCCTGACCTAGTGATCCGCCCGCCTTGACCTCCCAAAATGCTGGGATTACAGGCGTGAGCCACTGCGCCTGGCCTAATTTTTTGTATTATTAGTAGAGACGGGCTTTCATCATCTTGGCCAGGCTGGTCTCAAACTCCTGACCTCAGGTGATCCACCCACCTTGGCCTCCCAAAGTGTTGGGATTACAAGCATGAGCCACTGTACCCGGCCTTTTCTCTAATTTTAAAGTGTCTGTAATTTCACAACCTCTTGGCACAGATGTGGGAGTGTTTTTCTTCAAGCTGTCCAGAGTGTTTTGCTTCGAGCTCTTGCTTTGGTAGTTTGGCTCTTACTCTGCAGTACATGGTAAAAGTGTACTGTATATACTGGCATATGACATGTGCGAGTATACATGATTCACCTATGTTTTTGAAATTTTTTTTGTGGATGGTAGAGAGGAGCATTGAGGACTTTTCATCAACAGGTATTGAAAATGATTGAACATTGTTTTATTTGTGTAAACAGAACACACTATATATAAAAATCCAATAATTAACTGAATGGATAAGCAAAATGTGGTATAAGCATACAAAGGAATATTATTGGGTCATAAAAAGAATGAAGTACTGATACATGCTACAACATAGATAAACCTTGGAAACATTATGCAGAGTGAAGGAAGGCCAGACACCAAAAGCCACATATTGTATGATTCCATTTAGATGAAATGTCCAGAATAGGCAAATCCCTAGAGGCAGAAAGTAGATTAGTGGGTTACAGGGGCTGGGGAAAGGGAGGAATAAGGAGTGACTGCTAATGGGTATGAGGGTTTTTTTTGGAGGAGGTGATTAAAATGTTCTTCTGCCAGGTGTGGTGGCTCATGCCTGTAATCCCAGCACTTTGGGAGGCCGAGGCGGGAGGATTGTTTGAGCCCAGGAGTTTGAGGCCAGCCTGGGCAACATAGTGAGACCCTATCTCTATTTCAAATACATTTTTTATATTAAAAAAATGTTCTTCAAGTAGTTGGTAATTATTTTTAAAAATGGCCAGGTGCAGAGGCTCATGCCTGTAATCCCAGCACCTTGGGAGGCTGAGGTGGGAGGATCCCTTGAGCCCAGGAGGTTTGGGACCAGCCTGGGCCATACAGCAAGACCCTGTCTCTACAAAAAATACAAAAATTAGCTAGGCATAGTGATGTGCACCTGTGGTCCCAGCTACTCGGGAGGCTGAGGTAGGAGAATCTCTTGAGCCTATGTTGAGCCTGCAGTGAACCCTATTTATGCCATTGCACTCCAGCCTAGGCAACAGAGTAAGACTCTGTCTCAAAAAAAGAAAAAAAAAATTAGGGAAAGGAAGAATAATTAGCCAAGACTTGTAAAACAAAAATCAAATCTCTTCTTTTGATCACATAAAACTTGCTTTAAACTTGCAAAAAAGACCTGATATAAATTCATAAGTAACAAAAAATTGAATTATATTAGAAACCATTAATTCAATGAATACTAAAGCTATGTAGGATGTAGCAAAATATACATATTAAGAAAAGGATTATCATAAAAGTTTTAATCTCCAGGCTCAAACCTAGAAAATCACTCTCCTCAAAGCCAGGGTTAATCATCATGCTCCAAACCAGGTACATTTCACATCACTTTGGGATCCTGGCAACTTTCTCTTTTGTTTTTTTTTTTTTTTGAGACAGGGTCTCCTCTGTCACCCAGGATGGAGTGCAGTGGTGTGATCATAGCTCACTGCAGCCTCGAACTCCTCAAGTGATCTTCCTGCCTCAGCCTCCCAAGTAGCGGGACCACAGGCACACAGCACCATGCCCATCTAATTAAAAAAATTTTTTTTTGTAGAGACAGGGGTCTCTGTACATTTCCCAGGCTGGTCATGTACTCCTAAACTCAAGCAGTCCTCCCACCTCAGCCTCCCAAAGTGCCGGAATTACAGTCATGAGCCACCATTCCCAGCGCTGGTGACTTTCTCCATCACTGGTGACTTTCTCCATCACTGGTATTCACTGCATTAGTGATGACATCATTACAATCTTCAATATGCAACTTTGTAGTCCTACTCTTGCATTCTTACTTTAAAGCCTCAGCATTAAGTTTGAATGTAATATTACAGCATCCTTCATTACTTTAAATCATTGGTTTCAATAGTAATTCATTTAAATCTAAAATGTTAGGCTGCAGTGGCTCATGCCTGTAATCCCCCCAGTTTGGGAGACTGAGGTGGGAGAATCACTTGAGGCCAAGAATTTGAGACCAGCCTGGGCAACACGGCAAGACCCCATCTCTAAAAATTAGTGGCCCGGCGCTGTGCCTCACGCCTGTAATCCCAACACTTTGGGAGGCCGAGGCGGATAGCTTGAGGTCAGGAGTTCAAGATCAGCCTGGCCAACATGGCGGAAACCCATTTCTACTAAAAATACAAAAATTAGCTGGGCATGGTGGCACGCCTGTAATCCCAGCTATTGAGAGGCCGAGGCAGGCAGACTGGGAGGCCAAGGCAGGCAGATTGCTTTGAGACCTGCCTGGGTAACATGGAGAAATCCTGTCTCTACAGAAAAATACAAAAATTAGCCAAGCATGGAGAAACCTCGTCTCTATAGAAAGACACAAAAACTAGCCATGCATGCCTGTGGTCCAGCTACTCGAAAGGCTGAGGTGGGAGGATTGCTTGATCCTGAGAGGTCAAGGCTGAAGTGAGCCATGGTGTGGCACTGCACTCCAGCCAGGGTGACAGACTAAAACCTTGTCTCAAAATAAATAAACACATTTAAAATAAATAAATACAATTAAAACTAAAATTAAAAAATAAAATAAAATGTTAAGAGAATAGCTCAAATTCTCCAAAAGAACTCTTGCACACCATTCCTCCTCTTCTCAAATCTCTATTTTCCTTCCCCAAAGCCAGTAACTGCTTCTCACCCTGACCCTGTGCTTTCTTTCCCGTCATTGCGAAAGAATGGTCCTTGCTTCTGTGCTGATCCCAAACCCTTTTGCCCTCAGATCCTCCTGTCCTTCCCTGGCCCTGCTCTGTATTGGCTGTGGGGTGGGGGTGGCGGTGGAACTGACCCCTGGCGTCTGCATTTCTCAGGCTCCCAGGGCTGTGGCTGACTTTGGCCAATGGGAGGCAAGGACGGGAGACTGAGAGCTTGGGAGGAAGGGAGAGAGGTATGTTTCTTCTCCTTACTCCCTGCCTGGGATGGCACCTTGGGCAGGACTCTGTTTTGCCCATGGCCTCAGCTCCCACCAGATGCCTCTAGTCCCTGGGCTCAGGAAATAGACAACCTCCTTCCACTATCGCTGTAGCCCAAGGAGGGAAGTATTTTTTTCTTTCTTTCTTTCTTTTTTTTTTTTTTTTTACAGAGTCTCACTCTTGTTGCCCAGGCTGGAGTGCAGTGGTGCGATCTCAGCTCACTGCCACCTCTGCCTCCCGGGTTCAAGTGATTCTCCTGCCTCAGCCTCCAGGGTGTGCCACTATGCCCAGCTAATTTTTGTATTTTTGGTAGAGACGGGGTTTTGCCATGTTGACCAGGCTGGTCTTGAACTTCTGACCCCAAATGATCTGCCTGCCTCGTCCTCCCAAAGTGCTGGGATTACAGGCATGAGCCACTGTGCCTGGCCGAAGGAAATATTTTCTTGCTATTGCTAATCTCTGGGTTACCTCGCTATCCCCCATTTAGCTTCACTTCTCCTCCATCACCTGTATGAGGAATTCCCTCTGTGTTAAATATCTGGAGAAGTTTCCTGATTGGACCCTGGCTGTTGCAGCTTCCAAGGCCACCTCTCTTTGTGGCTGGTATCCTTTTCCCATGCATCTTCTCCAGGACTTCCATTCTGCAGTTATCTCTCTGAACTCAGTGTCTTCTTCCCATCAGTATAGGGGTGGACTTTAGTATCTCCTATGTTTAGGCAACATCTCTCCTTTGACTCTGCGTCTTCTCCAGTGGTTGCCCTTCTCTGCTCCTCTTCACAATAACACCTCCTGAAAGGGCCACCCATGCCTGCCCCCTCCTTTCCTCACCCCCTCTGTGGCTGGACTTCTGTTCCTACACTCCACCCTGGTTGACAAAGTCACTGATTACTTCTCTATTTTCAGCTTACTTGATCCTTAATTGCCTTCAAAAACAGCTAACTGGGCCATGCATGTAATCCCAGCACTTCGGGAGGCCAAGGCAGGAGGATCACTTGAGCCCAGGAGTTCAGGACCAGCCTGCCTGGGCAACATAGTGAGACCCTATCTACAAAAAATAGAAAAATTAGCCGGGCGTTGTGACTCATGCTTGTGGTCCCAGCTACAAAGGAAGCTGAGGTGGGAGGATGGCTTGAGTCCGGGAGGGTGAGGCTGCAGTGAGCCATGATCACGCCACTGCACTCCAGCCTGCACAACAGAAGGAGGCCCTTTCTGTAAAAAAAAAAATGGTTGACCACTCCTTCCTTGAAATGCTTTTTTCTTGAGGCTTCCATGCCCTGCCTTATCCTGTTTCTTCCTACTTCTCTGGTTGTGCTTTTTCCTCTGCTCAGTATTTAACATGTTGGTGTGACCCTGGCTCTGGCCTGGGCCCCCTTCTCTATCTACATGCTTTCTCTCGACGACCTCCATCGGTTGCATGGGTTTAACTACCAAATCTGTGATTCTAGCTCCGACACCCCAGGCTAAAGTAGCCACCTGGTCACTCCCTATTACATTGGTCAATTTCATTTCTCTGTGCCACCTATGATTTTCCTGATTTATTTATTCACTTTTCATTGTCTGTCTTCCCCACTAAAATAAAAACTTCTTGAGAAGGGGCTTCATCGATCTGCCTCTGTTCTATCCCAGGCCCTCAAAACAAGGACCAGATATTCAACAAATATTTATTGAATGCGTACATGAATTAAAACTCTAATTGGTTGTATGCTGGTGGTTTATTATTTTCATGGAGGAAATGACTTGTAGGCTGTGACACTCAGCTTTTGTCTCTGATGCTTTGTTGCCCTGTTCTGTCACCGAGGGCTGTCGTCATTGCTCTGGCCATTTTGTGCTCTTTGAATTTCTAATCATCACACTCAACCCAGAAGGCAGCCTTACCTTTCAGCACTCTTCAGCTGAATGAGTGCAAGTTGGAGGCAGGGTCATTTTTTGATAGGAAATTGAATGTTTATATGCTGGTAAATATAAAGCTTAGCTTTTTACAAAGAATTTCTCAAAAGTGAGCTTTGTTGAAGCCCTGTAAATTGTTAGAACTTTTATGGAAATTTTAATTTAGGAAAAAATGTCATCTGTTTGGGCTGACTTAGTTGTTAGTTGTTTGTCCTTTCTTTTTTTTGGTGGAGGGTATGGAGTTTTGCTCTTGTAACCCAGGCTGGAGTGCAGTGGCGCGATCTCGGCTCACTGCAACCTCCGCCTCCTGGGTTCAAGCGATTCTCTCACCTCAGCCTTCCGAGTAGCTGGGATTACAGGCATGCACCACCACACTTGGCTAATTTTTGTATTTTAAGTAGAGACCGGGTTTCACTATGTTGGTCAGGCTGGTTTCGAACTCCTGACCTCAAGTGATCACCCACCTTGGCCTCCCAAAGTGCTTGGATTACAGACATGAGCCACCACACCCGGCCAAGAGGACTTCTTTTAAAAATGATTTCTTGGGCCGGGTGCAGTGGCTCACACCTGTAATCCCAGCACTTTGGGAGGTGGGTGGTTCACAAGGTCAGGAGTTTGAGATCAGCCTGGCCAATATGGTGAAACTCCATCTCTACTAAAAATACAAAAATTAGCCAGGCATGGTGGCGCACCCCTGTTGTCCCAGCTACTCGGGAGGCTGAGGCAGGAGAATCACTTGAACCTGGGAGGTGGAGGTTGCAGTGAGCCGAGATGGCACCACTGCACTCCAGCCTGGGCAACAGAGCAAGACTCTGCCTCCAAAAATAAAAATTAAAATGATTTCTTAAGTAAATTTCAAATATAGAATGTATATGCTAGTGATAACAAAATTAACACTGTTTATGCAAGTCTGCAATAGGTAGATGTGAAGTTGATAGGTGCAATAAGTATAGGCAAACACATAGGAACATTTGACCTGTTTTTTTGTTGATTTTAAAACATTGAATAATTGGGAAGCTTTTAAATCTCTTAATTTGAGCAACTAGATGGCTGTATTTATCTCCTTATATTAAAAAAACTATTATAATTATCTTTCCCACATATCAAACTCCACTGGTTTTTTTCCCATTTTTCTTTCATACTTCAGAAAGACGAGAATCCAGGACTTGAATCGTATCTTCCCACTTTCTGAGGACTACTCTGGATCAGGCTTCGGCTCCGGCTCCGGCTCTGGATCAGGATCTGGGAGTGGCTTCCTAACGGAAATGGAACAGGATTACCAACTAGTAGACGAAAGTGATGCTTTCCATGACAACCTTAGGTCTCTTGACAGGAATCTGCCCTCAGACAGCCAGGACTTGGGTCAACATGGATTAGAAGAGGATTTTATGTTATAAAAGAGGATTTTCCCACCTTGACACCAGGCAATGTAGTTAGCATATTTTATGTACCATGGTTATATGATTAATCTTGGGACAAAGAATTTTATAGAAATTTTTAAACATCTGAAAAAGAAGCTTAAGTTTTATCATCCTTTTTTTTCTCATGAATTCTTAAAGGATTATGCTTTAATGCTGTTATCTATTTTATTGTTCTTGAAAATACCTGCATTTTTTGGTATCATGTTCAACCAACATCATTATGAAATTAATTAGATTCCCATGGCCATAAAATGGCTTTAAAGAATATATATATATTTTTAAAGTAGCTTGAGAAGCAAATTGGCAGGTAATATTTCATACCTAAATTAAGACTCTGACTTGGATTGTGAATTATAATGATATGCCCCTTTTCTTATAAAAACAAAAAAAAAAATAATGAAACACAGTGAATTTGTAGAGTGGGGGTATTTGACATATTTTACAGGGTGGAGTGTACTATATACTATTACCTTTGAATGTGTTTGCAGAGCTAGTGGATGTGTTTGTCTACAAGTATGATTGCTGTTACATAACACCCCAAATTAACTCCCAAATTAAAACACAGTTGTGCTGTCAATACCTCATACTGCTTTACCTTTTTTTCCTGGATATCTGTGTATTTTCAAATGTTACTATATATTAAAGCAGAAATATAACCAAAGGTTAAGCTGTCTCGGATCTGTTGTTCTAAACCCAGGAAACAGTTATTTTTGGCCAGACGTTTCTCCAGAAGTCTTATCAACAAAACAACTTTAAACGTATTCTACAGTAAACACAAGTTTTGTAACCAGAATCAAATCATACTAACTAGCAAATGAAGAAAGCAATGATGCCTTAGCAAGAGGGTTATATATCTCAAAGCACTTCCTCACCTGAAAGATAGTTCCATCTCTGTTCCCCTTAGTTCTGAAAAGCCCCCTTACATCACCATCCTGGATTCTGTTCTGTACTGTCCAGATCCCAGCTCCAGAACTGAGTACTTACTCAAATTAATCTCCTCAGGAGAGAGCCACCTTGCCCAAGGTCATGCTGCTTTGCAGGGCAGCCTGCATCCAGTGACTGGCTGATGTGGGCATATCAAGGCCTGAACTCAGAATAGTCATACAGATTCAAAACTCCCCACAGGATCAGCTCCAGTTTTGCTGGGACTACTTTGTAGCTCAGTTTCTTCTTTACTCAATTTTACTTCCTTCCATTCCGCTCATAGGTTTCTATCCTGAGAGTGCTCCCTTAGAAATTTTCTGCTAGTTTCCATCTCAGAATTTGCTTCTAGGAGAACACAACTTGTGACAGGTTGTGCCAGGAGGGATAAGAAATGGATGCTAAGATGGGATTTTGGAGCTAGATTGCCTGCTGTCTGGCTGGCAATGAGGACTCCATCCTTGGCCATAGATGAGCACAGGCACAAGATAGCAGTGCAATTGTTAAAACTTTCACTGGTGATGAACCAAGATGGTATACCAGTGGAAGGGAGTGCACTAGGGTGTGATGTACTAGGCATCTGAGAAATGTTGGCAAGTAGTAATAATAAAGACAATGGTATTGGTTGGCTATTGCTGGACTTAATTAATGCTTTTGAAAAAGACAATGAAAGGCTAAGGACAATTAATTAAAAGCTAAATGTGAAAACCATTGGGCCTCCTTGGCAGCATATTAAGAAACTCTCTTCTGTAATAGAAGGAATTAAAAAGCTGAGGACCAGGCCCAGGACTTATGAGAATAGCAGATGGCTGGGTGTGGTGGCTCACGCCTGCAATCCCAACGCTTTGGGGGGCTGAGGCAGGTGGATCACCTGAGGTCAGGAGTTTGAGATCAGCCTGGCCAACATGGCGAAACACTGTCTCTACTAAAAATACAAAAATTAGCCAGGTGTGGTGACAGGCATCTATAATCCCAGCTACTCCGGAGGCTGAAGCAGGAGAATTGCTTGAACCTAGGAGGTTCAAACCTGGGAGGTTGCAGTGAGCTGAGATCATGTCACTGCAATCCAGCCTGGGTGACAGAGGGAGACTCTATCTCAAAAAAAAAAAAAAAATAGCAGAGTTCCAAGAATATTAAATTGTCAGCTTAGCCCAGTCTGTTATGCAAGCTCAGAGTCCTTACTGGGGAAAAATAGGACCCTGAGAGATGGAAACATCTGGGCTGATACATTCAAGTTTTAAATCCTCAGATTCCTTTGAACCTCTGAATCTACAGAAGAGTCCCATGCTTTAAGGACCGATGCTGGCCAGGTGTGGTGGCTCATGCTTGTAATCCCAGTACTTTGGGAGGCTGAGGCGGGCAGATCACTTGAGGTCAGGAGTTCAAGACCAGCCTGGCCAACACAGTGAAACCCTGTCTCTACTAAAAATACAAAAATTAGCTGGTTGTGGTGGCGAGCACCTGTAATCCTACTCGGCAGGCTGAGGTATGAGAATCACTTGAACCTGGGAGGTGGAGTTTGCAATGAGCCGAGATCACGCCACTGCACTCCAGCCTGGGTGACAGAGCGAGACTCTGTCTCAAAAAAAAAAAAAAAAAAAAAAAACAAAACAAAAAACAGCAATCAAAAAACAAAAAAACTAGTGCTTTCCTGTTGAAGACAATCAAGAGGCCTCTACCCTTAAAGACAACACTCACTCTCCTTCAAGATCTGTCCCCACCTCCCTTCCTAGACAGCAGATAAATATCAAAGTTAAGTCAGTATAAACCAACAGGGGAGTTTTGGGCTTGCTCAGGAGGAAAGGTAAAATACTCTGAAAGTTCTGTAGAACTTAGCTAACGTGGACCTTAAAAGCTAAGAGGGTGTCTGTAAGACTTAACTCTGGAAGTCCTTGATCCAGGGACGGAGATAGAACACAAACTTGGATAAGGGAGTGTTTAGCAATGTGAGTGTACCCTCCTGGGATACAGGTTTTAATGCCCTGGCAAGAACCCTGGGAGAAGGTGTTGAGACTCTGCTAAAATGACTCTTAGACACTTGGAGAAAGTGACAGCCCACACTTAAGTGAAGTGGAAATACTAGAATTGTCATGCCAGGCAGTGGAAAAAGGGGTCAATAGGATTAAGGAAATGCACATGATAGAATGAATGGACTATATAAGCCTTGCAAACCCACCAGATGACTGTCTTGCAGGAAGGCCAAAGCAATAAAGAATAGCCTGGTGAGAGCAATCAGCACCTCTGAGCCATCTGCAGTGGCTTTCCTCTGAAAGGCAGGGCTGATGTTGTTACATAACTGGGCTTATTAATAGCAGTGGGAATAAAGGGTACCAAAATAATAGAGACCAGGTGGTAGTGCTCAACCATCAGAAGCCAAGAGGTGCAGTTACCTTTTTTTTTTTTTTTTTGGAAATGGAGTCTCACTCTGTTGCCCAGGCTGGAGTGCAATGGCGAGATCTCAGCTCACTGCAACCTCCGCCTCCTGGGTTCAAGCAATTCTCCTGCCTCAGCCTCCTGAGTAGCTGGGACTACAGGCACACGCTGCCACACCTGGCTAATTTTTTTTTTTTTTTTTTTGTATTTTAGTAGAGATCACCGTGTTGCCCAGGCTGGTCTCGAACTCCCGAGCTCAGGCAATTTGCCTGCCTTGGACTCCCAAAGTGCTAGGATTACAGGCATGAGCCACCGCGTCCAGCCAAGAAGCCAAGAGGTGCAGTTATCTTAATGAGCAGCAAGGTCAGAGATGTATCCAGGGGAGCCTCATGGGCACTGAGATAGGAGATGGCATCTCTAGAGGCAATGTAGTTGCACAGCCAGCAAAAGTATTGCTCAATCTATTGTATTAAGCAGGGTTTGCCAGAGAGACAGAACCACTAGGACATATACTTAGATATATGAGAGGAGGTTTATTAGGGCAATTGGCTCATGTGATGGTGGAGGCCATCTGCAAGCTGGAGAACCAAGGAAGCTGGTAGCATAGCTCAGTCCAAGTCCAAAGGCCTTGGACCAGGGATCCAGGGATATGGCAGATCTTCCGCACCTGGTCTACCAACTCACACTCTAATCTCCTGACGAAATAACTTCACAGATACACCCAGAAATAATGCTTTACCTCCTATCTAGGTATCCCTTAATCCAGTGAAGTTGACATCTAAAATTAACCACCACATTATTCAACCAGAAAGATCAAGATGGTCAGGAGGCATAGGGCAATTGCCTCAATAAAAAAACACTATGGTGGCTGGGCGTGGTGGCTCATGCCTATAGTCCCAGCACTTTGGGAGGCCAAGATGGGCGGATCACGAGATCAGGAGTTGGAGACCAGCCTGACCAACATGGTGAAACCCCATGTTTACTAAAAATACAAAAATTAGCCGGGTATGGTGGTACGCGCCGGGTGTGGTGGCTCACACCTGTAATCTCAGCACTTTGGGAGACTGAGGCAGGTGGATTACAAGGTCAGGAGTTCAAGACCAGCCTGGCCAAGATGGTGAAACCCCGTCTCTACTAAAAATACACAAATTAGCTGGGCGTGGCGGCAGGGTCCTGTAATCCCAGCTACTCAGGACGCTGAGGCAAGAGAATCGCTTGAACCCGGGGGACGGAGGTTGCAGTGAGCCGAGATCGAGCCACTGCACTCCAGCCTGGGCGACAGAGTGAGACTCTGTCTCAAAAAAACAAAAACAAAAACAAAACAAAACAAAAAACAAAGAACGCAGGAATGCTGGTCCCCAATGCACCTCCATTTAATTCACCAGTCTGGGCCTCACAAAAAGCAAATGGAGAGTGCTAGTGGACTATTACAAATTCAACCGAGTACAGAGGGTCCCCAACTTACAATGATTTGACTTAATGATTCTTTGACTTTATGATAGTGTGAAAGTGACACACATTCAGTAGAAACTAAATTTCAATTTTTGAATTTTGACATTTTCCCAGGTTAGTGATATGTGATGTGATGCTCTCTGGCGGTGTTGGGCAGCACTAGCGAGCATGGTTTTTCGCTTTCAGTATTCAATACATTACATGAGACATTAAAACTCTTTATTACAAAATAGGCTTTCTATTAGATTATTTTCCCCAACTGTAAGCTAATGTAAGTGTTCTGAGCATACTTAAAGTAGGCTAGGCTAAATAAACTATGATGTTTGATACGTTAGGTGTATTTAATGTGTTTTTGACTTAAGATATTTTTGGCTGGGTGTGGTGGCTCACGCCTGTAATCTCAGCACTTTGGGAGGCCGAGGTAGGCGGATCACCTGAGGTCAGGAGTTCGAGACCAGCCTGGCCAATATGAAACCTTGTCTCTACTAAAAATAGAAAAACTAGCTGGGTGCGGTGGTGCACACCTGTAATCCCAGCTACTCCGGAGGCTGAGATAGGAGAATTGCTTGAACCTGGGAGGCGGAGGTTGCAGTGAGCGAAGACTGCGCCACTGCACTCTAGCCTGGGAGACAGAGTGAGACTCAGACTCAAAAATAAATAAATAAATAAATAAATAAATATTTTCAATTTATGATGGGTTTATTGGGATGTAACCCCACTGTAAGTTGAGGTGCATCTGTAGTAGCTCTATTGAAGCAGCATCCCCAGGTGGAACACTTTTGCTAGAGCAGAGTTACATAGCTTTAGATACCTAATAGTCATTTATTTGACAAATGCTTTCTTTTATATCCCTATCAAAAAAAGAGGATAAGGCTGGGCACAGTGGCTCATGCCTATAATCCCAGCACTTTAGGAGGCTGAGGTGGGAGAATCACTTGAACCCAGGAGTTCGAGACCAGCCTGGGAAATATAGCGAGACCTCATCTCTCCATTTTTTAAAAGAGGATCAGAGGCCAGGCGCAGTGGCTCATGCCTGTAATCCTAGCATTGGGAGGCCAAGGTGGATGGATGGCTTGAGCTCAAGAGTTCAAGACCAACCTGGGCAACATGGTGAAACTCTGTCTCTACAAAAAATACAAAAATTAGCCAGTTGTAGTGGCATGCGCCTGTAGTCCCAGCTACTCAGGCAGATGAGGTGGAAGGTTGGCTTGAGCCTGGGAGGTAGAGGTTGCAGTGACCTGAGATTGCGCCACTGCACTCCAGCCTGGGCAACAGAGCCAGACCCTGTCAAAAAAAAAAAGAAAAGAAAAGAAAAAAGAGGATCAGAAAGAGTTTACGTACTCTTGGAACAGACGGCAGTATATTTACAGTCTATTCCCAGGACTATTTTAACTCTCCCACTCTTTGTCATAGTACCATCTAAAGAGACCTGAACTGGCTGGACATCTCACAGAAAATCACAGTGGTCACTGACCAGACCCCCATGTCATTGCCACTGATGCACCAGCATTTCTTCCTGGGCTCACATCTATGACTGTATGAGGGCTTCCTAATGACCAACTGCCAGGATAGGAATAAACTCCAGCTTGGTTCACACATGGATTGGTCTGGTATATGGGAGCAAGCCAAAAGTGGATGTCAGCTACACTACAATGCCATTCAGGAGTGGACTTGAAAAGCAGCTTTGAGGGGAAATCCTCCCAGTGAGCAGGAGCATTGGGTGGTGCTCCTGGCCATCCACTCTGTGTAGAGAGAGAAGTAGCCTGAGGTTGGAAGATACTCATTTGCATGGACTGTGGTGACTGTTTTGCCCAGTTGATAAGGGGTCTAAAACAGAAAGATTGGAAGATTGGGCACGAAGCAGCTCAGGGTAAAGGCATGTGGATGGACCAATGAGAGAAGACAAAGTGTGAAGATGTACGTATCAAATGTGAATGCCCACCAGAAAACATCCATCACAGAAGAGGCACTAAACAACCAGGTAGACAAAATGACTTGGACAGATGTCAGTCAGCCTCTGTCATGGGCCACCCTAAAACTGGCACAATGAGCTTAGGAAGGAGTGGCCACAGTGGCAGTGATGGAGGCCACACATGGGCTCCCGCTGACCAAGATTGATCCAGCTACTGATGTTGCCAAATGTCCAGTATGCTAGCAACAGAGCTCATTGCTGAGCCACTGATATGGCACTATCCCTGAAGGAGACTTTGGTGGCTAGTTGACTACATTAGGTCCCTTCCATCATGGAAGGGCCAGAGATTTGTTTGAACAGTGATAGAGATGTATTTCAGGTATGTGTTTGCCTTTCCTGCTCAGGGGATGTCTAACACTAAAATCTAAGGACTTACAGAGTATGTTTGATTTATCAACAGGGTTTTGCATATAACATCACATCACAGCATAACAGCAGGAGATGCAGCAGTGGGCACACGACCATGGGCTCCACTGGTTTTATCACCCACCACATCACCTCAGTGCCCTCAACATGACAGAATGTTGGAAGGGCCTGTTGAGGGCACAGCTGAGGCAATGCTTGGCTATGATACACTGAGGTTGGCGTCACAACCTTCGGGATGCAGTTTACATGCTAGATCAGTAACCTTTATATGGTGCTGTGTCCTTAATAGGTAGAATACATGGGTCCAGGAACCAAGGAGTGGAAGTACAAAAGGACTCAACATCGAAACTACGTGGGGTGTTTAGCTGGACACAATGGCTCAGGTCTGCAATCCCAGTTACTTGGGAGGCTGGGGTGGGAGGATTGCTTGAGGCCAGGAGTTCAAGAGCAGCCTGGACAACATAAAAGACCCTGTCCCCTTATCTAACAAATAAAACAAAACACCACTTGTGGAATTTATTCTTCCTATTACCGCAACCCTGAGTTTTGCATATTTAGATGTTATGATTCCCTGTGGGAAATGTTTCCACCGGGGGACATGGTAAGTGTCGTACTGAACTTTAAGCTATGGCATCTTAAGCTCTTTTTGGCAAGGGATGAATGGTCAAGAAGTCACCATCTTGGCGGGGGCTATGAACCTGATTATCAAGAGGCAGGGCTGCTGCTACACAGTGGGGACAGGGAGGCCTACGCTTGACACCCAAGTGATCCACTGAGGCTTCTCTGAGTATTTCGAAGAAGTACTAATGGTTTAATGGTAAATGGATAAATACAGCAGCCAGGCCTGAGAAGAACCTGCCAACTAGGGGCTCAGATCCTCATGGCTGAAGGTCTGGGTCAATCCTCCAACTATGCTATCTAGACTAGCAGAGGTGTTAGCCAAGGGTGAGAGAAATCTAGAATTGATAGTAGAGGAGGCATTTAATGAGTATCCATTGTAGTCTTGATACCAGCTGCAGTGGCAGTGGCTGCAATTCATTCCACTGACCTTTCTCCAGGAAAAGAGCCCTGCAGTATCCTGAAAGAGCTGTTCCCAGAATTTATATGAAGCAAAAAGATCTAAGTGGCACAAGGGGTAAACTGTTACGAATGCTGTGCTGTGTTACCGAGATTCCCCCTTTGGGACTGGAAGATCTGTTCCCTCGGCCACAGGAAAGGTTGGCTGACGGCTGCAAGTTCTTAGATGCAGAGAGCCAGTTCATCCAAGGTCATGCTCCCTTCTCATGGACAGCTCACAGTCAAAGACTCATCTATGTGGGGGTATAGAGTCTCAGAGCTCATGCTCCACTTGGAACAACTCAGAAGAAACACCCCAACTTCAGAACTCTCTATTTGGTCAGCTGATGCCTTGTGATTATACTGCAGCTCAATTTATTCCTCTCTAATCCTGTTTCCTTCTCGTTCTGCACAGGTGTTTATCCTAAGGCAACTCCATCATTAACTTCCTCCATGCTATTCATCCTCTCAGAGTTTGCTTCTCATAGAACACAACTCATAGGAATATGTTTATAGCATTTTACTTTTGGTGACAGTTGTAAATTATACCCTGATCTTTCTGTTAATAAATCTGAGATTATTTAACAGGAACTTAGTTAGTTTTATGCCCAATGGGGTATTACTGTCAAGAGGCCTATTTTTGGCTTCCACATGATACAGCAGAGAAAACAAGGCACGTTTTAGAAAATACACCTGTTGCTTTGTATCACTAGTTAAGTGCTAGGTTTTACACCTTTAAAGGAGAGGTAGGTAGTCTAGGTTTTAAAACATGACATTCTTTTTTTTTTTTGAGACAGAGTCTCGCTCTGTCGCCCAGGCTGGAGTGCAGTGGCGCCATCTCGGCTCACTGCAAGCTCCGCCTCCCGGGTTCACGCCACTCTCCTGCCTCAGCCTCCCGAGTAGCTGGGACTACAGGCGCCCGCCACCACGTCCGGCTAATTTTTTTGTACTTTTAGTACAGACGGGGTTTCACCGTGTTAGCCAGGATGGTCTCGATCTCCTGACCTAGTGATCCACCCGCCTTGGCCTCCCAAAGTGCTGGGATTACAGGCTTGAGCCACTGCGCCCGGCCAATGACATTCTTGTTAAAAAAGATCTTAAACTTGCCACAAAGAAACTGTAGAATATTTCTGTTTTGTAGAAAGAGTTTGAGTTTTAGCATTGCAAAGTCCTGGCTTAAATACCAGTTTTACTCTTTATTAGCTGTGTAAGTTTAGACAACTAGCCTAATTTAGCTAAGCTTGTCTAGGGAGAGCAGTATAGTAAGGGGTTAATTGTGTGGACTCCAGAGCCAGATCATCTGGATTGAAAGTTCTGTTGGCCGGCCGCAGTGGCTCATGCCTGTAATCCCAGCACTTTGGGAGGCCGAGGAGGGGCGGATCACGAGGTCAGGAGATCGAAACCAACCTGGCCAACATAGTGAAACCCCATCTCTACTAAAAATACAAAAATTAGCCGGGTGTGGTGGCACGTGCCTGTAATCCCAGTTACTTGGGAGGCTGAGGCAGGAGAATCGCTTGAACCAGGGAGTTGGAGGTTGCAGTGAACCGAGATCATGCCACTGCACTCCAGCATGGTGACAGAGCGAGACTCCGTCACACATACAAAAAAAAGTTCTGTCACTTACCAACTAGATAAGCTTAGATGAGTTACCTAACCTCTCTATACCTCAGTTTCCTCCTTTTTAAGGTGAGGATAATGATAGTACCTACTTTGTAGGTTTGTTAAAAAGATTAAACAAATTAATACATGTAAAGTGCTAGAGACAATGCCATTGAGCAACTGATCAATAAACATGAGCTATTATCACTACTTGTACTATAGGTTAACAATACTTGCCCAAGGGGTTGTGGTGAAGATTAAATGAGGCAATGTATACAATATAGTTAGCTCAGTGTTTGGCAAATAGTAAGCCCCTAAAAAATTGTAATCATGAAAATGTGTGTTGATTGACAGATAGAGCCCAAAACGTAAAAGAGTAAGAATTTAAAAACCTACACAACTTAAAAAAATTTAAGAGTAAGAATTTTAAAAACTACACAAAACTACACATGCTATTTCATAAGATTATCTATGTGCTAGGTGATGGGAATACAGAGGGAAACAAGTACACATCAGATGGCATTTGTCCTTGAGCTTAGTCTAACAGGGTTTGAATGAGAGTGAATGTAACATGTTAGTCTTGCCTGGCACTAAGGAAGGTATTATGTGAGTGCAATAGTAATTGCGGTTTTTGCATTGTTGGAATTTGCTGTTTGATATTGGAATGCATTCTTAAATAAATATGGTTATGTTATACATCATTTTAATGGGCACTTCTTGTTTTATGTTTTTGTGCTAGTGACTTATTACTTGCTGTTTATTTTATGTTTATTTTAGACTACGGAAATAATGTTAAGACAAAAGCAAATTCAAGCTATTTTCTTATTCGAGTTCAAAACAGGTCTTAAAGCAGCAGAGACAACTCGCAACATCAACAACCCATTTGGCGCAGGAATTGCTAACAAACGTACAGTGCAGTGGTGGTCAAAACGTTTTGCAAAAAAGATGAGAGCCTTGAAGATGAGAAGCGTAGTGGCCGGCCATGGGAATTTGACAATGACCAATTGAGAGCAATCATTGAAGCTGATCCTCTTACAACTACACAAGAAGTTGCTGAAAAACTCAACATCGACCATTCTACAGGTCGTTCGGCATTTGAAGCAAATTAGAAAGGTAAAAAAGCCCGATAAGTGGGTGCCTTATGAGCGAGCGAGAATCAAAAACGTTGTTTTGAAGTGTTGTCTTCCCTTATTCTACGCAACAACATGAACCATTTCTTGATCGGATTGTGACGTGCGACAAAAAAAATGGATTTTATGCAACAACCGGCGAATACCAGCTCAGTGGTTGGACAGAGAAGCAGCTCCAAATTACTTCCCAAAGCCAAACTTGCACCAAAAAAAGGGCATGGTCACTGCTGCCAGTCTGATCCACTACAGCTTTCTGAATCCCAGTGAAACAATTACATCTGAGAAGTATGCTCAGCAAATTGTTGATGAGATGCACCGAAAACTGCAACTCCTGCAGCCGGCATAGGTCCACAGAAAGGCCCAGTTCTGCTCCATAAGAACGCCCAAGTGCAGGTCGTAGAACCAATGCTTCAAAAGTTGAATGAATTGGGCTACGAAGTTTTGCCTCATCCGCCATATTTACCTGACTTCTTGCCAACTGACTACCACTCCTTCAAGCATCTCGGCAACTTTTTGCAGGGAAAACGCTTCCACAACCAGTAGAATGCAGAAAATGTTTTCCAAGAGTTCATCAAATCCAAAAGCACGGATTTTTACACTACAGGAATACAAACTTATTTCTCATTGGCCAAATTGTATTGATTGTAATCGTTCCTATTTTGATTAATAAAGATGAATTTGAGCCTAGTTATAATGATTTAAAATTCATGGTCCAGGCTGGCTGCAGTGGCTCACACCTGTAATCCCAGCACTTTGGGAGGCCAAGGGAAGAGGATCACTTGAGGTCAGGAGTTTGAGACCAGTGTAGCCAACACAGTGAAACCCCATCTCTACTAAAAGTAGAAAAAATAAGCTGGACTTGGTCGTGGGCACCTGTAATCCCAGCTACTTGGGAGGCGGAGGCAGGAGAATCGCTTGAACTCAGGAGGTGGAGGTTGCAGTGAGCCAAGATCATGCCACTGCACTCCAGCCTGGGTAACAGAGGGAGGCTCCATCTAAATAAAATAAAATAAAATAAAATTCACAGTCCAAAACTGCAATTACTTTTGCACCAATCTAGATAGCTGGAAGTAAATATTACTTTTGTACCAACCTAGATAGATGGAAGTAAATATTATCAGCCACATAGAAGAAATAGTATATAAAATGTATAGCTTTTTTTTGATTTTGAGACATGATCTGGCTCTGTTACCCAGGCTGGAGTACAGTGGTGTGATCTCAGCTCACAGTAGCTTCCAACTTCTGGGCTCAAGCAAGCCTCCCACCTCAGCCTCCCAAGTAGCTGGGACCACAGGTGCACGCCACCACACCCAGCTGTTTTTTCTTTTGTATTTTTGGTAAAGACAGGGTCTTGTTGTGTTGCCTAGGCTAGGGTTTTGTGTGTGTGTGTGTGTGTGTGTGTGTGTGTGTGTGTGTGTTGTTTGTTTGTTTGTTTGTTTGTTTTTTGTGAGGGACAAAGTCTCGCTCTGTCACCCAGTCCACCCAGTCTGGAGTGCAGTGGTGCGATCATAGCTCACTGCAACCTCCACCTCCCAGGCTTAAGCAGCCTTGAGCTCCTGGCCTCAAGCGATCCTCCTGCCTTAGCCTCCCAAGTAGCTAGGACTACAGGCATGTGCCACCATGCCTGGCTCTCTCTCTATATATTATATATATATTTTGAGACAGGCTCTCATCATGTTGTCCAGGCTGGCCTCAAACTCCTGGCCTCAAGTGATCCTCCCACTTTGGCTTCCCAAAGTTCTGGGATTACAGGCGTGAGCCATCGTGCCTGGCCTTGTGTAGGTTTTCAAATTCTTACCCTTTTACCTTTTGGGTTCTATTTTTCAATCAATTATTTACCATAATTACAGAGTTTTTTGGGGGGGGGGTTGTGGGCAAAGGGTTAAAAACTTCTTCCAATTTGTACTTTTAAGCAATAGTCTAATTAGTAGCCAATTTTCCTATCTGATATTATACAATCAACAAAAACCTGCTGAGGACCAAGCCACCAGGGATTAACAGTTAAGACTACTCACAATTTAGTGGATAAAACACAAATAACTATAATACATTTTACATTATAGATGTTTTTTCAAATCTATAATAATGATAAAATGCTAAGATAGCAAAGGGTTGGGAATGGCTGATTTTGCAGAAGCTTTTTGTCTCCATTCCCTCAGCACGTTGTCTGCTTTACCAGTTGGGTCACTGTTGAAAATATTAATACAGTTGATCTTTCAGAACCCTATTTGTCTTCCTAGGTTTATGCATACCAAACCAAGGTTTCTCAGCTTTGGCATTATTGACATTTATTTATTTATTTATTTTTTAGAGCTAGAGACTCACTATGTTGCCCGGGCTGGTCCAAAGCTCCTAGGTTCAAGTGGTTCTCCTGCCTCAGCCTGCTGAGTATCTGGGACTACAAGTCCATACCACTGCGCCTGGCTATTGACATTTTTGACAGGGTATATCTTTGTTGTAGGGAGGCTATTCTGTGGATTATAGGATGTTTACAGCTTTTCTGATCTCTACTCATTACTTGCCCAGTAGCACTTTCCCCCCTAGAACTCGACAATCAAAACTGTCTCCAGGCCGGGTGAGGTGGCTCTCGCCTGTAATCCCAGCACTCTGGGAGGCTGAGGTGGGCAGATCACTTGAGGTCAGGAGTTCGAGACCAGCCTGGCCAACATGGTGAAACCCCATCTCTACTAAAAATGCAAAAATTAGCCGGGCGTGGTGCTGGGTGCCTGTAGTCCCAGCTACTCGGGAGGCTGAGGCAGGAGAATCACTTGAACCCAGGAGGCAGAGGTTGCAGTGAGCCAAGATCATGCCATTGCACTTCAGCCTGGGGGACAAGAGTTCGTCTCAAACACGCACACACACACACACACCCCTTAGTGGCAATAAATATTAGTAAATAATGAACATTTCAAAATTTTATAGTTTCTTTGGATCAGAAATTTGAGAGAGGATTACCTTGGTGGTTCTGTTAAGGAGATTTTCATGAAATTGCAGTCAATTTGTCAGCTGAGGCTGCAGTCACCTGAAGAGTTAATGAGGGCAGGAGGATTAGCTTCTGAGATGGCTCACTCACATGGCTGGCAAGTTAGTTCTGGCTATTTCCAGGTGATCTCAGTTCCTCACTATGTGGACCTCTCCATTGGACTTCTCCCAGAATGAGTGACCCAAGAGAAAGCAAGTCAGAAGCAGCCGTGAAAGTCACACACATCACTTCCATTTTATTCTGTTGGTCACACAGACCAGTGTTGACAACATTTGAGAAGGGACTACAAAGGAGTGTAAATACTGGAAGGCAAGGATCATCGGGGAATATCTTGGAGGCTGGCTACTATAACACAGTCATTTCAAAAAAAAATCATAAGAGTTGGAACATAAAATTGGAGAAATTATTTAGAAAGGAGAACAAAGAGACAACTAGATGGAAAATAGAAAAGAAGAGATAAGAAAATGACATAATCAATTCAGGAATTCCAATATGCAACTAATAGAAGACCCAGGATGAAAGAGGAGAGGAAAAGATGGGAAGAAATTATCAGAGAAATTTAGCAAGGTTTCAAGATACCAAGTTATTGTAGAAAAGTCACACACAAACACATGCACAAGCAATGAACAATTAGAAAATATTTTTTTAAAACAAAATTTTAAATTTGGTATAGAGACGGGGTCTTGCCATGTTGCCCAGGCTTGTCTTGAACTCCTGGGCTCAGGCAATCCTCCTGCCTCGGCCTCCCAAAGTGCTGGGATTACAGGTGTGAGCCACCATACCAGGCCAGAAAATAAAAAAAAAAAATTAATACAATTTACAATAGTGTCAAAAAATAAATGCTTAGAAAAAAATTTAACAAAAGATATGAAAGGTACTGAAAACTACAAAACATTGCCAAAAGAAATTAAAGCTGTTTTCTCTACTTATTTAGAAAAATAGATAAATACACCATATTCATGGATTGCAAGGCCCAATATTGTTAAGACACCAATTTTCCCCAAATTAAGGTGTAGGTTCAAACCATTTCCAAGCAGTAGATTTTTTTTTTTTGGAGAAGTGGATTCACAATTTATAAATGTATGTTGGAATACAAGAACTTAGAATAGCCAATGCATTTTTGAAAAATAACAAGTTGGAATAATTACAGTACCTTACTTCAAGGTTTACTATAAAGCTATTGTATTGAAGACAGTGTAGTATTGCATAAATATAGACAAACAGATCAATGGAAAAGACTAGAAATTTCAGAAATAGGCCCACAATTATACAGTCAATAGATTTTTTACAAAAACACCAAAGATATATCTATCTATCTATACAGACATATATATATGTATATATATATATACATATATATATATACATATATATATATATATATTTTTTTTTTTTTGAGATAGAGTCTCACTCTGTTGCCCAAGCTAGAGTGCAATGGCCCAATCTTGGCTCACTGTAACCTCTGCATCCCAGGCTCAAATGATTCTTCTGCCTCAGCCTCCTGAGTAGCTGGGATTACAGGCACGCACCACCACACCCAGCTAATTTTTGCATTTTTTAGTACAGACGGGGTTGCACCATACTGGCCAGGCTGGTCTTGAACTCCTCACCTCAGGTGATCCACCTGTCTCAGCCTCCCAAAGTGCTGGGATTACAGGCATGAGCCACCGCGCCCGGCTAACACCAAAGATATTTAAGGGGGAAAGGTAAGTGTTTGCAACAAATGGTGCTGGAACCATGTAGACACAAATAAGCTCTCAAATCTTACCCCATACTATTTGCAAAATTTAGTTTGAGATGGATCTCATTTTACATTTTACACCTAAATGTAAAAGTCCAAATTCTCAAGTCATCAACAGACATTGTTAGGAAAGTAAATAAGCACACAGAGTGGGAGAAAATATTTGCAATTACTACATTTGATACAGGACTTATATTCAAAATATTTGATAAACTATAACTCAATGAGAAAATAAACATCTTAACTAAAAATTGGCAGTCTTGACAGGCACTTCCCAAAGGGAGGTATATGTGAATGATACATATGCACATGAAAAAGTGTTCAGAATCATTAATCATCAGGGAAAAGCAAATTAAAATCACAGTGAGAAAACCACACACTCATAAGAATGACTAATGTTAGAAACACTGACAACACCAAATGTTAGCAAGGATATAGAAACAATATTTCACACACTCGTGATGGGAGGATAAAATGGCACAAACAGTTTAAAAAGTGATGTGGCATTTTCTTGTAAAATTAAATATACACCTAACCCAACCCAGCAATTCCACTTCGGTTAGGTTCACAAAAAAGGCGTGTACATAGTAGCACTTTGTTCACAATAGAAAAAAATGGGCAAAAAGAT